>NC_000012.12:63710128-64960128 GCF_000001405.40 Homo sapiens
GATTTGGTGATAAAACCATCTATGTATCAAAAGCATAAATAAAAAGCTAATTTTCAAACTGGTAAAATGATTCCAACATATATGAACAATAAAATACTAATACTCTTGATACATAAGTAGCTTTTACAGCTCATTTAGAGAACAAGGTGAACAATCCAAAAAAAAAAAAAAAAAAAAAACCTAAGGACATAAACAGGCCAATTCCCAGGAGAAAATACAAATGTTCACCTATGAAACTGGCAAAGATGAAAAGACGATGATTATGTCGGACAAAGGTGTAAAGGAATGGTAACTGCTGTGAACAACCTTTCCTGAAGGAAACTTGGCAGTATGCATAAAATGCCTTAAAAACATATACAGTCATGTGCCACATCACAATGTTTCAGCCCACAACGTTTCACATATATGAAAGCGGTCCCCTAACATCAGAACGGAGCTGAAAAATGTCTATCACCTAGTGACATCATAGCCATCATAATGCAGCAGCACAACATGTTACTCACATGTTTGTATAAAATACATCATACTTGATTAATGATAATAAACAATGATGTTACTGGTTTGTATATGTACTATGCTATAATTTTTATAATTATTTCACAGTCTACTCCTTCTACTTATCAAAAAAAAAAAGTTAACCGTGAAACAGCTTCAGGCAGATCCTTCGGCAGGTATTCCAGAAGAAGGCATTATCATTACAGGAGATGTGTGTTATTGCCCCTGAAGACCTTCAGTGACAGAAGATGTGGAGGTGGAAGACAGTGATATTGATTATCCTGACCCAGGGTAGGCCTGATGTGTGTGATTATGTCTTAGGTTTTAACAAAAATGTTTAAAAAGTAAAAAAAAAAAAAAAAAAAAAAAAAAAAAAAAAAAAATTGAAAAAACTTAACGGAATAAGGATATAAAGAAAAAATGTTTTTGTACAGTTGTACAATGTGTATGTTTTAATCTAAATGTTACAGGAGAGTCAAAAAGTTAAAAAAAATAAAAAGTTTAAAAAGTAAAACAGTTATAATAAGCTAAGGTTAATTTATTCTTAAAGAAAAATATTCTTTATAAATTTAGTGTAGCCTAAGTGTACAGTGTTTATAAAGTCTTCAGTAGTGTACAGTAATGTCCTAGGCCTTCATATTCACTGACCACTCACCCAGAGCAAATTCCAGACCTTAAGCTTATACAGGTGCCTTATACAGGTGCCTTATACAGGTGTACCATTTTTTATGTTTTACACTGTATTTTTACTGTGCCTTTTTAATGTTTAGGTACATAAATACCTGCCCTTGCATTACAATTGCTTACAGTATTCAGTACAGTAACATGCAGCACAGTACGGTTTATAGGCTAGGATCAATAGGCCATACCAAATAGCCTATGTGTGTAGTAGGCTGTACCATCTGGGTTTGTGTAAATACACTCTATGATGTTTTCACAATGACAAAATCTCCAAACAATGCATTTCTCAGAATGCAGCCCTTCTGTTAAGTGACTCATGACTATACATCTTTCCACTTACATGAGGTACCCAGACTAGATAAATTCACAGATGCAGAAAGTAGGATACAGATTACCAGGGTCTCGAAGGGAAAGTAAATTGGAAGTTATTTTAATGGATACAGAGTTTCTGTTTGGGATGATGAAAACATTCTGGAAACGGATAGCAGTGATGGTTATGTGACATCATAAATGTACTTAATGTCACTGAATTGTACACTTTAAAATGGTTAAAATGGTCAATTTTATGTTATGTATATTTTACCACAATTTCTAAAACCTCCATTGCATGACTATGAATTTTATTAAACCATTCTCCTATTATTGAATATTTGGGTTCTTTTTCTAAATTTTTAAACAATTAAAAATAATACTATGATAAAAAAAAATACATCCTTTGACTCAGCATTTCAATTTGTGGATATTTATCTCATGGTAATAATTAAGAAGATGTGTAAAGATGTGCATTTTCCTCCTGGCACTATTTGTATCAGCAAAAAATCAGAAACCTAAATAACTAATGCATAGGATTAGTCAAATAAATTACAGCACATAATGGAAAATTAGAAAGCCAATAAAAAGTGTGCTGCAGACATATATCTATTTATATTAAGGAGAAATATTTAAAAATAATATGGTTGACAAGATAAACTTTAAAGGAAGTAAATGTTCATACGTGCATAAGAAAGTACCTGAAAGAATATATAATGGGGTTTTGCCAGGGGTCATCTCTAAGGAAATGGGTTTTAACTGCTTTTTTATGCTTTTTCTTACTTGTCCGTATTTTCTGATATTTTGGCAATGCACACAAACTCTTTTAGTAAAAAGAAAAAAATTTATTAAAAGAAACTTAATTTTGAATAAAACATAGATAACTCCTCCCAGTTATTTTTCTTTTCTCAGAAGTAACACTGTGCCTTTGTGTACTGGACAAAGTGAACCACATCCCCCCAGAAAAGAAACATAAAATGCCAACTGAATGACTGTCTAAAGCTTGTTATTATATGGAACCAGCCAATAATTGTTTTCCCAATCTGAGAAACTAGACATTAGATTATACAAAGATATCCCTTTGGGCTTTTGGTTTGCCTCTTGGTTGACCATAGTAGGTATATTACAAAGCAGTAATGAAAACACTTTCTATTTTTGCCAGTGAGGTGGGTTTTCTTTTAGAAATGAGGAAGACGATGTCCCTGAAGAGTAAGGCTACACACAAAGTGAGACATTCAAGTACCTCAATGGAACCTAGTAAAATTAGAGCAAGAAAACTAAAACACCTTTAAGAGTATCTCAAAAGCTTGTGTAGCTGTAGAAGGATTAAAATTGTGAATTTAGAGGTACAGGCAAACAGATCCAATCCTAAAGGCATTTTTGTTTGGGTGTCCCACACATTAAGCTGTAAATCTGAAACAGGAAACTTGAAATCATTAAGGTCACATATTTATAACATCATATTCAATTAGGTTAGAAAAGTGCAATATCTGTCATCATGTCATAAAAAGATGTGTTTTTCTCTCAGATCTCTTATAAAGAAAAGCTCCCTATATTGTTAAGGATAGGGCTGTTTTCAATCAGTTACAAGGAGCAATTCAATTACTAGATGGTTTAGTGCAGTAACTGACTCAGACTAATTTAATTTCTTTAGGTCTCTAAAGATCAATTGATCTGATTTGTCCCATCCCCAAAGGCTGTTTATGAAAAATTCAGACTTAAATATCTGGAAATGAAATCCAAAACCTCGGCCAATTTCACACTACTTAGGTCATCTTGCAAACTTTCAGCTAGTCATATAAGAGTGCTGTCTTTGCCCTCAGACCATTGAAAGCTACTTAGCTTCATGTACATGTGAGTGCTCCCACATCAGGATGCTTATCCAATAAGTGGAAAATGTGGCCACATGCATTATCAAATCTGCCATTCTAAAGAGCAGTCAGACTGAGTACCTCCTATCTTGTAAACCAATGTGCAACTACAAGGCTATTTTTACTCTAGGAGTAGTTTATTAAGACTATGAAACATAGAGTTACATGGGATAAAAGTTGTTAGATGAAATGCTCATATAACAAGATGAAGAACTTGTAATTATTTTACATTTTTAGATTTATAAAATGCTGTCATAAATGCCAGCTTATTTGATTCTCAGAATAAACCTCTGAGGTGAGCAGGGTTATTTTTTCCATTTTCTAGATGAGTGTACAGACTCAGAAGTCTGGTGACTTCTCCAGGATCACTCACCCAGGAAGAGGCAGAGGTGAGACTCTAAGCCCTAACTTTTTTTTTCTCCCAATATATCATGCGTACCCCCATGGTCTGAGACAGAAAATATGACACACACTATAAAAACAGATCACTATCACCCCACTGCATCATTGTCTCCATTCTTATTTAATACCTGAATAAAACTGAGAAAAAGTTCACTTATAACAATCCCAACTGCATAAACCCGGTCTGCAGCAGGGCTTCTGGCCCTCAGAAACAGGAAATAAAGTCATGCCTAAATGAAGTTGCCTTTTGCAAGTGGACTCCTTTGTTGCCCACACTGCTGGTACCTCATTCTCAGTGATTTGTATCCCACCTAACTTGAGAGTTACCACTTGCCTTCTCTCTGCCCTTTGCAATGGATTTTCAATCACAAGCTCAAGTTTCTTTTCCTGATCCCAACACTTCCAACCAACTTGTCCAGCTCTCCAACTATTTAATCTTTCTTTTCTGCTCAAATCCCATAGTTCCTGGCCAACATTCAGCCTCTCCTGCTTGCTCCTCTGCTTCCCCACTGAGCCTCTAAGTCTGTTCCCCTAAATCAAACCTCCGCCTCACATTCTGCCATTTGGGAAGGCTTAGGAAGGCTGAGACAGAGGTTGTTAAAATATGTAATTATCTTTTAATTTGAGTTGCCAAGATAGATTAGACAGAAGTGCTGAGGTCAGCAGATGTGGCTATGTAGGTAACAAAGAGTGCAGCAGAAATGTGCAGAAGTTAGTAGGGAAATTACACAGATGTAGAGATAAGAAAATCAGTGGTTCTGGTGGCTAGGGAACTTCCCTGGTCAATCAAGACATTGGGCCACATAAAAGAATTAGTGTGTTTAAGAAGTAAAAATAATCAATTAGGTTTAAAAATCTTCTCTTTGAAAAACAATTTTTGACATTCATACTGGGCAAAATATGTATCTCCATATAGTCATTACTCATCACCTCAATGGTCTCAAACTGCATGAACCATTTTAATTGAATAAAAAGTAGGGTACGTTACAGGCACATGATTTCACTTGTCTTCTTAGACGCCTGATGTCTCTCCTATTAAATAAAAGCAGTCTACTATATTGGTAAAATTATGTGACCTTGAATTAAATTACATCTCCTTGTTTTAAAATTCCCCAACTACCCTTACACTCTTTGTGTTAGCAAATATATCTACTTGGGAAGGTAAAAAGCTACCAAGGTTCTATTTCTCTACAGACTGCCACTCATTGAGACATGAAGCTTAAAAATGTAAAGAGGACTAAGTCTTTAATAACAACAAAGCCCTATTTTTTATAGTAGAATAAATGTCCTGACCAAAGAAACTATTTCACTCAGAAATTAAGCATATAATAGATCCAGTCACAGTAGCTGTCAGACTTAGGCAGTTGCATATGTACAAGGAATAGGGGCAGAGAATAGAAGACTATATATAGTAAGGTTATGATTCTCTGGTGTCGAAAGGAGTGTGTTGTTACAAACTCCCTCTTCTCTTGATCTTATCTGAACAAGAAAGTAAACAGAAAATTCTCATTACCTCTCAAGGTCAGTGAGCCTGGAGGAATCCCAGAATCCTTTGGCAAAAGGATTGCTATCTATTTTCAGCTTCGTTATCTGGAGAAAGAATGGGTACAAAACAGTATCATTTCTGAGGTCAAGGAAGTAAAATCATAAATAGTTTGTTCATTCTCCATAGCACACCAAGAATATCTTAATGTTTCTCAGTGTCGTGAGAAGGGTGGAAAATGCTACACATGTTCACAAGAGGGACAAATCCCAGCCAGGTGGGATGGTAAGGGAAGACCTCAGAGAGGAGGTATTGAGGACAGGCTGGAGGTTGACAGATAGATACAATTAGGGAAGGGAGCCTTTGAGGCAAAAGTAGATGTGAACTGGGGTGTGCAGTATTTAATATATTATATAATATGTCAAAGGCTAGGGCTGAACTGAGGAATGGGAGAACCACCTAAATGGGAGAATTATGCAGAATTCCAGCATTGATAGAGAATGAAAGAAAGAATGCATTTGACTTGGTGACATCTTTTTTAGTACTGTGAGTACATACACACACCATAATAGATAAAAGGTAAAATGGCCAATAATAGCCTCATGTTCAATATGATATTGATATACGTGACATAAATACATGACATAAAGCCTTCTGAATATAAATTTTCTATTTCCCTTTCCATTTGACTAAATCAGAATCAAATTAGTCCATCTTTTGTTATCCTTCCATGAAATGTTATTTATAAACTCTATGTTTTTATGGAAAAACACATTCTAATAATAATCACAGTCTGAAATATTAAATGCTCATGCTGTGGTATTCAGAATTCCCATAGTACTAATATTAGTGTAGAAAGATCCATGAAATTATATGCCCCATGCCTCTGAAGGAGAATACATTAAGTTGTAACGAAAAAATAAAGGAAACACTGATTAAAAGATACTCAACATGGAAAATACTGGAATTGTTAGAGCTGAAAGGAAGCTGAGAGACCATCTAGCCCATGGTCTTATCCGACAGATAATCACACACAGACTCAAAGAGCACAAGGGCCAAGATTCAGCTGGTCAGTAACTGAATTAGAACCAAGAAAACCTTTAAGGAATCATAGCTTCTCAGTATCAAAATTAGAACACATGTTCATCTCCAGAGAGAAATGCATGCTAAAGATTCTTAACAGGGGAAAAAAGTTACAGGCATGTCTTCTTCTTTCAAAGTAAGGAGTACACAATCAAAACAGATAGTTTGAAATACTCTTGCCAGGCCGGGCACCGTGGGTCACGCCTGTAATCCCAGCGCTTTGGGAGACCGAGGTGGGCAGATCATAAGGTCAGGAGTTCGAGACCAGCCTGACCAACATGGTGAAACCCTGTCTCTACTAAAAATAAAAAATTAGCCAGGCATAGTGGCATGAGCCTGTAATCCCACCTACTCAGGAGGCTGACGCATGAGAATCACCTGAACCTGGGAGGCAGAGGTTGCAGTGAGCCGAGATCACGCCACTGCACTCCAGCCTGGGCGGCAAGAGCGAGAGCAAGACTCTGTCTCAAAAGAAAAAAAAAAAAGACGAAAAAAAGAAATACTCTTGCCAAAAAGCAACTTTCTCCCCAAAGTATATCTATAGAACACTTTAAACTGTTAACACATGAGGAATTTCTTTTTTCATTTCAAAAGAAATGTGGTTTTTTCTTTTTCATGGTTTCTGAACACTTTCAGAACCAAGGCACAAGCTGCAAAGAAGCTATTTATGCCTCGCTTAAAATGAAACCCCCCATACTAACCCAGCCAGAAAGACTCCTCTATCAATAACACTGGCAAATCATAAGATTAACTCTTTGATAATATTAATTTTTAAAAAATTTGACAGTGCCTCAGAAATGCTCATTTTTAGTCCATGAACATTCACTGTTGAGCAGTTAGAAGAAAATAGCTATGCTATGAGCATTGGTAAACAGGGAAGCAAATAAGCTACATAAATCAGAAACCTGTTCTCATGGACAGCAACAGCTAAGACATGTATATGAAGAGAGATACAGGAAAGAGTTTATAGCGAACCTTCTCACACACAGCTACCACTCTCTGAAGAATGAAGCCTTGTTTCATCCACTTATTCCAACTAGGACTTGTTTTTGAAAGTCAGTTTTGGGAGGGAAGGGGAAAATATTTTTTTTTTTTTGAAATAAATTATAAACATCCTCTAAAGCCCAGGCAATCGATAGAGTCTACAATTACAAATATCAACAAGATTTTAAAATCCTCCAGGACATGAGCTATGTCTCTTTGTAACGAACAACTATACTTAAAATACGTTCTACTTCTGAAGTACTTTATAGTTCATTAATATGCTTTCACAATAATTCATCAGCAAATAATGAGGATAAATCACCATGCCCATGCACTGCGCTAGATGTCGGATGACATGCACAGCTAATCAGAGCTGGAACTGGCTCTAAATGATGCTAAAGAAGGTGACACCACCTCCAACAGAGACATTAAGGGTAAATCAAACCCACATGAAAATTTCAAACTGAAACTGTGAGGTGGAGCAATAAAGGTAAGGCTGCCTTTAAATAGCACATTTATAAAATTGAAAAGTAAACAGGCTTGCCAATGGATAAAATTTTCTACAGACAACAACAGATAATATATCTGATAAAAAATTCATTTTGAAAGAACTTTTTACAGCCATCTCTCTAAGATATGAATCATATCAAGCTTTTTCTGAGTCTTTACAAATGAAAAGGGTAGAAGGTATTACCTATCTGTTCTAATGATTAAAGATGGACTTTTGACATATTTTATCTCTGAAAAGAATTTTGAAAATCACATTTCTTGTTCTTCTTTCAAAAGATAAAGACTATTGGCTCAGAATATGATTGAGAAGTTATCTTAAATTCTCCAGTGCTCTAATACCACAGAAAATACATACTCTCAAAACACGTGTTGCTCAATTGATGTGTCACCATATCTGATAATACTGCCATACTTTGAGCAAAGGAGTAACTTAAATTCAACATGAGTTTTCAGATGTCTTCGAATTTTCTCTCATTATGAGAATTATCTACTGCTAATATCATTTTAATCCAACTTTCATAATTCCTAGGAGTATCAGTGGAAATTTCTTTACATTTTGATATAATTTCAAACTTCAGGAAAGTTGCAAGAATAGTACAGGTGCTCTTATACACCCAGATTTACCAATTAGCTACAGCAATGATTTAATTTTAGTGCACTAATTAGAAAAAGAATTCAAAACAATTACTTTCTCTATTTCTATTTAATCTAATTCTAGGGAAAATAATTGCTTTTGCACGTGACAGCAAAAAAAAACTGAATGGATCTATTATCACTAAAATTGTATGGGAGCTCTGGGTTGATGCTACACATTCCTGAACAGCTTTTATGGGGTATTAATAATTAGCAGCACAGAGATTGTGGATTAAACTTCTTTGTGAGCCCACCATGTTCCTTGTAGCCCACTGTCACTAGACTCTGAATCTACTAGAGTGTCCACAATTAAGAACCCCACAAGTATTTGTTGAGCTTTACCTCAAGAACAAGCACAGTCAGAAATATGATCTCACCTTTTCACCAATTATGAACTAAGTGAAACCATGAATTTACAGGAAAAGCATTTCACTTTTTAAATTTTAAGATAAAATAATTTTTAAATAGCAAAATTTTAACATTCTAGGTAATCATACGTTTTAAAAGGTCAGACATAGAGTTTATGCCACAATATTTAAATAAAGACCAGTAGCTATACAGAAATTCATTTTTAAGGTGTAGTTTTACATCTCTTTATGAAATTTGGGATAACTGAAAAAAAAAAAAACACTGAGAACTGATGAGAAAAAGAAGCTGAGTTACAGACAGTGATTTCAGGTGGACACCATTTCATTCATGTCCGAATAGAGGATGCCTGCATCTTGTAATGTTGTTGAACAAATCACGTTTATCAAAAGTAATCCTAAAAGAAGTCTCAAAAATAAATCAGCTACCAAACATTGTATGTACAGAAACCAGAGATATGGCTTCTTTATAACTCACAAATTCTTAAAAGCAGCAATGTTTCTCACTTCATCAAGAGAAAACACTAAGCAAGGTTAGTAGTATGTGCTTAAGAAATGCTACTGTTTAGTGTGGGTCTACATATATCCAAGTTACTAATTCAGTCCAAAACACAACCCTGCTTTTTCATGTATTTAAATAATATAGAACATAATGCAATTCCTAACCAAAATGTTCACTCTTTTGGCATCTCTATTATCTTTAAGTAAATGTGTGGAGGGCAGATTTTGACACTACCTGCTGTGCAAAAGAGAAGGGGACCTTTTGCAGTGGTTGTTCTGTATAATATCACTGGACTCTGAATCCAGCTAGGGTTCCCAGCCACAAGGTAAAATTGGCCCTCAGAGACCATTTCTCCAATTAGCAGGAAAATATCTGACCAAAGGCATTTAAAAATGAAACTTGACCTACACTTCAACTCTACAGCAATGGTCTGCCTGCTCAAAAACAATGCATGACCTTTCAATCTTAAATTATAAAATAGTTTGTTGAAAGTGTAATGTATTTAGCTTTTATCCAATAATGTAAAGAAATGCAATCATTCCCTTGCAAAAACCAGAGAAAGAAATAGCAAATAAAAGGTCCCACTTTCATTACTTATAAATGAAACTACAAGGCACAATAAATGAGGAAGTTTTTCACAAATTGTTTTGGAAACTCTGACTTGGATTTCAATAGACATAAAAATAGCAGTCATATCCAAAGCTTAAGATATATGAAAGTGGTCCTAAATGTGAATTTTTAAATCTTCCTCTCTTTTCTCCTCCCTCTTTGTTCTTTGTATGTGAAAAAATTCTAATACTATACCTAGTATATATTTACTTTATTTCCTATATATTTATTATATGTTATAGGCTATTATATGCTGCAGGATACATTATTGTATGCTATAGGAAAATTACTACACAAACTTGGTAGAGCAGTGAAGTCACAGTAGATGGTAGAAGGCCTAGAAAGAGTCAAGGATAACTTTAGAAAATGACATAGGACTAATGAAAATGCCAACCCACAAGTTCATTTATTCACTGCACATATGTTTACTGAGCACCTACAAGAGGAATTTTGATTGGTCTTACGAGGTTTATAAACCATTTGCAAAACTGGCCTGTTAGGATACCAAATCAAATTGTTGACTATTAACTGGATTTCTATTTTAAAGGCATATGGCTTTGTGCAAGGGGCTATGGTTTTAAAGGTGGATATCGAAAAATAAACTCAGACATAGTAGAATCTATGAGAAAATTAATTCTGAATTTAGTCACTTCCATTGTGGTTACTCAGCAATGAAATGACATATTAATCTTATTAATATTATACTTAATGCAAGAAAGAATAGCTGGGCACTGATGGCTGGATTTTGATCCCATTTATGATATTAATTAGAAATAAACCTTTGCCAAAGGAGCAACTTATGTTGAAATGTGCGTATTATTATCTTCAGCTATTTTCATTACCCATATTTTCAAAGTCAGTTTTCGATGACACTGTCAGTGGTCACCACTTCCTTGGCCTTGCAATCTATTATGATGCCACCAAAAAGGAGGAATTAAAACCCAGAAGATCAAAACCTTGTACTGGTTCTGTCACTTACCAGATCTGTGACCTTGGGTGAATGTCTTAACCACTCTGACCTCAGTTTCTAATTCTACAAAATGGGACTCGTGGGGCCTTCTTCAAGGCATACAGTGTCAGAATTAAATGAGGTGTTTAGAAAAAAATGTGGAAAGATTTTTCTAAATTAAAAGTAATAAATCCAAACCATGAATTTTAGCTGGATCCTAGTTCAGAGGGGGTTTAGGGGCAGTTGGTCTATCCTGAAAATTTTAATATAAACTGAATATTAGGTGATATAAAGAACAAATTCTTATAAATTTTCTTAGCTGTGATAAAGATGTTGGGATTATAAAAATAATGTTCTAATTGTCAGAATAGGCTTACAGAGTGTTTAGAAGTCTCAGGAAGCATGCAACTTAGTTTCAAAAGGGGAGGGAAGAAAATGGGAAGGAAGAGGGGAAGTATGTTTGCATATAGAGAGGAAGAGGAAGGAAAGAGAAAATTTGGGGGAAAAGCAAATTTGGCATTGCTGAATCTGGGTGGAAGGCATGTGAGGTTCATTTTACTATTTGTTTCATTTTTTGTATATCTGAAATTTGTTCTAAATAAAAAATCGAGTAGAAAAACAAGAATTAAATTAGAAAATGTCATTAAAGATGTGGTTCCAGTTGGATACAGCGAGTACTAGCAGATATTCTGACCTCCTGTTTAGGATGATCATCATCGTGTTACACTTGCTGATGTGTGGTGTGAGCAGCACATTTGTTTAAAAAAAAATGAGCATAAAGAGTTGATGCTCTCTAAAATTGATGTCTCAGAGTCTATCAGGGCCAAGAGCTGAGAGAGGGTGAAGTTCTGCTTCTTTGGGAACAGCAGGCACTCACAGCTTAGGGGTTAAGGGCACTCCCTCTTGAATCTTAACCACCTGAATTCAAATCTGCAATGGGAGGAGCAAGGTCACTTCAGATGACTTATTTAACTAGTGCCTCAATTACCCCAACTGTACGATGCTGAATAAAAATACAATTGTTCCTATCTCACGATATCATTGAGAAGATCAAGTGTGATTATGAATTCAAGTGGTGTCTTGCACATAGTAAGTACCCAAATGTTAGCTGTTATTCGTATTATGTAAATAAGACCGTCCTATGATATGAGAGGTCCCGCCAACACTTACGCAGTCTTGCTCTCTCACCTATTAAACCAAATCTCAGGCATTATACTTTAAAGTTTACTAGAAACTTTAATTTTTGTTCATCTCTATAATTTTCACTAAAAAAAATAAAGAGGAAAACAATTTACCTCCTCCTGCTTTGGCCCTCTTTAAAAAGAATTATGATAAAAGCAATGAGGTTTCCACATGACAAGTGTCTATGTTATTTCCAAACATCAATAAGGTTTCTTAAGTGAGCATAAATTTAAATTGTTAGAATATATTAGCATGGTGTATATTATAAAAGCTATGAAATCAATTAGTATAAATGAATGGAATGTTTTTGGAATCTTTTTGGAGCCTATGATATTTGCATCCCACGTGCCCTCAAATAAATTAAAAACAGGATTGCTGGTTTCAGTGTTCCAGATTTGCAAAGAAACAGCATTAGCGCTTCAGGCCTTTGTAGGCTTCCATCTAAACCCCAACTTTTAGTTTGGGCATTCTCTGAATGTTTCCACTCCTGTGTTATGATCTTGGAGATAATTCAAAGGTTACAATACTTGCCTTTACTATAAGATCATCAGCATGATAGCAATTATGCATTAATTTCTCTATCTCATTAACTAATACACCACTAAAATTTTAAAATACAAATGGTGACAAATTCTTTTTTTGACATTTCTGAGATAGCCCCATCATAACCACGTCTTATTTACAGAGCACCTTACAGCTTCCAAAGGCTTAAACAAGCCTACACACACAACTACATTTGATCTTCACAGCAATCCCCTAAAATGGTCTGGTCAGTTCTTGGCCCTAATAGCTAGGTAAGGAAAACAGCAGCCACTGGTGAAATGAAATCTACTCAAAGTTGTATAGAAATCCTAGGAGAGTAAGCCTTACATACATCCACTCTGGCCATCTGCCCACATCCCTTTTCCAGGCTTCTACTACCTCATTTCTGTGAGGCTGGCTGTGATGTCAGCTTCATCTTGCCTGTCCCGAGGGTCTCCACACCACCTCGCTTCCAGGTGACCATCCTCCTCTGGACTCTGAGCCATCTACCAGGCAGCATCTAATAGCTACTCACTCAGAACCCAAAACCTAACAACATCAAGACAAGAGGAGAGCAGTAGTCTTGGCTACCTATGACCAATGAAACAAACACAAGATACAAAGACACAGAGAGGTCATAAACAACTGAATGTGTCAAGTAAACGGAGCATGTGACTTCCTTTTATATTGAAGTGTATGAAAAGGAATTCTATTTCTGGTCCTTTCTGATGGAGAGAAGTTACTCACCCTCTCTTAGCTTCAGCTTCCTCACCTATGGAGCGTAGTACTGCCACAGCCCCTTAAGCTTACGCTGGGCACAAAAGAAGAAAATGTATGGGAAATGTCTATCAGTACATAGCCCTTAGTATGGCCTTGATAAATATTTACTAAGTTGGAATAAGCCCTATGGATGAAGAAATGCATTAAGTTTATTTTTTTTAATTTTATTTTTTTGAGGTGGGGTCTCGCTTTGTCGCCCAGGCTGGAATGCAGTGGTGAGATCTCTGCTCACTGCAACCCCTGCCTCCCAGGTTCAAGCGATTCTCCTGCCTCAGCCTCCCGAGTAGCTGGGACTACAGGCATGTGCCACCAGGCCCAGCTAACTTTTGTATTTTTAGTAGAGACAGGGTTTCACCATGTTGGCCAGGCTGGTCTCGAACTCCTGACCTCAGGTGATCCACCCACCCTGGCCTCCCAAAGTGCTGGGATTACAGGCATGAGCCACTGCACCTGGCCAAAAATTTATTAATTTTAAATGTGATGTACAACAGAGAGTAAAAAATGTAGGTTGAGTATCCCTTATCTGAAATGCTTGGAACCAAAAGTATTTTGGATCTCAGATTTTCTCAGATTTGGGAATGTGCATTATACTTACAGGTTAAGCATCCTTAATCCACAAATCTAAAATCTGAAATGCTCCAGTGAGCATTTCCTTTGAGTGTCATGTCAATGCTCAAAAAGTTTCAGATTTTGGAGCATTCAGATTTTGGGTTTTTCGATTAGGGATACTCACCCTGCATATAACTCAATAATATAAATTAGATATCTTGATGTTACATACTATAGTTTACTATCTAAAAAGACATTTAAAATCATTTTACCAGAATTATCTCACCCTAAATTATAGCTGAATAAAACCTCACAAAATATCTAAAGTATCAGCAGTTTGGGCAGTTGGATAGAATAGGTGTGTTTAATTCAGCAGAAAAACTGAACTTTTAAATTTTATGAAGCAACAAGAACATGGTTATACATGTTACCAGGAGGAGGAAAAGGAGGCAAGTAACCTTCTGGAGAAGAAAATGTGAGAAGGCAGATTGGGGTAGGTGTGGGTGGGGAAGTGGGCAGTTAAAAACTTGACCCATAATGTAGAGATTCTAGAAAATACAGTGTAATACACAGTCACTCAACACACTCTTAGAGGTCCTAGCACTGAAACTCAATAGCTCTCTGCAAAGTGAACATCCATTTTGAGTACTGGGATATCACTTCTCTCCAAGAAAATATAAGAACCTCCTAAATCCTTCTCTTATGCAGGAACTAAATTGTGAACTGTACACTCATCAGTTAATTCTGGTAGGCAGTGACTGCCGTAAAAACTGTTTCTGGAAGGATGAAAGTTCTAAATTCTTCAGACTTCAGGTTGAGCAATGAGGCTGTGTGGTCTTTCTTCTTAATGATGTGCACCCTTGGCTGGTACTTATGCATTGAGTTCAAAATGATCTACAACAAAAAGATGGAAAGTACTGAATTTTACATACTTATACTGCTCAACAGGCCAAATTACAATGAGGCAAGAAAGAACCAAATGGTCTACAATTTCAAAGTCAATTTTAAGATATGGATCTACCCTTTCCAGCCTTAAGGCAAATCATTTTCACAAGATACTGCAGAGTCATTGTTGTGAATCACATTTTACCGAAACAACTGCAAACCACACAGGTTGTTTCAAGTGTCCTTTCTAAAATGGTAGGGGGAGAGGTCATCTGAAGGATAAGTTTTACCGATTTTTAAAAATCAAGTATTTTAAATACTTTTGTTTTGCTAGTCTAGTTAGACCAAAGGACGCATGTCTAAATTTTCTAAAATAAGAAATCACATATTCTAAGAGGCCAGATTATTATTTATGGAGAAAAAAATAAAAGAGTTTAGAAAAGCAGTGGGGTGTTAGACAGACTTGGGTAAAAATTTTGAATCTGTGAGTTTCTAGTCCTTTAATCCTTAGCCAAGTGATCTCATCTCCCCAATTCCTAGTTTATGCAAATGAATATGCAAAGCAAAAACAGAATGGCATTTATGGTACTAAATCATGTATAGCTTGGTCATAATGATAAAACTGAAATGATTATTAAAAATTTCTTTTTTTTTTTTTTTTTTTTTGAGATAGTGTCTCACTCTGTCACCCAGGCCGGAGTGCAGTAGTGCAATCACGGCTCACTGCGATCTTGACCGCCCAGGCTCAAGCGATTCTCCCATCTCAGCTTCCTGAGTAGCTGGGACTACAGACATGGATCACCACACCTGGCTAATTTTTTTTTTGTTTTGTTTTGTTTTTGTTTTTTTCGGAGAGATGGGGTCTTACCATGTTGCCAGGCTGGTTTCGAACTCCTAGACTCCAGCGATGCGACCGCTGGGCCTCCCAAAGTGCTGGGATTACAGGTATGGAGCCACTGCACCCAGGCAAGAATTTTAATAATAACCTTTAGGTTAAAGTAAGCCTCAGGTTAATCTCAAGGAAATCAAATTTCCTGGGAAATCAAAAAAAAAAATCTATTTAGATTTTTCTGTCTAACTGGTACTTTCCATGAAGATAGTACTTGCCAAATAAAATATGGTAGCAATAAAGCTGTGGATAAAACTTAAGCTATAGAATGGCTCACCTTTAAAATGTCCCAGGTTACTAAAAACAATTTATAAAGAAAATGGTACTGAGAACGTCAGCAGGGCCTTTAAAAAGTGCAAAACATGTTCTCAGAGATGAACTGTAAGACAGAAAGGCAAGAAAATATTGAGAAGTAAAGCTAAGCTATAAATCAAGGGGATGAGGTTTAAAAGAATCCACAGTATAATCAGAAATACATCATCTCTTAAATTAAAAAATAATAATAACAGTAATAAGCTGGGTGCAGGGGCTCATGCCTGTAATTCCAGCACTTTGGGAGGGCCGAGGCAGGCCGATCTCTTGAGGCCAGGAGTTTGAGATCAGGCTGGACACATGGTGAAACCCCATCTCTACTAAAAATACAAAAATTAGCCAGGCATGGTGGTGCACACCTGTAATCCCAGCTACTACTCGGGAGACTGAGGCATAAGAATCGTTTTAACTGAGAGGCGGAGGTTGCAGTGAGCTGAGATTGCGCCACTACACTCCAGCCTGGGCAACAGAACGAGACACAGTCTCATTAAAAAAAAAAAAGAAAAGTAATAATAGTATAAGCTTCAGTTTCCAAAATTTGCATTCAGCTCTCCCATGTTGACCCTTCTTTTTTAACTGTCCCTACCACCTACCTCCAGGACTGTATTTATTTAGCAGTAGAGGGAATGAAATATAATAGGAGTAGAAGAAATATTTTTCCACTGCCGTGGGACAACTGTCTACTCCTTCCTGATGTAAAATTATCAAAACTAGAATAATTAGCACTGCCTCAGAGACTAGACACCATATTTATTAGATGGTCAAAATCATTTCCTCATGCCTGATTATTTCCTATATTTGCATATTGTCACCTTAGAAATACAAAGAATAAGATTCTTTTAAATGGACATTCTGGGCCGGGTGCAGTGGTTCACACCTGTAATCCCAGAACTTTGGGAGGCCAAGACAGGTGGATCACTTGAGGTTAGGAGTTCAAGACCAGCCTGGACCAACATGGTGAAACCCCATCTCTAATAAAAATACAAAATTAGCCAGGTGTGGCACATGCCTGTAATCCTAGCTACTCAGGAGGCTGAGGCAGGAGAATCACATGAACCTAGGAGGTGGTGGTTGCAGTGAGCTGAGATCATGCCACTGCACTCCAGCCTGGGCAACAGAGTCAGACTCTGTCTCAAAAATAAATAAACAAACAAACAAACATTCTGACTTGTACATTAGTAGAAAGAGAAAAGAATACCACCCCTTTTAGAGCAGCCAGTATTACCTAAAGTCAGATTTTTGATTGCATATTAAGCTTGCCCAAGTCAAGTGGTGCTCAGAGGTTAATGAACCCACTCTGGAAATAAATGGGTAGTGGGTATCCTCTTTACTTTTCTCTGGGGCCAGTGGAAAACACATAGGGAGGAGTGTTCAAATGTTATTATACTTTTTTCAGGTGAGTTTCCAGCAGGCAATGTCTACTACTTAGCAATTTCCTTTTGTAGGATTCATGTTTTGGTACCAGCAATTCTCCTGCAGTACAACAGGCCTATATCCCTAAAATTGAGCAAGCAGGCTACGTGCAGTGGCTGATGTCTGTAATCCTAACACTTTGGGAAGCCAAGGTGGGAGGACTGCTTGAGGCCAGGAGTTCAAGACCAGCCTGTGAACATAGTAAGACCCTGTCTCTACCAAACAAAAAAAAATTAATGTTTTTAATTAGCAGGCCGTGGTGGTGCACACCTGCAGTCCCAGCTACTTCAGAGCCAGAGGCAGGAAGATCACTTGAGCCCAGGAGTTTGACGCTGCAGTGAGCTCTGGCTGCTCCACCCCACTACAGCCTCGGTGACAGCAAGACCCTCTCAAAATAAAATAATAATAAAATAAATAGAGCATGCAAAACTTATGGTGCCTATTCAAAACACGGCTTCATTTTTTCCACAGCCTTTCAGTGAGACTAGGTATTTCTCTGACCTTGAAAATGTTTAGAGCAACTTCTACAACTTTGATCGTCATTTTTAGGCAATAAAAAGTTTTCCATCACTTAGCCAAAAACATAAACTCAGTTTAGTAACTGATATGTCCAATCCACTGAAACAGTCAAAAACTGTTCAAGGTTAATCTTCAAGTCTCCCTGAGTTTGCTCCGAAGTAGCTGGGGTTACAGGCACCTGCCACCATGCGGGGTTAATTTTTGTATTTTTAGTAGAGATGGGGTTTCACCATGTTGGCCAGGTTGGTCTTGAACACCTGACCTCAGGTGATCCACCCACCTCAGCTTCCCAAAGTGCTAGGATTACAGGCCTGAGCTATTGCACCTGGCCAGTCAATATGTTTTGAAAGTTGTTTGGCTTTTTTATTGTTTTGTAATGAAATTTAACCTTCAGATTAAACTGTTCTATATTTTAAATTCTTTTGTGCTCATAAAGTTACAATAACTGTTGGGCAGTTAATTTAATCTCCCTTGATTAAATAAATTGTTGCTTATAGGTGTTGCCATAGGTGCCATTCTTCACTCTGTTTAGTAGCTAGCGTCAACAGGGCTTTTGACATTATGGCAAACTATTTGGTAACCTATTTATTTGGAAATAATATAGAATATGGGATAAATTATAAAATATAGCAAGGCATTTTGGGTCAGTAGATTTTATAATTTATTTTTGCTTTCAGTTGGTAAAGGGGGAAGGAATATAATATGGAAAATGCTTGAGTGTCTGAGTAGTGGAATTGCAGACCCATCATGAGTGGGTGTTAATGTCAGAGCTTCTGGACATTTGAGGCAGAGGAGGTGGTTAGCAAGCCAGGGAGGGCCACCTCCTGAGGATGGATGGCCCCAGTTCTGGCACTCATCTCCATGAGCCCCATCCACTCTTGTAACCCTTTCCCTGGGTACCATGAGTGCACCAACTCATTCCCCTGAGTACCACACAGTGGCTAGAAATCTGGAGAATTTGCAACCTCTATCTCTTGAATTCTTTGGAAATACTGGCTGCCTCGCAGTACTCACCATTCCTTCGCTGATTGTGAACATTTGAAAAAACAAGCAAACAGAATTAAACAAAGGCAAGGATCATTCATCTTAAACTTTCTAATATTCACTAAATTTATCTTGATTACCTTTAGGCTTCAGCCCACAGGAAAATGTTTTTCTTCCATGATTGTTGGATGTGAGTCAGTGATTCTCAAAGTTTGCTACACATTAGAATCACTTGGGAGCTTTTAAAAATCCCAATGCCCAGAGCTCCTTGGGCCAATTAAAGCAGAAGCCCTAAGAATGAAACCCAGGCATCAGTATTTTTTAAAACTCCCCAGACAATTCCAATATAGAGCCAAATTTGAGAATTAGGGCTGCAGTGTAAATGACTCTGGGCCATGGTGGAAATAAAGGAAGGATACATAGCGAAGTTCTTCCTTAGCTTTCACAGATGACAATCAGCTAACATTACAAGTATATGCTGCTTTCAAAAATTCAACAAAGGAAAACCAAAATTTATAAAATAATGATTTAAGGCTGAGCGCAGTAGCTCACGTCTGTAATCCCAGCACTTTGGAAGGCTGAGGCCAGCAGATCCCTTAAGGCCCCAAGTTTGACACCTGCCTGGCCAACATGGCAAAACCCCATCTCTACTAAAAATACAAAATTAGCCAGGCATGGTGGCACACTCCTGTAATCCCAGCTACTCAGGAAGCTGAGGCAGGAGAATCACTTGAGCCTGGGAGGCAGAGGTTACAGTGAGCCGAGATGGTGTCACTGCACTCCAGCCTGGGTAACAGAGCGAGACCCTGTCTTAAAAAAAAAAAAGGGGCGGCCAGGCACAGTGGCCCATGCCTGTAATCACTAATCACAGCACTTTGGGAGGCCGAGGAGGGGCAGATCATGAGGTCCAGAGTTCGAGATCAGCCTGGCCAGTATGGTGAAACCCCCATCTCTACTAAAAATACAAAAATTAGCCAGGCGTGGTGGCACACACCTGTTGTCCCAGCTACTCAGGAGGCTGAGGCAGAAGAATCACTTGAACCCAGGAGGTGGAGGTTGCAGTGAGCCAAGATCACACCACCGCACTCCAGCCTGGGTGACACAGTAAGACTCCGTCTAAAAAAAAAAAAGAGATAAAACAAAATTTACATTAAAATATCTTCTTTTGGCTGGGCGCAGTGGCTCACACCTGTAATCCTAGTACTTTGGGAGGCCAAGGTGGGTGGACTGCTTGAGCCCAGGAGTTCGAGACCACCCTGGGCAACATGGCAAAATCCTGTTTCTACCAAAAAAATGCAAAAATTAGCCAGGTGTGGTGGCATGTGCCTATAGTCCCAACTACTTGGGAGGCTGAGGTGGGAGGATCACATGAGCCCTGGAGGTGAAGGCTGCACTGAGCTGTGATCATGCCACTACACTCTAGCCTGGGTAACAGAGCAAGAACTTGTCTCAAAAAAATAAAAATAAAATAAAGTATCTTATTTTTACGAAAGGGTTGACCAAAGATTCCTTGAAGGAGTAAGTACTCCCAATGCAAATTTTCATTAGATGTACAAAAGCAGCATATGTTTTAGGAAAGTGTGTATTAATATAGTCTACTATTGTCTCAACCAAATATGTATGTCTCAAATCTGAATTTGTAATCATCCCCAAATCGGATCCCCCCCTTCTGTCTTCAATAAATCTGTCAATAATGAAACCCCCATTATTCCCTGGTCTTGAACGCAGATGTGTTGACTTTATTTTTTAATTTTATTTATAATTCTTATTTAATAACGTCCTATAACTATCTCTTTAAAATGATTCTTGTTTTCTGTTTTTGGTAATACTTCCAGAAGGTCCACTTTCTTAAGAATAGGCCCAGTTCTATTCCAAGATTATTACTACAGCCTCCTAATGTGTCTCCCTGCTGTCTATATGAATTTTTAAAAAAATACCACTGCTCTCATGCTCTACTTTTCTCAACAAGTTTCAAAATCTCCCATTACATTTTTTGTTTTTGAGACCGGATCTCACTCTGTCACCCAGGCTGGAGTGCCGTGGTGCAATCATAGCACACTACAGCCTCGACCTCCAGGGCTCAAACGTTCCTCTGCTTCAGCCTCCTAAGTAGCTGGGACTATAGAGGTGCACAACACCATGCCTGACTAAGTATTTTTTGTAGAGACAGGGTCTCATATGTTTTCTAGGCTAGTCTTGAATTCCTACCCTCAAGCAATTTCCTGTCTCTGCCTCCCAAACATTGGGATTACAGGTGTGAGCCACTGGGCCCGGCCTCCAATTACATTTAGAATAAAGCTTATACTCTTTAGCTTGGCCTACTAACCCTTCTGCAATTTTACCCTATAGTCCTGCCTTTCACTTCTCACTTGTCATGGATGCTAGATTTACTCTAGCCACATCTATTTTTGTAAATCCTTTCTCTGAAGAATATCCTCCTTGCTACATTCTTTCTATCCATATTTTACTCTCTTTTAGGCCCCAAATCAAATCCACTGTCCTCCAAGATGTCTGCTGGCTGGGCCACCGCTGTCTTTGAAGGTCTCTCTATCTCTTTCAACCTCTGTTAATATTGCTCTCTTTTTCTCTCTTTCTCTCTCATTATAAGCTGAATATTTATATCCTCCCAAAATTTGTGTGTTAAAATCCTAATGCTCAAGGCACTGGTATTAGGAGGTGATACCTTCAGGAGGTAATTAGGTCATAAGGGAAGAGCCTTCATGAATGGAATTAGTGCCCTTAGAAAATAGGCCCAAGGCAACTCATTCTTCCTTCCCACCATGTGAGGATACAGAGAGAAGGCACTATCTATGAAAACAATTCTAAATCTGAGAGAAAAAAAAAAAAACACACACACACACAAGTAATTCTCCTCAGCATTATCTGTAAGAGAAAAAAAAATTTAAATTTCTATAGAATAATATTAATGATGGTATAGCCACCTTTCCAATACTATGTATTCACTAAAAATATTGTTTAAAAAAGACTAAGCCATACAATGGAATACTCCTAAGCAAAAAAAATGAAGTACTGATTTATACTACAGAGTGGTGAACCTTGAAAACACTGTGCTAACTAAAAGAAGCCAGACATAAAAGGCTACATATCATATGATTCCACTTAACATGAAATGTCCAGAATAGACAAATCTATATAGAGAGAAAATAGATTGGTGGTTTCCAGGAGTTGGAGAAAGAGGGAAATGGGTAGTTACTGCCAGCAGGTATGAAGTTTATTTGGGGGGCTGAAACTTCTGGAATTAGTGTTAATGGTTATACAACCTCAATATACTGAAAAACACTGAATTATATTCCTTTAAAGGGTGAATTTTATAGTATGTGAATGATATCTGAATACATGTTTTTAACTATGCCAATATGGAAGATGTATATGACATAATATGGAGGAGAAAAGTAAGGAACAAAATTATATAAAGAGTAGCAAAAATTTCTCAAGTATAAAAGAAGTTTTTTAAAAGAACAGAATGTACTGATACACTAATAGGAAAAACACTGGTAGGAAAAAAACAGAAACACTGAAGGAAAAAAAAGTATTTTTTCAGGCAGTTTATACAAAGTTAGGTGAAATATCTTTATTAACGCACAACCATATTAATGCAAAGCTGTGTTTTGGTAGGAGTTCTGGGAACCACCCCATAAGAGTCCCCGTGACTTAGTTCCCCGGAACAAATGCCAGTTTATACTTAGAATTTATTTCCCTGGGCATCACACACAAACACTCAGTTGATAAGCTGGCTGAAAACAACTTAATAATGTAGCTATTTTAACTTAGGCATCTATTCTATGAATTATAAGAACATGATTGGCTTTCACTGTGTATTGTTAAAGAACTGGTGATGACTTGTGCCTGGGCAGACTAGTCCCCAAGTTGCTGGCTAGTCTGAATAAGAGTCAGGAAGGACAGTCCCTGACTGGCCCCATACCAGGGAATGCCTGGTGGCCACACTGCTGCTGACCCTGAGACAACACAGTCCACATCATGTCCACACCTCTACTGTCAGTCAATGCTTCTCCATGTCTGATGAAAGTGACTCCACCAAACCAACTAGGAAGTCCCAATTTCCTTCAGAGACCCACAGGCTGCCAAGAGGACCCAACCCTCCTCTTCCACACCAGCATGAGCTAAATTCTCCCTGGAGTAAAAAAAAACTGTAGCCTCCATCTCTACTCCTTATTTATTTTTTGTGCAAAAAAATGTTCATGGCATCTTTATAAAAACTAAAACTGGAAACAACCCAAGTGTCCATGAACAGAACATCCATGCTCCATTCGTCCTGGAGAATAAACTGTGGTACATCTCTTCACTTTAGCTAGCACTTCCATCTCCATTCTCCACTGGACCTCAAAAAAGGAAAGCTGAGGCACTAATGACTCCTAACCTTATTTGTACCTTGTGGGTTGGTATTTCTGAGGAAAGGCATACTCATGCAAGGAGAGAAAAAGAATCTGATGCTAACTTCCATCTCTGTTACTAGAAAATGAATTCTTCATCAGAGTTATATGCCTAAACTTGCCTAAGCCATACAAGTATTGATAAAACCTAAAACTAAGAGTCACATGTTTGGAACTTGCTGTTTTATTTTAATCGGTAAAGCTTCTTCATTTTAAAAGATGATTTCCATTAAGAGAGTCTCTCAGAAGCTTCCTGGATTTGTTATGAGTTGTAAGGGCCAATGAGAAAAACATTCGAGTCAGTATTTCCAGGAATCACAAAACTGTTCACACAGTGATGTAAGGAATTTGACAAGTGAATGTACAGCATGTGCAGTGTTATTTTTATTTTTAGAGCATGTTGCGGAGTTGTTAAACCCTCAAATATGCATCAGACATATTCCCAAGCACTCATTTGCTGGGAATAAATTCATAGATTTAACTCATCTGTGCTGTTTTAAGGATCCAGGATATATTCTAAAGAACAAGAGAATGAATATTAAATACAAAATAGAAATTTCCCTAGGAATTATTTTTTTCATGTACTATTCCTCATGTATATTTCATCCACAATTTGCTAAGTAAACTGCTCATTGTTCAAACCAGTAAAGATAATAGTCTTCTTCAGAGGTCTCCTCTGGAGTCAGACACACCTAGATTCAAATCCCAAGTCCATCTATTTCTATAAGTGTTCTTGGATAATGTTCTCAACTTTCCTGATCCATAAAATAGGAAGTTACTTTTTCTCTAGGGGATACGCATGTACACATTATATATATGTGTGTGTGTGTGTGTGTGTGTGTGTGTGTGTGTGTAATTTCTTTGGGTGTTGTATTAGTCAGAATTCTCCAGAGAAACAGAACCAACAGGGTGGATGGATGAAAGAATAAATAGATGGATGGACAGACGAATGGATCGATGGATGGACGGACTGACAGACAGACAGATAATCGGTAATTTGCTCATGCAATTTCGGAGTCTAAGACCCAAGGTCTGCAGTCAGGAAGCTGGAGACCCAGCAAAGCCAATGTATAGTTCCAGCCTGAGTCCCAAGTCCTGAGCACCAGGAGAGCCAGGTTCTCTCCAGGAGAGCCAAGGTTCAGTGTGAAAGCAGCAGGCTTGAGACCCAAGAAGAGCCAATGTTTCAGTCTGAGTCTAAAGGCCAGAAAAGACCAATGTCCTAGCTCAAAGCAGTCAGGGAGTAGTTCCCTCATATTTGAGGAAGAGTCAGCCTTTTTGTTCTACTCAAGCCTTAACTGATTGGATGAGGCCTATCCACATTAAGAAGGGCAATCTGCTTTACTCAGTCTACCAAGCTAAATGTTAATTTCATCCAAAAACACAGACACCCAAAATGTTTGACCAAACATCCGGACACCCCATGGCCCAGTCAAGTTGACAACAAACATACTTTCAAATATTAGCTATAATCTATAGCTATCAAAAAATTATCTAAGAAGTATAAATGCCCAAAAGGTTTGTGTCAGTTTGCAAGACAATAGTGTATTACTCTATGTATTTACTTATTTCTTTTTGAGAAGGAGTCTCACTCTGTTGCTCAGGCTGGAGTGCAGTGGCACGACTTTGGCTCACTGCAACCTCTGCCTCCCAGGTTCAAGCGATTCTCCTGCCCCAGCCTCCCCAGTAGCTAGGATTACAGGCGTGCCCCACCACACCCGGCTAATTTTTGTATTTTTAGTAGAGACGGGGTTTCACCCTGTTGGCCAGGCCGGTCTCAAACTCCTGACCTCAAATGATCTGCCCACCTCGGCCTCCCAAAGTGCTGAGGTTACAGGCATGAGCCACTGCAACCAGCCATACTTATTTTTAAACACAGAATCCTTTCCCAGCCTTCCTTACCCATATGCAGTTTCAGTAGTATGTAACATATCCTCTATTTACTCAGCATTATTTCATCGTTCTGGATGAGAAGAGAATTAGGAAACTTCTGGAAAGTTAGCTGCTCTATTAATTGTTTACAGATTCCATAATGACAACTTATGGCACTTATGAGCACTGGCGCTCAGATAATCAGACATTTTAACAACATTTTACTTTTCATGACTCCAGAAGATTTTGCATTAGTCTAGACTCTTCTGGGAAAGAAGAGAATAAAATTAATAGCCAATGCAACTTCAACAGCTTTTTTAAAAAACTAAGAGTGAAATATTCATCTCTGTTGTCACCAAATCCAAGAAAGTCACAAATCAGATATACTATCCAGCAGCCTGCTTCAATTTCTCTTTATAATACTGAATATATTTCTTTCTTGAACAGAAATCAAAGTGGTAATATACCTTTCACTCTAGTGTAGTTGTGGATTCAAAGGAAACCCAATTTATAGACTACAGACTGACTTTACATTTTAAAAGGCGGTAAAGGAATAATCTGTAATTTCTACTGCATTCTAAAGAAATGGAAATCAGAAATTCAAAACATTTAAACATCAAACTAATGATTGTTTTAGAAAAATCACTCCAAGAAAATCTGACTTTCTCGCTTTTCTCCTGGCAGATCATATCGTAATGTTATTCATGGGAATATTCTTCATAATTCATGAAAGATAATTTTTCTATACATTTAACACTTCTGCTGCTTTTATTTTCCTGCTGTTGAAGGATCAATAATAAAGTCTGTGTAGGCCCAATGGAGACATGAATAATAACCCAAAATCCTCTTAAAAATCTAGACACAGTCACAGCATCGTTACTTTCTATTGAATAGTAATTTATTCTTATGAAGGCTTCTGACAAGCATTTTCACCCTTTGTACCTAAGATTTTATTTGATCCATATGATTTAAGCAGATAAAATAGATGAGTAAAATGCCTACATTTTCTCTAAAGACAGGGTCAACTGCTCAGAATTGCTTTTTTCCTCTTACAATTCTATCATACTCACTTTAGTGTCACCATGGAAAAGTCAATTCGAAAAATATGTTATTATATCTTTCAGTACAGTTCTCTGTGTTTCAGAAAAGAATGGTGTACACACCATGGCACAAGTGAGAGGATGAGTTTCTTGCTATAGCTCCCCTCCTGTCCTCACATATATCTTCACAGGAATGGGGTGGGTGGGGGGGGAGGTTAAATTTTAAAATTCTAAGGTTCTCAATAGTTTTCTCTGAAACAGGTAATTTGGCCAGGTGCAGTGGCTCATGCCTGTAATCCCAGAACTTTGGGAGGCTGAGGTGGGTGGATCACCTGAGGTCAGGAGCTGCAGACCAACCTGGCCAATATGGTGAAACCCTGTCTCTACTAAAAATACAAAAATTAGCTGGATGTTGTGGCAGGCGCTACTTAGGAGGCTTGAGGCGGGAGAATCACTTGAACCCAGGTGGCAGAGGTTGCAGTGAGCCGAGATCACACCATTGCACTCCAGCCTGGGCGATAAGAGCAAAACTCCATCTCAAAAAAATAGAAATAAATACAAACATACATACATAAATCAGGTAATTTTCTTCAAATCTGCTTAGAAATTAAGAAGAAAAGTCAGAAACATTGCATCTCTAAAAGATTGCTTTATTCCTTCATCTGCCTCTATTAACCAAGGAAAATTTGAAAGATAGGGAGAGGGAGAGAAAGTGATACAGGAGCTAGAAAGAAATTATTAAGGCAGATAGTGAGGGAAAGAGAGTCCTTGGCAAGGTTTCTCTTTTAATGCAAAAGCAACCCCCAAATCATTTCTTTTCTAACAAAGAGCAGCCTGAAAAATCAAGCTGCAAGCATAGAAAAGCAAGCTAGAAGCTCGCACGGGTGAATGCTGGCAGCTGTGCCAACAGGAAAAGGCTACAATGGGAGCCAGGCATGTTCAACATGGAGGCTGCATCTTCCCTTTTGTCAACCACGTGTACAGTAAAGAAGCAGGCAACATGGCATTAGCCAGGTAGGGAACCCATTTGTATAATAAAAGATTAGGGTGGGGCGGCCAGTTTCTTCGTGTGCTATGCAAACAGCACACCTGGTCCGACCAATATCTCAGGCCCTATGTAAAGCAGACACCGCATCCTCAAGCTCGTCTATAAAACCCCGTGCATTTCACCACAAAACTGGAAGACCCACTCGGAAACCCATCTCTCTCTGCAGGAGACAGAGCTTTTCTCTTTTCTCTTTCTTTCACCTATTAAGCCTCTTCTCTTAAACTCACTCCTTGTGTTTGTCAGCGTCTTCGATTTCCTTGGCATTAGACAATGAACCTCAAGTTTTATCCCACACAAACGATGCCATTTCAAAAGGACAAAGGTTCTTTTCTTCAGGGTCATGGCACAAGAGATAGAGCCCCACTACCACCCCTCCTCACTTACACCCTAAGAGTCTCTCCCAGGTGCTCACAAGGCAGAGAACAGGTAGGAGCGGTGCCCACTCAGACCCCAAAGTGGAGAGGTCACAGAAGCTGCTCCACTTGGGGCAGTTCGCTGACTGCTTTCATCCCCGCTGTGGCTGCAGCTGGACTCCATTCCAGCCCCAAGGGAATGTTTTGCTTCAGAGACTTCTCATCTGCATTCCCTTGCCTGAAATACTCTTTCCTCAGATTCCTCAGCCTCCAAGTCTTTGCTTAAATATCACAATCTTGTTGATTTAGGCCTCCTCTGAGCCCCCTATTTCAAAATGTCAGTCCCTTACCGTATTTCCTCCTTGTCTCTCTTTCCTACTTTATTTTTCACCATAGCACTTACCGTCATCTGCCCCGGATGTCTTCCAGCCCCAGCCCCATATTCACTTGCCACCGTCTCAGCCCTGCCACGTGTACCAGGAGGCTGACCGGATGCTCTCCATCAACAAGCTCTGCTGTCCTTCCGCTTCCTGTCGGGTTTGACCAATAAAAGGCAGCAGAACGAGATCCAAGGAGGGAAGAGAAAGAGGTTGGGAATTTATTCTCCCAGCTCCGCTCCTGCCAAGTCCCGGTGTGTTAGCTGCCTCCCTCTTTTTTTTTTTTTTTTTTTTTTTTGAGATGGAGCCTTGCTCTGTCGCCCAGGCTGGAGGCGGTGGCGTGATCTCGGCTCACTGCAACCTCTGCCTTCCGGGTTCAAGTGATTCTCCTACCTCAGCCTCCTGAGTAGCTGGGACTACAGGCGCGTGCCACCATGCCCAGCTAATTATTTTTGTGCCTTTTTTTTTTTTTTTTTAGCAGAGACGGGGTTTCACCATGCTGGCCAGGCTGGTCTTGAACTCCTGACCTCAGGTGATCCATCTGCCTTGGACTCCCAAAGTTCTAGGATTACAGGTGTAAGCCACCATGGCCAGCTGGTTGCCTCCCTTTTGTGAGGACCACACTCCCTATCAAGCAGCTCTCTCCCTTCAGCTCCCTTCTCTGAGTAACTTCTCCCTCTCCTTACTTTCAGGTGTTAAGAGCTCCTCCCTGTTACTAGCTCCAGGGCATAGCATATCCCTTGTGCTTTAAGCACTGTTTTATTAATTACTAACCTTTATTAAGCTCTTTATTAACTACATTAAGTTAATTAGACTCTTCTCACCATTTTGACAATGACCTTTACTTTCCAAACTGCTGCATCATCTGGCATCTTACGTATTTTACTTAATTACTTGTTTTCTCCCTCCGCTAAAACATAGGCTTCATGAAGTCAAGATTTGTCCCTTTTGCATACTACTGTATTCCCAGCACCTACGAGAGAACAGGGAACATAGTAGGAGATGCGAAAGAAGCACTGGATAAATAACTGAATCATGAGTGAACGTATGACTTAGGAAGGGACATAGAAAGTCTAACTCCCCATCTTCTCTGTATGCTGGATCTCTGCCTTTTCAGATGGTGTCTTCTGTTTCTTTCCTTCCTCTGTTTTGTTACTCTTTTAATTTTTAATTTTTGTAGGTACATAGGTGTACATATTTATGGGGTACATGAGATATTTTGACACAGGCATGCAATGTGTAATAATCACATCAGGGAAATGGAGTACTCATCCCCTGAAGCATTTATCCTTTGTGTTACAATCCAGTTTTACTCTTTTATTTTTAAATGTACAATAAATTATTATTGACTATAGTCACCCTGTTGTGCTATCGAATGCTAGATCTTCTTCATTCTAATAATATTTTGTACGCTTTTTCAAAATTTTGGTTAGTGTGGATAACAAATATTTCTCTGGGCATTATTTCAGCTCCCAATTTATACTTAACATTTTTACATAACATCATCTGGCAACATTTTAGAGAATTCACATATATAAACCCATGTAATTATAATCTGGCATCACTTCCTACTTCAAAATGTTCATAAATAGCATTGCTGAGGCAGAGGTAGAATCATTTTAAAACAAAACAAAAAAAAGAGCAGTCCAACAGCAAGTGAAAGATCACCACCAAACCTAACTTCATGGACAATAGCAAGCAAACCTGAAGTGTAGGTTCCAATATTCTATTTAGAAATATCAGCTAGAATATAAACCTCATGAGAGAAGGCTTTGTCTGTTTTGTCTGCTGATGTAGTCCAAGCACTAAGAGCAATATCCAGTATATATTTGGTACTCAATAAGTGTTGAATTCATGAATGAATGAACTAATGTCACCCTGAAATAAGGAACTATTTTGAAGTGACAATAGATTAGATAATTGTTTCCAACTCCTTGCTCCCTGTTTGATTTTGGGGTTTTCTTTTCCTTTGGTTTGGTTTTTGTTTGAGACAGAGTCACACTCTGTCATCTAGGCTGAAGTGCAGTGGCACAATCTCAGCTCACTGCAAACTCTGCCTCCCAGGCTCAACCGATTCTCGTGCCTCAGCCTCCAGAGTAGCGAGATTATAGGTGTGTACCACCACGCCCAGCTAATTTCTGTATTTTTAGTAGAGATGGGGTTTCACCATGTTGACCAGGCTGGTTTTGAACTCCTGACCTCAAGTGATCCACCTGCCTCGGCCTCCCAATGTGCTGGGATTACAGGTGTGAGCCACCACGCCCAGCCCCTCTTTGTAATAGAATATCCCACCCCCGCCCTTTGTCGTGTAAGGTGGTCACTATGAAAGGAGTATTTCTCTTCACCTCCTTGATTTTGGGGGTTGGCCATGTGATATTATGACACACGTTGGCCAACAGGATGTGAGCAGAAGTAGCAATGTGCCAATTCTGCACAAAAACTTTAAGCACAATTGCTTGATTCATCACAGCTTGCTGTTCCCATCTTCTGCCATGATAGAACAGCATGTGCAGTGAGAGGTGGCTCTTTCGACCAAGTCCCAAACTAAGAAGAGAAGACACATAGAGCCAGCCCTCAGTCATCTGCAGCCTGAAGCCACATGTATTGTGAAAATAAATACATTTAGCTTGTTTTTCTGCAGCGTTACCACAGCAAAAACTGACTCAATTACTGGTACCTAGAAGTGAGGTGTTGATGGAACAAAAACCATGTAGGTAGGGGAGGGGGCAAGGAAAGTGTTACAGGAAACAGAAAAATGGCAACTCATTATGTCATGACAAAACATTTGGTAAAATGATCACATATATCATTTTCTTGCCTGAGGTAACCTTTTGTGGTAAGGCTGTCAGGCTATTGCAGCCATTTTTATACGAGTGAGCCCTTCGTGATGTCATTTTTAGGGCAACTTGATTTTCTGTCTCTGGAAGTACTATTTCATGAGTATATGCAAAATAGTGATACTATAGTATGTGATTTAGGAACTAGTCTCTCATTTGCATTGGAAGTAGAGATATGATAATCTTCCATCCCATGAAGGCATTTTTAATCCTCACAAAATTCATTGTTGTACCATATCCTAGAACCAATTCAGTGTAACAGGTATTTCCATGGATTTGAAGATACTGAATATATAATTGTCTCTTTAAATTCTCTTTCAGGGTATGTAGTGAATTTTGAGACATTTACTTTTGATTTCTGCCAGATGGTAATGTTTCAGAATATCGCACTGAGGAGCTTGTTAGAACAGTAATATTAGTAAATATAAGATCACAACGGCCTCATATGCCAGCTTTGTCGTGCAGTCTCTTATGGAATTTTCAACATTTTGTCTGCTTCCTTGATTTTCTATCTTCAGCATAAGCTTATTTGAAGATAGAGAAGCTAGCAAGTCACAGTTATTTTCCTCTGCATGTGATGGGATTTTCTTAATCTAATTTTGTCATGAAATATGATACTGTATGAAGGATTTGTTTCAGTCATTTTCCACAAGAAGTTTGTATTTCTGACTCATAACTTTGCTCTCTATGCTTTCTCAATCATCATCCTTGGTAATCTTGTGAGATTTTAGACACCTTGGATTTATATTTCCTAAATCTTTTCAGAACTACTTCAGGTCTTCAAATAGTCACATCTTGGCCTGGAATAAAGATATAGATGTAGATACAGAGACAGGTACAAGTATAGACAGGTACAGGTATATAGATGTGTAAATATCTATATACACATCTATTTTTATTTATATAATTTCTATTTATTTCTTTTTTCCTCTTTTAGCCCCATCCCTATCCCCCTTAACCTATCTCCCCATCCCCTACTCTCCTTTTATTCTCAAACTTTGTAAAGTTTACACAGGCTATTTTTGGGTTTTTTTCACCACTCCTCAATCTCACAACCTGGCTCTTATCCACATATCTGTCATGGAAATGGAGACTTATAAGTTCCTAATCACAAATCCAATGACCTTTGTTGTATGGAAGGGAGGCATGAAACATTTGATGATTTTGGCCACAGACACTGATACGGAGAATGAGGAATCTGGGGCAAACAAGCTTAAGGAACATGAGGTGGAGGAATGGAAACTCAATGTCAAGGCTTAATGACAAAAGGTGAATCCAAGGCAAATCCTACGGTAATAAAAGAAGCAAGAAATAAATGAAGATAAAGTCTAAGTCGAATATTGCTTCAGCTAGCTATTGCTGCATAATATCCAAAAATTTAGTGGCCTAAAACAATAATTTTATTACTTATGACTCTGTGGGTTAGAAATTCCAGCAGCGATCAGTTGAGGTGGTTCTTCTCCACTCCACATGGTGCTGTCTGAGACCCTCAACTAGGGCTGGAGGGTCCAAGATGGTCTTGCTCATCCATCTGGGGCTTTGGTGCTGGCTGTCAACCTGGATCCATTGTTTCCAGTCTGCATGGTCTCTCTCTTTACAAAGTCTCTTATTCTCTACAGAGAGCTATCAGGACTGGATGCAGACTGGAGTTTAAGTCTAATGGGTAACTAGATGAGGCTTTAGCAGGTAGAGAGAAGGAAAGGAGGTTGGGTATCTTTTGCCTATCGGAGAGACGTGAATTGTTGTGGCCAGAGGACACATTGTAGAAAATTGTCTGTAAAGACGGCCACCAACATGCATGTTGCCTCTCCCATCAAGAGGTAGAACCTATCTTTCTTCCCTTTGAATCTGGGCTCACTTGTGACTTGTTTTGGCCAAGAAAATGTAGCCGCAATACTCAGTGCCAGTTTGGGTCTGTCCTTTTAGAGACCTGGCAGCTTCCATTTTCATTGTGTTAGGATCCAGCCAGCATGGAAGCAAGAGTCGTGCTGTTAAATAATGGATTTCCAGGAGACAGAGAGAAAGAGATCCAGCCAGTCCTCAGCCATTCCAGTCACACTTAGCCTAGGTGCCATGTGAGTGAAGCCGTCTTGAATGTCGCAGCCCCAGCTGAGCTCTCAGCTGAATGCAACAGCATGTGTGACCCCAGCTGATACCACATGGAAGGGAGATGAGATATACCCAGTGAACCCCACCTAATTCCTAACCCACAGAATTATGAACAATAAAATTGTTGTTTTAAGCAGCTGTTTTTCGATACTTTGTGACAAAGAATCAAAGTTACATCAGTCTCTTCTTGGACTCCGGTGTCCTTCCTTATAGAATGCAATTTTAACAAGAATCCTGCCAAGTCCATTTAGCCAGAATTCCCCATCCTCAGTATCTGATCACCTTCGATACCTGATCATTTTCCTCCCCCTCCACCAGCACCCAGGTGATGTCTGATCAGCACTGCCTGCCTTTAGCAAGAATCCTGTTAGGTCAGTTCAGCCAGAATCTTCCCTTACCCCTGATGTTTCCAGTTAGTAATTTTCCACCCACTGAGCCCACCCTGCTTTTTCTAGATAGAAATGTCCACTTTTTTGTTGTTTGAGGTTGAGCACAATGTCTCTCCCCTACTGCAGGACCCCACTGTGCCATCCCTTCACCTACCAAGATGTTCTGAAAAATGTCTGCCTTACTGTGCTTTACCGAGTGTCACGAATAATTTTTTTCTTTGACATTTGTTAGGCAACAACAGATAATTTAAACAGATGTTCTCACTCTAGCCAAATGAACTGGAACTCCTGACAGGGCATCAGTTTGGTGAGAAAATAGAGTGCTAAGCAGAGAAAATGATGCAGAAGTTTACTCACATGGGTTTGGAGGGAATTCAAGGAAGGCTGGTAGCAGTCTTAATTTCTTCCACACTGAGGAATTAACTCTCAGCTAGGATGAAGAAGGAAGATGTCTTTCTAGCAGTTTGAGTCTTTGGTGTGCCCCTGCTTGTGTGCTGTGCTAACTGTGCTGGAATAGTCACTTGTTACACAGTTCTTAGTAAGCAGCAGGCAGATTACCATGAAGCTAATGAAGCTAACGTTCAGGTCCCCTCATTTCCACAGCCCCTTTCAAAACTTTGGAAGAGGTTTTAGCAATGTGTTCACCTAAACAAATACATCCTAAAATTCTGCAAAATGTCATGTTGAGTGGCATGGAAGTTACCACAAGAATTTTGCAGATCCAGTTAAGGGGAAATTAAATTCATCATATATTTAGTTTCTGTTCTAGAGAATATTTGTGTTTGGCAGTCACTGTCTTGCAGAAGCTATTTTTAGTCATTCAGTGTTGGACTGACCTCCAGGAACGCTCCAACCACTCATCATGAAAACTCACCAGCCATTGTAACATGAAGTTGCAGGCCAGAAATAATATCTTGATAGAGGCTTTCCCAAATTTGACAATAATCCTAAAAATGTGTATGACACTACTGATGAGTTGTAAAGCAGAGATAAACGTTTCCAAATGATTAATAAAAAACAAACTTCAATCAGCTATGCTAACTATTAAAATCTTTGTGTTATCTCAATAGTAAACTTTTTGTATGAAAATGCAATCAAAGAACATATAGCCAAAAAAGAAGGAAAAATTATAGAGGTACATTAGGCTCTTAGTTTTCTTAAGATAGCTTGCTACATTCTGTGTTTTTTTTGTGTGTGTAACTTGTTCTTTCATCACTTTAAATATATCTATTTCCACACTAAATTTTGTTTTCTTTCTCTTAAGGAGTTCTACAAAATTGTTTAAACTTTAGGCCTATAAAACTTGAATTGACCCCAATGACATATATTCATTTCTTTAATCCCAACTAGCAAGATGCTTTTATTAATGTCTTCATTTTAAAACTGAGAAAACTATGGGAGGGAGATATTAAGATCACAGAGACGGCCAGTGGTGTAACCTGGATTTAAAGCCAGCAGGTTGGCTTTTGAGCCTGTGTCTTACTCATTCTCCACCCTGCTGCCCTTGAGAATAAATGAAGTCCAGCCCTTTTCCTTAAGGAATGTGCAGTACAATAGTGGACCCTAAAAATTACAGTATATCAAGATATGTGCCAGATTAGTTATACAAGGTACAGAATTAGAAAGGAGAAATTAAATTTCTAGGATAGTAGGGGAGATTTCACAAAGAGATACCTTCTTGGTTACATTAAAGTTTAAATTTGAAATTATATTTAAACTCATGTACCTAAAATCACTGGCTCTGGTCACCAGGCAATGATTTCTAGTATTGAACTACTGTATATATTACCTCATCCCAGATTAAGTTGATTGAACAATAGTTTTCAAAAGCACCACAGAGATTCAAAGAATAAACTAAGGCTTTTGACAATGCTTTAACCCTCCCACCATTCCCACAAACATAACAGGAATGATGATAGAAATGAAAAGACCACAATTCAGAGGTCCATGTGCTTATCCAGGATGATACAAATCTGATGCAAAATTAATATAGGACTAGGTTTTGTTAATCCTAATGTAGTTTTCCATTCAGTGTTCTATATGTCCTAACCAAAACTTGGTTTTGTAGATTAAAATGATGTTTTAACAAGTCTCTCTGGTGGTTTTAGAAGTAGAAACCATGGGCAGGGCATAGTGGCTCATGCCTATAATCCTAGCACTTTGGGAGGCCAAGACTGACTGATCACTTGAGCCCAGGATTTCAAGACCAGCCCAGGAAACATGAAGAAACCCTGTCTCTACAAAAAATAGAAAAATTAGCCGGGCTTTGTGGCACGTGCCTGTAGTTCCACCTATTCAGGAGGCCGAGGTGAGAGGATCACCAGAGCCCAGGAGGTCAAGGCTGCAGTGAGCCGTGATCACACCACTGCACTCCAGCCAGGGTGACAGAGCAAGACTCTGTCTCAAAAAAAAAAAAAAAAAAAAAAAAAAGAGGAGGAAATAGAAACCTTGCTTTATAGGCTAAGGAATTCACCTTAGAATGAATCTCATGCTACAGAAAACAAATCTAGATGTTTTGCTTTAAAAAGGACAGAAAATAAGCTCCATTTTTCTATTAAAAAAAGTGACAAGTGAAGAGAGTTAATTTGATAAGTAACAGTATGATGGGAGAATAAATATAAATAGGATTCATTAGAAAAAAATTAAAATTTAATCAACTTTAATGGGCTCCTGTATAGTCCAAGCAGCTTAAGGCACTAGATTATTTCCTATGAAAAGATCTGAGAATAGGCAGTTCAACAAGTTGGAAATTTAATTTTTGAAATAACATTAAGCAAGGACCAAATATCCATGTTAATCAGTAGCATTTAGTTATAACTGGCTCAGTGATCAGACAATAAATTGCTTTGTAATACTAATTTGTTCGTGAGAAGATGGCATTAAATTTAAAGTAATTGATGGAAACAAACTGCTAAAAGAAAAATTATGAAAGACTCACAAAAAACAAAGGAGAGAGAGTTCTTCTCCAAAAGAACATTATTATGGTTTTCTCTCCTGGGGGTTGCCCTTACCTCATGTATTAGTTTGTTCTCACACTGCTAAAAAAGATATACCCAAAACTGAGTAATTTATAAAGGAAAGACGTTTAATTGACTCACAGTCTCACCTGCCTGGGGAGGCCTCACAATCATGGCAGAAGGCAAAGGAGGAGCAAAAGCACGACTCACGTGGCGGCAGGCAAAAGGGCGTGTGCGGAGGAACTCCTGTTTATAAAACCACCAGATCTCGCGAGACTTATTCACTACCATGAGAACAGTATAGGGGAAACCACCCCCGTGATTCAATTATCTCCACCTGGCCCCAACCTTGACACGTGGGGATTATTACAATTCAAGGTGAGATTCAGGTGTGGACACAGCCAAACCGTATCATCTCAACTCCACCCAGCCAATCTTACTCATTCTTCAAGTTCCAGTTCCAAAGCTAAGACTAATAATCATTCCCTGATGTCATTCTTCTTTTCTGTGCTCCTTCAGTACTGTTGTCTTTTGTTCTGTTTAATTTTGTTTGTATTTATCGCCCTCGCAATACTATGTGCCTTTAGTATATAACCGTGTGATACAGAGCGGAAAGGAATCCTCAATATCCTTTGGTTTAATGTTTTAGTAGCAGGGTCTAGCTGAGTCCAGGCTGTAAAACAGGATTAGGGTAGGATTAAGGTAGGACTATTTGGCTGGTGGTGCTAGGAACAGAGTGAATTTTTAAAAATTGAACAATTTCAAAATTTTTATTTCTCAGTGATTAGCTTTAAATTTACATTCCTATGCACATGGAGTTATGTCAGGAAACTCTTGTTTGTACCACCTCTTTCTGGCAGCCTGCAGGAAATGAAGTAGCATCATGGGCAGCATGTTAATCATTGATGATGAATGTGGCCTGGGATGAATTTGATTACAGGATTGCTGTGTACCATGTGACATGAGGGGCTCATAATAGGCTTAAAGATGATAAAAATATTTTTTGTTCTCTTAAATATCATAGAAATAACTGGAAACATTAATAGAAATACAGTTGGCTCTCCATATCCATAGGTTCCCCATCAGTAGATTCAACCAACCATGGATCAAAAATATTTAGGGGGAAAAAACTTCACAAAGTTCCAAAAGGCAAAATTTGAATTTGCCACACACTGAGGACTATGTTGAATCCACATGAATGAGGAGATGTGTACGCATTATATAAGTAATCTAGAGATTATTTAAAGTGTACAGGAGGATGTGTGTGGGTTATCTGCAAATACTATACCACTTTATATAAGAGGCTTGAGCATCTGTGGATTTTGTTATCTGCAGGTGGTGCTAGAGCCAGTCTCTCATGGATATAGAGGGACAGCTATAATTTCTTTATAAATTGGTATTGACCACATAAAGAACCTCATTGACTACATATAGAACCTCATTACTTTTTTTTTTTTTTTTTAATATGGAGTCTCACTCTGTCGCCCAGGCTGGAGCACAGTGGCGCGATCTCGGCTCACTGCAACCTCCGCCTCCCAGGTTCATGCCATTCTCCTGCCTAAGCCTCCCAAGCAGCTGGGACAACAGGCACCCGCCACCACATCTGGCTAATTTTTTGTATTGTTAGTAGAGACGGGGTCTCAATCTCCTGACCTCATGATCTACCCGCCTCGGCCTCCCAAAGTGCTGGGATTACAGGCATGAGCCACCACGTCTGGCCTACTCATTTTTTTTTTTAAGAAATCAATTCTTTTTGAATCATTCTATGTTTCCATGGGTTGCTAGGCAAGGATTTGGTTTTTGCTTTGGGTGGGAGGGTCAGGGAGGAAGATTAAAGTTCCGGGGTGGCGTAATAGCCAGACGGAGGAGGGAAATGAGATGGCAATCAACTGCCAATAGCTGAAAGAGCTGTTTTTGAGACTTTGTTGGGGGATAGATGCTGAAAGAACTAGTTTTGTGAATGACTTCATGAGTATCTGAGAGTAAGGAGAGCAAGTTTGGTGTTGGGTTAACAAATGTCGAGCAGAACTGGTGGAGATCATGCCTGATCCTCACTGTACCATGGGCTCAGTGCAGTTTGGGATACTCTGAGGACTCAAGATCAACAATGAATGGCCTTGATGCCATCACTCTCTGGAAGGGCATTGGCAAAAGAAGTGGTACTAAGGTACCTTGGCAATAAGAGATTGTGGGAAACCAGATCAGACTTGAAGAGAACATTTGAGATGCCTCCCCACTCCACTACCCAGGGATATCGGAAGTAATAGGCTGCAGGGACTGCAGGGTGAGAAACCTGGGTGGAGCAAGGGCTGATAAGAGCCATCAGAATTATGTGGCCTTGTTTGTGCTCTCAGGCCAGCAAGAGCATTTGAGTTATGTTCTCATTTAACAGGTAAGCAAACAGTGGTCAAGACCCCAAATGACCTGCTCAGGATTTCACAGAAAGCTAATGACAGAGCTAGGACCAACTCCTCTCCTGATCTCCTGGCTGGAAGAATGTAGTATTAATATGGGGTTGCTGGATCAAATAGAATAATGATCTCCTCTAGTATTGTATATCATATAAATCAATAAGAATAAATGCCAACAAATGTTTTGTTTTTCTACTATGAACAACAAGAAGCTATTGTTAAATTTGTTAAATTTGCTTGTTAAATTAACATAAAGCTTTATGTTTAAGAGTCAGAAAATTTTAATTAGGATGCCTGACTTTAATCATGACGCTGATATTTAAATAAATCAACTGGCCAGGCGCAGCAGCTCACACCTGTAATCCCAGCACTTTGGGAGGTCGAGGTGGGTAGATCATTTGAGGTCAGGAGTTCAAGATTAGCTTGGCCAACATGGTGAAATCCCATCTCTACTAATACAAAAATTAGCCTAGCGTGGTGGCATGCACCTGTAGTCCCAGCTACTCAGGAGGCTGAGGCAGGAGAATTGCTTGAACCAGGGAAGTGGAGGTTGCAGTGAGCCGATATGGCAGCACTGTACTCCAGCCTGGGTGACAGAGCAAGACTCTGTCTCAAAAAAAAAGATTAATTAAGTTAAATTAATCAACTAGTATTTATCGACTCTAATGCCTCACCAACACAATATCATCAAGAAAAAAATAATTTCATTACATTAATTTTTCTAATGATACCTTTTATCGTTTTAAAATAATTTCTAATAAAACTTTTTTAAGAGAATTTTATATTACAACTATTGATTTTAATAGCGATAATTTACTGAGTGCTTATTATCCAGGCTCATTGCTAAGTGCTTCAAATGCATTACCGAATTTAATCTTTGCACAACCGCATGAGGTAGGTAATGTTACTTTTTAAATTCATAGGTAAGAATAAATATTAGAGACTTTAAGTACATGCCTAAGGTCAGTCTCAAATAAGTGACATTGCTCAGTAGACTGGGATCCAGAGCCTAGGCTCTTTACCACTATACACTATAGCTTTACAGACTGCCCTTGGTTTGTTGTTGTTTTGTTTTTTGTTTTGTTTTTTGAGACAGAGTATTTCTCTATCACCCAGGCTGGAGTGAGGGTTGCAATCATGGCTCACTGCAGCCTCAATGTCCCAGGCTCAAGCGATCGTCCCTCCTCGGCCTCCCAAGTAGCTGAGACTACAGGTTCACGCCACTGTGTCCAGCCAATTTTCAAAAGCTTTTTGTAGAGACAGAGTCTCACTATGTTGCCCAGGCTGCTCTCGAGCTCTTGGGCTCAAGCAATCTTCCCACCTCATCCTTCCAAAGTGCTGAGATTAAAACCATGAGCATCGCACCAGGAGTGCCCTTATTTTAAACAGAAAAATATTAAACATTTTTTAAAATGTCAAAGTCATGGTTAAGAATATTTGTTGCTGTTCCAGGCTGTAATTCGATGACTGGGGAGACTGACTGTGTAAATCTCTATGAAAGCACATCATATCGCTTAGAGTCTTGTGCCTTTGTGTTCTTCCATCTGAATTTATAATTTTTCCTTATCCTTTATCACTGTCAACCTGTCAGTTACTCCTTTCACTTTCCACTGTGCCTCCATCTAATATCTTTCCTCAAATTGCCTTCCAGTTTCCCATCCCTTATTTTTTAAGAGTTGGGAAATCAGTTGAAAAACTGGATTAGTTACACGTAAGAGAAGAATAAATAGTCTCTGAAAAAGCACCAGTGCACTTTCTTGTAAGTTCAATACAGTGACTTTAGTGCTTGGATTGAACAGCATCATTTTTAGCTGCTTGAAAATTTTTATTGACAAATTCCTACCATTGGATTGCACTTCAGAAGATTAGGTGATTTTTACCTAAGAAAAGTACTGTCTTATGGACAGAATGCCCTGTACACAGAAGATGAGCCTGGCTGCTAAACACTATGAGAATTCTAGGTTAGAAAGCTGAACTATACAAATACACACTATAGTGTAACTTTAGATTATTTAAATACCTAAAAATAAGGAGAGGTTAAATAAATTATGGCACATCCTCAAAATGGATATCCACATACCCATTTTTGGATATCTATAGCATAAAACAATTTACAAAGCATTAGTTATAACATGAGAAACTATTTTTGTTACCAAATGAAGTTTAAAAACAGGATTTTGGCCAGGCGCAGTGGCTCATGCCTGTAATCCCAACACTTTGGGAGTCAGGGGCGGGCAAATCACCTGAGGTTGGGAGTTCAAGACCAGCCTGACCAACATGGAGAAACTCCGTCTCTACTAAATACTATATACGTGTGTGTGTGTGTGTGTGTGTGTGTGTGTGTGTGTGTGTGTGTGTATATATACATATATATACGTATATATGTGTATATATATATGTATATATATATGTGTGTATATATATATATACACATATATATATGTGTATATATATATATACACACATATATATATATAAAATTAGCTGGGCGTGGTGGCGCATGCCTGTAATCCCAGCTACTGAGGAGGCTGAGGCAGGAGAACCGCTTGAACCCGGAAGGCAGAGGTTGTGGCGAGCCGAGATCACGCCATTGCACTCCAGCCTGGGCAACAACAGTGAAACTGTCTCAAAAAATAAATAAATAAACAAACAAACATAGGATTTAAAATAGTGTGTGACAATAACAGCTAACCTTCTCTGAACACCTGCTACATGTAGAGCATTTTTGTTGTAAGTCCAACAAACATATGCATACTCAATTGCTTATGGTTTGCAGTTATAAACTTCTAAGATGGCTTGTTCACCCTGACACCATGGGAGTCAAAGGCAGGTCCACTAGGTCTAAGGCCAAAGAGGTGAGGAAAGCTGTCACAGGGAAAAACATGGAATGAACAGGAGTAAGTTGTTCCCATAAATCTTCTGTCCTTGAATTAATTTTATTCCCTATCCTATCCCATGCCATTCTCTAATGCCAACTGAGTCCGGGTGCAGTGTGGCTCACGCCTGTAATCCCAGCATTTTGGGAGGCCAAGGTGGGCGGATCACCTGAGGTCCGGAGTTCAAGACCAGCCTGGCCAATGCGGTGAAACCCCATCTCTACTGAAAATACAAAATTAGCTGAACGTGGTGGTGGGCACCTGTAATCCCAGCTACTCAGGAGGCTCAGGCAGGAGAATCGCTTGAACCCAGGAGACAGAGGTTGCAGTGAGCCGAGATTGCGACATTGCACTCCAGCCTGGGTGACAAGAGCAAGACTCTCTCTCAAAAAAAAAGTCTAATGCCAACCAATACTACTAGGAAAAAGGCTGACTGGACAGTTATACTAGATGGACCAGGTTGATAATACCTGAACCCACTTGATCAACCTTAACAACACAAAAAGAGAAACAGCTGGCCATTATATGCCTCCTGACCTGTTGCAATCAGAAGTACCACCTCTGAAGTGCTCTTGTCAAAAATCAAATCTGAATCTGATCTCCACTTTTGTGAATTTGAAACTGTCTGAAAAAAAAAAACTTAAGGATATTGGTCAGTTGATAGTAACTATGAGAGGACTCAAAGCAAACCTGCCAGCAACAATACCCGACCTTTGCAGAACTGACAGCAGGAAACAGCTGCCCCCACCACAGAGCCAGGATGCAACACTTCCTACCACTGCCAGTGTCTGCACCAGGAGCTCATTTATACTTCATCCACTGCCACAGTCATTTCACATCCATGTCTGCATTAGAAACTTGACCTTGAAACCCCCGGTACTGATCCTGCCAGATGAAAGAAAACTTCTGACCCTGCCTTCCTGGGGCACTAGTTTCTGAGACTAGGTCTGGGGTCATGTGGTACAGCCTAGGTCACATAGCTGACCCTTCACTGCAAGGAGACTGGGAAAGCAAATATTGAGTATTTATATGAGCTATAGGTCTTTACCCTTCACCAAGATTCATAAGGAGGAGAATTCCCCAAAGAGGAAAGGGTTCAAGTACTAGGCAGCCAAAATGAAAGACAAATGTCTACTATAATTTTCTTTAAAAATTACTTTCAAGATGAAGTACAAATTCCTCACTGTTATGATTCGAACTCCTCCAAAATGTGACCCAATCAACTTTTCCAGCTTGATTCCACTGTTCCTCCACTCATATTCTATAATTCAACCAAACTAGATGACTCACAATTGGGCAAAAAAAATCCACTTTCTCTCACTATTTGTGCTTATGCTGGCTCATCTTCCAAAACATCAGACCTCTATATGTGGCTCATTCTTGGAAGTCCATCACATTTATTACTTTCTCCACAAAAATTTTCATGATCCTAACTCTCGGATATGATGTTTTTTCCTGTTATGGCCCCATTTTACTTTGTTTGAACTTTCACCTAATGTTGTTCATTACATTCTGTCTTGTATGGTAGTTTTTTACATACTTAATTGAGGTCCTCCTCCATTACACTCTAAGCTTCTTAAGAATGTATTAGGTTTTATTATCTTTGTCTCTCTTGTAATGCTTTCAAGAGAATCTTGAACATAATTACTTTTAATGCTTAGGCATAAGAGATTATTACTATTATCATGGTTTCAAATATAGGATCTTGGTAGAATGGATTAAGAATTCCCAAAAGGCTGGGCGTGGTGGCTCATGCCTGTAATCCCAACATTTGGGAGGCCGAAGCAGGTGGATCACTTGAGGTCAGGAGTTTGAGACCAGTCTGGCCAACACGGCAAAACCTTGTCTCTACTAAAAATACAAAAATTAGCCGGGCATGGTGACCTGCACCTGTAATCCCAGCTACTCAGGATGCTAAAGCAGGAGAATAGCTTGAACCCAGGTGGCAGAGGTTGCATTGAGCCAAGATCGCACCACTGTACTCCAGCCTGGGTGACAGAGCAAGACTCCATCTCAAAAAAAAAAAAAAAAAAAAAAAAGAATTCCCAAATGGAAAATAGGTTTAAAAAATCATCACACTGGCAGGTTTTAGCCACATAAGCCACACTCAGTCCCATTTTGCTAGAAGCCAGAGTTCTGTACTGTCAAGGATAGACCTGATTCTGCATCCATACCTAATTTCTTTTCCATCTGCTCCATATCCATCCCCATACCTCCTCCATCTGGCCCTCTACTGGTGGCAGCCTTGTCTCCAGTACTGTTTCCTTAAACATTATCTCTGCTCTAAAACCCAAGAAGATAGGACAATTCTATAAAAGGAGTTAAGGAAGGTTTTCTCAAAAGAGATGATATTTTGACAATTTTTAGAGTTCAAGTAGGCATTCCCTAAATGGAGAATTGGCAGACAGAATTTTAAACTGAGAGACAGAGGACTAAAAGTATATGCCACAATCAAAATGCATATTATTTTTTGTGTAGCTGGATCACAGGCATATAAGGAAATGGAACCAGAGAAAGTATTTTGGGATCTGAATATGAAGAGCTGATGTGCTTGCTTGGATTTTATGTTCTAGGCCAGTAGTTCTTATCCTTTTGGAGATTCATGGATACCTTTGAGAACCTGAGAAATGTTATGAACCTTCTCCCTAAAAATTACACACATTGCCAGAGATCAAAAATTTCCAAAAAACTTCCAAGAGTTCCAAACATCCTGTGAAGTTCATTTGTGGACAAGAGTTTACAGATACCTGGAGTAATAACCTAAGTTTTAGGGAAAAGGAGTTATCAAATGCAAAAAAAAATTATTTTTTGTTTAAAATTCATATTACTTGTTATCTCTGTCTTAGTCATTGATTCATCTACACCTTACCATAAGGACTGCTGATCTTTGGGATCATTTTGTGGCAGGGACTGTTATCTAATTAATATTTATTCTTTCTTCTGATTTTATTCAAAATGTGCCCAACTAAAACACTACATTTCGCAGCCTTCTTTGCAGCTAGGATAGGTTTTGTGACCAAGTTTGGCCAAAGACATGATGCTGCCTCACCAACACCATGAAGGAATGTCTGTTTCTGAACTTCCTTTACATGAAAGAACAAATGTTTCCATGTTTAAGCCACTACAGTCAGTTCTCTATTATTATCAGCAGCTGAATGCCAATTCCATCTAGTTCGTGTAGTGGTCAACAAAACACCAGCTACACATGACCCTAACCCTATTGTTTGGTAAAGGATGTGGGAGGAAAATTATCTTCTTTTAGAAAACACTGTAAGTGACAGACTTGGGATGGCTGCCCCAGACTAGTTAGTAAAGGTTAGTTCTCATTCAAGCAAAACAGAGTACAGAAAAAGATTCCCCAAGAATGTAAGAAACTAGTTCCTCATCCACTAAAAACTAATAACTCTGTTTAACTCTCACAGTTCTTCAAAAGGATAATGAATATCTCCCTTCATCCACATGAAAAGGAGTGAAGTATGCCTCACAATGTTAACCTGATAACTTCCATTTAAGCCACAGATGGCCTGAAGGAAGATTTATTTTCTTCCTGGGGTTGTCCAGAGCATGGGGTTTTACAGCCAGAATGTTTCTGGTTCTACTTTTCACTTCGAGTAGCTAGAGCCTAAAGTCTACCAACAATTTCCACTCGTATCCCCCAGATACTTCCGTTTCAGTATGTACAAAATGGAACCTACCTCCTCCCACTTCTATGGCCCAGTGAATGGTACTACTATCAGAAATCTAGAAATAATCCCACACTCCTCCCTCCACATCCGTTGGTTGCTATGTACCTGTGATCCTACCACCTAAATTTTTCTCATGTCCTCTTATTTTTTCAGTCTCATCATTTCTCATCTGGACTACAGCAATTCCTAAATAAGTATTGCCATGCCTCCATCTAACTTATATTTCATAGTTTAATAAAATGAATCTTTCAAAATGAAAATCTGATTAGTTTAATTCAAATGTCTTAGCTGGGAACCGAAGGCCTATTAGGATCTATTCCATGATTACCTCTCTAATGCCATCTCTTGGTACTTCATCTCATACCCTACACAGCAGCCGAATAAAACCAACAGCAATTTGCTGAATGAGTCCTGCTCCATCCCACCTTCATACCTTTCCCTAGAAAGTGCTTTTCTCTCTTTGCCTGGAAAACCACTATTCATGCTTTAACACTTAATTGATGCATTACCACCTTGAGGAATGCTACCTTGATTCTGCCCCCAAGGAGCAGTATACCATGGTATTTAAGAACAGGGGTTCATGAGCTCAAGCTGCTAGCTCTATGACCTTTGTCAAATAATTTAACCTCTCTGTGCCTCAGTTTCCTCATTTGTAAGTTGGGGATAATTCCTCATAGGATTTTTGAGAAAATTGAACAAGACACTATATATAAAAGTGGTTTGAGCTGTTTCTGGAATATGGTAAGCACTCAATAATATATATGAGCTTTTTTCTTTCCAAGATTATGTTAAATTCCTTAGTTTTATGGTCCCAGACTTTCATGACCTACCCAAATGTGATGGAAATTGTGGACTGATTCACAGAGTCTTATCAACTTGTCTTGTAGTTCGAGAAATTGAAAAGCTAAAAATGTTACACTCACTGCCTTCAGCTAACATTCTGCATGTATCCTATGCCTAACGGGTAAGATTTAAAGAGCAGAAACTAATCACAGGTCATCTTCCAGTCAGTTCTTTAGCAGTCTTTGCAAGCAAATATCATCTTGGAAATGACTATGTTTCAGCTGGTTCCCTGTTAGGAGTTTTGAATATTCATTCTTTGGTTTGCTGGGTGCCAGAAGCAAAAGCACAGTGGCAGCAGAGGTGTTGGTGGCAGTCTTGATTTTGGAACACCCTTTATGTGGCCTCACGGAAGCTCCCCTGTAGGTGAGATCTCTGTTGTTCTGAAGACATTGCTGGATCCATAAGACATAGTGAATCTTAACTAACAATCTAGGTCAACCCCAGTATAAACTTTCATTTCTTCCAGCATAAACTCTGCAATCCAGTCAGGGTGCTTCCCTACTTTCCAAATACTCCATGATTTCCTCATCTTCCCACTTTTCTTACGCCATTTCCACCTCACTCCCACCCCTCTAGAATCATTCTTGTAATCCCAAATCTTCCATTTGACACTACCTTTTAGAAAACTCCTTCATTTATATGCAGTCATAGCTCCAATATAAACACTTTTTATTTGGCAATTTTTGGCAAAAGTAATCTGCAACAATAAAACAAGGATTAGGCAAGTTTACATACATATGATCACAACCTAGCCAAGAAAACTTCATTAATCATTTCCATAGAGGCCATATTTAACTTGGAGATCTTTTTCTCAGGACTTTGTAGGCTTTTTCAAAGTCTATTTAATGCCTCTTACTTCTGGTAAAAGAAATTTCTGCAGCCCCAAGTTCAACATATAAATAATTTTAAGCTAACTTATATCACCCTTGGGGAATACAACATTTTGAATCAAAAGAGCCAGTTTAAACCAGGCCTGGTGGCTCACTTCTGTAATCCTCGCACTTTTGGAGGCCAAGGCAGGAAAATTGCTTGAGCCCAGGAGTTCAAGACCAACCTAGGCAATATGGCAAGACCCTGCCTCAATTTTTTAAATAAAATTTTAAAAAAATTAAAAAGAGCCAGTTTAGACCAAATATGTGTTCCAAGATCTACCATTTTTAGGTAATGCTGAATTTCAGCACTCTTTTATTAGAATAGGGAATAGACCACAGTCTACAATCAGGTTATATATTTTAAAGCTGGAGATATAAGTTTTGATTCTACCTTGTTCAGTGATCTTAGGTAAGTAGTTTAAACTATCTGAGTAAATTATACAATTTAAGTAAAAGTCAGCAGCATAAAAACACTGCAATTCTAAAGCTACTGAGGTTGCTTTAGAAACACAGTCCTCTAAAACTGAGGGTCCTCTACCGTGTCTTCTCTGAAGTGGCTCTTTTACTGTCCAAGCCATTTTGAACATGTGGGTTCCAATATGCTTCAGTAGAAACCTTCCTGTGAGGAAAGTAACCTTAACTCAGTTTTTTGCTAAGCTCTGTTACATGCTATATATGTATATATATATAGCATCTGATAGTTTCAAAAGTCTTAAGTACCTTTTTGTGTAACAGCTCAGGATTTTTAGATTCCCTCTTTATTGAAGATAAAGCCTTCAGCGTGAGTGAAAGGCACTGACCTGACTAGCAATTTGAGTAGATACACAAAGCTGGACACTCAAAATTGTCTCTGTCTTCTGATACTGCCACACTGTAAAGGAAAACCCTAAGTACCCCAGCTCTCTCTTCTCTTAAGCCCAGTGCGTCCCCAGGAAGCATCTTAGTCATGACACCCCTGGTGGTCCATCCTTCCAGCTTCCATACATGAATAGTATATTCCTTCACTATTGCTGCTTTAACGAATTACCACAAATGAAGTGGCTTACGGCAACACCCAAGCATTATCTCACAGTTCTACAGGTCAGAATTCCAGGGGAGGCTCAGCTGGGTCCTCTGGTCAGAGGTCATCAAAGTGCTGGCTGGTCTGGACTCTTATCTGGAGGCTCTGGGGGAGACCCTGCTTCCATGCTTATTCAGATTGCCAGTATGGTGGGTCCTGTTGCCTTGCTGGCTGTGGGCCAGGGCTCATTTTCAGCTTCTGGAAGTTGCCAATTGTCCTTGGGGTTATGCTCCGCTCCTTCAAAGCCAGCAACATTCAATTCCTTCTTACATTTCAAATCAATCGGATGTCTTCTGTTACATCTCTCTAACTTCCTGCCTTCTTCTTCTGCCTTATTCTTCTGGTTTGAGGGTTCATGTGAATACATTGGGTCTACCCAGAAAATCCAAGAATCTCCTTATTTTAAGATTAAATAATTAGTAACTCTATTTATATCTGCAAAGTTCCCTTTGCCATGTAAGATAATATATTCATGCTGCCAGGGATTAGGGGCTACAGAGTGTTCTTGGGGGCTTTAATTCTGCCTACCACAATCAGACATGTCTGAAACCAAGGCTTTCCAGCTGGGGCACCTGGTTCTTACAGCACTCAGTGAACCAGGGAGATGGTAGAAATCTTTATCTGCAAGTGTCCACCTAAAATCCATGAAGGATACAACTTATTTGTTAAATGTTAGAATTATTGCATAACAATAAGTATATTGGCCGGGCATGGTGCCTCATGCCTGTAATCCCAGCACTTTGGGAGGCTGAGGTGGGCGGATCACCTGAGGTCAGAAGTTCGAGACCAACCTGGCCAACATGACGAACCCCATCTCTACTAAAAACACAAAAATTAGCCGGGCATGCTAGTGGGTACCTGTAATCCCAGCTACTTCGGAGGCTGAGGCAAGGAGAATCGCTTGAACCCAAGAGGTAGAGATTGCAGTGAGCTGAGATCATGCCATTGCATTCCAGCCTGGGCAACAGAGCGAGACTCTGTCTCAAAAAAACAAAACAAAACAATAAATGTATTTACACTCTCCTATCCAATATCCTTTATCAAAAAATGTAGAAATTCGTTTGATTTTATGAAAATTACAATTACAAGGTCAATATTCTGGGTAAGGCTTTATATATGTTTGACTTTGTGTGACAATGGATTACATGTGAGTTTTTGTGTCTTTTTGTGTATAAATATAGAGAAAGTCAATGTAACATAGTGGGAGTAGACAGATTAGACAAAGAGGCTTCTAAATTTTAGCATGAATTCTGCTACAAACTACCTTGTGACTTTAAACAAGTCATTTAAAGAACTCTCTCATCCTAGTCTTTTCTATTGTAAAGTTGACTGTTTCATCATGTTGACATCCAGCTGAAGATTCTGTATCTCAAGTAGTTTATATTCATAATAAAGTAAAATGGCTCAGAAACCCAGATATCAACTCCTTAGAGCCATTTCTTCATAGAAGAGTTAAGGAGAATTTAATTTTTTATTACAATTTCAATGAAGTATTTTTCATTTCTTCCTAGAAAAATCACCAATTTTTGTTTCTCTTTCAAGTCATCTTGCTGTCAACAAAAGGAAAATTCACAAGTTTAAAATCTGTTCCTCAAGAAACACAGTGAAAGTTTAGTTTTAAAGAGGTTGAACATCTCAAGATTAATACACATTCTAATGCAAAACTGATTGTTATCAAAATGCCTTCCTAAGAAGGCAACATAAGCAGAACAAATCCTGCAAAAGATTTTACCCATCATATTTTTCCTGTGATGAATTCTGGTACATCATCATTCTTCCTCTTAAATTCACAGCAAGTTCCCTTTGCTCCAGTTCACAGCATCTATTTTCCAGTACACCAGCAATTGCACAAAACATATTTTTAGTAAAACATGCATAATATGTGTTTTGGGTACAAGAACCAGCTCTTCTTTGTGGACTCAAAACCCCATCAGTTTCAACAACACTGACCTCACCTAACAAAGTTACCTACAGTTAATGTGAAAAAATGTTTGTTGAAGGTAGTCAGTGTCCACATTAACAGAATCCAATTTTTTTCCCCTGAAAGAGATGCATGGGTTCAGAAGCTCTTACATACCAAGTAATCTTACAAGCTTACATTTTCTTTATTTTTATTAGTTTTTATATCCAAAATGTGTGTATGGGGATGGTTTCCTATTTATCTTGATTCATGGTGCTTTTAGTGTTGCTTCCATCTGAAGGAACATTCTTCTGTAAGCCTTGCTTTTCCTCCTGTTTGCTGACAGAGGACAGTGGAGCAGACGACCCACAAAACTACTATTTGTGCATGGCTAACAATCATGCTGATCTTATGGCATCCTGGGCATTTCACATCCATGAAGTAGGAATTGAGGCTCTGCACCAGGCCCTGCTTCTTGTCTTGCTTTCTCTCCATTTCTGGAGAACAATGAAGGAGAGCCTTCCCAAGAGGCATGCTCTCCTGGGGAGGTCATCACTGCCAGAAAAAAAAACGAGCTTACAACTTCTGTCACTTGCTTTCACTTCAATCTCTTTAAGTGTCTTTAAATGACACTTAGTTGTGTTTAGTTGAATTAGTACAATTAATTTCTTAAAAAGTTGTATGCACTTGCTAGTAATTGCTGCTGATATTCAAAGAGTTTATTAACCTCATAAGTAAGGCAAAAAAAAGCACAGCACCCCTAATTTGTATTGTGTGTTTTATTTCCATATGACATACACAGACTATTTCTATTACGGTTATGTGAATATATTTCAAAAAGCAGAAACCATCTCTAGTTCTGATAGCACTCAAAGCACAGGACCTTGCACACTGTGGTTGCTCAATAAATATTTTTGCATAATTTATTAATCAAATTCATGAAATTCCATAGAGCATATAGCAAAGTAGAGAACAGTCCAGTTCTAACTAATGCTAATTAGTACCAAAGCAGCATGTTCTCTTCTGTTCTGGGACCACATTTTCAATCAATTTTTATTAAAAAATTTAAAAAATTGTATTAAGGTACAATTTACATACAATTAAACACACTCATTTTAAGGGTTGATGAGTTTTGACAAATGCATACATCTAAGCATAACTCACCAATATAATCAAGATATGTATGCATATATACATTTATGTATATGTGTGTGTATATATATATATATATATATATATATGTTACACAAATGTATATAGAGGGTGATCATTGGGGAATTATGGGTGTTGATTTGGGAGGCTATTTTTGGAGTGCAGATCTATGAGTTTTAAGACCAGTATAGACTTATGTCAACATCTTCACAACCAAGATACTGAACAATTCCATTATCCCAAAAAAATTCCCTCATGCTACCCATTTGTGGTCAAGCACTTCCCAGACTCCTACACCCTGTCAACCACTGGTCTGTTCTCTGTTCTGATAGTTTTGCCTTGTGCAGAATGTCATTTTGATTCAATCATACAGTATAACCTTTTGAGACTGGCTTCTTTCACTCAGCATAATGCTTCTGAGATTTACTCATGTGTGTGCATCAATAGTTCATTCCTTTTTATTGTGACGTTGTATTCTATTATATGGGTATAACACAGTTTATACATTCACCCACTGAAAGGCATTTGGGTTCTGCCCAGTATTTGGCAATAAAATAATAAAACTGCTATAAACCTCTTTGTACAGTTTTGTGTGTGAACATAAGTTTTCATTGCTCTGGGATAAATACATAGGTATAAAATTTCTGGGTCATATTGTAAATGTATGTTTCAATTTATAAGAAACTGACAAACTATTTTCTATCTTGTATTTTGCATTTCCAACAGTAATATATGAGAGTTCCAGTTACTCCACTTCCTAGCACTTGGTATTGTTTGGGATGGTTTTCAATTCATTAATTGTGGTTTTAATTTGCATTTCCCTAATGGCTAATGATGTTGAGCATCTTTCACATACTTATTTGCCATCTATATGTCTTATTCAATGACTGTTCAAATTACTTGCCCATTTTTTAATTGGCATTTGTTTTCTTATCATTGAATTTTGGGAGTTTTTTAAATATATTCTGGATACATTGTTTTATTATATCTATGATTTGTGAATTTTTTTCCCAGTCTGTAGCTTGTCTTATTCTCCTAATGGTGTCTTTTGCAGAGCAAATGTTTTTAATTTGTATGAAGCCCCATTTATCAATGTTTTTTGGAGATTATGCTTTTGATGTCATATCTAATAACTTTTTGCCAAACCCAAGGTCAACCAGATTTTCTTCTATATTTACTTCTAAAACCTTTATAATTTTACATTTAGATCTACAATCTACTTCAAGTTAACTTTGGTATAAGGTATAAAAATTAGGACTTTTTTGGATATGGATGTGCAATTATTCCAACATCATTTGTTGAAAGAAAATACTCTTCATTGAATTGCTTTTGCACCTTTGTCAAAGTCAATTAACTATCTCATTATGCACCTACTTTTGGGCTCTATTCTGTTTCACTGATCTACGGGCCTACTGTTTCACAAATATCATACTGCCTTGATTACTGTGACTTCATCAGAAGTCTTAAAATCAAATATGGTACTTCCTCAAACTTTTTTTTTCTTCAAAATTGTTTTGGCTATTACAGTTCCTTTGTCTTTTTATGTAACTTTAAAACAAGCTTGTCTGTTTCTACAGAATATCCTGCTTGGATTTTTATTTGAATTTATTAAAATCTATATATCAATTAGGGAATGATTGATATGTTAATTAAGTCTTTCAATCCATGAACAGAGTTATCACTCTTCATTTATTTATTTAGGTCTTTCATTTTTGTTTTGTTCTTTAGTGTTTTTTATTTTTATTTTTTCTTTGAGACAGGGTCTGGCTGTGTCACCAAGGCTGGAGTGCAATGACACAATCACAGCTCACTGCAACCTTAGCCTCCCAAACTCAAACCATCTCCCTATCTCAGCATCCTGAGTAGCCGGGACTACAGGCGTGCACCACTACGCTTGGCTAATTTTTGTATTTTTGGTAGAGACGGGGTTTCACCATGTTGCCCAGGCAGGTAGTGTTTTCTTTAGTGCTCAGCATACATATCCTGGATACTTTTAAGTTAGAGTTATACTTAAATTCTTTCTTTTTGAGGGGACAGGGAACTATTATAAATTGTATAGTTATTAATATTTTTTCCATTTACAACCATACATTGCTAGTGTATAGAAATATGGGACTGGCCACAGTGGCTTATACCTGTAATCCCAGCACTTTGGGAGGCCGAGATAAGAGGATCACTTGAGCCCAGGAGTTCGAGACCAGCCTGGGCAACAAAACAAGGCCCCCATCTCTTCAAAAAATTTTAAAAATTAGCTGGGCATAGTGGCATGCACCTGTAGTCCCAGCTACTCAGGAGGCTGGGGCAAGAAGATCATTTGAGCCCAGAAGTTCTTGGGTCCAGTGAGCTATGATCATGCCACTGCACTCTAGCCTGGGTGACAGAGTGAGATACTGTCAAGAAAGGAAAAAGAGAGACAGAGGGGAAAAGAAAGAAAGAAAGAAAGAGAGAAAGAAAGAAAGAAAGAAAGAAAGAAAGAAAGAAAGAAAGAAAGAAAGAAAGAAAGAGAGAAAGAAAGAGAAAGAAAGAAAGAAAGAAGGAAAAAGAAAGAAAGAAAGAAAGAAAAGAAAGAAAGTGAGAGAGAGAGAAAGAGACAGAAAGAGAAAGAGAAATAAAGAAAGAGAGAAAGAGAAAGGAAAAGAAAAGAAAAGGAAGGAAGGAAGGGGAAGGAAGGAAGGAGAAGGAGAAAGAAAGAAAGAAAGAAAGAAAGAAAGAAAGAAAGAAAGAAAGAAGCAGAAAGAAAGAAAGGAAGGAAGGAGAGAGAAAGAAAGAGAGAGGAAGGAAGGAAAAGAGAACAGAAAAGAAGAAAGGAGGAAAGGAAAGGAAAGAAGGAAAAGAAAAATGAGATGCCACATTTTGTAGTGAAACTTTTTCAGAGGAAAGTATAGAATGGTGATCAGACTCAAAACCACACCACTTAAAGCAATTGGAGAAATTTTAGCTCATACAGGAGACTCAGGGAGATAAAATAGACTATCATGGGTGGCTTCAAATATTTGAAATACTGTGAGTAACTTTACGAGTTATATATGTATTTTAGGAAGATAAAGTCCCAATGAAGTTTAACATTAATAGGAGATTAATAAGAAAATAAGAACTTCAACAACCTAATATTTTAAAAGATCAATCTGTCAAAAACTGAAACTCTCAGAAAATATGAGCTGTGAACATCTTGTCAGACTTTTCCATCAGAAATCAGTCAACAATTAAACAGCCTACACTAACGAATCTGTACTTATGCATTATTATTTATAAAGTCTTTCATATGGACTTGGTATTCTTCAAAAGGAATCTTAATGCTGGGAAGACAGAATCAGAAACTGTGAAGGGTCTGAGGTTTTACCTTACTTGTAAGCTAATAAATCAGCCTGCCACAGTTCCACAGATGCTGGCAGAAGACCCAAGACTCCTGGGTCAAAGACCAAGGCACAGCAAGTAGCCTAAGGATCATGTTTCATGCCAGTTCCCCTTGCCTCTACCTCTGCCAGGCAAGCCAGAGGGCTCCAAGTGGATGCTGCTCACGCAGTGGGTTTGCCTCACAGCTGAGGATCCTTGAGCTTGGGAAACCCAAATCTTTTATGATGGGCAGTAAGCCTGCTTGAACTTTTCGCCCCGAAGAAAATCATTCTTTATGATACTGGGCAGTAAATAACCTTGCTTTTTTTTCTCCAGAGGAAGACACTACCTCCATCTTCCAAGGCTCTTTGCTAACAAACATCCTTGAGAAAACAGTCCAGAACAAAGATGGCCCAACGCCTTTCCTCACAAGACATACAGAAACATGACAGACCCATGGAAAATTGTTGAAAGAGAAGAAGGAAGGAAAACAGGGAGGGAGGGAGGGAGGGAGGGAGGGAGGGAGGGAGGGAGGAAGGAAGGAAGGAAGGAAGGAAGGAACAAAAGAAGGAAGGAAGGGGAAAAAAGGATGAAAGGAAGGAAGGAAGGAAGGAAAGAAGGAAGGAAGGGGAAAAAAGGATGAAAGGAAGGAAGGAAGGGTTTACAGCAGTGGAAAGTTTTTATATACACATGCCAAAGGGAAAAAATTACCTCTAGAAATAAACATTGCCTAAATTGAACTTGTTCATATGTATAGAATAGAATTGATGTGAGACCAGACAGCAATATAGCACAGATCTGTTTATGTATCTGAACAGAAAAATAATAATAGAGAATAGGTTATTCAATGAATGGTTGCTGAAGATACATTTATCTTCAGCTCCATGAACAAGTTCAAACCAGATTATATTATCTCAGATATACACAGTAATAGGGGTCCCCCCTCCCTCTCTGGCTTTTGCAAAAAATGGCAATACAATTGTCCTAAAATCTTTGTAAGATCCAAGCTTGATTCTAAACAGCCTTTATACAGGCAAGACTGGGCATATTTTAAGGCCTGATGGAAATAAAACTAAAGAGATCTATTTAGGATGAAAAATGAGCAGAGGATAAAGGAGCTGTATATAAGCAGCACTGTTGACAATATTTTGCATAGTTAGTGGATACCATACCAGCAATATTGGCAGTGGCAAGAGACCCTTGGCACCAATATTAATATTAATATTAGTACCACTTGTATCAATATGGCAGGGAAGTGTCAGTGTAGACCTCTCCCAGCAGCAGTAATGAAGGCAACTTCACTGAGCTTTACCTAGGTGTTTCATACAGAAGACGAAGATGGCACCACGGCAAACCAAGGTGAAGGAGGAGGTGAATAACAAAGGCTACGGGGGAAGAGATATTTGTAGCAGGAATATCAAGGAGGAGACAAGCGTTCATGCAAAGTGATAGTGGCAGAGCCAAGAAATCTTTCTTTTTTAAAATTGTTATTATTAATTCACTTTGCCCACTTGATTGGTGTAACCTGAGAAACATGGTTTACTTATGAAAGAGTGACCTTGGCTAGGCATGTAGCTCACATTTATAATCGCAGCACTTTGGGAGGCTGAGGTGGGAGGACTGCATGAGCCCAGAAGCTCAAGACCAGCCTAAGCAACATAGAGAGACCCCATCTCTTAAAAAAAAAAATTTAACTAGCTGGACATGGTGGCACTTGCCTATAGTCCCAGCTACTCAAGAGGCTGAGGTGGGAGGATTGCCTGAGCCCAGGAAGTCAAGGCTGCAGTGAGCCATGATCACACCACTGCACTACAGCCTGGATAACAGAACAAGACCCGGTCTCAAAATTAAAATTAAAATTAAATTAAATTAAAAAATGACCTCACAAAAAAAAGAATTTAAAAAAAGGGACATCATTTGTGAACACAGGTATCCTTAATAACAAACCTAGAATCAACCTTATAACATTCTTTTTTTAACCTGCAAGCAAACATCTCCAATTCACAGATACATAAGCATACAATTTTTATGTGTAATATAATTTTTTAGTAATGTGTACATTTATATTAGCATATATCAGAAATCTCTAATATAAAGATAGTGGTATGCATGTGGTTAAAATTCTACCTACAGCTCCCTCCTCTGTTCACTTTCTTTAAATGCAGTTTTTAAAAACTGCATTTTGGAATAATTCATCTTGACAGTATTGTTTTATCCAAAAATTTTCAGTGATTTTTTTTTTGGACAGTGCCACCTTTATTAACCTTTCTCTTTTGCTGACTCAAGAAGCTACGATGTCAGAGCAAGGAGCACAAAATCTACTACAAAATGTATTTAAATTTCCCACATCAAAACCCCCAACATTTATTTGAATCATAGATAAATTTCAAGCCTATACTATTTTTGTTTAAACTAGAAAATTGGGTCATATGATTCAGATATCATTTGTTCAGGCTGACTGTGTGACATGTTTTGCACATAGCTACATACATACTTGGGACATGAATTATGCCAACTGTTGTTCAAACGTTACCCATAGTAACTTTTAAGACAATAAGCAAGGAGAGTCCGGTCTGAAGCTATTGAGTTGGCTGTGCGGGTATTACCACAGTGTCAGAGACATAGCTTGCCATTTTGCCACAAAGAAATTTCATTTGAAGGCCAGGCATGGTGGCTCACACCTTTAATCCCAGCACTATGAGAGGCCAAGGCAGGAGGATCACTTGATTCCAGGAGTTTAAGACCAGCCTGAGCAACGTGGCAAAACCCCGCCTCTACAAAACATACCAAAAAAAAAAAAAAAATTAGCCAGGTATGGTGGCATGCACCTGTGGTCCCAGCTACTCAGGACGTTGAGATGCGAGGATCACTTGAGCCTCCCAAAAAGAAAAAATGAATTAAAAAAAAAGAAAGAAAACTAATTTGAGCAGGAACTCTGTTTTGCTCACAGCAGGTGCCCCATGACTAAAAATAGTAATGAGCACATAATCATTGTTTGATAAATGTTTGTTGAATGAATAAATGAATGATTAAGACCATACAGCAGATTCCCACTGCCTTCAGGGTACAGACAAAACTCTTAATTATTGAATACTTGGTTTGCAAGGGCCTCTGTAACTCTGTCTCTTGAAGGTACCACTAATTTCTGTCCTGGAAAGTAAAATGGCTTTGCTCCACACAGTTCTTGGACATTCCAGAAACACATCTACAATCTCTTGCTTGGTTACTAAAATAGATAGGTCACCACATTGTGAGTAGATTTTACCATATTAATTTTCTGTTAGCAAACTCATTCATAAGCTCTTGTCAGGCTTCTCCAAATATCATCATATCAGGCAGGGGAAGCTAAGTAAGGCTGAGGTAACAAGTAATCCTAAAATCTTAGTGGCCCATAAAAACAGAGGTTAATTTTTCTTGTTTGTGGCATATGTCGATGGCTGATCAGCAGGACGGCTCTGTTCATAATAGAGACACTTAGTGCAGCAGCACCCAGCTGAGGGAACAGAAACCATCTAGAAAGTAGCAATCACAGTGACCTGTGGGCAAGAGTATGGCAGAGTATGTGCAGGCTCCTGAAGCTCTGCCGGTAGTGCCACATGGATGCTTCCGCTCAAAATTTCATTAGCCAAAGCAAGTCATGTGGCCACGCCTGAGATCAAGCAATAGGGCAAGCATGTGTAATTCTCCTGTGAGCAGGCGACACAAATATTGTGAACAGTAACACGTCCTACCCCTGCCGATACACTGCATCATGTCAAGTCAGTAATTTCGTGGCATCTGGTTCTAAACCCATATTATCCTCACAAAGAGTAGGAAGAAAAAGATCAAAATATACCATTTTGTTTTTATTTTGACAATTAGAGAAATATGAGCTAAATGTTATTTTCATTAAAACACAACTTACAAAAACTATTCAAGAATTTAAAGTTTCAGAGTTCCTTCCAAGTTATTGGAGAAGACAAAAGTAAATTAAACTTAAACTTATGTAGCAAAATATCAAAAACAAAAGAAAGAGCAAGGATACATAAAAAATATGAAGCTTAGCAAAAACTAGTGATTACATGTAGCAATTACAACCTCAAACACAAAAGGTATAAAATCTCATAATGAAAGGCAAATACTAGTTAAAGAGTAAGAACCAACCATGTGCTGCTTGAGAGACAAATCTAAAGTAAAATAAAACCAAAAAAACATAAAAATAAAGGAATGGAAGATCCAATTTGTAAACACAAACAGAAAGCTGTCATAATCTGTTTGGACTGCTATAACAAACCACAATATACTGGGTAGCTTAAATAATCAATGTTTATTTCCCAGTTCTAAAGGCTGAGAAGTCCAAGATCAAGGTAACAGCAGATTCAGTGTCTGGGGAGAGACAACTTCTTGATTGAGATAGCCATCTTTTCAGAAGGGATGGGGGAGCTCTCTAAGGTCTTTGTCATAAGGGCACTAATTCCATTTATAAGGGCCTAACCCTCATGACCTAATCACCTTCTAAAGGCCCGACCTCCTAATACCATCATATTGGAGATTAGGATTTCAACATATAAATTCTGTGAAGACACAAACATTCAGTCTATCACAAAAGCCAACAGGGAAATATTAATTCAGGTAGAGTTTAAATCAAAAAGAATTAAATGGAATAAATGGGGTAATATTACAATAAGAAAAATAAAAATTCACAATGGAGAGAAAATAGTTATTAACTAATACATATCAAGTATGTCCCTTACAGAACAGGAGATATAACTTCAGGCCTGTGTGAAGCAAGGGAGTAGAAGTGAACCTCTTGCATAATATCTAGAATATCAGTTTATCCCACTCATGAAAAATGGGGAATTCTTCCAAGAGCACTAGGAGGATATAAATTAGTTTGTGAGCTGCTCAGAAACTTGGAAGAAAATAAAACCCACCTAGAAAAATAGAAAGACCTGTTTAGATTAAGAATCAAAACCTAAGAAAAATATTAAAATTAATCCAGGTAAATAAATTATAGTACCTTCCCATATTGAAATATTATACAGCTATGAGAATGATGATCAACACCACCACACACAAATACAGATGAACCTCACAAGTTCAATGTGGAATGAATGAAGCTATTCAGAAAACCACATGATCGACAATGTTCAAAGGCAGTATGGTGATTACTCTTGTGCAGTGTGAAGGTGGTATTGGCTGAAGGGAATCTCAGTGGGGCTTCTGAGGAGCTGGTGATATTCTATTTCTTGATGTAGGTGCAAGTCACAGAACAGTGTTCACTTTGTGAAAATGCATTAAGCTCTACATTTATATTGTCCTTTTCCATATGGATATTACATTTTATACTTTAGTAAATATGCATATTATATGTTATACTTCAGTTTTAAAAAAAAAGAGAAAAACTGGTGCTGATCTATTGAAACTCAATGAAAAACGAAACCCACTCTCTGGAGACACTTTCACAGCTCAGGGCAATTTTCATTTGTCCTAAATCCAGGACAAATGAAACTCTCTCAGGAAAAAAAAACCATCTTTACCAATGATGAACTCACAAGGAAAAAAATACCAACATTCAAATATGAAAAACACCAACAGCAGTATTGATAAAACAGTACTGTGCAAACAAATTTTTTTATGTTTTTAGGTCCCAAAAAGAACACCAGAAAAACCTGTTGATCAATCAAAACTAAGTTTATTAGGTTTCCTAAAATAACAAAGGACACAAACTTGATAGTCTGAGTAGGGTCTCAGATGAGGAAAATCAAGACAGGATTACTCACAGTATTTGAGGGTCTGGGCAAGATGATTTTAAGGTAGGTCTTGAGAGCAGGAAACTGGTTGGGCTTGGGTAGAATTCATGGCATAACAGCTTTGGATAATCAAACAGTGAGACTAGGATAATGAGGCAAGTTCTTGATAAGTGTTATATGTAAAATGTTTATTTAGAAACAGAATGCTTGTTCCCTGGTGCTCCAAAGAAATAGCACTTGAACATAAATTTAATTGTCTCAGCAAAGCCATTTTTATTTTCTGCAGAAAGGGTGCTCACCACAGATGGAACAATGGTGAGAGGATACCTGAACAAAGGAGGGAAGAAATTTTTATCCCTTACACAGTTTGTCCCTGCTACTGTGTCCTGTCTCCATTGGCTGGAGCCAGACCTCACAATCTAAATTAAAACCCAATTGGCTAACAGTTTAAAACTTTTCTAAATAGGTAAAAGTAACGGAAAGACAAAGGAAAAGACGAAGTTGCTTATGCCAAATAGGGAAGGGGCATAGGCTGCGAGCTGGAACGTGCCTGTGAGCATGTCCAGCACAAATATATTTGTTAAGGTACAAGGGTATATAATGTACTACGTCCCTGTGAGCATTTTTAACAGCTACATAGGATCGGGCTTAACAAAGAGTTATTAGCACAAAGCAAGGAGGCTTGAAGGAAGTTAGTTTTTATAAGAAACTATTATTTTTAAACTTATGATTTATTCTTTAACAAGAAGGGAAACTTTGAAGAGGAACTTTCACTTTCTACATAAGCTATTTTAGTTGGTTTACAGTCGACTTCCAGGAGCCACTATTTCCACTATAGGCAGTTAAGCTATATTAGACTTGCCCCACTATTGCTTAGTCAAAAACAAGAAAGTATGATTTGGTCTAGAATTGATCAGCATAGAGGCAGGAAAGTACATTGTTTTCAGTGCTGTATATTTACATTTTCAAATACAAAATGATGCATGTTTATATTTTCAAATATAAAATTATTATATTTCCAAATATGAAATGATACATACAAATACAAAATAAATATTTCAAATACAAAACTGATATTTTCCTTTCTTATCTTAGAAAAATGGTATTTTTAAATACAAAAAAACTATAAATTTATAAACCTAGTAAGTAAAAAGGTAAATTAAAAATAAATGTTAAAACTGTATTATTATTCAAATATGAATTATTAACAAATAATAAAGCTTTAAAAATAGTAGCCTAAACATTTAATTAAAATAAAGAAAATTTATCATAAATAATTAAAGATAAAATATTACTTGACCTTTTTTGAAAAGTGTGATCTTAAAAAAACAAAGTGTGTTAATGTTGTCATGGTTAAGCATATTTTTGTACAAGTTTTCTCCAGCTGCTGTAAAGACTGTCTTTGAATCTACGCTAGCAAAGGGAATGGTGAGGGGAGAGAAATCAACTAACTCCAAATATTTTCCATCTTCAAGAGCGTGAGAAGATCTTGAACACGATTTGTATCTTATTATTCTTCAATAAAAGAGTCAAGGATTGTACCTTTTTACAGAGAGCAAGCTATAGATTGTTTCAAAAAAAGCCTTTCTGACCTAACCTTTGTCTCCCTTCATTTCATCATCAAGAGATTAAGATTCCAATTCAGTTCCTAGGATCATTTTTTGTTCTGTTATGTTGATATTCCTCTTGTTCAGAAAATCTTTGATTAAAGAACAGACTATTCTCACAATAGAAATTTTCAAAATTGTTATGTTGGCTGGAGTGATGGCTCACATCTATAATCCCAGCAATTTGGGAGACCAAGGCAGGAGGATTGCTTGAGCCCAGGAGTTTGAGAACAGCCTGGGCAATGTAGCAAGAACCAGTTGCTACAAAAATTTTAAAACTTAGCCAAGAATGATGGCATATACCTGTGATCCCAGCTACTCAGGAGGCCGAGGTGGGAGGATCACTTGAACCCAGGAGGTTGAGGCTGAAGTAAGCCATGTTTGCACTACTGCACTCCAGTATGGGGGACAGAGTAAGACCCTGACTCAGAAAAAAAAAAAAGACTTCTGTGACCCCTGGTCACCAAGAAGTATCTGGAGATTTCTCCCCACCGACAACCATCAACCAATCCATCAGTTCTTCAGCAGATACAAGCTGAGTGTCCTCCATTTCAATTCTGACAACATCTGGAGATAGCATCAGATCCCATAGGCTTAGGGCTCCGTTCCATAAGACTACTCCCCATTTCTCATGCCAACCGCAAGCTCTGGGTTGTTTTACCTGTGCGTCTAACCCACTGGCTATGAATCCAGGTTCCCACAACCACCTCCTCGAGTTTGACACATTTTCTAAAACAGCTCGTTATAACCCAGGGAAATATTTACTTTTATTAGTTTATTTTAAAGAATATTACAAGGGATACAGATGAAGACATGCATGGAGAAAGACATGTGGGAAGGGGCGTGGCGCTTTCCTGCCCTCTCTGGGGGTGCCACCCTCTAGGAACTTCGTCATGTTTAGCTATTCAGAAGCTCTCCAAACCCTGTCCATTAGAGATTTTATGAAAGTTTAATTACAGCTGGGTGTGGTGGCTCATGCCTGTTATCCCAGCACTCTGGGAGCCCGAGGTGAGTTGATTGCCTGAGGTCAGGAGTTCAAGACTAGCCTGGCCAACATGGTGAAACCCCATCTCCACTAAAAATACAAAAATTAGGCAGGTATGGTGATGTGCACCTGTAATCCCTACTCAGGAGGCTAAGGCACGAGAATCGCTTGAACCCAGGAGGCGGAGGTTGCAGTAAGCCGAGATGGCACCACTGCACTCCAGGCTGGACAACAGAGTAAGAGTCCATCTGAAAGAAAGAGAGAAAGAGAGAGAAAGTGAGAAAGTGAGAAAGCGAGAGAAAGAAAGAAAGAAGGAAAGAAAGAAAGAAGAAAGAAAGAAAGAAAGAAAGAAAGAAAGAAAGAAAGAAAGAAAGAAAGAAAGAAAGAAAAAAATGAAGGAAGGAAAGAAAGAGGAAGGAAGGAAGGAAGAAAGGAAGGAAGGAAGGAAAGAAACATAGGCGTGATTGATTAAATTATTGACCATTGATCAACTTTACCTTCAGCCCCTCCCTCCTTTGTGGAGGTTATGGGGTGGAGAAGAAAGTTCCAACCTTCTATTCCTGCCTTGGTCTTTCCAGTGACCAGCACCTAACCTGAAGCTACCCAAGGGGCTACCAGCCACCAGTCATCTCATTAGCATTCAAAAAGACACTTATTCCAAGGATTTTAGTTGTATGCCAAGAAACTGGAGGTGGAAAATCAAACATACATGTCACAATATCACAGGAGACAAGTGAAGAATTTACTTCATTCAAAACTTTAATGTAGCGTAAAATAGATTTGTTTTATTTAAATCACTGGTATTTTGAGTCTCTGCTACACATAGCCAATCCTATTATAGAAAATCCAATAAAAGATATGCAAACTGTATGGATAAAATTATAAAGCTGTATTGAAAGACATTAAGTTGGACCTAAATACTACCTTACCATCCATTTCCTTCTGTGACTTACTTTTGTCAATTAATGTAATTTTTTTTCACATTTTTCTATTGACGTGCAAATTGGGAGCTGTGCCCTGGAGGATGTCACACACGGGAACAAGGAGACAAACACAATGGGGTTCCCTGTAGCATTGCTTGTATAAAATTAAATCAGGCACAGTTTTAGTGTCCATAAATAGAATTAAAAATTCAATATTATATAAAAAGTCAATTATTCCCCAAGTTATCCTATAAATGCAATAAAATGCTAATTACCATTCATGAGTGTTTTTTAGTAAAACTCGACAAGCTAATTCTAAAATGTACAGGGAAATAGGAATAGCCAAGACAATTTTAAAAAGTAAAATAAAAGAGCAAATTGGAGAGATTGTCCTTCCAAATATGAAGACTTATAAAGCTATAGTAACTAAGATAGTATGAAATTGAGACAAGAAAGGCAGAGAAGTCAGAGCTAGACTACACATACAAGAAAGCCTCATGTTGACAGATGAGGCACTGCTGAGCAGTCATTAAAGGACGGCCTATCAATAATTGGTACTGGGATAATTTGTAATACATTTGGGTGGAATAACTCAATATTGTAACTTGATTCTACCCAAATTATTCTATAAATTTAATCCAATTTTAATTAAGATTCTAATAGGAATATGCAGGCATATTTTTCTTAAAGAATACACATATGCACACACACACCCATATATGCATACACACCCCCCCAAACTGTAAAGGAAAAGACTGATAAATTTAGCTATGTTAAAATTTAAAATGTCTTTACAATAAAAGTAAATATAAATAAAATATGGTGGGGTGTGATGGTTCACGCCTGTAATCCCAGCACTTTGGGAGGCCAAGGTGGGTGGAGCTCAGGAGTTTGAGACCAGCCTGGCCAACATGGTGAAACTCCATCTCTACTAAATATACAAAAATTAGTCTGGTGTGGTGGCACACACCTGCAATCCCAGCTACTTGGGAGGCTGAGGCAGGACAATCACTTGAACCTGGGAGGCACAGATTGCATTGAGCTGAGACTGCACCACTGCACTCCTGCCTAGATGACAGAGCAAGACTCTGTCCAAAAAAATAAAAAATAAAAATAAGAAAAAATAAAAATATGTATACAAATAAAATAGACTAGCCAAAAATTGGAAGAATATACTTAATGTACATAAACAAATGATTGCTGTATAAAGTAAATAGAAATTCTACAATCAATAGTAAAAGATAAGCAACAAATAAAAAACTATACAAAACATAAAAACTGAGGATAAAAACAAAAAAACAATAAATATATTAAAAGATACTCAACCTCATTATTAACCAGGGAAATGAAAATTACAATAATAAAAGTCCATTGCAGCCATCATATTGGTAAAAATTTTAAGGACTGATCTAACAAAATGTTTACTACTTGGTCATTAAAATATCACATACACTCTCTCCTATAATCTCTACTGGATCAAATAAAAAATCTAAATAGCAAAGAGTAAAAATATTGCACTTTCAGGATGCAGTGGTAAATTAATCAGTTTCTATGATTTCATTATTAAGAAGAAATGATAAAATGTTAAACCAACTGTCCAATTAATAAAGTTAGAGAAAAGATCAAACAAACAGGAAAACAGAAAAAACAAAATAATGAAAAATAATGCACAATCTAGTAACTGCCACATAGACAAACAAAACTGATAAATCCAAAGATAGTTGGAAGGAGAGGGGAAAACCAATAATAAAATCATACAATCAATTATAAAAGCTGAAAATTTCACTATAAAAAAGAAAAACTCAAAAGAATAAAATTAGGAATGAAAGAAGGGATATATCTGAATGCTTTTTAATCCTAATGAGGTAAACTGGCTTCTTAGTAAATAAAAATTGCCAAAACAGACTTAAGTATTAATATTACAAGCAAGAATAAACCAAACGAGTGTTATTAAAGAACTATCTCAAAAAATAGTTCTAGGGCCAATGAATATTACTGAAAAGTGCAGTCAGACTTTTACAGACAGTATTTTCCATGCTATATAAACTGTTCAAGGACTGAAATGCTATCCAACCCATTTGAGACAGCTAGCAATAATCCTGATATAAAATAAACATGGCAGAGTTTGTAAAAATAAAGATAAATCTCAGATTATTAAAGGTGCATTATTAATCAGATGTGTCTATTCTACTGGAAAAGAATAAATCTATCTGGGTGAGTTAAGTGAGTTAATAGAAATAAGAATGCATGAAGTTGATGGATTCACGGGAATATGTATAAGCCATCAAGACCTTGTGATGAAAAGTCAAAATTAGGAGAGGGAATACATCAAATATTTACATTCTTGCAACCACAAAAAATGAAGTGAGCAAAAAGCACAGAAAGACATCACTAAATGAGACTAAAAGAGGTTGAAAGGGCAATAACAAATGCTGGAGAAGATATGGAGAAAAGGGAACCCTTGTACACTGTTGGTGGAAATGTAAATTAGTACCACCACTATGGAGAACAGTTTGGAGGTTCCTCAAAAAATTAAAAATAGAGCTACCATGGGAGTCAGCAATCCCACTCCTAGGTATATACTCAAAAGAAAGGAAATCAGTATATTGAAGAGATATCTGCACTCCCATGTTTATTGCAACACTATTCACAATAGCCAAGATTTGGAAGCAACCTAAATGTTCATCAACAGATGAATGGATAAAGAAAATGTGGTACATATACACCACAGAGTGCTATCCAGCCATAAAAAAAGAATGAGAGCTTGCATTTTGCAACAACATGGATGAAAATGAAGGTCATTATGTTAAGTAAAGTAAGCCAAGTACAGAAAGACCAACTTTGCATGTTCTCACTTATTTGTGGGAGCTGCAAATTAAAGCAATTGAGACCAGGCACAGTGGCTCACGCCTGTAATCCCAGCACTTTGAAAGGCCAAGGCAAGCTGATCAGTTGAGCCCAGGATCTCAAGACCCACCTGGGCAACATAATGAGAGCCTGTCTCTACTTTAAAAAATAAATAAATAAAACAATTGAACTCATGGAGATAGAAAGTAGAAGGATGGCTACTAAAAGCTGTGAAGAGTAGTGGGGGCAGGTGGGGGAGGAGAGTGGGGATGGTTAATGCAGACAAAAAACAGTAAGAAAGAATGAATAAGACCTAGTCTTTGCTAGCACAACAGGGTGACTATAGTCAAAAATAATTTAATTGTACATTTTAAAATAACTAAAAGAGTATAATTGCATTGTTTGTAACACGAAGGATGAATGCTTCAGTGGATGTATGCTCTATTTACTCTGATGGGATTATTACACATTGCATGCCTATATCAAAATAATCTCATGTAACCCATAAATATATACACCTACGATGTACTCACAAAATTTTTTTTTAATTTTTAAGAGGTTGAAATGCATTTATATCACTCCTGGGGCCTTTCAGTAGCCTCCTACCCCAAGTTGATGATAATAATATCATTAGAAAAACAGCATATGCAAATGAAGTCAGTGGTAAATGAGAGATGGAGTCACATGGGTTCAAGCTGTCTTGAATCACTCTCTGAGACTATCACCATGGTGGCACCCACTCATAAGGGCTTTTAGTAGAACAGAGTCCATAGACAACTATCACACTAGTTAAGGCTGGTGGATCATATGGAATACATAAACAAAATTGGTGATGAAATGTTACACCAATGATGAAACTGTGCATAGGGTTTAGAGGGTGTGGGGAAGGGGAAATAGGAGAGGGAAAGATTTACAGAGGAAGTGATGTTTGCACAGAATCTGTTTCTGCTCATCTGCTTCAATTTCACCTCAGAGTTGTTCTGTCTTTAACCTTCATCCTAGTTTCTGTTTGGTTGGTTATTAGTATGTTGTTTGATTGATTGTTTAAAGAAGGCGTTATAATTTGCTTACTATTTCCCAATGCCAATATATTTCTGTAGAGTTTTATTACTTATTTTTGTGAGCATTGTACTCACATGAAAAAGAAAAATGTATCTTCTTAGGACTGATTCTTACAAATTTGAAATAGCTATAGTTTATAACTTACATGGCCAAGCCCTGCTAGAAGTATCTTGCAAAGGGTTTGACACAGAAGCTTGGCCAAGCTGTGAAAAATCTCTCAAAGTAGTTAACACACTTCTTGAGTATTACTGGAAACTTGATAAACTAAGAAGAGAATTTTGACCAGGTATCACAAGAAATTTGTACTGGGGACTTCTAAGAATAAGCGTGTACTATTTCACAGTCAACTAGAAGAAGGCATTAGGACATTAGGGCTATTTTCTCAATATCTTGTTGATTAATAGTTCTTCCCTTTGCAGACAGAGTAGAAAATTTCACCAAGTAAAGATTTTAGCCCTGCTTTAGTTTAATTCATCTCATATTCCTTTATTTCTATTCTTCCTCCCACATCTTTCCTTCTCAGGTCTGGTTCCCTATATGCGGAGCTTCAACCCCCAGAGGATATTTAACCTTGTCTCCCCCTCCACACTGCTGCATTCCCCACCACATCTCTTTCCCTCTCTTTCCATCCACCTGAAGAGATGAGAGCATATACAGAAAGTAGCTCCCAGCTGTAGCTCAACCATTAAACACCAAGAGAAAGGAAAATGAACTCTGCCAGACTTAGATCAATTAGAAGATTCCTTTGTAACCTAAATACATTTTTAAAAGCTTATCATCAAATTATGCAGTCATTTGCAGTTTGAGGTAAAACAACTCCTTCATTTTCATGGCCCTCTCCCCTATTCAAGATGACATCAACTGCATATTAGTTTTACCTTGTATGCATTTCTCAATAGTAAAACCATTAGTCAGTAGCATCTGAATGTACATTGATACAGTGGGTGTTTTGTGGTAATTATAAGGTAATTACTTCCTATCCTTAAATAATTGTCATTTCCACAAACAAACAAAATAGGATAAACAACAATACAGCATACATAAAACAACTGCCATCTCCCTAAGACACCAGAATAGCCTGTTAATCAAGGAAAGCTAAATTTATTAAATCTACTACAGTAAGGGAGGCCACACTTTGACAGAAGCTTGGCAGTCTCAGAAGGAGAAGGTTGGGGGTGATATTTATAGGATTTGGGGAGTCTGAGCAAAAATGGTTTAAAACAGGTCTTTTGAGGCAGGGAACTGTTTGGGGGATTGGGTAAAGTGTTTGACCTAATAGTTTAGGGTCGGTGCTAGAGTGACCAATTTTACTGATTTCCTAGGACTTTCTCAATTTTAGCACTAAAAATCCTCCAACTGGAGAATCCTTACAGTCCTGGGCAAACTGGGACCATTGGTCACCCTAATTAGCAGACATACCGTCGCAAGACTGCTGGGTAATTTGAACAGTAGTACCAGAGCAACTGACAAAACATTGTAGCCCATCTTCCCAAGGCTGGATACAAAGTTTTCTGAAGCATTCACATTTACAGCCTCTATTTGACAAAATACTGCATGCCTATGTGCGTTCAACTCACATAATAATGAAACTTAACTTTAAAAATGTTTTTATTGCAGTAAGGTATATAAAACATGAATTCGACAGTTTAACTATTTCTATGCATACAAGTGAGTGGTATTAATTACATTCACAATGTTAAGCGACCATCATCACTTAATTTTTTTAAAGGACGTTTATATTCACTCATCTATCAACGTAGTAGGCACTGTCCTAGGCGCTAGGGATTCCATGCAGAGCAAAAAACGTCACAGTCCATGCCTTCACATGGCCTTCATGGACCACCGCGGGTGTTCTTTTTCCCCCGAGTCTTTATGTACTTGGGAAAAGTGGCCAGGGTTGAAAGGTGCAATGAGTACACGGCAGAGGTCAGAGAGGTTCCCACTCAGCCCGGCGTCTGGAAGCAGCGTGGGGTAGGGGCCGCTCCAGTACCCCCTCCTCCAGTGTCGAAGGTGGGCAGGCCCTCGGCCGGGTGGATGAGCCGCGACTGGAGGGGGCGGGGCCTGGGCGGGAGGCGGGCGGTGGGCGTGTCCGGGGCGGGGCTGTACCGGGCGCTGGGCGGAGGAGCCTTGGCTGGGGACTGCCTGGAAACGGGCTGGGCCTGCCTCGGACGCCGCCGGTGTCGCGGATTCTCTTTCCGCCCGCTCCATGGCGGTGGATGCCTGACTGGAAGCCCGAGTGGGATGCGGCTGACGCGGAAGCGGCTCTGCTCGTTTCTTATCGCCCTGTACTGCCTATTCTCCCTCTACGCTGCCTACCACGTCTTCTTCGGGCGCCGCCGCCAGGCGCCGGCCGGGTCCCCGCGGGGCCTCAGGAAGGGGGCGGCCCCCGCGCGGGAGAGACGCGGCCGAGGTAGGACTGGGTCGGCGGCTTCCTTCCGGCTCTGCGCTCCTGGCTGGGGCTGCTGGGCGGCTGGGGCCGGGTCCCCGCACCCGGCTCTCAAGTCCGGGATTACCCGCAGGGCCTGAGAAGCGCTTTGCCCCCTACAGCCTCTCGAGCCAGCCCTTGGCTCGGAATTGGAGAATGGTCCTCATTCTTACCCAGATCTCACACGCCGTCCCCGCTCCCGATCCCAGGGGGTGACAGGCGCGCACGCCTTTCAAACACGTGTTAAAATCCAAGACGTCGTCTCAAATGCCAGAGATTTGCGGGAATGCTCCTGGAAGGCCTCAAAATCGCCGCAAGGTTTAAGACATCCGTTTCCATGTTGAAACAAAGCCCTCTCTAATCCTGCAGTGACCATAAGGCAGACTTTACCTCCAAATTCTGGTCCCCTGTCCTGTGTTTTAACTTGTGTTAAGATCAGACTCGGCTTTCTCTTTCCCTTTATTCAGAATTTTGCACGATAGTATCTAAGACTGGTGAACACTACACTCTGAAGTCAGTTTTTTGTGCATAGGTTACCTGTATACAATGGATAAAAATAATTGCAAAAGTTAAGCTTGTAACTTGATACATATTATCCTGTTATTTTTAAAGGTTTTGTGTTGGGGAAGAGAATTTTCCTGTCTCAAGGTAGCATTTTATTTCTAAGACTTTTCAGAGTAAAAAAAGTTCAGTAAAAAAATTGCTGATTTTCTTTTTTGTTTTCATTGTGTATTACCAGTTTAAATTCAGTTGCTGTACCTCTCAGAAATTAAAGTTAGGATGAAATTAGAACTAACACTTAATTTAAATGATTTGAATTTACCTACAACTGCAATAATACCTTACTGGTAAACACTTACTCTTTTTAAAACAGAACAGTCCACTTTGGAAAGTGAAGAATGGAATCCTTGGGAAGGAGATGAAAAAAATGAGCAACAACACAGATTTAAAACTAGCCTTCAAATATTAGATAAATCCACGAAAGGAAAAACAGATCTCAGTGTACAAATCTGGGGCAAAGCTGCCATTGGTAAGTTAATACGTAGAAGGAAGACATGTAAAAAGCATTATAAAATGTATTTTATTGATATGAAATTCATTTTAATATAATTTATTTCATAATTTGTTAATTAAGGCATCATGATATATTTTTTCGCTTTTTGTCAATAATTCCTTTCTCCTTCCAATTAGACAACATCTGTTTGTAAATGTACACACATACATATTCCACTGTTGGTCTTTAGCAGAGCACAGCTTCATTTATTGATACATTGAGTAGGCTGTATAGTGTCATTAGATTGCAATGCATATGTCAACTGAATTTTCATGAATCTGTGTATTTTTTGGACACTTGATACACAAGTATAAGATGTGGCCCCTGCCCTTGATGGCCAAACACATTTGGGAAACACTGAAGAGTACAAAGTTAAACAAGGTTCTTCATTGCAGGCCTTTCTCAAGAGCCTTTAATATGACAATGTTCATTGTATCAGCGAAGGAATATATTATAGTATGTAGTTGATTAAACTTGATTGACCACAGAAGCATTTTTGCTGTGAATATCATGAGAGTGTAGTGTTCTAAGATATATATTATGCTCAATTAGAGAATGGGGCCCTGAGGGTTTAAAGAGTCACAAAGAATTTAGTGACTTAGAAAGCGCTTTATGTGGCCTTTGAACATGAGTTGGGTTTATGTACAATAAGGCATATGGATAGAAAGTACCAGATGAGAGGAAAATGTACAGAGCATAGTGCTCTGCTCATGGTATTTCATAAATTCGTTCATACTTACATACAAGTATATATCCTAGAAGATTACTACCAACCTCTAAATTTCAAGTACCTGAAACCAGGCCTTCAATCATCAAGTTCTAGCCATTATTTTTTAAATAAAGTCTCTAATATTGATTTCTTCTTTTAAATCTCAGATTTTCATTTCCAGACTTCTCTCTTTTCAATCTGATAAGTGCAAAGTGGCCAAGTGAATTTCATCAAATGCTACCTTTTTTTTTTAACACCTCTGCTAGCAGGAAAAATGCTACTTTGATCAGCCTATTCTCTAGACACAGTTATAAAATACCGTTATAGAAATTCCCATTCAAAAGGGGAGAAAAATTGAAGTAAAAAAGTGTCACTGGTCCAAGCAATTTTGAAATCTAAATTTCATCTAAATGGCCAGCTCCATTAGATGATATTGCAGGCCTAGGAATAATCTATAGGTTGTACAGCTTTGCCCTCTGGCATCTCAGCCACACTCTTGAAGTCATCTTTTCCTTTTTCATAAAAAGTAGCACAAGTTTGCAGCTTCGTAATTTTATCAGCCTGTTGACAGCTGGTAAAATTTTCAGAGCCCATCAGCCTTCTTTCATTGTGACCTCTTGCTGTCTTTTTTAGTCCAAGCTGGCAGCGTTTCTGCTCATAAAACATTCTGAAGAACCTTGTGGGCCCTCTGTGTATGTCACAGGATTCACTCCATTAGATGGGAAGCTCCTCTGCAGATCTTTTCTGAGTAATCCCATCTCCATTTCTGGCTTCTGCTGAGATGGCTGAGGAGACCTGTAAGTCACATGTATAATCTCTTCAAAGAGCCCTTTGTGTGAATGAATATTCAGATCTTCTGATCCTTCTGAGGCACTAGCAAAAGGTTGTGCAGCCACATCCTTGGTCTTGTTTCTGGAACACCCTTTTCAGGCAGCAAATCTAATTTTTCACATCTTTTGCAATCTTAATGGTCCGAGAATTTCCCAAATCATCAAATTCTGGTTCCCTTTTGCTTAACAGTTTTTCCTTCTATCTCTTTTTTCTTATATTTCACTAATCACCAAGAAACCAGTCCACACCTTTCACTTTGCTTGGAACCCTCCAGCTAATTATTAAAGTTTATCACAAGTTCTGCTTTCCATGTAACTGCAGGATACAATCCAACTAAGCTTTTTACTGTTATATAACAAGGATCCTCATCCTTCCAGTTTCTAATAACACATTCCTGATTTTCTTCTGAGCCCTCACCAGCAATTTCTTTAATACGCATATTCTAGGCATGGCGTCTCACGCCCGTAATCCCAGCACTTTGGGAGGCTGAGGCCGGTGGATCACTTGAGGCCAGGAGTTCAAGACCAGCCTGGCCATCATGGTGAAACCCCGTCTGTACCAAAAATACAAAAATTAGCCAGACATTGTGGCACGTGCCTGTAATCCCAGCTACTCAGGAGGCTGAGGCAGGAGAATTGCTTGAACCCGGGAGGTGGAGGTTGCAGTGAGCCGAGATCATGCCACCTTACTCCAGCCTGGGCGACAGAGCGAGACTCTGTCTCAAAAAAAAAAAACATTGCATATTCTTACCAACAATCTGCTTGTGATCATTTAGATATCCTCTAAGACAATACAGGTTTTCTCTACTCTACCTCACTTTCTTGAGTCTTCACTAGCTGAGTCATTAACATCCATATTTCTATCTGCAGGTTATTCAAGGCAATCTAATCTAGGCTTTTTAAAATCATGTCCTCACAGTTCTCTCAGCCTTTCCCCATTACCCAATTTCAGAGACACTTCCACATTTTTAAGTATTTGTTACAGTAGCACCTCATTTCCAGGTACCATAATCTTAACTGTATAATCCATAGCATCCTATTGCAGCCATAACAAATTACCACAAATGCAGTATCCTACCTTTCTGAAGGCAGAACTCTAAAATGTGTGGGGTCTGTGTTACTTTTTGAGGCTCTAGAGGAGAACCTGTTTCCTTACCGTTTAGAGTTTCTAGCGGCTACCCGTATTCCTTCATTTATGGCCCCACATCACTCTGACCTCTGCTTCTATCTTTATATATCCCTTGCCTCACTCTGACACTCCTGCCTCCCTTGTGTGAGGACTCTTGAGATTACATAGGGCCCACCTAGATAATCTATAATAATCTCTTCACCTCAGCATCCTTAACTTAATCATATTTTTAAAGTGTCTTTTGCCATGTAAGGTAACATATTCATAGATTCTAAAGATTAGAATATGGACATCTTTGCTGGTGGGGCAGAGGGACATTATTCAACCCATCACATTTGGAAAGCGTTATCTAATTGGCCACATTTTAAACGTGGTGGCTTGCGTTTCCTTTAGTACCAGGGTACAATGAGAATGGAACAAAAACCTCTTTGAGTGTAACCAAAACAGGGTGCCCAGAGGTGGTGTATGGTCTCCATAGTGCCTCATTGAGTAACACTGCTCTCCTCTACTCTCAGAGCTTTCATTCAGGTGAAATCATGATAAAACATCAGGGGCTGCCATAAGGAGAAAAGATGCAATGACATTTGTCTGTGAGGGGATCATGCATTCAGGGATATGTGTTCAAGTGAGGAGGAGGTAATATCCCCTTGACATATTGAATGTATTAATATATGTACATACATGAGCTCCTCTGGCTCCATTTGGCACAAAATGGCAACTCCCCCAATCTGTTATAAAAGCAGTTCTAACCACATAGTATAGTTTACTTTGTAATATAATACATTTCATTTCAGAATAAGACAGGTGGTAAAGATCCATATAAATTAGGGGTTTCTCAAATCTAGAGTAGGAGAGGTCTTTAATATTAACTCACATTTTGCCACATTTTACACACTAACAGCTTCTGAGCTCTGTCTCTCATTAGCTGCCATGTTGATGATTTGGAGCTGTTGCTTGATAGCACTGCCTGCCAACGGCCCAAAGGAGAGGCATTCTGGTTTTATAGTCAAATGAGTAAAAGAACAGAACGTAAACTTGTCTCATGCACTAAAGTAGATGAGACAGTAAATTGTTTTGATTTTGTTTTTGTTGTTAATTACCAGGCTTGTATCTCTGGGAGCATATTTTTGAAGGCTTACTTGATCCCAGCGATGTGACTGCTCAATGGAGAGAAGGAAAGTCAATCGTAGGAAGAACACAGTACAGGTATTGGTTGTATTAGTTGTGCAACATTAACCTTTGATGTTTTGCTCTGCAATATTTTCTGTAAATACTAAAAGAAAAATAATAGGAAAATATATTTATAAAAATACTTCTATTTCAACTTGTAAAGAATAGAGAAGTAAATCTCATGAATATGTATTCATAATTAAGCTTACTTGGACCTTATGAAATTGTATATTACAGAATACTCCTTTTTGGCATCATATGTCTGTTTTATTTTTACCTAATTATATAGAAAAGTTCATACTCCACATCTTACAGCGTTTGAATGGTGACAGCCATTGAAAACATTCTGTATCTTGGAGGAATAATATGTAAACCTAAAAGTATTTTCATTTTTCTCTTTCATGTAATAGTCATGTTCACTTTTTAAAATATTTAGGTGATATCAAAGCTCTTGCTGTCACTTTGTAGATTTTTGTTTATTAAAACAAATTTGATGAGTTCTATCAGGATTTATTTTTTATTTTAGATTTAATAAAGCCAATGTATTGCTTAGACTTTTTTGGCCTTTTTATATAACTCTTTTCTATGACTGCATATTTTCTGAGTGTTTTTAAGTATATTAGGATTATTTTATTTAGGAAAACTATAATTTTATCATATGAAATGCTATTTTATTAGATTTTGCTTTATTGAAATTAAAAATAAAAACATTATTTTTAAATGCTTATTTTATATAACAGTTGTATTATTGGGGGAAAATGTGAACTAAAGATTCTGCTTTGTATTGGAATTTCAGTCTTTTCTACAGAAATCAGGAAAGGAAAAGCTATAGTTAACCTCAATTTTGTTCTAATTTTTACTACAGCTTTAATTCTTTATTTACTTTATATACACTTGGAAAGCAGTTTTATTGCATGTATCTTTTCAAAGTTAAAAAGTAAACAGGTTTTTAAAATTATCATTGGTAATGATTATTTTTCCTTTCATCTTCATGCTTCTGTTGATCTAATCCCATTCAAGAGCTTAAATAGACTTACAATGGTTGGATTTGGGTGTGTGAAAGTAAATGTGTATTATGTGTATAAATCTAATATTTTGGTATTTGAAAAGTAAATGTGTGTTAGGAATATTAGTCTAATCCATAATATATAAAATTTTCAGAAAAGTTATTAAAAATTCATAAAGTTAGCATCTTTAAGGTTAAAATTATACATTGTTACTATAATAATAGTGAAAGATTTGAGCAAAGAACATTAACTCCCAAAAGAAAGCCAAATGTATCCTTTACTTCTGAAATATTTGTGGGAGATTTTACAGGCATCCTCTAGAGATACTGCGTGTTCAGTTCCACACCACTGCAGTCAAGCAAATACTGCAATAAAGCAAGTCATATGAATTTTTTTATTATCCAGTACATATGAAAGTTATGTTTACACTGTACTACAGTCTATTAAGTGTGTAATAGTATTATGCCTAAAAAAAAAAAATACGTACCTTAAGTGAAAAATACTTTATTGCTAAAAAATGCTAACAGTTATCTGACCCATCAGCAAGTCATCTTTTTGCTGGTGGAGGGTCTTGCCTCGATGTTGATGTCTAATCAGTGTATTGATGACTAATCAGGGTGGTGGTTGCTGAAGGCTGGGGTGGCTGTGACAATTTCTTAAAATAAGACAACAATGAAGTTTGCCACATCAGTTGACTCTTCCTTCACAAAAGTTTTCTCTGTAGCACATGATGCTATTTGGTGGCATTTTTACCCATAGAACTTCTTTCAAAATTGGAGTCAATCCTAGGCCGGATGCAGTGGCTCATGCCTGTAATCCCAGTACTTTGGGAGGCTGAGGTAGCTGGATCACTTGAGGTCAGGAGTTCGAGACCAACCTGGCTATCATCGTGAAACCCCGTCTCTACTAAAGATACAAAAATTGGCTGCAAGTGGCAGCACACACCTGTAATCCCAGCTACTTGGGAGGCTGAGGCAAAAGAATCCTTGAACCTGGGAGTCAGAGGATGCAGTGAGGTAAGATCATGCCACTGCCCTCCAACCCCGGGCGACAGAATGAGTCAAAGAAAAAAAAAAATTGGAGCCAGTCCTCTCAAACCCTACTGCTGCTTTATCAACTACATTTTTGGAATATTCTGAATCCTTTATTGTCACTTCACCAATGTTCACAACATTGTATCTTCACCAGAAGTAGATTCCATCTCAGGAAACCACTTTCTCTGCTCATTCATAAAAAGCAACTCCTCATCTGTTGAAGTTTTATCATGAGATTGAAGCAATTCAGTCACACCTTCAGGTTCCACTTCTAATTCTACTTTTCTTTCCATTTCTACCACATCTTCAGTGACTTCCTCCACTTAAATCTCGAACCCCTCAAAGTCATCCATGAGGGTTTAAATCAGCTTCTTCCAAATTCCTTTTAATGTTGATGTTTTGACCTCGTCCCATGAATCATGAATGTTCATGGTATCTAGAATAATGAATCATCTCCAGAAGGTTTTCATTTACTTTGCCCAGATCCATCAGAGGAACCACTGTCTGTGGCAGCTATAGCCTTATGAAAAGTATTTCTTTTGTTGTTGTTGTTTGTTGTTTTTTTTTTGAGACAGAGTCTTGTTCTGTCATCCAGGCTGGAGGGCAGTAGCGTAATCTCAGCTTCCTGCAACTTGCGCCCCTGGGTTCAAGTGATTCTCGTGCTTCAACATCCCAAGTAGCTGGGACTATGGGCATACGCCACCACACCCAGCTAATTTTTGTATTTTTAGTGGAGATGGGGTTTCACCATGTTGGCCAGGTCTCCTGTCTCGGACTCCTGTCCCCAAGTGATCCACCCGCTTCAGCCTCCCAAAGTGCTAGGATTACGGGCGTGAGCCATCGTGTCTGGCCAAAAAGTATTTCTTAAATAAGACTTGAAAGTCAAAATTACTCCTTGATCCATGGGCTGCAGAATAGATATTTTGTTAGCAGGTATGAGGACATGAATCTCCTGTACATCTCCATCAGATCTCTTGGGTGACCAGGTGCATTGTCAATGAGCAGTAATATTTTGAAAGGAATCCTTTTTTCTGAGCAGTACTTCTCAATAGTAAGCTTAAAATATTCAGTAAACCATGCTGTGAACAGATGTTGCTGTCATCTAGGCTTTTTTCCATTTATAGGGCACAGGCAGAGTAGATTTAGGATAGTTTTAAAGGTCCTAGGATTTTCAGAATGATAAATGAGCATTGGCTTCAACTTAAAGTCACCCAGCTACATTTAGTCCCTGATAAGAGAATCAGCCTGTCCTTTGAAGCTTTGAAGCCAGGCATTGACTTCTCTCTAGCTATGAAAGTCCTAGATGTCATCTTCTGCTGATATAAAGCTGTTTCATCTGCATTGAAAATCTGTTGTCTAGTGTAGCCACCTTCATCAATGATCTTAGCTAAATCTTCTGGATAACTTGATGCAGCTTCTACATTAGTACTTGCTGCTTCACCTTGCATTTTTATGTTATGGAGATGGCTTCTTTCCTTAAACCTCATGAATCAACCTCTGGCAACGTCAGACTTTTCTCCTGCAGCTTCCTCACCTTTCTCAACCTTCATAGAATTGAAAAGAGTGGAGGCCTTGCTCTGGATTAGGCTTTGGCTTAAGGGAATGTTGTGGCTGGTTTGATCCTCTATCCAGACTATTAAACCTTTCTCCATATGAGCAATAAGACTATTTCACCTTCACATCATTCATGTTGTTCACTGGAGTAGCACTTTTCATTTCCTTCAAGAACTTTTCCTTTGCATTCCCACCTTGACTGTTTGGCATAAGAGGCCTAGCTTTTAGCTTGCCTCAGCTTTTGACATGCCTTCCTCACTAAGCTTAACTATTTCTAGCTTTTGGTTGCAAGCTTCTCCAACCCACCTTATTTTATTGTTGTTGTTCTGTTTTGTTTTGTCTTAGGCTTTTAGCAGCCTGAAGCCATGGCTTTTAGTTTCTGTCTTTAGTAATAAGCAGAAAAGAGGGATAAGGAAGGGGTTTTACTGGCCCAACCAGAAACAGAAACTAAGAATCCATGCCTATATTCTCTCCCTTGGACACTCCTGAAAGTGAGAGACTTGCGACTCTTCCTTTCACCTAGAGGGCATTCATTATAGGGTTATTAATTATAGGGAACACTTAGAGGGCATTATAGGGTTAATAATTGGCCTAATAGTGTTGTGTCTCAGGGAATAGGGAGGCCCAAGGAGATGGGGAGAAATGGGGGAATACTGGTTGGTGGAGCAGTTAGACCACACACATAGCATTTATCTATTAAGTTTGCCATCAGATCTTGTGAGACTTATTCACTATCATGAGAACAGTACAAGAAAGACCTGCCCCCATGATTCAATTACTTCCCACCGGGCACCTCCCACAACATGTGGGAATTGTGGGAGCTACAGTTCAAGATGAGATTTGGGTGGGGACACAGCCAAACCATATCACCATCTCATAGTGAGCACATGCTGTTGGAAAATGGTACCAATAGAATTGCTTGACTGGGGATCACCACAAACTTTCAATTTGTAAAAAACTCTTTATTTGCAAAGTACAATAAAGTGAAGCACAATAAAATGAGGTGTGCTGGTATTATGGCCAAAGAGTAATACCGTTTCCTCTTAGGATTTAAGAGAACTATATTCAAGAAAGGTCACCATTGTATGAGATTTTTTTTAAACAGCTTATTAAAGTGTTAGGTTCATGAAAAGTAGCGTACATAATTTATCCAAAATTAATAAACTTTTATGCAATTGTAAGTCTTCAGTTGAAACAACTACATGGGTACTAACTTAAGTGTTTCCACACATTCACCATCCTTGTTTGACCAAAAGTGAATCAGAAGTAACGGCTCACCTTGAAGATATTGGAAGAATTTGTAAGTACTGTTAAGATACTTGTTGAAAATAAGTGTAAATATACTTTGTTTAAATAAACAAACGAGCTTATATCATTTAATTGTAGCCTCGAGACAATTCTAAGACAGAAGTAGAAAGGATATCATCAGTGTTGCAGGGCTCATCAGGCTCAGGAATGCTGATTTTCATCAACACATAGGCCCAAAGAATGAATTCCAGCATACCAAATAAATGATATAGAATGGAAAGAGAGCTGTCAGTCAGGCCATGTGTTTGTATTGGTTTGACTGACACATTCTTTCCATACAGGCAGGCTACAATTGATAACCAATTATTTGAGGGTTGATTACATAATGGAACCATATTATGGGATTTAATTATATGTAGTGCTTTTAACTCTGTTTCAGAAAGAAAGACAGAAATATGACTCCTTTTTCACCACTGAATCGGTAACATCATCCATAGGCTGTGCTCAGAATATGAATGCATGAATACATACAGGGCAAACTGAACTTCTGGATGAGCCTGATGAAGCCCTGTCACCTCTGGGCAGTGTAGCATGTGACTCAGTTATTGAGAGTACAGACTCTGGAGCCAGACTATCTTTGTTCAAATTCTTTTATTTTTTTCAGACAGAGTCTTGCTCTGTCACCCAGGCTGGAGTGCAGTGGCGCAATCTCGGCTCACTGCAACCTCCACCTCCCGGGTTCAAACGATTCTCCTGCCTCAGCCTCCTGAGTAGCTGGGATTACAGGCGCCCATCACCATGCCCAACTAACTGACCTCATGATCCACCTGCCTTGGCCTCCAAAAGTGCTGGGATTACACGTGTGAGCCACCACACCTGGCCTAGTTCAAATTCTTGTTCTATTACTTTGCTGTCTGACCTTGGGCAAGTTTCTTAACCTCTCTGTTTCAGTTTCCTCACATTTAAGGCAAGTAGTAGTTCATATTTCACAGGATTATTCCAAAGATTAAATGTGTTAATAAATTACAGGGCTTAGAATAGTATCTAACACACAGTAATCACTATAGAAGTCTTGTTGCTCTTTTATTTTAGTGTTCCTTAACTAAGTACTGCAACATCTTCCTACAAGCAGTTCTCCTTTTTCTGTTTCCATTACTGTCTCTTACCCCTCCGTCATGTACCTGCCCACAAATGCCTTATTGATACATTCTTTATATTAATATGTTCAATTAAGTTTTAAGCTAGCCTGAGACCCATTCTGTCTCTTGAAGGAACTTTGCCTACCACTACTCATAGCCATCATATGTTGATTTATAGTTTAATCTCATAGGACAATTTTATTTTTAATTTCTTAAGAGGAACCTTGATTCTGCTCATCGTGACTTTTGCTCATCCCCCAAAGACTGCCTTCAGAATCCTATCATTTCTATGTATAGTCATTACCACAGGCTATATAAATGTCTACCCATTTGGTAAAACAAAAGGTAGATCATAAATTATTAATTGTTATCAAGATTCGATTATAACATCTTCAGTGAGCATCTGCTACTTATGAAAGAGTTGAACTTATTTCCAAAGATCATGATAGAATAAAACATGTCAGATGGCATTTTTAGAATTTCCAGACTACTTTTGTAAGAAGTTAGCTCACTATGAATGAAAGCATTTATAGATAACGTTAATGGTTACTGACATGACATTTATTTAGGTCAAATGCTGGAGCATAAATCAATGGAGATCCCAAATAAAATTTTCATTGGTAAACAAAGACAAAACAGTATTTCAAAATGCCACATTTATTCTTTTAATGTTAAAATATCCTTTAAAAAATAGTAGTGATAGTGATGGCCCATGCTTATAAAGAGCTTACTATGCGCCAAACAGTTCTATACACTTAATAACTTTTAGTTTGTTTAATCCTTACCACAACCCTATGAAGTATCATTGTTTACATTTTGCAAGTTAGGAAACTAAGACAAAAGAGATTAAATAACTTCCCCACAACTGCAAACTAGTAATTATAACAAATAACATCTAACATTTACATAGCTCTTACTATGTGTGAGACACTATTCTCAGTGCTCACAAGCATCCATGAGGCAGGTACTGTGCTTACCTCGTTTGAGCACTGAAAGGCTAAGTACCTGGCCTAAGGTTACATACTTCTAATTAGTGGGTAAAGCCAAAAGTCAAGCACTACACTCTTGACTAAGGGACTATTTTGAGTAAGAGGCAGTCAGGGGATTTTTATTTTTAATGTCTTAAGAAGTTGGTGATTCTGTATTGGTCCCTAAAGATCATTTTCAGTTTTTTGTAGTAAATGGAATCTTGAAATCTAAGAACTGATGAGCTAAGCAGTGTCCTAGAGTAGCAACTCTGAGTTCACACCTTATCCAGTGTAATATTAGAAACCTTGTTTTAAAAATGCACTATTTTGATATATTTTTGGTTTGACAGAAGACAGCTGCTGAAACTCTTTCTCTCTCATCACTCCTGTTCAGCCGATGTCTCACCCAAGCCCATGTAGTCAACATAAAGAAATGAGAAATTGCCAGCTCTTGGCTCTTATGCCTCTTCAAAGATTAATGAGCATTCAGGCTGCTTAGAAGGCATCCAGCTGTGGGTGAGATGGGCTTCCAGCCTGGCAGAGTAAACACTGAGGCCCGCAGTCTTGTCCCAGCTCTGCTGCTGGCGTGCTATGAGATTTCCCAGCCATCTGGGGTCTTATTGTCTTATTTTAAAATGGAAAGAATCCTGAGTCAACAGCAACATATGAAGTGGTTGCTGTGTTCCAGGGGCTTTTACAGATATTAGCTCAGTGAATTTTAATCCTCAGAACCACCCTGTGCAGCTGGTGGTATTACTCCCATTTTGCAATGAAAACCTTGATGTTCTGAGAGATTAAATGACTAGTAAAGATGGGATTGAACCATGGTCCTCCCTTTAACATGATAGATTAGTCCACATCATCTACAAGTCACCTCCAATATTAAGTATATTCAATTCTATAATTTCATGTTGAATTCTTTTTAAGAGATGGGGGTCTTGCTATGTTGCCCAGACTGGAGTGTGGTGACTGTTCACAGACAAGATCATAGCATACTACAGCCTCTAACTCCTGGGCTCAAGAGATCCTCCTGCCCCAGCCTTCTGAGTAGCTGGGAATATAGGTATGCAACACTGGCCCAGCATCATTCTGAATTCTTAAATGGGGTCATTTTTAGAAATTCTTATCTATGCTTTGGGTCTAGACTTTTTTTCCTAATCTGCTACAACCCAGTTATAACCTCATCTTGACTTTTAAATGTTTTTAGATTTTAATATCCTCTTTATAGTAATTTAATTACAATTTTGCCATAATCTCTGTTAACTATGATTTAACTTTTGCACATCTAATGTGCCCAATTCTTGATTATCTTTTAATGTTTTTAATTTTTTTAATCGTGTGATTTTTCAGGGTTATGTTTACTACTTAGTGAATTTTAGGCACAGGGTGCACAGTGCATGTATACACTTGAAGGGTTCTCTGATGCTTTTGCTTACACAAACTAAATTAATAGCCCCCCTTCTGCTATACTCATAATTATGAAAAAAAGAGTGAAGTGCTGCAATAAAAGCATACCTGATGCATGAAATTATAATAGAAGCAAATAAAAAAGAAAACTTTTTCTCCCCTAAATTAATATATAATATTTCTACAATAGAAATTCATCTCTTGGTGATACATTTAGGAGATTTTATATACTTAGGAAACTAAAATTGCCTTTAGCTACAGGTAAGCTGCCTAAATAGTAGTAGAAATGGAGAGAAGTGGGGTGAAAAACAAATATTTATGACCAAAAGGAATAAAAACTTAGCTGTCTTTGAAAAGATAAATTTGATTCACATAGGATAGTATTATATTATTTTCTCTTCAGAACACAATTTGTCATAGAATGGATCATAGTCTGAATGAACACTGAATAATTTTTTTAGGTTAATCGCCCTTACCTAAAAAGAACTTTGGGATACATAAAAATTAGAACATCAAGTAAACAACTTCTTACAATACTGAAGCCTACTTAATAAGAGAAATGCCGTTGCTTGAATCAGCCATCGGCTGATGACTCATCTCTTAAAGTAGGCCTCAACTACCGAGCAAAGAGATCCTTGCTTGGAGGGTTATGTATAATATAAGAGAAAGGAGGTTGCCATCTTGTAGCCTTTAAGTGATAACTTTTCGTGTTACTGGTACACTCCAGTAGGATTCTCTGGGGCCAGCTAAATCCACCTGGCATGAATTTCAAAATGCCCCATCATAAGGTAGTCTATTCACAGTTGGAGGTCTAGCCCTTACTCCCATTTCCTCTCTCTATTGATGTGTAGCTGTTGTAGGACACTCAGATCTCTATTATAGTCCACTGTGGTCTGTTCATTACCCAAGGAAATGGTTTCTCCACAGTTCTTGTTCTCAGTTTCTTACTAAGTTGTCAGTCACATTGCTTAAAACTTTGACCACCAAAATATCATTGCTCCCTAGCTTTGGAAAATGTATTTATAATTCTTCAAAAATTAAAATATTAAATAAATTGAGAGATCCATTAATTCATTTCTACCAAATAATTGTTGAGCACCTCCTAATGTTTAATTTCTCCTTTCCTCCTTCCTAGTCTACGGAAATGGGCATTAGTGTCTCCTTGCAAACTCAGACAAACTAATAGCTGAAGGGGGTAGTGGATTTATTTGTAAAGTTATTAATTTATGTACTGCTTGGAGCAACAAAAGTAATATCTTATTCCTAAAGGGCCTTTTGACCGGGCATGGTGGCTCACTCCCATAATCCCAGCACTTTGGGAGGCCAAGGCAGCAGGATCACTTGAGCCTAGGAGTTTGAGGTCAGCCTGGGCAACATAGTGAAACCCCATGATTTTTCATTTAAAAAAAAAATTAAAAATAAAACAGAGGGCCGTTCCATAGTTTTCATTGTAGCAGAATAAATAAATATCTAATTTGTCAGCAAAATATGTGAAAGCAAGATCTTATGATAACCTCACCTGGGAAGTAAGAAATATATGTATTTTGGTATGTTAATGTATGGGTGACAGAACAAGCTGCAGAGGAGACTAATAATTTATTTTTAAAATATCAAAATATAGGCTGGGCATGGTAGCTCCCGCCTGTAATCCCAGCACTTTGGGAGGCCAAAGCAGGCAGATCGTTTTGAGCTCAGGAGTTTGAGACCAGCCTAGGCAGCATGGCGAAACTGTATCTCTACAAAAAACACAAAAATTAGCACCTGTCGTCCCAGGTACTTGCGGGGCTGAGGTGGAAGGATAGCTTGAGCCTGGGAGGTCAAGGCTGCAAGTGAGCTGTGATCACGTGACTGCATTCCTGCCTGGGCGACAGTGAGACCCTGTGTCAAAAAAAAAGAAGAAGAAGAAGAAGAAGAAGAAGGGCCAGGCATAGTGGCTCACACCTGGAATCCCAGCAGTTTGGGAGGCTGAAGTAGGAGGATTGCTTCAGCCCAGGAATTCAAGACCAGCCTAGGAAATATGGTGAAACCCTGTCTCTACAAAAAACAGAAAAACTTTGTGCGTGGCAGCACAAACCTGTAGTCCCAGCTACTAGGGAGGATCACCTGAGCCTGCGAGGTCAAGGCTGCAGTGAGCCTAGATCACACCACTGCACTCCAGCCGGTGACAGAGCAAGACCCTGTCTCAAAAAAAAAAAAAAAAAAGTATTAAAATATAAAAGTTGGGCTATTTCTGTGTTTATAACACCTTTCCTTAATGAGAGGTGAATTTATAGGCTGTGTCTTCAAAATGTATAATAATTGAACCCAATATTAAATATAATACCAGACTCATTTCTCCTCTATTTGAGCATTTATCTCTATGAACTTTAATCTATAGCCATTTAAACTGCTAATATTTAAATATACCCAAATTATTTCCTGTAAAATTATGGGAAATTATTGTTTTTTAATATTTTAATTTTTTAACTTGTTCTTTTTGAAATAATTTTAGACTTAACAAAAATATTGCAAAAATGGTACCAAAAAAATCCATTACACCTTTCATCCAGATTCCTCAAATGCTAACATCTTACATAATTACCGTATAATTATTTTTTTCAGGAAAATAACATTGATACAAAACTGTTATCTAATTTACAGATACACACATTCCCACTACTGTCCATTTTCTGGCCCAGTTTCCAATCCAGAATCACACGGTGTGCTTGGTTTCATATCTCTTTGGCTTCAGCCAGTCTGTGACAGTTTCTCAGTCTTTGTTGACCTTGTGACTTATGAAGAGTACTGCCCATGTATTTTGTAGAACGTCCTTTAGTTTGGGTTTGTCTGATGTTTCCTTACAGTTCAGTTCAGGTTATGTATTTTGGTTCCGAATACCTCAGAAACAACATCGTGTCATCCTCAGTGTGTCATATTTGTTCCCGTTACTGATTATGTTAACTTTGATCACTTGGCTAAGGTGCAGTCTGCCTAGTTTGTTCACTGTAAAGTTACTGTTTTTTTCCATTGTGATATTTACTAGGAGATTCTCTGGGACCATGTAGATAACCTGTTTTTCAATATGATTACAAGGTCCCACAGTATCTCCCTTTCACCCACAAATGTTAGCATCCATATAAATACCCAAAGACAAATAAAGAGATAAATGCCATTCATTGAATCAGTCATCAGCTGATTATTCATCTCTTAAATTAGGCCTCATCTTCAGAGCAAGGAGTAAAATGTTTAGTAGTCTTAAACGTTTTGATTTTAAGAAACAAAAGTAAAAGGAGCACATCATTTGAATATGATGAATTATTTTGGAACAAAGAATTAAATTGTTTGTTATATGCAAATAAATACATAAAAAACAACCAAGAAAACCTCATAAAAATCCCCAGAATCACTGGATAAAAATTTAAAAATAAAGAAAGTGCAATCCCAATAAGACTTTAATGTTGACCATTCATTAGGAAAAAAGCCTACTGCAATAGTCCTGTCGATAAAAAAAAGAAGAAATTGAGAAAATAAAAAAGCCAACTATTAGAAGAATTTAGGGCCTAAAGAAAATTATATTTCTTTTTCTTTTTCTTTTTTTTTTTTTTTTTTGTGACAGAGTCTTGCTCTGTCATCCAGGCTGGAGAGCAGTGGCACGATCTTGGCTCACTGCAACCTCCACCTCCTAGGTTCAAGCAATTCTCCTGCCTCAGCCTCCCAAGTAGCTGGGATTACAGGCACCTGCCACCATGCCCAGCTAATTTTTGTATTTTTAGTAGAAATGGGGTTTCACCATGTTGGCCAGGCTGGTCTCGAACTCCTGACCTCAGGTGATCCACCTGCCTCAGCCTCCCAAAGTGCTGGGATTACAGGCGTGAGCCACCATGCCCAGCCTCATAAATTATTTTCATACCATATAGAAAGCATAATGATAAGAATATGCATACTCTACCATGTTTATTGTTATGGAAATACAGAAGAAAGGCAATTAACTCAATCTAAGTAGAGTTAGGGGTGTGGGGCCTATCAACAAATGTTTTCTAAAGGAGGTGATAGCTGAGCAGTCTTTAAAATGAGTAGAAGTTAGCAAGGCAGAAAAAAGATTATATTCCCAGCAGAAGTGACATCAGAGGTTCATAAGTGATAAACTTGGGTTTATGCATGGAATTGCAAACCAATCAATATTCCTAGAGCATGAAGAAAAGGTAAGGTAGCTGAGATGGGGAGGATTGAGCAAGGGCCAGATCATGGTGGGCCTTGTATGTACCACATTAAGGCTCTTGGACTTTATTCTAGGGTAGTGAAAAGCAATTGAGGATGATTAAGCAGGATAGTGGTATTGTCATGTGTTTATGTGTGTAGATTTCTTTAGCAGCCATGGGGGAAAGTGATTTGAAGGAGACAGCTGGGTGCAGGCAGACCAAGTAGGAGATTGGAAGTATCCCACAGAGATAAAACTAATGGATGAAATAGGGAAGTGGTAGTGGGTCAGAGCCAGGGACAAATTTGAGAAATATTTAGGAGCAAAATGGTCGGAATTTAGGGATTAATTAGATGGGAAGATGAGAGAGGGAAACAAATCTGAGAAGTCCCTAGTTTCTAGTTTGCATGAGTAGGTAGCTAATGTGACACAAAAATAGAAAATACAGAAATAGCAAATCTGTCCACTCTTCTCTAGCCCACCACCCAACATCTACCTATCTCCTCTTTCTCAGCAGACAACCCTGCCTCCTCTTTCATCAGGAAAATTGAGGACATCATAATTATCTCTCTTAACTAGCTGCTGTAACATGTACCTACTCTCTGTCTGGTCCCTCACCCATCCTTATCTCTTTCCAAGCTCTCAAACATTGAGTGATCTTTCCTGGCTCAAGGTTAAAGCCCACCACCTGTGCATCCCACCTGCTTCTAGGACCTTGTTCCATGCATTACTTCCTTGCTTTCCTTTATTCTCCACTTCATTCATTATTGCTTTATCACCTTCTCTTCAAAACTTTCAGAATCCTTGTCTATACTCACTGTAATCACTTCCTTACTTCTCAACCCATTGCAGTTTGACTAACAAACTTTCCAACACACATATGTACATACATACATACAACCCAGGTATCTGAATCAAATGAAATTTTTTGGGCCCTTAAAGTTTCTTCTTTTAGATCTGTGGTTCCTTGACGGAGGCACTGTGGGACATCACCAAATATTTTAAATATTTATGGGAAACACTGATACTTGATATCTTTCAGGCCCTATGCAAACTGCAAGTTCAAAGCAGTACAGTTTCAACATTAGATTACCCTGCATTTATTTGAACAATATCAGGACTTTGTGAAGCTGGGTTTTCCATGGTTGCCGTGATAAAATGCACGCACTGCACAAAAATGAGTGTGGAACAGGAAATGACACTGACAGTGTCCACTGATTCCAAGGTTTGAGAAGTTCTATAGTGCTCAACAGGTGCACACATGCTATTAAATATTTGTGATTAGTTAAGAATGAAATAGGAATATGAGTTTTTCTTTCAGTGTCTGTGTATTTTTTTAAGTCACTTTTAAGCTGTTAGGACATAGATACTTATTAGGTTGTTTAGACCTAATGACTTTAAAAATTGAACTGTTAAGCATTTCTTTTAGCTTGGGAGACACTGAAAAATTTACAGGAACACTAAAGGTGCTAAGAATCTCTGACCTACACCTTGGCTTCGCAGTATTGACCCCATGGCTTTCACCATTACCAAAACACAGGGAGTTGTGGACATCCAAGACCAAGACAGTATAAATGTGCCCTTGAATGAATCATACTTCATTTTGTTAATTTGTGTGGATCACTAAAATTAGAAAGATATTCCTTTCACATGAAAGTTACATTTGAGAATAGCTTCATATATTTTATTTTAATACATTGACTAAAACCTACTTTGTTTTTCTTTTCTTTTCTTTTTTTTTTTTTTTTTTTTTTGAGACAACGTTTCATTGTTACCCAGGCTGAAGTGCAGTGGCGTGATCTCAGCTCACTGCAGCCTTGACTTCCTGGGCTCAAGTGATCCTCCTGCCTCAGCCTGCTGAGTAGCTGCACCACCATGCCCAGCTAATTTTTGTATTTTTTGTAGAGATGGGTTTTCACCATATTGTGTAGGCTGGTCTCGAACTCCTGGACTCAAGCGATCCGCCTACCTCAGTCAACTAAAGTGCTGGGATTACAGGCATGAGCCACCACACCCAGCTGTATGGCACTCTGAAATTGTTTGGGCACATGATATATATGGACTTAATGTCAAATAACCAAATTTGAGTCTGATCTGTACCATTTCCTATCTAGTGTCAGCTAGCTTTATGCAAGTCATAGAACCTCTCTCAAGATTTCCTTTTTTTTCCTTCATAAAATTGGCCTAACATGGGGAAGGAGGACTGGAAGACTTTCTCATGCTCTTAAGAATTATACCTGCTTATATTTCTAAAAGAGAAATACAAAGTATTCGTATGCTACCAATAATAAATATTTTAAACATACCATAATTATCATCATCATTGCTAGTTTTTCTAGCCCCTCAGATTCTGCATATTGTCTTAAATTACTAGGTTATCACTGAATCATTAGTCATTGCCAGTGCTAGATACTGTCCAAGGCAAACATAGTCCTCAAAACATAGTCCTGGTCCCTGTATGTTATATAATTTTAGAATAATGTCATATAAATCATATGGTACATGCACACATAGTAAAATATATTTTTACGTTTTGTGCTTTAACTAATATCTGTTTAGTATTTGTTAACCATGGAGTTATGGAAAAACTTAAGCTCTGAAGTGAGACAGAACTTTGTTGAGAACTCGTCATTGCCATTACAAGCTGACAGCTAAAGTGCAATTTCACAAATGCCAATGAGAGAATAATGAACTCCTCAGAGTTGTTGGGGGGGTTAATGATGACCCATGCAAAGTGCTTATGTATCATGTATATAAAAGGCGTTGAACAAATGTTTTTATCCCCAGCAGTAAGAAGCAATGAAAGTAGGCTTTGGGTATATTTGTGCTGAAAATTAGATTCTATCAGGATATAAAGAAATGGTTTAAGCAAGTTGTAAAGAATCTAGGATAAGAGTGACTAATTTTAAGATGAATTAAATGGTACTTGTTCTATTTAATACATACTAGTGAAAATATTTCAATGGTACTGGTTGTTCTAGGCAGCACTTAATATGAAAAAAATGAGTTATGATACATGTCTATTCCTTTAATGAAAACTTTTTAAAAATACAGTTAAAAAGAGAGTAGGCTGAGCACAGTGGCTCATACCTGTAATCCCAGCACGTTGGAAGGCCAAGGCAGGTGAATCACTTGAGGTCAGGAGTTCAAGACCAGCCTGGCCAACATGGCAAAAACCCTGTCTCTACTAAAAATACAAAAATTAGTTGGGCATGGTGGCACGCACCTGCAGTCCCAGCTACTCAGGAGCTGAGGCACAAGAATTGCTTGAACCCAGGAGGCAGAGGCTGCTGTGAGCTGAGATCATGCCACAGCACTCCAGCCTGAGCAACAGACTGAGACTCTGTCTCAAAAAAAAAAAAAATGGTAATACAACACATTCCCATTTACTCACCATTCAAAACTAACAAATTTCAGCTCTCTGTCATATTTGCTTCAGATATTTAATTTTCCTGTTAAAAAAATTAAATACTTTCAATAAGGGTAAAGCTCCCTTTGTACTGTTTTCTAGTCCCTTTCATCTTCCTTCCTCCTCAGATACAATTGCTATCATAAATTTGATGTGGATCCTCCCATTCAAATTTTTATATTTATACTGATCCTAAATATATATGTGTAAATAATTTTTATGACTGTACTTTCAAGTTTATGTATATTTTGTGAGTGTCCTAATCCTTGCTTTTTTTAACATTATATTTTTGAGATATAACATTCATGGAATGTTTATAATGCCATTCTTCGTTTCTTAATTTGTCAGCACTTTCTCATCCATTGAGTCAGATGAAGAGTGTAATAGCAGCTCACACCATAAAAGGGTTGAGAACTACTGACTTTAAATGCCTTTCTGGTTTGAACTAAACCATTATTTTACAGAGTTCCATGCTATTCAATTATATTTCTTTGCTTAAGAGTTTAAATTCTAGCCAGCATTTATTTTCAGTGTGGTTAAAACAACAACAGAAAAAAAGGTCAGGCATGGTGGTTCATGCCTGTAATCCCAGTACTTTGGGAGACTGAGGTAGGTGGATTGCTTCAGCCAAGGAGTTCAAGACCAGCATGGGCAACATGGTGAAACCCCATCTCTACAAAAAAATACGAAAAATTACCTGTGTGTAGTGGTGCACACCCGTAGTCCCAGCTACTCGGGAGGCTGAGGTGGGAGGATCACCTGAGCCAGGGAAGTTGAGGCTGCAGTGAGCCAAGATTGCACCACTGCACTCCAGCCTGGGCCACAAGAGTTGAGACCCTGCCTCAAAAAAAAAACAAAAAAACACAAAACTATCACATTTTGTATTATCATATGCAAATTGATCTGCCTACAGCCAAAGCTTACCATTAATCTACAGCTATGCCCCATCATTCAAACTTGTTCAAAAGATTGTATTATAGAAATTTTACTTCTAGATAGAATGTGGATTAAATCTCATTGTAGATTTTGTATAAAATGATGAATTTCTGATACCACATACCTTTGTTCAGGCTTTGTTTGTCTCTTGTTTTTGTTGTGTTGTTTTTAACAGCTTCATCACTGGTCCAGCTGTAATACCAGGGTACTTCTCCGTTGATGTGAATAATGTGGTACTCATTTTAAATGGAAGAGAAAAAGCAAAGATCTTTTATGCCACCCAGTGGTTACTTTATGCACAAAATTTAGTGCAAATTCAAAAACTCCAGCATCTTGCTGTTGTTTTGCTCGGAAATGAACATTGTGATAATGAGTGGATAAACCCATTCCTCAAAAGAAATGGAGGCTTCGTGGAGCTGCTTTTCATAATATATGACAGCCCCTGGATTAATGACGTGGATGTTTTTCAGTGGCCTTTAGGAGTAGCAACGTAAGTACAAAATATGATTAAACATTTTTAGGCCCTAACACCTGAATTTCTGAACCAGGAAGACTTATTCAAAATTGTAATAAATTTAGTTCTTCTGGGATTATTGAGGCCAGGTACAGTCTTTCTCAGAGATAAAAACAGGGTGTGGTCGCATCCTTCAATAACAATTATGATGTTTTTAAGAGTATTTTATTCTTTAATGAGGAGATGAGTTACTTTTTTTCTTTTAAAACCCCAAGGCATAGAATGGATTTTTCAAGCTTATTAGGAGTGCCATAAAAATATATTTAGCAGAGAAATGGCAGATAGATTTTTTTAAAAACAATGATAGTATCTATATATAGTAAAAAAAGGCAATATTATTATATCAGGAATATACCGTACCATTGTGTTTGAGACTGGCTGAATTTATACAAATCTCTTCTATAAAAGGAGGGATTAATTAAATGATAGCTAAGGTTTCTCAAGATACAGTCTTTTAGGCCAGGCGCAGTGGCTTACTGCCTGTAATCCCAGCACTTTGGGAGGCCAACTAGGCAGATTGCTCGAGTCCAGGAGTTCAAGAGCATCCTGGGCAACATGGCAAAACCCTATCTCTAAAAAAAAAAAAAATCAAAAATTATCCGGGCATGGTGACATGGACTCCTGTATGGCGCCTCTAGTCCTAGCTACTCATGAGGTTGAGGTGGGAGGATCACTTAAGCCCAGGAGATTGAGCTGAGATTGTACCACTGCACTCTAGCCTGGGCAACAGAGTGAGATGAGACTGTCTCACCAAAAAAAAAAAAAAAAAAAAAAAAAAAAAAGATATAGTCTTTCTCCAGCTATAAAATGGAAAACATATATTTTTATCTTTCTGTTAATAGGATGTTTTTAATTAAGAGCAAGTTGACTTTAAGATAAGTTGCCACTAGTATATAAACCTCCTGAGAGCAGGGATTTTTGTCTCTTTTGTTCACTGTTCTATCCACAGAGCCTAAAACAGCACCTGCAGAGTAGGTATTCTGTATTTGTTGAGTGGATAAATTATGAAAAATCTCACTGACATGATTTTTGAATCATACATTCATTATTCATCATTCTGTCCCTGGTTGCGGGATGTGGCCTTAGACTGCTGCCTAGTTAGCGACACAGATGTCACTGGCACATCTGTGCCAGTAATGAGATGTATTCCCAAGCCTACTCCTATAACACCCTAACTCAGTAGGTTTGGGGTAAGGCCAGACAAAAAGGTTCTTGTTAAGTAAAGCCAGGTTTAAGACCCTCTTAAAAATCTATTTTTTGAGCAGAGCCTGCATTTGTAAAATGTTTTCATATAGTATAAGATGGAACCTCTTGGTAATCATGATGTTGTTGCACTAGGCCAGTATATTTCTTATATAGGTCTGTGGTTCTCAACCAGGGGCAATTTTGCCCACCGGGAGGCATTTGGCAGTGTCTGGAGACTTTTTTTTTTTTTTTTTTTTGAGACGAAGTCTTGCTCTGTCACCCCAGCTGGAGTTCAGTGGCACGATCTTGGCTCTCTGCAACCTCTGCCTCCCAGGTTCTAGCCATTCTCCTGCCTCAGCCTCCCAAGTAGCTGGGATTACAGGTGGGCATCACCACTCCTGGCTAATTTTGTATTTTTTATAGAGAGGGGGTTTCGCCATGTTGGCCAGGCTGGTCTCAAATTCCTGACCTCAAGTGATCTGCCTGCCTTGGACTCCCACAGTGCTGAGATTATAGGCATGAGCCACTGTGCCTGGCCTGGAGACGTTTTTGATTGTCACAACTGGAGGAAAGAGGTTGTCACAACTGGTATCTAGCAGATAGAGCCCAGGGATACAGCTGAACACCCCACAATGTATAGGACAGCCTCCACAAGAAAAAATTAACCCAAAATGTCAGTAATGCTGAGGCTAAGAAACCCTGTTATATACAAACTGTTAGGTAAAATTTTGTTCTCGTGTGAAAGTTACATTTCAGGTACACAGTTTAATCCCTGGTATTTCCAAATGCTCATAAAAATAGGTAACTTTTCCTGTATGGCATACCATGGTTTTATCTGTCAGTTTGTTTTAATCTACTTGAAAAGCCCTTGGGATTAATTTTTCAGAGCCCTTTGCAATAGCAAAATATATAATCTTTCCTTTTTTTTAATTGACAAATAGTAATGGTATATGATAATGGGGTACAAATGATGTTTTGAAATATATTTACAACGTAGAATGCTTAAATCAGACTAACAAATCCGTAACCTTATATACTTAACAATTTTTGTGGTAAAAACATAACATCTGCTGTTTTAGCAATTTTGAAATATACAGTGCATTATTATTTATTATAGTCACCCTATTCTGTGTGATAGATCACTAAAGCTTATTCCTCCTGTCCAACTGAAACTTCATACCCTTCGATCAACATCTTCCTTTTCCCCATCCATCTCCCTCCCCTGGAGTATTCTGTAATCTTTTCATCACCTGGTTAAAATGTTGCTTAAATCGTGATCATTATGAATAGAGAAGAGTCTTTATACTTTGAAGGTTTTGAATGTAACATGCCTAACAGCTGCAGATGAGTAATGCAAGTTAAAGAATGTCAAAAACAAATAACTTTAGGCACAACATCTCTGTAACACTTTTGTAAGAGATGTCAGTGTGAAATTCAATTTTTTTAAGTCAGTAGATTCAGGGAGTTTTCCAAAGTATTCATGGAAAATTACAATTTGAGATTTAGAAATCACATTTTAAACCTCTTCTGTATACTTCTTGCTACCTAAGAGATTGGGTTATGGGGAATTTTTGCCAATTCTATATCATATGTTAATTCATGTGTATTTATTTTTATAGATACAGGAATTTTCCTGTGGTGGAGGCAAGTTGGTCAATGCTGCATGATGAGAGGCCATATTTATGTAATTTCTTAGGAACGATTTATGAAAATTCATCCAGACAGGCACTAATGAACATTTTGAAAAAAGATGGGAACGATAAGCTTTGTTGGGTTTCAGCAAGAGAACAGTAAGTTCTATGCTTATTTAATTCATTCATTTTGTTCTCCAGTCTGAGAGTTGCTTTATGTAGAAACACAGGTTTCCAAAGAGGCATTGTTAACTCTATTTGTACCAATCTTTCCCCAGAAGATACATTAGTAATTAAAACTGTGAAAAGACTGGGTTGTACACATTTAGAATAGAGAGAACCGCCTATGACTGTAGTCCATCTTGAAGAGGAACACTGGTAACTGTCATTTGCAAATTTCAGTTGTTAGGGTTTCCTCAATAATATTTGTTAGTCACACAGGAGATTATAGATGCTAATGAGATACTTAGGTTCATCACTGAGATGTTGTGCAGTGGACCAATTCAGTGTTCCAAGACCGGTGTGCAGGTCTCACAAATTCAGGAATTCAGGAACCTGACACCATCTTCAGGACATGGACCTTGTATTCTTCTGTGAATCCCCAGATCTAACATAGGACCTTGCACAAAGTAGACCTAGGATAAATGGTGAGTGGATGAATGGTTGGATAGGGAGACTCAATAGGGTTAAATGTCTTCTTTTATGTAGTAACCAGGAAACAGGTGTTCATGTTGTGAAGGAAGTAAATTTGCAATCATTTATTTTGTTTTTAAATAGACAAATCAAGTTTTCAAATAAACAAAGCATAATGCAGAGTCATCAGGGAAGTAATGCCTTAAAAATGTCCAGTTAGGTCTGGAATTTTACTTTTTAAATTATAGCAGGTACTCTTTATTGCTAATGTAACCATATCATATTCGTTCAGTCAGTGTTTACCAAGCAATTGCTCTATGCCAGAAACTTGTTTACCCACAGTAAATACAGCAGTGAACAAAACAAAGTCCATGCCCTCCTGGCACTTAAATGCTTGTTGGAGTAGACAAGCAAGTAAAATATATTGTGTGTCAGAAGATGATAAATGCCCTGTAAAAAATTAAGCAGAAGAATGGCATAGAAAGAGCTTGGGTGTTGGTGGTGGAGCATTTGCTATTTTGGAATAGCCAAGAAAGGCATTCATTAGAAGGTTACATTTATGCACAGGCCTTAAGAATGTGCATGGGTGAGTCTTGTGTATATTTGGGAGAAGACTATTCCAGACGTAGGGAAGAGCAAAGGCCCTGAGGCAGGCAGGAATGTGCTTACTATGTTACAGGAACAACAGGGCCAGTATGTCTGGAGTGGAATGAATGAGGACAGTGTAAAATAACAAAGGTTATTATGGGAATAATTCTTGTAACTCCTCTCATACCATTGAGCCAGAGGTTTGAGTAGATGTTTTCCTTGTTTCTCATTGTTGCTTCTAGACTATTCTCCCCTTTCCCTCCCTAATAATCCCAATTTTGAAACTCATGTCAGCAGACAAAACCATCCATCACCCTTACTCTCTGAAATCATGCACTTACCCTTGGGTTTCTCCCCCTACTTCTTCGAAGAGTTTAGCTCCTGGTACTCTCTAGCTCTGTCTGACACTACTCTGTTCTCAATTCTTAGTGACTGGCAAATCTACATAGATGGTCTTTCTGTCATTTTGGTCTTTGCAGTTCCTTCACCTCCCCTCCTCCAATAATCTGGGCTTCCACCTGACCTCAGCCATTCTCTCTCATGGTTATTTCCTAGACTTTGTCATTACACATACTGCACCTTCTGAACATGATCTCAAGTCCCAGCATCTCTTTCTACAACCACCATCATCTGTCATTCCAGCTCATTCCGTGTAATAATCTGACTCTGACAATTCAGCTGGCACTTAGAATCTATTGTTCCTACTACCCTTTTGTTGTCCTTCACTCCCCTTTCTTCATTTTATTCTTCACCTAACTTAAATTTCATTGTCAATCATAATTGCCTATACCTTCAGCTCCCTAATTCCCTAATCTGGCAAACCATAACTCTGGTTAAATCCAGCTCTCTGCCTACTCCATGCCTGCACCCATGCAACTACACATAATTGGAGAAAGGTGCTAATTGACCTTTATTTAAACACGTGACTTTGAACCTCAGGTGCCCAGCAGTCTTATATTTCCCTTGTCCATATATTCTCCCACTCTCCTAGAAGGCTGTTTTATACCTTCTTCTCTCCTACACTCTAACACCTCCGCCTTTCTTACTTTATGACCCTATTGCTTATTTCACTGAGAATAGTCAGGAGAAAGCATCTATCTTTTTTTTTTTCTTTTGAGACTGAGTTTCACTCTTATTGCCCAGGCTGTAGTGCAGTGACAGGATCTCGGCTCACTGCAACCTCTACCTCCCAGGTTCAAGCGATTCTTCTGCCTCAGCCTCCCGTGTAGTTGGGATTACAGGTGCACGCCATCACGCCCGGCTAATTATTGTATTTAGTAGAGACGGGGTTTTACCTTGTTGGCCAGGTTGGTCTCGAACTCCTGACCTCAGGTGATCCACCCGCCTTGGCCTCATGAAGTGCTGGGATTACAGGCGTGAGCCACCGCACCCAGCCGCGTCTATCTTTCTTTACTGATCTTTCAGTTTCTACCCTTGCCCCTGTACAGTCCATTCTCAACACAATAGCCAGATTGATTCTGATGAAACCTACATCACGTCATGTCACCCCATGATCAAAAGCCTGCATGATAGAGTCCCGTGTGACCATTCAGACTTTATCTTCTGCGCCTGTTCCCTCAGTTACCCTACCTCAGCCACCCTGGCTTCCCCGCAGCTCCTTGAACATGCCAGGCACATGCTGTCTCATGGCCTTCACTCTTGCTTGCTCTTTTATCCCGCCAGATCTACGTGGCTTGCTCCTTCATCCCCAACTCTGTGCTCAGATGCTGCCGCAGTAAGACAGTCCCTCATCACTTATTTAAGATTGCAACCCTACCCCCTTAGAAACTCCTGCTCTACTTACTCCTTTGCTCTTTTCTCACAGTATTCTACCCCATCTAAATAATTTACTGACTTCACTTGGTCACTATCCATCTCCACCACTAGAACTAGAATATATGCTCCATGAGGGCAAGGTAGGGAAGAGAGGACCTAGCACTCCCAAAGTATCGGTTGAATTATTATTATCCATTCAGAAGTGTTACGGTGACTCCTAGATTTTATAAATGTACAACTGTAAAATGTTCCAATTCTTCAACATTTTTAAGAAATCTGTTTGGGCCAGGATTTTGGATATCTCTTATGCCTATCATCTCTATAAAGTTTCACCATTTCCTGAAACTGATTTTATTAAAAGATAAGGTATTTTTGTTCACAAACTATATACTTAGTAAAGTGAAAACTACAGTTGTTTTTCTGATTTTCTAGCTGGCAGCCTCAGGAAACAAATGAAAGTCTTAAGAATTACCAAGATGCCTTGCTTCAGAGTGATCTCACATTGTGCCCGGTCGGAGTAAACACAGAATGCTATCGAATCTATGAGGCTTGCTCCTATGGCTCCATTCCTGTGGTGGAAGACGTGATGACAGCTGGCAACTGTGGGAATACATCTGTGCACCACGGTGCTCCTCTGCAGTTACTCAAGTCCATGGGTGCTCCCTTTATCTTTATCAAGAACTGGAAGGAACTCCCTGCTGTTTTAGAAAAAGAGAAAACTATAATTTTACAAGAAAAAATTGAAAGAAGAAAAATGTTACTTCAGTGGTATCAGCACTTCAAGACAGAGCTTAAAATGAAATTTACTAATATTTTAGAAAGCTCATTTTTAATGAATAATAAAAGTTAATTATCTTTTTGAGCTAACATGTGATTTTTAAAATCATTTTGACTACTGGGTGTATAAATGTGTTTGTGTGTGTATGTATTTATAGATGTTCTTTAAGGTACCCTTGAAAACTCTACATTATGTATGCCACATAATGACATTTCAGTCAGTGGTAGACTACATATATGATAGTGGTCCCATAAGATTATAATGGAGCTGAAAAATTTCTATCGCCTAGTGATGTCATAGCCTAGTGATGACATATGTATTGCAATACATCACTCACGTGTTTGTGGTGATACTGGTGTAAACAAATCTATTGCACTGCCAGTCAAGTAAAAGTACAGCAATTATGTCCTGTACATAATATTTAATAATGACAATAAATGACTATGTTACTGGTTTATGTATTTACTATACTATACTTTTTACAATTTGTATTAGTTCTTGCATTGCTATGAATAAATGCCTGAGATTGAGTAATTTATAAAGAAGAGAGGTTTAATTGGCTCACAGTTCAACAGACTGTACGGGAAGCATGAAAACTTCAGGAAACTTAACAATCCTGGCAGAAAGCGAAGGGGAAGCAGACATGTCTTCACGTGGCCAGAGCAGAGGGAAAAGGGGGTGGGTGCTACACACTTTTAAACAACCAGATCTCACAAGCACTCACTACCAGGAAAGCAGCACCATAGGGGAAATCCACCTCCATGACCCAATCTCCTCCCACCAGGCCCTGCCTCCAACACTGGGGATTACAATTCAACATGAGGTTTGGGTGAGGCACAGATCCAAACCATATCATCATTATTTTCGAGTGTACTACTTGTACTTATTAAAAAAAAAAAAAAAGTTAAACAGCCTCAGGCAGATCCTTCAGGAGGTATCCAGAAGAAGAAGGCATTGCTATCAGGAGATGGCAGCTCCATGCCTATTATTGCCCCTGAAGGCCTTGTGGTGGGGTGAGATGTGGAGGTGGAAGACAGTGATGTTAATGATTCTTACTCTGTCTAGGCTTAGGCTAATGCGGTTGTGTCTTCATTTTTAACAAAAAGTAAGAAAATAAAAGTAACAAATTTTTTAAATTTTTAAATAGACTAAAGTTTATAAAATAAGGATATAAAAAATATTTTTGTACAGCAGTATAATGTTTTCAGCAGTGTTATTATAAAATAATCAAAAGGTTTAAAAAGTTATAAAGTAAAAATTTACAGTAAGCTAACATTAATTTATTCGTCAAGAAAGAAAAATATTTTCTTTTTTCTTTTTCTTTTTTTTTTTTTTTTTGAGACGAAGTTGTTCTTATTGCCCAGGCTGGAGTGCAGTGCCATGATCTCGGCTCACCGCAACCTCTGCCTCCCAGGTTCAAGCGATTCTCCTGCTTCAGCCTCCCAGGTAGCTGGGATAGCAGGCACCTGCCACCACGCCCAGCTAATTTTTTATATTTTTAGTAAAGACGGGGTTTCATCATGTTGGCCAGGCTGGTCTTGAACTCTTAACCTCAGGTGATCCATCTGCCTTGGCCTCCCAAAGTGGTGGGATTACAGGTGTGAGCTATCGCACTCAGCCAGAAAAATATTTTTTTATAAATTTAGTGTAGGTTAAATATACAGGGTTTATAAAGTCTACAGTAGTTTACAGTAATGTCCTAGGTCTTCACATTCACTCACCACTCACTCATTCACTCAGAGCAACTTCCAGGCCTGCAAGCTCCATTCATAAAAGCTCTACACAGATGTGCCATTTTAATATTTTATATCATATTTTTACTGTACCTTTTCTATGTTTAACTACACAAATACTTACATTTGTGTTACAATTGCCTATGGTATTCAGTACAGTGAAGTGCTATACATATAGGTTTGCATCCTAGGAGCCATAGCCTAGGTGTGTAGTAGGCTGTACTATTCAGGTTTGCATAAGTACACTCTATGATGTTTGCATGACAAAACCATGTAAGGATGTGTTTCTAAGGACATACCCCTGTCATTAAGCCATGCATGGCTATAGTTCTTTAGTATCTTCAGAAAGAATTAGAGTCCCGCTTGCTGTAAGTTGTCTGGCATATGACTTGGCATCTTCAGTGTGTCACAGGCCCTCAAATGGCTCTTTTAGCCCCACCTAGATGTCTTTTGGGCACTTAAACCACATAACTACAACTGTATTCGTTATTGTCTTTTTCCACAATATACACACACAAACCTATTTCCTCTCAAACATTTTTAATTTCAGTAAATGGTTTCATTAGCTGTTTCCCAAGCTACAATCTGTAACATCATATTTATTCCTCCCTATTCCGCCAATTAATCACCAAATTATGTGCCTTTTACCCCCAAGTCTTCCTAGAATAAGGCCTCTCCCTCCATCCCCACCACCTCTCCCTCATTTGCAGATTTTGTCTTGTCTCAGAGGGACAACCACAATAGTGTGTCTTCCCTGCCTCTCCAACTCTCAGCACTGCCTTAGTTTCATGGGTGCAAGTTAATCATTTCCAATTTCAACAAACTTTAAATCTGAAATGTCAAGTTCATTGAAGGAAAAATGCCATGAAGGAATAATAATAGGTCAGCCTCGGTGGCTTGTGCCTTGTAATGCTGGAGTTTTGAGAGGCCAGTGCAGGAAGATCACTTAAGGACAGGAGATCAAGACCAGCCTGGGTCACGTAGTGAGACCCATCTTTACAAAAAAACTTTAAATTAGTGAAGGGTTGTGGCATGCAGCTGTAGTTCCAGCTACCTGGGGGGCTGAAGCAGCAATGAGCTATGATCACACCACCGCACTCCAGCCTGGATGACAGAGTGAGATCCCGTATGAAAAAGGAAGAGGAAGAGGAAGAAGAAGAGGAGGAAGAGGAAGAGGGAGAAGGAGGAGAAGGAGAAGAGGAAGAAGAAAAGGAAGAAGAGGAGGAAGGAGGGGGAGGGGGGAGGAGAAGGAGGAAGACAAGGAGAGGAAGAGGAAGAGGAGGAAGAAGAAGAAGGAGGGGAAGGAGAGGAAGGAGAAGGAGAAGGAGACACACACACACATATTCCTAAAATAGAAATACTATCAGGTCACAATCAATTAAAGGCATCTGTGGCATTTTGTTGCCTATATCTTAAAATTACCTTTTTTTTTCTTTTTGAGACAGATACTCACTTTTTCGCCCAAGCTGGAGTACAGTAGTGGTGCAATCTTGGCTCACTGCAACCTCTACCTCCTGGGTTCAAGCAATTCTCCTGCCTCAGCCTCCTGAGTACCTGGGATTACAGGCATGCACCACCACGCCCGGATAATTTTGTATTTTTAGTAGAGATGGAGTTTTTACCACGTTGGCCAGGCTGGTCTCAAACTCCTGACCTCAAGTGATCCACCTGCCTTAGCCTCCCAAAGTGCTGGGATTACAGGCATGGGCCACTGCACCCAGCTAAAATTAACATTTTATAAATTGTTATTCCAAGATCCTTCACAATCTGACTCCAACCTATTTCTCCAGCCTTGTCTTCTTCTACCCCTCAACAAGTGCTCGAGTTTTCCCTCATTATCTGTTCAGTAAACATGCTCTCTTGGGTATACTTTTATATAAGCTTTTTTCTCTTTCTGAAAAAAAATGTGTCATTCATACCACGATTTCAGTAGCTAAATAACATTCATTTCATTCAGTTACTAGATATATTTCTTTGTTAGTTTACCTCCTTCCACTGTAATATAAAACTCTAGCAGAAAAGGAGCTTTGAACATTTTTTTCACCTTTATCATGTATAAGCCACAGTAATTTTGAGTCTCTAACAAAGTAATGGAATCTATAGCATAACAAATACATCTAAACATATTTTTTGAGATATTATATTCTAAAAGTATGTTTTAATCAGCATGGTGCCAGGAAGGTGTATCTACACTGTGAGTGAATTCTTATTTCACGACAGAGACTATGTTTTGTCCTAGAGGGAAAGAATGAATCAAACAACTCTCCCTTTTGATTATTTGTAACAATGAAGCTGAAGAACTTAAACAGCACCCTTGCTTTTCTTTAACACTCATACACTTAAATTGATGAAATCGGCCAGGCATGGTGACTCCCGCCTATAATCCCAGCAGTTTTAGAGGCCAAGGCGGGCAGATCACTTGAGCCCAGGAGTTTAAGACCAGCCTGGGCAACATGGTGAAACCTAGCTCTACAAAAATACTAAAGTTAACTGGGCATGGTGGCATATGCCCGCAGTCCCAACTACTCAGGAGGCTAAGATGGGAGGATCACTTGAGCCCAAGAGGTCGAGGCTGCAGTGAGCCATGATCACGCCACTGCACTTCACCCTAGGCAACAGAACAAGATCCTGTCTGAAAAAAATAAATTAATTAATAAATTCATGAAATCTTGTACTGTTTTTCAAATTTATATTTTATTTAGGCAATTTTTTAAATAATGTAATATTTTTTCAGGTGGTAAATTTCTACCACAAAAACAATTTGATGTTACTGAGATTAATTACAAATTGAAGAAACAATCAGGTGTTGTATAAAAAAATCTTACCTATGAGATATATTATTTGATCTACAAAATAATTTGAGATTTAAAGCTATAACTAGCAAGTAGAACTTCTGAAATATAAAGTTTAATACATTATCAATAGTTTCTAACATAAGACCTTCATAAATATAAAACAACAGCTTAAATGTCTATGAAAAATCAGTATTCACAAGCATCGCCAATTATTGATAGTCATTCATTATACTTGTTACCATGAAAGCAGTAATTAAAACACTATTTTTTTTTTTTAATATGAAGTCTCACTCTGTCACCCAGGTTGGAGTGCAGTGGCACAATCTTGGTTCACTGAAACCTCCACCTCCTGGGTTTAAGCAGTTCTCCTGCCTCAACCTCCCGAGTAGCTGGGATTACAGGTGCCCACCACCACACCTGGCTAATTTTTCTACTTTTAGTGGAGACGGATTTTCACCATGTTGGCCAGGCTGGTCTCGAACTCCTGACCTCAAGAGTTCCAACCACCTCGGCCTCCCAAAGTACCGGGATTACAGGTGACCCACTGCACCCGGCCTAAAACACTATTTTAACAGTTATAGTTATTTTATTTAAGTAAGCTAATTAGGCAAAAATGTGTCTTCTAGTTTTGTACATTCTAGTTGGGTTATTTCCTGTAGCAGAAATACAGATTTTTTTAATACAGATATTTTTAAAGTTACCAGTTGAAAGGAAACTGCATTCTTTCTTTTTGACTTGCAATCTCACTCCCTAGGAGTCCTACATTTGTGCTAGAGGTGAAGTTGTTGCCAAAGCAGCCACAGCAGGGGACAGTACGGTCTAGGCTGTTCAACTGTCGAGATGCGTTTTTGTTGAACTACATCTTATTGCAAAGATTCATATGTGTCCTGCTTTACTGTTAAAATAACTTTTTCCAAAAAGAAGCAAATTATGCAAGTGAATATAGTACATTTTTTACAGTCTAGTGTGTGGCAAACTTCCACTAAAGTTTCACTAAAACACTCCTTTTACACAAACCTATTGAATAGTTACTATATTGCAGGTACTGCTCTAGGCAGCAAACCACAGTTTCTAGGACTTAATCTCATTGTCGGCCTTTAAATTTTGCAGAGTCTCTAATGTTAAAAAAAAAAAAAAGTCACACATTAACACATTAAGCACTTGAAAATCTCAGATGCTGAAGCCTTTGTCCTTTAGAATACACATTTTGCCTCTTTCATTATGATAACTGGTTGTATCAATCCCAACACAAATGACAGATTCTCGGATTGTTTACTGAGAGAAGTTAGTCAAATAAGCTTCCGTCTGTTGGTTGCCAAAATATCCAGATGGCTAAATCAACCTGGTATTTAAACTTATCTTCGATTCAGCTATGGTTTCTATGTGTCTGTCTTGCTTGAGATAGATTTGAATTGCTTTAAATAAATTATCTATTTACCTTTCTGAGATGAAAATGGAAAACACTACTGTTGCAACTTAACTTCCTGGGTAGTGAAGCCTTGGTTTTAAAAACCACATAGCAGAAGAGGAATTCCCCTGTCAGGCTGGAGGGGCCTCACTAAACCATCACCACTTTGCTCCAAATTGGCCCCTAATTCTTTCCAGGGAGGTGCAGTTTGGGCCTAAATTTTTTTTTTTTTTAGACGGAGCTTCGCTCTTTCACCCAGGCTGGAGTGAAGTGGCACAATCTCAGCTCACTGCAACCTCTGCCCGCTGGGTTCAAGCAATTCTCCTGCTTCAGCCTCCTGAGTAGCTGAGATTATAGGCGTGTGCCACCACGCCTGGCTACTTTCTGTATTTTTTTTTTTTCTTAGTAGAGATAAGGGTTTTGCCATGTTGGCCAGGCTGGTCTTGAACTCCCGACCTCAGGTGATCCACCCACCTCAGCCTCCCAAAATGCTAGGATTACAGGCGTGAGCCACCGTGCCCGGTCTTGGGCCTAAATTTTTAAAACATTCCTTGTTTGCGTTTTTCTCTCTTTGATTTACTCTCCTTTTGCAATCTGTTGTTTGAGATGCTTTATGTGTTTAAAGCTTTTAAAAATTCACTAAAAACAAAACAGAGAAACGTAATAATGAATCATTAACTCAGAAACACATTTCTAACTGCTGTTGACATTTTTTTTTTTATTATTTCCTACTGGCTTTCTGTTCCTTCCCTTCTCTTGCTAAAACTCCAGCTAGAGTTTGTTTTAGTTGCATAAAAACTCTTCTTCAGTGAGCTTTTGCTAAGCTATACCGCTCATCTGGTCTTGATTCTGACTTTGGATATTTTGTTCATCATGGATTATTTTACATTACTTTTGGTGGTAGTAATTGCATGAAAATATCACTCACCTTGATTACTATGCTGTTTGGCACCCCCTGAAGCTTGCCCCAATGAGAGTCCTTTACTCTCAGCACCCTAGTCCTGGCCTGATAATAAGCAACCTCAATATCTCAGTGGCGTACAAAAACAGACATGTATTTCTTGTCCTCATTACACTGAGGTTGCCTGTCCGCTGCAACTGTGCAGGGCATGGCTGGGCCCTGCTCAACTTGGTCCCACGTGTCTTAGTCTTTCCAAAACGCGTGAGGAAGGAGTAGCCCATCTCTGAAATATTTTATTCTCACAGTGAAGTATCAAAACCGGACAGGACAATCATTTCCGTACCTTGTGATGAGTCATGCCCTGGATCTCAAAGTTTCTGCCTAGAACTGGCACCCTGTCCCTTCAGCCCAGTTTCCAAAGGCCAAAGCAGTCACAGTGGCAAGCCTGAACTCAAAGAGGTGGAGGTGTATACTCCATCTTCTGAAAGAGACAAAATATTGGAAATAGTCTGAGTTACCACACCCTACTAGTGAAACCTGAAGTACAGGAGACATGGTGTTAAAGTCCTGGAGGCTATTCACAAGCATTCCAGTTCTACTCTCCTGAGCACGTGCTAGGATTACACTCAGTGGACCTCTTGGAAGCTAGGACTATCATTGTGGCTTACTTTAGCCAACAGAGTATAATGTAGGTAATGTGTTTCAATCCCTGGGAGAAGCCAAAGTATGATCATCTCATTCCATTTTTTCTTCTTCTTCTTTTTTTTTTTTCTTTTTATTTTTTGAGGCAGAGTTTTGCTCTTGTTGCCCAGGCTGGAGTGCAGTGGTGCAATCTTGGCTCACTGCAACCTCCGCCTCCCTGGTTTAATTGATTCTCCTGCTTCAGCCTCCCAAGTAGCTGGGGTTACAGGCATGCGCCACCACGCCCAGCTTATTTTTGTATTATTAGTAGAGACAGGGTTTCACCATGTTGGTCAGGCTGGTGTTGAACTCCTGACCTCAAGTGATCCACCTGCCTCAGCCTCCCAAAGTGCTGAGATTACACCTATGAGCCACTGCACTCAGCCTCTCATTCTCTTTGTCTACCTCACCAGTTAGGGAAGCTTGTGTCCAAATGGACCTCAGTCAGCCTGCATCCCTAAGTGAGAAGAACCCCCCAGCAACTCACAATGAACATGAAAAATGAGATACATAAATTTTTACTGTACTAAGTCATTGTGATTTGAGGGTTGTTTGTTGTCACAGCATAACCCAGCCCATCCTGACTAGCACATTTGGCTTTCAGGGATGCTTCCCCTCATTGTCTGGCTTATGCATTTCTAGGAAATGAAAGATAATCACTCTTCTCTGATAGGTTAACCAATTCTTCTAAAATTAGTGGTCTGATAAGAAGCAGGAGATTTACATAGTCTCAAAGTATTTCCTTGCAATATACTTAACTAGTTATAAAGGAAAAAACATACAAGTTTACAGTTGAGAAAGCACCAACTTAACCAACTGATCAATACATTATCAGTAATGGGATACGGGAAGGCACAGCAAGATGGTGGAATAAAAGTCTCCACCGATCTCCTTCCCACCCCCCACTGCAGAGACACCAATTTAATAATGGTCTACACAGAAAAGAACACCTTCATAAGAACCAAAAATCAAGTAAGCCCTTATCATACCTGAGTTTAACTTTGTATTGCTGAAAGAGCAATGAAGAGATAGAGAAAACAGTTCTGAATCATCAATGCCACCCCTCCTCATGCCATGGCATTGGCGGCATGGTGCAAAGAGCATCTATGGGTGCTGGGGGAGGGAAAATACAGCAATTATGAGGCATTAAACTTGGTGCTGTCCTGTTATAGCAGAAAGGAAAACCGGACCAAACTCAGCTGACATCCACCCACAGAGGGGGTCTTTCAACCAGCCCTAGCCAGAGGGGAATTGCCAACCCCAGCAGTCTGAACTTGAGTTCCCACAAACCTTGCCACTGAGGGCTAAAGTGCTCTAGGTCTCTAAATAAACTTGAAAGGTAGTCTAGGTCATAGGACTGCAACTCATAGGTGAGTCCTAGTGCTGAACTAGGCCCAGAGACAGTGGACTTGGGGGGTACATGACTACTGAGACATTAGCTGGCATAACAAAGGGAGTGCTGGCATCACCCCTCCCCTAACTCCAGGCTGCACAGCTTGCAGCTCCAAAAGGACCCCTTCCTTCCACTTGAGGTGAGGGAAGAACCACGAGGACTTTGTCTTGAATCTTGGATGCCAGGTCACCCACAGCAGGACAAAGCATCAGAGTCATGAGCTCCCTGTTCCAGGCCGTAGCTCCTGGACATTTCTAGACATGCCCTGGGCCAGAAGGGAACCCACTGTTTTGAAGGAAAGGATCCAGTCCTGGTGGCATTCATCACCTGCTAACTGAAGAGCCCCTGGGCTCTGAATAACCACCAGTTATACCCACGTACTACATCAAGAGCGTTGGTGAACCTCTGGAACTTGCTGGCTTCAGGTGAGACTCAGCATATTACCAGCTGTGGTAACTACAGGGAAAAACTCCTTCTGCTTGAGAAAAGCAGAGGAAAACATGAAGGCGACTTTGTCTTGCACCTTAGGTAACAGCACAGCCACAGCTGGGTAGAGCACCCAGTTGGCTCATGAGGTCCCCAATTCTAGGACTTGACCCTTGGTGGGCATTTCTGGACCTGCCCTGGGCCAAGAGGAGAACACCCCCATGAAGGGTGAGTCCCAGGCCAGGGACCATCCAAAAAAAAAAGCTGACTTAAGAGCCCTTGAGCCTTAAGGGAACATTTGCAGTAGTCTGGCCCAGACAGTGAACCTCTGGGATTTGCTGGCTTCAGGTGAGACAATAAACACTTAACTCTTCAATGCCCACACACAAGCAAACATCCTTAAGTATCAACACACTCTAGGAAAATGTGACTTCACCAAATAAACTAAATAAAGCAGTGGGAACCAATTCTGGAAAAACAGAGATACGTGAATGTTCAGATGAAAAATTCAAAATAGCTGTGTTGAAGACACTCAAAGAAATTCAAGATAACACAGAGAAGGAATTCAGAATTCAATTCTATAAGAAAAAATTTAACAAAGAGATTGAAATAAGAAGAATCAAGCAGAAATTCTCCAGCTGAAAAATGCAATTGGCATACTGAAGAATACATTAGAGGCCTTTAATAGCAGAATGAATCACGCAGAAGAAAGAATTAGTGAGCATGAGAACAGCTATTTGAAAATACACAGTCAGAAGAGACAAAAGAAAAAAATAATAAAAAACAATGAAGCATCCCTAAAGGATCTAGAAAATAGCCTCAAAAGGGAAAATCTAAGAGTTATTGGCCTTAAAAAGGAGGTAGAGAGACAGGGGTAGAAAGTTTATTCAAAGCGATAATAACAGAGAACTTCCCAAACATAGAGAAAGATATAAATATCCAAGTACAAGAAGATTACAGAACACTAAGGTGATTTAACCCAAAGATAACTACCTTAAGGCATTTAATAATCAAACTCCCACAGGTCAAGGATAAAGAAAGGATCCTAAAAGCAGCAAGAGAAAAGAAACAAATAACATACAATGGAGCTCTAATATATCTGGCAGCAGACTTTTCAGTGAAAATCTTACAGGCCAAGGGAGAGTGGCATGACATATTTAAAATGCTGAATAAAAAAAATACTTTTACCCTAGAATAGTATATCCAGTCCAAACATCCTTCAAATATGGAGGATAAATAAAGACTTTCCCAGACAAACAAAAACTGAGGGATTTCATCAATACCAGACCTGTCCTACAAGAAATGCTAAAGAGAGTTCTTCAATTTGAAAGAAAAGGTACAAAACTCACTGGTAATAAATAAGTACATGGAGAAACACAGACTATGATAACACTGTAACTGTGGTATGTAAACTACTCTTGTCATAAGCAGAAAGATTAAATGATGAATCAATCAAAAATAATAACTATGACAACTTTTTAAGACATGAACAGTACAATAAGATATAAATAGAAACAACAAAAAATTAAAAAGGGGGGATGAAGTTAGAGTGTAAACTTTTTATTAGGTTTCTTTTTGCTTGTTTGTTTATACAAACAGTGATAAGTTTTTATCAGCTTAAAATAATGGGTTATAAGATAGCGTTTGCAAGCCGCATGGTAATCTCAAATGAAAAAAACATGCCATGAATACACAAAAAACAAAAAGCAAGGAACTAAATCATATCACCAGAGAAAATAATATTTACTAAGGGAAAACAGGAAGAAAAGAAAGAAAGAAGACCACAAAACAGCCAGAAAACAATTAACAAAATTGCAAAAGTAAGTTCTTACTTATCAATAATAACATTGAATGTAAATTCTTCAATGGACTAACCTCTCCAATCAAAAGACATAGAGTAGCTAAATGGATAAAAAAATAAGACCCACTGATCTGTTGCTTACAAGAAAGACACTTCACCTACAAAGACACACATAGACTGAAAATAAAGGGATAGAAAGATACTCCCTGCCAATAAAAACCAAAAAAGAGCAGGAGTAGCTATACTTAGACAAAATCGATTTCAAGACAAATCTAAAGAAGAGACAAAGAAGGTCACTATGTAAGGATAAAGGGGTCAGTTCAGCAAGAGGATATAACAATTTTAAATGTATATGTGCCCAACACTGGAGCACTCAGATATATAAAGTAAATATTATTAGAGCTAAAGAGAGAGATAGTTCCCAATATGATACTACCTGAAGACTTCAACACCCCACTTTCAGCACTGGACAGATCTTCCAGATAGAAAATTAATGAATTGGACCTAATCTGCATTATAAAACAAACGGATCTAATAGATATTTATGGAACATTTCATCCAATGGCTGCAGAACACACATTATTTTCCTCAGCACATAGATTATTCTCAAGAATAGACCATCTATTAGGTCACAAAATAAGTCTTAAAACATTAAAAAAAAAAAAAAAAAAACTGGGCCGGGTGCAGTGGCTCATGCCTGTAACCCAACACTTTGGGAGGCCGAGGCAGGCAGATCACAAGGTCAGGAGTTTGAGACCAGCCTGGCCAACATAGTGAAACCCCATCTCTACTAAAAATGCAAAAACTAGCCAGGCATGGTGGAACACACCTGTAGTCCCCGCTACTCGGGAGGCTGAGGCAAGGGAGTCACTCGAACCCAGGAGGCAGAGGTTGCAATGAGTTGAGATCACGCCACTGCACTCCAGCCCGGGTGACAGAGGGAGACTCAGTCTAAAAAAAACCCTGAAATAATATCAAGCATTTTCTCTGACCACAATGAAACAAAACTAGAAATTAATAACAAGAGGAATTTTGGAAACTATGCAAACATATGGAAATTAAACAATATACTCCTGAACGACCAGTGGATCAATGAAGTAATTAAAAAGGAAATTGAAATATTTATTGAATCAAATGATAATGGAAACACAACATACCAAAACCTATGGGATACAGCAAAAGCAGTACTAAGAGGGAATTTTATAGCTACAAGTGCCTACATCAGAAAAAAAGAAAAACTGGCCGGGCGTGGTGGCTCACGCCTGTAATCCCAGCACTTTGGGAGGGCTAGGCGGACAGATTACCTGAGGTCAGGAGTTCCATACCAGCCTGGCCAACATGGTGAAACCCCGTTTCTACTGAAAATACAAAAATTAGCCCCTTCTCCCGGCAGTTAGTGCTCAGAGTGCGGAGTGTGTGCTCCAGGCTCGGAACATACATTTATTATTAAAAAAAAATCTAAAAAAATATTTTAAAAACTTTCCCACAATTTACAAAAAATCCGCCTCTCCCCTGCCATAGACTTTTATTTTTTTCTTCTTCTTCTTTTATAAAGTAACCCCGTGAAGCAGCCGAGGCCGACTCGCCCGCCCGCAGCAGCTCCAAAAAGGAACCAAGAGACCGAGGCCTTCCCGCTGTCCGGACTGACACCTCCACCTTCGCCCGCAGCCAGCGGCAGCGGATCAACACCATTCTGGGGCGGTGAAGTAGTTTTCGATTCCGGGTGATTTTTGTCCCTCTGCGCTTGCGCTTGCGCTTGCCCCCGCTCACCTTCCCCCAGCTCCGGCCCCTAGCCCCAGCATTCGCTCTCCTCCTCTCACGGAAAGGTCGCGGCCTGTGGCCCTGCGAGCAGCAGTGCCGAGATGAACCCCAGTGCCCCCAGCTACGTCCTCGCTGTACGTGGGGGACCTCCATCCCGACGTGACCGAGGCGATGCTCTACAAGAAGTTCAGCGCGGCCGGGCTCATCCTCTCCATCCGGGTCTGCAGGGACATGATCACCCACGGCTCCTTGGGCTACGCGTATGTGAACTTCCAGTAGCCCGCGGACGCGGAGCATGCTGTGAACACTATGAATTTTGATGTTATAAAGGGCAAGCCAGTACGCATCGTGTAGTCTCAGCGTGATCCATCACTTCGCAAAAGTGGAGTGGGCTACATATTCATTAAAAATCTGGACAAATCCATTGATAATAAAGCACTGTATGATACATTTTTCTGCTTTTGGTAACATCCTTTCATGTAAGGTGGGCTGTGATGAAAATGATTCCAAGGGCTATGGATCTGTACACTTTGAGACACAGGAAGCAGCTGAAAGAGCTATGGAAAAAATGAATGGAATGCTCCTAAATGATCGCAAAGTATTTGTTGGACGATTTATGTCTCATAAAGAACGAGAAGCTGAACTTGGAGCTACGTGAAAGAGTTCACCAATGTTTACATCAAGAATTTCGGAGAAGACATGGATGATGAGCGCCTTAAGAATCTCTTTGGCAAGTTTGGGCCTGCCTTAAATGTGAAAGTAATGACTGGTGAAAGTGGAAAATCTAAAGGATTTGGATTTGTAAGCTTTGAAAGGCTTGAAGATGCACAGAAAGCTGTGGATGAAATGAAAGGAGCTCAATGGAAAACAAATTTATGTAGGTAGAGCTCAGAAAAAAGTGGAACGGCAGACAGAACTTAAGCGCAAATTTGAACAGGTGAGGCAAGATAGGATCACCAGATACCACCGTGTTAATCTTTATGTGAAAAATCTTGATGATGGCATTAATAATTAACGTCTCCGGAAAGAGTTTTCTCCATTTGGTACAATCACCAGTGCAAAGGTTATGATGGAGGGTGGTCGCTGCAAAGGGTTTGGTTTTGTATGTTTCTCCTCACCAGAAGAAGCCACTAAAGCAGTTACAGAAATGAATGGTAGAATTGTGGCCACAAAGCCATTGTATGTTGCTTTAGCTCAGCGCAAAGAAGAGTGCCAGGCTCACCTCACTAACCAGTATATGCAAAGAATGGCAAGTGTACGAGCTGTGCCCAATCTTGAAATCAACCCCTACCAGCCAGCACCTCCTTCAGGTTACTTCATGGCAGCTATCCCACAGACTCAGAACGGTGCTGCATACTATCCTCCTAGCCAAATTGCTCAACTAAGACCAAGTCCTCGCTGGACTGCTGAGGGTGCCAGACCCCATCCATTCCAAAATAGGCCCAGTGCTATCCGCCCGGCTGCTCCTAGACCACCATTTAGTACTATGAGACCAGCTTCTTCACAGGTTCCATGAGTTATGTCAACACAGCGTGTTGCTAACACATCGACACAGACAATGGGTCCACGTCCTGCAGCTGCTGCTGCTGCCACTCCACATTATAACTATGCTGCGGGAGTTCGCAGTCCTCAGAAACATCTTAATGCACAGCCACAAGTTACAATGCAACAGCCTGCTGCTCATGTACAAGGTCAGGAACCTTTGACTGCTTCCATGTTGGTATCTGCCCATGCTCAAGAGCAAAAGCAAATGTTGGGTGAACGGCTGTTTCCTCTTATTCAAGCCATGCACCTTACTCTTGCTGGTAAAATCACTGGCATGTTGTTGGAGATTGGTAATTCAGAACTTCTTCATATGCTGGAGTCTCCAGAGTCACTCCGTTCTAAGGTTAATGAAACTGTAGCTGTACTACAAGCCCACCAAGCTGAAGTGGCTGCCCAGAAAGCAGTTAACCGTGCCACCGGTGTTCCAACTGTTTAAAATTGATCAGGTACCATGAAAAGAAACTTGTGCTTCACAGAAGAAAAATATCTAAACATCGAAAAATGTAAATATTATTTTTTTAATAAACATTGCAAAATATAAAATAAATTTAAAAAGGAAAAGAAACTTTGAACCTTATGTACCGAGAAAATGCCAGGTCTAGCAAACATAATGCTAGTCCTAGATTACTTATTGATTTAAAAATTTTAAAAAAACACAAAAATAGTAAAATATGAAAACCAATTAATGTTTTATAGACTCTGGGAAAAAATTTTCAGCAAAGTGCAAAAATTTAAAGCATTCCTTTCTTTAATTTTGTAATTCTTTACTGTGGAATAGTTCAAAATGTCAGTTCTGTTTTAAGTAACAGAATTGATAACTGAGCTAGGAAACGTAATTTGGATTATAAAATTATTGCTTTAATAACAATTCCTTAAATGGTGAAAAAAATAATAATAATAAAATACAAAAATTAGCCGGGCATAGTGGCACGCGCCTGTAATCCCAGCTACTCAGGAGACTGAGGCAGGAGAATTTCTTGAACCCGGGAGGCAGAGGTTACAGTGAGCTGAGATCGCATCATTGTGTTCCAGCCTGGGTGACGGAGCAAGACCCCATCTCAAAAAAGAAGGAAGGAAGGGGGTGGGGGACGGGGAGGGGAGGGGAGAAGAGGCAGAAGGGTATTTGAGGGCATATGCTTTTTTCTCTCCATTAAATGAGGAACATAATATCACCCTGAAATTCCACTCCATTTTGTTAACCATGTGCAGAGGATATCGCTTTTAAAATACATATATTAAGGAACAGGCAACAGAGATTGTCCCTTAGGCGGGAAGCTGATGTGTAAAACAGACTCTTTTCCCTCACTGTATACATTTTAATACTGCATGGGTTTTGCATCATATGCTTGTATCTCCCAATTAATTGTAAAGCCAACAAAATCTTGGCTCAACTTAATGAATAATAAAAGTAATAGAGGGACCCTTTGACTTATATATGTCTATTATCTTCCGCATATATTTTGTTATCCCAATATACCTTGCACTGTAGCAAGGAATACATGTGATCATTTCAGCAGTTATAAAAGATCACAAAAAGTAGGGGAGAAAGGAGGAAAGGTAGGAAGGGAGGGAGGGAAGAATAGAAAGGAAAGGAATAAAATGTAGGCTGGTATAATAAAGTTGGTGCCGAGCGTGGTGGCTCACACCTGTAATCACAACACCTTGGGAGGTCAAAGCGGGCAGATCACTTGAGCCCAGGAGTTCTGAGACCAGCCTGGATAACATGGAGAAACCCCATCTCTACAAAATTACAAAAATTATCTGGGCATGGTGGCGCACAGCTGCAGTCCCAGCTACTCAGGAGGCTGAGGTGGGAGGATCACTTGAGCCCAGGAGGTTAAGGCTGCAGTGAGCTGTGATTGCACCACCACACTCCAGCCTTTTGAAACAGAGCCTGTCTCAAAAATAATAATAATATGGCTGGGCGTAGTGGCTCATGCCTGTAATCCCAGCTCTTTGGGAGGCCAAGACGGGTGATTCATTTGAGGTCAGGAGTTCAAGACCAGCCTGACCTACATAATTAAACCCTGTTTCTACTAAAAATACAAAAAATTAGCTGTGAGTGGTGGCATGTGCCTGTAATACCAGCTACTCAGGAGGCTGAGGCAGGAGAATCGCTTGAACCCAGGAGGTGGAGGTTACAGTGAGTCGAGATCATGCCACTGCCCTCCAATCTGGGCTACAGAGCAAAACTCTGTCCAAAAAATTAAAATTAAAATAATAGTAATACAAAGTTGGTGATTTGTGCTGAGCCAGTTTCTCTTTCAGGGGAAAAACATCACATCAGAAAACTAGATAAATATTATGATTAAAAGATATGAAATAGAATTTGATAAAAAGACATCAGATAGTCAAGGGTAAATTGTCAGTTAATAACAATATTTTTAAATGCTTTGTGGAGGGAAATTCCATGTCACAAAGACTTAGAAAAAAAGAGAAGGAAGACAAGCCTATCACGTATATCTATCTATAGATCTAGCCATATCTCCATCTCTCTATCATCCATCTACCTGTCTATATTTATATACCTATGGCAGATAGATATGTCTAGATTAAATAGTTAGGTAAATAGATAAAAATATATTAATTTGAAGTCTTTATGTACTAAGTACCATTTGATAGTTTTGGTTACAAAATAGAAATACAGAAACGGAAGTCATTTATTGTATTATGCCATGGAAAGTGGATGACTCTCATGGTGCAAGTGCAGTCTATGTCCGAAAGAGGGAGTAGTGAAATCACAGATAGCATCATGGTTTTTCTGACTTTTTGCTTCTGATATTTCCCAACTTAAGAGCCAGAGGAGAGTAGGGAACTGGGAAAGAAGAGTTTATCAGCTGTTGGATGAACAGATCTTTGGAGTAAGCAGTTGTCTCGCACACTGCAGCTTTACAGCCATTGAGCAGAACACCCAGCCACCAATGCCCTTCTGTGATTTCCCAAGTCCTTTCCTTTAACCTAAGAATTAAATACTTTTAAACATTCAATAATTATCAAGATGATATCCTTGTTGCTAGAAGCTTTTAATTCTACTTAAATGAACTGGTTAGAATCTAAAACGTGTTCATTGTTAAATAAACTGGTTAGAATCTAAAATGTATTCATTGTTTAATGAAAAATGGGTTCATATTCTTGACATTTGATTGCTAAATCAGAAACAAAAAGTAGGACATGTTGGCTGAATGTGGTGGCACATGCCTGCAATCTCAGCATTTTGGAAGGCCAGGGCAGGAGGATGACTTGGCGTCAGGAGATGGAGACCATCCTGGCCAACATAGTGAAACCCCGTCTCTACTAAAAATACAAAACTTAGCTGGGCATGGTGGCAGGCACCTGTAATCCCAGCTACTCGGGAGGCTGAGACAGGAGAATCACTTGAAACCAGGAGGCAGAGGTTGCAATGAGCCGAGATCACGCCACTGCACTCCAGTCTGGGCAACAGGGTGAGACTCCGTCTCAAAAAAAAAAAAGTAGGAAGTGTTTGTCAAAAGAGCCATATTAAAGTTTCTCAGAGTTTCAATAGCTTTAAATTATTCTTCATGTGAAAAGACAAATATTATTACTTAGATTTATTAAGTGATACATTCATGATACATTTTATTAAATAATACATTCATGAGTTCCTCATGTAAATTTCACTTAAAGTTACTTAAATTTAATAAATACTACTTAAATAACCATCAAGGCCTATGGGGGTTCAATTACATTTTCACATTGGCGTTATCCGGCATGTCAGGTAGGTATCTTACATTGTTCCACATTATCCAGACAATTCAAGGAACAGGAAAGGCAGATGGCCAATAAACATATGTAAACATGTTCATCCTTTCTAGTAATCAGGGAAATGCACATTAAAATAAAAAGGAGAAGCCATTTATACTCATCATATTGGCAAAAATTTTAAAGTCAAATTTGAATTTGTAGGAAAATGGACGCCTTCATGCATTGCCAGAGGAGGTTAAATTGGTAGAACCACTTTGGAGAGCAATATAGTCCATATAATGAAGTTAATGATGCATACTCCCTACAATCCAGCAATTCCACTCCCCTTCAGTTAAAAACCTGGCTGCACATTAGATTCATTACCCCAGTGGGCTATCAACCCATTGGCCTATTAAGAAAATCTTTTTGTTTCTTTTGAGTCAGGGTCTTGCCCTGTTGCCCAGGCTGGAGTACAGTGGCACGATCAATACCCACTGAAGCCTTGACCTCCTGAGCTCAAGCGATCTTTCCCCTTCAACCTCCTGAGTAGCTAAGACTACAGGCGCATGTCACTATGCCTGGCTAGCTTTTAAATTTTTTGTAGAGATGAGGTCTTGCTATGTTGCCCAGGCTGGCCTTGAACTCCTGGGCTCAAGTGATACTCCCAGCTTGGCCTCTCAAAATGCTGGGATTGCAGGTGTGAGCCACTGTGCCCGGCCCCTATGAGAAATTCTTGCACATGTACATAGAAAACAAATTCAAAAATTTTTATAACATTGCTTATAACAAAAAAAAGGAAATAATGTCCACCAACAGGAATATAGAGAAATAAAATGTTGTGTAGTCATTCAACAGAAAACAAAACTGTACAAAATACCGGCACATGCTGCGTGATTGAATCTCCCAAATACAATTTTGAGAAGTAATAGGCAAAGAACACATACAGTAGAATTCTACGTAGCATATAAAATGAATAAACTAAACCTATATATAAACCTACATAGCAATTAAAATGAATAAACTAAACCTATAAATCCTGTGCTAGTTTTCTACAGCTTCTATTTAAAAAGTTACCAGGCCAGGTTTGGTGGCTCATGCCTGTAATCTGACAGCACTTTGGGAGGCTGAGGCGGGTGGATCACCTAAGGTCAGAAGTTTGAGACCAGCCTGGCCAACATAGTGAACCCCCATCTCTACTAAAAATACAAAAATTAGCTGGGCGTGGTTGTGGGTGCCTGTAATCCCAGCTTCTTGGGAAGCTGAGGCAGAAGAATCACTTGAACCCAGGAGGTGGAGGTTGCAGTGAGCTGAGATTGCGCCATTGCACTCCAGCCTGGGTGACAAGAGCAAAACACCATCTCAAAACAAGAAAAAAAAAGTTACCATAGGCCAGGGGCAGTGGCTCACATTTGTAATTCTAGCACTTTGGAAGGCCAAGGTAGGAGGATGGCTTGAACCCAGGTCTTCAAGGCCAACCTGGGCAACATGGCAAGACCTTGTTTCTACCAAAAGGAAAAAAACTAGCCAGGCATAGTGGTGCATGCCTGTAGTCCCAGCTACTCAGGAGGCTGTGGTGGAAGGATTGCTAGAGTCCAGGAGTTCAAGGCTGCAGGGAGCCATGTTCACACCACTGCACTCCAGCCTGGGCAACAGAGAAAGACCCTGTCTCAAAAAAAATTACTGAAAACTTAATGGCTTGAAACAATACAAATTTCTTCTCTTACCTTTCTAGAGATTCGAAATCCAGAATGGCACTCACTGAGCTAAAATCAAGATGTCAGTAGGACTGTTGTGTTTTTAATGTGTCCCTCAAGAAGTAAGTGTTAGAAACTTAATCTCCAATGCAATAGTGTCAGGAGGTGGGACCTAATAGGAAGTGTTTAGATCATAAGGGCTCCACCCTCATGAATAGGGTAATGCAGATTAGAAAAGGGCTTGAGGCTGTGAATTCTCTCTCTCTCTCTCTCTCTCTGTCTCTCACTCTCTCTCTTTGTCTTTCACCCCTCATGCCCTCTCACGTCCCATCATGGCATGACACAGCCAAAGGCCCTTGCCAGATGCCAGGCCTCTTGATCTTGGACTTTCCAGCCTCCATGACTATGAGAAATAAATTTCTTTTCTTTATATATTACACAGTCTGTGCTATTCTGTTATAGCAACACAAAATGGACTAAGACAGTTGTGTTTCTTCCTGAGGGCTGTATGGGATAATTCATATCTTTGTTTTATTCAACTTCTAGATGCTGCCTGCCTTCCTTGGCTTGTGGCTTCTCCTTTCATCTTCAAAGCCAGCAATTCCATCTGCAACCTTAATTCCCCTTTGCCATATAAGAAAACATATTCACAATGCAGGGCAAAAATAATAATAATAATTTCCCTCTACCCTCTTAGGCTCAGTGGCTGAGCCTGTGAAATAAACTGATAAAAGACATATTAAGAGGAGTAAAACATACAAATTTTATTTGATCTTAAAAGTTTTACATGGGAAGGGGGAATTACAGAGAAGAGAACCCACCCCCACCAAAGAAGTAGCCAGGCTTGGAGGCTTTTACACCATTTAAAGGATGATAAATTTATAGAGAAATGACAAGACAAAGGAAAGAGGTTTATAAGTGTTCTAGCAGTGATAACTTGTGAAAAGATAAATGTAGGAGAATCACTAATGTTAGCCCCCTAGGGCTAGCCAGTAAGGTTTGTTTGTGTAGACTCTTCTGGTACCATTTCTGTCTATGGTATTGAGGGTTGTTCTCTCTGCTACAGGAAAAGGAGGGATACCTTCACAAGGAAAATTTATACCCTGTTTTTAGGAAGATGGAGGGAGGGCAGTGAACTTTTTCTCAATTGCCTTCAACTTGAAATAATACTTATGTCAGGATAGAATATTTGGGGGTGGAAAATTCTGATCCCCTACAACAGATTCCAGGGATTAGGATGTGAACTTTTTTTGCAGGATCGGGGGGAAAGGGGTGTAACTGTCTGATGGATTCCTCTTTTCTGCTGCCCAAAAAAGATGATACAGAGAACAGCAGGAGTTGCCATAGAAAAAGACTTTAATTATCACAAGGTAGCTGAGCAGAAGGACAGGAGATATTTCTCAAATCTGCCTCCCCAATAACTCAGAGTCTAGAGTTTTTAAGGATAATTTGATGCGCAGGGGGATAGGGAATGGGTGCTGCTGATTGGCTGGGGATGAAAAATTCATAGCACTAAATGCTGACAGCAGAAATCTGGAAAGATCTAAAATCGACACCCTAAAATCACAAGAGAACTAGAGAAGCAAGAACAAATTCAAAAGCTAGCAGAAGACAAGAAATAACTAAGATCAGAGCAGAACTGAAAGATATAGAGACATGAAAAGGCCTTCAAAAAATCAATAAATCTAGGAGCTGGTTTTTTGAAAAGATTAACAAAATAGATGGACCACTAGTTAGACTAATAAAGAGGAATCAAATAGACACAATAAAAAATGATAAAGTGGATATCACCACTGATCCTACATAAATACAAACTGCCATCAGAGAATACTGTAAAAGCCTCAGCTGGGCGTGGCAGCTCACACCTGTAATCCCAGCACTTTTGGAGGCTTAGGTGGGTGGATCACCTGAGGTCAGGAGTTTGAGACCAGCCTGACCAACATGGTGAAACCCCATCTCTACTAAAAATACAAAAATTAGCCAGGTGTGGTGGTGCGTGCCTGTAATCCCAGCTACTCAGGAGGCTGAGGAAGCAGAATTGCTTGAACCTGGGAGGCAGAGGTTGCAGTGAGCCGAGATCACGCCACTGCACTCCAGCCTGGGCAACAGAGACTCTGTCTAAAAAAAAAAAAAAAACCTCTATGCAAAGAAACTAGAAAATCTAGAAGAAATGGATAAATTCCTGGACACATAAACCCACCCTCCCAAGACTAAACCAGGTAGAAGTCAAATCCCTGAATAGACCAATAACAAGTTCTGAAACTGAGGCAGTAATTAATAGCCTACCAACCAAAAAAAGCCCAGGACCAGATAGATTCACAGCTGAATTCTACCAGAAATACAAAGAGGAGCTGGTACCATTCCTTCTGAAACTATTCCAAACAATCAAAAAAGAGGGGCTCCTCCATAACTCTTTATGAGGCCAGCATCATCCTGATACAAAAACTGGGAAGACACAACAAAAAAAAGAAAACTTCAGGCCAATATCCCTGATGAACATCAATGCAAAAATCCTCAATAAAATACTGGCAAACTGAATCCAGTAGCACATCAGAAAGCTTATTCACTACAATCAGGTCAGCTTTACCCTGGGATGCAAGGCTGGTTCAACATACGCAAATCAATAAACATAATCCATCACATAAACAGAACCAATGACAAAAACCACACAATTATCTCTATACAGGCAGAAAAGGCCTTTGATAAAATTCAATACCCCTTCATGCAAAAAACTCTCAATAAACTAGGTATTGATGGAACATATCTCAAAATAATAAGAGTTATTTATGACAAACCAATAGCCAATTTCATACTGAATTGGCAAAATCTGGAAGCATTTCCTTTGAAAATCAGCACAAGACAAGGATGCCCTCTCTCACTACTCCTATTCAACATAGTATTGGAAGTTCAGGCCAGGGCAATCAGGTAGAAGAAAGAAATAAAGGGTATTCAAATAGGAAGAGAGAAAGTCAAATTGTCTCTGATTGCAGATAACATGATTGTATATTTAGAAAACCCCGTCGTCTCAGCCCAAAATCTCCTTAAGCTGATTAGCAACTTCAGCAAAGTCTCAGGCTACAAAATCAATGTGCAAAAATCATAAGCATTCCTATATACCAACAACAGATAAGCAGAGTGCCAAATCATGAGTGAACTCCCATTCACAATTGCTACAAAGATAATGAAACACCTAGGAATATAACTTACAAGGAACGTGAAGGACCTCTTCAAGGAGAACTACAAAACACTGCTCAAGCTCTTCTTATCTGAATCAAAGCAGCAATTTCTGGGAAAGGGGGCTACTATAAATCTCTTCTCCAGAGGATTTTCATGGCTACGAGGAAGATGGAAAGACCACTTGCACCTGCAAAAACAAACATCATCACAACTTTCTTATTTCCCATTTGCTCACCTAAAATCTCATTTGTCTTTCCTAAAGAAACTTACTGGTTCTTCCCAGAGTAGCCTCTTCTCCCCATTCTCTTTTTCCTACTAAATTAGGCATATAAGCCTCTAACTTTAACCATGAAGGAGCTAACTACTTCTTCTGTTAGCTATTATGTGCGTACGAATAAACTTTTTCCTCCAGTGAATCTGTATTTTATCAGTTTAACTCACACACCTCTAAAAAATGAACCTAAGAGCATAGAGGAAAACTTTTTCCCCCCTGACAGTTTGAAGCAGAGGCACAGTCCTTGCAAAAATGTGAAGGTGATTGGGGCGTACAAGACACATAGGGGGAGCAGTAAGAGTTGAGTATGGCGGGAGCCAATGCAGGGAGGCGTGGTGGCTGGGTTGTTACAGAGGTCAGTCATGAAGGGCCCTCATGTCTGTCACAAATGTACCTCACCCAAAATAACAAGAATCACTGCTGCAGGCCAGGGGCGGTGGCTTACGCCTGTAATCCCAACAGTTTGGGAGGCTGAGGCGGGTGAATCACCTGAGGTCAGGAGTTTGAGATCAGCGTGGCCAACATGGCAAAACCCCATCTCTACTAAAAATACAAAAAATTAGCTGGGCGTGGTGGCGGGTGCCTGTAATCCCAGCTACTCAGGAGGCTGAGGCAAGAGAATGGCTTGAACCCGTGAGGCGGAGGTTGCAGTGAGCTGAGATAGTGTCCAGCCTGGGTGACAGAGCGAGACTCCATCTCAACAACAAAACAAAACAAAACAAGAATCACTGCTGGTACCTCAGGAATCTGAAAGGATATAAGATGTGGCCAAAGTCAAAGACAAGTTGTGTCTGCTACTCTGTATCTGAATGTACTTATAGAAAGGGATTTGCATACTATTTTTTATCATAACCCCATCAGTAAAAAATTTTGAACATGCAATCTCAATATCTGCATACTTACTTTAATAAACTATATGCAGGTACTACTATGGTAATGCTTTGTTTACAAAATACAATGTACTCAAAAATAGAAACTAAATAAAGAACATAGACATTGCAATATTGTCTTTCCAAACTCCAACAGATCATCTTGTATCCCATGGAATGAAGGTTCCTCACTACAGAACATGCTGGCCCACAGCATATGAAATAAGACATACATCGAACTGTGAGTTCTTTTAAGAAAAATTCAGGTTGCGTGCAGTGGCTCATGCCTGTAATCCCAGCACTTTAGGAGGCCAAGGCAGGCGGATCACCTGAGGTCAGGAGTTCGAGACCAGCTTACAACATGGCGAAATCTCGTCTCTACCAAAAATACAAAAATTAGCCAGGCATGGTGGCACCTGGCTGAGGCACGAGAGTTGCTTGAACCTGGAAGGCAGAGGTTGCAGTGAGCTGAGATTGCACCACTGCCCCCCAGCCTAGACGACGAAGTAAGACTGTGTCTCAAAAAAAAAAAAAAAAAAATTCAGATGATGGGCCAGGAAAAATTGTTCAGAAAAAAAGCCCCAAGGAAACAATGGTGACGCTAGTCTCTATAGTTGCACTAGACTTTTAATAGTGTGGTTTTCAGTAGAAGTAGAATTGCTTCTTAGGGGCCAAAGGAAGCTGAATTGCTTCTTTTTTGGACATGTAAGGGAGTATTTTGGTTTGTCACAATATTTTAGGAAGAAAGGATATTAGCTATTTAGTGGATGGGTCCAATGTTAGATTATCCCACCAGGTATTCGTGTGTGTGAAATATTGATTTAAACCATCTAAGCATTCACACATACCTCTGTCTTTTATTGCCTTATATATTTGTTTGTTTGTTTGTTTGAGATCCACAGACAGGATCTCACTCTGTTGCCCAGGCTGGAGTGCAGTAGTGCAATCTCAGCTCATTTCAACCTCTGCTTCCCTGGCTCAAGTGATCCTCCCACCTCAGCCTCCCAAGGAGCTGGGACAACAGGCACCCACCACCACACCCAGCCAATTTTTGTATTTTTTGTAGAGACAGGGCTTCACCATGTTGCCCAGACTGGTTTCGAATGCCTAAGCTTAAGGGATCCGCCCACTTCAGCCTCCCTTGTAAATCTTGTATAGAGTATATTCTGGTCTTATTACTTCTTTCTCTCTCTCTTTTTTTAGAGTATATTCTGGTCTGATTCTCTCTCTCTCTCTCTCTCTCTCTCTCTGAGACAGGGTGTCACTGTGTTGCTCGTGGGCTCAGGCAATCCTTCAGCCTCAGCCTCCGATGTCTCATGTAGCTAGGACCAAAGGCAAACACCACCCCCTGGCTAATTTTTTGATTTTTTTGTAGAGATGGGGTTTCACTGTGTTGCCCAGCCTGGTCTCAAACTCCTGGGCTCAAGTGATCTGCCCACCTGGGCCTCCCAAAATGCTAGAATTACAGGTGTCAGCCACCATGCCTGTCCTGCTTCTCTTATGTCTAAATTTATTAATTATAAGTAGGTACAAGCCTCTGACTGCTTCATTAAGTTTTCTATTGTAGTGGATCTGAGTATTTGCATATTTAAATATATATCATTTCATTATGATTTACTTTCTTTTAATGTGTCCATGTTACAGTTAAATGTTATATTGACTTTATGAAGAAAAATACAAGGCAGATACAGATACATTTTTTTTCTTGCTTTTTTTTTTTTTTCTAAGAGACAGGGTCACACTCTGTCACCCAGGCTGGAGTGCAATGGCACGATATTAGCTCACTGCAGCCTTGAACTCCTGAGCTCATACAATCCTCCTGCCTCAGCCTCCCAAGTAGCTGAGACTACTGGTACGTGCGACCATGCCCAACTAGTTTTTTTGTTTTGTTTTGTTTTGTTTTTGTTTTTTTTAATTTTTTTTTTCTAGAGACAGGGGTCTCTCTAAGTTGCCCAGGCTGCTCTCGAACTCCTGGCCTCAAGTGATCCTCTTGCCTTGGCCTCCCAAAGTGCTAGGATTACAGGTGTGAGCCACCACATATGTCTCATTTTGTTTTCTATAAATTCTCTTTTAGAACAGTAAATGAGACGTTACAAAATTTTTATTATAAAAAGGGATTTCAGGCTGGGCGTGGTGGCTCACGCCTGTTGTAATCCCAGCACTTTGGGATGCCCAGGTGGGCGGGTCACCTGAGGTCAGGAGTTCAAGACCAGCCTGACCCATATGGTGAAACCCTGTCTTTACTAAAAATACAAAAAAAAAAAAAAAAAATTAGCTGGACATGGTGGCGGTTGCCTGTAGTCCCAGCTGCTCGGGAAGCTGAGGTAGGAGAATTGCTTGAACCTAGGAGGGAGGTGGAATTTGCAGTGAGACAAGATCGCACCACTGCACCCCAGCCTGGGCAACAAGAATGAAACTCTACCTCAAAAAAAAAAAAAAAAAAAAAAAGGTGGGAGGGAGGGTTCAAATTCTGTAAAAGTAGAGCGTGAAACTCTTCTGTATGATACTGCTTTAGTGGAAACATTTCATTATGCATTTATCAAAATCCATGGAATGCACAACACAAAGAGTGAACCCTAATGTAAACTATGGGCTTCAGTTAATAATCACAGATCAATATTGACTCGTCAATTGTAACAAATGTATCACACAACCACAAGATGTTCATAATAGGGGAAATCGCAGGGTAAGGAAGTTTATGGGAACTCTCTTGTACTTTCTGCCCAATTTTTCTGTAAACTTAAAACTGCTTTTAAAATGCAATAATTTATTGCTTTTATTTCTTTAAGAAAGCATTGGTTCTGATTGGTTTGAGAACAGCTAATTTAAATAAAGAACTACTTCATAAGAATTCAAATTTATACCAAAAATCTAGGACAGGTGATAATTGTTTTCCAAAAATGTTCTTTCCTTTACAAAAGGCGATAGATACCATGAGATTCTTTCAAATAACAAATGTCTCTGTTACATTTAAATAGGACTCTACCAACCCTAGATTTCCCTTGCACAGTCACCAGCAGCAGATCTGTGTGTAAAATGAGGAATAACGCCACAGACTGTTTCTTTGTAGAAGAGGTGACAGAATTAGGCAGCCTCAAAATGTCTGCTGCCAAAGTATAATGGCAAGAAAAGAAGGAGTCTGTCATTTATTTCCTAAAATATAAGCATTAGAGAGATACATGTATTTCTTGGTATAATAAATCTTTTGTTACAGCTTGCTTTATATACCAATTTATCTCTAACTCTGACAACTGAATTACAACTGCCATTTCTTGTCTAACTTTGGCTGTTTTCCTCTGAGTAATAATACAATCTTTTTTTTTTTTTTGTATAAGTGATGGGATTTAATACTTTCATCAGGATGGGTTCATTGAATATTCATATTCTGCTTATATTGTGCAGAGCCACATGGGAAGCTGTAGTAGAATTTCAAAAGCAGAAAATAGTAGCTCTGATGAGAAGGCTGTTATGTGTGGGTGTTTAGAAGTTATTAATATGAGATTAAGCAAAGCAAATTCTGTTTTAACAATGATTTGTGCAAAGTGGAAACAGGTGATTTTTGAGCAGATGGCTAAAAATATTATAGAGCAGCTTCACTGAAACAAAATAAAAGAGTGTAAAGCCCTGATTTATTTTAGTTTTCTTGAAAATCAGAGACAAGTTTTTTTGGGGGGAGGGGAGCTAAATTATACAATTGAACATTTTTGAATAATCATTCATTTCATTGCTGTCTTTTGCCTTTTCTCTCTGTGACATTCCATTTCTTTACCTCTTTCTTTTCTGTCCTTTCTCTCTCTGCCTGTCTTTCGTCAGCCTCTCCTGCACCAATCCTTTCAGGACCTCATCGAAACTCACCTTTATTGTTTCATTCCATCCTCTTTTCTGCCAGGGAAAGTGCATCAGAATGGAATTGGCAAGATCATTTGACAGCTTGTCTTTACTATTCTGCTGCCAAAAGAGGGAAAATGGATATTTATACGGTCCATTTAGACAAGCTGCTGTAAAATTACAGGCCAAGTTTCTTTTAAAACAATAATTAATATTTCTTGATTGACTATCTGGCAAACTGCACTGGACTAATCCAACCTATGAATGAGTGGGATTTCCCTAGATTTGTGCAGTTGAACCCTGCACAAATCTACTCAGAAGTGGGTTTTTATTGTTGGATTTTGTTCACACCAATTACAAAGCGCAGGGCTCACAGTGTTGGGTTGAATAATATAATATTGCCATTTTTATGTCAAAAATGATCAACTATCAGCAATGTTATGTGGTTCAACTTAATAGATCATAAATATCTGTTGATTATAATTGAATAGACTATACAATTCATTCTATAAAATGTTTGAGGTAATGTATAATAAAGTGTGGACATATAGTAAGCTGATAATAAGCTACAAAGCAAGCCCATTAATATCAAAGAAATCCTCAACTAACATACAAGGTTCCAACAAGAAGGTAAATAGGACAGATAAATAAGGTACAAGGTCCTCGACAACTGCAATGATTTTACTATAAATTTAGACCTTCTCATTCTACATCGAAGTAATACCAATGACAATGACAACCAATATTTATTTGTGCCAGACTTGGTGCTAAGTGCTTTATATATACTTTGCATTTAGTGCCTACCACAACCTGTTAGGGTAATTATCTCTATCTTACAGATAAAATAGTACTAATAATAATCTTTGAGAAAATCGTCCAGTTTCTTAGGGACACATTAAATTGAAACAAAAGTATTGACAATGTCCTCAGTGTTACTTGAGTAAATGTAGCAAATCTTTTATAAGGATATTATTTTAATATCCCTTAGCCTTGAGCAAAGATTCTCATGCATAAGAATCACATGAGAACTTCCTAGGCACCCAAAATTCAGACCCTAATGTTTCCTTGCTCTTCCACATGTGGTCTTTATGACAGCACTATTGACATGGCATAGGAGGTTATGAAAAAAGCAAGATCTTAGGCTCATTCCAGAAGAAATCAGAACTGCATTTTAGCAAGACCCCCAGGTGATTTGTACACACATCAAAGTTGAGAAGTGTCATTTTGAAGAGTGTAAAGTAGGTCCCATGTGTCCAAATTTGAAACACATTCCCAAAGTGATTCTGATGTATGTGATCAATGGTAAGGTCATATTTGATAACACATTGTCCCAAGACATGATACCAAAATGCAATTCACTGAAACCAATACTGCAAATAATTTGAGAAGCCAAAGGGTTACAGAATCAAGACAGTAAGAGAGAGGTGTGCAGAGCAATCTGTATTCTGAAGCTCTGGCTGGATCCAGAAATAAAACCTAGGATATTGGCAGGGGAGAGTGTATCCTTTGTGTTAAGAGGAGTAGCAGAATGGCCCATTTCAGACATGAAATTCTTTTTTTTTGAGACAGAGTTTCGCTTTTGTTGCCCAGGTGCGATCTTGGCTCACCACAACCTCTGCCTCCTGGGTTCAAGCGATTCTCCTGCCTCAGCCTCTAGAGTAGCTGAGATTACAGGCATGCGCCACTATGCCCGGCTACCTTTGTATTTTTAGTAGAGACGGGGCTTCTTCATGTTAGTCAGGCTGGTCTCTAACTCCCGATGTTGGGTGATCCGTCTGCCTCGGCCTCCAAAAGTGCTGGGATTACAGGTGTGAGCCACCATGCCCGGCCCCAGACATGAAATTCTTAAAGGCTAATACCACAGCTAGCCAGGCCTGGTGGCTCATGCCTGTAATCCTGCACTTTGGGAGGCTGAGGCAGGCGGAGTGCTTGAACTCAGGAGTTCAAGACCAGCCTGGGCAATGTGGTGAAATCTGGTCTCTACCAAAAAATACAAACATTAGCCAGGTGTGGTGGTGCACACTTGTAGTCCCAGCTCCTCAGGAGGCTGAGGTGGGAAGATTGCCTGAACCTGGTAGGTGATTGTGCCACTGTACTCCAGCCTGGGTGACAGAGTGAGAATCTGCCTCAAAAAAAAAAAAAAAAAAAATCCACAAAACAAACAAACAAACAAAAACACCTGTGTGAATTTGGCATCGACTCTTTAAAATATTTGTGTTAATTTTTAGAAAATAATTTTAATTATTTACCTCTGAGCCAAAGTGATGCTGCAGTAGGGTGCATGATTTATTTTGTGGCTATAGGGACCTCCGTGCATACTCTTACTTATCCCAGGGCATATGGTCAAGTGGTAAATTAACTTCTACATATGGAAATTTGGGGGCAGTCTAAAAAGGACCATGCTAGATAACAGAGTGGATTAGTACGTAGCAGTGGTCCCAACCATCAGGCACTCCAGATTTCTCACATGTTCCTAAAGAATGGGAGTGTGGCAGGGGAGAGGCAGGTTTTCCCGGGCCAAGTGCAGTCTTTCTTGTTTTATAGCTAGAAAAGAGCTACCACAAGGTGGAGCAAAGTCACAGAGAAGCGGTGTGAGAGCCAGAACCAGGGTTGCCTGTCTCCCAAACTTGGGTCACCCTGGCTTTCTGCATTTTAAATCACAGGCATTCTCCATACCCAACTTTGTAAACTGAAATGGGTTCTTAACTATGGGAAAGATAAAGAAAATCTGAAAAAAGAAAATAATGGAAATACTGGCTGGGTGTGGTGGTTCATGCCTGTAATCCCAGCACTTTGGGAGGCCTATACGGGCGGATCACCTGAGGCCAGGAGTTCGAGTCTAGCCTGGCCAACATGGTGAAATCCCATCTCTACTAAAAATACAAAAATTAGCCGGGTGTGGTGGTGTGTGCCTGTAGTCCCAGCTACTCGGGAGGCTGAGGCAGGAGAATCACTTGAACCCAGGAGGTGGAGGCTGCAGTGAGCTGAGATCATGCCACTGCACTCCAACCTGGGCAAGTGAGACTCTGTGTCAAAAAAAAAAAAAAAGTTAAAAGAAAATAATGGAAACACTAATTGACTTGTTAATTACACTAAACAGTTGGATCAGAAAAGAGATCCACCAATAGAAACCCATGACTCCGTCACACACATTTTACTTATTTGAACTCACTTCACAAGTTTAAAGGAATCATAAGTTCATAGGAAGTGGAATGGAAAATTGGAAAGAGTACCCACTTTGGAGACAGGCAGATGTGAACTGGAATTCTGACCCTGCCAGGCCAGACATTTACTGAATTTTCTGAGCCTCCAGATTCTCATCTGTAAAATGAGGACAATGGTGTCCGCCATGTAGGGTTCTTCTGAGAATGTGTGCAAAATTCTTACCTTAGTGGGTATATCCCATCTTCAACAACAATAAAATGGTGGCCTACTAATGGTGGCATTAATATTCAATACATTTTATTGACTGTGTATTGAACACCATAATAAAATTAAAGATGAAACATTATCTCTGATCTTTATTTATTCTTTGTAGAAATGAGGCTGGTCTTGTACTCCTGGGCTCAAGCAATCCTCCCACCTCAGCCTCCCAAAGTGTTTAGATTACAGGCATGAGCCACCACGCCCAGCCTATCTCTGATTTTTAGATAGCTTTCTATTAGGAAGAGTAAAACTAAGATAATAATTGTAAAGATAACTAATACTCACTGGGTGTATACCATGGCCTACAAGTACTTTTAAGGGTTTATCTCAGTAAGTGCTTATAACATCCCCAGGACTTAGGCATTAACCAATTTTACAGATAAGGAAAATTTGTAACCCATTTTACAAACTAAGGCCTAGAGAGAATAGTAATTTTTACCAGATCCCTTAGGAAACAGCAGATTTAGGATTCACCTCTGGGCACCCTGTCTCTGGGGCTTGTTTGCAACACACTGATTTAGGTCTAGACTCAGGCAACAATTCATTTCTAGGTGCTGCAATCTCTGCTGTCAACTTGTGCTTCCCAGGTGCAAATATGAAACAAATCCCAACAGCATCATGGATATGAATCCCATTTAGATGTGACTATGATTATCACCTAAGTAGGCTGCCTGCCTGGTCTCTCTTTCTCTATGGCTAACCCATCCTTCTACACTGCCAACAGTTATCTTTATAAAACACAAATCTGATCGTGATACTTCTCTACTTAAAAGGCTCCCTGCTGTCTGCAGAACTGTGTCCAAGATCTTAGCATGGCACAGGAGGACTCTCCCAGCTGGCCCTGACCTTCCTTCCAGCCTCTGCTTTCTCTTCACCGTACACTCTTACATAAGACAGCTCCACGTGAAATTAGGGCAGCCAGGGGTGCCATAGTATAACTGCCTGTGTGGTAAAATGAAAAAAAGACTGAAAAAAAAACTTAAAAAAAATTGGCATATTTTCTTTACATATATTCTGTTGCTATAAAGTAAAAAAAACTTGCTAAAATTAGATTTTAAAAAAGCAGTGCAATTAACAATGTCCACATACCCACATACTATCAGCTGACACATGCATATACATATATTACAATTTTTTACATTATTTTTCACCATCTAGCAGAGATCTGGTATCTTAGTGGAAGATATCTTGTCACTCTATTTGCAATTCCTCTAGAGTATAACACTCTTCCTTTTCCCTGGAATGCATCCCTTTTCCTCCCTAAAGTTGCCAGCTACTTACTATTCATCCTTTAAATCCAGCTCAAAACCACTCCTCTGCGAACTCTTACACCCAATCCTCTTATGCAGTCTGTTTTTCCATCCCCAGTGCTCCCAAGACTGGGAGTATTTCTATCTCTTACAGCATTATTGTACTGCTTGTAATTATTTATTTATACAGTAATAGACTGCATGATCCTTTCCGGCAGTCTTAATCTTTGAATCCCTAGTTCCTAGCGTGGTGTTTGGCACAGAGTTAAGAACTGGAGAGCCGATCACTGGATACATGAAAGAATGATCAAAGTCTAAAAGTCCCTACTTTCTTTAGATCTTGTGGGGAAAACACTTGAGGGGATACACCTTTGGACACATCATTTTGATAAATCAGGCCCATAATATTTGAGAATTGATTTGAAAGGAGTCAGTAAATATCTCAAGTGGTGTGAGTCAAAAAGGCTAACAGAACCAGGTGTGGTGGCTGATGCTTGTAATCCCAGTGCTTTGGGAGGCTGAGGTCGGAGGATTTTCTTTTTTTTTTTTTTTTTTTTTTTTGAGAAGGAGTCTCCCTCTGTCGCCCAGGCTGGAGTGCAGTGGTGCAATCTTGGCTCACTGCAACCTCCACCTCCTGGGTTCAAGCGATTCTCCTGCCTCCGCCTCCTGAGTAGCTGGGATTATAGGCACATGCCACCATGCCCGGCTAAGTTTTATATTTTTAGTAGAGATGGGGTTTCACCATGTTGGCCAGGCTGGTCTCGGACTCTTGACCTTGTGATCTGCCCACCTCGGCCTCCCAAAGTGCTGGGATTACTGGTGTAAACCACCGTGCCCAGCCAGAATCTTTTGAGGCCAGGAGTTTGAGACCAGCCTGGGCCATAGAGCAAGGCTTCATCTCTACAAAAAAGTAAAAATAATAAAAAAAAATTTAAAAGGCTGGCAAGGATGGATTTAAAGTACTTAACACAACACCTGAACCATGCAAAGATGGCAAGGTAAATTCTTCGTTATATTGTTCAAAAAGAGACTAGAGTTTGAGACCAGCCTGGACAACATAGGGAGACCCCCGTCTGTACTAAAATGAAAACAAACAAACAAATAAAATAAAAAGAGACTAGACACGATAGATCTTGTAAAAGGTATCTATTAAAAACGTGGCCGGGCGCCGTGGCTCACACCTGTAATCCTACCACTTTGGGAGGCCGAGGTGAGCGGATCACTTGAGGTCAGGAGTTCAAGACCAGCCTGACCAACATGGCAAAACCCTGTTTCTACTAAAGATACAAAAATTACCCAGGCACGGTGGCGGGCGCCTGTAGTCACACCTACTCTGGAGGCTGAGCCAGGAGAATCACTTGAACCCGGGAGGCGGAGGTTGCAGTGAGCGGAGCTCGTGCCCCTGCACTCCAGCCTGGGCGAGAGTGAGACCCCGTCTCAAAAAAAACCCCCAAAAAACAAAATCAAAAAACAAAAACAAAAACAACCGTAAAAGTACTAAGTGCAATGTAGTGTCCTGTGTTGGATCTTGGAACAGAAAAAATGACACTAGTCGAAAAAATTGGTAAAATTGGAATAAAATCTGGAGTTTAGTAAATAAATAAGCTAACAACGCCGTTAAGTGTGACGTGTTTCCATACCATCGCTTTCCTACCATCCTAGCTTCCCTATCTACTGTAGGAATAGAGGATATGGTGTTCAAGGTGGGTGTTTTTCTCCGCCTCGATTGAAGAGCTTCGCGCTCTTTGGATTAACAGCCAGGTCATTCACAATTCAGTGTTCAGTTTTTCTATTGGGGTCCAGCGTCTCGGAGTAACATCCCTTTGTGTCATGGATACATCCAACTCTGGACTTCCCCATTAGATTCTGGCAAAAGCCCCACCAGAGCCCCCGCCAGAGCCAGAAGGCGGTCCCTCAGGTCAGGAAGGGGTTTTCCTGCCGCCGGAGCCGCGACCTCGGCTAGCGGTGGAGCGGGGCTTCGGCGGAGGGAGGTGCGGGGCCTCGGCGGAGGGAGGTGCCGGGGGCGCCGCCCACGGCCTCCTGGGCTCGGCGCGCGGGGCCGGGCTGCGGTTGGCCACAAGAGGCATCCATCTTCCCGGACCAGCCAGGCGTTTCCTAGCGGAGCAGGGGCGGGAGCTTGGACGGAGAAGGGCACAGGCCGGAGCGCGGTCCGCTCCCGCGAGCCTGGCCCCGCCTGGCGGAGCCCCGAGGAGCCACCGCCCGCAGATCGCTAGCCGGGCGCCCGCGAGGCGCGAGCCGTGTGCGCACCCTCAACTTTGCTGCCGCCGGGGGCGCGGCTCCCGCGTGCGTGTGCGAGTGTGCCTGTCACTAGCGGCCTCCTGGGGGCAGCAGCGGAAAGGGGGACGCAGAGAAAGGCAGCCTCGGCGCACCGCGGCCAGGGAGGCAGAGGCCCCTCGCGGCGCCGGCTCTGGAGACCTAAACTCCGCCGGGGCTGTGCCCAGGGCGCGTCTGAGCGTCGCCGCCTTCACCCTCTCAGCAGCAGCGGGGACTCGCGTCAGGACTGCGATTCCTTTCGCCTGCCGAGCTGTAGCGGCAGTGTCTGCGGGCAGAGGAGCGGCGGCCGTGGCAGCAGCATCCCCAGCCCGGGCGGGACCCTTGAGCGCCGGAGCCGACAGCTGGAGGCAGGAAGGGAGGGTTGTGGCGCCCGAGCTGGGCGCGTTCCCAGCGCCTGCCCTCCGCCGCTGGCCCTGTCCCGGGCGCCCGGTGCGGGTCTCGAACAATGGTGCGGAGCGCCGGCGCGAGCCCCGCGCCCGCCCAGCGGCCGTAGAGGAAGTGGCCGGGCTCCCGGCGAGGTGGGCAGGGAGACGTCCCCCGCCACTCGCTGGCTGGAGTTTGCCTGCGCGTCCGGCCTCTCCCCCGGGGATCCCCTGGGATTACCGACGGAGCTCAATTTCGAGAGTATGGTGCCAGCGCCCGGGCTAATCTAGTCCTCTCTACTCGCTCTTTTTCCCCTCCTCCTCCTACTTCTCCTCTCCCTCCTCCCTTCCCTCGGGTCGGCGCTGCCTCTGGATTGCCTGCGTGTGGGAGTACAACTCTGCCTCTCCAAGGAGAACGGGTTGTGACCACTGAACAAAACTTGCCCATTGAAAGCAAACCCGGAACAGCTGGATAATGTCCACCCCGAGCCGATTCAAGAAGGACAAAGAGATCATAGCCGAGTATGAAAGTCAAGTCAAAGGTAAGGATGGGAGCGGCTGCCTTGCTCCTTTTGTGTGCCTTCTTGTCATTGTGCTCGTGGAGTTGCGTATCTAACTTGGTGTCTGCGTGGGAGGAAGGTGGTGAGGGGACAGCTCGAGCCCTGTCTGAGCCACCTGGGCTTCCTACAAGCCAGTTAGTTCCCAGTTGCAATCCCAGTCCCGTCAAACCCACGGGGAGCTGGAAACTGGGTGACTTCCCCCGCCAGCTGCCAGCCCGCATCTCTAATGGGGAGAGAACTGGCTTTAACTTAACCACCTTCAGCTGGGCAACTTATGTGGGAAGCAGGCAGCAGTGGAGGATCCTGTCCAGCTATTATTATCACCATCATTATTCTTTTTAAATGGTAGGATTGTCACTACGTAATTTTTTTACGGAATGATTTTTGTAAAGTCTGTGAACCCCAAGCGGTCTACAGCCTCATTGAGTGCAGGCTATTTCAGATATTTACACCACTCACCTATTTACACCGCTCACAATTTATTAGGGCGAGACCCCTTTTATTAAATAGCTCCCTAAAAGCCTGGCAGTTAAACGAAGCAGTGACTAGTGGAATCTGACTCTTCCTTTATAATGGGCCAGAATTCATTGCCATCTTTCACACTCACATGGGAATATTGCTTTATCATTTTCTGGAAGCCACTTGCATGTAAAATGAAGGTTTGAATATTTGAGTAGTAGTTTCAGTCCATTTACATTGTCAACTAATGAAGGAAACCTAATTAAGGCTGATTATTTTTACTTTCTATGCCTTGTGATTAAAAATATATATATTTTCTCTCCAATACAAGTATTTTGTTTTGTTACTGAAGTGTTTCGTAAACATATGTGTTACTTGAATTTTTTCCTCCTCTTTCCTGAGGTCTCAGGAGTAGCTTTCCTGATTGAGACAATGGATGGAATGTTGGGACCGCCACTGTTCTTTGACACATTCAATGCAAAGTTCATAAAGATTGCTATGTATACACCTGTGTTTATCTATGCACAGTCTTATGAAAGGGCTACGGAGAGAGGCATTACTGTACTTCCCTTGAGCAAGGGAGGAGCAGCCTGAGTGTTCTTTTGTGTGGTCAAGTTGTAAAAATGCCTGGAGTCCTGTGAGAGGACCTGGTGGAGAAATCCTGTATCATCCAGTGTGAATACAGACCAACTCATTGTGGACACTGCAGACACAATATGCAAGATAACTTAGGTTATCTTTAGGAGGACCCCTATAATGGAGTTATCTATAGGCTGACCCCTATAATGTGTTCAGGAGACACAGATTTTTGTCTGCTTGGAATTGTGATAATTTATACTTACAGGAACTTGTTTCATTGCTATGGAAGTTGTGTTAGCAGATAAGTAATTATTTTCTTAGAGCCAGGTAAACTTTCTAATGAGACTAACCTTTCTTTTTTCAGTGAGTCCAACATAGCCTAAAACCTTTCATTCCAGGGCAGTACTCTTGTTCACAACCACCATTTCTCTGTGCAGTTTTTCCACATGGCTCTTTGTGGCAGGTCTTCAAGGGGTGGCGGTCTGGTTTTTCTGCCGCCTAGAGCACTAATTGGCAAATGCACTTCCAAATGTTGATTTCTTTATGTTTGCTGTAAGGTCACTTGCCAGTGATCAAGTCCTTATTTGAAAATCAGCGAAATGGGATGTGTTGCAATGTGTCTATCAAATTCAAACGGAAGAAAAATCATGAACATGGTGAAAATCACATTTGGAGCTAAGTCTGTCCCACAGAGAATGACCTTCTCCCTATTTCCTTCAACACTTCTTCCTTCCACACACCCACGAGTCCCTAGGCTGCTTTAGGAGTCTTCACTGCACCTGCCCTGCCCTGAGTCCAGGCTTTACCTCCTCCTGCAGTACCTACACATCCAGTATCTAACCTAGATCACTACATCCATACACAAACATGGGAATAAGGGAATATCATGGAGTCAGATCATATACGCATTAAATGGCACAAATTCACCTGGTACTTCTAGGCAAATCAAGAAGAGAGTGGGAGACAAATAACAGATAAATAGTACATGAGGCCAGCTGTCCAATGCAGGGAGAGTAGGCCCCTTAGTAAGGACAGCATGGGAGACAAGACTGGTTTTTCTGTACCCTCGCAGAGTGCTAGTCTGTTATTTACAGGTATGTGTTTTGGGATCAGGTGCAGTGGTGCATGCCTGTAATCTCCGCATTTCAGGAGGCTGAGGCAGGCGGATCACTTGGGGTTAGGGGTTCAAGACCAGCCTGGCCAACATTTTGGTAGAGAAACCACATCTTTACCAAAAAATACAAAAATTAGCTAGGTGTGGTGGCACACACCTGTGGTCCCAGTGTGCCTGTGGTTCCACTTGAACCCAGGAGGCAGAGGTTACAGTGAGCCGAAATCACATCACTGCACTCCAGTCTGGGTGACAGAGTGAGACTCTGTCTAATAAATAAATAAATAAATAAAGGTATATGTATTTGGAACAAACTACTTTTTAAATTACAGTCAGCAACTTTATCTGATGATAAAAAAAAATTCTGTTCTATTGCTAAAGGAAAACCTGACTGTGTGGGACTCATTAAGACATAAGTCTAGGCCAGGCACGGTGGCTCACGCCTGTAATCCCAGCACTTTGGGAGACCGAGGTGGGCGGATCACTTGAGGCCGAGACCAGCCTGGCCAACATGGTGAAACCCTGTCCCTACTAAAAATACAAAAATTAGCCGGACATGGTGGTGCATGCCTGTAGTCCCAGCTACCCTGGAGGCTGAGTCAGGAGAATTGCTTGAACCCGGGAGGCAGAAGTTGCAGTGAGCTGAAATTGCGCCACTGCACTCCAGCCTGGCTGACAGAGTGAGACTCTGTCTCAAGAAAAACACAATGAATAAACATACATATTGGACTCTATAGGTGACTTAGGTGTGTGGGTGATTTCAAGAGTCATTTTGATTATATGTATTTTTTTTTCTACCTTCTAACTTAGAACCTAACACTCTAGAATATTTTCCCCTGTTACTCTCTCCCATTTTCCCTAATAACAACTTTATTTATCTCAGAATTTTTGAGATAATGTTTTGACCTAAAGGAATGACTTCAGATATGGAATTTTTTTATTCTTTAATTTTTATTTTATATATATATATATATAAAAGGAGTATCGGTCTGCTGCCCAGGCCAGAGTGCAGTGGCGTGGTCTCGGCTCAGTGCAACCTCCACCTCCTGGGTTCAAGTGATTCTCCTGCCTCAGCCTCTGGAGTAGTTGGAATTATATACACGCACCACCACGCCCAGTTAATTTTTGTATTTTTAGTAGAGATGGGGTTTCGACATGTTGGCCAGGCTGGTCTCGAACTCCTGACCTCAGGTGATCCACCTGCCTCTGCCTCCACCTCCCAAAGTGCTGGGATTACAGGCATGAGCCACTGCACCCGGCCCAGATATGGAATTTTGCCACTGTGGCTGCCTGCACAGGTTTTGGGAACAGACTTCATGGGGCTATTCTTAACTGTGAAAAGAACCATTCCTGGTGATAATTCGTAATTTTATGTATAAGATCATAGATGTATCTAGTTGTGTGTATCATTTTGGGCAAGTCACTTAGCCTTTCTCTGGGTTTCGGTTTTCTTATCTATAAGATAAGGAGTTGGAATTCTCTTCATCTTAAGTGTCTTTTTTTTTTCTTTTTGAGACAGAGTCTCACTCTGTCACCCAAGCTGGAGTGCAGTGACACGATCTCTGCTCTCTGAAGCCTCTGCCTTCCGGTTTCAAGTGATTCTCATGCCTCAGCCTCCTGAGTAGCTGGAAATACAAGCGTGCACCACCATGCCTGACTAATTTTTGTAATCCTAAGTGTCTTTGAATCTAATTGAAGATGTCATATCAGTTCATATTAATTGCCTCATAAAATTTTCAAGCTTTTAAAGTTTTCAGTTGGCTGCTCTGTTTTGTGGAGAATCATTTTTGCTTTCACTTTTTTTTCATAAGTTCATGGACAGTGTATAAATTGAGTTTTTGGAGAATTAAAATAGAATACAATAAAGAATACAGAAAAAACAGTAATCAAAACCACATGCAGAGAAATGTAGCACAGAATTGTAAGACAGAAGAATCAGGAATGATACAAGTGGTTAAACAGTGGATAGGTTTAAATGGGGGACAAAAGGGGACCCCAGGCAACAGTTTTAAAGAATGAATTGAACATTTCATGCCTCTTGGTCAAATTCTCAAAGACTTAGAATTAAGAGAAATAAATCTCTTGTTTGAATAGGCCATTAGAAAGCAAGCATGTCTGGAAAAGTGTATGAAACCCAAACCAGTTGACTATGCTATTTGTTAGCATCTCTGGCAAATAGCGTAGCAGTGGAAGGGATTGAATAATTGGCTAGCAGAAGGTTTTGAATTATCTGTGGACTTTAGTGATCTATGTAATTCTTGTATTCTGCAGCAAAAATATTGTGGAGCTACACATATGGGAACAATAAAGACTCATAAAGACATGTTTTATGAAGTGGAACTTATAGATGAGAGGCTGTGTTTGTTTTTAATAATGCATGTTGCTAGTTGCTAAGAATTGACAGTTATTATTTGTAGTATTTTCCTAGAGATAGCACCATATTTATCTACATGGAATATGTACAGGGAGTGCCAAGAAAATCTGTTGTTCTTTGACCACTCTGCAGCCTGACATACAAATAATACATTTTAGTAGCAGATGGAACATGAGGAAATGCCAATTTGATTTGGTATGGCCCTGCATCATGCCATAGCAATATGGAACCTGTGTCTGCATCTTACATTCTTTCTTCAACATAGAATAGGAAGTGACAGCAATTTAAGTTATGAATTAAAACTTTATAGCTGGGAGGGACTTTTAACATTTTTTCTCCAACCCACTCATTACATGATGCAGGGAGGCTTAATGACAGAGTTGCACAATTAAGACGTACCTGGGACCAGAACCCAGGTTATCTTCTTTTCAGTAGCGATAATTCACTTGTAGATTCCTCACATAGTAGATATCTAAATAGGAGATAGAACAGTTACCTATTGAGACTTTACATTCATTGAAGGAGTCATTGTTGGAACTAAGAGAGCAAGGAAACCGTCGTCTGTGAACAGGAGTTAATTACATTGATTAACTCTAACCAAGTTGTTTTTTTCACCAGGACCATTTTAAGAGACCACAATACCCAGGCAGCAGCTTCACAGGGTGGCCTTTAAGGTCTAGAAAAACAACATGGTTAATATGTACAAATATGATTTGCCTGATGTTTTGGTGAAGCTGATTGCGCTACTGCAACAAGGCCTTTACAGTGCCCTGAAAACCCGGTTAGTTTCATGAACTTCAGAATATATTAAGGGATAGTTTTGGAGAAAATTTTGAGCAAAGCATGACCTTCTGAAACACATGAGGGCTGGATTATAATACAGGGTAGTAAATCTCAGCTCTGACAATCTATATTGGTTTGTTTACTCCTGTGCTATGTTGACCAGTTTAGGAGCCAGACAGCTTCAAGTCTGTTCTAGGTTTTAGAGTCTTTGTAAATTGGCCAATTTTTTTTTTTTTTTCTTCAAGACAGGATCTTGCTTTGTCACCCAGGCTGCAGTGCAGTGGGTGAACAAGGCTCACTGCAGCCTTGACCTCCTGGGCTCAAGCGATTCTTCTGCCTCAGCACCCCAAGTAGCTGGGAATATAGGTACACACCACCATACCTGGCTATTTTTTTTTTTTTTTTTTGTAAAGATAGGGTTTCGCCATGTTGCCCAGACTGGTCTCAAACTCCTGAGCTCCTGCCTCAGCCTCCCAAAGTGCTGGGATAATTGGCATGAGCCACCATGCCCGGCCAAGGAGAGACAGCTTAAAAAATTTTATTCATGCTACCTATTTTCACTTCAATTCAAACAACTAACAAAATAAAGAAAAGGGAATAAATTGTTTGTCTAATTAGTCTATTTATGCTTTAGCAGTTTGAAGGCAGAATTTTGGATTAGAGGATGGGCATGGTAGCTCATACCTGTAATCAATCCTAGCACTTTGGGAGGCCGAGGCGGGTGGATTGCTTGAGCCCAGGAGTTTGAGACCAGCCTTGGCAACATGGTGAAATCTCGTCTCTACTAAAAACACAAAAATTAGCCGGGTGTGGTAGCATGTATCTATAATCCCAGCTACTCTGGAGGCTGAGGCACAAGAATCACTTGAACCCAGAAGGCAGAGGTTGCAGTGAGCTGAGATTGTGCCACTGCACTCCAGCCTGGGCCACAGAGCGAGACTCCATCTCAGAAAAAAAGAAGTTTGGTTTAGAGACAGTTATGTAAAGGTAATTTTGTCAGCTCAGAACTACTTTCTAATTTATTGACAGCATTATCTACTCTCCCCTGTTGATATGTTAGACTGGGAAGAAACAGAACATGGTATTTAAAACCAGGAACTCTGGGCCAAGCACGGTGGCTCACACCTGTAATCTCAGCACTTTGGGAGGCAGAGATGGAAGGATCATTTGAGACCAGGAGTTCGAGACCAGCCTGGTCAACATGGCGAGACACCATCTCTAATTTTTAAAAAATAAATAAATAATAAAAAACCAGGAACTTCGGTGTTAGCAGTCTAGCCTTGTCACTGATTAGTTGTGTGATCTCTAAGAGTCAATTTCTTCATCTGTAAAATAGGGATAATAGTAGTACTTACCTTGTTGTCTTCTTTTCTTTCTTTCTTTCTTTTTTTTTTTTTTTAGACCGAGTCTTGCTCTGTCACCCAGGCTGGAGTGCAGTGGCGGGACTCTCAGGTTCAAGTGATCCTCCCACATCAGCCTCCCAAGTAGCTAGGATTACAGGCATGCACCCCCATGCCCAGCTAATTTTTTTGTATTTTTGGTAGAGACAGAGTTTTACTGTGTTGGCCAGGCTGGTCTCGAACTCCTGACCTCAAGCAATCCACCTGCCTCAGCTTCCCCAAGTGCTGGGATTACAGGTGTGAGCCACTGCATCTGGCCTCCTTGTTGTCTTTGTGAGATTGCAGTGAGGAAAACATTTATCACAGGCTTGGCACATAATAGTCAACAAATGTTAGTCATTGTTATCTCTTTAATGCTGGTTTTCTTTCTATCTACTGTATTTATTTATTTATTTTTGAGACAGGGTCTCGCTCTGTTGCTCAGGCTGGAGCACAGTGGCCCAATCTCGGCTCAGCTCACTGCAGCCTCAACCTCCCCAGGCTCAGGTGATCCTGCCACCTCAGCCTCCTGTGTAGCTGGGACTATAGGCGCCTGCCATCACGCCTGATTTTTGTATTTTTTGTAGAGACGGGTTTTGGCCATGTTGCCCAGGCTGGTTTCAAACTCCCAAACTCAAGTGATCCACCTGCTTGAGCCTTGGGCCTCCCAAAGTGCTGGGATTACAGGCATGAGCCACCTCGCCCAGCATGTTGTTCTATCTGCTGTATCTTGTTGCATTCTGATTTAGATAGGTTTTTTGAAATTCAAATACGTAATCACTAGTCTTTTTACCAGAATGAATTCCAAAGTGGACTAATCTTGAATTATCCTAAGAGAGTGCCATGTGCTTTTAGAGTGGAGTGGGTTTCATGGTGGAATTTAAAAGGGAAATAGAATAGACAATGCATACAGATTCCCAGCTCATTATAAGGTGGATTTTATATTTTGTCATTATTTTTCATGCAAGTGCAAGTAACAAAGCCTAAAAGCACATTCCTGGCCCTGGGCTGCCACGTATTTAAGAATAACTTTTGTTTTAAATTGTCTCTACCTCTGTTCAGTGATGCTGTATGGAAAATGAAAACTGTAGTTCAGTCAGTGGATTTGACTTACCTGTGGGTGAAAAAGATTCTTATGACATCAGATAAAGTCACTGCCTTAATCTCATAGTCTTGAGAAAAGTATTTTCTTTTAAAATCAATGTAGGAATGAAAATTCCACTTATGACTGCTAATTTGCTTCTGTTTCACTAGAAAGCACTTTGATATTAGAAATCATTGTCTGTGCATCTCCCACACGCTTTAGTACAGGGCCTCATTAAACATTTATTACATGAGAAGAGGAATAATTTGGAATAATAATTCCTTTATACTGCAAATAAGCATGGTGATCATTCAGAATTATCTAGGATGTCCAAACAAGTATTACCGCAAAATTTTTTTTTTTTTTGAGATGGAGTTTCACTCTTGTTGCCCAGGCTGGAGTGCAATGGCAAGATCTTGGCTCACTGCAACCTCCGTTTCCTGGGTTCAAGCAATTCTCCTGCCTCAGACTCATGAGTAGCTGGGAGTACAGGCACCCGCCACCATGCCCGGCTAATTTTTTGTATTTTTAGGAGACACGGGGTTTCACCATGTTGGCCAGGCTGGTCTCGAACTCCTGACATCAGGTGATCCACCCACCTCGGCCTCCCAAAGTGCTGGGATTACAGGTGTGAGCCACCGCACCCGGCCTATTACCACAAAATTTTAAGTTGAATTCAAATGGTTTATAATTTCTTTAGAAAGTCACTCAGCTGGAAACATTCTAAATGTCCAACAGTGGGGAATGGTTAACTAAATTCCACTGGTAAATTGTTAACTAACTGTATACATGCAATGTTATGCAGTCTTTACCACTGGTTTTTGAAGAACATTTTATGATGTGGTTAATTGTTTTTATAATAATTGAAGAAAGACTGTAAAATGGAAGGTGAAATAATAATTAAAGATAATCATAACCAGAGCTAACAGTATTGAGCACCTACAGTGAGCCAGTCACCATTGCTTTGCATGGGCACCATGAGGGATACACTGAGTTGTGTATGTGCAAAACAAGCTGCAATGCACGGGAGGAGGAATTTCTGCTTAACTTTCCTATTTAGTATAGTTAGTACTTTCTGTGTCTTTGGGCCACAGTATACCTGGCCTTTGGTAAATTTTCAGGCTAAATGTAAGAATCTGACTTTCAACTCCACCCTCCTTGAGTACAGGAGTGGGCAAGGTAAATCCAAGCAAAGCTTAGCCTCTGGATTGAACCTCTGATAATCAGATTTGTCCATGGGACAACCAAATTTCTCATTTGTTTACAACTCATTTATATACTTTGGTTTTTCCTTGCTTTGAGCTTAGTTGGCATGTGTGTTTGGGAGAGCAAGCTTGCTTCTTTGCTTGCTTGCTTTGTGAAATATACATACAAACAGGTACAGAAAATGATTATTTACAGTTTAAAGAATAGTAGCTTTGAATACTTCAGTGCTAGCCACCCAGGTTAAGAAAGAAACATTACCAGTGCCTTAGAAACCCCCATGGAATGTCCCTTTCCTAGCAAATCTCCCTTCATTCCCACTGCCACTCTTAGTATTAATAATTCCTTTGTTTTCTGTAAAGCTTTACTGTCATTTTGTAGCTTTCTTTATAGTTTTGATTAGGATGCATTCATATATCAAGAATATAGGGCCATTTGAACACTTTCTGAATTTTTAATAATATTGATGAATTGGTGTAAATTTTAAAAATTGGAATAGTAGTGTTTTGGCATGTATAACAAATCTTTATCTTTTAAAGATACATGCTGAGTAATAATGGATGAAATTAGGACATCTGGGATTTTCTTGAAAGTAATCTTGGGGAGGGAAGAAATACGTAGGGATACAGATAAAATACAAAATGAATTGATAATCCGTGGGTGCACGAGGTTAATTATATTATTCTCTTTATTTTTGCATATGCTTGAAATTTTCCCTAATAAAAAATTAATAATATGTATTCTTATGACTTCAATTTTATACTCAATATTATTATGTTAAGATTAATCTACCTTAATGTATGCAACTATAATTTCACTGCCACACTGTGTGCTTTCTCTGGTGCATAATATTCCAGTGCATAAAAAATACTACAAGCTATTGATTCATTCTATATGACATTTGAATTATTTATAGTTTTTTTGCTATCATGAATAGTAATAGTGTATAAAATGCTGTAGGTGTCTCCTGATGTATACGTACAAGAAGAGTTTCTCTAGGTGTACTTGCTGGGTCACTGGGAATGTGCATGTTCATCTTTACCAGGTAATGTCAAACCTTTCTCTTATTAGCAGGGGAGGAGAGTTCCACAGCCTGAAAAACACTTAGCATTGAGCAATGTGCTAGTTAAAGAAGAGGCTAAGCTGTTATAATAAAGAGAACCCCCCAAACAGTGACTTTAAACTAGAGAGATTTTTTTCTTTCTCGGGTAACAGACTGGAGATGTCCAATCCAGGCCAGCAGGACATCTTTGCCCCATTATTAAGTTTCCTTCCATCTTGTGGTTCTGCCATTACCTAGATAAATGAACTTGTCTACTCTTTGAAACCAGATTTTAAGTATTTCAGTGTTTCAGCTTGTAGGAAGGAAAATCAGCCTTAAGGAGCACATGTCCACGGTTTTCAAACCCAGCCCTTACTAGTACACATAATTTCCACTTACTTAACCAGTGGGAACTTAGTTACATGGCCACATCTTGCTGCAAGGGAAGCTGGGAAATATAGTCTCTCTGGATGGCCCTGTTTCTAATTATAACTTGATGGTCACAGCATGAAAGAAGAGATTTTGGTGAACAAGCAGCAGTCAACATGAAAAATGGTGTTTTTTTTTTTTTTTTTTTTTTTTTTTTTTTTGAGGGAGAGTCTCACTCTATCAGCCAGGCTAGGGTGCAGTGGCACCATCTCTATGGCTCACTGCAACCTCCACCTCCCAAGTTCAGGCAATTCTCATGCCTCAGCTTCCCAAGTAGGGACTACAGGCGTGCACCACCACACCCGGCTGATTTTTGTATTTTTTAGTAGAGACGGAGTTCCACCATGTTGCCCAGGCTGGTCTTGAACTCCTGGGCTCAAGTGATTGCCCTCCTTGGCCTTCCAAAGTGCTGGGATTACAGGCGTGAGCCACCATGCCCAGCCAGAATTATTTTCTCTTCCTTTTTATTTTTAATTTTTGTGGGTACACAGTAGGTGTGTATATCTTATTGATTTGTGAGTTTTGTTTTGTTTTAGTATGTTCGTGATGTTAGTCTCTTGCCAGTTATATCTGTTGCAAATATCTGCTCCCAGTCTGTAGCTTGTGTTTTCACTTTTAAAAAGATCCTCTAGGCTGGGCTTGGTGGCTCATGCCTGTAATCCCAGCACTTTGGGAAGCTGAGGCAGGTGGATCACCTGAGGTCAGGAATTTGAGATCAGCCTGGCCAACATGGCGAAACGCCATCTCTACTAAAAATACAAAAATTAGCTGGGCATGGTGGCAGGCGCTGGTAATCCCAGCTCCTTGGGAGGCTGAGGCAGGAGAATCATCTCAACCCAGGAGGTGGGGATGAGCCAAGATCGCACCATTGCACTCCAGCCTGGGCAACAAGAGCGAAACTCCGTCTCTAAATAAATAAATAAATAAATAAATAAATAAATAAATAAATAAAAAGATCCTCTTAATAAATAGAAGTTGTTCATTTTTAATCTGTTCACATGTATCAATTATTTATATTTGGTGTTTAAATAATCCTTCCCCACTCTAAAGTCAGGAAGATACCTGTCTGTGTCATCTTCTAAATGTTGTAAAATTTTGCTTTCGGCGTATGTTTTTAATTCATCTGAAGTTTTTTATTTTGTGTGAGCTAGGAATTTTGTTAAAGTTCTTTTCATTTAAATGACCTTTCTTGGGTTCCATGTGCTAATAGTCTTTTTGAAGAAATGATATGCTAGCTGCTTCTGTTTTGATGAAAGTTTCACATACGCAAAACTCTATTTTTGGACACTCTATTGTGTTCCGTTGGTTAATTTATTCTTGCACCAATACCAATCACACTATCTTAACTACTATAGCTTTGTAATAAGTCTTTATGTCTGGTAAGCTAAATCTTCCTTCTGTCTTCTTTTTCAGAAGTATCTTCTGATCTTGCTCCTTTCTCTTCCAAGTAAATTTTAGAATTAGTTGGCCTTCCATTGAAAACACATTGGCATTTTGATTGGAATTGCGTGAAATTATAAATCAGTTAGGGAAGAATTGGCATCTATATATTAGTTCTTCCTACCTGTGAATATGAGTATTCCTCCATTTATTTAGTTGTTTTAAAATATCTTTGTGTAAAGTTTTATGCTTTTGATATTTTTGTTTAGATTTATATCAGGATGCTATTTTTATGACTAATGTTCATGAGATCTCTTTCAAGAGTGTTTTCTACTTTCTATTATGCAGAAATGCAATTTACTGCTTTTTTTTTTTTTGAGATGGAGTTTCGCTTACCCAGGCTGGAGTGCACTGGCGTGATCTCGGCCCACTGCAACCTCCGCCTCCTGGGTTCAAGCGATTCTCTTGCCTCAGCCTCCCAAGTAGCTAAGATTACAGGCATGCTCCACCACGCCCAGCTAATTTTGTATTTTTAGTAGAGATGGGATTTCTCCATGTTGGCCAGGCTGGTCTCGAACTCCCGACCTCAGATGATTCACCCACCTTGGCCTCCCAAAGTGCTGGGATTACAGGTGTGAGCCACCACACCTGGTCTGCAATTTACTTTTTTTTTTTGAGACGAAGTCTTGCTCTGTCACCCAGGCTGGAGTGCAGTGGCATGGTCTCGGCTCACTGCAACCTCCGCCTCCCATGTTTAAGCAATTCTCCTGCCTCAGCCTCCAAAGTAGCTGGTATTACAGGTGTGCACCACCATACCTGGCAACTTTTTTTGTATTTTTAGTAAAGACAGGGTTTCACCATGTTGGCCAGGCTGATCTCAAACTCCAGACATCAAGTGATCCACCCGCCTTGGCCTCCCAAAGTGCTGGGATTACAGGCATGAGCCACCGTGCCTGGCTGCAGTTTACTTTTACATAGCCACTTTGCTAGTCTGCTATTTCAAAGAATTTTTTCCCTTGTTTGGTAAAAAAAACACTCATTATTTATAAATAAAGATGATTTTATTTTCTCATTTATAAGCCCTATGGATTTATTTTTCTTATATTTTTGCCCTAGGCAGAATTTCCAGTACAAAATTAGTGAAAGTGCCAACCTTGGCATTCTTGTTTTCCATTGAGAAAGGAATGCTTTCAGGCCCCTCCTCCCTTGAAGAATGATGGTTGTTTTCAGTTTATTATAGATACTCTTTAATAGGTAAAGTGCAAATCTTTTGTATTCTTTGCTTACTTGAAGTTTTAATCATTAATAGGTGGTTGAATGTTACCTTCTTTTTCTTTTTGAATCTGTTGATATTATGTTTTTTCTTCTTTACTCTGTTAATGTGATGAGTAATATTTATAGATTTCCTAATATTTAACCTTCTTTGCATTAAGGCTATCTTCGTTGTATTTTGTGTGTGGTGTGTGTGTGTGTGTGTGTGTCTGTCTGTCTGTATACACCGTTGGATTCAGTTTGCTAATATCTAGTATTTTTGTCTTTAAATTCTTGGGAAAAAAACAGACCTATGATTTTACTTTTTAATAATGTCGCTGTCTATGTTTTTTTTTTGGAGGGGAGGGTGGGGAGATGGGGCTTCACTTTGCTGCCCAGGCTGGTCTTGAATTCCTGGACTCAGAGAATTCCTGGGCTCAAACAATCCTCCTGCCTCGGCCTTTCAAAGTGCTGGGATTACAGGCATAGAGCCATCAAGCCTGACCACGAATCTGTTATACTAGCCTCACAGCGTGAGTGAGGCTATTTTGTGGAAGATTTTGAAACTTTGAAATATTTCTTTCATTGAGAGTTCAGTAGAACTGTTTATCTGAGTCTAATTAGTTTCCTTGTATGAATAATTTTTAAACTGCTAATCAGTAGTTAATCATTTTATTAGTTACAGGATTATTTGTGCTGTGTATTTCTTCTCATGTCAGTTTTGATAAATTATACTTTTCTTTTTTTGAGATGGAGTTTCGCTCTTGTTGCCAGGCTGGAGTGCAATGGCGCAATCTGCTCACTACAACCTCTGCCTCCTGGGTTCAAGCGATTCTCCTGCCTCAACCTCCCAAGTAGCTGGGTTTACGGGTGCGTGCCACCATGCCCAGCTAATTTTTGTATTTTTAGTAGAGACAGGGTTTTGCCATGTTGGCCTGGCTGGTCTGGAACTCCTGACCTCAGGTGATCCACCCGCCTCGGCCTCCCAAAGTGCTGGGATTACAGGCGTGAGCCACTGTGCCTGGCCGATAAATTATATTTTTCTAGAAATGTATTCATTCTGTATAAGATTTAAAATGTATTGAAATAATACTGATGATAGTATTCTCTTATTTTAAAAACATAGGCTGATCTGTAATGAATTAAAAATATATTATTTAAAAATATTTATTTTTGCCTTTTCTTGCTGAATCTTAAAGTAGTTTGTCTTTTTTGAGACGAGGTCTTACTCTGTCATCCAGGCTGGCATTCAGTGGCTCATTGCAACCGCCACCTCCCAGTTCAAGTGATTTTGGTGCCTCAGCCTCCCAAGTAGCTGGGATTACAGGTATGCACCACCATGCCTGGCTCCTGGCTAATTTTTGTATAATTAGTAGAGATGGGGTTTCACCATGTTGAACAGGCTGGTCTTGAACTCGTGGCCTCAAATGATACACTCGCCTCAGCCTCCTAAAGTGCTGGGATTACAGGTGTGAACCTCTGCACCTGGCTAGTTTATCTGTTTCTGTTGGTTTTTCTTCTCTGTTTTGTGAATTTCTGCTCTTATCTTTACTATCATCGTTTTCATTTTCATTGAATTTATTGTTCTTTACCTATTTTCTTAAGTTGAACACATAGCTCATTCTTTTTTATCCTTATTTTCTAATATAAGCACTTAAGATAATACAGTTATTTTCTATAATATAAACGCTATTACTAATATAAGTATTTAGAATGTAAGCATCTTTTAAAATGTAACACTTCTAACATAAACACCTTTTCCTCTTTTTAACATCAGCATGAAATGGAATACAATTCCTTTTCTAATATAATCATTCTTTCTAATATGACTGTTTCTTCTAATGTAAGCGTTAACCCTAAGAAAGGCATCTTTTCTTCCCTAATAAATATTCATGATAATTTTCCTTAAACTACTACCTTTGCTGCATCTCACTAGTTTTGATATGTAAAGAATTAAGTTCTAAAAATGTTTTAATTTTCATAATAATTTCTTCTTTGACTCATGAGGTGTGTGTGTGTAAATATATGGTATTTCCTTTTATTTTTCTGGGATGGGGTCTAACTGTGCTGCCCAGGCTAAAGTGCAGTGGCGTGATCTTGGTTCACTGCAACCTCTGCCTCCTGGGCTCAAGCAGTCCTCCCACCTCAGCCTCCTGAGTAGGTCGCTGGGACCACAAGCATGCACCACCACACCTGGCTAATTTTTTGTATTTTTGGTAGAGACAGGGTTTCACCATGTTGCTCAGGCTTGTCTCAAACTCCTGAGCTCAAGCAATTTGCCTGCCTTGGACTCCCAAAGTGCTGGGATTACAGGTGTGAGCCACCATGCCCAGCCTGGTATTTACATTTTTTAAACAGATACATAAGACTATTTTATTTTTTCCTTTTAATATAATTACATTATGAACTGAGAGTAATAGTGTTTGAAATTAGTTGGAGGTTGTTTCCCCTTTTTCTGTTTTCTGCAGGAGTTCATGTTAGATTGGAATTATCTGACTCTTAAATGTTTAGTAGAACTCATCTGCAAAGTCATCTGGGTCTCACATTTTCATCAAGGAGAAAAAAATCTCATTGTGTTCAAATTTTCTGATTAACTGACATAAAATTGTTTACAGCATCCTTTTATCGTCTTAATCTCTGCATTATTTTCAATTAGGCCTCTTTTCTGTTAATAACAAATGTCTGTGTATATATTCTCTCTTTTTTCATTGATTGACTTGCCAGAAGTATGTTTATTAGTCTTTTCAAAGAACTAGGTTTTTGCTTTATTGATTTACTGTATTGTATTTTCTGTTTCATTAGTTTATCCTATTATACTCTTCCTTTTTCTTCATTTCTCTCTTTCTTGCCCTCTTTTTTTTTTTTAAAGAGAAAGGGTCTCGCTTTGTTGCCCAGACTGGAGTGCAGTGCTTTTCACAGGTGTAATCATTGTGCATTATAGCCTGGAACTCCTGGGCTCAAGTAATGCTCTCACTTCAGCCTCTTGAGTAACTGGGAGTGCAGGCGCAGACCGCCAAGCCTGGCCCTTTTACTTTTCTCATGGGTCTTTATTTGCTGAACCTTTTTAAGGTTTGTATTTATTTTCTCAGTTATTATTTTTAAAGTTTTTTATTTAATTTCTCAGTTATTATTTTTCTTTTCTGATATAAAAATAAAAGGTTGTAAAATTTCCTCTAAGTACTGCTTTACCTGCATTCTGTAATTTTTTTTTTTTTTTAATAGAGACAGGGATTCACTATGTTACCAAGGCTGGTCTTGAACTCCTGAGCTCAAGCAATCTGCCCAGCTTAGCCTCACAAAGGGATGGTAGGCATATATATATATATATTTTTTTTTTTTTTTGAGGCAAAGTCTTGCTCTGTTGCCCAGGCTGGAGTGCAGTGGCACATTCTCAGCTTACTGCAACCTCCGCCTCCCAGGATCAAGCGATTCTCATACCTCAACCTCTGGAGTAGCTAGGATTATAGGCACCCACCACCATACCCACCAATTTTAGTATTTTCAGTAGAGACAGGGTTTCACCATGTTAGCCAGGCTGGCCTTGAACTCCTGACCTCAAGTGATCTGCCTGCCTCTGCCTCCCAAAGTGCTAGGAATACAGGCATGAACCACTGCACCCAGCCAGGCATAAATTTTTATATGTAGTGTTTTTATCTTTCAGCTCTGTGTATTTTCTAATTTCCATGATTATTATTTCTGTGACTCATGACCTGTTTAAAAATATGTTTTAGGCCAGGAGTGGTGGCTTATTCCGTAATCCCAACACTTTGGGAGGCTGAGATGGGTCAATTGCTTGAGTCCAGGAATTTGAAACCAGCCTGGGCAACATAGTGAGGCACTGTCTCTATAAAAAATTTAAAAATTGGCCTGGCGCAGTGGCTCACGCCTGTAATCCCAGCACTTTGGGAGGATGAGGTGGGTGGATCACCTGAGGTCAGGAGTTTGAGACCAGCCTGGCCGACATGGTAAACCCCGTCTCTGCTAATAACACAAAAATTAGCCAGGTGTGGTGGCGCATGCCTGTAATCCCAGCTACTCAGGAGGCTGAGGCAGGAGAACTGCTTGAACCCAGGAGGAGGAGGTTGCAGTGAGCCGAGATCACGCCACTGCATTCTAGTCTGGGCGATGAGTGAAACTCCATCTCAAAAAAAATTTATACACACACACCTCATGAGTCAAAGAAGAAATTATTATGAAAATTAAAACATTTTTAGAACTTAATTCTTTACATATCAAAACTAGTGAGATGCAGCAAAGGTAGTAGTTTAAGGAAAATTATCCCTTGTGATTCTTTCCTACTCCAAGGCTGGCTGTGGAGACCTATGACACTAGGCCCTGCGGGGGAGGTGCCACCCTGCAGGCTTTTTGGTGTCACAGCCAACTTGGCACAAGACGAGCATTTACAAACATTCCAGCAGTTCTTAAAGCATTAGATGTCACAGTTACTGGACTGTCATTTCTGACTCCCTTCTCAGTTGGTCTGTGGAAGACATGGACTTTTGCCCTTGACTTTTATTATTCTGAAGGTGCGGCTTATGCAAACAGCTCCTTCTCACAGACCTCCAGCAACTAAGATAGAACAAAGGTGTCTGCTTATCTTAAGTCAGACCTTTTTCACTTCTGAAGATATCCAGATTTTAGTCTGGCTGTGAAATTAGCATGTTTTCACCAGTGGAATTCAGCTTTGGAACAGTATTTACCAAGGAGAAGGAGCAGGAAGACATCCGTTTGCTCATCTTGTTTTACATATGTAATGGCGCTGTGTATTTCTTTTGATGTCTTCTCAATGCCGTTCACAAAGTTTTCTTTGAAAGTGATGGCTTTATCCTTCTGCTCATATTGATTACCACAGTTCAAGTACCATTTAGTTGAATTATAATCCTCAAGCACCAGGGGAGATTCCAGAACTCAGTGAATGAGAGATTTGATCATTGCTGCAGGACTGAGTTCTGCCCATTCCCTGTTCTTAGAGGAGAGGTAGGGAAAAAGAGCACCTTTTTAGAAACTTGCACTAGAAAAGGCGAGGAATGTTTTCTTTGGCTGACCCCAGGGCTTGATTAATTTGCTCACCATTTCTTTGGCTGTGACAAGTTTTCACTTTTATTTACTTCATGACAGACAGTGGAGACATTGCTTGATAATGATGCGGCACAGAAAGCTGGTAGGTTTTGAGATTTAGAAAAGAAAATTTGTTAGTTTTTGTGTCTCTTAGAGAAGAGTTTTCTGAGTACAGTATTACAAAAAAGGAATGAATGCCTTTTCAAATGGTTGCTCTTTTCAAAAGGTTGCTCTTTTTTTTTCTTTTTTTTTTTTTTGAGACAGTGTCTTACCTTATCGCCCAGGCTGGAGTGCAGTGGCATGATCTGGGTTCACTGCAACCTCTGCCTCCTGGGTTCAAGCAATTTTCATACCTCAGCCTCCCAAGTAGCTCGGATGACAGGCATGTGCTGCCATGCCTGCCTAATTTTGTGTCTTTAGTAGAGATGGGGTTTCACCATGTTGGCCAGGCTGGTCTCGAACTCCTGGCCTTAAGTGATCTGCCTGCCTTGGCCTCTCAAAGTGCTGGGATTATAGGCGTGAGCCACCGCGCCCAGCCACAGTTGCTCCATTTTTAATTGAACTTCTGTTGCACTTGTATTGACAGTGTTTATGGGAACTCTCAAATGTGTCACCAAAAATCTATATTTGAAAGATTTCCAGACTATTGTTCTAGAGCTAAGTTTTAATTATACACATCTATCTGTATTGTTAAAATAAAAACTTTAAACAAATTAAATTTAACAGAGTTTAATTGAGCAAAGAACAATTTGTGAATTGGGCTGCCTCCCAAGCCAGAGTAATAAGCTCAGAGAGACTCCAGTGCAGCCACATGGTGGAAGATTTATGGACAGAAAAGGGAAAGTGATGTATAGAAAATGGAAGCGAGGTACAGAAACAGGTGGATTGGTTACAGCTCAGCATTTGCCTTATTTGAATACGGTTTGAACCCCCAGCCACCTTTAATTGGCCAAAATTTGGTCACTGGCACAAGAGGAGGTTTTAGTCTGTTTATATTTCCACTAAGGTTTCAGTTTACTATGTCCAGAGAAACCTTTAGGCTAAACTTAAAATATATGAGGAGGCAGCTTTAGGTTAAACTTAATTTAATAGTATTCTCCACATACCTAATCTATGAATAAGCATCTTCTTTGAAGACGGGAACTGTACTTCAGGTTCTTTTCTGTTTAGCATTTAATTCCAAGATTTCCTCCAGCAATCTTGGAATTACGTTGTGAAATAATGTACAGAAAGCCTTGTGCACTGTGAAACAGAATAAAAATTACTTTTATTATCATTGTGGTTATTCATCTTTTGGGTATTTCACAGTCTCATAATACCACGTCCCATTTTCAGATACCATATAACACTCTGAAATAAGCACACTCATGTAGATTAGTATACATCTCATGTAACCTAGTAGTTTATAGCATGGCCTCAGGAGTCAAACTGCTAGGGTCTAAATCTCCCAGCTCAGCTACTTTCTGGCAGTTTAACTATGGGCAAATTACTTAATCTCATTCTGCCTTACTTTCCTTGCCATTAAAATAGTGATAATGATAGTACCCATTTCAGAGCATTGCTGAGACAAGTAGAGTGTTGAACTGTCTGTCACATAGAATGCTCAAAATATGTGAAAGTATTACCACTTTTATGAACTCTGGCCCTGAAAGCAATAATAATAAATGTTAGGTTGCAAAAGACTTAGTAGCCAAGAGGAGCCTAAGGAGTACATGGGGACTAAACATAATATGCTGTATAGATAGGATCCTGCGACAGGAAAAGAACATTAGGTAAAAACAAAGGAAATCCAAATAAAGGATGAACTTTAGTGAATTAGGAAAAATTGTTAGCCTGGGAAAATAAAACATCTGTGAAAAAAAAATTCCACTCATATAACTATATGGTTATATAAAAAAATAAACTTGTTGGCTAAAATAGAGATTGATAAGGCAGAAAATGGAAGTTCTCCCCTTTCCAAAGATAACTACTCTTAATGGTTCAGAGTATTACATTGGTGCAAAAGTGCAATTACTTTTGCACCATGAATTTTAAATCATTATTACTAGGCTGAAACACATTTTTATTAATCAAAATAGGAAGCATTATAACCAACACATTTTTGCCAATGAAAAATAAGTTTTTCTGAGTAAAAATCCGTAGGCAGGGCACGGTGGCTCACTCCTGTAATCCTAGCACTTTGGGAGGCTGAGGCGGGCAGATCACAGGGCAGATCACGTGAGGTCAGGAGTTCGAGACCAGCCCAGCCAACATGGCGAAACCCCGTCTCTACTAAAAATACAAAAATTAGCTGGGCATGGTGGTGGGTGCCTATAATCTTAGTTACTTGGGAGACTGAGGCAGGAGAATCGCTTGAACCCAGGAGGTGGAGGTTGCGGTGAGCCGAGATCCTGCCACTGTACTCCAGCCTGGGCGATAGAGCGAGATTCAGTCCCCACCCGCCGCTGCCAAAAAAAAAATCTGTGCTTTGTGATTCAACAAATTCTTGAAAAGCATTTTCTGCATCCTGCTGGTTGTGGAAGTGTTTTCCCTGCAAAAAGTCATTGAGATACTTGAAGAAGTGGCAGTCTGTTGGCGAGAGGTCAGGTGAATATGGTGGATGAAGCAAAACTTTGTAACCCAATTCCTTCAACTTTTGAAGCGTTGGTCGAGTGAAGTTCATTTGGCTATTGTCATGGAGAAGAATTGGGCCTTTCCTATTGACCAGTGCCGGCTGCAGGTGTTGCAGTTTTCGGTGCATCTCATCCATTTGCTGAGCATACTTCTCAGATGTAATGGGTTTGCTGGGATTCAGAAAGCTGTAGTGGATCAGACAAGCAGCAGATCACCACACAATGACCATGACCTTTTTTTGGTGCAAGTTTGGTTTTGGGAAGTGCTTTGGAGCTTCTCTCAGTCCAACCACTCAGCTCATCGTTGTCGGTTGTGGTATAAAATCCACTTTTCGTTGCATGTCAACATCCGATGGAGAAATAGTTTGTTGTTATTTTGCAGAGTAAGAGAAGACAACACTTCAAAATGACGTTTTTTTTATTTTTGCTCAGCTCATGAGGCACCCACTTATCAAGGCTTTTTAGCTTTCCAATATGCTTCAAATGCTGAATGACCATAGAATCGTCGATGTTGTTCTTCGACAACTTTTTGTGTAGTTGTAAGAGGATCAGCTTCGATGATTGCTCTCAACTGGTCATTGTCAACTTCCAGTGGCCAGCCACTATGCTTCTTATCTTCAAGGCTCTCATCTCCTTTGCAAAACTTCTTGAAACCACCACTGCACTGTATGTTCATAAGCAGTCCCTGGGCCAAATGTGTTGTTGATATTGTGAGTTGTCTCCACTGCTTTATGACCCATTTTTAACTTGAATATCACTCGAATCTGCTTTTTGTCTAACATCATTTCCATTGTCTAAAATAAATATAAAATAAAAAGCAAGTAATAAGTCATTAGCAAGAAAACATAAAGTGAGAAATATGCATTAAAATGATGTATAACATAACCACATTTATGTAAGAATGTGTATTCCAATATCAGACAGCAAATTTCAACAATGCAAAAACCATGATTACACTTGTACCAGTTGAATACATCCTTCCAATGGCAAAATTTGTATTTATTTATATTTATAATAGTTAATCTATTTATTTACTTATTGAACAAATGGGATCGTTTGTAGAATAGTTAATATAGACTTTTTTTTTTCTTTTTTTTTTTGCTCAACAATGTGTCATCTATACCAGTGCTACTCAAGCATAGTTCATAGACCAGTGCTGGTCAGCAATGCATTTGTTACCAGTCTCTGGGGAGATAAGGGAGGAGATAAGGTAAATCATAACATTTCTTTTTTTTTTTTTTGAGACAGGCTCTCACTCTGTCACCCAGGCTAGAGTGCAGTGGCACGCTCATGGCTCACTGCAGCCTCAATCTCCTGGACTCAACTGATCCTCCCACCTCAGCCTTCTGAGTAGCTGGGACTACAGGCGTTCATCACTATTCCCAGCTAATTTTTTTATTTCGCCGTGTTGCCCACGGTGGTCTCGAACTCCTGGACTTAAGTGATCCTCTTACCTTGGCCTTCCAAAGTTCTGGGATTACAAGTGTGAGCCACCACTCCTGGCCTTGGCACTGCTTTCTTTATTCAGAAAATCTTGCTACGAAACTAAACAGTGGTTAGTGATGTGAAGCTTTAGATTCTGGCCTAAGCCTCTTATCTCATTGTGGATCTGAAATGAACAGTTTGCTGACCTTCATCTGAGTAGTGCTGGTCTGCACCATGCCATATAAACATATAAAGAGCTGTGTTATCTCTTTAGGAGTTATTGATATTACTTGTTTTTCTTTTTGATTTAGAAACAAGATTGTCTTTCAAATGGAATAGTGGTGGCATTTACCAATAGCCACCTCTGTACTTTTATCTGCATCAGTTTCAGTGATTGAACTTCATTTAAAGAGTCAACACAGTATAGAGGTTGAGACCTTGGATAAAGCCAATTCAAATTATGGCTACTCTGGAACCTCAATTTTTTAATCTGAAAAATTGATATGATGAATCAATCTTATAAGATGAATCTATCTTATAAGATTATTATGAGGATTAATGATTAAATGAGATCATACCTTCAAAGAGCTTAACACGTTTTTTTGTCATGTAGTAAGGGCTCAATAACAATGAGTTGCTATCATAATATTATTTACTACTACCAGAAGCTATGGTCTTAATTAGTGACATTTAAAAAAAAATAATTTAAAACTCACTCATTTCCAAATAAGTTGAAATTACTTAACAGATTAAAATCTTGCAAAGCAAACACTAAAAAAAATGTGGATGTTAATGGTGCTTTAGAAAAGCAGGGAGATATTTATCACCAGAAGCTATGCTTTGCCCAATGTTAAAAAGTATTGTGTTGTTAGACTTCCTATAACATTTGGCTACAAAGAGACATTTTGTTACAATTTCTTACATCATCATTAAGAGAATCTCAAGGGCTGATAAATTCTATTTCCATATATATATATATATATATATTTTTTTTTTTTTTTTTTTTTTGTTTTTTTTTTTTTGTTTTTTGAGATAGAGTTTCACTCTGTTGCTCAGGCTGGAGTGCACTGGCACGATCTCGGCTCACTGCAACCTCCGCCTCCTGGGTTCAAGCCATTCTCCTGCCTCAGCCTCCCAAGCAGCTGGGATTACAGGTGTGCACCACCACACCCAGCTAATTTTTTGTATTTTTAGTAGAGATGGGGTCTCACCAGGTTGGCCAGCCTGGTGTCAAACTCCTGACTTCAGGTGATCCGCCCGCCTCAGCCTCCCAAAGTGTTGGGCTTACAGGCGTGAGCCACCGCGCCTGGCTGTCTATATATTTTTACAGGGTTTTGTTATGTTGCCTAGGCTAGAGTGCAGTGGCATAATCTCAGCTCACTGCAGTCTTGACTTTCTGGGCTCAGGTGATCCTCCCACCTCAGCCTCCGAAGTAGCTGAGCGCACCAGCAAACCTGGCTAATTTTTTGTAGAGATGGACGGGGTTTTGCTATGTTGCCCAGGCTGGCCTTGAACTCCTGGGCTCAAGCGATATGCCAGCCTTGGCCTCCAGAAGTGCTAGGAGTACAGCCATGAGCCACTGCGCCTGGCCTGAATTCTATTTTCTATGTGCAATGGGGGAGTCCTATTTTAATAGGGGGAGAGATAATATTTTTATAAGGAGACCACTCTCATCATAAGATCTGCAAGTGTCTCCTTAACTTTTAAGTGCTATCAATAGTTCTAAAAGGTCAGACCACTTCCTTATTCTCTTGATATCTGGTATTGGCTTCTCTGTTGAGAAGATCTAGTTTTAGTTTAATTTTCAGAAAAGTGAATTGCTATGATTTTGTTGTTGGTGGTGGCATTGTTGCTATAGATGTAGATTGCTCTACCATTAACCTGCACTAGTTGTTCACTAGTTGTGTCAAAAATAAATAATGTGCCAGACAAATTAAAAAACTAATAAGTTATTCCATCTGGCTCTCAAAGGCATAATCCTCTCATTTGCTTCCAGATAGGATATATATGTATCGTGTTAAGACACTAAGGTCTGTTTTGTGCTGCTATAACAGAGTACCACAGACTAGGTAATTTATAATGAAAATATATTTGTTGGCTCACAGTTCTGGTTGCTGGGAAGTCCAAGATGGAAGGTCTGGCATCTGATGAGGGCCTTCTTGCTACATCATCCCATGGCAGAAAGGCAAAGAAAGGGCAAGAGAGGGCCAAATGTATCTTTTATAAGGAGCCCACTCCAGAGATAACAATAATGGCATTAATTCATTCAGGAAGGCAAACCCCTCATGGTCTGATCACCTCTTGAAAGTCCCACCTCCCGACACTACTGCACTGGGGATTAAGTTTCCAGCACATGCTTTTTGGGGGACACATTGAAACCACGGCATATGGTATGTATGTGTGTGTGTGTGTGTTTCTTTCCTTCCTTTCAACAGGGCAGCACCCTTCTAAAACACCCCCAAATACTCCCTAAATGTCCTTGGTCAGCACCTTATTCTCACAAGTCTTCCATAACTTAACTCTGATTTTTCCTGCGTTCATCTATAAGTATTCACTATGTCATTAAAGCCTTTATAATTTGATTGTCTCCTTAATGGTGACTCAGAAGAAAGCTTGGGTTTATGCTGATACTTGTAATCGAATCCAAAATGCCTGAAATCCTGTATGAAAGTTTGCTATTAGGTTGGTGCAAAAGTAATGGCAAAAACCAATATTACTTTTGCATCAGCCTAGTAGATACAATATGAATGTTGCCTGGGGTTATTGTTAATGTCTTAGTAACAGCAGCTTACATTCACAGTGTGTTCTTTTTTAAGAGAGGTCATATTGGTGTCACATTACAGATAGGGAAAAAGAAACTCAAAACTTAGAAACTTGAGGTCTTTTTCCCAAGATCACATAGCTGGTAAATGGTGGAGCCACCAGGGTCCAAACCTGTGCTGGAACCATCCTGCAGGGCTACATCAGGATGCCACCTTAAAAAAAGGTTAAATGCTTACATTGCATGTTATTCATTCTGTTTAAACTTCCAAAAAACTAGGAAGAATGATTGCCATCTTTGACCTAATAAGAGTTTATAAGGTCAGATAAAAGTCTGTATTTTTTTGTTGTTGTTGTTCAACAATTATGTGCTAACATAAAATTGCTGTTTTATTATTACCTCAATGGATTATTTGATGAGGAGACTCATGGTGGAGCTGCCTCTTTATATGCATTAGAAAAAGCGGTTTGGGTAGAACTTGCCTGTAGAGAAGAAATAAATTTAAAAAGAAAGTAAAAGAAAAACATAAGAAAAGGTAGTTTGGGGAGAAATATTTTTTAAAATCCTAAATTGGAATGAATACTCTTGCTAAAATGTAATGCCCTGTTCCTAGGGATAATAAGAATCACTGTGTCAGCTCCTTGTTACTTCCACCACATGGCTTTGCTAGTTTCCAAATGAAGAGGTTCCTCCCTATCTTGATTTTTTTTTTTTTTTTTTTTTTTTGAGAGAGTCTTGCTCTGTTGCCCAGGCTGGAGTGCAATGGTGCGATCTCAGCTGTCAGTGCAACCTCCGCTTCTGGGGTTCAAGTGATTCTCCTGCGTCAACCTCCTGAGTAGCTGGGACTGCAGGCGTGTGCCACCATGCCCAACTAATTTTTGTATTTTTAGTAGAGATGGAGGTTTTGCCATGTTGGCCAGGCTGGTCTTGAACTCCTGAGCTCAAGAAATCCGCCTGCCTCACAATATTCCTCCACAATATTCCATTGAGTCCAATGTGTCCCAAAGTGCTGGGATTAGGGATTATAGGAGTGAGCCACTGCTCCCCGCCTTCCTAGCTTGATTTTCTTGGGAAAGAGGTTGTATCTCTTCAGCTTCTATCTCTTCTCTTGATTTTATTTAAGTGTTCACCCTTTGTTGTTGGTCCTCTTTGAGTGGTGCTAGGAATTCTGGTGGAGCCACTTGACACAGGCCCCACCTCAGGCCCCCAGATTTGCATTTGTAACGAGTTACCAGGTGAGACTGATGCTGTAGGTCAAGGACCACACTTTGGGAACTACTGCCGTAAAAATCAAGCGATTTTATAACTTCCTTAAGTTAGCCAATTTAAATGCTAATTTTCCTCCCAATTTCCCAAAGATCTTTTACCTTTCTTACAATTGCTCTCAATGGACATCAAATCATGGCTATTTAAACTAAGATTCTAGAAAATGCATGTAGCTCCTTGCTTTTTGCTTTGCCATTTTTCCTTCATTTTCATATTTTGTTCCCTTCCCAAATTATAAAGCGCCTTTTCATGCCACACCTGGGTAAATTGAAATCTAAAGTGGGAGCCTGATGAGCCCTTGAGGATTAATGGTTCAATTTCCCTGCAAATCTGCATGTGCTTTTGAACTAAGGAAAAAGAACACAGGGCAATGTAACCCTCCGTAGGGCTTCGCTAGCACATTTCAGTTTTCTACAGTTACCGCCAGCTCTTAGGACAGTCATCACATTTGACACCTGACTCTAGAACAACCAAAGTGCAGGTTTTTTGTAGGTTATGGCTCATGCAAGTTAGTGTGAGGTTGGGAGTTTTTCTTTTTTCTTTTTTTTTTGGCATAAGAATAGCGCTGTATTTTCCTACAGGTAATTTTTCTATTGCTTCAACATTTTCTCTTCAAAATTAAAAGAAAAATATTCCAAAGTTTAGAACTGGATCACTTGGTCCTTTCTTTTCTTATATCCTCCCAGTTCAAAATGCTTGCATCTGTTAATGGCCAGCATCCTCTTGGATCTGCAGTTAGGCTCAACACATTCCAGCCTTAGCACAACCTTCTTTGTGGTCTTAGCCTTCTTCCAGAAAATTGGCTTTGTCTGCCCACCATAGCCACTCTGCTTCTGATCATAGCACCTCTTTCCCTGGGCATACGATGAATCCTTGCCCTTCTTATACTGTGTCACTTCGTCAGGTGATGCTTACAAAGGTTCTTCGGGTTTAGGTACGTTGACCATCTTTGCAGCAGGGCTGTTCTGTTTATATGATGAACACAAGAAACAGTGTCCGAGACCCTTGCCTTGTACAGCTCTCACCTAACCGGGAGTTTTTCTTTAAATGGAACATTTCGTTATGTTTCATGAGAGCACCTGTTTGATTGTTTTTGTACCCTAGGTCTACTGGCAATTTATGAAATTGATTTAACAATAGTTATATGGGAACTACAACGTACGTGAGAGGTAGGATCTCAAGTCAGACAATAAGGAGAAAACATTTTGTAAAATTACCCTTGAAAATCCCCAAGTCACCAAGAAGTGCATCCATGAAAGCTCTGAAGCCAGAAATTAATTTAAGTTTCTCTTTGCTTATGGGCTACGACCCCACACTTGCCTGTGGCCACGGTCTAGTTGAAAGAGGGAAAGGATGTTAGGGAAAATAGGATTTTGTCCTTTCTCCTTTTTTCCCTTCCAAGTAGACATAGACATGTGGTTCAACTCCAATAAATTAAATGTACTGTGACTCCATTATATTGTTAAGATAATTGAAGTATTTGATTCTGGGTCACTGGTTTAAATTCATTTACAGTCATGCTGGAATTAAGTATCATAAGTTCATTCATTCAACAAACAGCTATTGAATATCTTTATAGATTTATCAAGGACAGGGATTTGTTTTTTTATTGGGCCCTTTTTTGTCTTATAGTAGTCGCTCAGGCAGTGTTTGTTGAATGAATAGTGAAATACAGTCCATGTCTTTTTGTGGTTTATATCCTGGTTTTAAAGTTGAAAAGTAAACAAAGATTTGCCATAGAGTCTGTTAGAGATATCTTAATTTATGGGAATATTGTGGAGGAAGAAATTCATTCTGCCTGGGAGAGTACAATACAAACTCATGAGAGAGACATCTGGGCTAGACCTTGATGGATGAGGAGTTCTCTAGGAAAGGAGGGGCATTCTGGGTATAGGAAAGGCTCCTGAAATGATTCTAATATGTTTCCTTCTTAACAATCATGAGCTTAGTGTTTTAAGTGCCTTGAGCAGAGTAGTAAAAGATAAGAATAGACAGGTAGTGCTAATAATAGCTAATAGCTATTGGGCATAGAGTTTATGCCTGGCAGTGTAAGTGAATTTTACATTTTGCTTAAATCTCACAAGAAATATATGAGGTACACACTGCTAATCCCATTGTCCCATTTTCTAGATTAGAAAACTGAGGAAAGTTGGCCGGGCGCGGTAGCTCACACCTGTAATCCCAGCACTTTGGGAGGCCGAGGCGGGTGGATCAACTGAGGTCAGGAGCTCAAGACCAGCCTGACTGACATGGTGAAATCTCGTGTCTACTACAAATACAAAAAAATTAGCTGAGTATGGTGGCGCATGCCTGTAATCCCAGCTACTTAGGAGGCTGAGGCAGGAGAATCGCTTGAACCCAGGAGGCAGAAGTTGCAGTGAGCCGAGATTGAGCCATTCCACTCCAACCTGGGCATCAAGAGTGAAAATCCGTCTCAAAAAAAAAAAAAAGAAAAGAAAAGAAAAAAAAACTGAGGAAAGTTGAATTTACCAGAGATGACATAACTAGTGAAATGACATTATGTTATATAAGCCTTGGCTGAATGCCATATAAAATTAGATTTTATTTTATTTATTTATTTATTTTTTTGAGATGGAGTCTCACCCTGTTGCCCAGGCTGGAGTACAGTGGTGCAATCTCAGTTCGCTGCAACCTCAGCGTCCAGGGTTCAAGTGATTCTCCTGCCTTAGCCTCCTGAGTAGCTGGGACTACAGGTGCCTGCTATCTTCAAGACCAACCTGGTAACGTGACGAAACTCTGTCTCTACAAAAAATACAAAAATTAGCCAGGCATGGTGGTGTGTGCCTATGGTCGCATGCAGCTACTCAGGAGGCTGAGGTGGGAGGATCAATTGAGTCTGAGAAGTGGAGGTTGCAGTGAACTGAGATCTGCACCACTGCACTCCAGCCTGGGTGACTGAGCGAGACTCTGTCAGAAAGAGAAAATGAGAGAGAGAGGAAAGAAAGAGAAGAAAGAAGGAAGGGAGAGACAGAGAAAGAAAGGAAAGAAAGAAAATTATAAGCCACATAGATATTCAAGAGCCAATAAATAATCAAATCAATTATTATATGTAAAAGTGTTAGCATAATATGGAACCATTAGAAAGTATGACTCTTTTTTTTTTGAGCTGGAGTCTGCCTCTGTCTCCCAGGCTGGAGTGCAGTGGCACGATCTCGGCTCGCTGCAAGCTCCGCCTCCTGGGTTCACACCATTCTCCTGCGTCATCCTCCCGAGTAGCTGGGACTACAGGTGCCTGCCACCATGCCTGGCTAACTTTTTGTATTTTTAATAGTAACAGGGTTTCACCATGTTAGCCAGGATGATCTCGATCTCCTGACCTCGTGATCCGCCTGCCTCGACCTCCCAAAGTGCTGGGATTACAGGTGTGAGCAACCACGCCCGGCCGAAAGTGTGACTTTTGAAGAGTATTAAAGGACAAATGAACTATTTAAGAAATCCCATGAAGAGAGAAAAATATGATTAATAAAATACAGTATATACCGGAATATATTACAATTATTATTTCTGAGGAAAAGGGAGGGACAGTTTTTTAAAAGCTCCTTCTTTATGTGTTTATTTTCCAAATTTCCTATAACAAATGTGTAGTACAATGATGATTAAATGAATGAGTATATAAAGTGCTAGAAGAATGCCTGGCCTTATAGTGAACTCTCAAATATGAGCTTTTACTGTTGCTATGATATAATTACTTTTATTATATATAAAATATTTTTAAAAACTCACTCTAATTGTAATTAATTGTTTGTGTAACTACTTGTTTAATGTTTGTCCTCTATCCTCTATCGTCTTTGGTCCCTTATAAAAAAATTTTTTTTGAGATAGGATCTTGCTCTGCTGCTCAGGCTAGAGTGCAGTTGCATGATCATAGTTCACTGCAGCCTCAGCCTCCTGGGCTCCAAGGGCCCTCCCACCTCAGCCTCCTGAGTAGCTAGGACTACAGGCATCTGCCACTGCACCTAGCTAACTTTTTAGTTTTGTAGAGATGGGGTCTCACTGCCTTGCCCAGGCTGATCTTGAACTCCTGAGCTCAAAGTGATCCTCTTCCTCCACCTCCCAAAGTGTTGGATATTACAGTCATGAGCAGTCCTTAAAGACCATATCCGTCAAATACAAGCTGGCTCTAATACCTGGCACATAATAAGTGCTCAGTTATTGTTTGGTGTGTGTGTGTGTGTGTATATTTGTTTGTACCCTCAAAGATCAGGTTTCTAAATATTTTCTCCTATTTTATTTCTGCTTTTTAGCAGGAAGGTCGCCAATAATCAAGCTGTAAAAATATTAGCTGCTCCCAATTTAGAATTTTTGTGTTCTTATGAATGCTGAAATGTATGTAAACAAAATTGCACAGTGTTAAATGGTATGTTGTTGAACCAGAAATATGTTTATTGTCTTATTTTATAAACAAAATGGCACTGAGATTTCTTTAAAAATTTTTTAAAGATATAGTTTTTGAAATTTACAACACAACTCAGTAAATAAGATTATGAAAAAGCTATCTTAGATATCCTTTTTGATTGGTTCTAAGATTATAACTTTAAGCAAGCATAGGGACACTTTTAACAACTTGGAAGGTATTTTGGTGGGACAGTAAGAGTGTATTTGTTTATATGAAAATCCGTAATTCTTTGTAAGAACGTAATTTGAATCTGTAGTTGATTGCAAGTTTAGAGAGGTCTCTGCAATATACAAAGTTTCTTAGTTGCAGTCACTTGCCAAGACGGGCTGATCACTAAGAAATAAGGAAACTCAGCTAGAATTACCAGCTGCTGTTTATAAAACCAAATGATAAAATTCACTTAATGAAAGTAATGTGCTGACAGCAGTGTTTATTACTTAAAACATAACAATCATGTTTATTGTATCTCTCTGTGACAGCTTTGCTGAATATAACTTAAATGTAGCAGAGGAAATCCAGAGTAATGCATTTTTTAAAAAAAGTGTGTTTATTTACATGAAACCAACATAAAAAGTTTGAAGACTTTTTTGTCAGAGATCTTAGTTTTCTAGAGTTAAACTGAAAAGATTGAAGAAATGGTAAGTAGCTACCATTTTTGGAAACAAGAAATTAAGAAGTACAAACTCAGAAAACACGCTTGGAGAAAATTTTAATATCATGAAACCTAGAACTCTTGAACTTCAAAAGACCTTACAATCCGCTTGATGGTGATATTTGGAATCTCAGATATAGTATTGAAATATCATAGGATAGAAAGGAATAATCAGGGAGCTTAATGCAATCAGAACCTTGTAGCCTGTTATGGGAAGTATCATTTGGTTAAGCCTGCTAAGCTACTGTAAATGAATGTTAATCGCATTTTATCAGCTGCTTATACTATCTTTATTATGTAATTTGAATATTTATGACAATGGAAATATGTTTAACTGTGAAATTACAGTGTTTATGGAACTCAAATTCCAAAAAGCATACAACCCTCTGATGGAGAATAACTATATTTAAATACTACAAAATTCAAGATGTTTCTACCATTTAACATTAGTCTATATCTTGTGGGAGAAGCATTGTTTGTGGCTAAAATACTGTGACAAACAGAATGATGTACGCTCATGTTGACTTCTAAGATAAGCATGTGATTTAGATAATTTATTGTTTGCACAAAAATCAGTCACCAACTAGATCATTTTAACTTTTTAGGATCATGTAGTATTTAACTATTTTCTCAATATAGTTTATATCATTTTGGTTGACTGCATCCTTATCTTCTTGGAAATTATTAATGAACCTTTTAAAAAATATGAACCAGGCTTTGGACTTGAACTTCTTCTCCTCTTAAAGCTGCAATAATATTGAAGTTGAAAATGGTGGGCCAGGTGCTGTGGCTCATGCCTGTAATCCCAGCACTTTTGGAGGCTGAGGCAGGCAGATCATCTGAGGTCAGGAGTTTAAGACTAGCCTGGCTAACATGGCAAAACCACGTTTCTACTAAAAATACAAAAAATTAGCTGAGCATGGTGGCATGCGCCTGTAATCTTAGCTACTTGGGAGACTGAAGCAGCAGAATGGCTTGAACCTGGGAGGCAAGGTTTCAGTGAGCCGAGATTGCGCCATTACACTCCAGCTTGGGCAACAAGAGTGAAACTCCATCTCAAAAAAAGAAAGAGAAAATAATGGATGGGAATGCTTCTTTAATTGTGTAGTCTGTATTTATTTTGTGTGTGTATGTATTTTGGGGAAAATTGATTCTCTGCCAATGCTTTCTTCTTTGCAAACATAAACCCATGAAAAGGTATTTTTTCCCTTTGGGAAAATTTAAATGCACGTTGTTCTTCTGGAAAATATAATCTAATAGGAAAATACAATTCACATTAGAACCAAAAAAAAGCCTGTAATTAAGATGTGTCTTAGTCACATTTTCTTTCTGTCTTTTGTTAAAACCTCAACATGGACTCATTCAAGCAAATAAAGTTGTTGGGTAGGTGGAACATTGTTTTCAAATGTTATAGTAATGCTACAGTGTTACAACTATCTGGTTACTTCATCTTGATTGCCAAAAATATTAAATTATCATTTTATAAAATTTGGGTATAAAACTTTATGTCTTGAGGCTAATTTAGATGTGTGGTGGTGTCTACTGGCAACACTAGAGAGGTTTCAGGGTCAGAGAGTGTTGAGACCAAATTCTAGATCCAGCACTCAGCTTAGATACCATCTTTCTAGTCAGGTTACTGAATCTTGCCAGGCCTTAGTGGCCCCACCTTCGTAAGGTTGTTGGACAGATTACTGAAATCCTCACAAATATGTGGAAAGTGCCTAGAATGTTTACCTGGAGCCAATGATGATTGCACACACTGCTGTTACATAGTTGATGATAGAGCCTCTATGCTGTGGGTTACTTAAAACACTTTTGCCTTTCTGCCATCTACATTTGGGAGAATTAGCTGGACAGTATACCCTCCTTTAAAAAGCTGACAAAGGAAAAATATCAAGAATGCAAGTCAGGCTCTCTTTATCTAATAACAACATTAGAGAAGAGTTGCTATATCAGATTCTTGATCCTAATGCCTGAAATGCGATTGGGCATTTGTTTATGGATATCATTATCTGTACTGCTGCCTGCTTTATTGGTATAAAGCAAGAGTCAGCAAACTTTTTCTGTGAAGAGCCAGGGAGCAAATATTTGAGGCTTTGTGGGCTCTTCAATTTCTGTCACAACTTCTCTATTGTACCATTGTAGCCAAGACTAGTGGTAGACAATATGGAAATGAATGGGCATGGCTGTATTCTAATAAAGTTCTCTTTGTAAAAATAGATCATAGTTTTCTAATCCCTGTGGAAGATAATTGAGAGTATGTTCGCATCTTTTTAAAATCAGAGATAAATTCTTGCCACCAAAGTTGTAATTGTTCATTACTTCATTCCTCTATTCGTGTGCGTGTGCATGTTTGTGTTTGTGTGTGTGTAGAGTATGTATATCTGATAAACTGTCAGCTTTTGATTTCTGAAGCTGTGTGGGAATTGATTTTTCTAGTCAATTTGACTACATCTCTAGAACACGGTAGGGATGATAGGGAATGCCTTGTTTGTCTGTGAGATTAAACCATTACACCTTTTTATTCATAATTGAGTAGATTTTGAGTTACATTGGAGAGTCCTGGCTTTACAGTTGGATAGTCTGTTTCACAGTCCACCTCCTAGCTGCAAAGTCCTTGGCTGGTGATGTAGCTTTTCTAGGGATCAGTCTTCTCATCTATAACACAGTGCTAATTCTCACCTTGTTGGGTTGCTGAGAATTGAGTGAGCCCATGCATTTGAAGGCCAACCTCAGTGCCTGAAACAGATAAACCCAATGAACAGTAGTTCTTTCAATCTTGAATGAGAATCATATTCTGAAGGCTAAATGATTTTTGAAAAACTTTACTGTTAATTTACATTTTTTTTTCTTTTTTTTGAGACAGGGTCTTGCTATGTCACCCAGGCTGAAGTTATTGGTGATTCTACCTCACTGCAGCCTCAATCTTTCAGTCTCACGTGATCCTCCCACCTCAGCCTCCTGAACAGCTGGGACTATTGGTGAGCACCACCATGCCTGGCTATTTTCTTTTTAATTTTTTATTTTTAATAGAGATGAGGTCTTGCTATGTTGCCCAGGCTGGTCTTGAACCCTTGGGCTCAAGTGATCCTCCAGCCTTGGCCTTCCGAAGTGTTAGGATCACAAGTGTGAGCTTCCTCACCCTGTCCTTTGTTCTTTTTAAGGGGGAAAAATGCACCTCTGCATACTTACATACTCTGAATTATTTGGAGCTGTGCCTCTCAGACTATCTATGGTGAAGGCCTAATTTTGTTCCGAATTCGTCATGAACTGATGCTTTTATAAAGTACAATACAATGAATTAATATTAAAAAAGAAAAACATACAAAACACATACAAAGCCCCCATTTTAATAATGAGATCCAATAAACACATACATTTTCTAAATGCTTACTGTCAATTTCTCTGTATTTCTTTGGGGACTGGTAATAAACAATTGGCAAACCAGTACTGATCCATGAGCCACACTTTTAGGAGCACTAAGTTGGGGGGAAGCAAGTTCATGGCGATTTATTTAAAATATTCATATTAATTACTCTTGGATAGAATTAGTTACTAAATAGACAATGAATTTATCCCTTCTACCTCAAAAGTAGTTACCAACTGTAAGTGAAAATTAATTATCTACCCAAATCCATGTTCAACAGCTTCCCTCCCCATAATGTAAGATTGTTTGATTTGAGGTAACTGGAGATCTCATAGGGGAATAAAACTCAGTGGTTGTCTCCAGACCAAGATGGCCGTTGATTGGAGTATCTCCATCCATAATGGGTTGATATGGTTTAGCTGTGTGCGCACCCAAATCTCATCTTGAATTGTAGCTCCCATAATCTCCATGTGTCATGGGAGGGACCTGGGGAAGGTAATTGAATCATGGGGGCAGGTTTTTCCATGCTGTTGTTGTGATAGTGGAAAAGTCTCATGAGATCTGATGATTTTATAAAGGGCAGTTCCCCTGCACACACTCTCTAGCCTGCTGCCATGTAAGACGTTCCTTTTCTCCTCCTTCGCCTACCGCCATGATTGTGAAGCCTCCCCAGCCATGTAGAACTGTGAGTCCGTTAAACCTCTTTTTCTTTTTTTGAGACAGAGTCTTACTCTGTTACCCAGGCTGGAGCGTAGTGGAGCAATCTCAGCTCACTGCAACCTCCGCCTCCTGGGTTCAAGTGATTCTCCTGACTCAGCCTCCCCAGCAGCTGGGATTACAGACGCATGCCACCCCGCCTGACTAATTTTTGTATTTTTAGTAAAGACAGGGTTTCACTGTTTGGCCAGGCTGCTCTCAAACTCCTGACCTCAAGTGATCCGCCCCTCCCATCGGCCTCCGAAAGTGCTGGTATTACAGGCGTGAGCCACCACACCCAGCCAAACCTCTTTTTCTTTATAAATTACCCAGTCTCAAGTATTTCTTCGTAGCAGTATGAAAATTGACTAATACAGGGGTTCTCAGTGACTCCATCACTGACCTTGAGAGCCCAGATCTCATAGGGTGTAGGTATAAGAATCTCAGGTCCTCAGTTTCTCCTCCATCCCCTGTGTTCTGGCAGCACCTCCCATTACCTTTATGAATCCACGTATTTTATTATACTGCCATTATTTTATCTGACTCCTCCACAGAACTGTGGACTTTGCAGTAGGAACTATTTTATTCTCTTCTTGCCTCCCTGGCTCCTGGCAGACCCTAGATGTACCTCGAAAATGTACTGATGTGTGAATGAATGAGCGGATGATGTGTTCCAGGCGTCTCACCAGCCTTCCTTTATCTGCACACTCTTCACTTTGCTAGGGTCCCTCTCAAAAACACAACCGGATCAGGAGTAGGGGGAGGGAGGAGAAGGGAGCTGCTGTAAAGCAACACACTGCTGTCAACATTTTTAAATGCGCATAACCCAAGAGAACATGCACAGTATATTTTGCGAAGTCAACTGGAAAGTGTCAGGGCCACACCTTACTGTAGTTGAAATTCAATGGCATTGAGCTCTTGATATTATAGATAGTAATTTTCTAGAGTACACACAATGGTGTGTGAACATATGACTGGGCTGGAATCTATCAAAGTACTTGCATGGACTATTACAGATCATTGATGCATTACAGTAAGCCATTTGTGGATATTTTATGATATGTACACAGACTAACATCACTGGGATAGCAAAGGCTATCAGAATTTCACCTGCGTAATAACAGTCATTTGCAAGGAAAAATCTTATCAAAAATAAATTGATGATCTGTAGTAATGGACTGGGTTTTTGGTGGTTACTCATTATTTGGGGGACCAGTAGAGTTCATAGCATACTGACTAAATAGTGACTTTAGATCAGGATGTCTGGATTCCCATCCCAGCTCTGTGACTTCATTCAAGTTACCGTCTTTGAGCCTCACTTTTCTTATCTGTAAAATGGAAGTAATAATAGTACTGAGGCCTAAGGTATTGTGCAGCTTAAATATGATAATTCAGGTAAAGCACCGAGTGGTGCCAATATTCATTTACCACTTTTTATCATCACTTGATGTATGTAGATTGTCAGTGTCCAACACTTTTGGGAAGAAATGACACCCTTTAGAGTACCAATAGCAGTTGTATTTGTAAACCTCTTATATGGGTAGAGTTCTAACATATTTTTGCCCTTCTTAACTATTTTATATGCATTAATCTATTCCTCTGGAGAATCTTTGAAATAAAAGTTAGCTTTAACTTTTAAACACTTAAAATTGAGAGTTGATATACAGCTCATTAAAATAAATTACTAAAACTCTAGAAAAATAATAAACTATAAAGTTTTACTAATTCAAGGACTGCAGTATTGGGAAATATTGTGGAAACTAGTTATATAGAGAATAAATGAAAAATTAGAATATAGAGTTTGTATATATGACATGAATATAATTAAGCAAATATTAGGTTGGTGCAAAGTTATTGCAGTTTTGACATTAAAAGTATGGCAAAAACTGCGATTACTTTTGCACCAACCTAAATATACACATTTTAAGATTTATAGATTAAGTAACAGCTTGGGATAAGATGTTTAGATAAGTAAATGTTGTGATGAAGAATGGCTCTTTTTCCCTTTACTATCCAGTGTTTATAATGCTTCTGTAATTTTGTTTTGTTTTGTTTTGTTTTGTTTTTTTGAGATGGAGTTTTGCTCTTGTTGCCTAGGCTGGAGTGCAGTGGCGCAATCTCGGCTCACTGCAGCCTCCACCTCCTGGGTTCAAGCAATTCTCCTGCCTCAGCCTCCCAAGTAGCAGAGATTACAGGTAACCGCAACCACGCCTGGCTAAGTTTTTGTATTTTTAGTAGAGACGGGGGTTTCAGCATGTTGGCCAGGCTGGTCTCGAACTCCTGACCTCAGGTTATCCACCCGCCTCGGCCTCCCAAAGTGCTGGGATTACAGGCGTGAACTACCACGCCCGGCCCTATAATGTTTTTATAATTAAAAAATTTTAAAGACCAAACATAAGTTATCCATTCTAATCACTCAAAATGATTGACATTAAAAAATCATATTGAATATAAGTATGTCTTTTATTATAGCTAGGATATTTATTGAATTTATTTACAGACTGTTGGTTAAAATCAAGTAACTGCTTTGTAAATTAACTAACTTCTTAGATGGCTAAGAGCAAACAGAGTCTCTTGGTTTTATGTTTAGGTACCCAACCAAGAACAATTCTCTTGAAACTCTTAGTGTGTGACATTTTGTAGACATTTCATAAAGGAGCTTTTCAACGCCAGTGAGAAGTCAGCAACACAAACTTCTTTTGTGACCCATTCAGGGGATCCCAAGATCAGCCTGGTCTCTGAAGCGTATGAGGAGATATCCAGTTACAGCTCAGGGCAGGGGCAGATCTGGTTCATCATGTGATTGCAGTGACAGCCTGCCAAGCTCACAGCTGCCTTGCAGGAGATGCAGGCCCACCTGCCAGCCCCATTATTCCCATTTAGGCTCAGGCCCACAGGGACTTTTCCCATTAAACCCTGAAAGTCTTCATTTTCAAGAAGTTTTCAAAGTATCATGAAAGACTCAGCAGGGCAAATGATGGTGTGATTGAACCCACCTCAGTTTATTAAACAGCAGGACTGTTTATATGTTTCAGTTGGTCCTGCCCTTTGTCCATCCCAGGCTGTCCCCAAAGTGTCTCTTGAAACTGGACACAGTTTTACAATAAGCAAAGGTGATTTACCTAGGTAAGTCTTTGCCCCAGAAAGTGACAAGAAGAAAACTTGCTTTTTGTTCGTTTGAGGAATCCCATATGGTAGATTGACACATCTCATAGCAAATGTTCTTGTTGTTATGACCAAACGCCTTCCTAAATTAAAAAAGAAAATTAAATATTGACATTTTGCATATACAAAATTGTTGAACATGTAAAAATGCCTCTGGTACCGGAATATGTCTTCACACTGACAGCCCTACCCAAGACTTGTTCATCAATCCAGGAGGTATACCTCTATTTTGACATTTCCTTTAAAGGGAAATCCTTTTTTCTTTTTTCTTTTTTTTTTTTTGAGGCGGATTCTCGCTCTGTCGCCCAGGCTGGAGTGCAGTGATGCAATCTCGGCTCACTGCAAGCTCCACCTCCCGGGTTCACGCCATTCTCCTGCCTCAGCCTCCCGAGTAGCTGGGACTACAGGCGCCTGCCGCCACACCCGGCTAATTTTTTGTATTTTTAGTAGAGACGGGGTTTCACCATGTTAGCCAGGATGGTCTGCATCTCCTGACGTCGTGATCCGCCCGTCTCGGCCTCACAAAGTGCTGGGATTACAGGCGTGAGCCACCGTGCCCGGCCAAGGGAAATGCTTTTCAATGCATGCAATAAGGTGTAGGAGAGCAGGCCAGGCGCGGTAGCTCACGCCTGTAATCCCAGCACTTCGGGAGGCTAGGCGGGCGGATCACTTGAGGTCAGGAGTTTGAGACCAGCCGGGCCAACATGGTGAAACCCCGTCTCTACTAAAAATACAAAAATTAGCTGGGTGTGGTGGCGCATGCCTGTAATCCCAGCTACTCGGGAGGCTGAGGCAGGAGAATCGCTTGATCCCAGGAGGCAGAGGTTGTAGTGAGCCGAGATCATGCCACTTCACACTCTAGCCTGGGTGATGGAGTAAGACTCCGACTCAAAAAAAGGAAGTATGGAGAGCATTAGTCACTGAGACGTCTACATGTCATAGTGGAATATAAATCCTTTTGGATTCCTACATTGTTTGAGTAGATTTTTTAAATTTTGTATATTTTTAAATTGATGCATTGTAGTTATACATATTTATTGGGTACAATTTGATGTTTCAGTACATACCTGTGTTGTATAATGATCTAGCCAGGGTAGTTAGTGCGCCCAGCACCTTATGTATTTATTGTTTCTTTGTGGTGAGAACATTCAAAAGCCTCTCTTCTAGCTATTTGGTAGTATGCATGCAGTATTTTACTGTTAACTGTAATCACCCTGCTGTGCAGTAGAACACCAGAATTTATTCCCCGTACCTAATTGTAACTTTGTACCCATTGACCAACCTCTCCCCTCTTCCCGCTTCCCAGTCTCTGGTCACCACCATTCTTTTTTTTTTTTTTTTTTTTGAGATGGAGTCTTGCTCTGTCGCCCAGGCTGGAGTGAAGTGGCGCGATCTCGGCTCACTGCAAGCTCCACCCAGGTTCAAGGCCATTCTCCTGCCTCAGCCTCCGGAGTAGCTGGGACTACAGGCGCCCGCCACCACACCCAGCTAATTTTTCTGTATTTTTAGTAGAGACGGGGTTTCACCGCATTAGCCAGGATGGCCTCGATCTCCTGACCTCGTGATCCGCCCGCCTCGGCCTCCCAAAGTGCTGGGATTACAGGCGTGAGCCACCGCACCCACCATTCTTATTTGAGTAGATTTTAAAAATCCACTAAAGTTTATGGAGGCTGTTTAGGAAAAACTCTCAAACTGTTTTTCCTCTACTCTCACACTACAACAATCAACACAGAAGACTTCCGTGACCAAATGTGTGAGAGTTTTTCCCCACCAACAAGCAGCAGACACCAGGAAGTCCAGGCCTCCAGAACCTCTGACCAACCAGATTCAACTTGGGGTTCTTATGACTTTCCTTTTTTGGTTCAATTAATTTGCTGGAGTGGCTCACAGAACTTAGGGAAACACGCTTACTGGTTTATTATAAAGGATATTACAAAGGATACAGATGAAGAGATGCCAAGGGCGAGGTATGGAGTAAGGCACGCAGAGCTTCCATGCCTTCCCTGGGCACCACGCTCCAGGAACCTCTACATGTTCAGCTGTCCAGAAGCTCCCCACACTCTCTTGGGTTTCTGTGGAGGCTTCATTACATAGGCATGATTGACAACCATGTAGAAATGTGATTGAACAAAAAGGGTATGATCTCAGACTAACAGACTGAGTGGAGGAATCCAGCAAGGCTTGTCTGTTTAAATTCTTCTTGGCCTCTCTGTACAGCATTCTTTCCTTGAAGGTACGGGGCAAGACCCTCTCAGGAATGAGAGTTTTTTGACCCACAATCAGGTTAGAGTCCTGCCTGGGCAAGTAGAAGAAAAACAGGAGAAGTTCAGAGAGAGAGATTCTGTTTTCTAGGGTCTGCTCCTGATGCCTGAAGTGCCCCAAGGCTATAACAAATGACTGCACCAAGGGCTATTGGAAGTTATGAGCCAGGAACCATGGATGAATGCCTACACACACACAAAATCATAATATCACAGAGACCAACTTTCACTTTTCTCCTGCTGTTGTGCTATGTAGAATCATCGGTGGGAAGAAAAGCATTTTGCTATTTCAAATGTCCTCATATCCGAACTGATCATGGATAATATGTTGTTCAGGAAATCTGTCTGGCTCATTGGATTAAAGTTTGGATCTTACATTTTCTATAAAATATAGTATAATCAAAATAATTTTTTTTTCCTTTGGAGACCGAGTCTCACTCCGCTGCCCAGGCTGGAGTGCAGCGGCGCAATCTCAGCTCACTGCAACCTTCGCCTCCCAGGTTCAAGCAATTCTCCTGCCTCAGCCTCTTGAGTAGCTGGGGCTACAGGCATGTGCCACCACGCCTGTCTAATTTTTTGTATTTTTAGTAGAGATGGGGTTTAACCATGTTGGCCAGACTGGTCTCAAGCTCCGGAGCTCAAGTGATCCACGCCCTTTGGCCTCTCAAGGTACTGGGATTAGAGGCATGAGCCATCGTGCCTGGCCAATGAAAATAACTTAAATATTCTCTTTATTAGTCTAAAATTTATATGAAGTTGTAATTTGAGCCAAAGTAAAAACCCTTTTTTTTACTTTTTTATTTTAGAAATGAACCATTTTATGTACTTATTTATTTTTATTTTTTTAAGACAGTCTCACCTTGTCGTCCAGGCTGGAGTCCAGGCACAATCTTGGCTCACTCAGCCTTGACTTTCCTGGGCTCAGGCGATCCTCCCACTTCAGCCTCCCAAGTAGCTGGGACTACAGGTGTGCGCCCAGCTAATTTTTTTATTTTTTGTAGATATGGGATTCTGCCATGTTCCCCAGGCTGGTCTCAAACTCCTGAGCTCAAGCCATCCTTCGCCTTGGCCTCCCAAAATGCTGGGATTACAGGCGTGAGACACCACGTCTGGCCAAAACACATTTAAAAGGGATTTTTTTTTGTTACTGAATTTAAATAATTCAGAAACAACTTCAGAAGAAAGAATAAGCAAAGACCCCCTCCAGAGGATTTAAGGATTTTTGTTTTTGTTTTTGAGATGGAGTCTCGCTCTGTCTCCCAGGCTAGAGTGCAATGGCGTGATCTTGGCTCACTGCAACCTCCTCCTCCTGGGTTCAAGCAATTCTTCTGCTTCAGTCTACCAAGTAGCTGGGATTACAGGCATCCGCCACCATGCCTGGCTTATTTTTGTATTTTTAGTAGAGATAGGGTTTCACCATGTTGGCCAGGCTGGTCTTGAACTCCTGATCTCAGGTGATCCACCTGCTTCAGCCTCCCAAAGTGCTGGGATTACAGGCGTGAGCCACCGTGCCTGGCCAGATTTAATGATTTTAACCAGTGGGGTCATGTGGAGGCTCAGTGACCCCAGAAGGCAACTCACTTCCGTTTTCTACATGGGGTTGTCCAGGGAAAATCTAGCTCATAAGGAAGGATAAGCACAGGAGCCCCTTGATGGGAAGCCACCTCATGGCAGGGGAGTGGGGGATTGGTGTTGGGGGACAGCGGTTATTCACACTTTCCGAAGGAGAGGGGTTTCCATGCTATCTGAGCCCTCTGGCCATAAATTCCCCATTTGGATCCACTGGAAACACTGGGTTTGGCAATGGAGGAAGAAGGAAAAAGCTTTGCAGCCGAGAAGCAAGTCTGAGGGGAAGGGTGGGAGACCCTCCTGTCTTTGAAGATGTGAACCATTTCCCAGGGGCCATTTGCTCCCTGACACCTGTGCCACTTGGAACATCAGGTGGATCATCACTTCTAGAAACTCGAGTTGAATGGCTGTTTGAATTGTCTTAGGTCTGCAGCCTCCACCCTTGAGATGAAAAGGTTTTGTCTAGCCTCCCACACTCTCCCCCGGGAATCATGTGCTGTTAGTTCAAGGAACAGAATCTAAGATGATAAGAAGAAATTGTTCCTTCCACCCTTTCTTCAAGGTCTTTGAATTACTTTCGAAGGTCTTCAGCTCTTCATCCTCATGGCTTATCTTGTCTTTTGCTTCAGAACTTTCCTCTTCTTGTTCCAAGTCATGATCTGCCTTGACAGGTAATATCCTGAGAAGCTCCATTTCTTTCTGACAACGTTCATTCATTTCCTTTCCTCTGTCCTGAAGATTTTGAACTGTACTTTCAGTTGAGGTTCCCTCAATCCAAAGCTTGTTAAGATGATCTGTCAGGTCAGTTTTTGTGTCCTCTTTTTTAGAAATGTTGGCATAGAGTTTATTTTTCTCTTTCTTCTGGGTGTTGAGATGCACACAACCCGGCAGCATCTGTCGGTTTCCTCCTGGCTTCTCTTGCTGCTCATCCACATGGTCTCTGTCTCCTGTGTCCCAGTTACCAACTGTGTTCTCTTCTCCAAGGGGAGCTGCTAGGTCTTTAACCTTTCACACAGCTTCCTCCGGTCTTCATCTGACCTTCTGTAGAGACTCTAGAGCTCTGTATGAAAACCCTGAGTTTTTTTTCCTTTTGCCCTTAATAGTATTAAGCTTATTGTATTTTTTCCACTTGTGTCTTTATGGATTTAGTTTCTGCATATAGAGATTAGCTCTTTCTTGCAGTATCAGACATCGGCTCATCTTAATCTGTACATGGTGATTTTTCTTTCCCAAATTGGTTTATTATAAACCCGAGATGCACCAGATCACATGGTTGGACATGTTCAAGGATCTGACATTCTAGGCTTGTATCTTCTTCCATAACGGGGTAAAACCTGACGAGAGCTTTACTTTTACTAGAATTAGTGCTGAGCTCTAATGGCATGTTCTCATTTCTCTGTGTAGAAAGGTTTTATTTTTTGTTTGTTTGTTTCTACCTACTGAGAAATTCTGCCTAAGCTAAGGGAATTGTTAACACACCAGCTATCCCAGCACATAGTACCACCTTCTGTTAATAATCAAGGAGGACAAGACTTGGGCCCACATCATTAGATAATTCTGCACAAAACAATGCATTGTATCACAGGTTGGCCAAATGTATGGCTCATGGCAGGACAGTTTCTCTGTAACACCCCAAGCTGCCACAGCTGGGCCACAACACAACAAGAATATTGGGCAGGGATCTGCCCCAAACCAAGGTTGCACCCGGCAGCCAGAATGGACCATGAGTGGAGAGGGTCGATGAGGGTGCAGGCCTGGTCCAGGAGAAACTCACACCCTTAACCCTACCCATAGCTGCTGCTTTCCACTTCTTGAGCTTTGTTTTCTGTAGCCCTTGAGGCCACACCTCATCATCTGCACATGCTGTTCCCTCTCCCTGGAAAGCCCATCCCCTGAAAGCACACATGGGGACAATATCTATCTGCAAGCTCCTCACCCCTGTGACAGCAGTTCTCAGGGCAGGGCCAAGCATAGAGTGGGGGCTCAGTGCTCCATGCATTTTATGGAAGGACGAGTGAGTGATTGGGTGACAGGGACAAAGCCACATTTGCTGTCCCTGAAGGTTCACACATAATGCCCTGCTGACAGCATACCAAGCCTACCAGAGAGCTTTCACCTCCTTTCAGAATTCTGTGCTGGGAGGTGGAGAGAAGAGGCGGCAACAGCTTCTGGCCTGGGTGATCCCCGTTCCTATTCCTCTACTCAAGTAGATTTGAAAACAGCATATCTTGTGTGAATACTCAGTCTAAGTAGTGAGTCATAGGAGCAGCTGCTGCTGCTGTTAGAAAATGGGAGTCCATAGACTTTTCTACAATGCCGTGTGGAAACAGTGGAATCCAATGCAATAGAGTTGATGCTACAGAGAGAATATCAATGGCCTTAGGGGGCTTTAAAAAAAAATCCGGCCGAGTGTGGTGGCTCACGCCTGTAATCCCAGCACTTTGGGAGGCCAAGGCAGGCAGATCATGAGGGCAGGAGTTCAAGACCAGCCTGACCAATACAGTGAAACCCTGTCTCTACTAAGAATACAAAAATTAGCCGGGTGTGGTGTGAAGCGCCTGTAATCCCAGCTACTCAGGAGGCTGAGGCAGGAGAATCACTTGACCCCGGGAGGCAGCGGTTGCAGTGAGCCAAGATTGCACCACTGCATTCCAGCCTGGGTGACAGAGCGAGACTCAGTCTCAAAAAAAAAAAGAAAGAAAAAGAATTTCTGATGGTTATTTAGTATTTATTTACCATGGGTTAATCATTCATTTGCTTTATCTGTTTGTTCCATGACATGTCGTTTCTTCCTAACTGGTCTGTAGCTTCTTTCCTTTCTATCTCTTTTAGATTGCTGCAGATTCACATTTATCATGTTTCTTGACTTTGCAGGTACTTCTGGTGTAATCCAGGCCCTGATACCTGGCCCAGAGCAGGGGAAAAATAACTCACCGTTATTCTTAGCTCACACCTCTCCCACTCAACCCCAAGAAGTTAGTGCTGTTTTTACCAGAAAAGCGTGAAACCGTTTGTTTTTGAAGAGCCACGCTTATACTTTAGAAACAAGTGTAGCTGGAGAGAGGCCAAAGGCAGGAGAGAGTAAGCGGGTAGTGAGGGTGTAGGTGAGTGGAGCATGTGAATGGATGCTTCTCCCTAAAGTGTCTACTTTTCCCTCCTCCATGCCATTCGCTGCAGTGGGCACTAGCAAAAGTTTGAGTTTTGCTTCCACAGTGGAGGAAAAAAACCACAACATGTTAATTAAGAAGGTTGTGGGGTTTTGTTGTGGGAAGCTAGAAAAGCAGCTGACCACTGAAATTGAAGCTATTTACAGGAATTTGTAGTGTGAGCCATGTAAGGTGAGTTGTGGGGTGTGGGCCCTGTGCCCAGCCCTCAGTTACTCCTCTCCTCCGCAGTGACCAGCTGCATCTAGGATGAGGAAGGAAAGGAGCCCATGTCTAGATGACACCTGCTGAGCTCCCCCAGGACAGGCCTGCCTGAGCCCCCATCCCTGCAAAATCAAAGCTCTTCACCTGGGTTTCTGCAGGCCCCAGGAGACGGGCAGTGATAGGCTGTCTGCCTGGTCCCTTTCCTGTCCTTTTGCACTGGGCCCTGTGGAGAACTGGTTCTGTTGTAAGTTAAATGCCCCCATCTCTTGACCCTCTTCACAGACTGTTCCTTCAAAACTTTATGTTTCCACCATCTTGTTCTCCCTGCGCAAAGGAGAACACATCTCTGGTAGCCTTTTCTAAAGGAAGCTCTGTGCTTTCCCAAGGCTGGGAGGAGGTAATGGCCCTGCCTAGTTCCATGTTGCTGATTCTAGACACCTTCTTTTTATTCCTTGTACAGAAGCCCTTCCTCTTCAGGGGTCTGGCCACCTGGCTGGATCTTGCCCTCTCTTGTTCCTTGCAACTCCCATGCATAGCTCTGGCTCATTCCTCCACACTCATGGAGGCCTTGGATGCCTTTATTAGACGCTCCTCACTACCAAGGCCAGTGGCCTTCACCGCCACACCTGAGTTCTTGTTATCCGAGGAAACTCCTCCCCTGCTGACATGGAGCAGTGCTCTGTTACTGTCACTGCCTGTCCTACGGGTGTGCCCAGTGTACTTATTCTGCAAGAGAGAGACCTACCCAGTCTCCTGCCTTCATACCGTTCTTTCCTACCATCTCCACACCATGCATTCATTAGTTCAGCCATTTCTCTTGAAGTTATTTTGACTTCCATCCAAACTGATCACTCTCTCCTCTGAACCACTTCTGTGGCTGGCCCATATTTCTCTTAGTACCTGTTGGTTTACAGCTGGGAGGGGATTACTTAGGATCTGGTTGGGTCCGTAGCACCTAGTAAATCCCTTCACATACTGCTAGCATGGAGGGCATGCTTTGTTGAGCTGATGGAAACTATTGATGGGTCATTAACATTTGAAACATATTAGTATATTCAGTAAAAATACTGACAAAGGACGCAAATCTATGTCCCCCTTGAAAAAAATTATGCAGCCAGGCATGGTGGTTCACACCTGTAATCCCAGTACTTTGGGAGACCGAGGTGGGAGGATCACTTGAGGCCAGGAGTTCGAGACCAGCCTGGCCAACATAGTAAAACCCCATCTCTACTAAAAATACAAAAATTAGCTGGGTGTGGTGGCAGACACCTATAGTTCCAGCTACTGTGGGGCTGAGGCATGACATTTGCTTGAACCCAGGAGGCAGAGGCTGCAGTGAGCTGAGACTGTACTACTCCACTCCATCCTGGGCCACAGAGCAAGACTGTCTCAAAAAAAAAAAAAAAAGAAAAAAAGAAAAAAGAAAAGAGATGAAGGTCGTAGAAAAAATATTCATTCCAGAAATTCTACCATACGACTCTTTTTCCAGATTCAATTATGTAACTTAAACAAAAAACTATGATCAAAGTAATATATGCACATAATTTAAAAACAAAATAGATAAATAAGTTTTTAATGAAAAGCAACCATTCCCTCCTTCCCTACCTCTAGTCTTGAATTACAGGGTCAACCATTTTTAAATGTTCTGTTTTCAGTTTTTCTGGTGCTTACTGCCATATCTGTAAGTTTAATCTCAAATAGGGCTAATGAAAAACAGCCCTGAAAAATAATGAAGAGTCATAAAATATGTAATAATCATTGTTCACATGGAATCATTCTTACTAGTTTCATTATGAAAATCATTAAAAATATTCTAGACAAATGCCTTCTATGTAATGATATTGTTGAATTGAACATATTCATCTCTCACTTTTCTCTTTATCTTTTAGAGTTAGAAAGAAAATGTTTTTGAGATGCTTGTATATTTTAACAGTCAGAATAAAAGTGGTCTTTTTTTCTCCCCTCCCTTTCCTTTCCCATGTTCTCTGCCTCTTGTGAGTTACAGTATGGGAAGTTATAGCACCTGATTTGCAAAACCATGATAAGCACCATATGTAGCTCTTTAAAGCTATAGCTTACTCTGTCTTTGAATCCTGTCTCCAAAGCTGGACTTAGAAAGTGGCTGTCTCTCCACTCTAAGCCAGCATTATGAGAAACGTTATTGAGGAGATGCATGCTTTTTGAAAAAGGGCACAATCTAGATGCCTCAATTCGGAGTGCGAAATGGCTGCCTATGGTTGAAAATAAGTAGGTAGGTAGAGACTGTAGCGCATTTAATTAAAACTACTGTGCTAAAAAAAAAATTGTAGCAATTATATATTATTAACCTAAGTGGTGCCAAGGCTTTGAAGTTGTTTGCTATGCCCTTGATTGCATGCCCTCTGAGCTCGGCTGTTCAGTTATGTAGGTATTTAGAAGAAGAGCAACACAGTAAATTTAAGTACCAAATTAGGATCTTTGGAATTCTGTGCGACATATCTAAGCTATTGCTACATGAATCCAATCTTTTGCTGCTATAGTTAGACGGTGATTATGCTGTTTTTCCCAGCCCACTCCCCAATTAGACATTGTTTAGTTGATTGGAAAATGCATGTTGTATATGTCAACTAAAAACAGGTTGTCATTTTTGGGCTTAAATGGAGGAGTCTTTACTTTTCAGCTATAGTAAATGAATAAAGAAAGTGAAGACTGAGAAGAACTGTGCTGAGTCCATTATCATAAGAAAGCCAAGCTTTGCAAATGTAAGGCTTAGTAGTCATTATATGTGTGTCAGGCAGCTGGGGCCATCCCTGGCTAAGAAGAGACTGGAATGTACTGTTCTTTATTAATAACTCTGCAAGGTGGCAAGGGTTTCAGGGAAAAGAATAAAGTAAGTTTCGGGATCTGATTTTATAGTTTTAAGCTGTTCTCAGCTACAGTCACCAAATAGAAAAGGCTTATTGAGTGCCTCAGACATGCCTGACAGCTAGAATTTGACAGCTGAAAATGCCTAGGAATGAATGGTCCTATCCTCTCATTTTACAGAAAAGTAAACTGAAACTAGAGAGGCCAAGTGACTTGCCCAAAGTCCCTCTCTGACTGACTTGGACAAATCCTTGCATCACTAAGTCTGTTACACTTTACTTTTACTAGATCTGAACATTTTAATGCATTTTAATATCCACTATTTGTCAGAGCTTTGTTACTCTAATTACATCTGACATTACTATGGAGTTCTTTTGCATGTTAAGAAACAAAAGTCTTCATTTTTGTTTGTTTGTTTTTGAGACAGAGTCTTGCTCTGTTGCCCAGGCTTCAGTGCCGTAGCACAATCTTGGCTCACTGCAACCTCCGTCTCCTGGGTTCAAGTGATTCTCCTGCCTCGGCCTCTCAAGTAGCTGGGACTACAGGCATCCGCCACCACACCCGGCTAATTTTTGTATTTTTTAGTAGAGACGGGGTTTCGCCATGTTGGCCAGGCTGTCTCGAACTCCTGACCTCAGGTGATCTGCCTGCCTCAGCCTCCCAAAGTGCTGGGATTACAGGCGTGAGCCACTACGCCCGGTGCCTTCATTTGTTTACTGAAGTAAACATTTGTTGAACATTTGCTGTGTTCAAGGCACTCTGCTATTTTTCTTTCTTTTTTTTTTAAAGTACTGTACAGATTTTTAATGACATTTGCTTTCACCACACTTCAGTAAGACCGTTTCATCAGAGTAGTTAAAATTGTGAAATAGGTAACATTTGTGCTGCTGCTTCTCAACATATCACTCTCACACTCTCCCCCTCCTAGCAACTCTTCCCCTTTTCCCTGTCACAGTTATTGCTCTAATATTGGTAAAAGTCTCTTCGCTCATTGTAGCATCCTACCCCAAATGCTCCTTCAGGTAGCTCACTCTCTTTTTTTTTTTTTAATTATACTTCAAGTTCTAGGGTACATGTGCACAACATGCAGGTTTGTTACATATGTATATATGTGCCATGTTGGTGTGCTGCACTCATTAACTCTCCATTTACATTAGTTATATCTCCTAATATTGTCCCTCCCCACTTCCCCACCCCACGACAGGCCCCGGTGTGTGATGTTCCCCTTCTTGTGTCCATGTGTTCTCATTGTTCAATTCCCACCTATGAGTGAGAACATACGGTGTTTGGTTTTTTGTTCTTGCGATAGTTTGCTGAGAATGATGGTTTCCAGCTTCATCCATGTCCCTACAAAGGACATGAACTCATCCTTTTTTATGGCTGCATAGTATTCCGTGGTGTATATGTGCCACATTTTCTTAATCCAGTCTATCATTGATGGACATTTGGGTTGGTTCCAAGTCTTTGCTATTGTGAATAGTGCTGCAATAAACACACATGTGCATGTGCCTTTATAGCAGCAGCAGCATGATTTATAATCCTTTGGGTCTATACCCAGTGATGGGATGGCTGGGTCAAATGGTATTTCTAGTTCTAGATCCTTGAGGAATCGCCACACTGTCTTCCACAATGGTCGAACTAGTTTACAGTCCCATCAACAATGTAAAAGTGTTCCTATTTCTGCACATCCTCTCCAGCACCTGTTGTTTCCTGACTTTTTTATGATCGCCATATTTTTCAAGATATGGCTTGGTAGCTTAATATAAAATTTAGTGTTCAACTGAAGACTAGAGCCTTCTTTGGCTCCTTCTGATCAATAGCTTATCTCATATGGGAGTTATCAAGCATTCAAAGTATATTTCTTGGTACACATGCAGGAAGTGTGGTTGAAAAGGTTTATGGGATGTTTAGCCCTCTGCCGTCCAATACAGTAGTAACTAGCCACATTTGACCACTTAAATTAGAATTAACATTATTTAAAAATAATTAAAAATTTAGTTCTCTGGCCACACAACCAAATTTGGAAATGTACTGGACAGAGCAGATATATAACATTGCCATCATCATAGAAATGTCTATTAGACAACACAGTTCTATCCCTATTTATGCCAAAGTCACTTATAATGAGTCTAGATCTAGAAGTGAGATACCTGAATTTGAACTCCACATTCACGACTTGCCTTGTTCTATAAGCTGTAAGGTCTCAGGCAGAGCCTTTAACCTAGTAACCTCCCATTTCCTTTGGGTAAAATGAGGTTACATCTCCTACAATGTCCGTAAAATGCTTCCAGTTATACCTAAAGTGATGACGTAGACAAAGATAGAAGTTGGGGTTATTGTTAACTTCGTTAGCAACTAAAAAATATTAATACTTGATGATCTTTGCCTCTTTGCTTCATGGGGAATTCAAGGAATAGTGTCTCAAATTCTTTTGCTCTGTGGGAGCATTCTGCACCCTGCAATCAGCTGTGCCTTTATTCTTTAGTGTATCATGCAACAAAACATTGCCTTCTGCCAAACTTCCTGCTCAGGTTTGCTCTTCACTCAGTCAGATTTTCTTATAAGACTCAATGTGCTGTTATGGTTATGACTGTGGGCTCTGGAGACAATCACCTTGCTCTGCCAGCTCTGCCACATACTCATAGTGTGACCTTGGCAAGTCTAACCTTATTTTATCATCCATAAATGGGAGGGAGGGGGATTTATATAAAAGGACATATGCCATAGAGTTTTGTGGGGGTTAAATGATCTATTATCCATGTACTTGGCCTAGTGGCTAGAACTTAGTAAGTTCCTTATAAATTATTCTTGTTAATAATAATACGATGGTGATGTATTAATAATTTAGTGAATTACCTGTTAGGAGTATAAAGTCCAGACACAGATCTTGATCACCAAAAGATAGAATGTGTGACAGCCAAAGTTTTGAGGTTTACTAGAGGGACACTTTCTTACCTATAGTTGAACAACTCAGGGAAGCTGGTATGTGGTTCTTTCTCCATGTTACCCTATCCTCTGCACAGGGTCTCAAAGGCAAATAAATGCCTAGGAGAGGCAGGCAGGTAATACACAGGCATAAGGCAGACTGTGGGTAAGAGATTGCAGAGAATAGAAAGGATTTAAGTAGACTGGAGAATGTGTACCCTGTCTAAGTGGTCTAAATCCATTGCCAAGCATCATTTAGCCAGTTACAATCATGTGGGAATGGAGTATTAGTAAATGATGTTTATATGAAATCTCCAAATGTCAAGTATTGGCTTAGTTTTTATTTAAAACTCTTGTGTATACCAGACAGAATATGTTTGTGGGCTGACGCTGGCCCATGAGCCATCACTTTACCGTCTTTTCTTTAAGGCAACATTTCCCAGTGTCTTCCCAAGAATGCTAACGCTGTGGGTTGTTAATTTGGAATTACTTGGAAAGAAGGTCCTATAGCCAGATAAATTTGGGAAACCTAGTTCTGTGACGAAATTACATTTAGAAAATACTTTACCCTGGGTTTCGTTCCCAAAATTTATTTGATCAGAGAACCTTGCTCCCAAAGAAGACTAGTGAATCTCTCCATGGGGCTACACGAGGGAGATGAGTGTCAGTATTTTGGAGAATGACAACAACAGGGGCAGATCTCAAGGACCTCTTTTTATATAATAGACATAAATTGAATCTTAGTTGACATTTAGGAAGAAGTCATTAAGTTACTCACATTTTGTGATGCAAATGGAACCATTGAATGTCCATTTTGTTAGATTTTCTGTTTTTAAATAAAAGATCTTATCATCTGACACCTATTGCCAGAACATATGTGCTATTTGATGTGGTTTATATAGGAATAGATATTGAAATAATTGCTTTTGTTTGGAAATTAGCTTAATATGTTAGCATAAGAATATGTGCAGCCAAATTTAGGCTTGATAATATTATGAGAACTAGAGCAACTAGAGCAATGCTTATGAGAATAATGTTTGGACATGTCAGCTGTACTTTCAACTTTCCTACTCTTTCATTATTGCAATGACTTTTATTTGGCACAAAGGGATATTTTCATGTTCATCAATGAAATTTGTGTATAGTCTATGGAAAGAGGTGAAAAAAATTCCTCTAAAAGGAATTCAGTTAGCCTTCTATTTAGGCCGTAACTCCGACATGCTCTCAAGAATTCTTTTGGTAACAACCTCAATTTACCTTGTCTGCTATTTCAGATGTGTCTTAAAATAGCATAATTTCCCACAGTTTTATTAAAATTGTGGTGCCTCTCAACTTAGTAAAATGTTTCTGCATTAGATTTAATTTAATTGCATTTTCATGTGTCTTTATTCGGAAGCTCAAATTCAATTTGAGAACACAGTTAACTAATCCAGTCTTTCTGGGGATTTTATTTTGATTAGCCTTTGGATTTGGGGGAGGGAGATAGATTTTTTTCTTTGATGTTTTTCATAGGTATTTCTGGATATGAATATAGGAGTCAGAGAAAAAGAAGGCACAAAAGACTCACTCACCTGAAGCTGAATCTATTTCAAACACTGAGAATAAGAAAGCTTTGGGTACATGGAGTGGAGGTGTCTCACACCCTTGGCACAGCTGCTTCACTGTGATAAGAAAGCAGAGCTCGATTTATGCTGACTTTGTTATCTAACCAGTTTATCCTGCAAACTACTGGGGGAGAAAAGGAAGAAATTCCTGTGAAATACAGCTAATGTTGGTCTTTCAAAGCACACAAAATGAAAAGCTGTGAGCATGACGCAAACTTGCAGGGGGGACTCCCAACAGGATTTCCTGTGGTGGAAAGGAAGCTTGTTGGAAGGCTTTTAATTCATTCAGAAATGTGGAGACCAATATGGCTGAGAGCTGGGTTTCACAGTTATAGAATGTAATATAGTACAGTCAGCTCAGGACATCCCATTTCTAAGTTATAAGAGAATTACGCATTCTGTGTTCATTCTGAACAGTCATATTGTTAACTTGAATGAGAACATTTTCCTTGGACATTTAATGTATTCCCTTCTGATAATTTTAAAAGGTAATTGTCAGATAAAATGAACACTTCATTGGGCACTTCTGTCTCTGTTCCAATATGGGAACTTTCCTTAAATTAAAATTTAAATCATTCCAGGTTTTAAACTGAATGTGTTGCAGAGACTTTTAGGAGATTTACATTACATAAATATTACAAAACAGAAGGAAACTCTACAAACAATCCAGAATTATTCAATCTGGAATCATTTGAAATGATAGTATTAATCAAGACTCAAAGCATTGGTTATAAGCTATTAAATGTATATTGATGTTATTTTAGTTAATTTCTATAGTATCGTCACATTTCCCACTGTTAGATATTGTTTTAAATTTTTAAAAAGACAGAAAACATTTAAGTTTGAATGCATAGATACCTTTTGGTAAAAGGAATGCTAAGGAAACCTCACGTGTTTGCCTTTTTTGTTTTAAATTGGACCAGTTTAGTCTATTGGAAAAGATAGGACATATGTTTCATTTCTTACCTCTTTGATCACGTCATTGGTTAAGTTTCACTATTGTTTTTGCCAGCTTACTTAGAAGCAGCTGAGTTACCATTATTACATTAAAAAGTACTAAAGTATGATATGCCATACCTTAAAACTTCCTCAAGAATGAAGTTTACCTTCTCAAAAATAGAACCAGGCTGGGCACGATGGCTCACACCTGTAATCCCAGCACTCCTAGCACTTTGGGAGGCAGAGGTGGGTGGATCACTTTAGTTCAGGAATTTGAAACCAGCCAGGGCAACATAGTGAAACCTTGTCTCTACAAAAAATACAAAAATTAGCTAGGTGTGGTGGCATACACCTGTGGTCCCGGCTACTCCAAAGGCAGAGGTAGGAGTGCCATTGTACTCCTGCCTGGGTGACAGAGTGAGATCCTGTCTCCAAAAAAAAAAAGGAACCAGGTTTGCTACATAATAGGAATATTACAAATTGTACTTTTGTTGTTAAAAGAAAAACCTTAGACCAATTAAATTTAACAGAGTTTAATTGAGCAAAGAACAATTCACCAGTCGTGCAGCTACTGAACCAGAATAGGTTCAGAGAGACTCCAGCACAGCTACTTGGTGGAAGTTATGGACAGAAAAAGGAAAGTGGCTACAGAAATTGGAAGTGAGATACAGAACCACCCAGATTGGTTAACACCTCCGCGTTTGCCTTATTTGAACATGGTTTGAACAGCTGGCCACCTTTGATTGGCCAAAACTTGGTGATTGGCACAAGAGTAGGTTACAGACTGTTTACACATCCAGTTAGGTTACAGTTCATTATGTACAGGGAAACCTTGGGCTAAACTTAAAATATGTAAGGAGGCAGCATTAGGCTAAACCGAATTTAACAATGTGTGCATGTGATTTTAAAAATCTCTATATTATATATGTTTGTAAGTTTAAATAGAAGCTATGAAGTGACTCCTTATATAATAAATGTAAGGTATCTTTGCTCCAGTGTATCTGCCTTTAGAAATAACTCACTAATAAATATGAGGCACTGAACTCGATGCAGAAGGCATGTTACTGTCAAAAAACTTTCTAGAAGCTTGATAGAGCTCTTAACAGGGTTTATTTTGGGGGAGAGCATGTAATAAATTGTAGTCTTAAACTGTTACAGATTTCCTGATACCTCCAATGGACTATTCTACCTTTAATTTGGTAAATAAATGATGTTGATGACAACAGCTTTGCAGTTATGAACTAAGCAATGCCTTATGTCTCCGTTTGCCCTTGCTTTTTTCTTTTTCTTTTTCTTTTTCTTTTTTTTTTTTTTTTTTTGAGGTGGAGCCTCGCTCTTTCACCCAGGCTGGAGTGCAGTGGCACGATCTCGGCTCACTGCAGCCTCTGCCTCCCGGGTTCAAGCGATTCTCCTGCCTCAGCCTCCTGAGTAGCTGGGACTACAGGTGCGTGCCATCACGCCCAGCTAATTTTTTGTATTTTTGGTACAGACAGAGTTTCACTGTGTTAGCCAGATAGTATCAATCTCCTGTCCTTGTGGTCCACCCGCCTCAGCCTCCCAAAGTGCTGGGATTACAGGCGTGAGCCACCTGTGCCCGGCCATGCTTTTTTCTCTAATTAAAAATAGGGCTGGGTTTGGTGGCTCACACCTGTAATCGCAGCACTTTGGGAGGATGAGGCGGGAGGATCAGATGAGGCCAGGAGTTCGAGACCAGCCTGGGCAACATGGCAAAATGCTGTCTCTACTAAAAACACAAAAAATTAGCCAGGTGTGGTGGCATGCACCTGTAGTCCCAGCTACTTGGGAGTCTGAGGCATAGAATAGCTTGAACCTGCAGGCAGAGGCTTGCAGTGAGCTGAGATCACGCCACTGCATTCCAGCCTGGGTGACAGAGCGAGACTCTTATCTCAAAAAATAAATAACAAAGAAATTATTGTTTAGGGTTTTGTACTATCAAACCTAAGTAAAAAAACAATGTATGCTAAAGAAAAGGTTTATGTATAACAGGAGTGAGCAGTAGAGGTGATAAAACACATCTCTTTGAGAATGTTTATAGATTATGACCTCTCAACCACACTTGTGCACCTATTTTTTTTTTTTTTAAATGAGAGACAGTTCTGACCTGCTGGTTTGGGTTGCTGCTATGTGGCTGTTCAGTCATTTATTTGCCAGGCATTTTGGAAACACTTATTTACTATGTGCCAGTTACTGTCCCAGGTGCTAAGAATTCAAAGGTTAATAGAATTAAGGTCCTTGCCCTGGAGAAACCTCATAGTTGCTCTTCAAAAGCAGTATTCCTAATATGGTTTGTTCTTGCTTCTCCATACTAAGAGGTGAGGAACCCCAGGGCAAATAATTTCAACACTGGATAAATCTGTAAAGAAAAAATGAGCCATTCCCAGTCCTGCACCATGTTTATGCAAGTTTATTTTCCCCAGTTCTCCAAAATGTAAAGTCTCCCTGTTGAGTTGTATTGTCTGGTCTGATTTTGGTACATGCTGAGCTCACCCCTGTCTTTCTGCCTTTATTATAGCTTGTTCCTCCTTCCCCTGTAATCTGAATTCTACTTGTGCTTTAAAGCTGAGCAAAATGTTACTTTGTCCACACACAGTGCCATTTCTTTCTGGTTGTTCCTGCTCAGCCTGAGCGCTCCATAATCTTGGCCTATCCATCATTGACGTCACAACAGGTTAGCCCTTAATCACATATTGTTTTGCACATCTTGTTTGTTTTTAGTCATACCTCCCCAACTGGATTGTCTGAGCTTTAATGGGACAAACTGCTACTAACCACAGTTTGGCCTCCCAACTTTTTGAGGAAGAAAGCTAGACTCTAGCATTTGATGGGTGGCATTTACAAATTAATGAGATTTTAAAATTAACTGGATTATCATCAAGTTTCTACCCACATGAGTAATAATCAAGCTTGAACTCTAAATTAGAATTGTTTAAGCCCTGTAGGTTGTCGAGTTTAATTTAACATCATCTTTATGCAATAAGTCACCTAACATTGTTCTTCATGAAAATTTAAACCAGGGATTGGCAGCTCACTGGACTTGGCTTGCAAGCTTGCCTTGTTTGGACTTTATAGTACTTGCAAAATCAAGACATGTTTTACAGAAATTTGGCTGGGGAGTGTGGTGGCTCACGCCTGTAATCCCAGTACTTTGGGAGGCTGAGGTGGGCGGATCGCTCGAGCTCAGGAGTTCGAAACCAGCCTGGGCAACATGGTGAAACCCCATCGCTATTAAAAAATTTATTTAAAAACATTTTACAAAAGTTGAGATCTCTAGTTTGTCTGAAATAACCTTCCCCATTCCAATGAACTGTAGGGAAAACAGCTAATTTTCAAAGAGCCATGAAAAAGGCAAGTAACAACAAGATTTATTGAATGTTTACTATGTTCTAGACACTATTCCAAGAACAGTATTAACCCTCACAGTATTTCTAGTAGGTAGATACTATTATTAAACTTATTTTATAGATGAGGAAGCTGAAGCTCAAAGAGATTAATCAACTTAATCTCCAGGGTGTTTCAGGGTCACAATTTGTAATTTGTGGAATGGAGATCCAACCTAAGCAGAAAGCAGACTAACCACAGTTACCCATAATCATGCTTTTACTGCCTATTCAGAGAGACTGGAGGCATCTGTTCAAAAGTCTTCCCTAAAATGATGGACTAGATTTGGTTATAAAGTAACTAAATCCATTTTAATATGTGCAAGTGGAACAGTTGCTTATTTTTCTATTTCCTCAGTTTGCAGTTAACTTAATTCTAAACTTTGAAACAAAATGACAGCTGCATGAAGAGACCTGCACAATCCAATTGCTTAAAATTAGTTTGCTTGCTTATTATTATTTTGATTAAAGACTTACTATTTTTGTCACATTTGCTCATTTCCTAGGGTTATAGCAACCTCAGTCTTCCTAAACTGAACTGATCTTTGTTTTCTCTGGATTCTGTCTGTACTTTTCATTTGGTCATTCCATCATATCTTTTGTTTTAGTCTTGACCTCCCAATTAGATTGTAAACAGTTTAAGAATAGCACAATTCTTTATTTCTCATCTATGTATAATGTAACAGAACATTTAGAACAATTTTTACAAAGTTGGTTTTTACAGGTACTGTATGTCTGAAATGATACTAGGATTAAACTATTATATATATATATATAAAGTGTGTGTGTATGTGTGTTTGTGTGAACTATTATTTGGGAAAATTTTAAGCACGCTTTCAAGTAGAGAGACTAGTACAATGAATCCACATGCACTCATACTCAGCTTCAACTAATGTGTTTTTTGTTGTTGTGTCTTGTTTTGTTTTGTTGAAATGGAGTATCACTCTGTCACCAGGCTGGTGTGCAGTGGCATGATCTCTGCTCACTGCAACCTCCAGCTCCTGGGTTCAGGTGATCCTTCTGCCTCAGCCTCCTAAGTAGCTGGGATTGGCGTGCGCTAATTTACAATTTGCAAATTGTAAATTTGTATTGTATTACAAATACAATACGTTTTTGTATTTTTAGTAGAGACAGGGTTTCATCATGTTGGCCAGGCTGTACTTGAACTCCTGACTTCAAGTGATCTGCCTGACTCAGCCTCCCAAAGTGCTGGGATAACAGGCGTGAGCCACCGCGCCCAGCCTGTTTTTTTGTTTGTTTTTTTTTTCTTTGAGACAGAGTCTCACTCTGTTGCCCAGGCTGGAGTGCAATGGCAATGGCGCAGTCTTTGTTCACCGCAACGTCTGCCTTGAGACAGAGTCTCACTCTGTTGCCCAGGCTGGAGTGCAGTGGTGTGGTCTTGGCTTACTGCAGCCTCCGCCTCTCAGGTTCAAGCAATTCTCCTGCCTCAGCCTCCTGAGTAGCTGGGACTACGGGCGCCCGCCTCCACACCTGGCTAATTTTTGTATTTTTAGTAGAGACGGGGTTTCACTGTGTTGGCCAGGCCGGTCATGAACTCCTGACCTCGTGATCTGCCCGCCTCGGCCTCCCAAATTGCTGGGATTACAGGCATGAGCCACCACACCCAGCTCCAGCCTGTTTTTTTAAATTGTGAAATACACATAATGAATATTTTATATACTATATATATGTAGGAATAACAGTTAAAAAATAAACTCCATGTTGTGATCACTTAAGAAATGAAATGTTATCAATACTCCTAAATCCCCTGGAATGCATTCCCTTCCCTCCCACCCGAGATAACTCCCACCCTGAATTTTGCACTAATTATTTGTGACTGAGATTGCCGCATTTGTTTGTACACCAACAACTATGCTCCTTTCTCCTTTAGTAATACAACTCCCCAAGTTTTAACTGGATGCCCACCTTCTAAAGACTATATTTCCCATGTTCCCTTGCAGTTATATATGAACATATCAGCAGGTTCTGATCACACATTTCTGTTCACAGTGATGTGAACAGAAATATGTGCAACTCCCGTGTTGTGTCCTTAGAAGGATTGTGCTCTATTCTCTCTTCCTGTTCTATTGATTGGAATGCGAACATGATGGCAGGAACTGAAGCAGTGTCTTAGAGACTATGAGATGGAAGTCAGGTGTTGAGGATGGAAAGCAAAAGGATTAAATAACTAGGTTTTATTCTCTCCAGCTGTATGTGGCACTGTCCTTGTCATTTCTCTTCTAATGTGTCCTGGTAAGCTTTACTTACACAGTTTTAAAGATTTATTTTTAACAAAGTAACATGGTCACATGTTCAAAATCCACAAGATATTAACATACAGAGTATGGCTGGGTGCAGTGGCTCACACCTATAATCCCAGCCCTTTGGGAGGCCGAGTTGGGAGGATCGCTTGAGTCCAGGAGTTGAAGACCAACGTGGTCAACTTTGGGAGACCCCCATCTCTACAAATATGTTTTAAAAAATTAGCCAGGCATAATGGTACATGCCTCTGGTCCTAGCTATTTGGGAGGCTGAGGTGGGAGGATCACTTTAGCCAGGAGTTTGAGGCTGCAGTGAGTCACAATTATGTCACTGCACTCCAGCCTGAGTGACAGAGCAGGACCCTGTCTAACAAAACAAAACAAAAATACAGAGAAACAGAGTGAAAACTTTCCGTTTTACCTTTGCTGCCTGCTACCCTCCCCCAAAGGCAAATAGTACAACCAACTTCTTTTATATCTTTCCAGGAAAATTTATGTATCAGTATGTGTTTTAAATATAATTAGATTATAAAATTTAGGAAATAGTTATAGTTCCTAATCAGAAATGTCCGAGGGCCTTTGCTTTGGGCCATGGTTCTGGGTTTTATCTTAAGTGGCAATTTCAGTATCGTTAGTGCCTTCCTAAAGGGCTGCTGAAAAGAATTCTGAGGCATGTTGTGTTCAGTTAAAAAACAAAATGTTATGATCATTTATCAAAGTCTGCTTTGGGCACAGGAGTGGGTAGTGGCCACATGTGTCCAGGTTATCTGATGACTAAGCTGTCATTCTCTTGAGTTCTTTGAGTTTAGTTGATGAGAGCTGAGCAAAGAGGAGTCCCAGCACAGTAATATCGGATGGTCCAACTATCTGAACTGCAGTAAAGGACGAGAGTATTTTGAAAAAGCCAAGTGCATGTGCCAGAGCTTATGCATTTTACATACTGGGGAATCTGAAAGCTCCTGCCTAAAACTTCTTTGGTCTTGATTTATACAGAGCTCTAAACTAACAAGTTTAATAAGTCAGCTTCCTAATTCAAAGAACAATAGAGTCAGTACGTCGGAAAGGAGAAAAAGAGTACTTGCTATATGTAAGCCATGAACAGAAGTAAGAAATAGACAGGATGACAACACAGGAAGAACTTAAGCCACAGTAGCCTGGGGCCATTTAATGGAGGAACAGACACTCTCACATACTTCAGTAAACCCTTTTGCTATGTTGGAGCTATAGCACAGCAAAATGCAATAATTAGTGTTTATGGAGATGCGCCTGAGTCATCAGGATGGTGTGCTCAGTGCGCTATATTTAAAAGGTTAGACTCAATCAGACCCATGGAGGAATGGTAGCTTGCAGCCTTGAAAAAACAGAATAAGCAACTGAGAAGCCTAAATTGATACAGTTGTGCAGCCATCACTGCAATGCAGGTGTAAAATATTTTCATTACCCCTAAAAGTTGGCCCCCTCATCTTTATATGCAGTTAATCCCCAATCCCACCCCAACCCTAGGCAACCAATGGTCTACTGCCTGTCTCTATAAATTTGCCTTTTCTAGACATTCATATAAATGGAATCAAATAACATGTAGTATTTTGTCCCTGGCTTCCTTCACTTAGCCTGTTTTGAGGCTCATCACATGTATCATGAGTCAGTAGTTCATTTCTTTTAATTGCTGATTAGTATCTCATTGTATGGATTTTACATTTTACTATGTATAAGTCCTTTTTTTTAATAGTTCTTTTTTTGTTTGTTTCTGGTTTTTTTTGTTTTGTTTTGAGACGGAGTCTGGCTTTGTCGCCAAGGCTGGAGTGCAGTGGTGAGATCTCGGCTCACTGCAAGCTCCGCCTCCTGGGTCCACACCATTCTCCTGCCTCAGCCTCCCGAGTAGCTGGGACTACAGGCGCTGCCACCACGCCCGGCTAATTTTTTGTATTTTTAGTAGAGACGGGGTTTCACCGTGTTAGCCAGGATGGTCTCAATCTCCTGACCTCGTGATCTGCCCGCCTCGGCCTCCCAAAGTGCTGGGATTACAGGTGTGAGCCACCACGCCTGGCTGATTTTACATTTTACTTATCCATTTACCTGTTGTTGGATATTAGATTATTTTCAGTCACATTTGCTTTTGGGTTAACAATTGTTACCAAGTAACAATCATGAAGCTAAAATGATGATACAGAATTTCACAATTTGTTTTTCTCAGGGCTCCTTAATATAAAAGACTCCATTCCATATTCAAATTTGAGAAATACTGTTTAGGCATGTAAAATGTATCAGCAGTGTCCTAGTGACTATACTCACCCACTTTTAATTTTTATTATTTGTATTTTTTTTTTTTTGTGACTGAGTCTCACTCTGATACCCAGGCTAGAGTGCAGTGGTGTGACCACAACTCTGTTTAGCATTTTGAGGAACTGCCAAACTATTTTCCAAAATGGAAACACAAATTGTGCCTCGTTTTGTGTTCCCACAGCAGTATGTGAGGGTGCTAATTTCTCCACATCCTCACCACTACTTGTTATTATCTGACTTTTTAATTTTATCTATCCTAGTGAATGTGATATGATATCTCATTGTGGTTTTGATTTGCACTTCCCTGATGGTTAAGGATGTTTAGCATCTTCTCATGTACTTATGGCCATTTGTGTATCTACCTTGAAGAAACATATTCAAATTATTTGCCCATTTTAAAATTGAGTTAGCCAGGTGTTGTGGCTCATGCCTGTAATCCCAGCATTTTGGGAGGCTGAGGTGGGTGTATCACCTGAGGTCAGGAGTTCGAGACCAGCTTGGCCAACATAGTGAAACCCCATCTCTACTAAAAATGTAAAAAATTAGCTGGGTGTGGTGGCAGGCACCTGTAATCCCAGCTACTAGGGAGGCTGAGGCAGGGGAATCGCTTGATCCTGGGAGGTGGAGGTTGCAGTGAGCTGAGATCACGCCATTGCACACCAGCCTGGGCAACAAGAGGGAAACTCCATCTCAAAAAAAAAAATTAAAGTAAAATAAAAAATTGAGTTATTTGTTTTTACTGTTGAGTTGTAAGAGTTCTTTATATTTTCTAGATATAAACTCCTTGTCAGATATATGATTTGCAAATATGTTCTGTCATCCCGTGTGTTGTCTTTTTGCTCTCTTGATGGTGTCCTATGAGGCATAAAAGTTTTAAACTTTCATAAAGTTCAACTTATTTTTTATTTTGTCATTGTGGTTTTGGTGTTATTTCTAAGTAACCATTGCCTAACCCAGGGTCATTGATATTTACTTGGAATTTTATCGTCCTAGCCCTTACATTTAGGCCTCTGATTTTGTGTTGATTTTTGTGTAAAGTATAAAGTAGAGGTCCATATTCACTTTTTTGCATGTGGATATCCAGTTGTGCAGCACCATTTGTTGAAAAGACTATTCTTTTTTCATTGAATTATCGTGCTATCCCTGTTGAAAATCAGTTAACCATAAGTGTGAGAGTTTATTTCTGGACTTTTAATTCTGTTCCATTGATGTATATTGATGCATATGTATGTCCTTATGCCAGTACCACACTATCTTGATTAATTGTAGCTTCGTAGTAAGCTTTGAAATGTGAGTCCTTTAACTTTGTTCTTTTCAAGATTTTTTTTTTTTGCTATCCTAGATTGATTATATTTCCATATGAATTTTGGAATTAACCTGTCAGTATTTGCAGAAATTCAAACTAGCTGAGATTTTGATAGGGATTGCGTTGAATCTATACATCAATTTGGAGACCATTGCCTTCTTAAAAATGTTAAGTTGTCTAATCTATGACTATGAGATGTCTTTCCATTTATTCAAATCTTCTTTAATATTTTTCAACAATGTTTTGTAGTTGTTAGTGTGTAAGTGTAAAGCTTTTTTTTGAGATGGAGTCTCGCTCTGAGATCTTGGCTCACTGCAACCTCTGCCTCCCAGATTCAAGCGATTCTTCTGCCTCAACCTCCTGAGTAGCTGGGATTATAGGCACCCACCACCACACCTGGCTAACTTTTGTATTTTTAGTAGAGACAGGGTTTCACCATGTTGGCCAGGCTGGTCTTGAACTCCTGACCTCAAGTGATCCACCTGCCTTGGCCTCCCAAAGTTCTGGGATTACAGGCATGAGCCACTGTACCCAGCTGTTAAACTTCTTTTGTTAAAGTTTTTTCTAGTTACTTCGTTCTTTTTGCTGCATAATACTGTAAATGGGATTGCTGCCTTAATTTTTTTTCTAAATTGTTCATTGTTAGCATATAGAAATAGAGTCTTGTGTATTAATCTTGTATCCTTTCACATTGCTGAACTTGTTCAACTTCCCTTTTTGACTGCATATATATTTACAATAATAATCTTTTTTTTTTTAGACGAAGTCTCACTCTGTCACCAGGTTGGAGTGCAGTGGCGCCATCTTGGCTCACTCCAACCTCTGCCTCCTGGGTTCAAGTGATTCTCGTGCCTCAGCCTCCCAATAGCTGGGAGTATAGGTGCATGCCATCACACCCAGCTAATCTTTGTATTTTTAGTAGAGACGGGGTTTCACCATGTTGGCCAGGATGGTCCTGATCTCTTGACCTCGTGATCCACTCGCCTCAGCCTCCCAAAGTGCTGGGATTACAGGCATGAGCCACCACGCCGGGCCTACAATAAGAATCTTAATGTAATTCAGTGATATTTACTTATGGGTTTGTGAAATCAAGAAAAATTATTTGAACAGCTGTGGAATTTAAGGGCATAAAACAATTTGGGCCCCTTGCTCCAGGATTTTATGATCTTTCTCACATGCAGATATGACTGTTTCCACCTATGCATCCTACTTGATCTCTTACCACATCCCTTGCTCTATCCCTTGACCTCCATCTCATCCTTTCACTTTGTGCTTCAACAGATATACTTTGCATTCTGGCATTTCTTTTCAATTGTATGTGCTTTTTCCTTTCCCTGTAACAGATTCCCAGGGTATACTTTCAAATCTCAGATATTCCTGACAGTGATTGCCCCCAGGCAAATATAGGCACACTCTCTGTGTTCCTGTCGTCTTTTTTGTACATGGCTCTGCTGTCGTATTTATACTATATACCAGAATTGTCTCAGTGTCTGTGCACTCTTGGGCATGACTTTGTAAAGCATCTTGGAACCAATTTATTCTTGTCATTTACTATTTGCTTGTAATTGCTTATAACAGTGTGTATTAATCAGGTTTCTCTAGAGAAACAGAGCAAACAGGATATATTTCAGCAAGTCCCAAATCTGTAGGGCATGCTGGCAGGCCAGAAACTCAGGCAGGCATTGATGCTGCAGTCTGGAGACAGAATTTTTTCTCTTTAGGAAACCTGAGTTTTTACTGTTAAGGCCTTTCAGCTGATTGAATGAGGCCCACCCACATTATGGAAGGTAATCTGCTTTACTTAAAGTCAACCCGTTATAGATGTTAACCACATGTACACAATATCTTCATAGCAACATCTAAATTAGTGTCTGATTAAATTACTGGATACAGTAGACTAGCTGAATTGACACATAAAACTAAGGATCAGAGTGTAAATTTCTGTAGGAAAGCATCTGTGTCTTTTGTTTCTCTTTACTCCAGGGGATCAAATGCAATGCTACATAATCAATTGATGTTTTACAAATGCTTGCTTGAATGATTGAATGACTTCAACAAGGTTAAGTCCAAAATCCAACTTGACAACTTGAGAGTTATAATTTTGGCAAGATTATTTCTGCTAGCAGGTGTTCTTTATTGTTAGATTTTATTAGCAGGAAATTGTTTCCCCCAATCTCTCTGGCAGCCCAATTATTTTCACTAAATATGCCTATACCTTCTGTTCTGGGTTTATTTCCACCTCAAGGTCACTGATCTATAATCTGCTATTGTCTTTAGCTGACTATCCTTCCAACCGTACTTAACTATTAAATAAATGTAGCATTCAAGAGTAACACAATGTAGTTACATTTCCTTCCCACCCTCTTCTGACCCATTTTGATCTTGCAAGCATTGGGGTCTTTCTACAGGAACAGTAATACTAGGTGTTTTGAAACACATTAAAGTCATGGTACTTTAGAGGGGAAAATGCATGGAACCTTACAGTAATGATTTAGTAATATCTATAAGACATGGTAGGGAGGCATAAAGAAGGCAAATATGGAGTAGAGAGGTTTGTTGCTCGTGGTTATAGGTACACCATAATATTTTCTCTTGTGCTTTTATATTCACTACTGGTGATGGTAAAACCAATATAATATGTTGTCTTTAAGGGACAGTGCCTTTTGGGAGATGGGAACAGTGGAGAGGTCATCCCAGTCTGATCTTAAAAGGGCCTACCCCAGAGTGGAAGAGATCCTCCATTTGTCCTGACAACTCTAGAGTAGAGATGTGGACATGTTTTGAGAATAGAGGAGAAAGGAATAGTCTCAGAAACAATACACTTGACAACAAATCCAAAGTATATATAAAAAAAGAAAACACTTTGGCCAGGTGCGGTGGCTCATGCCTGTAATCCCAGCACTTTGGGAGGCCGAGGCTGGTGGATCACGAGGTCAGGAGATCGAGATCATCCTGGCTAAAACGGTGAAACCCCATCTCTACTAAAAACACAAAAAATTAGCCAGGCGTGGTGGCAGGCACGTGTAGTCCCAGCTACTCAGGAGGCTGAGGCAGGAGAATGGCGTGAACCCAGGAGGCGGAGCTTGCAGTGAGCCGAGATGGCACCACTGCACTCCAGCCTGGGCGACAGAGTGAGACTCTGTCTCAAAAAAAAAAAAAAAAAAAGAAAAGAAAACACCTCAATAACTTTAAGGTGTCACCCAGCACAGTGTTTTTAAACTCTTGCCTCTGGATTTCTTCAAGTTTCTGCTAATGTGCTGGCAACATCTTAGTCAACCTTGCATCTATCTCTGCACCCATCCATGTAGTTGTGGTGGTGTTTTGTCTAGACGGCTGTGCCCTTAGCTGATCTCCCTGAAAAGACTTCGCTAGATTTGGCTACTGCAGCACTACAGCTGCTAAATTAAGATAAACTCTTAACATTCCTGACCCAGAATTACTGTATCCCCTTGCTAAGTCTTCTGTGTGAAGTGGCACCACGTTGCTAATTCTGTAGTTCCCAGTTGTTGTCAAATGCTCAGTGAACTCTTGACAACCATCTCAGACTTTAAAATATTTAAGCATCACCCCGATTACATTGCTAAGAGGTGCTGAATGTTTTAAATAAAGCTTACCTAAACAGTCTTGTCTCATTCCGGTTTCCCCTCACAGAGGAAGTGTCTTTCAATAACCCAAAACTACTGGCTTCTAATTTTAGGGATAACTAAGGTGGGACTAGGACAGAAAATAAGCTCTTCTCCATTGATTTTCCTTAGTCATTTTACTCCAGAGGCCTATAATTAGCTCTATTTTCTCCACCTGTGGTACATCTTTAGGTTAAAATGATGTTGGAGAAATAGTGGAGGATGTGCAGAGTTAGAAATTAGGGAGTGTACTTGGTCTCACTTTTGCATACTTAGATGAATGGCACTGGGGAAGAAGAGAAGGGGGACATTATACACCAATCTGTGTCCATTTCCTTTTATTTTTAATGATACTAATAACTCAGGGACACTTATTGATCATCTACTGTTTGCCAGGCACTGTTCTGAGTGTTTTACTTGTATTAACTCATTTAATCCTCACAGTACAAAAGCCCTGTGAGGTAGGTACTGACACTATCCCTATTTCAGAGTTGAGGAAACTGAAAGGGTAATTTATTCAATGTCACGGAGCATGTAAAAGTCAGCACTAGGCTGGGCACCGTGGCTCAGACCTGTAATCCCAGCACTTTGAGCAGCCAAGGCGAGAGAATCACTTGAGGCTAGGAGTTCCAGATAAGCCTGGGCAGCAAAGCGAGACCCCCATCTCTAAAAATATTAAAAATAAAAAATTACCCAGGCGTGGTGGCATGAGCCTGTAACCCCAGCTACTTGGGAGGCTGAGGTGGGAGGATGGCTTGAGCCCAGAAGTTTGAGGCTGCAGTGAGCTATGATTAAGCCACTGCACTCCAGCCTGGGTGATGGAACAAGACTCCATTTTAAAAGAAAGAAAAAAAAAATCAGCACTGGATAGAGTACACACTGTTTGTTGCTCTGCCATTCTGCTGGGACAGATAGCAAGATGAAAACAAAATTTTTTTAAAAAAGAGAAATATAAACGCTGTTGTTTCCCATCTGAAAACTCTAGTTTTACATGGTAGGGATTTTTGACCAACATTTTAGAGGTAGTTCAGCCCTGCAACACTAGGACGAGGGTTCATGGCCTGCAACACTAGCTGGAAAGAAAGAGGAAGTTTAGATAATATTAATAAGCTCCACCTAGAAGGATTAAATTCACTTGTGAGTATCACTGGGGTTGCTTACAACAACATTTTAAATACCCAGTAGAGGAGTCAAGTGCTTTCCTTAGTCCTCATTTTGAAATTTCATCAAATAGGGTGCTATTCCACACATAAGGCTTGTGTTTAGCTTATAAGGCCCTCCTCGATCTGCCTCTTCTTCTCCCTCATTATGCAATGACATAGAAATTCTTGCTTTTCCTACCTCCCATGTTTTATTCCTCCTACCTGGAATGCTGTTCTTTATGCCTCTCAGTGCAACCAATTTTCTGGTAAATCCTTCTTTTTTTTTTTTTTTTTTTTTTTTTTTTTTGAGACAGGGTCTCACTCTTGCCCACATTGGCCCAGGTGATCCTCCCACCTCAGCCTCCTGGGTAGCTGGGACTATAGGTGCTCATAACCATGCCTAGCTAATTTTTGTATTTTTTGTAGAAACAGGGTTTCACATATTGCCCAGGCTGGTCTTGAACTCTTGGCTCAAGCGATCCTCCCACCTTGGCCTCCCAAGGTGCTGGGATTATAGGCATGTGTCACTGTGTCCACATATATATATATATATATATATGGATATATATATATAAATACACATATATGTGTATATATATATACATATATGTGTGTATTATATATATACACACATATGTATATAAAGACACAGTTCAAGGGTCAAGTCTTTTACAAAGCTTTTTCTTAGATGAACTTCATCTCTCTCCCTGTTAATGGATCACTTCCTCCTATGTGACAGCAGCATATATACTTTTATATTAGCATCTCTAATATTTTATTGCAATATTTGTACATGGACCACAATGTGTGTTACCCGTCGTCCATAAAATAGGCACAAAAATTGAAGGTAAGCATTTAGACCTTGTATAGCAATTTAACAAAGTAATTTTATGACTCTGGAATCTAATAATAAAAATTGGAGATTGCATTTTTATATCTTAATTTTTATTTTTTTTTCTAGTTTTAAACAAATTTTTATGAAAGTATCCATCGTGAAGGATTTACATTTGAAAAAACTGGTCCTTTATTACAGATAGTTTGGGAAGCACTATTTATTATTTTTTCTTATCTGTCCTCTGTGCTAGGCTGTAAGTACCTAAGGGCAAAGTCCCTCTTGTATGAACAGTATTTTTGTATCAACAGTAATGAATTTGTTGTTCAGAACAATGACACTGTGACTCTCATAAAACCATTTTCATACCTATCACTTGTCCCTTTTTAAAGACTGAATTCTACTGTGTTTTATCCCTCAGTCATTGTACTTATCATTATCATACTGTAATTAACGGTTTATGGTTCTGTTTTTCCCACAAAACCTTAAGGATAGTTGAACCCGGCTCTTAATCACTTTTCCCTTCCAAATTCCAACCACAGTGCTTGGTATAAAATCAATGCTCAGTAAGTGTCATTGATTGAATGAACAAATGAATGGATTCTAGCTGCTTATCTGTTCCTTTTTGTTTTTAGTGACCTGATTATGGCTTGATTCATAAATTCACAGCTTATGGGTGTAAAATAGATCTAGAAGAATTAATTTCTGATGTCTCCCTATATCTACTACTACAATTTAATATTGTCAAGAATTATCTTTTTATGAAGATAATAAAATAATCTTTTTCCGTGTGAACAAAATGGGATTTGCATTTTTGTATGAATTACTTGTACCAATAAAAAGTCCTTGTATCACGTTGCCACTGATTTACGTTACTGTAATTCTGCTGCACAGGTTTGCCTTTCTTTGCAGGTTTGAATTTTGGTGTTTGTTTCTGAGCTGGTCCTCTCTTCCAAAAATAAGGCAGCTAACGGAAAACCCTACAAGTTTCTGTCTAAAAACCATTCCCTCTGATTCATTTACTATATTTTTTTCCGTACTTTTTTTTTTCTAAATATGTTCCCTATTCAGCTGACCTACGTAATTAGGACTTTGAAAAATCCCAGAAGAGCTCTATTTTGTAATTTACATTTGAATTATATATTTCAACAAAGCATCTAACCTTGCTGTGGAAGGATGTTAAGATTGTTTTTGAATATTGTATTTTAGCTTTCTCTGCTTATTGGACAATTGATACTTAAATTTTGTTTTAATCTACTCAGCATTTCAAGTTCTTTTTCTTCTTATATATTTTTGTAAGAAACCTCCATCATGAAATAATTTAGATATTTGAAATGTGAATAATGAAAGTAGAGTCAAATAAAAGTATATTTGCTTTAACTTTAGTAAAGAGGGGAAATATAAAAGTTGCATAAATTTAAAAATTAATCTGGAGATATTCCATGCTAAGGGCTTGTTAAATAAGCAACATGAAGAGCATCAATCAGGTTGGACATTTTTATTGTCAATGTTTAGTTACTTCCAGTGTAGATTAGTGTTTTTTGAAACAGAAGTAGGCAGGGCTAACTGCCATATGAATAATTTACTTTCAGGGAACCAGGAAACATAAAAGTATAAATAGTATTTCTAATGGACTGCCAAATGTTATAATCCAAATAAAAGCATTTCCAGAGGAACCAAAAGAATGGGGGCATTCTATTTGTATGGAATATAATTTGATAAAAAATTATGAGCAGATTGCATTCATAGAGAAATAAAATATGTGTGAGGGGAAAACAGCTAATAAAGAGGAGACAAAAGAGAATAAAAGCAGTGATCCACATTTTGAAGATTTTTAGCTGGAGACACTGAGTGATCATAGCAACCATCTCCAAGGAGACCTGTGGAAATGTGAAAAACGCTGAGGTCACACAGGCGTCCAGAGAAATTCCTTATTGATTAACAACTTCTAGATATGTCTTTCTCTCTTCACCTTCAATGCCTCCAACCTTTCAAACAGCATTTATTAGAAAGATAAAGGAAAACCAAATGTGATTTGCCCTGAAGAGAAAAAGTAACTCTCAGAACAGAAACTCAGCTCAAAACGTTTTGAGCAGCCTTTCACTAACCTTCAAAAGCTATTCAGAAACTTGGATATTAATGAAGTGAGAAGTCTCAAGGATGAAATAGAAGCCTTGGTCATAGGTGGTAGTATTGGTTATTGTTTTACTGAAAAAGAGGCAAGTTTAAATTCTAGGGCTTGGAAGCAAAATGCTCAGAAATGGTGTCTTTTCTTTTCTTTTCTTTTTTTTTTTTTTTTTTGAGATGGGGTCTCACTCTGTCACTCAGGCTGGAGTGCAGTGGTGTGATCATGGCTCATTGCAACCTCTGCCTCCCAGGCTAGAGCGATCCTCCCACCTCACCCTCTCGAGTAGCTGGGACCACAAGGCATGTGCCACCATGCCTGCCTGATTTTTCTAGAAATGAGGTTTCACCATGTTGCCCAGGCTGGTCTCAAATTCCTGAGCTCTAGGGATCTGCCCACCTTGACCTCCCAAAGTGCTGGGATTACAGGCATGAGCCACCATGCCCAGCCTGAAAGGTTGTTTTATAATTCCTTCATTACAAATCAGGCAGATCCCCACCAGTTTGAGACACCTTTAGGTGGGTGATGAGAAACTGTGTGCCATCTTTGAGGAGCATGATTTCCTTAGTTCATTCAGTTAGTAAACATTTATTACTTGTCTGCAGCAGCTCAGCCAGCTCTATACCAGACGCTGGGAAAACAAATGTCATCCGTGGTCTTGAGATGCTAAAAGTTTAAAGGGGAGATGGACAAAATAACTAAAACTGAAAGCAGTAATTACATACTGTAGGAAATGTGTGCAGAGTGTTCTAAGCATAGAGGGGCTGGAGGGAAATGACGGGGAACATTTGAATCAGGAAGAAATTCCAGAGGAAGTTGTGACTATGCTGAAAGCTGAGAAGGGGCATAAGGTGCCTAGGATGATATAAAAGTCATGAGATTTAAGAAAGGTCTGGGAATCGCATGCAGGCCAGTAGACTTAATGAGAAGTAGTTAGGGTGTGAAATGTGACAAAAATTAAGTACTCTTCTGCTCCACCCTCTATCCATTTATTTCTCCTTGATTAATTTTGGGGAAGTTGTGGTTTGGATCTGAGAGGAGAGTGTGCCATTTGATCAAAACCACGAGGCCAGATCATTTTCCAGTACCACCAAGGATCATTTGGCATGGGCTGCTGATTTCTGCTGTGGTCTCACCTTGCTCAGCAAGGTCAGATTGCATATAGATTTCATGTGTTCACTTTAAGGAATCTCACTTGTGAGATTTAGTCATATTGCAAGCTTTATATCTACCCCATGGGATATAACATATGGGATATGCTATTTAATGGCAGTTATGCAGATTAAATGAGCAAATATATGTACAACACTAATAATAAATACTGCCTGATACATAGTAAACACCGTATAAAGCGTTATTATTGTTATGATGAGTAATTATTATTCATCTGGGATTCTCCTGAGTCGTCGGAACCCCTGGGCTGTCCTTTGGACCTGGAGCCTGAGCAGAACTGGAAAAGACTCCCAGAAAGACCTAGGGCTCTCTAAGACAGTATGGTCCATTAGAGGTATGGATGCCTGGGTCTTGGCTAGAGTCCAGGGTGGAAAATATAGGTCAGTTCACTGAAAAGTTCATTTTTATTGTGAGTGTGTTGGGAGCAATGTGAGTCAACAGCACTGCGCAGTTGCTCCTTTTGAATTTGCTACCATAATTTTTGGAAGGGACTGCATGGGCTTCACAGCAGCGAAGGCCCTGGGTTTTACTACTATAAAATAAGTCATCATCTAGGATGTGAAAGAGCTTGCTTTCTGTTTTGTTTTAAAAGGATATATTATAGCTGATAGTGCAAATCTACTCTTAAGAATTTCTAATTACTATTTGAATATGGTCTCTATTTCAGAACCTGCTTAGGCCCAAATTTGAAAACAGTTTATAATGAACCTGCTTTCTGTAATTCTTGTACACACCAATTTCCCACCCTGCTTTCTGTAATTCTTGTACACACCAATTTCCCACGCTAGCTGTGAGAAGTTCATGGGATGATGTGTCTGTGTTGTTTATCCTACAGAAAACCGTGAATAAATGGCTGTTATTTTTGCTATTCTCGTCTTGCTGATTTCCTATGCTAGTGGCTAGCACAAATGCAAGATTATATTGTGCCATACTCACTGGAAGTTTGGTGGCTACAAGATTTCCCTAGCACATGGCCTTAGTCTGAGCAAACTGTAGCAACAACTATAGGATGCCCAATTGGTTCACATTTTAAAATTGGGTGTGGACAAAATCAGTCATAGTAAAACTGCGTAAAGAATGCAGATTGCTCAAAGCTATGTCCTTGAGCAATAAAAAGCCGCTTTTTATGAGGAAATTACACTGTCGTTGTGCAAGAATAATATTGTGCTGGACAAAGTGCTAAATTCTTTTTTTAATCATCACAACCCCTCCTCCCCCCATTACCCTGTTTTAGAGATGAGAAAACGGAAACCCAGTGAAGTTAAGCAACTCATTCAAGGTCACCCAGCTAAGAAGACTAATGAGAGCCTTGATTTGAACCTGGAAGTGTCTGACTTCAGGGTTCATGAACTAAGCCTTTTATGCTCTATTGCTTTCTCTCTTTTTTTAAGACAAGCCTCACTCTGTCACCCAGGTTGGAGTGCAGTAGTGCAGTCATGGTTCACTGCAGCCTCTGCCTCCCAGGCTCAAGTGACCCTCCCACATCAGTCTCCTGAGTAGCTGGAACTACAGTCATGTGCCACCATGCCCAGTTAATTTGTGTATTTTTTGTAGAGATGAAGTTTTACCATGTTGCCCCAGCTGGTCTCGAATCCCTGGGCTCAAGCAATCTGCCTACCTCGGTCTCCTAAAGTGCTGGGATTACAGGCGTGAGCCGTTGCACCAGCCAGTGCTCTATTGCTTTGTTTGCACTATCTAGGCCATTTGTTCATCCATTTATTCATTTATTCCATAAATATTTATTGTATATGCCGAGTACTCTTCTAGGCCTGGAAATACTGTGGTGAACAAGAATGTCAAAGACTCCACAGTTAGGGAGTTTGCATTCTAATGGGAGAGACTTAAAATAAACAAGGAAATGAGTGCATGAGTGTGAGTCAGTGTGTATGTATATATTCTTTGGGGAGTGACGTGTGCTATAAAGACAAATGAAGTTCAGAGAAGAGGTATGTTAGTTATTTCGTATTTTGGTTTTTTTGGGGAGGGGTGTTTTTTGTGTTTTTGTTTGTTTAGTTGGTTTTTAGAGACAGGATCTTGCTCTGTGGTGCAGGCTGGAGTGCAGTGGTGTAATCTCAGCTCACTGCAACCTCCGCCTCACGGATTGGAGTGATTCTCCCACCTCAGTCTCCTGGGACTGGAAGCTGGGACTACAGGCACACACCACTATGCCTGGCTACTTTCTGTATTTTTTGTAGAGACAGGGTTTCGCCATGTTGCCCAGGCTGATCTGGAACTCCTGGGCTCAAGTGATCCACCTGCCTTGGCCTCCCAAGGTGCTGTGATTACAGGTGTGAGCCACCATGCCTAGCCAATATTTTAATCGTTTTAACTTAACATTTAATATATATTTGTATATTAATGATCCACCTGCCTTGGCCTACCAAAGTGCTGGGATTACAGGTGTAAGCCACTGTGCCTGGCCAATATTTTAATTGTTTTAACTTAACATTACATATATATATATATATATATATACACATACACACACACACAACTATGTTTGAAAATTATAAAGGATAACAGTGTCATATGTATGACTTACCACCTAATCTACAAACAAAAGCCCTGCCAATTCTGTCGCACTTATCTGTGCTCTGCCCCATCCCATATACCTGCCTATCTTTTGAAGCAACTACTTCCTAATTTTTTTCTTTCTCTTGCCTTTTTTTAAAAAATGTTATTTATCCCTTAAAAATATGCTCATAAGTACTATACAGCTAATTTTGCTTGTTTGTTTTGATTTGTAAAAATAGTATAACTGTTTGACATTGTTGCATGTAGCTGTAGTTCATTCATTTTAAAAGCTGAATTATGTGTTGTTGGGTGAGTATGCAGAATCAATTGATTCATTGCCCTGTTGGTGGATATTTGGATTGTTTCCAGCTTTCTGCTATTTGAACAATGTTGCTGAACATTTTCATGTGTTCCTATTAACACACATATACAGGAGTTTCTCCATGGCCTATTGCTGGGAGTGGAATTGCATGGTTATTGGGTATGTCAGTGTTCAAGTTCACATGATACGACTGCATTGTTTTCCGAAGGAGCATCACCAGTTTACATTCCCACTCATAAGTGATTAAGAGCTCCAGCAGACCCACTTTTTATCAGCACGTGGTATTATAAAACATCTTAATTTTTGCCAGTCTGGTGGGTATAACATTGCATTGTGGTCTTCATTGACATTTCCTGATAACTATTGAGATATAGCCTCTGAAGAGGTGACTTGAGCAGAAACCTGAATGAAGTGAACGACCAAACCATGAATGACTGATGGGTGGAATGTTCCAAGGCAACAAAACACAGGCTGAAATTATCCTGAGATGTCCATGGAGTAGCAAGAGAGTCCTTGTGAATAAAGAGAAGTGAGCTGGAGATACAAGGTTGGGAAGGAGTGGAGAGGCTAGTTCTCCTAGAACCTGGGATGCCATGGTAAATACTGTACTTTAGACTTGATATGAGAGTATGAGAAGACATGACAAGGCGATTAGAAGGGAGGAATGTGATTTGATTAATGTTTTTAAAATATGTTGGCTTCTATGTGATTGGATTATAGGGGATGATGAGAATGAGACCCTAGAGATGAGTTGGATATGCAGAAGTTAAGGCAAGAGATAGTTCTGGCTTCTGTCAGTGTTGGTGAAGAAGGTGGTGAGAAGCTAGATTCAGGACATAGTTTGAAGGTAGGCTGGTGAGTGAGACCTGTAAATGGTTTGGATGGAGGTGTGAAAAAGGGAGGAATTAAGGATAATATCCTGGTTTGGGAGTGAATAACAGAGAATGTAGATCCATTGACGAAATGGGAAAGACCTTGAAAAGAAGAGTAGGGTTGGGGAGAAAATGAAAAGTTTTTTTAATATGGAGAATATATATTCATTGTATTTGTAGCTACCTACTTGACATGTCATCTGTTGATGTTTCAAAAGTACCTTCAATTAAACATGTACAAAACTGAACAAATGCTTTTTTGTCCCACCCTTGAACTTCTTCCTTATCTCAGTGAGTGGTGGCCCATCCATCTGGTTCGACAAGCCAGAAATCTGGTAGTCATCTTTAATATCTCCCCCTAGCTTGTCACCAGTACCACTCCATTACCACCACCTGACAGTTTACTTCTAAAATATCTCTAGAATGTGTTCATTTATTTCCATCTCCATCGTGATCACTCTAATGCCAGCTACGTTACCACCAGTTTGCACCTTGAGTGCTGTCGTAATCTCCTAACTGCATTTGTTCTAATCTTTCAATAATCCATTGTCGACTCTGCAGCTGGCTCACTTTGAACCTCCAAGTTCAAAACCCTTCAAGACTTCTTTATTGCCTTTATGAGTAATCCACGATATGACCTGAATGACCAGGTTCCTGCCCATATCTCTAGTGCCATCTCTAGCTATTTTCTTCTCTCTGGGCATCTCTTTGTTTCTTGAAGGCACAAATTCATTTCCCTTCCTGGGCGTTTGCACAGGCTGAACCTGGAATACAACTCTAAGTAACATCATCCTTTAGATTTTAGCTCAAATGATACTTCCTTGGAAAAGCCACTCACAACCCCTGCTCCCCTAACGTGTACACGTACATATGCTCCCACGCCTGCCACAACTAAGGATTATCTGTTATATGTTCTTAAAGAATATAATTTCAAGGATTGCTTAAGCCCAGGAGTCTGAGGCTGCAGTGATCTGTGATCATGCCTGGTACGTAGAGAACATTTAATGAAGATTTGTTGAATAAATCAGTTGGGGAACAAGGGATTGCTCAAATATCTGAATTGATTTTATAGGCCTTTCTAAGAGAAATACTTTTGGTTATGATAGATAAACTCTTCAAAAAAAACTTGCTGGAAAGAGTCTTAGTTCCATTTTATATTTCCTTAGCCATCACAACTCTGCATCCACTATTTATTGTGAAGGAAATCAAGATAGGTGATTTCTTTCTTTTTTTTTTTTTTGAGACTGAGTCTCACCTCTGTCGCTCAGGCTGGAGTGCAGTGGTGTGATCTTGGCTCACTACAGCTTCTCCCTGCCGGCTTCCAGTGATTCTCTTGCATCAGCCTCCCAAGTAGCTGAGGTTACAGGCGCCCACCACCACACCGGGCTTATTTTTGTATTTTTATTAGAGACGGGGTCTTGCCATATTGGCCAGGCTGGTCTTGTAATCCTGACCTCAAGTGATCCACCCACCTCAGCCTCCCAAACTGCTGGGATTACAGGCATGAGCTACTGCACCTGGCCCAAGATACATGATTTCTAATCTATGGAATTTGATTTCTAATGTAGCTTAAGGAATTTTGGGGCAGGAACTCTAATTCAACTGATGTCCATATGTAAAACAGGATTATTGTAAACAGAAGGCATTTCAGTAGCATTTACAGATTTGCAGACTGTTTTTACATTAGGGATGCCCTGGAGTCAATGAAGTTTCTCTTTACTTAGCATGTTACCTCACAAGTAAAACTTTTCAAGTATTCAGACAGACAAAGTCTTAGTTCTTTACCATGGTAGACTAGGCCTCCATGATCCTACTTCAACCTACTTTTCCAGCATCAGTGCTTGCCACTTCTTGCACCATCCTTCACATTCCAGCCATACCAAATTGCTTGTAGTTGCTCATGTTAGAGCAAGTGCTCCTTGTCTGTGTTCCTGCAATACCCTGCAATATCTTGGGCATTGTTGCATGGGAGGCATCTGTTTGTCTCTCCCAATGAACTGTAAGCTCTTTGAGGGAAGAAACATTGCCATTTCTTTTTCGTATATTCATTTGTACAGAGTCTGGTGCAGAAGGACTCAGTCAATGCTTAATGAATGAAAGATCCAACTTGTGGTCAACCACAAGAGTAGATCTGTTTAATTACTGAAAGGACAAATCCACCCCAAGACTTGCTACTTGCTCCATAACCCACAGGCTAACTAGATAATATGAAAACGTTTGGTAGCATCTTCTCTAGGATATCTGCATTGCGTTTGCAGCTATCCTTCCTGGGAACTCACTGTTGGTACAAAGGAAAAGAATTTTGTCACCTTTCCTACTCACCTACTTAACTCAGAAATCATATGGTGACCAATCCATAAACTAAAATGCTAATCCTATCACTCAGAGGTAAATGCCACTAATATTTTGTAATACCCTACCAGCCTTTTCTTATGTACTTTTATGCATTATTGCCCTAAAGTTGGATCAAACTCTGTCACTTTTTTCATGACATAGTTTCTCTCCCTCTTGCTCCCAGCCTTATAGATAGATTTTATTCATGCTACTATATATTATATTTACAACAACATCATTTTATAACGGCCGTACTTACAACATCTTTTATAAAGGCTTCTAAATATTTTGTTTATACATTAATATGTTACTTTGGCACTTTTTAATTTAAGGGGTGATTAGGATAAGGAAATCAATCTGTTGTAATTTTTTTAACCAGTGGTATCAAAGAATGATTTTATGTGAAAAGTTTGAGATTATAGCTACATCAGTACATAATTAAGATGATATTTAATAGATTACTTATTCTGTCTCTCTAATCAAAATTATCTGCTTCCGAATGCCCATTTTAAGATTCCTTGATAATTTTCTCTCCTATTAGACTAAGCAAGACCCTTTGGTAACAATCTCCTTTAAGTTTCTTCATTTTATACAAGTAGTATACATGATGGTTATCAAAAAACTTGTTAATTTCAGGAGGAAGTCACTTGAGTAAAGGCTACAGATTATACCATTGATTCTTAAGGGACTAAATTAATTAATTGGTAACTTGAACATTGACCACATAAGACATTTATATAACTTGATATGTGAACAAAAAGGTATGAGCTCAGCTGGGCATGGTGGCTCACGCCTGTAATCCCGCACTTTGGGAGGCCGAGGCAGGCGGATCACCTGAGGTCAGGAGTTCGAGACCAGCCTGGCCAACATGGCAAACCCTGTCTCTACTAAAAATACAAAAACTAGCCAGGTGTGGTGGCGGGTACCTGTAATCCCAGCTACTTGAGAGGCCAAGGCAGGAGAATCGCTTGAACCTGGGAGGTGGAGGTTGCAGGGAGGTGGAGGTCGTAGTGAGCCGAGATTGCACCACTGCATTCCAGGCTGGGTGACAGAGAAAGACCCCATTTAAAAGAAAAAAGAAAAAAAGAAAAAAAAGAGTATGAACTCTATAAAACCTTTGTCTTCAAATCTTTGTAGCCACATTAATTTTACTTCAGAGGTTCTTCAAGTTATTAGACCCTTTGATTAATCCTCAGAGAAAGTGGGTGCCATCCTTCTTTTGGTCTGAGTTGTAGATGAGTTGGGTTTCTATAAAGTACCTCTCATCCCAACCTAATAGTGCTCCATTGACCCAGAATAAAGTAAATCGGAAATAGATTCTTCATTAACTTTTTGTGATTATTCTTCCTTTGTTGAATCCATATTTTAGAGATCATCTAGTTTAGGCATTACATGAACAGTTTTTTGGAGGAGCATAAGGATTTTTTAAAACACCAATAGCTAGTTTACTATATGGTTTTCAAAAAGAATATTTGTAATCATTCCAACAATAAAAAGAATACAGGAATGAGCAAATTTATACCCTAGTGAACTTTATCACTTACATGATGAGGGGTTTCCGTGACTTTTTGCTTTTGGCAATGCCACCTTTTTTTATTGAGGATTGAAGGAGGGAGCAGTGTGGGGAACTCCCAGAGGGATCATTCTCTCAGGGGTTACTTGGTTACTTTGTGGCTTGCTCCTTGAGAACCAGCCTGTGAGGATGTGAAATAAAATGTGTGAGTGTCTCCAAGAGAGTTCTCACCTTTAGGTACTGTCTCAGCAGTGCCTGGCACATAGTACTGGGGCAATGTGAATTTGCCAAATGAATGATTGAATTAAGAAATGAATTAATTTAAAATTTTTGTCTTAAAAAATGAGATCGCAACTTAAGCCAAGCCATGCCATCTGGTTGGAGGCTATTTATGGCTCTCAAGTGGTGTCATTTTGGCATGGTACAGGAGGGGTGACTGTCACTGCATTTGATGTTATCCAATGTGTCCATAATGCTTTAAAGAACAGATGATTTAAAGTGAGTATGATTTGTTTCCTGGATCCTGATTTAGTAGCAGAGCCTCCTTATGAAGAAGTGGCCTGCCTTCTCTTGCCTGAATTTAAAGTAGTACTGCTTCAGGTGCAAATCATACCAGCATTCATATTCAAGGTGAATCTACTGCTGACATTATTATAAACTATTTACTTTCAGCATCAATGACTTAGTCTCTCATCAGGGCAGACAAATGCTAAGCTTTTACACTTTCTGATCATTGGGAAAAATAAATGAGATGTATAATGTCTTAATTTTGATGAGGGGTTTAAGTTAAATTTGAGGAAAATTGTTAATAGTTGTGTATATTAAAAAGCTTCATTATTAAAATTATGCCGATTAGTAGGATGTACCTGCAGTGCAGAAGTCAAAATTATCATGCACATTCAGTGTTTTAGAATTAAAATTTTGGGGGAAGTATTACAGCGAAGAAAAATTGAGGGAAGTGTTAACATTTATTGAGAATTTGCATATGTTACTTAATTTTCACAGTCACAGATACCACGTGTTAATATCTAAAGTAGAAAAAGGAATAAAGCAAAGGAGGACAAAAAGAAAAGGAGTAAGAATAATTTTTCTATGAAATTATTGATTGCTGCGCTTATACTGTAGCCCTTATACTGTGGCCTGTCCTTGTACTGATCAGGCCAGCCCGTCCACAGATAGAGATGGCATCCTTATGTTTATACCGGGAAGCTGTAGGTTTCCTATGTCTGACCCCACTTTCCCCTAACCCAGCCACAGTGGCCCAGTCTGTTAGGGCAGAATTTGTATTATGCCTTTCACACTTCCCATTTTGTTCTTTAATTCACACTGTAACCTAAGCCTAGAATGAAAACCTTCATGCATAAATAAGATGGTCCCTTATTGCAGGTGAAAAATCACTTTGGACTGAGGAGGACCACAACTTGCCCAGTTTCAAGAGGATTTCCTTTTATCCTTCTCTCTCAAATCCGCAATTTAATTTCATGTTCTAAAAATGATTGGATAATATATATTTATAGTAGTTTGATATTATACCACTGGTTTAAGCACTCTGATTCTTTCTTCCTCACACCATCAATTACATAGACTTTTTGGATGTTCCAAAATTACCCTTCTAATTTAATATCTTAACAGCAAGCAAATGTGGATTTTTTGTTATAAATAATAGTTAAGAGTTGCTGAGCCTATGCTGTGTGTTGGGTGCTGTGCTATTCTATTCAGACAATCTTTATAATACTCTCATGGGGGATATAAATATAGTTATCATTCCAGTTTCATAGGAGAGGAAAGTGAAGGCTCAGAGAGGTGAAGTTCTTTGGCCATGGTCACCCAAGTTGCAAGTGGTCCAGCTGAATTTAGACCAACTTGTTCACCTCCTAAGTCTGTGCTCTGCCTGCCTTCTGGGTAGGGCTCAAGTCTTCTTTTTGTTTGTTGTTTTTTAGGATTTTTATTATTAATATTATTTTTGTTTGACAAATCATAATTGTATACATTCATGGGGTACAATGTGATGTTTTGATATATGTATACAATGTGGAATGATTAAATAAAGTTAATTAACATATCACCTCGATTACCTATCATTTTTTATGGTGAGACACTGGAAATTCATTCTTAGTTATTTTGAAATATACAATACATTATTATTGACTATAGCCACCCTGATGTACAGTAGGTCTCAAAACCTATTCCTTTTCCCAATGTGAAACTTTGTACTCTTTGATCAACACTTCCCATTCCCTACCTTCGTATTATGTCTTTTTTTGTTTGTTTACAGAGTCTAATATTATTATGGCTTTCTTATGATTTAAATATGAGTTGTCGATAATATTGAAATTATTCCATTTGTCATATTATGTGTCAATAAACCCAAACCTCTGACTTAGAACTTCATTCTATTTCTGAGCATCTCTACCTGGATATTTTTCCAATACCTCAAATTCTTCTCTCAACATACCCAATCCCCCGACCCCCCACCAATATATTTTATAGTAATGGAGGGAGTCAACTACTATATACATACGTATTTCATCTTGACGTCTGTTAGTATTTTCTTCTGAAATTCTTGACTTGAATAGATTCTACTCCCATGGCTTGGAAGACTTTGGTTGGTCATCCATTCCTATTCTACAGTTCTAGAACTTGCGCTTTGTAAGCACCTGCCTACCCCTACTACACCTCAAACTTTACAAGTGCAGACTATGACTGTACCCCTGGTGCCTGCTGCAGTCCCTGGCTGGCCCAGTCCCTAGCTGGCCCGGATTAGGTACTTGGTAAGTATCTATTGGCTGATTGCTACGCTTATCCTGTGGCCGACCATCAGGCCAGCCAGTCAGCAGATGGAGGTGGCATCCTCATGTTTACACAGAAGCTGCATATTCCCTGTTTCTGACCCCACTTTCTCTTAACCCAGTCACAGTGGCCCAGTCCGTTAGGTCAACATTTTCATTATGCCTTTCACACTTCTCTTTTGTTCTTTAGTTCATACTGTAACCTAAGCCTAGAATGAAACCTTTCTACAGCTTTCTCCATCCATTTCTGCAGTTTAAAACCTTACTGTCTGGCAAGACTCATATAAAATACTGTTTCCTTTATGGGCTCATGTCCAATCTCTTCAGAGGTAGTTGCTCTCACCTGTGTCCCCCAGAGCTATAAACGCTTTATGGTTGGTAATATACCATAATGTTCCCAGTTCCCTCAAATAATTTGTTATTTGAGGGAACTGGGAACCCTTGAGAACAGCTAGGTTAAATGTGATTTGTCAGTTTACTAATTCCCTTATTGATTCTTACAATAGGACTTCTCAGAGCCAACGTGCATTCAATATGCTAGAATGCATTGTGAATCTTCAAGTGAGTGGTATACTGTACATACAGTGCTTTTTGCCCCTTTGTTTTGCCTGCCTTGATGTCTAACAGAACCAGTATTTTCAGGAACCCACTCAGGATATGCTGCTGTAGGAAAAATAGCTGTTTTGTTAGTGTTGATGATGGTGTTGAGGTTGTCTTTTCCTTTTTCAGCCAAATAGTTATCAAATTCTATACTTCACCTCCTTCTAGATGAATGTACTTGAAAATTGCAGCATGCTACTCCTAAAAGTCACTCTGGGTATGCTTTGCTGATGGGAGTATAAAATGGTACAACTATTTTGGAAAATTGTTTGGCATTTTCTTATGAAGTTAAATATATACCTACCCTATGATCCAGAAATTCCACTCCTATGCATTTAACCAAGAGAAATGAAAACATATATCCTCGAAAAGACTTGGAGAAAAATGTTTATAGCAGCCTTATTCACAATAGCCAAAACTGGAAACAACTCAAACATTCTTCAACAGGTGACTGGATATGCAAATTCTGGTATATCTATACCACCATGGCCTGTTTCTCAGTTGAGACAGACAGAAAACACTATTCATACAAGCCCTAACATAGATAAGCTCAAAACCATGAAAGTGTTTTCAGTCTGTCTTGGGTAGTGGTTACATGCAGTGGTCCCCAACCTTTTTGGCACCAGAGACTGGTTTCATTGAAGATGATTTTTCCATGGACTGGGGGTGGGGGCGGTGGTGGGGATGGTTTCAGGATGATTCAAGTGCATTATAGTCAAATAATTATACAACTCACCATAATGTGGAATCAGTGGGAGCCCCGAGCTTGTTTTCCTGGAACTGGACAGTTCTGTCTGGGGGTGACAGGAGATGAGGACAGATCATCAGGCATTAGATTCTCATAAGAAACCCACAACTTAGATCCCTTGCATGTGCAGTTCACAATAGGGTCTGTGCTCCTATGAGAATCTAATGGTGCCATTGATATGACAGGAGGCAGAGCTCAGGCAGTAACATAAGCAATGGGAAATGGCCGTAAATACAGATGAAGCTTCCCTGGCTCATCTGCTGCTCACCTTCTGCTCTGCGGCCTGGTTCCTAACAGGCCACGGACCAATACCCATCCATGGCCTGGGGGTTGGGGACCCCTGGTTACATGTGTGTACACAATTGTCAAATCTCACTGAACCAAACACTTAAGGTCTGTGTGTTTGGTCTTTACTGTAGGTAAATTACCTCTGGGAGAATCAGGCTAGTGAGGTAGTCAGGAGCCTGGAATTTGGAGCCAAATGCAAATCCTGGTTCTACCATTCATTGTCACCAGGACTTTTGGCAAATTGCCTAAGTATCTGTTTCAGTTTTCTCATCTGTCAAATATAAATGAAGTTAGTATCTACCTTATAAGGTCATTACAAGAATTAAATTAGATTGTTAGTGCTCTTTAAGTTCTTGTTAAATAAAATGTAAAAGTAAAAACTCTGATCTTCATGACAGCACCTCAGTGCTCCTCTTTCTAGCTGCATCTGAGAATCACCTGGGGAGATTTTATAAAACAACGATACCTGGGTTCCATTCCTGGGGTTTCTGATATAGTTGGCTTTGGGTGGTTTCTGGGGATTGTGGTGTTTTTAAAGCCCCCACGAGTTTTTTTTTTTTTTTTAACTATGTTTTCATGAGTAATACTGTATGGTATGTATCATAATTATATAGTCAGTTTCCAATAATTCTGACACTGTGTAACAGGCGAACTGTATTTGCTGCATTTGTAGTGGTATTAAAAACCTTACCAGAGAAAACTAAAAAGATCCATTTTCTTTTTGTTTTAGAGTAAACTGTTCTTTTCAGAATTGTGTAGTTAGCTAAACTATAATTCAAAACAAAGTTCAAAACATTTTTTTCTTTTTCTATAAAAATGGGATATATGTGCAGAATGTGCAGGTTTGTGAGCAAAGGGTATGAACAGACACTTCTCAAAAGAAGACATTTATGCAGGCAACAAACAGATGAAAAAAAGCTCAACATCACTGATCATCAGAGAAATGCAAAACAAAACCACTATGAGATACCATCTCACGGCAGTCAGAATGGCAATTATTAAAAAGTCAGGAAACAATAGATGCTGGTGAGGTTGTGGAGAAATAGGAACGCCTTTACACTGTTGGTGGGAATGTAAATTAGTTCAAAAGATCCATTTTCCTAAGAATTACTGATGTTTGCTTCATTTTGTTTTCACAGAGAAATAACAGAAATTCGTAACACTCAAAAGGGAGCTCCCATGGCTGGGCATGGTGGCTCATGCCTATAATCCCAGCAGTTTGGGAGGCTGTGGTGGGCAGATCACTTGAGGTCAGGAGTTTGAGACCAGTCTGGCCAACATGGTGAAACATCGTCTCTACTAAAAAAAAAAAAAAAAAAAAAAAAGGGGAGCCCTCTTTTTATTCAAATCATTTTTTTTCTTTTATCAGAAAGCAATATTAAGTATTTGAAGTGCTTGAGGGGGAAAGCAAGCATTACTCAAATTGAGATGATAAAACATAGGAACTTTTAAAAGATGGCAACGCTACACCAAAATGCAAATTATGAGACTCTTGGCCCTTCTATTCAAAGCTCTATAAATGTTAGGTGTCACTTTTCTCTCTTTTTAATTATGAATGCAGGCAGTCCTGGAAGCATAAGTATCTTTGATGATTATATAGAAATAGGTTACATCAATTTCTTTTCTCAGAAGAAAGAAACCAAATGTACCTCACTTTTTGGGGAGCGAGTGAGTGAATTGTTTGGGCTTGCATTAATGGAAAAGATGATCTTACTCATTGGGATTGGAAAAAAAAAATTCAAAAAGCGTCAAGAATGAAAAAGCCGCATATGGCAATAGACTAATAGACACTTTTGGTTATTATTGCAAAGCTATTTTTACATTAAAAGATGAATATGGCCAGATGAGTTTCCCATAAATGTTCAATTTGGTTCTTTTTATGTAACTAATTTTGTTTATCCTTGCATGCCTCTTACTGATAATGAGTTGCTAATAGACTGGTTTATAATTCTAATAGCTTAATCTCTGTGCATTTGTGTAGCCAGTGTTTGTCCACCCTCCCCCTCCTTTTGTTTTTAAGTGAGAAAAAATCCAGTCACGTAAAGGGAATCTTTTATAATTGTTAAAATGTGTTTCTTCATCAATAATGAAGTAATGTTGGTAGTTTTATTTTTGTAGTTTTGGCCAGATGATTCACATTCGTACTGTGTCTGGATTGACTCAAAAATTCATCATTAATGAGCAAGAAGCGATACAGTACAGTGGAGTAATACACTTGAAATGAAACCAGTCATCTTTCCCTGCTGTTCTTCTTTTCTCTGGGCCTAAGTTTCTATATCTCTAAATGGATTAAAATTGCCTTTATTTTGAGCAAAAGAAGGTAATAGCCAAAGTACCATTAATCAATTGAAATCATTTCACTGGAAAAAATTTTATCTTGTAATTAACTGATGACACTTCTGTTTGAATACATTGCCATTCTGCAGTAAGTTGAATTTTTTTTCTCTTTCCTTTCTCTAACAAATATTTATTGAGTACACGCTACTACATATGGATGAAGCACTGTGTTAATGCAAGGAACAAGACATATCATTTGAGAGATTTTCTGCTTGAATCACCAGAATTATTCATTTATTCATTCAGCAGATATCATTATGCCTACCTTAGACAAGACATGATGCTACGTGCTATGGGTCTTGTCAAGATGAATAAGGCCAAAAGGCTGTGTGTTCAGAAAAATAGAGATCATACTTTATTGGGGAAGTCTCAAAGTCAAGGAATATTTTTCACAGTAGAAGAAATTTGAGTTGTGCCTTAGAACAAGGTGGATAAGAGTTTTAACATGCACATGGGGATTATTTTCTAGAAGGGAGGAAGAGAATAGACAAAGGAATGAGGGCTGGAAAGTAGCCTGCTGATCAGGTCTGGTTTGACTGGAATTTTGAGTGCACATAGAACGATGTAGGGTTAGGCCTAAAAATAAGAGAAGGACAGATTGTTGAATGCCTTGCATGTTGTCAGTCCAAAGAGTTTGGATAGATTATCTACCTGTCCATGTGATTTAACTGAAAGCACTGAGACAGGGACTAGCAAATGTTAAGAAAATTTCTCCAGCCTGGCCAACACAGTGAAACCCTGTCTCTACTAAAAATACAAAAAAAAAATTAGCTGGGCGTGGTGGCACATGCCTGTAATCCCAGCTACTTGGGAGGGTGAGGCAGGAGAATGCCGTGAACCCGGGAGGCAGAGGTTTCAGTGAGCCGAGATTGCACCACTGCACTCTAGCCTGGACAACAGAGCTAGACTCTGTCTCAAAAAAACAACAAAAAAATAGATTCTGAGTTTGAAAACCGTAGAATGTGTCAAATCAAACACATGAGCTAATCTAACCATACAGAATTTTGAGATGTCTTTAGATCGTCTAAACTTACTTTAGATTTGCAAAAAAGGCCATACAAAGAAATACAATATGCAGATATGGGTATTTCCCAACAGATCTTATACAAATTTGAAATTAAATTTCCATCTGTTGCTGGTATGCATGACCGTCATATAGAGAAATCTTTATTACTAATTCTTTTCATGAATGAATGAATTCTTTTAATAAATAATAACAAGTAAATAAAGTTTTAAAATTAGTTATCTTAAAGATTGGGATTGTGTTTCAAAGTCCTTGAAATATAGGGACCTAACACACTGATAAATTTTAAGAGTTTACTAGTCTGCAGAAGACCCAAGGAAATTGATTTTACCATTGGCATTTAAGATTGCACTTGCACTGTGCTCTGTTGAGTATACAAGAGAAAGGAGACTGCGTTCTTTGCCCCTGCTCACTTCCTTTTGCATTTTTTCCTGCATTCTGATATGAGACTGGTTGAAGTGGAAAATCACTCAGCAACCAAATATATGCCTGTGTTGTTGCTAGAAAGAACCATACGTAGGCCAGGAGCAGTGGCTCACGCCTTTAATCCCAGCACTTTGGGAGGCCAAGGTGGGCAGATCATGAGATCAAGAGATTGTGACCATCCTGGCCAACATGGTGAAACCCCATCTCTACTAAAAATACAAAAATTAGCTGGACTTGGTGGTGTGCGCCTGTAGTCCCAGCTACTCAGGAGGCTGAAGCAGGAGAATCACTTGAACCCGGGAGGTGGAGGTTGCAGCAAGCTGAGATCATGCCACCATAATCCAGCCTGGTGACAGAGCGAGACTCTCTCAACAAACCTGCACGTTATGCACATGTATCCTAAAACTTTAAGTATAATAATAATAATAATAAAAAGAACCATATGTCCTTGCAGGCAGAGTGGTGGTTTTGCCATTCTTGGGAGAGCATATTTTGGAAGAGGGGTTCATTCTTTGGCACCCAAAGAATGCATGAGTAGAGGGATAATACACAGATGCATACCTAGGTTATATGTGGTAGGGAAGTATAAGGATGGAGAAAAGGAAACCACTTTTCATTCAGTAAATTGTGGGCATGGGGACTATTAATGTCTATGAACCCAGATCCCTAGCTGAGATTTAGAAGCATACCAAGAACAAACAAACAAAAAACCTACACACAAACACAAAAAGCAGGTTAACCAGCACTGAATATTGAAAACATCATATCTAATAAATGCTATTTAGAAAATATAGAAAAGATGGTAAGTATCTTGCTACATTTTGGGACTATTTTAAAGGACAGTGTTAAAAGAACTATCTTTCTTTTCCATTTCTTTCTGAAAGGGATGCACAAGTACACTAAAAGTGAACCATTTACAACAAAAAGCTTGAGTAGTCAGAGCTTGAATCTAATGTGAGGAAACCCGTGGAGCTCATAAAACTTTAATAACTAGTCCCAGGTTTAATAAAGCAATCTTGCAAATTTTAGGTGAACCAATGGTAATTCATGGAAGTTTTTAGTGTTGCATAAGGTAAAATTGAAATCAGCGATGTCACAACAATGTTAATAAAAAGGACAAGCCACTTACTATAAATATAAGTAATTCTGGCACATGTGGGAAGGCACCCAAGGAAAAAAGCCATCCTTGTCACTTTAAAATAACCTCTATGCCAAAGTAAATCTTCAAGTAAAGAAGTTGTGTCCAAAGCCCTTAGGAATATCGTCCTTTTGCCCTGAGATATAACTTTCCTAAGAGTGAAAACCTTAACCTGAAAAAAACAAGGAGACTCTTCCTACTTATGTCAGTTAATTCTTGCCCACATGGAAGCTCTGCACTTGACAAGGCATGTCAACTCTCAGAGAGCCCATCCATTGTGTTGCTTCAGCTGTCTATCTTTCCACCTTTGCCTCTCAAGTCAGTAAACCCAGATCTCACCTCCTGAGTGAGCTCTACTCCCGTACTGCCAGCTGCTTTTGAGTCAGTCCCATTGGGTTGGCCTCCCAAGAGAGATGGCTTCCCCCATCTCTCTTTCTGCCTCCATTCCACCTATCCGAAGAAACCCTGCAGCTATCCCACCACTTCCACTAAGTCCTTGGAATATCCTGGCACATCAGAGTCCTTCTTTCCTCTGAACTCGTAGAACTCTTTACAGCTCCATTGTTTGCTATATGCACAACCCACTTTGCAACAACTCTTATATTTTTGTCTATTTTCATACATTATTATTTCAAGCTTATGTTGGCCCTTTATTGGTCCATAATCTCTGATTTTTCCAGGATCTGAGCACAACCACCACCCCCCCCAACAATCTGCTCCATAAATATCCATAGACTGATGGATGCCCTGGATACCTCAAAGATACTAACTGCAATAAGTTAACAAGAGTGGAAGGAAATTTGAGGCAGCAGCTCAGCCCCTGCCTGGCCCTTTCCTCTGGACTTTCAGGTTGTTCTACATATTTTCATTGATTTCCTGAAGAGGTTCTATAATATCCCTACCTCACCTCATTTTTTTTCCCAGTAACTATTTTAATCTAAACTCGTGTGTTTCAATGTAGACATGTTTGTTCTTGTTTAATTAGTGGAGATGGAGAATAGAAAGGCAAAAAGATGGTGGCGAGAATCAGATGCTTTGTCTTTGGGCGTTGTCATTAGGACAAAAAGTCTTAATTTCCCATAGACCCTCTTGGCAGTGCCCTTGGCTCTCCACCAGCCTGTGAACATCGGGAGAGGAGGGTATGTCTTTGTTTTTCCACACCACTCAACTCCCAGTGGCTGGCGCAGAGCCTGGCACACAGTAGATGTTCAAAAAGTAAATGTTTTTTTAAATAAAAATGAGCCCATGAAGTCATATGGAGAGTCTGAGCAATGGAATATTTATCATGGGCTTTATGCCTCGTGGAATTGTGCCTTAATTTAAGAAAACTCTGTTGGCAAAACCTGAGACCGAAAAGCAGATAAATTAGTCGAAGACCATTTATTTTATTATAATATTTATGCTCTATTTTTTTCAAATAACCACTTACTCCAACACTTTGAAAATGTGACTTGGTTGTATAGAAACACTGATTTACACAAAAGTTTTGGTGAATTTATCTTTTATGAAGTGAATTTTCTGAGAATCATATGTTCTAAAATTATATTTAATCTACATAGTTTGGTATCATGTCTTTAAGCAGTAGAATGGCTTCAATTATAAGTATAAATGAAATTGCTAAATATCAAGGAAATGACACAATACTTTCTGGTCCAAAAATAACACTTACAGAAAACAGTATATCACTAGGTATTTTATTGCCAGAAAGTTTAATAAGCTTTCTTATAAGTATTGGTAAAAAGGAATATCTGAAAAATTATTGGCTGTGTTTTATGATGTTGTTATATTAACCTCTTCCTAATCCTCCAAAGAAATAGAGCAGATTAAAGTTTCTTTGTGTGATCTACAGAAATATGAAGCAGCAAGTGTCTTGAGATCCTGTAACTGTTATGAAAAATTGGAAAGAAACATGGAGAATTCCAGCTCTTAGTGAGTTTAAATTTTAGCTGGGAAATCCAGGAACATTTATACCCAAAAAAGAGACTCTTCTTTCATACATCAACAGTCACAAACAGAAAAAAGGGAAAAAGGTGGAAGATAATATTCCAAAAGTTTAATAGTGGTTATCTCCTCTGATGAGAGTAGGAGTAACTTTTATTTTCTTAATATATTTCTGAATTTTCTTAAATGAATATTTATTACTAGTGTTATAATAACAGTTATTTTTTTAAAAAGAGACTGCCCAACAGTGTGCAGGACGTACCAAATGAGAAGTAAGTACAATAAGAGATACACGAATCCAGAGGATTGGGCTTGGGTAGTGAGTATATGTAGAGGAACTGGGGCTCAAGCTGGAGCTTGAAGAGTAGATAATACCATAATAATGATGAGATTTCAAATTTATAGGTTATTACTGCATCAGAGACAAGTTGCCTCCCCAGTAAGCATATTCCCTTTCTATATTGGAAGAGCCCCAATTTTCTTCAGTTAGGATAGTTCCTTTCCAGTTATCAGAAATTGGCTTACAGTTGGATATGTAGCCCAGTTTTGGCCTATGGGACGGCAAGGGGACATGTGCTCAGGTGCTTCTGAGAATTTTTGTAGACACTAAGAGAGATGACCCTTCATTGTCTGTGGACTTTTTCTGGTCTCATATGACACCCGGAGCTGCTGCACAAGAGGAACCAGTAGACAAGTGTAGACAGTACAGTGAAGACATAGAGGGCACCAGAGTCATCAATACCATTGTTCAGCCAGCGTGTGTAGGTGAACTAGTTTCTTCCGTTTTACTTATAGGTTTGTAAGATAACTAATTTCCTTATTGTGTAAAGCCAGTTTGAATTGGGCCCAAAGTTCTCTCACTGATATATCAATTCTACAATTTGCTAACTTGTTCATATCCAAGATTGACTTTGATCTGAACAACAATTCTGCAAAGTTGGTAATATATAAATAATTATTCCCTATACTGATGATGAAACTGAAGTTAAAAGGATACCACTTGCCTAAGGACCCAAATCCAAATTTACCAATTCCAAATCTTTCTGTTTTCCCTCTGCTTTTTCAAATGAGAGAGCGCCATATCAGTGGAGAGATGTGGTACTTAATTCATCAGTTCTGGAGTGAATGCCTGTTCTATGCCCAGGTAACATTCTAGGAGCTAGGGATCCAAAGCAGAGGAGAGGGAAGAAAAGAAAAGCAGCAGAGAGTGAAAGTGTGCTCAGCATTTGGCACATGAATCTCATGTTGGGATCAGTGGATGTTGCACATTGGTTGGTCATGATAACTGCATCAAAAAATTAAGTTGGGATTAGATTGTAGAAACCTAAGAATTCCAGGCTAGAGTTAATTTCTCATTTAGTAGGAAAAACTGGGATGTTGCTGACAATGGCCCATAATCATACAGCACAAAAAGAGAGGCAGGTCTTTAAAAGTCCTTTCATCTTGGTGACAAGTTGTATATCTATATGTGTACCATTTTATATATAATCTACTATAGAACTTGAAATAAGGGAAAACCAGAAACCCCAAGAACATTTCTCTTTAGATGTGGATAATTTAGCATTATCCATACTGCAAATGAAATGTAGTAGTATTCTATGAATTACTTAGTTCAAATGTGACTTGTCTATGACATCTGGGCCCCATATGGTAGATTAATTAAAGCAGGGATGCTGAATTTGGATAGCTTGATATCCTCTTCAAAGACTGATCTCCCTTAGGACTAAGACAGGAAAATCCTGACGTTTTGATTTCTCTGTGTACAGGGACCTTTAGCGTGAGAACAATAAACGGCCTTTTGTAGCTTCTTAATGAGACATGTAGCATGTTATATTAACACCTAGGAGCTCGCCTTAAACTGCTGTCCCTCACTAATAACTAATAAAACGGGTGCACTCTAAATGCAAAGCCACAGCGCTTTCTTATTCTTTATTCTTTTTACCCACATCAGGAGTCTTTGTTTTTTCCTGGTATTGCGTGCCCCTTCACAGCATGTGGAAACAGCACACTGTGTCCAGAAGCGCCCCGTGGCACGGTTGGCCTGGAATCTCCAACATCTCCCCACACAGCAGCAGGCAGCCCTGGATGACCAGGTCAGCCAAAAAGTAAGTTGAGTGTTTTACACATTGGCACACTGTCTGTGTGGACTAAGCCATGTGTAACAGTCTCCGGAGAGGAACCCTCAGCGGTTTCTACTGAGATGAGCATCCAAAGCTGGTCATGTGGCCAGAGAAGAAAGGGCCCAGGGCAAGGGAGATGCACAGGAGAGTAGAGATGGAAGCTGCAGAGCCACACCAAAGGCCTGTTTTTATATTTCTGAGCCTGGTTTGGTGCCTCCTCTGCTTCTAAATGTAAATGCTTACATTTTAGCCAGTTCACATTTCACCTCTCCTTGAGTCCCATGAATTATGCAGGGATCTTTAGGAGCCCTTGTAGAGGTGGAAGAGCAGATGCCGCCCTGGTTCGGGGTGGAGTCTTCCAGGCTTGCCAGGGTGTCCGGTTGTGCTCGCCTGTCACCTGTTACTGCGGAGCCATGGTGGGTTTTTACTGGCTGGTTGCTTGTGTCCTGAAGTTTGAGAAAGACCCCTTACCTTAGCCCAAGCCAATCCCATCCTTACGGAAAGTGAACAGAAAAGAATAGTTGATTGCCTTCCCTGTTCCTCTCTTTTCTTCCTTTCTAGGCAATATTGTCCAAATAACAATGATGCCTTGTGTGGTTAAACAGCTGGAAGGTGGTATAGATTATCATGCTATTTGCACACATATGGAAATAGAGTGAAGCAATAACTTTTACCATGTTAGCACCTTCTACTACTGTTTGTGAAATCTCTTCAGAAATGTTTTTAGGTTTTTTTTTTTTTCCAGCCTGAAATTCCTTTAAGTTGAATGAAAATTGACCTTAAAGGCATATGGTTTGCTAATATACTTTTCAATTTAATCTGAGCAAATTGTGATATACTTTTTTGATATGAAAATCTGGGCTGGGTGTAGTGACTCATACCTGTAATCACAGCATTTCAAGAGGCTGAGGTGGGAAAATGGCTTGAGCCCAGGAGTTCAAGACCAGCCTGGACAACATGGTGAGATCCCATCTCTACAAAAAAATACAAAAATTAGCCAGGTGTGATGGCTTTGCCTGTAGTCCCAGCTACTCAGCAGGCTGAGGCAAGAGGACCACTTGAGTCCAGGAGATCAAGGCTGCAGTGAGCTGTGATCACACCACTGCACACTAGATCCACCATGGGCCACAGAGCAAGACCTTGTCTAGAAAACAAAAAATTCTGCACTGAGTGGTCAATTAGTATACCAATTCTTACTTAGGAGGAAGTATATTCTGAGAAGATAAGTATAAGAGCACCAATCCCAAGACAGATCTCAGACTCTTAACGGGAGGATGTAAAGTAGAGGAGTAATACTCAACCTCCCTCCTCAGCAAGTTCCAGTGAGACTATATGAACAAAGAAAATATTTCAAGTTCCTTGGAATGGCAAGTGTCCTATAAGATATTTGCAATATACTGTTTTTGCTTCAGAAAGGCGTAAGGGAACTTGCAAGGATTCATAAAATACAAAAGAACAAAAATATTAAATGGAAGACCCGAAAGAAAGGAGGAGAAAAAAAGGCATCCAGGGAAGCTAGAAAAGAGACCAAGATAAATGCACCCCATAGTGTTTGAAGTGCAGGTTAATGAGTGGGCCCCTGGCTTCCTGTGAAGTTTTTTCTTCCAGTGAAAAGGGAAACCTGGTCTGTTAAACACCAGGTTGTGAACAGCAACCAAGAAGTAAAAAACAAGTTGTTTCTCAGGAGAAGAAGAATTATTCCTAGTGTTAAGCTAGCATCTTCTCCCAAGGGTGCTCATACTTAGAAAATCTCTAATTAGGATAAACACCTGACATGACCCTGGAAGGTGGCTCCATGGCTCCAAACCTTTATTCCCTTCTGTGAAATGGAGAGATTGAACCTAAAGATCTGTAAAGTCTCTGCAACTCTCAAGTCCAGTGAGTGTGTTGTCTTCACTCCTAACCATTTTCTCTTGTAGAAATGAAACAATCTTTCTATCTCTCTTTTCTTTTCTTTTTTTTTTGAGACAGAGTCTCTCTCTCTGTCGCCCAGGCTGGAATGCAGTGGCGCAATCTCGGCTCACTACAACCTCTACCTCCCGGGTTCAAGCGATTCTCCTGCCTCAGCCTCCCAAGTAGCTGAGATTACAGGCACCTCCCACCATGCCTGGCTAATTTTTGTATTTTTAGTAGAGATGGGGTTTCACCATGTTGGCCAGGCTGGTCTCGAACTCCTGAGCTCAAGTGATCCACACGCCTCGCCCTCCCAAAGTGCTGGTATTACAGGCGTGACCCATGGCACCTGGCCTCTGTCTCCCATTTCTTACTACTGAATTTCTTCTCTCCTTCCATCCCCCACTCCATCCTGCCTTTTTCTTTTTCTGTGGCCCAGCCTGATATTATGTCAAATGCCTCTTTCTCATACAACTGCTTATCTTTTCCCCTACTTAAAAAAAAAAAAAAAAAGGCTGAGCAGAATAGCTATGATCAAGGAGTGTTTGTGTCAGGGGAGGAAGGGGATGGGCCATGTGTTAAGGGGGTGGGGGTTTGCTGTCTGGAATTGAGGTCAGCCAGGAAATAGGAAGCAGTTTTTATACTTCCTTCATTTGCAGGATAGTTGAGGATTCTGCCTGAAAGCTGGGCTCTTTGTTTAAAATATAGGCCACAAGGAGAACTGTCTGTGGTTGTGCCACTGAATGGCTAATTGTTCTTAATTGTATTCTGTGTTCAGCAGACCTCTAACTATCAGCTTAAAAACAGTATTTAGGGAAATTGTTTGTGCCTCCGTTTGTTTCTTACATTCCAGGGTTATCATCGTTGGAGGCAACATGCCTCAGAGTGTGACCAGAAAGGCTCACAAGGGCACCTGCCTCAGGCAGCATGTGGCATCTCCTATGAATTATGCATCATCGGCATATGGACAGTGGAGGCCGCCTAAAAACAACTAGCCGCTTATCATTGCCACAGTTGTACATTACCTTCCCGCGGCCTGATAAAGGCAGTTTTACTCTAGATGAGAGCTGGGATTGTTTCTTCTGGGTGTTCTCTAGAGACCGAGTGTCAGAAACTTAATGGCTTCTGAATGGAAGTGATGTTTGGCATCGTTTAGTGTTGCTGGTCTATGAAAAATACATTCATTGTGGTAAATAAGATATTTAAGGTAACATTAATCCCTGATAAATATATATTAAATTAGTCTTTAATATATATTTAATATATATTAATTAGCTTTCTTTACCCCAAAAACCTTTCTCTCCTACTGTTTGCGCTTTTGCAGTTTGGTACAACTGCCAAGATTAACTGTAATCCCTTGTCCTTCTGTTTGAATAAAAAAAGGAATGGCTGTTAGGTCTTGTCATCATGCCAAAAAATGAACTAATTATCTTCTTCTAACTGGAGACCTGGATGATAGGATGGGTTTTTTTATGGTTAAAAAATACCAATCAGGTCCATTGAATTTGACATCAGCTCAACTAGTAATGTATCTCGAGAATGTCTGTGATCCGTTTGATCTGCAGTTAATACAATATGCTGCATACATAAGAGGTGAAGCTCATGGTTTTCTCTAAAATTGTAACTGGGATTTTATTTTAGAAGTTCACTTGGGTTTCACCAAAGCTGTCTCTTAACAGTAAAATGTGTGAACATTTTTTGAAAAATCCTCAATGTAGCCAAGTGTTTTGAAAAAGGACTTACAGCTCCTCCTCCTAACATGCCAGTTAGAAAAAAAAAAAAAAAGGACTTGATCCTTTGAGTGGAAAGCCTTTTCTAACATATTTCTAGCATTTCCTTGACTGATATATTACATTTTGTGGGAAATAATTTAACCTTGTTCTCTGGTACAATGATGCCAACGAGCCTGGATTCTGTTGAATAGAATGACCCCACCTGGCTGTGATATTTTTAGTTTTTCTGTCTGCTTTTCTTAGGATATGTATTATCACATTATCCCTCCTTGGGATCATGTGGTTTGGAAATCAGAAGTTCCAAACCTGGAAATCACAGGTTTGGAAATCAGATCCTGAGTGTATTAGAATTCTGTTTAAAACAAGAGGAAGTGTGTGCTAGTAATGATCTGAGGGGAACTCCTTTGAAGGAAGAACCTAACATTCTGTGCTTTTATGATCCCTCTATCAATTCTGTAAAACTCTCCCCCTCTCAACACCCTCTATTTGTACTAAAGAATGAGGATATAAAGGTAGTCTTGTTGAAAAATTTCTCTATGGGCATCATTGTAATTCTAGCAGTCCTCAACATGGTCATTTATACTCTAAGAAAAATACTTTATTGTAGTTCTTTAATTAAACAGAAAGTACCTACTTGAGAATAACTATACACAGTAATACTTATAGCTAGATTTTCTATGTAATTAAATTAGCCATATACATTTAATGACATATACAATATGTCTAAGTGAATGATATAATTGTGAATTAAAATATGTTTATTACCCTTTATTGCAACCCATCTTAAATTATTTGGAAGATTTGGTACACTTTGTTAGGTAGGATGACATTCTTTTTTCTTGTTCATTGCTTCAGATTTCTGCTGATATGCTGTTGTTCTCTTTCAGTCCCAGCTGGGCCCAGGGATTCTGTGGGGTGCCTCCACCGGTCTAGATCTTCAGAAGAGTTTTTTCCACTTTATGATCAGTGTTGTAGTTGTTCAGCAAACATAATGAACCATTATTACCATCACAGACACTTGCCACTTAGTGAGTCCACTTTGCTTCTGCTGCTTTTTTCTTTCTTCTCTGAGCCTGGCCTCTTTCCTGTCCTCTATCCTACTCCTGCCTTCCATCCGTTTCTTCTCCCAGTGCCGTCTCCCAGCGCAGACGCTTTCTTTTGTTTAGCAATAACAATAACAATTTGTTATCGTTCTTAGCACAATGCTTAACATTAAAAGTGCTCACTAAATATATAGATAGGTTTTTTAAAAATAAATGAATACATCTAAAAATTACTTTAGCCAATTTTCAATAGAAGCATTAAAATGAGAAAAGGGGCTCTTCAGAGTAATAGGTACCAGGAAATCTAAGCTAAGTCTGGTTACTACAAATTAATCCCAAGTTCGTATGTTTCTCGAAAGTTTCAGAAAGGGAAGCTCAGTGAGTTGTACGTCACTTATTATCTGGTGGAGGGAAGTATGCCACTGTACCAGGAGAAACAGTATTTTTTTTTCTTAGTACATATTTCTGTATTAATGGTCATTCAAGGAACAAAATATTGACAGTCTCTTCATAGTAATTTTATAATAAGCTGCAGACATTTTTTCTCAGTTAAAAAATATAATGAGCATCTAATATGTGCAAGGCCCTGTGCCAGGAGCTGATCATACAATGGAGAATAGGAAATTTATGGTTTCTACCATCAAAGAGAAATCTTTTTATATCCCACAGAGTTAGTTAATAGTAACAATAACATTCATTGAGCTCTTAGCTATGCCAGGCCCCCATCCAAGTGTATATAGGCATTAGCATGTTAATTCCTATAAACCTTACTGGTACTGTTAATTATTCTACTTTTTACACTTAAAGAAATTGAGGCAAAGGGAAGTTAAATAATTTTTCCAAGGTTACATAGCTTGTAAGTGGTAAGAAATTTGAACCCAAGTAAGGCTGACTGGCTCTTGGGTACAGGCTTTTAACAACTATTCTATGTTTTTTTTCTAGGGGTATAAGAAAATGAAGAGGAGTAAGTTTTTGAGGGTTGGAGGTGGGCAAAGGTGATTGGTTTGCAATATGTTAAATTTGAGTTGCCTGAAGGCATCAAGAATGGAGATATGCAGTGGGCCATGGGGTATACAGATCTGCAGTTGGGCAGAGAGATCTGGGCCAACCAACATTTAGGTGATTTTTTTAGGCATCAGCAGTACATGGCTGGAATATGAAACCATAGGGAGAAAGCCTATGAAAGGTATGAGATGAATATATTTTTAAAATCTACCTTCAGAAAATCCAAGAATGTATATTAAATTATAATTCAGGAAAAATACCACTACAGAGAGTTCACATAATGTAGATAAAGATATGTAGCCCTTTGGCAGTTGGATGTATATGTACATGTTAGGTCCTGCGGTTGAGCTCAGCTGGTAAGGAGGAATGGGTAGCAAGCATTTGTCTCATTTGGTAATGGCCAGCCATGTATTGGGGGCACATTGCCTCAGATTCTCATAACTCTTTTCGGGAAGGTGCTGTCATCCTCATTTTATAATTGAGGAAACTGAGGCCCAGAAGATTAAGTAATTTGTCATGTGTCAAGGTTGCACAATAGTAAGTGGCAAAGCTTGGGTTTTGTCTTAGTCAGTTTGGGCTGCTATGACAAACTACCATAGATTGAAGGGCTTGTAAACAACAGAAATTTATATCTCACCGTTCTGGAGGCTGGGAAGTCCAAGATCAAGGCAGATTCAATGTCTACTAAGGGCCCACTTTCTGGTCATCTTCTCAACCTTGCATGGCAGAAGGGGTGAGGGAGCTCCCTGGGGCACTAATGCCCTCATGACCCAATCACCTACCAAAGGCCCAACCTCCAAATATTATCACATTGGGCATTAAGATTTAACCTGTAGATTTGGAGGGGGACACACATTCATTCAGTCTCTATCAGCTTTAGAGCCAGGGCTTTTGACTGCCCTTTGTTTCTACCCCTCCTGCACAGTTGGGCCACCGGAACAGTAGTAGATGTGAAAGCTTCTGCTATGTAAACAGGTTTGCTCCACTCACAAACATGCCACTGGACATACAGCTGAGGCCCAAGGTTGCCTTTGATAGTGCAGAGAAGAAATAACCCAGTCGGAAAAGTATTCCATCACTCCCATAAAAGCTCCCTAGAACAGCTTTGGTAAGGGAAGGTTCACTTTGTAGCCAGACAGGAACCCAGGTGCATGCTGCACAGTGAGGCACAAAGTGCCCTGCTAGCTCCTTCACCCTTGGACTGCTGTCACCCCACCCGGGCAGCAAGCACCGCTTCCTAGGTAGGCTGCTCTGCCTCCCACCCTCTCTGACTGTGCAGTGACATGGATGGGAGCCACTGATCCACTTCTCATGAAATCCAATTATTCAGGCAGAAAAGATGACTTCCTGGCAGAGCCCACAGGAAGCGTCCCCCAAGCCCCAGGAAACAAAACAAATACAGCTCTTCCTATCATTTTGACATCCTCTTTCTGCCCACCCCTCCCCAACAAGACAGACAGCAGAAATCTGGACTCAGCACTTTTACTTTTAACTCTTTCTTGCCATTAATGTTAATGAATGGTTCTTCTCAGGGCCAAAGGCTTCTGTCTTTCTCCCTTCCTCTTTTGTCTTTCTGTTTGTTTTTTTTTTTTAAATACTTTAAGTTTTGGGATACATGTGCAGAACGCGCAGGTTTGTTACATAGGTATACACATGCCATAATGGTTTGCTGCACCCATCAACCCGTCATCTATGTTAGGTATTTCTCCTAACGCTATCCCTCCCCCAGCCCCCTACCCCTCAACAGGCCCTGGTGTGTGATGTTCCCCTCCCTGTGTCCATGTGTTCTCTTTGTTCAACTCCCACTTTATTTAGGTACATTCCTAACAGCCATCTTTTCCCCAGTACTCTTACTGCTCCACATCTTGGAGAACTTATCTTGTGGATTCCACAACTTCAAGGTGTTCTTAACCCCATTGTTAGTTTAGGGATGTCTAAATGTTGTAGGATACTGTCACTGTTGTACATACACACTTATTTTGATGGGTTTGGTTGTTACTATCCAAGGCTTGAATTAATCCCACAGGGGAGCTCTGGAACTGAGATGGCCCCAGCAAGGGAGCAGAATCTTGGGTGAAGTGGCTCTCTTTAGCCAAGGTCCATTACTGGGGAGGGACTCAGGTATGAGCCATTCACAGCCAAACTCTTGGCAGCTAGAAGACTGAGTACTTCAGTCCCAGCACTTCAGTCTCAGAGCAGTGATCTGGGCAGGACTGCAGCATCCTCTGCAACACCTTTCTACCTAGTTCACCCACACATACCTTCCTATCTGGTTCACCCACACATACCTTCCTACCTGGTTCACCCACACATACCTTCCTACCTGGTTCACCCACACATACCTTTATCTTTTCAGGATCTTCAGCTGTTTCTTGCAGAAATCACCTTGACAATATTCAGCTTATTCAACTGAAAATATCTCCTCAGTGTTCTTTTTCTCTACACTGCATTATGAAATGGAGGTCTTTGTAATGAACAAGAAACAAGCCAACAAAATAATGGGGAAGATCTGGTTTTTGTATTCTCCTTTATGTTACCATTGTCACCATCCTAATTTTGGCCTTAATTATATCTATTTGGATTTATGAATGGCTTCTTTTTTTTTCTTTTTTTTTTTTTACAGTTTTATGCAGGCATAATTGACCATAAACTTCATATATTTAAAGTGTACAATTTGATGAGTTTTGACATATGTACGAAACCACTAAGATAGTGAACATTTCTATTACCACCACTCCTAAATTTTATCATGCCCCTTTGTAATCCTTCTTTCTGTCCCTCCCAGCCCCATTGTCCCCAGGCAACCACTGACCTGCTTTCTCTTGCTGGTTAGTTTGTATTTTCTTTTGTATTCTTTTTTTTTTTTTTTTGAGACAGAGTCTCACTCTCTCTCTCGCCCACGCTGGAGTGCAGTGGTGGGATCTTGGCTCACTGAATCCTCTGCCTGCTGGGTTCAAGCAATTCTTCTGCCTCAGCCTCCCAGGTAGCTGGGACCACAGGCATGCACCACCATGCCCGGCTAATTTTTTCTATTTTTAGTAGAGACGGGGTTTCTCCATGCTGGCTAGGCTAGTCTCGAACTCCTGAACTCGTGATCCACCTGCCTTGGCCTCCCAAAGTTCTGGGATTACAGGCATGAGCCATTATGCCCGGCTTAGTTTGTATTTTCTAGAATTTTATATAAATGGAATCATACAGTAAGTACTATTTTTTCAGGGGGACAGTCTTGCTTCTTTTACTTAGCAAAGATTTTTTTTTTAATTCACTCATATTGCTGTATATATAGTTTCTTTTTATTGTTAACGCATATTCCATTGTGATTGATAATCACAGATTGCTTTTCCATTGACTTAGTTGATGGACATTTCAATTGTTTTCATTTTTAACCACTACAAATAAAAGTGCTATGCACATTTGTGTACAAGTCATTATGTGGATATCCTCTTTAATTTCTCTTAGGTACTTAGGAGTAGAATAGCCAGATCACATGGTAGGTCTATATTTAAATTTATAAGAAACTGCAAACTGTTTTCCGAAGTGATGGTACCATTTTACAATTTCACCAGATGTCTATGAGAGTTACATTTGCCTTACTTCATCACCAACATTTGGTATTGTGGGTCTTAAATTTTAGGCAATCTAGTGACTGTGTATTGGTATCTTATTGTGGCTTAATTTGCATTTTCCTAGCCCAAGTTTACTAAAATTTTTCTCTTATGTTTTCTTCTAAAAGTTTTGTGTTTTAGCTCTTACATTTATGTCTGTGGCCCATTTTGAGTTAATTTTGGTTTATGGTGTTACGAAATGGTTTAATTTTTTAAATATGTGGATACCTGTTGCTCTAGAACTATCCATTGAAGACTTCCCTTTACCTGTTAAACCTTTTTCAAAAGTCAGTTGACTATGTATGTGTGGATCTCTTTCTAGATTCTTTTCTGCTGCATTGATCTGTATGCCTCTCTTTATGCTGAGACCACACTTTATTGATTCTGTAGCTTTAAAATAAGTCTTGAAATCAGGTAGTATATAAATCCTTCAACTTTTTAATCTTTCTCAAAAGTGTTGGCTGTTCAAGGTCTTAATATTTTCCCATTTGTTTTAGAATTAGCTCATTGCACTCACCACAACCTTTAGTTCAGTGTTGAATAAAAAGCAGTGTGAATTAGAAGAGATCCTAATCTCAGGCAATACATTTATCGTCTTTTACCATTAAGTATTGTATTAGCTATAGGTTTTTCATACATCCCCATCATCACAATGAGGAAGTTTCCTTCTATTCTTGCTTTGCTAACAGTTTTTTTTTTCCTGAATGGATTTGAATTTTGTCAAATGACTTTTTTTTCATCTATTGATATAATCTCACTGTTCTACTTTATTCCGCAGACATCACCTTAGCAATATAAGGAATTATGTCAGGTGAAAATATCACCAGCTTTCTTTCGCCCTAAAATGCATAATAAAATGGAGGTCTTTATAATGTTAAAGCAACAGTGGAAAAGACCTGGGTTCCATTTTCTCCTTTAGTTACCATTATCACCATCCTACTTTTGGCCTTAATTACTTCTAATTTTGATGAGTTGACTGGCTTCTTAACTATTCTTCCCACCCAGTCTCTCTTCCTTCCTGTCATGATTTGAGAAAAACCTCCCTGAAGAACACTCCTGGCCATATTGTTTGTTTTTCTCTTAACAAAAATAATCACTGGCTTCTCATTACCCACAGAATACTCTGCTCAGCAGGGATGCTGGTGTCTCCCACAGTCCAGTGTCAGGGACACAGTCATCTCTGTCTTGGGATATCCCATTCCTACCTTTCTTCTTGATACAGTGGAAATATGGTCACTTCTCCTATGTTTTTGTAACTTAGGACACTTAATGTTATTTTTTCTGCATCTTTTTATATTTCATATTTCCCACAAGATTGGAAGTGCCCAAGGATACTAGCCATGTTGTACCTATTTTTATATATTCATAGTTCCTTCCTGGTATAGTGCCTTGTATGTAGCAGGCATTTTACTTGTGTTTACAGAAGGAATAGATACACACAGCCTATATATATTCCATATATATATTTTCCATGTATATATATATTCCATATATATGTTTTCCATATATATATATTCCATATATATGTTTTCCATATATATATTCCATATATATATTTTCCATATATATATATTCCATATATATATTTTCCATATATATATATTCCATATATATATTTTCCATATATATATATTCCATATATATATTTTCCATATATATATTCCATATATATATTTTCCATATATATATATTCCATATATGTATTTTCCATATATATATTCATATATGTATTTTCCATATATGTATTTTCCATATATGTATTTTCCATATATGTATTTTCCATATATGTATTTTCCATATATGTATTTTCCATATATATACATTCATATATGTATTTTCCATATATATACATTCATATATGTATTTTCCATATATATATTTTTTCCATATATATTTTTTTTTCCATATATATATATATTTTTTCCATATATATATATACCAAATAAGAGAATATATCTCTGGTACAAATGAAGAATATTTTCTCAACTCTTCTTTTATAAGTACCCTTTAATTATATGATAGCTGCTTAGTCACAACTTGTTTTTTTTTTTTTTGCTGTTGGTCTTTGAAAAACTTGGTGTCTTGGATCAGACATTTTTATTATTTATTATTATTATTATTATTATTATTATTATTATTATTATTATTATTTTGAGACGGAACCTCGCTCTGTCACCCAGGCTAGAGTGCAGTGGCGTGATGTTGGCTCACTGCAAACTCTGCCTCCCGGGTTTGCGCCATTCTCCTGCCTCAGCCTCCCGAGTAGCTGGGACTACAGGCGCCTGCCACCACGTCCAGCTAATTTTTTGTATTTTTGGTAGAGACGGTGTTTCACCGTTTTAGCCAGGATGGCCTTGATCTCCTGACCTCGTGATCCGCCCGCCTCGGCCTCCCAAAGAGACATTTTTATTTTTAAGGATACAACGTATTGTAGAAATGCGGTAGAGCACATATGTGGAATTTTATAACTTTGAAGCAGCTTTTCAGTTTGTGAGTACTCATCATTACTGACAACTTACTTTTCTGACCATCACCAGAGGAATCCAATTAATGATTCTTTGGAGGAAAAAATAAGAAAGGAATCCAAACTAATATACACAAAAATTCCCTTCCCTGATACTGATTGAACCTAATACTAATAGCTCTTGTTTTGAATTTCATAATTCTAGAAGAGTTAAACTTGAAAATGTATCTCTAAACAATGCAGCCTCTGTTTTCCACCAAAAGGCGGTGATTGTGTTGAGCATTTTAACTGGTTATCAGACCTCAGGCTGCCGGTTTGAAGAGTGAACTTTGGCAATAGGAACTTGGCTCTCAATCCTGTTTTGCAGCTGGCTAGAATGTGAATAAACTTATTGAAAGACATATCTTCTCAAAGAAGGAGAGGAATAAAGCCCTCAACCTAATAACCTTCCTCCTTTCTGACAGCCCCCAGCCTCCACATACCTTTTTAGAAAGCATCTTCAGAGAGAGAGGTTTTTAGATGTCCAAAACCTCAGAGAACTAGACAGTTCTTGCTCACTAGTAATCCTCATCTTGGGAGATTTATTCTTTGCTAAGTCCCTGCACCAGGAGTGTGGTTTTCTTTCTGACTTCTCCCTCTTTAAGGAATTGTGCAAATACCACAAGCTTTTTGTGCTTTTTGTAACTCAACTGTTTCTTTTTTGCTTTTATTAGAGTCCATCTCTGTTTTCTGGCAGGATGATGGCTCTAACGTGCTGCACATGGTGTCTAGGTGGGCCCTTCTCTCCAGCTCATGACATGCTTGTAGCTTTCTTTCAGAGTGGCACTTTGGGGCAACATCCTGTTAATCTGAGAAAGGTTTACCTCTTCCTGTGTCCCTCCGTGCCCTCCTTTCATCCCAGAGCCCGCCATCTTAACCAAAGTCTTTGAGTTTTCAAGGAGGTGATAAAATCTGTATAAACCTTTGCATTCCGTAGAATTGTTGACATTCTCTAAATGGAGCAGAAACATTTGAGATGTGTTGGAAGCCTTGCCTGGCATTGATCATTTCAAACAGTGACCTTTTCTCCTTACACAGTGTCTTCTCTTCTGGAAAAGCCTACCTGTGTGTCCTGTCCTGAGTCCCCCACTCCACCCCACCCCACCCCCATTATGCATTAGTTGCCCCACATTAGTGTTTTCTTAACAATTTTCTACTTGTTGCCATGTCAGCACCTATGTATTATATGACAATTGTCTGATTTTTTTTTTTTTTGGTAATTATGTGGGGTCCTAGAGAACGGGAAGGGATTCATTCGTATCCTTACTTTATCTCAGGTGTCTTATCTGAGTACCTGACACATAGTAAGTACTTAATTCATATTTGTGAATGGGCTGGTCCATGCCATTTAGAACTCTTTTTTTTTTTTTTTTTTTTTTTTTTTTTGAGACAGAGTCTTGCTCTGTCACCCAGGCTGGAGTCCAGTGGTGTGATCTTGGCTCACTGCAACCTCCGCTTTCCGGGTTCAAGCAATTCTCCTGCCTCAGCCTCCCCAGTAGCTGGGATTACAGGCGCCCACCACCATGCCCGGCTAATTTTTGTATTTTTAGTAGAGACGAGGTTTCGCCATGTTGGCCAGGCTGGTCTCGAACTCCTGACCTCAAGTGATTTGCCTGCCTTGGCCTCCCAAAGTGCTGGAATTATAGGCATAAGCCACTGCACCCGGCCTTCATTTAGAACTATTTTAACCACTGCCCTCACCTTGTATGCTAGGTGAAGAATGTGTTCCAGCAGCCACAGCAGCAAAACTGATCTGAAAAACAACTCTATCAAAATTTGTACAGTGTTCTTGTCCCAATTCTGGCAGATATTTTTAAGTGTTGTAGAGCTTGCTTACAAGAAACAGATTAAACTTAAAGAGAAGGCTTCTTCCACCATGGCTCTTTATTTTATTTGAATTTTTATTTGTTTTTTTTAGACTGACTTGTAGAATGTTTATGTTGATGGAATGAAGACAAACTTTCTCAAGATTCCTCAGCATGCTCCTGGTTTTCTGATTTAAAAGCTCTTGCTGTTAGGGGAAGATCTGCTTTTCAGACTTAGTAACTGATAGTCTTACATAACTATATACATTATGAAAACATTTTATTGCTTAGAAGGAATATACTTTTATTCAGTGGATCCAGTTTTGGGTTTGTGTGTGTGTGTGGAGGTGGGGGTAGGTTAAGTGTGATTTAGCCAATTTTTAAAATATGTAATAGAGAGTAGGAAGGGGTCAGCTTCTCACCTATGGCTCATGCAGAAAATGACCTTGTTGGCCTCAGTTAGTTAACATTTTTATCATCTAGTACACAGGACAGTTTTAGAGTCTGTGTCCTCCTTACTTTAAATGTACACTCACCCCCCTCCCCACTCTGCACCTCACTATTCTGCTTTCTGTAGCCCTAGTGTACCAAAAATAGTGAAATAGAATGGATGAATAAGACCCCCACCAGGGCTGGATGCAGTGGCTCATGCCTGTAATCCAGCATTTGGGGAGGCCAAGGCAGGAGGATTGCTTGAAGCCAGGAGTTTGAGACTAGGCTGGGCAACGAAGTGAGACCACATTTCTACAAAAAAATTTTTTTTTAATTAGCCAGATATGGTGGTATGCACCTACAGTCTTAGCTACTGGAGAGGCTGAGGTGGGAGGCTTGCTTGTGCCCAGGAGTTTGAGGCTGCAGTGAGCTATGATTGTGCACTGCACTACAGCCCAGGCAATAGAGTAAGACCTGTCTCTTAAAAAGAAAGAAGGAAGAAAGGAAGAAAAGAAAGAAAAAATCCACACCAATGAGCCTTCCTTCTGATTTCTGGATGAGAATCAGATGCATCCTGCCTTTGACACACCAAATAGAAGTTAGTCCCAGAATGATCAGCTTAGTGGGCCTCAGACACAGTTTATGTTTCATGGTACTGGGGATAAAAAATATCTTGATGAAGCCCTTACAAAGAGCCCTGAGTGGAGGTGCTGAATAAACCTAAACTAATAGGGAGGAAGGGAAAAGGAGTTACAGGTGCTAACACTTTTAATTTTTTTATTTTTTATTTATAAATAGAGACAGGATCTCACTATGTTGCCCAGGCTGTTTTCGAACTCCTGGCCTCAAGCAATCCTCCTGCCTCAGCCCCTCAAAGTACTGGGATTATAGGCATGAGTCACTGTACCGGGCCAGGTGCTAACACTTTTTAAACACTTTGCATGTATCATTTCATTTAATCTTTAAAACAACTTTGAAAGCAGGTATTGTTCCCATTTTGCTGGAGAAAGACATCAAGAGAATAAGTAATTTGCCTGAAGTCACACAAATAGTAAGTGGCAGAGGATGGCTTCCAACTTAGATCTCTGACTCCAGAGCTTGTACCGTTTCCATTATACCAGATTGTCCAGTGGCTTATTGTTAAGTGGCTGCTGATAGTGTGATAAGACAGTACTGGAAAGTGGGGAGAAAACACAGGGATTGGGAGACAGAAGGTAAACCATATGTGGAGAATCTGACATGGTACATCATCTCATTAAGTTTCTATTTTATTTTTTTCATCTTCTCAGAAGGAAAAGCCTTTTCACTTTTTAAAGTCTCTGCCTTATTCTCTTTTGCACAGGTCTTCATGTAAGTTTCTTGATTGATTTTTTTTTTTTTTTTTTTTGGTGGTAGGATCTCACTCTGTGGCCCAGGCTGGAGTGTAGTAGTGTGATCTTGGCTTACTGCAACCTCTGCCTCCCAGGCTCAAGCGATCCTTCCACTTTAGCCTCCCGAGTAGCTGAGACTATAGGCATGCACCACCACACTTGGCTAATTTTTAAAGTTTTTTTTTTTACAGACAAGATTTCACTTTATTGCCCAGTCTGGTCCCAAACTCCTAGTCTCAAATGATCCTCCCGCCTCAGCCTCCCAAAGCACTGGAATTACAAACATGAGCCACCTTGCCCACTGCCCATGATTCCATCATCTGGAAGAGTATGAAGTATAAGGTTAAAGGAAACCATTCCTTCCAGACTTTCATCCTTGCTGCCATCTCAGTATTTAAAAAAATAACATGGAACTGGTTCATGTCAGCACTTCTAGCAATGGTGCTGTTGTTAACAGTGGAAATACATTTGGAGAGCTTATCATTGGCTTATTTCTGAGCCCTAAACTTTCACTGACAGTCTTCCCAATATATGAAAATAAATTGTGTATTTTTCACCGTCAATCTTTTTTTGTTGTTCTTGTTATTTAGGACATTTCACTAATTCTCTTTGCTATTCTACAGACATCGTCTTGGTAGCAGAGGCACTCACATACATCCATACATCAGTCTCAGTGTTTCTTCTATAAAACTTTGCAGAGATATTCTTTTCTGTTTTGTTTTGCTCAACAAACTGTGATTTGAAAGTAGCTCCATAGGAAACTTTTTTTCCTCTGCCTAGGAGAAAAAGGTTGTAGTTTTATATAACTCTATTAGGAAGATGTCTTAAAGAGTCAAAAGATTAAGATCACAGAAAAGTTAACATTCTAGCATTTTGTTTACATATTTCCTTTTCATGAAAAACTTTTCTTGCCCTAGCAATTTCTAATTTTCTTTTATTCTTTGCCTTATTTAAATGGAATTTTCCCCCATCTTTCTCATTAAAAAGAAAAAAGCACTGGGCGCCATGGCTCACGCCTGTAATCCCAGCACTTTGGGAGGCTGAGGCGGGTGGATCACGAGGTCAGGAGATCGAGACCATCCTGGCTAACATGGTGAAACCCCGTCTCTACTAAAAATACAAAAAATTAGTCCGGCGTGGTGGTGGGTGCCTGTAGTCCCAGCTACTCGGGAGGCTGAGGCAGGAGAATGGCGTGAACCCGGGAGGCGGAGCTTGCAGTGAGCCGAGATCGTGCCACTGCACTCCAGCCTGGGGGACAGAGCGAGACTCCATCTCAAAAAAAAAAAAAAAGAAAAGAAAAAGCAGTGTGAGTAGAGGCAATTTGAAGCAATGGAAAAATAGTTGAGCTACACAATTGTAGGTTTGAATTAGAGCTTTGCTGCTTCCTAGTTTGTGGGACCATTAACAAGTTACTTATCGTTTTGGAAACTTGGTTTTTTAAATCTGTAAAATTAGTATAGAACTGCCTCCAAGGTTGTTTTAAATAATAAGTGAGGAGATGTATGCAAAGTGTCCCAATTGTCAGTACACTTCCTCCTTCCCCTTTCCTTTTTTTTAAATTAAGCTTTTAAAAAATTATTTGCTTTTGAAGCCTTTTAAATTTATTTTTAATTTTTAAAATTAACAAATAAAAGGCCCGGCGCGGTGGCTCGCGCCTATAATCCCAGCACTTTGGGAGCCCGAGGTGGGCGGATCACTTGAGGTCAGGAGTTTGAGACCACCCTGGCCAACATGGTGAAACCCCATCTCTACTAAAAATACAAAGAATTAGCCAGGTGTGGTGATGTGCACCTGTGGTCCCAGCTACTTGGGAGGCTGAGGCAGGAGAATCACTTGAACCCAGGAGGCACAGGTTGCCGTGAGCCGGGATCATGTCACTGCACTCCAGCCTGGGTGACAGAGTGAGACTCTGCCTCAAGAAAAAAAATAAATAAAAATAAAAACTGCATATATTTATGGTGTACAACATGACATTTTGATATAGTTATGCATTGTGGAGTGGCTAAATCAAGCTAATTAACACATGCATTACCTCACACACTTATCATTTTTTTGTGGTCCTTCTTAAATACTTAATTTAGTTAGACTTAACTCCTCATGCCAGTTCTTTGTAAAGGTCATTATAAATACCCACTTGACTGAATAAGTGAAAATGTAACTTTAAGAGAGACTCCACTGTGGCATAAGATAAGGCCAACTGATAGAAAAGGAGTTAATTCTCAATGTTGGTTTTCTTCATAAGCCATCTGTTTTTCAGGTACTGTATTGACTAATATGATGTTCATAAGTTTCTCTTTTTTATTTTTGAAAAAAAAAAACAAGCTTTTGAAGAGGGGCCTTAAACTGAGTTATATTTGAATTGAAATAATGAGCTGCTTATGGACATTTGAGTTTGGGATAGGAAAAAAACTTTTAAAATATAATTTGAGCAAATTCTTTTCTTTTAATGACTATTATTTTGCCTGGACCCATTTACTGAAAATTATTTGAGGATGTACAGTTCTGATTATAAATCACTTCCCTAAAAGTACTCTGTGTTCTCAAAAGGCTCCGTCCGAAAGTGAACACGTGCTTCAGTTTGTTATGACTGAGCTACTGATTGTGCAACACACTTTTGATAAGTCACTGATGTCTGTTAGCCCTGTTTGCATGACATAAGAGTGATTTCTTTTTTTTGAGACAGGGTCTAGGTCTGTCACCCAGGCTGGAGTGCATTGGCGCAATCCCGAGTAGTTGGGACTACAGACATGCACCTCCATGCCTGACTAATTTTGTACTTTTCTGTGAAAAGTACAAAATTACTGGCTGGTCTTTAACTTCTGGGATCAGCCTGGTCTGAAACTTCTGGGCTCAAGCGATCTTAAACTTCCCAGGCTGGTCTGAAACTTTTGGGCTCAAGCGATCCGTCTGCCTCAGCCTTCCAGATTGCTGGGAATACAGGCATGAACCCCTGCACCCAGCCTAAGTGTCATTAAAAATTTGATCTGTTATATAGGCACTAGGTAGAATGTCTGTCAGATGCATATTTTCAAAGTTGCAGATGCATAAATTGTGCAAGGAGGCACCAAGGCTATAAAAAAAACAACTTGTGTAAACGCCTTTAAAAGGAAAACAAAAAAATAGTTCAAGATGATTGGGTGCTGGATAGCAGAGAAGCATATGAAATAGACATACTGAAAGAGCAACAAGAAAAACTTTTAAATATTATCTCCTAATACAACAAAAATGTAAGGAGCTCTTATCATCTGGTCTCAGGTTTTGAGCAGCCTCCTGTTATTGATAGGATATGTTTGCTTGTTGATGATCAGTAAGCAAGGCTTTTTTTTTTTTTTTTTTTTGCAGCAGCTTTATTGAGATAGAGACATACACTTTACTATTTCCAGTGTATAATTCCATGGTTTTTAGTATATTCAGAGCTGTGCAACAATCATCACAATCAATTTTAGAACATTTTCACCATCCCCAAAAGAAACAACACACCCATTAGCCATCACTCTCCATTCTGCCCTAAGCAACCACTAATCTACTTTTTGTCTTTATAGATTTGCCTGTTTATGAAGTCATATATTTGTCCTTTTATGTCTGTCCTCATTCATTTAGCATAATATTTTGAAGGTTCATCCATGTTGTAGCATGTACCAGTACTTCATTCCTTTTTATTTCCAAATAATATTCCGTGGTGTGGATACACACATTTCATTTATCCATGCATCAGTTGACGACCATTTGAGTCATTTTTACTTTTTGGTTATATGAATAACGCTGCTGTAAACATTTGAAGGCACAGTACTTTTCCAGGTCACATTATCATTGAAGATCGTGAATCACAGGCCGGGGTCCTCACCATTGCCCTAACTGGTCCAGGTGAAGACCTGGACATCAGCAGGTCAGCGCCAGTGAGCTTCCTGGGCTTCTGCCTCCTTGGCACACTCACATTTGTAGGTCATCTGCTCAGGTTTAGGCTTCTGGTAGGAGACCACCATGAACAGGAACAAATGCCTGTGGCTGGGCCAGCGAACCCATAACTATGATGGGACATCCACAAGTATCTGGCCCTGGAGAAAAGATGGAAGGAAGGAGCCAGAGTCAGGCATAGCGCAGCCTGGCCATGCCTCTGTTGACCTCAGCTTTCCTGTCTAAGATGCTCTAGGATACTCTGTGTCTGTGGCAACTTCTAGAGAAACAAAGTTTCTATAAAATGCTGCTCGTCCCTGCCCTTACCCCACTCCAAATTTCATATTGAAAAAGAAAAACCATATGGGAACTGAGAGAGAGCATATGGGTGTGAGGTGAAACATACGGGCCGATAGAGGCAGGGCTGCAGTACCCGTCTGCTTGTCTTGGTTACTTGTCTATTGCTTTTTAATGTGTTCCTTTTTTCTCTCAGCAATTTTGTTCTTGGAGGATTTGCTTTTCCCTTCCTTTGTGCATGATTTAATCTCAAATGAGATGAGTGATATAAAAAAATCTCCAGAAATGGTTTTTTGCTCAGACCTGCATCTCTATTCTGCATGCCTCTGCGGGGTGCTGAGTCTGGGACCACGAGGACAAAGTGCATAGTGCACTGCATAGTGCCACCTGAGGCACAGCAGCCCTGGGGAAGGATGCAGAGCAGTCTTGAGTACCTATCTGAAGTCTTTGAAACTAGCTTCTTTTCTGGCTCCAAAGAGATACTGAGATACTGGGATGGGTATATACCCTTAGGATGAGGGGACTGAGTTTTTCCAAAATTGTTACTGACATGGCTGAGAACATGCTTGATAGGGAATAAGGTGAGTGACAGCTTGAAGAAAACACCCTGGCACCCAGTGGTATTCTTATGGCCCTTGCATTCCTTCTCAGAAACCTTGCAGAGCCCCAGAAAGTTCTCCTGGCCCCATCCTCAGAGTGCCACTCTCCGTGCAGTGTGCTCAGCTGTCTTGCAGGGATGGTTCGGTTTACTCCCTGTCCCTCCCTTCTCACTCCCCAGAAGATGGAGGAATTAGGACCCTCCTTACCAAAAGGCTGTGTCCCACACTTGCTACTAATTACAAAATTGTCTACTAGGTGTTGCAGGCTGGTTTTCATAGTGGCCATTAACTATGATTGATTGTCCTTGTTGAACGATGACTTGATGAGCAACTTCACTGAATGTTTAATAAGGTGAAGTAGAGCACAGAGGATATCATTTTAAAAATACTGAGTGTGGACAGTGAAGATTATCATTTAATTTGGTACTTAGGTAATTAGGTTTGCAAATAGGAGGCTGGTTGGCCAAATTGTGTTACTTCAGGCAAACTCTTAAGTTGTTTACCTGCTTTCTGCAAGTGTTACTTTGAAAAAACAAAATCCCAATGATGAATTGAAATTAAGTCCTAAAAATCATACACCACACCTTACTATAAGCCTTGTCAACGGAAGGCTGATTTTTACTAATTTCTTATATTTAAACTCTAATTTTCCCTCGGTGTTCTTTTTCTGCCTTTGATTAATGGTGTGTCTATTCATCAAGTCCCATTTATGTAAAGCATTTATTGAAGTTGGGTAATTGCTGTCTTTTATGTAAGTAGAATGTCTTGCTCCAGGGAGGTAATACAAATAAATGCATTGTACATTAGATTGAACATCTTTCAGTTCATCAATTACAGGATGGGGTGTTTTTTCATTACCAGAAGATGAGAGTTACTTTGCCACTTTAGTCAAAACATGACCCTAGCAAGACCCAAAATTTAATTTGGGGCAATCTGTTTAACTTCATCCGTGCCAGAAAACCAGATACCATCTACCCTAATCGTCTGATTTAAAATTTTTAAAAAGTTACTGAATTTTTCCAGAGAAACACATATCTGAAATTATTATGAGAAAATAAGTTCTGATTTGCAAAATCTAGTTTGCAACATATATTCTTTCAGGAACATAACTAGCTCATAAACTGAGGACACCTGTTCACTTAATTTTTTTTCCTAATTCAGTATTGGTGCCAGGACAGCTGGTTAAACTTGGAGGAAGTTTTACTATATTCCTTAAAATAGTTGTGAAGTCCAGTGCAATAGTTAAAGCTAGAATAGAAACTCAAGAAATCCAATTCAGCTGGCACTGATCATGAATATTTAAACCCATGTCATTAGATTATCCATAGTTATTTTGTGAGGATTTGCTGATAACGTTTCTTTCCAGATTTGAAATCCCTACTTGTGTGAGGGGTTTTTTTTAAACTGTTAATGGGAGCCTTAGTAGATTTATTAGTAATAAACAGTATGTTTTTCTGATTATGATTCTTTTAAATAAGTCTTCCAGTTAATAATAATTACGTTTATTGAAGATCTACACTGTATTGGGCATGAAATAGTATATTACTTAACCCTTACAACAACCATATAATATGCATTCTTATCTCTCCTTTAAAGATGAAGAAACTAGTGTTCTTCACTAGCCTCCCTCAAGGGTCACAAAGCTGGTAAAGTGGCAAAGGAGTGTTGGAACCCAGGTGTGTGAGATGTCAAAGCTCACAGGCTTAATCACTAGACTTTACTCAGATGAATTCATCAGATTTATCTTCTGGCTTTGAAACTTTCAAGTCCTTTGCATTATCCCCTTTTAACTCAGCATTGAGGTGAAGTGAAGGATGGACTTGACCCTGTGGCCTCCTTGTACTATGTGTGCATCCACATCCTTAACTCCTGATGAAAGTTCTAATTAGTGCCTAGACGATGGATCAACTTTTTACAACACCCACATTGTGGAAAATGCCTGCGTGTTTGGTCCAATAGTGGAATCCATTTAAGGTGACATCAATAGGAAAATGACACAGATATTCTAAATCACCAACTGGAATTCCGAGAGATGAATGCTGAAATTCTTACTTTCCTTGTCATTTCCACCAACATCCTTTCAGACTGAGGGTTCCCCTCCGGAGCTTCTGTGGGTTCCAGCTCCATAGTGCTTCCCATGTTTGTCCGTCCTTCTCCTTGCCCCTCCACCGCCAGCTGGTTTTCGGCTTCTCTTTTCTTCTCTACTCTTTCCTTCCAAGGAGCTTCCTCATGGGTTCCTCTACCCCCAGTCTGACCTTGCTGCAGTCATTCTGCTACCAGAGTGATCTTTTTTATGCCACTTTCTTGATGAAAATCCTTCTCTGGCTCTCTCTTGCTTTCTCAGTCTTTTTAGCTCCTATAGCACTCAATAACCTGTGGTAGGCTGAATAATGGCTCCCCCAAAGATGTTCACATCCCTATCCCCAGAATCTGTGAACATCACCTTATATGGCAAAAGGGACTTTGCAGACGTTATTAGGTGAAGAATCTTGAGATAGGGAGATTCTCCTAGGTGACCCAGTGGGCCCAGTGTAATCACAAGGGTCCTTATAACAGGGATGCAAGAGAGTCAGAGGGAGAGAAGGTGATGATGTGACATTGAAGCAGAGATTGGGGTGTGCTTTCAGTCCAGGGCCAGGGGATGTCAGCAGGCTCTAGAAGCTGGAAGAGGCAAGGAATGGATTCTCCCCAACAGCCTCCAGAAGTCGCTAGCCTTCCTGATGCTTTGGTATTTGCCTCTGAAAAATCATCTGGACTTCTGCACTCCAGAACTATAACAGAATAAATCTGTGTTGTTTCAAGCCACTACGTTTGTGGTCATTTGTAAGAGAAGCAGTTGGAAACATATACAAACCTGTAATCATTGATTTTTTTTCCCCACTAGATTTGTGCTGTCAGATATCACGTACATAAGCCACATGTGCCTAGATAAATATAACTTTAATTAAAATTAGAGACAAAAATTTTAAAGTTCCATTTTCTAGCCATACCACGTATCAAGTGCTCCATAGCCACACGCAGCCAGAGCCTACTGTACTGTGTAGTGTCAGCATAAAACATGTCCATAGTTGCAGCACGCTCCATTGGACAGCATGCTTAGGACAGGAGTTGTGCCTTGTCTACCTGGACCTGCCCCTAATATTGGCTAGCATCTCCTCACATGGAATTCTGGAAGCCTCGCCCCCTTCTTTCCTCACCCCCAGCTCTGCTCCTCACTGTGCAGGGCCTTGGATGTGCCTGGAGCAGAGGCCAGGCAGGCCCTGGAAGCAGTCTTGGGCTGTATGGATGGGGGATTCCAGATCGTATATGTAGAGCATACTCTAAATGTGGGGCAGGATGTGGCCTCCATTCCCTTGGCCCTCAGGACTCCTGACCAGGACAGAGCCCCCATTTGCCCAAGTCTGAAGGTGTCCTCTTTGTACCTATCACAATGCCTGATAGTGGGTGGTAGGTGCATAGCATTGTTGAATAAACAAATTTACTGAAAACCCACTCATGCCCTGATTTGTATGAGTACTAGAATTCCACAGAGAATAAAACAATTTCCCTGATTCATGGAGCTTACATTCCAGAAGGAGAAAGAGCTGATTCGTCAATAAATAGTTGTATATTCTAATGTCAGGGAGTGATAAGTGCTATGAAGAAAAATAACCATAGTAATGGGATGGAGTGACGGAGGTCGGGGGCTGGTGGATATATTTTAGATAAGTGGTTGCAGAAAACCTTTCAGGGGAGGAGACATCTGAGGACAGACCTCAATCAAGTAAGACAGGGAAGGTGGAAAGGAGGAAATTAAATGATCTGGGCTCCAGTTTTATCACTGATCTTCAGAACTTCAAGTCACCTAATAGTGTTCTCCCACATTTTCTCCCACTGCTTCCCTCTGTGTGGTTACACTGGGTGCCCATACTGGCTGAGATTTTGCTGATGGTCATTATTTAGATATTGACAATTGTGTGTATATATATCTATATGGTCTTTTTTTCCAAATACAAAATTTCACTGTAATATTGAATATTCCTTTTTCAAACTACATACTTTGGGATGCTGATATATGTCCTCTACTTCCCAATAAGAGTGTCCACTTTTTACAATGTAGGCTGCTATTTAAATTCTAGTTTAAGGAGACTTTTATGCTAAAACAATACTTAAACAGTGCAGAATTACCACTTGTTCTAACTTTTCCCCTTGACCAATGGTTTGGTGATTGGGAGTGAGAAACATTCTTTTTTTGAGACAGAGCCTTGCTCTGCCACCCAGGCTGGAGTGTAGTGGTGCAGTCTTGGCTCACTGCAACCTCTGCCTCCCGGGTTCAAGCAATTCTCCTGCCTCGGCCTCCTGAGTACCGGGGATTACAGGCGCCTGCCACCATGCCAGGCTAATGTTTGTATTTTTAGTAGAGACAAGGTTTTTCCACATTGGCCAGGCTGGTCTCAAACTCCTCACCTCAGGTGATCTGTCCGCTTTGACCTCCCGAAGTGCTGGGATTACAGGTGTGAGCCACCGCACCCAGCCAAAACATCCTGATTTTCTAATTCTCATTATACCCTTAAAACTACTCTATAGAACTGCATTGTCCAATATGGCAGCTACTGGCCCTTCGTGGCTATTCAGGGTTTGAAAGGTGGCTAATCCAAGTTGAATGTGCTGTCGGGGTAAAATGCACAGCAGATTTTGAAGACTTAGTATAAGAAATCATAAAAGCATAAAATTATTAATATTTTATATTGAGTACATGTTGAAATTATAGTATTTTTGTATGTTGAGTTAAAATATATTTTTAAAATAAATGTTACCTGTTTCTTTTACTTGCTTTAATGTAGCTTCTAGAAAATTTAGAATTATGTTTGTGGCCTACATTTATAGCTTATATACTATTTTTGTTTGCTTACTTTCTAAGGGTATATGCCGTGGAGAGAAAATAAAAATGTATGGGATGAATATGTTCAACAACAGCCACAGAGCATAACTCCACAGGAACCACCAGTTAAGAGAGAAGAATCAATAGACAGTGCATTGTTTAGTAGATTAATGAGCTTCTTTTAAATATGAGTGTTACTACTTTAAAATTGTATCTCCATGGCATATTTTTCTTCTTTTTAAGTTTTTCTCGGAACTGAAGTTTTAAGATAGTGTCATCTTTTAAGAGCAAGGTATAATTTTTCAGGACCACTGGGGAAAAGTTTTAGTGAGAACCTTTGTTAAAATAGTAGTATTCATTTTTTAATGTTTTTAATTGACACATAATTGTACATGAGATATTTTGATATGTGTGTACAATGTAGACTGATAAAATCAGAGTAATGGACATAGCTGTCACCTCAAACATTTATCATTTCTTCGTGTTGGGAACATTCAGAATTCTGTCTTCTAGCTATTTTAAAATATACAATAATGTATTGTTAACTGTAGTCACCTGCTGCACTATAGAACACTAGAACTTATTCCTCCAATCTAATTGTAATTTTTTACCCATTAACCAACCTCTCTGTATCACCCATCCTCCCTACCCTTCCCAGTCTCTGATGACCACTATTTTCTTTACTTCTGGGAGAGCAACTTTTTAAGCTCCCTCATGAGTAACATTTTAGAAGTAAAAAAAAATGTTTAAATACAAGAAGATAATAGTATTCAGTATTTCAGAGATTTGTGAGCTCTTTGAAATTTTTCTTAATTAAATCACCCAGTATACCCAAATAGAACTTTGCTGAAATACACAAAATCATTTTTTAAATCAACAGGTTGTCAGAGTAAGGTTGTTTTATTTGTTTTATAAAGAAAATTATGTAATTGGGAACAGCAGAAGTTGCTGAGAGAACAGAATGTATTTTGGTTTGATTTTTTTTCCCCTGGGGAAGTGAGAAAAGAGGAGGAAGTAAAGAATTCTAGGAACCCGCCTTCAGCACCCAGCTTCAGCTACCAGCCGGGTGGCTGTGGGCAAATTCTTAGTCTCTTTTTGCCTCAGTCCTCATCTGTAAAACTGAGATGATAATAATAATACTTATCTAATAGGATTGGTATAGAATTTAAATGAGTTAATTCCTACAAAATAGAATTGTGTCTGACATAATATCCACTCTCTCACATTTAGCTATAGCAATATATGATTATAATTGTTATTACTATTATTAGATATCTTATATTTGAATGAGAAATTTAAGTTTTTGAAGCCTTTTGTCATTCATCCTTTCATCCTTCATGCAACAGTGTTGGGAGTCCACAAGGGTGAGTATTTATTATACCTGTTTTAAGGATGAAGTCACTTGAGCCCTAAAGAGGATTAGTAACTTGCCCAGGGTCACTTAAGTAGTGGCAGAGCTGGGAATCTCATCTAGTATTCTCAATTGACCCTTTCCAGTAGCCTGAGAAGTAGGACTTAATAAACCCCAGAGAAAGCATTACGCTTGAGGCCTATATAACTCCCTAGTTACACTGTGGGTTTTCTTCTTTGAATTACATCCCAAGAACAGCTCACTAGTGGTTACTTGTGGATGGCTTGAGAGTGTGTTCATTTTACCTAAAACCCCAGCGAAGTCTAAATTTTAACATTTCATAGCAGAGGACTAACTGTATTAAAATGATGGTGTCTTCATCCAATTTAACTGTGTTTAAGGCCCAATTCCCTGTTCACTATGTAATATTGAGTCACTTTTGTCCTTTTGTAAAATGAAAATCGTACTACTTTGCTCCCAAATTAAGGATCTGGATCCATTGATCTCGCCTAATTGTTTTCAGATACAGAATCTGTAATCTTGCTTAAATTTAGGCTTATACGGGGAAAAAATACGAGCTTTAGAGCCAGACAAAGATGCATTGAAACCTGGCTCTGTCACTTAACGTTTTGTAGCCTTGGACTAATTAGGGGACCTTTTTGAATCTTAGTTTTCACATCTGCAAAATAGGAATGTTCGAATGTGTGCTTTGGGACTGTTATAAGGATTCAAGGTAAGCTAATAAAGAGCCTGGCTTTTGGGAGGGGCCCAGTGACAGTGGGTATTGATGCTCTGAAAATTCTACCTATATAGACCAGTGGAGTTGTACCTTCCGCACCAAAGACAGTATATGAACACATCATTGGGTTTTGGAAAATCAAAATGAATGTAACCTAGAGCTTTGCGTATTAGAAAAATATTTGAAAAGATATACAACAGGCAAATTTATTTTAAAAAGATATACAACAAAATGGTAAGTGTATTAATAGCTTGGTAATAGAAAATCAAGCATATTTTGGTTACATTTTCTAACTTTTTATGATGCATATGTCTACTTTTGTAGGAATAAAAAGTTATTTTTTTATTTAAAACATCATTTACATTAAAAAAAATACAGTGGGCTGGGTGTGGTAGCTCACACCTATAATCCCAGCACTTTGTTAGGCTGAGGCAGGAGGGTCACTTAAAGCCAGGAGTTCAAGACCTGGCTGGGCAACATAGTGAGACCTCATTGGCATCACAGTGAGACCTCATCTCTGCAAAAAATAAATAAATTTAAAAAAACACAGAAAGTAATTGTACTATGTTAACATATGTGTTCTCTGAATGGGTGATTTCCCTCCTTTCTACTTTTCCAATTTTCTACAATAAGCATGTTTGTATGAATAACGGAGAAGATAAAAGTGCATTTTTCTTTTTTTTTGTTTGTTTGAGATGGAGTTTCACTCTTGTTGCCCAGGCTGAAGTGCAGTGGCACCATCTCAGCTCACTGCAACCTCCGCCTCCTAGGTTCAAGTGATTCTCCTGCCTCAGCCTCCCAAGTAGCTGGGATTTACAGGCATCCGCCATCATGCCCAGCTAATTTTTGTACTTTTAGTAGAGACAGGGTTTCACCATGTTAGCCAGGCTGGTCTTGAACTCCTGACCTCAAGTGATCCGCCTGCCTTGGCCTCCCAAAGTGCTGGGATTACAGGCATGAGACACCGTGCCCAGCCAAAAGTGCATTTTTCATAGGCATAATCACTACCCCAAATGGAATTTGCAGTACATTAGAACTCACAAAAATATAAATTCTTGGGAATGTGGGAAGATGTTTTAGGACCAATAGATATAATAATAATAATACTGATAGTAGTTATTCTTTATTGAGCATTTTCTGTATGAGGCTCTATATTTGAACTTTTTCCATGCATTTTCTAATTTAATCCTCACAACAGGTTAATGAGATTGATTTCAGTTGAGGCTTATGATGATGTAAATTACCCAAGGCAGGACTCAGAACTTAAACTTGTGCTTTCAAAGGAAAAAGAAAATCCTCATTATGTTAACAAAGGAAATCTTCACTTATGCTAAGCTAGGGAAATAAAACTTTCCACAGAATTTATGACCAAATTCACATTGGATCAAGTTTTCTCAGCTGTTAGCTATAATATAAACTTAAACTACCACCCCATATTCTAATTTTTTTTTTCTAGAATTTCTTTTAATTTGGTAACTTGGGGGGTGAGGGAAGGAATGGGGGTGGTTTTAATAGAATATCTTTTTCTTAATTTAGGCTTAAAAGACAGCATAGGAAAACAAGGGGTAGAGGTAACATGAAGGGAGAGGTTTGTTGAGTGGAAATGGGTGGTGATACTGGAAGCTGGTTTTGTGCACTCCAAGTCTGGAGGAAATGGGTAAGTAAATCGGCTCCCCTTCTGTAATGGGTAATGAGCTTGGTGACTGTCTTCCTTTTAGCCTCTGGTTCCCAGATTAGGAAAAGATGTTAGATTAGAGTTGAAGGAAATTTCATATATGAGTATTCATAATGATTAACCCTTTTTTTCCTAAGAATTTCCATATTCACGTCTCATAAGTTGCCTTATGTCCTGAGCTTTTTGATAGGTTGGCTTTATCCTGTCTTTTAAGTGCATTTACTCATACAGTACCCTTCTGGAAGTTTGATATTTATTTTAAAAATTATTTCTGTGAGCCGTTTGGGAGGAGGGCAGGCAGTAGCCTGGCTTATTCATTTTTATATAAAAGCAACTAGCAGGCTGGGTGTGGTAGCTCATTCCTGTAATTCCCCCACCTTGCGGGGCCAGGGTGGGAGGATCACTTCTCCCCAGGAGTTCAAGACCCACCTTGGCAACATAGTGAGGCCTCATTTCCACTAAAAATAAAAAAACTTAGCCACATGTGATGGCATGCACCTATAGTCCCAGTTACTCGGGAGGCTGAAGAGGGAGGATGGCTTGAGCCCAGAAAGTCGAAATTAAAGTGAGCTATGATTGCACCACTGCACTTCAGCCTGGGTGACAGAGCGAGACCCTGTCTCAAAAAGCGCTTAACTAGCAAAAAAAGAGCAACTAGCATGAGTCATATTGTTGGCATTCGATACATTTTTGTTGAACCAGTGGACGAGTTCTTATTGCAGGCAAGGAAACTTTTCCTAGGGTTGGAGTTGCCTGACAAAAGCACAGGTTGCTCTGGGAGATGGGACATTCTGGGCAGGAATGGGCTTGGGGGGATTTGACCCCTGGATTCTTTGTAGGACTAAGTGATGTTTAAGCCTTGTTGTTAAGTGTGAGATTCTGTAATTCTGTTTCTCTAGCATATGCCCAAAGGGAAGAGATATGAAAAGCTAATTGGAACTGCAGATTGTCCTGGAAAGCCTTTGTTAGCAAAAGTGATGAACAGGTTTTGTATCAGCACTGAGAGCAGAAGGGCTTTCCCCCAGTTTCTGGAGTCAGCATCAACAGTGCTCATCCTGAGAAACAGTTCCAGTAAGCCTGGACTTCAGATCATCTTCCAGATTTAGGCTGAGCCCCAGGAAGGGAATGGTGAGGAGGAGAAACTGTTCTAGTATTTTCAATGCTAGGAAACTAGTGTGAGAAGTTTTAGAATAAGTCAATTCATTGGCATCCAAGTTACAAATACATTTACTTAAGAGCCAGGAAATAATGTGACTCACTAAATATGTTACCTTAAATTATTTTAATTGGTCTCCACACACCATTTACATTGCTGCCACATTCATGAGGTCCTATACACTATTATTGATGTGAATTTTGTTCCTCTTATATTTATGACAAGGTATTAATTTTGTCCAATAAGCTTAGAATTTCTGTACATCAGAAGTTACAAAATGGTAGGCCATAGGGAAAATCTGGCACAAGAATATGCTTTGTTTGGCTGTACAGTATTTTGTTTTAATTAGTTACTGATATTTAACATTTTGGAGATTTTTACCCAAAAATCCAGATTTCTGGCTTCTCTCTCAGAAAACAAAAATACCAGATTTGGCATAACTGCATCATACCTCCTACACAGTGGCCATTATCTGGAGGTTGGTGGCTAGATGAAGCATGTGCCCCCCATGTAACCATGGTCATTACCGTCTCTTGTTACTTTACACCCTGCCTGCATCTCTCATTTGGGGGACCTGTCTTGTCTGTGAGGGCATTGGAGTTTGTGACCCCTGCTCCATGTGTAAGGCTCACAGGCAGGTCTTAAGTCTGTAAGTGGCTACCGTTTCAACCCTGTCAGGACTGCTGAACAACGTGAAGTGTTTCATTGGATTTGGGCAGAGTGTTGTGTCTTCAGGATAATCCTGGCCAGTCAACTCTGTAACCAGAGGGAAGAAGAAAAAATGTATTCATCCTGTGCTGTGCTGTTGGCATTCAGGAGAGCCCTAGTCTAGGAGACTGGGCCTGAAGTGCCCTGCAGACTGCTCGCTTGCCTCTGCTCATGGTTACTTGGCACCTGTGCTTGGGGAAGCATCCAATGGAGTGGCAGAGGCTCAATGCCATCCATTCAGACAGCTTTCTGAATGCCGGCAGCCAAGAGAACATCAGCTGTGCCTGTGAGTAGTGTGGGTCCCCGCCAGAAACATCTAAACTTCAAAGGGAAAAAAATCGTACTGTGGGTCGGTGTGGAAAGCTTTTGGTCTTCTTGAATTTTACTCGTTTTCACAGAGAAGGAAGATGGTGTGAAGCATTCTGATGGACTCCACCTGTTTTTAGGTGCCAAGATAATTAAGCTAGAGTAGTTGCATTTAAAACCTAACCATGAAAATAAAATGAATACAAAGAATTTCTGTTTGGTGTCAGAGCTACCTTAGAATTAGGGAACTGTGAAAGAAGATCTTGGATGAATCTGATGGCAGATTTCATTAAAGTTGAAGTTACATATTCATGACTGATTTTGATTGCACCATTTCTAAGGTCTTAAAGCGGTGGGGGTGGGGAGGTCTTATAACCGAATAACCTACTCTTTCGTTCTAAAAGAAAAAGAAATCGTGCTTTTGTTTTGACTTGAAATTTTATTCTCATGCTGGCCCAAGAGTAAAGTCTGATACCTGGAATGTACTGGCAGCAAAATGTACTGTTTAAAAATCTGAAACATCGGCCAGGCACAGTGGCTCACACCTGTAATCCCAGCACTTTGGGAGGCCAAGGCAGGCGGATCACGAGGTCAGGAGATTGAGACCATCCTGGCTAACACAGTGAAACCCCGTCTCTATTAAAAATACAAAAAAATTAGCCGGGCGTGGTGGTGGGCACCTGTAGTCCCAGCTACTCGGGAGGCTGAGTTAGGAGAATGGCGTGAACCCGGGAGGCAGAGCTTGCAGTGAACCGAGATTGTGCCACTGCACTCCAGCCTGGGTGACAGAGCGAGACTCTGTCTCAAAAAGAAAAAAAAAAAAACTAAAAAATCTACTGTCCTGAAGACAAGCATGTACAGACCAAAACTCTCTTGAAATCCCACTAGAGCCCATGTTTCCATATGTGATTTGGTGACTTCCTGAAGACCTTCATCATTTACTTTACATTTGATTCATTTTCTACCATGCTGCCTTTCCTCACATGTCCCTCCTGACTTTCTCCTCTTTTAAATTTTTCTTACTCCCCTTGAGCTATGCTTCCCTTTATCCTTTTCCTGTTCCCACCTTCCCCCTTTCCCCAGACCATCAGTCCAGGGTCTTCTGTTTTCATCTCTTTACTACTTCCGCCTCTTTTCCAAGACACAGGGAAATTTAACAGAGAGGAGTGTACTGTGTGGGCAGAAAGCTGGGGAGGAGAGTTTAAATTAAAAGGCAACATTTACATTGTAGATGCGTAATTAGGGGGAGAGGTGGTGAGAGCTATCTGGTGCTGGGGATTTGGATGAAGGAGGACAGTATTTCTCCAGCAGTGCACTAAGAGCTATTTATGCATCTGATCATGTTTAGAAATGAAACTCTTCCAGATAAGAACAGATGTAAAAGGGTGGGTGTGGCAGAGGCAATATTGCTAATCATATCTGAGACCTTACAAAAAACTTATAGGGAAGTAGAGGTATGAGATTAAAAAATGTTAACATTTTCATCATAGTATTTCTGCAATGCTGCTTTGTTGTAATATTTAATGATATATTTTTAAAGAAGTGTAACTTTTCAAAGTAGTTTGCAAGTTGAATAGACCATAAAACAAATAAGAAAAGCAGAAGATCAGTGTTTAAAATAATTGTAATTTTAAGCCACTTTCTTTCAAAATTTAAATCTAATTATATTGAAAGGCAACTCGGATTGCATTATGGTACTCACAAATCCTTCCATTCCATATCCTTGAACGTAGCTGGAACTGCCCCCTCCCTTATCAAAATTAACACAAAACAATGTTAAAAATCTGTTGTTCCCTATTTGGCAGGAAATGTCATTTCCTGATAATTTCATTAGTTAGAACATAAATCTACAGCTATCTTTTCTAAATGTGCATAATTTACATTTGTTTTTAACTTGTTAACTAAGTTGAAGCATTTCCTGTAATAAATGAACAAAGAGCTGAATCAAGATAGCATCCTATATCATTTTAGAATATTTACTTTAAAATGCCCTAATAATTAGCCCAGCCTCTGCCTACCTAACCACCCTGCGATACAAAGCAAACTGCCATGCTTCTAACACCCTGAGCTCTCTAGACACTCTCAGCCACTCCTTTTGTCCATAGTACCCTTTCGGAGCCCACCCACAACTTACCAAATTTCTGCTTTGCTGATAGCTCCAGTGTCATTCCAGAGCCTTCCCTGATTTACCTGGGCAGAATTTGTTGTTCCTGCCTATGTGTTCTCATAGTACTTTCTTCATGCTTCCATGATAGGGCTTATTACCTTGCATTGTAAATGATGATAATTATACAACTAATAGTTACATGTTTTCCTGTCTGTAGACCAGGAGGTAACCTGGGAGGCCCCAAGGTAAAGAAATAATGGATTTTTTATATCTCCAGAGCCCACTACCTGGAAGATGCTCAGTAATGTTTGTCAGATGAGTACGTAAGCATTTTTAAATTTACTTGTTCCTTGTTGACTAGACATTGTTTAATGAACATTGTTGAATTCAGTTTTTTTTCAGATTATGCAGGTAAAAGCTGGATGTTTGTGCAGGACTAGAAGTATACTTTTATTATAGAGTTTGGCTCACATCTGAGGATGAAATAGAAAACTTACTTTTAACACAGGTTGTCTGTCACATTGGACATTTTCTTTGGTACTTGAAGAGATAAAATAATGAAGAAGAGAATTAACATATCTGACATTTTAAAGCTAGTTAATGGTCAGTACTTGCTAAGGCCTGAAAAATCTTAAAAGGTGTGTGTGGGTATAGGGGTGTGTGTGTGGGTGTGTGTGTGTGTGTGTGTGATCTTTTTTTTAGCTGAAAAAATAATTGCCATCTCTTTAAGGATTTTGTAGCCTAAAACTTGAAAGGCTTTTATTTTATGATTTAGAATTGCGGCTTTCAGTTGTAAAATGGATGTTGAGGAAGCATGGGTAATGAGGCTATTCTCTGGCTTCCTTTTTTCAGCTCCTGTCCAGAGTCCAGGTAGTCCATGTGGACCAGAGGTGATTGGAGCTCTCATTTATTGAAATGTAGTTAAATCAAAATAAGAAAGTTGCCAATAGAAATCCAATCAAAGTCTCTAATAGAAAGCTGGGCATCATGGCTCATGCCTGTAATCCCAGCACTTTGGGAGGCCGAGGTGGGAGGATTGCTTGAGCCCAGGAGTTAGAGACAAGCCTGGGCAACAGAGCAAGACCTTGTCTCGATTTTTCTTAAAAAGTCTCTAATAGAGGTATAAAGAAAATTAAGTGAAATGATCAGTGTTTCCTTTGTCAGTGTTTTAGATTAAGGTATTCTCTTGTGGTAGAAGTAGATAAATAAAATATACTTTTATTTCAGAGATGTTTAGAACATTATGATATTCAATGGATCTAACTGGAATTCTTTTCCACTGCTGATCAAATAAGATACTGTTTATAGGAGAAACCTTATAGGGTTGGAGGCCATAAGGAGCAAAGAATAAAAAAGAAGTCATAATGCAGTGGCTGATTGCAGGGAGTGGAGAAGGCAAACCATTTTTTTGAATTGGCAGAATTTGGTGCCTAAGTCGATAGCATTTTGATAACTTAGTATACTTATTGAAACAGATGTACACCAGAGATAGTTGTTGAGTACCTACTATGTGTTCTGTGGAAATTTAGAAACTTGTTATTTGTATTCAAGGATCTTATAATACATTATAGTTCAAAACTTTATGTTAATTAGAACATAATAGCAATAGTACAATAATGATCTAAAACAAAAGCAGTTGACCTAAATACATAGTTTCCTAGAAAGTCATGACATTCAGGAAATACTAGGAAATTAGTTTTAGGCATTTAGCTAGTTTTTTTAAAAAATCTGAATTTTGGAGAGTTCTTTTGGCTTTAAGTAAATGATAGAAGGCCAGGCATGGTGGCTCATGCCTGTAATCCCAGCACTTGGGAGGCCGAGGTGGGCAGATCACCTGAGGTCAGGAGCTCGAGACCAGCCTGGCCAACATGACAAACCTTGTCTCTACTAAAAATACAAAAATTAGCCGGGCATGGTGGCAGGCGCCTGTAATCCCAGCTACATGGGAGGCTGAGGCAGGGAGAATTGCTTGAACCCGGGAGGCGGAGGTTACAGTGAGCCAAGATCGCGCTACTGCATTCCAGCCTGGGTGACAGAGTGAGGCTCCGTCTCAAAAGAGAAAAAAAGTAAATGATAGAAATGACACTAGACCCTTGGCACCTAAACTGTTATTTGCTGCATCAACTCTCATTGGATTAATAGTTATACATTCTAATATATTCTAAACATTCTAGTAGACCATCTAGAAGCACAGGCCTGGGTCACTTTAGCTTGCTTTGCATAATTACATACTATGTATAATTGCCGAACATTGTAAGTTTGCATCGTAGTCTCTGGAGTCAGACAAACCTGAATGGGAATCCAAGTTCTGGTATTTATTAATTATCATACTTTGAACAAAATACTTATGCACTCTCTGCTTCAATTTTATCATCTCTGTAATGGAGACACCACATAATAGGATTGCTGTAAGAATTAAATGAGATAAACTGTATCAAGTACTTACCGCAGAACCTGAAAACATCATAGGAAATCAATAAATATTCTTTTATTAGATATAAATGTTAAATTGCTTAAAAGTCTAAACTTTTCTAGTAGACATTTTAAAATTGGAATTATTGCAATAAGACAAATAGCTTTAATTTGAAAAAGGCTCAATTTGCAATTAACTCAGTACTCAGTGCAAAAGATTTAAACTAGTTTAAAAGTTTTTCATTTTTTTTCTTTTTTCCTTTCCAATATTTTCCCAAAAAAGTTTTCCATTTTTAAAACTTATTCAGAGAAAAACATGTGTAAACTTTGATATATATTCCATGAAACTTCATGTTGAATTGTATCAGGAAAGAATGTCAATGTTTGGCAAATGCCTTGAACCTTTGTCAGTAACACAGTCATTCCAAATGCTTTTCAGGAACACAGTCATTCCAAAATGTAAATCTTTGTATTCTCTATAAATCAATAATTCCCACACACTGTCTTTCTGTAGTAGTAAAAATCAATCTACTAATAAGGTCTGAAATGTCCTTGCTTAATTATGGGGAAGTTAATGAAACCCTGCCTCCTGTGCATTTTAAATAAAAGTACAATAGTGGATCATTCAGATTTGCACTTCTTTAAACTGCCCTTTCCTACAATGTTGTTCAACTGCAGTCATTGAACACTCTAATTTATTGCCTTTTATCCTGGCTAGCTTTCATATGAAAAAAAAAGTGCAAGTTTGTTTTCCATACTTTATCTAAAAATGTTATGTAGGCCAAAATATAATATTTGGCTTTCAAAAGCTATGAAAAACTGACAGTTTTGTAGTAAGCTTTTATTTTAAAATAATATTGAGGTTAACATCATTACAAATGAAGGTATTGTAATGAAGACTTAGAATAATGAATACAGCCTCTATGTGTCAGAAATTTTTTGAAATTTACTTTACTTTCACATGTGAAATAGTGAGGATTAACTGTACTGAGAAGACAGTTCCTTATTTTCTTTTAATTTTTATTTATTTTTTTCTTCTGGTCTTACTTTAATACAAAAAAGGATTTTATTATAATTCTGTTACCCCTTAGATATGCTAGTCACCTCTAGAGTTCTAAGATGAGCCTATGATTTTGAGCTTGGAATGAAAGCAACTTGATTTTATATTATGTTCGTTGTACTATTTTGTTTGCTTAAATTGCTGGTGATACCATAATTCTAAAGTAGAAAAAGACCTTAGGGAGTCATATTTTCCTTAAGACAGTGACCTGGAAAGTTACATTTGGTTCAGCCACCCTAAACTTCCTAGAAAATAACTCTTCTGGACTAGGGTATCAAGAATATCATTTTGAGTTTATTTAAGGCATGACATTTCCATTCCCTACATTTATGCAGCCTCCCAAATCCTACATGTCCAGAGCCAACCCCTCTGAAGCTATCTGTGATGATGACCCCCAAGTGGCCAGTGATCTTTCCTTCCTGAATGTCCCTTAAACTAAGTAGTCTGCACCATCATATCTAGAACTTGTATTTTTCTTTTTTTCATTATACATTTAATAATTGGCCAGCACAACACTTTACATAATGAGAAAGTATTTTCCTATTTCATCTGATTGAAAGCTTCCATCACCTTTGGAAGGGAAACATGGTAGTTATTAATGACCACTTCGCAGTTAAGGAAACATGAGCTCCAAAGAAATCGTCCCTTCTCCAGTGTTACACCTCCTCTGACTAGAAACAGTGTTCAGACACTCCGTATTCTGTACTGTGTTTGCCTTGGGCATAGGTTTTGCCTTCTGATTAAGCCTGTCAAGTCCTCAAGGACCCGTTCCTATAGGAACTCCACATTGCCGACTCCACTTACAACAAATTCAGTTGCTAATTCCCTCATATCCTAGAGGAGAGCTGTCCAAAAGCCATATTGGTCATTTTAGATTTTTTAGGAGTTACATTTTAAAAAGTAAAAAGAAACCATTGAATAAGTGAAATTAATTTTAAAATATTTTTATATAATACAATATATCCAAAATTTTATGATTGTAACATGAATTAATATACAGATGATTGAGACATTTTACGTTCTTTTTTTTCTCATAAGATTTCAGAATTTTGTGCGTGTTTTACACTCACAGCACACTTCTCTTCAGCCTAGCCACCTTGCAAGTACTCAGTGACACTTGCAGCTACATACTGGGCAGCACAGTGCTTAAGATTTCTCCACAATGTAGCTACAAATCAGCTTCTACTCCTTGATAACAGATTAAATGGAAATCATCATTAGTTCCACACCAGAAGACAGAAATGAGTGATTCATAAATAATTATAATAATAAGAGGCTTAGGGGAAAATATGGATACCATTCATTCTTGTGAGGGTTTTTGTTGTTTTTATTAATTTGTTTTGCCCTGTGATTCCTCATTCAAATGGGGAAACCATACAACTTACAAAGAAAACTCTATTTCATAAGGTGTCGGATGCTTAGCATTGCATTTATTATTCATTTGTATTCTCTTCTGAAACGTAAGTCTGATTATAAATCTTCCTTGTTTAAAATTGTTCAATTTTTGCCCACTGATGCTTCTAAGCATCCTCCATTGAGGTCCTGCTAGACCAACAAGATCCAAATATCCAGCCTAAACACAGGTATTTTTAGTAAGGACGCCAGGTGGTTTTTATCATCAAGCCAATTTGCAAAGCTGACCTGTGAAATAAAATCTGACTCCTTAGCATGCCACATGGGGTCCTTTCCAACCTAGTCTGTGACTAGACCTCCTACCCATCCAGAATTCAATTTCGGCAATTGAGAAGTACTTGTTATAACTCTCCTTCTCTCCTACTTCCTTCAGCCAGACTCCTGGTAAGTCAATCTCAGGGTCACCTCTTTGTGCCCTTGCCTTCTTGCCCAGCCATGGATATGTCCGCCCCAGACTCTCACTGCATCTTGACATTCTTACCTTGAGGCTGTGAAAGTCGCCCCCTCTCATTATCTGTCTGTGTTGCCTCTGCTTCCTCACTGAGAATGGGACTCATGACTTTCAGTCTATTATTTATGTCCACGAATAAGGAGCCTGGCACAAGAAAATATTCAATAAATATTTTTTAATGAAAGCTCGCTGGTGCTAGTAATAATAACATGTCCATCTGTTTCATAGTGGTTTACAGATTGCAGCATGCTTTTCACTTATATCATCTCATTTAATTCTCAGCACAGCCTTGTGAGGTGGGAAGTATTGTTTTATAAAATGAAATTCCGAGAGGTTGAGAGACTTGCCACATGTCACATGACTTGTATTAGGTGACACTGTAACTCCAATCTGGGTCCATCCTAACCTAGTCTGGGTCCTTTCTGACCTAGTCTGTGACTAGATCTCCTACCCATCCAGAATTCAATTTGGTAAATTGAATTAAGTAGCGTACATCCTGACGCTTCCTAATTTATGTGCAGAGTATAAGAGAAGCATAAATCTTGGGTTCAGATTTCTAGTGAAGTGGAGAAATTGCCTTTGTTTATTCAGTTGATTCACTTAAAAAAAAAAAAGCTCACTTTTATGGAATTTTTGCCTGCTCCAAATTTTTAGCCTAAAAAAGCTTATTATGCAAAATTTGCACCTGGTGTTTAGTTAATCAACAGTCACCAGGTTGTATAAATATTCACATGAGCTGTGAGCATGGGAATAATCAATAGAGCCCGTTGGCATCTCATTGCGTTGCTCTGAAAGACATTTCAGTGGCTCTCCCCTGTCATTTAGGAAAATCCCTTCTGTCCTTTGGATAGAGGTAATAATACATCTTAAGAGAATGTAGACCCCTTTGGTATCATAAGGAAATTCTGACCAAATGAGAATGTGAAATAACAGAGATGATTTGTGATACTTTAGAAATGTTATTATATTATTTGCTAGATGATCATGAGTATCACACCAGCGTATCAATTTTATGTCCTGGTCGTAGTCATTCAGTAATATATTAGAGAAACAGCCCAGTGTGGATCAATCTTTCCGTGAAATATGTATCAGTTTGTGGCTTCACACAAATTTATTTTAAGAGTTAGGGCTTCCCTTTCTGAGAGCAATAGCAAGACATTCCTTCATTTCGTCTGTTTCTAGGCAATTCCATTTTATTTGGCAAGTATTAGCAGATTTTTATAGCTGAGAGGAACCATTTTTTCTTTTTTTTTAACAAATTAATTGCAGCAGTTTGAAAAGCACACTCATTTTGTGCATTGTTCTTGTTGGATTATTGGTATTGATTCATTCCGTAGTGATGCTCTGGTAGAACAGAAATGAAATAATAGTCATTTAAAAAAAAACAGTAAATTTTAGCCTCCATTAAAACTGCCATTATGATTATTTAGTAGGTCTTGACCTAGATTTAAATAATGACTGCTTACAGCCTCCTCAGAGATCACATTTTTCCGCCTAAAAGTGGTTGTGCTGTTTTATGCAGTTTTGGGGCATTCATGGTGAAAAGTCTTTCCTAATATTCTATTAGGTAAATCTTTTCTATGCCATTAAGTGCCTTTGGGCTCATGAAATCCTTTTAAAGTGCTTGTCCCCATGTTGGACATTTGACAAAAAGTACCAAAAAGTACTGGGTGTGGAAATAGGAGTTTGTTGCTATTACTGCTATCATCATTATCAGAAAGGTATCAACAACCAACATTTCATGGAATTGTGATATAGCTATCTTTCAATGTATATAACAGCTGTGATGTATTTCACATATCACATGATTTATCATTTCAAAAATGCAATTCAGTGGCTTTTGGCATATGCCAGGTTTTGCGACCAGAGCCACAATCAATTTTTCATCATTTTTATTACCCTATAAAGAAACTTCGCACCCCTTAGCAGCCATTTTTCCCCAACCCTCCCAACTCTAGGCAACCCCTAATCTACTTTCTGTCTCTATAGATTAGTCTATTCTGGACCTTTCATAGGAATGAAATTATAGACTGTGGTTTTTTGTGAGTGGTTTCACTCACTAAAGTTATGTTTTCAAGGTTCATCCATGTTGTAAATAAGTACTTCATTCCTTTTTATGGCTAAACAGTATTGTGTTGTGTGGCTATATCACATTTTATCTCTTTATTAGTTGATACACATTTGAGCTGTTTTCACCTTTCAGCTATTATGAGCAATGCTGCTATTGCACACATTCACGTGCAAGTTTTTGTATGGAAATAGATTTTCATTTCTCTGGAATGTATACCTAGGAGCAGAATGGCTGAGTCATATGGTAACTCTAAGTGTAATCTTTTGAAGAACTGCCAGACTGTTTTCCAAAAGGACTGCATCATTTTACATTTCCACCAGCAATGTGTGAGTTCCAGTTTCTCCACATTGTCTTCCAACACTTTTTTTAAATCTTTTTGATTATAGCCATTCTAGTGAGTGTGAAGTGGCACCCCATTGTGCTTTTGATTTGCATCTCCCTGAAAGCTAATGATATTGAGCAACTTTTCATATGCTACTGGCCATTTGCCATTTGTATATCATCTTGGGAGAAATGTCTGTTGAGACCCTTTGACCTTTTTTTTTTTTTTTTTTTTTTTTGAGATGGAGTCTCTATCACCAGGCTGGAGTGCAGTGGCACGATCTTGGCTTACTGCAACCTCTGCCTGCCAGGTTCAAGCAATTCTCCTCCCTCAGCCTCCCGAGTAGCTGGGACTACAGGTGCACACCACCACGCCCAGCTAATTTTTGTATTTTTAGTAGAGATGGGGTTTCACCATGTTGTCCAGGATGGTCTCGATCTCTTGACCTCATAATCCACCTGCCTCGGCCTCCCAAAGTGCTGGGATTACAGGCGTGAGCCACCGCACCCAGCCTGTCCATTTTTAAAATTGAGATTTTGTTTTTATTGTTGAGTTGTAAGAGTTCTTTGTGTATTCTGTATACAAGTTCCTTATCAGACATATGATTTGTGAATATTTTCTCCCATCTATGGGTTGTCTTTTCACTTTCTTGGTGGTTACTGCCGTGTATCTTGTAACCTACTTACCCTTCAATGCATTATGTTTTCCACACTCTTCCAGTCTGAGTCAGTTTCTGCTCCTCTTTCCATAGCTTCCTGTTGCACTTCATTGTTATGGCAGTGAACAGAGTGTAAATGATTGGTTTAGGATTTGTCTTCCTAACAAGAAGGACCTGTGTCTTACAAACCTTTGTATCTCCAGTGCCTAGGACACTGCCTAACACAAAATGGAAACTCAATAATTGCTTGTTCACCTAAACTAAAATGAACCTTGAGTCTAAAAAAAATGATTCAGGTCAATACTAACCTAAAAACGCCTCTAAAAAGGGGTGGGAGCCTTAATAGACTGTCAGAGAATCTAGGGGTAGGAAGGAAGCTGCAATGTCTTATGCAGAAATAAGGCTCACAGTTTTTCTCAAACTCACCCCTTGCACTTACGCTTTCACCACTTCCAGCTTTAATGTTCTGTAGTTCCCATGATGACAGTGGTGCCTCTAGCTGCAGCCGCCTGCGGCCCCATGGCAGGATTCATGCAGTGTGGGGCCGAGTGCACCATGGGCTTCCTTGATTTGTTCTTTTTTGTTTGAGACAGGGTGTCACTCTGTTGTCCGGGCTGGAGTGCCAGTGGCGTGATCACAACTCCACTATTGCCTCAAGCTCTAGGGCTCAAGCGATCCTTGCACCTCAGCCTCCTGGGTAGTTGGGATTGCAGGCATGCACCACCACAACCAGCTAATTTCTAATTTTTTGTGTGGAGATAGGGTCTCCCTATCTTGCCCAGGCTGATTTCAAACATTTGAGCTCAAGCGATCTACCTGCCTTGGCCTCCCAAAGTGTTGGGATTACATCCATGAGCCAGTCTGCATGGCCCTTTGATCTGTTCCGAGCAGCAGACACAAATTTATGCGACCAATCATTTATTTTACTCTTTAAGGTAAATTCTTAAAATTCTTTAAATTCTTTGGTGCTGATTAAGGTGAGCACAAATCTAGTGAAGTCATATTAGGATAGCCATGCCATTTGTGCAGGGAGGTAACCACTGTACTGTGCAGCCTTATGATGCTGGGGCAGTATAAGGAATCCAAAGATTTTCTCTTCCTAACGAGATGTTTCTTTTTTTTTTTTTTTGAGATGGAGTCTCGCTGTGTTGCCCAGGCTAGAGTGCAGTGGTGCAATCTCTGCTCACTGCAACCTGCATCTGCTGGGTTCAAGCAATTCTCGGGACTCAGACTCCCGAGTAGCTGGGATTATAGGCGCATGCCACCACTCCCGGCTAATTTTTGTATTTTTAGTAGAGACAGGGTTTCACAATGTTGGCCTGGCTGGTCTCGAACTCCTGACCTCAAGAGATCCACCCACCTCAGCCTCCCAAAATGCTGGGATTACAGGCGTGAACCACCGCACCTGGCCTCTAAGGAGATGTTTCTTATGGTAGTAGTTTTCTGTTGATTTTTTAAAAATGATCTTTCTTATGATCCTTTCCTTATTTGTCCTAAACTTTTCTAAATGGAAGAGGTAGTTGAATGGATTATCCTCCATGTTTTGGAGTTGATTTTCGCACAGTGATGCTCTGGATTCTGTTCCTTACATGTTTCCTGTTATGGAGAATGCTGAGTGCCTTATTTTGATTGGAAAATTACAGATGACACAAAATAACAGTTAATTTTTGTAAAACAAGGATGAGGATTTAATTGTTAAATCCATCATTCTCATGATTCCCTAGTTCTTGATCTTAAATCCTGATGGAAGTAAGCAAGAAAATATTTAAAAATGAGACCCAAGAAAAAAGCCTGTATAATTTTTGTGTATTTCTGATTAGATTTGAGATTTGTACTTTTATCTTTTATTTCTTACTTGGCACTAAGGCAGCTAAAAACAAAAACAAAAACAAACAAAAAAAACCCCAGAAAACTAGTTGACAGCTTAAGATGTTTGATTTACTTTCTCTTAGTGCAGCAAGATGTTCTAAAATTACTTCATCTTAAAAGACTTACTGGGATCCCTGAATGGGAAACACTCCACCCTTGATATATTCTTTTTCTTCATGAAACAAAAAGAGCTCTGCGTTTTTGAAAGACAAAGTTTGGCAAACATGCTGATTATAATACTGTATTGGAAAACACTTACTTTGATTGACTAAAAACCAGATGCTGTTCATAGTAGTTAAAAGCCTGTAATAATGTGTTCAACTCTGGTGTTCAGCACACGTCTGTGAAGTTATAATAAAATCCTGCAATCTAGAGGTGGAGAGACCAAGCAAGGACACTTGAGAAATTCTTCCCTGTTTTCCCCCAGGACTCCCCAGAAACAGCAGTATCTGAAGCCTGACCTTATTGAGGGCAGAGATCTTGTTTCATTAGTTATTGTTTCTTCTTTGCCGGTATGCAAGCCTGGCACAGTATAGGTGCCTGAAAAAAGGTTTGATGGATAGAAGGATGGGAAGTGTTTGGCCGGGCGCGGTGGCTCACGCCTGTAATCCCAGCACTTTGGGAGGCCGAGGTGGGCGGATCACGAGGTCAGGAGATCGAGACAGTCCTGGCTAACACAGTGAAACCCCGTCTCTACTAAAAATATAAAAAATTAGCCAGGCATGGTGGCAGGCGCCTGTATTCCCAGCTACTCGAGGCTGAGACAGGAGAATGGCGTGGACCCGGGAGGCGGAGCTTGCAGTGAGCCGAGATCGCGCCACTGCACTCCAGCCTGGGAGACAGAGCAAGACTCCGTCTCAAAACAAAAACAAAAACAAAAACAAAAAAAAGAAAGAAAAAAAAAACAAGGATGGGAAGTGTTTGATTAGTCAGACTGACAGATCAGGGTCAAAAGTCTCCAGGGGTACCAGTTACTGGCTAAAATCCTTAGATAAAGTATTTATACTCCTTAAACTTCAATTATTCTTTGTAAAATGGAAGATAATACTAAAACCTACTTCATTAGGGCACAGAATAGTAAACACTGAGTTATTATTAGTTATTTTTAAATTAAGCACATTTCCTGACTCCCCATTCAGAACCTGACCACCTTATTCATGGACTTGCTGTGAACTTGCTGTTAATGAACTTGGTTAAACATGGTCAAGTGTATGTATGTATATATTATCAGTACTGGCCTTCTCTATCTAAGAGGAATAGCAAGAAATTTAGAGACATTATTTGGACATTGATTTCTACTAACTCCACTGAATTAGATTCAGCCTTCACTTTTTGGGAAATGCACGGACACTGGGAAAGATGAAATGAAGAAGTTTTCCAGCATGATGTTCTTGTCTTTGGAGCTTAGCCTTACTTAGGTCTTAGAACAAAAACAAGTCGGTAGTTATTAGTTACTGTATCTCATTTTCCAAAACACACGTTTCTTTGTTACAGTCATTTACACATATTTTTGCATGCCACATTTTTGCTTTTGAGCTTTTGCTGAATCACTAAATGACCACCTTTCATGTTCCTAATGTATTAAAATTATCAGAGGATTCTTTGAGGATTAAATGTGTCAGTAAGGGTATTATTTTGAACAATGCGTAAAAGGTGAAGGCCAGCTGAAGAGGCCTTTTTGTTGTGAACAGAATAATATACTGGAATCTGAGGACTGCACTGTTATGAATGGATTATTTGGCTATGGAAAGAAGTTATTTTTAGGCACAGCATCCCTATAAGCCCTGAAGCTATGTGTTTTACAAACTAGAAATTATGCACTAAATAAAAATTACCAGATGTCAGTCTCTGTATGTGCCAAATGGCAAATGTGTAATGGTTCAGAGCCTGGAAGAAATGATGCTTATTTCTTTGCCATTCAAACTCAAAAGGGATAGCTGAGGTAGAGTGCTGTTGAAAAAATTGCAGTGTTTCCAGCTACCCAAAGATGTTACGAATTGTTATCTGAAAGGCTTTCATTCTTTCCCCTCATGGCTCGTTGTGTGTTTGTGGCATTACAAATGTAACCCACATATTTATTCTAATTTATTACATTCTTTCCTGAGGCTCCTCTTGTTCTTTTAAAGGGTCAGCAGATAACTTATTTTAAGAATCAACCTGGACACAGTATTCTAACAAAGGTCCAATACAGAGCTAAATAAATAATAGGAGTCATAGCCAGACACAGTGACTCACGCCTGTAATCCCAACATTTTGGGAGGCCAAGGCGGGTGGATTACCTGGTGGTGCATGCCTGTAGTCTCAGCTACTCAGGAGGCTGAGGCAGGAGAATCACTTGAACCCGGGACGCAGAGGTTACAGTGAACCGAGATTGCGCCACTGCACTCCAGCCTGGGCAACAGAGCGAGACCTCTATCTCAAAAATAAATAAATAAATACATTTAAAATATATATATATATATATATATATATATATATATATATATATATATATATATATATATTTATATATATTTCGTGACTTATATCTTGCACATACCAGCATACCTCATTAATTTTAATGTAACCATCCATTGGCTTCTCTTCTCTCCTTAGAAATTCGAGCTCAACTGGTAGAACAACAAAAATGCCTGGAGCAGCAAACGGAGATGCGAGTTCAGCTTCTCCAGGATCTGCAAGATTTCTTCCGAAAAAAAGCTGAAATTGAGACGGAATATTCCCGGAATCTAGAGAAGTTAGCAGAAAGGTTCATGGCAAAAACAAGAAGCACTAAGGATCATCAACAATACAAGTAAGAGATTTGAATCTAATTCACCTTTCCAAGGGTGATATCCATACTGCCTTTGCCACCTTTGTGGATTTTTTATTTTTCTATTTTTGTCTGAGTAGTGGTTGTAGAGCATATTCTCATAAATAAAAGCAGCCCTCTACATTTGTAACTTATGGGCATCAGTTTATCATTTTAAACTAGTGTAATCTGTTGACACTTTTGTCTTTCCAATACATATATATTTATGGATAGCTTTATATGCCAGAAGAGAAGGTATATGTTTGTAAAATTCTTGATTATAGAAACCCGGGAGTTGATATCTGCTATAGGTAGGACAGATTTAAAATAGGTTTTTGTTCAAGCAAAGACCTCAAATTTTCTCTAGTGAATTTATATGAAAGTAAGCAGTAAGAATTGCTTGAATTTTGTGCCCCCCTTCCTGCCCATCATGTTTATGGTCATTGTAATTGACACTGATTTAAAACAAAAGTTTTAAGGAAAATGCTATGAATGAGCATAAAGTAAGTTTAATTATGATTTATTTGCTTTAAAAAACACACATAAGATGTTCTGCTAATGAAAGTTAATGTATGATTTAAATCCTGGGGACAGGGCCAGGTGGGGTGGCTCATACCTGTAATCCCAGCACTTTGGGAGGCCAAGGCAGGTGGATCACCTGAGGTCAGGAGTTCAAGACCAGCCTGACCAATATGGTGAAACCCCGTCTCTACTAAAAATACAAAAATTAGCCAGGTGTGGTGGCATGCACCTGTAATGCCAGCCACTCGGGAGGCTGAGGCAGGAGAATAGCTTGAACCTGGGCGGCGGAGGTTGCAGTGAGCTGAGATTGCAACACTGCACTCCAGGCTGGGCAATAGAGTGAGAGTCCATCTCAAAAAAAAAAAAAAAAGGCCTCAGGACAGAGAAAGACAAGTAAGCAGACAACTCCAGTGAAATATTCAAGTGCTCCAACAGGGGAAGGCGGGGGAGACCCTGGACAGACCCAACTGATATCTGTTCTGCATTGGAGGTGGGGAAGGGAAGGTCCTGAAAGAAGTGGCATCTAAGCAAAGACCTGAAGGACTAGTTGGTCAATAAAGGAGAGAAGAGGAGGATATTCCAGGCAAGGGAAACATCATGGGCAAGGGGCCGGCAGGGAATGTACCACGCCTGGCTAAGGGATGTACAGCAGGTTTGCAGAACAGAAGTAGTCCAGTGGGAGTGAGTAGGGAGGCGATGAGCTGCATGGCTGCAGGTGTGAATCAGAGGTCATGGGGACCTGGGGATCTTCCTGGCCAGTTGGGACCTTTTCCTGAGGGCATGAGAAGGAACACTGCAGGTAGAGAGAAGTTGACCTGTTTTGGAGATAGTAAAAAGACAGTGCAGGCTTTCATTTCTGTAAATACAGCAGGCCAGATCATCTGAAAAACATGTCTATCTGAAAACTCTCAGAAATGCTGGTTAACATATAATGGACATCCTTTTACATATAAATTTCTAGGGGCCAAAAAAAGAAGAGGGAACTGAAAACCTAAGTGGCAATTGTATCCACCCTTTAATTTCACTTGGGGCAGAGAAGATAAGGTCTGTGCCAAGTAAAGACTTGGAACTGAGAGCTTCCTCCCCACCAACCCCATTGCATTGCATCCCAGAACCAGAAGAGCTACTATCTCAGTGAAATGGTAAAACAGAAACCCCTCTACCCACCTTCACAGGGCACAACAAGAAGACCTGGCTGCTCAGCCTGGGCTCCTGTTTGGAAGGGGCTGTGGAGAAGCATGCCTTTCTGTCACCATTGGCTTTGCAGTTCCGTTCATTTCACACCTCTCCATGACCTTGGACCCTGCATAAAAAAATGGGATGGGAACTATCCCTGGGCTACTTGTGCAGAAGCAAACACAAAACTATTCTGGATAAGAAATACCTCTCTGTTCTCTTCCTTTCTCTTCTCTCCTCTTCTCTCCTCTCTGTCTCTTCTCTTTTCTCTCTTCTCTTTTTTCTTCCTCTCCCTTTCACTCTCTCTCTCCTCTCTTCTCTTTTTTCTTCCTCTCCCTTTCTCTCTTCTCTCTCTTTCTCTCTCTCCCCCCCGACACACACAATCTCTCAACTTTAACCTTTACTGTTGGTCCAGCATAAAAATAAATCTTAATGATGATCCCCAGGGTGAACAAATGTTATATGTATTTAACAGAGAGCGGGGCTGGGAAGCAGAGGCTGGAGCCAGTACTGTATTCACATAGTAACTTAACTGTTGCTTTTAAAAAGCAGTTGTAATTAAGAAGACAGCCCATTCATCTATTCAGTAATTTTTTTTTTTTTTGAGATGGAGTTTTGCTCTGTCGCCCAGGCTGGAGTGCAGTGGTGCAATCTCGGCTCACTGCAACCTCCTCCTCCCATGTTCAAGCAATTCTTCTGCCTCAGTCTCCCGAGTAGCAGGATTACAGGTGCCCACCACCACGCCTGGCTAATTTTTGTATTTTTACTAGAGACAGGGTTTTGCCATGCTGGCTAGGCTGGTCTTGAACTCCTGACCTCAAGTGATCCGCCTGCCTCAGCCTCCCAAAGTACAGGGATGACAGGTGTGAGCCACTGTGCACAGCCCATTCAGTAAATATTTTTTAGTATCTTCTGTGTTTTGCATTTGGTAATTGGTGGCTGTGAAGGGAAAATATGGATGGGTCCATGTACCTTATCTGGCCCCATGGTGGATGGACACGTTTTTGTTTCTCTTGGTTTATTTGGTAGTTTTCTTTAAAAGGTAAGCAGTTTGAAATTTTCTTTAATTTGAGTAAGTTTATTATTGAATATGGGACTGAAGATAAGATGAATATGTCTCTGAAAAGGATAAAACAGGATTGGGAAAAAAGTCAGCCAGACTTGGGTTTGAATATTGGCTCCACTTTGTGACTTTGGTTAAGTTACTTAACCTCTCTGAGCCTTGGTGTCCTAACTTGTAAAATGAGGTTTTATGACCCTTAAGTGAGAAATGTGATAAACTCTTTGATACGATTGATAACCAGCCCAGGATATGCACTTGATATTCCTTCTCCTTTTAACCAAACACATGTTATGTCTTTAGCATGATATCATTACCAATCATTTAAGCTATATTCTGGAGTCTGGTTCTTACTCAGTTTTGGGACACTTATTGTGTAGAACATTCTTTGGCCTAAAGATGCCACTGCATAGTGGAAAGACCAAGGCTTGGTTTAGCTTCCCTGGACTAAAAAAAGACTCTCTCAGACACTAGCTTTGGTCTTTATCAAATCAGTATGCCTTGCTAAGCTTCCATTCTTTCACTGATAGAAAAGATACAAAGGGTCGGGTGCGGTGGCTCACACCTGTAATCCCAGCACTTTGGGAGGCTGAGATGGGTGGATAACCTGAGGTCAGGAGTTCAAGACCAGCCTGACCAACATAGTGAAACCTGTCTCTACTAAAAATACAAAAATTAGCCGGGCATGGTGGCAGGCACCTGTAATCCCAGCTACTTGGGAGGCTGAGCCAGGAGAATCGCTTGAACCCCGGAGGAAAAGGTTGCAGTGAGTCAAGATCACACCATTGCAGCCCAGCCTAGGCAACAAGAGCAAAACTCCATCTAAAAAAATAAAAATAAATAAAAAGAAGATACAAAGAATCTCTGCCTCAAATGGTAGTAATAAGGATTAAGTAGAGTTGATGTCTGTAAAATCTTTATACCAGCCCGTGATAAAACAGCTGACTTTATATAGCACTTACCATGTATACAAGGCATTATTATAAGCATTTTAAAATATATGTTAACTCCAGTGATTCTCATGAACAATCTTATAAGCACTGTTATTTTACCCATTCTACAAAGTAACTGAGGCACAGAGCAGTTAAGATCATTTGCCCAAGATCTCATAGCTAGTAAGGGGTAGTCCTGCATGTGAACCTAGACAGTGCAGCTCCAGAGGCCATGAGCTTGACATGGATATTACTTTTCACAGTAAGTGCTCATTAAATGATAGCTATTATTATTTTCAATATTACTACTACTGCTATTATTACTAAGGCAATAATAATTATTTATGCAATGAGTGAAATAACACTTATTTAATGTTTACTGTGGGGCAAGGCCCTGAGGATATGTTGAAGCATGAAATGTTCTGAAAGAATTTGTGGGTTACTTCAGCAAAGAAGATCTACATGAAAGTTAATAGAAATAAGGTAACATTTACCTTGTTATATAGGGCTGGGTAGATAGGAACTCTCAATAGAAAAGCTCCAATTACCTGTTATAGAACCACTGCTCTTTGCCTGATGGTGTTAAGAAAAAAGGGAGATCTCAGGGTAGAGGGTATAATTCTTCAGTGTGCCAATGGGAAGAATGGGAGGCTGCCCTCATGGGTGCCAAGTGCTAGGAGCCTAAATCAGGCCTTCTTTCCCTATGCCCATTCCTGCTTCCATTGTCTACTTTCATTTTCTTCTAGAGAGGGCATTGACTTAATGCAGTATTAAATCCTGAATCTGAGAGACGTAATGGCAGAGGCCCAACTTCATCATTTCTTTCCTAACTTAATTAATATTCAGAGTCATACATGATCATAAATAATAGGAGGATAACATGTCTGATTAAAGGGTGCTTTTGTTCCTGCATTAGCATAAGGATTCTCTGCTATTTTGCCATTTTACAGTTACTTTTTAAAGAAAAAACAAACAAAAAAATTTCTTTTCTTTGTTTTTGAGACAGAGTCTCGCCCTGTCGCCCAGGCTGGAGTGCAGTGGCACAATCTCGGCTCGCTGCAACCTCGACCTCCTAGGTTTGAGCAATTCTTGTGCCTCAGCCTCCCAAGTAGCTGGGATTACACGTGCCCATCACCATGCCCGGCTGATTTTTGTATTTTTACTAGAGGCGGGGTTTCGCCATGTTGCCCAGGCTGTCTCAAACTCCCAATCTCAGGCAATCCACCCGCCTCGGCCTCCCAAAATGTTAGGATTATAGGCGTGAGCCACCACGCCCAGCTGCAAAAATTTTTTAAAAAGTAATTTTTCTTAAGCTGTATCATCCCAGTTGCTCACTGTTTTTGTTGAGTTATTCTTTAAGATTTTTAAACAGTTTTCTTTTGCTGTTTATATTAACTTTTAGCTTTATTTTATAGAATAAAACAAGGAGCAGTTATGAGTCTGAAACAGTTTAATGGGTTTCAACAGGACATGTGACAAGTCATAAGCCAGCAAACTTCATGGTTCTCTTCATGAGCCTTGAGACAATGCAATAAAGTTCTGATTCCCAGGAATAGTTTTTGGGAGACTGGAGGTTATGTATCAGGGGATTAATAAATAACCCTCAAATTTATGTTCCATGGAATGCATAACTAGCCAAATTTCTTTTCCAGCAACATACTGAACATTCAAAGCAGACTTTGTATGCCGTGGCAAAACCACAGTCTGTCTGGACAGTAGTAGTCAGTAGATTTTTATGTAAACATAAATTGCTTTCTTCAATGGAGCGTTTAAAGCTGAGGGCCTGCCTAAGCACTGTGTATATTAGGGTCCCATGGTCCTTGTCAGGAATATGGATTTCACCAGTGTTCATGGTCCAAGTTTTTCCTTCCAAACCTGGACAATTGCTGGCTCTATGCCATCCACAGGCTGGAAGCCTGTTCTGCTGGCTGATAAGTGTCCTGGTCTGAGAAATGCTCAGAGCAGGATGCACAGCACAGTATCCATCTGTTGTGGTTCTTTAGTTTGCCTTGGTGACTTCACTCATCTGATTGGGGCAACTTTGAAATGGGTGGTAATTCTGTGTTTCTTCACTTCTTAGGAAAGACCAGAACCTGTTGTCTCCAGTGAACTGCTGGTATTTGCTCCTGAACCAAGTAAGGAGAGAAAGCAAAGACCATGCAACCTTGAGTGACATCTATCTGAACAATGTGATTATGCGGTTCATGCAGATAAGTGAGGATTCTACCAGGATGTTTAAAAAGGTACACTCCATAAATCCTGCCATAGTGTGCTTTCCAATAACTGCCTTGTCTATAACCAGGACTGAGAACGGTATCTGAAAAATTAGGTGAATGAATGAATCCTTTAGAGACACAGAATAAACAGTTAAAAATTAGATGAATGGATGTTTTAAAGACACGGAATAAAGAGTTAAAAATTAGGCCGGGCGTGGTAGCTCATGCCTGTAATCCCAGCACTTTGGGAGGCTGAGGCGGGTGGATCACGAGGCCAAGAGATCGAGACCATCCTGGCCAACATAGTGAAACCCTGTCTCTACTAAAAACACAGAAATTAGCTGGGCGTGGTGGCGCTTGCCTGTAGTCCCAGCTACTTGGGAGGCTGAGGCAGGAGAATCACTTGAACCCAGGAGGCGGAGGTTGCAGTGAGCCAAGATCGTGCCACTGCACTCCAGCCTGGGCGACAGAGTGAGACTCCGACTCAAACAAACAAAAAAAAGAGTTAAAAATTAGATGAATTAATCTTTTAAAAATACAGAATAAAAAAGTTAGGTATAAGGCATACTTATAGAGTTATAAGTCAGTGAATCTATGAGCTACACAATGTGAGCAAAAATTTTGATATAAGATGTTCCTGCAAATTGTACCTCTGCCCAGGAACGGACTACCTGTACTCATGAAAAATCAGACCAGAGGGTAAATGCCTTGAATTCTTTGTTTGGGGCTCACACATGATGAGAAACTTGTGAAGAACAAGATTATTACATGTGCTACTCTCTTGAGAAGATGTTAGCACAGTCTTTCTTAGTTCACCAGACCAGCAGTAGAGGCTGTGAGAGAGCGACATGAAGAAAATTTCACAGGGCACAGAAAATTCCATCCCTTACACACCAGCGAGCTTCCTCCTTCCCAAATCCATTAAAAAACAATAACTGGGCTTTGAAGTTTTCTAATCGTTGTTACTAATCTCAGCCAACTCTCAGCAATTTTTTTGTTGTGTGGACATTTTTGCTGAGCACAAATAATAAAATGGGACCATTTCCTGTGCAGAGAATGCAGCTACTTGCCCAGTACGACTAGCGTTCATTTTTTATGCTTGCAAGATGAGAGTTTTCCCCCACTCTCTCAGCTTTGTATTAGGAATGTTGATGCCTGTACCTATACCTGTACCTCTATTCAGTGAGTAATTATTAGTTTCAGAAAGTAGCGGGGAGAAAAACCTCTCTGTAGATTAATGACATATTTATGTTTCAGAGAGGCTCCTTAAAACAAAGACATAGTGTTAAGCAGGCCAGCTGGAAAATTTCTTAGTCATGTTTGATGTATCCACATTAGATTTGATTTCTGACCTAGAAAGGGAATTTAGCAAGCTCTAAGTCACCTTATGCTCCATTAAATAGAAAAACAAATTTCAAACAAAGGAGAAACTTTAAAAATTGAAACTAAGGAGCATACAATTTAAGAAGAGATAAAGAAATATCCTATGCGTCTTAAATAGTAGAGTTTTAAAAAAATAATTTAGACAGAGCTGTGAAAGTGCAATAATTTTCTTGTATATGAGCTCTTTATGCAGAGATCTCGTTTGGTTCAGCAGGTTTTTCTGAGCATCTCCTATGGGCAGGAGACTACGATGACAGGTGCTGAAAAGGCTACAAAGATGAAGAAAATCTATTCCTGGTGCTCAAGGAGGTCACAATTTATCCAAATTTGTATGGCACTATATAATGCTTCTTATTCAGACAGGGCCTCTAGGACCAGTAACTCTACTGAGTTCATTTATTTATCCATTCAACAAAGCATCTTTAAAATGCCTGGCTAGGGGAGCAGAGCTAAAAGACATGTCCCTGCCTGCAAGGAGCTCATTACAGTAATTAACAGTTACTACGCTAAATGGAACTGGAAGGCTGGAGATCTTAACTCTACCTAGGGGATGAGGAAATTGTTCTCAGAAAGGGGAACACTTGAAGTGAGACTTGTAGGAGAAGGAGGCATTCATCTAACAGAAGGACAATGAGCTATTCCAGGAAAGGAGAGCATGAGCATGTTCAGGGAAAGGAAAGAGTTTGATATGATTGGACCAGGGATCGTATGGGAGTGGGTGATGGGATGTGAAGCTAGAAAGGATGGTCATGTAAGAAGGGACTTTGTACGTCTTGCTAAAATGTGAGGATGTGTATTTTGTAAGTCAGAGTCAAGGGCTTGATAAAGTTGATAGAAACCTAGGGCTAAGAGTCAAACAGATTTGGATTTAAATCCCAGCCCTTCTGCATACTTGCTTTGTGATCTTGGGAGATCATTCCAGAGATTCAAGAGCAGGCTCTCCATTCTTGAGGAAGCAAGAAAGGCAAAATTGGGCAGAAGGAGAGGCTGCACCTGTGAGTGCTCTGGGGCTGGCATGGCATTTGGAGTGATCTCATATCCAGGCAAGGAGACTTGGCCTTTGTTTTGGGGAGGGATTAAGTAATCTTGGAGTGAGGCAGCTCCCTTTGGTGGAGGGTAATTCCCAGAGAGGGATCAGCTCTGAGTTTCAACAGCTAGCAGCCGGTATTCCCAGTAGTTGGAGGAATGAGTTGCTGGCTCTTGAGGAATGGCCTGGAGAATGCACAGTAAATACACACACACACACACACACACACACACACACACACACACACACACACACACACACGTGCAGAGAGAGAGACAGAGAGACAGACAAAAACAGATATGTCTTCTTGCTTGCTACCAGGAGTTCTCTTCTTATCCAGATTTTCTGGTTCTCAAAGAATTTCATCCTTGGAAACTGCCTATTTACAGTGGATTCCTGGTTACTTTGGCATTTAGTAGGGGGAATGCTCTATGCTTCCTGATCAGCTTTCTCATTCCTAACCATTGCTGACCACCTGGAAGGGTAACAAGTCATTACAATTACAGGTGTGAAGTTCTGCCTTCCTCGAGCAAACACAGCAGACTACAGACCTTACCTTCCCATCTGTGTTATTGCTGGAAGAGGAAAGAACAAGAGAGGCAAAGGACACAGGGAGAAATCAGAGTTTACGGAGGAGTAAGATCAACCCCTAGGACACATTTGTCATCTGAAAGAATAGGAAGCCAGAATCTATATCTACCAAGTCCAAAGAATTCCAGGTCCCTTTAGATTAGAAAGTCTTTCCTGCCTTTTTTTTTTGTACCCATTTATGCCTGAGGTTGCAATTTTTTTAATTTTTACAATTAGAACTTGGCAATTACCTTGACCAGCAAGATACAAATTACTCCCACATGCTTAGCATTCCAATAGTGGAACACTAGGCATAAATGGGTTTTAATCACCGATCTTCCTCTTTTCTAGCTCTTCTTCCATTGTTATGGTTCTAGGTCAGAAGCCTATTTTCTATCAAAATGGAAAGAAATTATTAGTGTGAATCTGAAGCAGCCTTTAGAACTGCTGTGGAGTCATTAGTGAGCATAATGCTTGTTTTCCTTGGGGAGAAGATTTTGAGACTTCCGCATGTTTCAATAATGTCCCCATGTCTGTATGGAGATCCAAATAAATGCTGTGTGCCTGATAGTTTTGGCCTCTTAAACAGCCATATCTTATACAGTTTAGTCAATGACAAAAAATCATTTACCCAAATTATTCTGTCTGATAAGGAGTTTGGAGCAGGTAATTTCAGGAATTTTTTTCTGTCTAAATGGATATAATAATCAAGAAGACACTTGTAGAAATAATTCCATGCAGAGCTATAGGGAACAGCTTCAAGACTTAAATCTTAATTACATCAGAACCAGTTATAGACATAGTTGCCTAAACTCAAAAGTTTTCAACAGGTTAAAAAAAAAAAAAAGTGAAGCATTTTAAAAATAACAATATTCAACTATTCAAATACTGATTATTTTAGATTTATGCCTTTAAAATTCTAAATGAAGCCTATTGGTCAAAATAATAGTGATTCAGCTTTTAGGTTCTGAAATCAGATATTCTGGGTATGAATCCTGGCTTTACCACTGTTGGGAGCTGTGTGGACTTGGGAATATTTGTAAATACGCCTCAGTTTCTGCAGCTATAAAGTGGATATAGTAATCTACTCCAGATAGTCGTTTAGAGGATTCATGAGTTATATATGGAAAACCACTTAGCCTAGTGTCTGGACTTAATAAGTCCTGGTAACTTTTATCTAATATCTTTATTATTATCTCTATTATAAGCACTTATTCTATATACCTACAATAATTATGTAATGTGAGATTATACCAAATATTATACCAAATGTGTCCTCATTCTAAGGAGAGTATCATAATGATGTGAAAAACCCTTCCAGAGAATCAGTTTTATTTACTACTTATTATGAAGTTCCAAACAATATTTGTAAGCAAACAGTGATAAGTGCCCTCACAACAGCATTGTTTGTGGCTAAATTAAGAGTTTTGTCCTCACCTTTGAACATTTAGTGGGAAATCAGGGAGTATCCAAGTGAATGCACAAGCTGGCCGAGACTCCATGCCTCTCAAATCCCCCACAGCCATTTCACATGGAGCGCCTTACCTTTGAGGCTGAATTGATTTCTTCATTCAACAAAAGAGTTATTTAATTCCAGACCTTCTACTAGATGTAGACAATGTAAACACAGATAGGAGAGTACTCTGCTTTTAACCTCTTAAGTTCTGCTTAGCTATTTTAAGAGAAGGTCAGAATTTGGAGGCTCCTGCTACACAAGGGCTTGTTTCATTCTCAACCCTCACTTGTTTCCCAAAGAACCAGGGCTGATGTGCCTCTTGCCCTGTTCTCCAGCTCTGCCTTCTGCAGTCATGAGCTTTTGCTTCCTTCTTTCCATTACTCATGCTGAAACAGAGTACTCTGCATCTGGTTTGGTTCTGCAGCCAGAAAATGTGCAGTTCATATGCTACGCATAAAAATGTAATTAATGTCATCTGTCACAGTTGCAGGACAGGCTATCCAGCCAGCTTGCAATAATCACTTTATTTAAGCACCTAATCACAAGGTGTTATTTACCAATTTTAAGAACGTTAATAGAAGTATGTAGTTTGGAGGTATACCATCAAATGGTGGCATTTGAATATGTTAGGTTATCTCTATGGGTTTTAAATTACCTTGAAGTCTGTCATTTCCCCAAAGATTGTTTTAAAATCATTAATATTTTTTATCCTTCCTTGGTTTACATAAATACATGTACAATATAATTCATCTTGTTTCTTCACCAATAATGATATCTATAAGCTGCCACTTACTGAGTTTTAGCTATGTGCCAAGCACTGTACTCTACATTTTCATAAATTAGCTCACATATCCTCACAGCTGCCCAGAGAACAGGTATTATATCCACACTTCAGGGATAAGGAAACAAAATGCTCAGGAGTATAAATTGCAGCATCAGGCTGACTAGCATGTATTCTTGTCTTTGCCCGTATGTCTTAGATAGTTCATAGCTCCTATGTACTCTGTTGGTATTTTTTGGTGGTAGAGATGTCACCCAATGCATAGGGTCAGAAACTTCTGAGAAATAGGACACTATGGTTCTTGTCCTAGTCATTCTTATGAAAAGACTGAAGAATGATATTCTGGGAAGAGGCACAACATTTGTCAATCATCCAAGTTATAGGGAGGGATTCAAAGCAGCAGAAACTGGCCCAAAGCCAGTGAGAATAACCCCTCTTTGGCATAAGTCCCATAGGTTGTCAGAGTCAGACTCACAGAAATTCAGTTGACTCACTTTAGGTATTGCTGATTGTGTGGCTTAATCTGAAAGAAAGGAAAGGTTACTAGTAAGATTCATACTTATTTTTTATTTTGATCAAAGACAGCCATATTCTATTTAAATACCCCAACATGAAAAAAAAAGCAAAGATATTTTATGGAGGAGAAAAGCTGTAGTTTCAAATACACCATTTAAAATAGGTTAATATTCAAACATGTTTTAGTAGAAGTTAATAAAAGATACCACTTGACTACAGATCTCTAAGGCTCTGACCTTGTTTTTTTTTTTAAAAAAAGTACCATAAGTTAAAAGCATCTGAAAACTACCAATCTCTATATGTGAAAAAAGAACCTATTTCTCTTTGAATATAAAAATAGATATAGATTGTAGAAATTTAGAAAACGCTATAAATATAAAAAGAAATAATAATTACCCATATTAACACTAACTACTTTTAAATTTTAGGCTCTATCTTTTCACTATTTATATGTGTATACATATACTTAAATATATATGTGTATATTTTACAGAATTGAGATTTCATTCTATATGGCTTGGAAAGGTGCCATTTTCATATAGAATATTATTAGCATTTCTCACATCTGGAAATAGGCTACCTCATGACTACATAGTACTTTACTATGTGCATGGCCATGTTAGTTTTCTGTTGTTAGACATTTAAATCTATGATTTTTTTTCTTATGCTACATTTTTTGAAGTAGAATTATCAAGTCAGAGGGTGGCCTTTGAATTTTGTTAGAATTTCATGTCTTGAATTAAATTCTTACTGTTTTCTTTTCTGGAGTAATGATGGTCATGGTTGTCATGTACAAACAGGTCATATATTCGCTGAAAAATTAATTGGCTTTTATTAGCAGTAAGCTAACACATATAGTTTAGTATACTTATATAACAGTAGTAAATAATATAACAAGAAGAACTTTTCCAAAGCATTTTAGTGCAGTGTTGCAGAAGAATTAAATGGTATTCTGGTGGCCTCAAGGGGCAGCTTAATTATTGATAGGGCCTGGATAAATAAGAATAGTTCAAGCTAACACTGCTAGCTGGTTCTCTTGGGTTTTATCAACCCTATGACTAACTTTTTATTTTTTAAGAAATAAGCCAAAACTAAACTATCATTTTTTGCAATGATGTAATTTTCTGAAATATTTTAGAAAATATTTTTAATTTGTATTTATAAATTGCTTATCAGGATGGCAAGCACATAATAAATGCTCTCTGAATAGCAATTATTGGTGCTGCTGTTCTTGGAGTTACATTGTTGCTTTTATTATTTAGTAACAACAGGATATGTGTGATTGGCCTGGCTTTAACTTTAATATAACAAGAGGAAGTACTGAATTCTGAAGGCAACTGTAACACAATGGTAAGTATTTGAGTATCTAAACACAGAAAAAGGTACAATACAATTACAGTATGCAAGATAAAAAAAATGATACACCTGCATAGGGCAGCTCCATTCTAATCTTATGGGACCACCGTCATTGAGTACAATAACATGCTATACAGGTTTGTAGCCTAGGAACAGTAGATTATACCATATAGAACAGGTATATAGTAGTCTATACCATCTGGATTTGTGTAAGTACACTCTATGATGTTCACACAATGATGAAATTGCCTAATGATGCATTCCTTAGAATATGTCTCTGTGGTTAAGTAATGGCCTGCCTGTACTTGAACTCATAATTACATTGAGATAAGTGGTCAAGGAATGCTTGAAAACTTATTTTTTAGCTAAAATTAAAATCTAGAAGGGTAAATTGTTTTAAATGGATATCTCTAAGTTACTTTTATTTTCTTCTGTTTGCTTATCTGTAGTTTCTGATTTTACACAATGAACAAGTTGTATAATAAAACACACAATAAAACAGTTATTTTTTGTAAACTGAAGTCTGAAGGAAAAGTTTGGTCCAGGTATACCAGTGTTTGTTTGCTGTAAAGGAGTGGGAAAACCCTATCCAGTAAATAATTCATCCCCAAATGCTGCTTATTAATGGAGAATCTGCCTATTCTCCGGGTCCAATTGAAAATTTCACTTGGATTATGCACTCTTAAGATGGTTAAAATAGGAAGACATGAAATCAGAGGACTTCTGACTATGACGGCAGATTCTACATGGGCTCCAACCACCTTACTTCCCAAAGTATCTGTTAAATGACCAATCGAATACATAAATAGGAAAAACTAGAATAATTATTTCGACTTCAAGCAGAGCCTATCACTCTTTTGCCCAAATCTTCTAATGACTCTCACCACACTCAGAGCAAAAGTCTACATCCCCACCTCCCTTCCCCAGCTTTATTCTTCTTTATAGCACTTATCCCTTTGTGACATACTATATATTTACTTAATTATTTGTTGACTTTCTGTCCCCTCAATTCCAGTGTAAGTTCCTACGGGAAGAGACCTTCATGTTGTTCACTGAAACAATGACTGGCACAGAGTAGGTGCTCAGTAAATATTTATTGAATGAATAAGTAATGAATAAAGATTTACTTCTGCATTAGAAACCAAAGATAGTGGCATTTACATAACAGAAGTTTCAAGGCATTTCAGCAAGACCCAGCATTAGCAAGGCTATGTTTAAGCAACACTATAATGTACATCCTACTTCCTGAGAGAAAGAAATCAGAGTGGGTCCTAGTAGTAACCTACCTTCACAGGTCAGCTAGGAGGACTGATGATGCTCATCACTGGAGCATCTTCTCTGTTCTATCACAGATTGGTAGCCCTGGGACCATGGCATTAAAAAGCACCACACTTTGCTCTAAGCACCCATAGGCACCATGAAATTCACCGGAAGGTTCACATGGCACAGATTCCCACCTAACTCTCCCAACTGAAAATTGCTCTCAGGATTATTTATATTCTTTTTCATCATTCCTTGAGATATTTGGAAATCCAGTCTATAGAAAAATTACTCAAGAACTGTCACTCAAAATCAAGCTCAGCCTGCCATTTGACTCTTAAGACAATACCAGGCAAGCATGAACTTCCTTAGAGAGATAATTATGCACATACTTGCAGGAATAAGTATGAATAAACAGAGAAGAATACATAGTTCCTCTAAATACATGCTATAGTTTATTCATTCCTTCTTCAATAAGTACTTATTGAAGCTTTCTTTGTCTCAGGCATTTGTCAAGATGTTGGGGATACAGCAGTAACCAATACAGGCCTTCTCCCTGCCCCTTGGATCTTATAGTGGGAAAGTACAATTACAATCTTAATTACAGAACAGCATGTTAATTGTACAGTAAGGGGAGAAGCCCCTTACTTCTTATGACTTGGAGATGAGGAAAGCTGCAATTTGAATCAGTTATTAAGAGTTAGCTGGAAAATGGTGGTAAAGGAGCAGAAAACTCTTCCAGGAAGAAACAGCATGTGTGAAGAACCACATGCCGTGAGAGATTTCATGGAGGAAAAAGGTGTTCTTTGTAGGTGACTCAAAGAATGGGAGAGGGCAGATGGCAAGAGAGATGATTGGAGAAATAAGGAGTTGAAATTAAAGGCCATATTGAGGAGTTCAAATTTATCCTAAGAGCAGTGGAAAGCCATTCACAGGTTTAAACACGATAGTGACGTGATCCACTTTCAGTGTGCCTGGAGTGTGGAGAGTGGATTGAAAGATAATAAGACAGAAAGTCTCAGTTTGCAGCTCTTGGAACTAATCCAGATGAGAGATGAGGATGCTCTTCCTTGGTTGTGGCAGTAGAAACAGAGGAGCAGGTGGATTCGAGTGGTGTGTTGGAGATAGAATATGTAGGCCTGGGTAATTGATTGGCTGGGTGGGAGAGAAGAGAGATGTAGAGGGAGCAGTCAGAGGTGACACCCAGGCTTGGGCAGTTGTCAGGGTGATAGGCGTCATATGAGAGGAGAAGGCTCAGGACACAGAGGCTGTGATGGGAACGGGATTATGGAAAACACGGTGTTTACTTTTGGGTGTGCCTATGGATAACTGGGTAGAGAAGCCCCATAAGCAGACCAAGAACTTCAGGAGAGAGATCAAGACTAGAGAGTTGGGAATCTTCCACCTTTGGCAGGTCATTAAAATCTTGGGAGTAGCTGAGATAAACCAGGGAGAACATATAGGGTGAGGAGGGAAGAGTAAGAAAAACTCGCAGCAAAACTAGGAATTAAAGGATAAGAAGAAGAACTGTATCCTATAAAATGACTGAGAAGGATCAGCCAGAGAGGTGAGAAGAAACGCAGGTCAGTGAGGTGTCCGGAAAGCTAAGTGAAGAAAATGCTGCCAGGAGGGAGTGGTCAATATGCAAAGGTCCATGATGTCCACTGAACTGAGCAGCAAAGGGTCATTGGTTATCTCTGTAAGAGCAGTCTGGGCAGAATGGCAGATGTTGAGTGAGCAAGTTAGGACAGCAAATGTGGACAGTATTGTCTAGAAATTTGCCTGTGAAGAGGAGGAAAGATAAGGGAAGTATTTGAAGAAGAACATTGGTCAAGAAAGGTAGGGGTGTGTGTGTGTGTGTGTGTGTGTGTGTGTGTGTGTAAAAAAAAAAAACCAGGATGTTAGGACAAACTAGTTTAAAATGTGGAGGAGGGCCAGGCCTGGTGGCTCATGCCTGTAATCCCAGTGCTTTGGGAGGCTGAAGTGGGAGGATCACTTGAAACCAGGAGTTCAAGACCAGCGTGGGCAACATAGCAAGACATGATTTCTGAAGAAAAAATATTTAAAAGTTAGCCAGCCATGACGATGTGCACCTCTACTCCCAACTACTTAGGAGCCTGAAGTGGGAGGATTGCTTGAGCCCAGGCATTTAAGGCTACAGTAAGCAATGAATACACCACTGCAGTCTGGCCTGGGCATCAGAGTGACACCCTGTCTAAAAAAATCCAAAAATAATATGTTGAGGAAAAGGAGCCACAAAAAGGGAAGCTTGACATGTTAGGAGAGAACAGGTGTAATTGATTGATCCAAGACTCTGCCAAGGGGGCAGGTAATGGGACCCAAAGGACAGGCAGAGGGATTAGCCTCTGGCAAAAGACTGTATTTGGAGATGAAAGAAGAGTTCCTATGGATGCGGGATTCTCTATTCCTGTTTCTTTGTGAAGTTAGAAGTGATAACATCTCATAAGCAAGAGGAGAAGAAAGAATGGTCTATTGGGAAAATAAGGTTTGAGAAAAAGTAGAAAAGATTTCAACCAACCCTTGGAGGGACCGATAATTAAAAATAAAAGAAATATGATATGAAAAAGAATCCCCACTTGAGAAAATATCACAATATGAAAATAAAATATGAGTTTTCAAACAAACTTGCTGAAAAGACACACATACACATACACACACAAACACGTAGTACTTTCGAGCCTCAAGCTTGCATGACTTCTACCCAGCATTCCATAAAATCATCCTCTTTTCAAAAAGAACACAGATTAGGTCTTATATATAATATTAAATGTCAGAAAACAATGGAGCAAAACCTGCAAGGACAATTGAAGGAAAGTTACAACTCCAAAATTCTAGATACAACCAAGTTGTTATTCATTTTAAAAAGCAACTGAAGAGCAATCTTAAATATGTAGTGTACTTTCCTGAATACACACTTAGTTTGGGTAGATTGTGTGCAAAGTTAGCATTTTCCTTTTATCAACTCCCTGAAGTATTTCTTGCCCACAGTGACTTTGGGCTTGGCCATATGACTTGCTTTGGTCAATGGGACAATGGTAAATGTGAAGCAAGCAGATACTTGAAAAGTGCTTCCAGATTGTGGCCTGCCCTCTTTTGATGTTTTTGGACATGTAACAAGTTATCAAGTCCTAGCTAGCTTGCTGGATGAGGCACAAGACTACATGGAAGGCAACTGAAGCCTCCTAAGTGACAGCCAGCCAAATATTACACATATATTGAGGACATCTTAGATCATCCAATTGCCAGCTGACCCCAGCTGATTGCAAATGCAAGAAAGAACACAGCCAAGCCAGCTCACAACAGAAGAACCTCCCAGCTGGCCCACAGAAAACTGAGCTAAGTAAAGTGTTGCTTAAAGCCACTAAATTTGGATGTTTTGTTCCACAGCAAAAGTTAAATGATACACTAGGTAAAGACCTGTGCCCTCCCCAAAAGGTAGATGAAATCAAAAGATAAAAATAGGTTTTGGGTAAATTGACTAAGTATACTCCACCATGCCTTTCCCACTGAAGGCATTTTTAAAAACACTGAATACCCGCAGCAGTTTAAAAACTGAAAATTAAAAAGTAGCAGGTAGTTTGGGGAAGAAGACCAGATTTTTAAAATTCCGTCAAATTGGCATTATGTTTTCCACTTCTTTTCCTTCAGTATCCTCCAGCCTAAATGCAAGGCAGCTAGAAACCTGGAAGGAGACATTGGACTTACATAAACATGGAGGGCTGTAGGAGAAGCTGTTAGCTGTGACACAAAAAGCAGAAAAGGGAAAATAAAGATGATCCCAAATTTTTCATTTTTCTCGCTACTTCCTCATGCCCCAGTCACCAGACAATCCCAAAATGGCAACAGCAGCAGTGACACCAACAGAGGCCTACAACTACCTACAACTCTGAAATAGAGAATCTTTCCTCCCTGATCAGAGGAGCTGTGATCCAAGAGGGTGGGGCAACAACCTGTTGTTTTATTTTCTGTCTGTCCTGCTGCCACTTGGCCTCAGATGTGGACACAGTCATAAGGAGTGTTTAGTAGATTAGAATAACTAAAGCCCCAACTTTCCAGTTAGAGCAATGAAAAGGGGAGCCCTAGGAACCAAAAAGTACTGGGGAGATTTCAGAAGGGGTAAAGGTTGAGAAAGCAACACCATAAAGTTCTTTATGAACTGCTGAATCCCTAAGCTACACATGAATGGGACTAATCCTAGACAGAAACCTACCAAAGACTTCGAGAATTGAACTATAGAATAGGAGCATTGTGTGAGTTCTAGAGAGGCCACTTTGTGGTGCATCTGCAGGACAGGTACAGATAGCACTGCAAAGGTGTTGGAAACAATTAACAATAGGATACTGGTCAGAATTTGTATTCCGAATCCAACCAGATTGATTTCCTGATAGAATAAAATTATCAGAATTCTGTATATGGTTTAAACAAGACTAGGAGTTTCATAATATAATATTCAGAATATCCAGAACACAATCCAAAATTACTCAGCATACAAAGAACCAGATAAATTTCAACTTCCATGAGTAAAACAATTGATAAACATCAAATTCTGAGATGACACAGATGTTTGAATTATCTAACAAAGATCTTGGGGGGGGTGTGTATGTGAGTGAGAGAGAGAGAGAGAGAGAGAGAGAGAAAGAGAGAAAGAAAGGGAGGGAGGGAGGAAGGGAGGGTGGGAGGGAGGGAGAAAGGAAGGGTCTCACTCTGTTGCCCAGGCTGGAGTGCAGTGGCTCAATCATGGCTCACTGTAGCCTTGACCTCTCCAGGCTCAGGTGATCCTCCCACCTCAGCCTCCCAAGTAGCTGGGACTACAGGTGTACACCACCATGCCCGGCTAATTTTTGTTATTTTTTTGGCGATGGGGTTTCACCATGTTGCCCAGGCTGGTCTTGAACTCCTAGGCTCAAGTGATCTGCCCACTTTGGCCTCCTGAAGTGCTGGGATTACAGGCTTGAGCCATCATGTCTGACCACAAAGACTTTTAATAAAGCAACCACGATAAAAATGTTCCAAGAAGTAAGGGTGAATACTCTTGAAATGAATGGAAAGCCAGGAAGTTTCAGAAAAAAAAAAAAAAAAAAAAAGGTATAAATGGAAATTTGAGAACTGAAAAATGCTATAACTAAAACAACAACAAAAAAATTCATTAGATAGACTCAATATCAGAATGGAGCTAACAGAGGGAAGAATCAGTGTATATGAAGGTAGTGTAACAGATATTACCTGGTCTGAACAACAGAGAGAAAAAATATTTTAAAAAAAATGAACAGAGCCTCAGGGACTTTGGGAATGATACCCAAATGTCTAACATTTGTGTCATCAGAGGTCCTGAAGGAGAGGAGAAAGAGTGTGGGGCATAAAATTAAAACTAGTTGAAAAATAATTGCAAGAAAATTTCCCAAATTTGGCAAATGACATAAACCTACACATTCAAGAAGCTCGGCAAAACCAAACTAGATGAACCCAAAGGAGTCCATACCTACACACATCATAATAAAACTGAAAACTAAAGACAAAGAAAAAAATATTGAAAGCAGCCAGTGAAAAATGATACATTATTTTGTGGGGAACATTAATTCAAATGGCTGTGAGACTCTCAACCCTCTAAATGCTAGCAGCACCTCACAGGTTGTGACAACCAAAAATGTCTTCAGACAAGCCAAGTGTCATCTGGGGGCAAAATTGTCCCTAGCTGAGAAACATTAATGTAAGTCAATTGAGTCTTCCATCCTAGTTTTTTTAAAAGAAATATTCCAGTTTGGCTTGTTTTCCCATCTTAGGGTTTGCAAGTCCAAATTCAATAAACAAACATGGGGTAGGTCAGAAGGCACGCAGTCCCTCATGTCCCATGAAAAAGGAATTTAAAAATATGGTTCAGTACCAGGTTTATTCCATTTCAGTTATTTATAAAAGATGAGCACTTAATAAAGTTCATATTCTTTTTTTGTTTTTGTGTTTGTTTTTGTTTTTCACTTGAGACAGAGTCTCACTCTGTCACCAGGCTGGAGTGCAGTGGCGTGGTCTCAGCTCACTGCAACTTCCACCTTCCGAGTTCAAGTGATTCTCCTGCCTCAGCCTCCTGAGTGACTGGGACTACAGGGCCCGCCACCACGCCCAGCTAATTTTTTGTATTTTTAGTAGAGACAGGGTTTCACCATGTTGGCCAAGATGGTCTTGATCTCCTGACCTCGTGATCTGCCCACCTCGGCCTCCCAAAGTGCTGGGAATACAGGTGTGAGCCACCGCGCTCGGCCCAATAAAGTTCATTTTCAAAGAGGCATAGACACATTGAATCCTTACCCATTTTTCTCATCTGAGAAAGAAGATGCTGCTTTAAGAAAGACACTGATGAGGAGAGAACATTCCTACCATATGTTGAGGTGTCTGCAGTTGAGTCAACAAATTCTAAAGCAACCTAAGAACAGTATTCTGGTTGCTAGCCAACTTTCTTACCAGTTGAAGACTATGTTTCATACCACATGATAGGGATTCTAAAAGATTTTTCAGCAGCTGTAAGAAATGCCATATTGGGGGAGATTGTACATATAGCAAATATTTGAATTAAGAAACACTTGTGATACCTTGGAATATATCAACCTAAAAATATGCATTTGCAGAAGAGATACCGAATATGGCTGTCAGATTTATTTCAGTACCTCTTAAAACTCAGAAGAAAAAAAATATTATTGTGAGTGAAGCAGTTAAATAGGAACAAGAAAATTTGCCAACTAAATACTTTGTATAATTCTCCTAGAAGCCTATAAAAAAGGAAAGATCTTGACAGTGGATGTATGAACTATTTAGATTGAGAAAAAATAATTTTCAATAATTAGTAAATAAACACAAGCACTACTTTTTAAACATTAACAGTTTCAAATGAACACATAGAACCATAATTGGCTAATGTGCTGGCTTGAATAAACATGCCCATGAAAGTTTTATCTTAGCTGGGCACATTGGTTCACATCTGTAATCCCTGCACTTTGAGAAGCCAAGGTGGGAGGATTGCTTGAGGCCAGGAGTTCACACCAGCCTGGGCAACATAGCAAGACCCCCATTTTACAAAAATAAAAATTAAAAAATAGCTGGGCATGGTGGTGTACATCTGTAGTCCCACCTACTTGGGAGGCAGAGGCAGGAGGCTTATTTGAGCCCAAGAATTCAAGGCTGCAGTGAGCTATGATTGCACCACTGCACTGCAGCCTAGGAGACAGAGCAAGACCCTGTCTCTTAAAAAAAAATAAAAATAAAAAAAAGTTTTAACTCTTTAGCTCTAAAGATGGAGATTGCACAGATCTACTATTATAATCAGCTTTTATTATTTAACAAGATCTAATCACTCTACCGAAGAAGTCATGACAAATGCATAGTAACTTATACTTCTCTTCCCTTTTTATTTTTTCTGAAACCTAACTTTACTGAAATCAGCTTTTTCCCAAAACAGAATAGGCATTATATTTCTTGATTTATTCAACAAACCTCTATTGATAACCTTTATGTGATAGGCACAGTGGCGGCTACTATGGTCACAAAAGCGAGTAAGACACAAATCTTCAACTGGTACCCCCATAGGAACTTAGACTCTAGTAAGGAAAGGAACTATAGACATAAAAATTACATTACAAATTGGTAACTGCTCTTAGATAGATAGGACCTAAGACCATGAGAGCACAAAGGATTGAGTAAAGCATTCTGGCTGGAAGAAAGGCCTCACAGAGAGAGTGACATTTAATCAAGCTCTTAAACTTGGTGAGATTTTACAAAGGAACTGGGGGAAGTACATTCTTCTATACTGGCAGACCAGCAAGGACAAGGCTCTGAATTTCTGATCCAGCCTAGCACATATCTAGGAAATGAAGCTAGAGAAAGATAAGGGTAGATAAGACTCCTGGTGGCCCCTTAACAGCAATGAGTTTTAAAGATGAATTAGGCCACTTCTGTGCCTAGAGCAAATGCTCACATCTCTTACCCAGCTGGCTGGTGTTAGGAGTGTAGCCTATGGCGTGATGAAGGATAAACAGTGAGTAACAGCTGTCTGAGGTCTGGAGAGGCAGGCTGTGGAGGGCACAAGAATTTGAATCTCAGTTTGAGGAATTGGTATGTTGTTATCTAAGCAATTAAGGATGCTAAGAGAGTTTTAAAGCAGATATATGACTTAATCAGCTTTGTGAAGCATTTGAAAGCATTGGAATGGGAAGAAACTTGTCTTGGGGAACCTGATGAGGAAGCTGTTGCATTAGTAATCTGGGTGATAATTTTTATCCTATCATGTGAGTTGTGGCCAGAGCATAACTCTATACTTACAATGACATTGCCTTCAAAAAGTTCTTATTATTGTCAACCACCAGTGTGTCCTGGGGGGGAAAAAAGAATTATCATTGGTGCAGATTAATAACGAGTTGAATGGATTTTTGCTGTTGACTTTTAAAAGCCCTGTTAGTAATTTAAATCCAGAATATTTTTATTCAGTCCATCCTATTCAGATTTTCTTAAGGCTTCTACTTCTTTAGCTGATGGATCTTTAGCTTACTGGGAAAAGAAAAAGAATCTAATCCTGATTCATAGATTCTTGGGCTTATAATCTATGCAGACATGGATTTGGACTGACTCCACCAAACAGGGCAATCACAAGTGATTACAAGTTACTGAGTGGCCTGTGTTGCTTCCTAATCCTCCCAAGATCTTAGCTTCAACCCCTTGAAATATAAAAACTTGTACTTAATATCACTAGCTGGAAAATAATGAACCGTTATCTGTGAGGCAAGGAGAATTTGCTCTGATTTCTGTAAACTGTGTCATATAAGGCAGTGGTCCCCAACCTTTTTGGCACCAAGGACTGGTTTCATGGAAGGCAATTTTTCTAAGGGCAAGGGGATAGTTTCGAGATGAAACTGTTCTACCTCAGATCATCAGGCATTAGATTCTCATAAGGAGCACATAACCTAAATGCCTTGCATGCACAGTTCACAGTAGGGTTTGTGCTCCTATGAGAATCTAATGCTGCGGCTGATCGGACAGGGGGCAGAGCTCAGGCATTATAATGGTGGCTCACCCACCGCTCAGCCACCGCTCACCTCTTGCTGTGTGGCCCAGTTCCTAACAGGCCACGGACTGGTACCAGTCCATGACCCAAGGGTTGGGGACCCCTGATATAAGGAGCAGTTAAAGACATTGGGAATATTTAGTACAGAGAAAATAAGTCTCAGCTAGGACTCAATATTTGAAGACCTGTCATACAGAAGATGGTATCAGCATACCTACTCTATAAGGCTACAGGAGTTAAGACCAATTGGAGGAACTTAAGTAGAGACAGGTTTACTTTATCCTAAGAAAGACCTTCTAACAGTCTGAAGTCAGCAAGGCTATCTCACATCTAGAATTCTGCTTTGTTGCAGTTTTGCAATATTCTCTGGAAGGGACTTTATCTTCCTTAATATAGTACCACAAACACAGTTGAATATTCTAAAAAGTAAATCTTGAATTATGTTGAGTTGACTAAGACATTCTGATTTGAAAGTTTATATGAATAGACTGTTGCATTCAAATTTAGAAAAACAAAGTGTCTTCACAAGATAAAGATAAGATGCTGAGCTAATAATAGCATCATAATGACAATAAGAGATAATACTTATGGAATGCTTAGTATGTGCCAGACACTCTGTTAAGCACATAACCATGGGCATGTCATTTAATCCTTTTAACAACGCTATGGAGTATATACTGTGATCTTTCCCTATTTTACAGCGGAAACAGCTCAGAGAAGTTAAATATATTTAAACAGATATTTAAATAGCTTGGCCCTTCTTGAAGGTTTTGGGGGTTTTCCCCCTTAAAGTGCCTGTCATCCCATGTGCAATTGCCCATTAGCCACAAGGATTTTTAAAATTTCTCTGATTGTATTCAGCAACCCAAGTGTCTTTGTCAAAAAGATACTTACTCCATAAGAATGTTTTTCTTTTTCTATTTGTTTTGGTACCTTTACTTACATCCATTGTCAGATTGGTGACCAGTTAACTGGCTGTAGTTCTGAGGTGGTGCTATTCAGCCAAATGTCAATCTTTAAAGGAAGTTTCTGATTTCGTTTAAATTTTTAAAGATCAATTACTTTATTTAAAAAGTATGGGTATAGTTCCAGAGTGATATAAATATAGAGATTTTGCTTGGCTTAAAGTGTTTTTGAAGATGCGTAAATCAGACTGGATTGAAATTGTTTTGATTACCTCTCTGTTTCTCTCCTAGACTGTAAGGCCACTTTTCTTTCCTAAACACATAGGAGACACTTAGTAAAAATTAGTAGAATTAATGGGTTAATGCGTGACTGAGTATGTGAATGAATGAACTTCAATATCTCAAAGAATCTCTGCCTTTTGCTTGCTAATCCAATGGATGACTTATAAATGAGCAAATTTCCTGCTTGTTGATTTGCTTAGTCCCTAGGTTTTTCTTACCACAGTACTATTAAGAGTAAGCTTATGGGTTTCCTACACAATGTGGTCTAATTTGCTTCATTACATAATATACTTATAATCCCAGCCACCTGAGTTGTAGATGTGAGCTTTTGGTCACACCAGGGAACGGTATAGCTTTGGATCTCTCACAATTATGGCTGTCACAGAAAAGAAGGCCAGTTGGCTTTACTAATAAATTTGCAGGCTCAAGTTCATGCACTAAAGAAGACATATTATTATGGTAATAGTGAGAAATTGCTCATAAAGCTGAGTTGATTGCACTTTTGTGAAGTTCAGCATATTGAAAATGGTTTGGAACTACTTTTTGATATTTTTAGTTAATTATAGTCTGAAACAGTTTTATAACTCATTCTGATTTTAATTAAGTAGGTTTATTTACATCAGCCACTGAGAATTTATATGTAACTGGTTATTCATTTAGTGACACTGAAAAGGTGTTTCCAATTTATCAGCATTTTGAGTAGAGAAACAACTTTTCATGTGTTTCTTGAAGAGCTAGGGAAATGAAAATGAAGACGCTTGTTTCATCTACTTTATTTCCTGTAGGATTTAAATCTCAGTCTTGAGTTACTTAATCAGCCCATTCAAATACTGTTTATATGTGGTAGATTGTGAGTGACTTTGGTGTTGATGACTATGCACCTTTCAAATTGTCTGCTGGAAGGCTGAACACAGCAACAGCCGACCTTTTTCACCTGGATGTAGAATACCACATTTGTCCAGCAATTACATCAGTAATTGTAAGAGATGCCCCAGATAGTTCCCTTTATGGTTAAGTTTTGTCTTGATTTGAAATGAAGCTCTGGTTTCTCTGTATTTGTGATTCCTTCTAATTTCTCCTTTTCTAGTGGCATGGAGTTTTGTCTAAAAAAATCTGGTTTTTACCCCTTTAGGGTAAAGTAGATCATGAAACTAATTCCATGATAGTTAGATAGCTTCAATACTTAGTTGTGATTTTAGTAAGTACAAAACCATGTCCCGTGACAGTTAGAAGGGAAATGTGCAGAAACACTGTAAACATTACCCAGAAACTTGGTTCAGGCCATCAAGCACAACCCAACTTTCTCCATTAGGCATTTTAGAAGACGCTGTTGCCTGTGTCTTCAGAGTTTACCTGAATTAAGGGAATGTATCATAGAGACACATGATCATGAGCTTTGGAAACTTAAAAGCACACATACTGTGGAAGTATGGCCTGATCCCTTTAACCAGAATTTACATCCCAAACTGACTGAGCATGAGACACTGCCATCATCTGAAACCCTCTCAGTAAATATTTAATCTGGTTTTTCTCTTTCTCTTTTACTCCCGCGGTGACTCAGCATACAGTCTGGGTTTCTTGACTGGTCATCACAGTAGATTTACTTTAAAAATACTTCTGTAAAAGGCCATAGGCCTTCTGAATGGGTCATTGAATCCAACCACATAGATCACTTGATAGATTGCTCAGTGTACTCATACGTGGTTGTTTTAACTATCCTCTTTGTTCTTCCTCTCCCTCCTTTCTGGGAGGTTCTGGGGGTAAGACTGGATAGGGTAAGGAATAGGGACCCTGGCCAGGGCCCACCCAGTGTAGCATTTACCATAGCACTCCATGTAGAAAGCTGTTTTGGTATGTCTGGCGTCTTTGTGAGATTGCAAACTGGAGTGCAGAAACCAGTCCTTACTCAGTGCTGTTCATTCAGCAGATGTAGCTCCTGTACCTCCAGGGTGCCAAGCACCAAAGTAGGCACTGGGAATGCAAGGACAATTGTTAGGATGTGGTCCCTGCTCTCAAAGAAACTGTGTTTATGAGGAAAGAAACAAATGTGACAAGCCTGCTAGCAACATTTCAAGTGTGTAATAAGGACCATCTCAATAAAACCCTGTGACAGAGATAATTAGCAATTCTTTTTTGTCAGTGGAAAAACTGAGGCTTTGCAAAATTATTTAACTTGTACACAGACTGTAACAAGGTAGTTTGAACACAGGCACTTCAACGTTAGAGTTTGAACTCTTAGCCAGTATACTAGATGGCCTAGAGGTGGTAATAAATTAATGTATTATAAAATCAAAAGGAAGGAAAGACCTAATCTCTTTCCTTGGGGGCAAGTTGAAGTTACCAGAAAGTTTTTACAGAGTTACATGTAGGATTGTACCAGCCAAAGAGAAGGAGGGAGAGTCTAGGAAAGAGGAAATGGCTTGAGGAAAGTACAGAGATGGGAAAGCGGGGCCTGAGACTTAGCAGTTTAGGACCAGGCTGAAGGATGGGGTGTGGGATTTGTGGAAAGTGAAGTAGACTAGTTAGGCAGAAGTTATGGATGAGTTAAAAAAAATTGAACTCTATCCTAAAATAATGTAGCAAGCCTTTCAACAATTTTAATCAGAGGAAGCCTAATTAGATTTTATTTTAGTTCTGATGACCTATAGAAAAAAATTGATCAGCCAGAATTGATAAGATTGGTAACTTCTTCAAGGAAAAGCAGCCAGTCTTAGAGGAACCCTAGATTTCTGACTTGAGTGACATTGTTGTCCTAGAAGCATTATGATTTCATTATAACCCTTTTAAAAAATAATCTTCTAACATGTATCAGGAGTCTTAAAAATGTTTATACTTTTATGCTAGTAATTTCATGTCTGGGAATTGGCTTAAGCAAATAATACAAATGCAAGATATATGCCTTTTGACCAGCATTTATGATATTAGTTCAGAGTGCTTAAAACATATTGGTGAAATTGAATAAAGAAATAAATGATTGACTAGTTGGTAGAAAATAGTGGAAACATTGGAAACAGTACACTTAAATTTAATGTTAATGTACATTTACTAGGTAGTTGTTATGAATCAAATTGTGGTTCTGAAAATTATATAATTACATGTAAAAATGTATCGTAACTTAAAAAAATAGGAAAATATACTTAGACCTATGTTTAAATAAACTTGAAGAAATACATCAAATCATAATGGTGGGCCAAGTGCAGTGGCTCACACCTGTAATCCCAGCACTTTGGGAGGCCAAGGCAGGCAGATCACTTGAGCCCAGCCTGGGCAACATGGCAAAACCCTCTCTACATAAAATACAAAAATTAGCTGGGCATGGTGGTGTGTGCCTGTAGTCCCAGCTACTCAGGAGGCTGAGGTGGGAGAATCTCAGGCCACTGCACTTCAGCCTAGGTGACAGAGGGAGACCCTGTGTCAAACAAACAAAAAAAATTATAATGAGCTGGGGGACTGTCCTTCTATTCTCTTATTTCTTCAGTATTCAATATACTTAGTTCATTTTCATGATGGAAAAAGATTAAAAACTTTGAGACTGTTCATTTTGGACTTATGTTAGAAATATCTGAAACATCAAAATGACAATAAACAGTAAACAATTGGAAATAGGCTTGGAATTAAACTCTGGGTTTATACACTGGAGATATTCAGTAAATGTTAACTGAATTGAAGTTCTATCCATTTTCCTTCCCCTTGGGTCAGGATCCCAGAATCCTAATGAAATGTATTAGAATATTAGAAGTTTTACCATTATTTGAATATATTATTGGGTAACAAAAATTTCTTCCCTAACACAGAAGAAACATTGATTGCTTTTCTTAATACTTATATTATTTTTCTTATGTGGCAATTCTTGTTCAAGGGCCAAGGGTCTGCTCTCACTGCTTTCAAATATTTTAAGTTATTATCTTTTTTTTTTTTTTTTTTTTTTTTTGAGAGTGGGTCTCACTCTGCCACCCAGGCTGGAGTGTATGCTCACAGCTCACTGCAGCCTCGAACTCTTAGGTTCAAGAGATCCTCCCACCTCAGCCTCTCATAGCTGGGACCACAGGTGTGCACCACCATGCCCAGCTAATTTTTGTATTTTTTCTAGAGATGGAGTTTCCCCATATTCCCCAGGCTGGTCTCAAACTCCTAGGCTCAGACAACCTGCCCACCTCGGCCTCCCAAAGTGCTAGGATTACAGGCATGAGCCACTACACCCGGCCTGTTTTCAAATTTTTAATGAAATAGAATCCATAGGTGTATTTAACCTATTAAATATTTTTTTTTCCTAATAGAGACAAGGTTTCACTGTGTTGCCCAGGCTGGTGTTAAATTCCTGAGCTCAAGTAATCTTCCTGCCTCAGCCTCCCAAAGTGCTAGGATTATAGGTGTGAGCCACCACACCTGGCCTCACTTATTGAATTCTGATGGACTTTTAACAACCCAGATATTTTCTAATTAAAGGATTTCAGTTCATTAGCCTAGTAATGTCGTATGCTAACTGGGCCACACCAAGTGCATTTTGGTTTAAAGATTGCTTCTTTGGGAGTCCAGAGTAGCATTTTGAAAAAACAATTGTTTCTCATTGTTACTGTAATAAACTGGAAACATATTTAAAGTGGGGGTAACATGAGGTGCTCCCTCCACTGTTGCCATACCATGAGGACAGGAACCATGTCCCCAGGATTCAGATTAGGACTTGATGTTTTATCTGGCCCAAGTATCTGTGAATACAAGGATGTGTGAATTCATGTTTCACAAATTAGTCGCATAAACCAGTGCTTCTCAGAGCATAGTTCAGTTCCTTAGCAATCTTTGAAGGCTAGTGGTGGGAAGAAAATCATTAATTTCTACGTTATTTACCTATGGAGGGTTTGGACTGTCATTCAAAGTGGACAAACAGGCAGAAACTTTGGTGCTGTGTCATGAGGATAGCCAAGGGTCTACCTACTGAAAGGAACTCCACAACAACTTTTCACAAAATCTAAAATTCCCACTGGAGCCTGCTCCTCTAGGGCCTCTTTCATCAGTTACATATACCTTATTATGGGGACTTGAGGAATTATCAGTTTCCTAAGGGATGTTTCATTAATTCATTCAATAGCACTGGTAGTAGGACTCCCTGAGAAAATGTAACATAGGAAGATAGGTTTAATATACACACATGGCAAGGGAATATGGATATAAGAAAAGCTGGAGCATAATCCTTAAGGGCCCTTTGGAATCCAGGGTCACCTGAAGGAATCTAAAGGCCAGGGCAGTGGGGAGGGACATCAAAGTCAACTCAAGCCCCTCCTACAGGGAAGCCAATAGAATCAATGTCAAAAGAGACCACAAGAAAGGACAAGGTGATGTGGCCTTTTCACTCAAGGGAGTTGCCATAACGAATAGTGTCTGGAAAAAGAAATAATGATAATTATGGTGTATTCACTGTGTGTTAGGAACCATTCTAAATACTATGCATGAATCATCTTATTAACACTTACAAGAACCTTATGAGATAAGTACAATGCCTATATTCATTTTACAGGTCAGGAAACTGAGGCATAGGCAGATCCAAAGTCACTGAGACTTCACCTTAGGCATTCTGACTCTAGTCCTTAGACCTTGCTTTTAAGCATTATATTATACTGCCTGCAGACAAACTTTATATATTTCAGGGCCTCTGGGGAATGACAAAAGAAAAATGTAAGTGTATGTCTGGCAGACCACAGTCTGTCTGTGATGCCAGATTTCTTCTACCTTATTATCTAAAGTCTTAGAAAATATGGAACATACTATGACTTGTCAGCACATGGACACATAGAAGGGAATAACACACACTGGGGCCTACTGGAGGATGGAGGCTGGGAGGAGGGAGAATATCAGGAAAAATAACTAATGCATATTAGGCTTAATACCTGGGCAAAATAATTTGGCACAACAAACCCCCATGACACAAGTTTACCTATACTACAGATCTGTACATGTAGCCCTGAACTTAAAATAAACGTTAAATAAAAGAAAAAATCATCTTGTCCTAAAGATATTTGGCCTAAGATAGCTTTGAGGACCCTTATAACCCCAAACCTAAATCTTTTATCTGACCCAGAATATTTTCTTGGGTTAACGTTTCTTGAACATAAGGGAATTTGTTGTTGTTGTTGTTGTTGTTATTGTTCTGAAGTCTTAGCCAAGAAATATTTTCTTCTTTTCTTTTTCTTTTTTGAGACAGAGTCTCACTCTGTCACCCAGGCTGGAGTGCAGTGCTGTGATCTCGGCTCACTGCAACCTCTGCCTCCTGGGTTCACGCAGTTCTCATGCCTCAGCTTCCTGAGTAGCTGGAATTACAGGTGTGTGCCACCACACCTGGCTAATTTTTGTATGTTCAATAGAGATGGGGTTTCACCATGTTGTCCATACTGGTCTTCAACTCCTGGCCTCAAGTGATCTGCCTGTCTTGGCCTCCCAAAGTCCTGGGATTACAGGCATGAGCCAACGCGACCAGCCATCTTTTCTTTTTAGACTTGCTACCTGAAACGTGGGTAGCTGAGCAGAGTTAGTTGGTGGCCTTTGATCCCATTAGAGAGTTCTAAATTGTTGGCCCAGATCCTTGAATGAAATCTGATATTAAAATAACACCAAACTGAAGTCATAGGAGATTTGTAGTATAATATATACCCTCTCAATAATCAAGACATAGGAAAAATAAAATGAGTTTCAGTTGACTTCATTTTTTTACTCATGACTTTCCTTTCACTCTTGAGTGATTTGTAACCCACATCTTCACATATCAGGGACACAGCAAGACACAAAATCCTTAACTCCAATTTGGGATTTTAGAAGCTGTCAGAGCTTAGTAAATAGCAGCACTCTCTTAGATACTCCAGGGAAATTCAGTGAAAAATACTGCTAATGAATTTAAATTTCTCAAAGTTCAGGTACTGCTCTGATGCCATCTTCCCACACTATTTTATCTTCCATGAGTCTTCAGTCTATCATATTTGTTTGGCTTTTGTTGAGGCCTGACCCAATGACCTCATGTTTACAGATGGACTTGGGCCAGGACTAGGACCCTCTTTAAATTCTGCATTCTTGGTGCCCATTTGCCCAAGCACCACACAGGACACCGAGGGGTTGCAGAACTGATTAAGATATGGCCCTTATCCCTAACACTGATAGTCCAGTGAGAGGTACATTCACGGACCAGTGGATGTTGTTAATGTTGCAAACTGTAGATTAAGCTATGCTACACATTTTTTTTCCATTTTCTGTAGCTGACTACATAACTCAAAATGGGGGAAAAAAGGTCATTTGGATATATGATTTCCTTAAAATAACTTACAGCTTTTGTTGAAAATAATATTCAAATACTTCTCTATCAAACTCTCAGAATTAGCCTAGGGAAGGTTATTTCAAATGCTGTTTTTTACCAACTGGGTAGAAGAATGATACTCTCCACTTTTTTGTCTTCATTGAAAATAATAATAAATGCAGAGGTAAAAGTTGATGGACCTTGAGTGGACTTACCATTTTACTGCTTTGAAAGTGCTTTCTTGCCAGGCTCAGTGGCTTACATCTATAATCCCAGCACTTTGGGAGACTGAGGCAGGCAGATTACCGAGTTTGAGACCAGTCTGGGCAATATGGTGAAACCCCGTCTCTACAAAAAATATAAAAACTAGTTGAGCTTGGTTGCACGCCACCCTGTCTCTACAAAAAATATAAAAACTAGTTGGGTTTGGTTGCATGCCCCTGTAGTCTCAGCTATTCGGGAGGCTGAGGTGGGAGGATTGCTTGAACCCAGGGGTTCAAGGTTGCGGTGAGCTGTGAGCATGCCACCGCGCTGCAGCCTGGGTGACAGAGCGAGACCCTGTCTCCAAAAACAAAAAAGTGCTTTCTCAAAATTAAACTTGTTGTGAGTCACATTGTAACTTTGGGCAGAGGGAGTTAATTTCCCCTTTGGTTTCTAAGTTAGCTTTTTGGGAATCACACTGTAAAATGTCATGATCTAGTTCATCTTTAATGGTCCTTAGTTCTGCAACTCAACTTTTAAGCAAGCATGACGCTTCAACCTGCTTACTTTTTCTCTCTTTTTGGTAAAGTCTGTTTGGATGGCGGGGGAGCCGTTCACCCATGGTTGTCACTTGTTTGCTCTGTTTATCTTATGGGGACCATCTGTATACAATGTCTAGAGTTTACAAAGGGCCATTCCGTTAAAGATGTTTACTACAGAGGCTTGCTGTCTTTCTGTCGTGTTAGATACATTCCTCTATTTTCAGTTAGTGGACTTTTTAAGATGTAAATAATTTTAAAATATTCTTTTTTATTTTCTAATTACAGAGCAAAGAGATTGCATTCCAACTTCATGAGGATTTAATGAAGGTTCTTAATGAGCTTTATACGGTAAGGACATAATCTTTCTTCTTTTCTAGAATCCTTGGGTTAGAATTCTGGTTTGTAAAAACACTGCTCATTGTAGTATTCATTCCAAGCCAGAGTGACAATGGATCCTCATCTGCTTGAAATACAGGAACAAGGGATAGGTATACACAGCTACATTCCTTCGCCACTCCATTCCAATTTGGAGAAACTGTATTCAAATAAATTATCTATCTACCTATCTGTCTGTCTACGTACACATGTATATACACAATTAGCACACTTTAAGAAATTGAAGTATAGATGTCTCCATAAGATATGTTTTTAACTGGATTGTATGTGATCTCTACATATATTGAATTCGAGAATATTTTGTTTAAAATTGATGCCATTGTGGCCAGGCGTGGTGTAATTGCAGCACTTTGGGAGGCCAAGGCTGGTGGATCACTTGAGGTCAGGAGTTTGAGACCAGCCTGGCCAATGTGGTGAAACCCCGTCTCTATTAAAAATGTAAAAGGTAGCTGGGCATGGTGGGATGCGCCTGTAATCCCAGCTCTTTGGGAGGCTGAGGTAGGAGGATCACTTGAACCCGGGAGGCAGAGGTTGTGGTGAGCCAAGATCACACCACTGCACTCCAGCCTGGGCAACAGAGTGAGACTCTATCTCAAAAAAAAAAAAAAAATGTTGCCGTTATGGAACTTGAGCAATTTAGGTTGCGTTATTCTGGTACTTTCTTTTTTTCCCACATTTTAGTTCAATTAATTGTTTTGTTAATGACATATTAAAACTACTTTTGAAGGATATCTTTTTTTTTGCAATAATTTGCTTTTGTGACTTACATATTATTTAGGGTACTTCATGTAATCGTTAAAAATTAAATAAATTAAAACTACTTTATTAAAAATAACTAACACCTAATGATGTTGCAAGTTGGAATTAGTAATATACTTATGTAAGTATTTTTTCACACTTAATGATCATGTTATTAAATACAAATTTCTTTTGGGGGATATTTTATTTTAAGAGAATAAAATAACAACAAATGAGTAATATTAATTTATATTAATGAAAGATATTTGGATTTTTATTGTACAAGATTATTTTGTTTGTTGGTTTGTTTTTGAGGAGTCTTACTCTGTCACCCAGGCTGGAGTGCAGTGGCACAATCTCGGTCACTGCAACCTCTGCCTCCCGGGTTTGAGCAATTCTCCTGCCTCAGCCTCCAGAGTAGCTGGGATTACAGGCATGCGCCAGCATGCCTGGCAAATTTTTTTGTATTTTTAGTAGAGACAGGGTTTCGCCATGTTGGCCAGGCTGGTTTCAAGCTCCTGGCCTCATGTGATCCGCCCATCTCAGCCTCTCAAAGTGTTGGCATTACAGGCATGAGCCACCGAGCCTGGCCTGAATTGTTTTTTTATAGGCAAACTAAACCTGAAACTTGAAAGCACGTTTCTTGATTTACCAATTCCATTTGTTCCTAAAAAGGCACGTGTGTAAAATACAGTTTTGTAAATTAAATTTTTAATGCTCCTTTGATACTTACTAATTAAACTTGTAAATTAAACTTTTATAAAATGATTCTTTATAAAATGAACTTTCTAGTTTTTTACTATGTGTGTGATAAATCTATTTTTATAAAGCACATTTACTGCATCTGTGCATATAAATTGAATTGACAGTTTCTATGTGTTCCTCCTTCAGAAACTTTCCACTCTCCATGCAACCTACAAAAGCCTCAGGTTAAGAGATTATATCTATATACCAAATGCTTAATGAAACTGATTTTTATGTGATAAAGGCCAATTTCTAGCTCCTGCTTTATGTGATTTGTTAGCTTCTGATACCCTAAGGTATCAACCATTTCTAGAAGCCCAGTAATTTAAAAGTTAAATGACCTTTGTATACCTGAGACTTCCAAAGAGGAACAAGCAGAAATTCTGTGTCGTCTTCCATTGAACTCTTTTAAGATGAGGACATTGTGGCACTTTCCTTGAGGTTCCTTTGCTTAGACATTGTTTTACCTAGAAATAGAAATCAGTCCCTAATACCTTAAAAAAATAAGTCTGCTGGTTGTCATGCCATCTTGGGTTAGAGCCTGTTGATTATGGTCTGAAAATAGTAGTAGTAGTAAAGACAACAGTGGCAAAGATGAACTTGACCACTGAATACAAGAAAAGTCAATAGAGTGTCCTGAAAATTTTATCTCAGTGAGAGATATATATAATTAAATTTCTCCTAGATCCAGCCTATCGATTGCACCTAGACATTTTGCAGACTCTGTAGCGTTCAAGTGAGTAAGCTGACACCTCAGAACTCTTATCAATATCAGCCTGAAAGCCTGAAAGAGTCAGGTTCTACCAAAGGCCACCAGGGTTGGAGTGACCCTATCACAGTCATTTAAGCTCTCAGAATTGGTTGAGGAATTAAGGGATAGGGCAGACAAGTAATGAGGTTTTAATTATGTCATCTGTAGATCACTTTGAGCTCCTGGGGAAAAAATTTACTTTAATCAGAGAGCATGCTCAGCAAGGCCAGAGGTCATATTCTGTGGGGAGAGAACTTCATATCACTCATGCACACACACACACACCCTCTCCCTTTTTATTCTAAAAGGAGATGCTATTTTGTCTTTCTTGCATTTTATCTTCAGATACACAAACTCTGTCTTGTTCAAATCAAATCTATCCATTATATTAATACTTACTCAGTTTATATTAGGAAAGAGGCAAGATGAGGCATATTTGAACAGTGGAACAATATTTGGAGGAATGTAGTTTAGGTTCCCCATTCAACCACTCACTGGCATTTTGGTCATGAACAAATAACCAAGTTGCATCGTGCATAGAATTTTGTACAACTGATGATGTAATAGTGATTGTTGAAGTAACAGGCATAAAATACATAGCCTCAGGGAATTGAGGATGCTTTTTAATTGTCTTTTCTGGCAAATATTCACTCCTCACTTGCTCTCAAACCTTGACACTCCTTGGGAGTTGAAAGTGAGCAGTTGAGAAGTATACTAACTTCCATATGCCAGTGGAGTACTTAATTTTAAATTACAGTCAACCTTTGTGGTGGGTGACAGCCTTATGTTTGGACTTCCTTACCCCAGAATATTGCTCCCACAGCAATTGTTGATTATTTCAAACATTTTATCAGAAGGCTGTGTCTCAAATAAAATATATATGCTCAGGAAGGAGAATAGAGAGAGACGCCCTATGGTCCATTTATACGTTAGAGTGAACCTAGTTTTACCAGGCCAGATTGTGCAGATGATGGGGTAGATATGATATCATATGATGATATGATAGATATATAATACAATAGAGCACAGGTTGTGTGGATATGGCACGAAGCCCTGGACTTAAAGCAAAGACAGGATGGTGGCATTAGAGTGGCTACTGAAAGGAAAGGCTTTGAAGACTTGCAGCTCCTTTTCTATATTTTTGCCCAATCTTGCCTTTATTTGCTGGGAAAAAAAAAGAAAAAGGCCTCAAATGGTTTTAAACCTCTATTTGAATTCTTAGGCCACTACAAAAGACAGCCAGAGCAGTTAAGATTAGTTCAGTCTTCACTGGCTACAGTGGCTTATGCCTGTAATCCCAGAGCTTTGGGAGGCCAAGGCGGGTGGATCACCTGAGGTCAGGAGTTCGAGACCAGCCTGGCCAACATGGTGAAACCCCGTCTTTACTAAAAATACAAAAATTAGCCAGGCGTGGTGGCAGGTGCCTGTAATCCCAGCTGCTTGGGAGGCTGAGGCAGGACAATCGCTTGAACCCAAGAGGTGGGGATTGCAGTGAGCCAAGATTGTGCCACTGCACTCCAGCTTGGGTGACAAGAGTGAGACTCCGTCTCAAAAAAAAAAAAAAAAAAAGAAAAGAAAGATGATTACTTCAGCCTTGAACAAAGGTTCTCAAAATAATGGCATAAACCAAATAGATGTTTATATTCTGTCTCACAAAAAAAAAAAAAAAGACCAAAGATTGACAGTGCAGGCCGGGTATGGAGGTAACATAAAGCCTTCCAAGACTCAAGCTCCTCCTACTGCATTGTTCAGTTAAACCCCATTGTAAGGTTTGTCCTTAGAATTCAAGATGATTGCTAGAACTCCAGCCATTACATCTGCATTCGTGGCAACAGAATGGAAACAGGGAAGAAGGGCCTTGCCTTTTAAGGAGACTCCATGAAAGTCTCACACAAGACTTTCATATACATCTTATTGGCCAGAACTTAGAACATGGTTCCACCAGGCTGCAAGGAGATCTGGGAATTTCAGTATTTTCACTAGTCAGGTCATTGCTAACCTGTTTTTTAAAAATGGGATTCTGTTCATTTGAAAGAGAAAGAGAGTGATTTGTAGCTAACTAGCCATGCCTGCCAGAGTAGCTAACATTTACCACATGCTGATTATGTTGGTGCTAGTTATTGTGCTAAGCATATTATTTGCATTATTTTATGTAATCCTCACAGCACCTCTATGAGGTAGTTATTCTCATGATCCTCATTTGACAGACGAGGAAACTAAGGCTCAGAGGGACTTGCCCCAGGGTGCACAGTAAGTGGCAGGGTGGGATCTCAAGTCTAGGACTGGCTGCAGAGCCTCTACCCTTTACTGTCATTTTTATCTCTATCGCCATAGTTGTGGGGAACTATTTTCTAAATAAGATCTCTAAATGTTAATGCCTCCCCCACAACACAGAGAACATAAGCAATTTATCTACAGCTCATTTATAGTTTTTAGAATCAATGGCATTAATGTTGCTTTAACAAAATGTAGGTGGCAAATTGAACATGTGGCTCAATGGCAACCTGTACTTCTTAGACATGTGTATTTAAATGATTTAACAGGTGGAATTCATTGGCTAAAAGTGAAAGGGTGAACCAGGATCCCCAGACTCCCTTTCTCAGCCTAATTTGCTAATTCTTTTTGAGTTAAACATTTGAAAGCAAGCTAAAGGATAGAATTAGCAAGTTTGGGAGTAGGGTTAAGAAACCAGGGACACCATTGTGCTATCATGAAACAAAAGTAACTGCACTGGCAGTCAGCAAGCTTATATTTGAATCCCAGCTTCATTAATTGTTAGTTGTGTGGCACTGGGAAATCATTTAGCTTCTCTGGGCACCTGTATTAGTCTGAGTTCTCCATAGATACAGAACCAACAGAATGGGTGTGTGTGTGTGTGTGCATGTGCAAAGTGATTTACTATAAGGAGTTGGCTCCCACAGTTACAGAAGATGAGAAGTCCCAAGATCTCCAGTGAGCAAGCTGGAGATCCAGCCAGGAGGGTTAATGGTATAGTTCTTGTCTGAGTTCAGGCCTGAAAACCAGGAAAGCCAATGGTGTAAGTTCCAATTCAACTCCAGGAAAAGACCAATGTTCCAGCTCAAAGACCATCACACAGAGAGAGTGAATTCTCTCTTACTCAGCCTTTTTGTTCAATGCAGGTCATCAGTAGGTTGGATAAGACCCACCTATATTGGAGAGGGCAATCTGTTTTACCCAGCCTACTGATTCCTATGTTAATCTCATCCAGAAGCACTCTCACACACATCCAGAATCATGTTTGACCAAATATCTGGGCACCCCACGGCCTAGTCAAGTTGACACATAAAATTAATTATTACGGCATCTGACAAGGCACAAGGATATAATGGGGAAGGGTCAATGCTTAAATCACAGCTCTGTCCCTTTCTGGTGTGCACAACTCTGCACCTCAGTTTTCTCATCTGTAAAATGGAGATCAAAATAATACCTCTTAGAGTTGTTGAATGAATGTTCTGAAGACAAATGGAAGCATTTTGCATGCTTGCTGAGCTATGCACTATGAGATGTACTGGGAATATAGCTGTGAATAAAAACAGACCAAGTCCTTCCTCTCAAGGCATTTACATTCCAGTGAAGAGAGAGAGAGGGGCCATAAATAAATGTATAATATGGGAGGTGTAAGAGGTAAGAGGAAAAGTACAGCTGAGTTGATACAGGTAAAGCATTCAGAACAGTGCCTGTCACACGGTAAATGTTTAAAAAACATTAGTAGTTAATGTTAGCCTCCTCATCATCATCGCCCTCTTTATCAGTGAAATGGGGATGGCCCCAGCTTCATGTCAGCCTCACAAAGTAAATGCAGATATCAGGAATGATTTTAACAGTAATTACAGATGGTTTTTTACATATATATGAATTTTTTTATGATGAATATATGTTACTTTTGTACCAAAAAAAAAAAAAAAAAAAAAAAGGAAGGTAACTTCCCTAAGAAACTACGTTGATAGTAAATGTTAACAGGGCTGTGATCGAAGAAGTGGAAAAGTGAAAGGCAAAAACAGAGAAAAATGGTGACACAAAGGTTAGAGGGAACATTCAAAACAAAATGTGCCTTCATCGGCCCAGTAAAGAGGTCATATGAAACGGGTTTAAAGTGTTAAGCCCGTCCCACTACCAAAATCTCAAAAGGTTATGTAGTATTTTAATAGAAAAACCATGATTTGCCCTTTATTACTATTTCTTTACTTTCTCTAGGCTTTACAGCATTACACTCAGCATTTTACAAAACAAGGAGTTGACCACTCTCAGTCAGCTAATTCTAATCAAGATTAACACAGATGTCATGATAAATCCATGTGAAATTGATTGTTAATTGTGTGTAATTGATTATCACACTCTCTATGCATCAGCAGCACACACAGCTAGCCAGAGTCAAGAGGTAACCTATCCTCAAGTTCCATTAGATCAAGAGGAAAAGAACTGAGGAAATGAAGATATATCCAGCCCTTTACCATGAGGGCAAGCACATTATCCCATTTATTTCCCGCAGCAGCACTGTGAGGCAGGTATGCCTAATCTCAGGCTTACATGTGGGAACTGGGGCTTGGAATAATTAGCTCAGGATCATACAGACAGTAAATGACTGATCCAAAATCTAAACCCACTTCTGTTCCCAAGGCCCATCAGTTCCTCACTGGGCAGCTGCCTTAGAGAAGGATGTGCAGAGGAGGTGGTAGGAGGAGGGATAAACCTGAGCTAAAAGAATCAGTAAAACTCTCACACTTCATTCTATGATGGATACTTGTAAAAACATGAGCTTTCTAGACTGTTATATGGGTTACAGAATGGGCAAACCCAAATGACTTCGTGTAATCGGCTTTCATATTAGGATATGAAGCCGGGTGTGGTGATTCACGTCTGTAATCCCAGCACTTTGAGAGGCTGAGCTGGGAGGATCAGTTGAGCCCAGTTCAAGACCAGCCTGGGCAACATGGCAAAAACCTGTCTCTCCTAAAAAATTAATAAATTTAGCTGGGTGTGGTGGTGTGTGCCTATAGTCCCAGCTGCACTGGAGGCTGAGGTGGGCAGATCACCTGAGTCCAGGAGGTCAAGACTGCAATGAGCCATGATTGCGCTACTGCGCTCCAGCCTGGACTCCAGCCTGGGTGGCAGAGTAAGATCCAGTCTCAAAAAAAGAAAAAGAAAAAGAAAAACAATTAGGATATGTTCATTTTGGGTGCAGCCTTTCATTTAGCTTTAGTGTTATAATGTAAAACTTCCTGTTCAGTGTGCATATGAAACACAGTGGTTACTTCTAAGGATCCATGTCTTGCTCCATTCGACTTTGTTTTCTTCCTAATGAGCGCTAACTCCAGTATGCCTGTATTAGTCCGTTTTCACACTGCAATGAAGAAATACCTGAGACTGGGTAATTTATAAAGAAAAGAGGTTTAATTGACTCAGCTCCCCATGGTTGGGAGGGCTCAGGGAACTTACAGTCATGGCAGAAGGCACCTCTTCATAGGGCATCAGGAGAGAGAATGAGTGCCAAGTGAAGGGGCAGCCCTTATAAAACCACCAGATCTCCTGAGAACTCACTCACTATCATGAGAACAGCATGGGGGAAACCACCCCCATGATTCAGTTATCTCCACCTGGTCCCGCTCTTGACACGTGGGGATTACTACAATTCAAGGTGAGATTTGGGTGGGGACACAGCCAAACCATATCAATGCCTAGCAAATGTAAATGGAGGATGGAGGCTGTCCTGGTACAAACCCAGAGGTGGGCTGAGTAACTTTCACAGGAGCGGTTTAAAAAGCAGAGTTGATGTGAGCACAGAATCTAGCCTGGCCTTTACGTATCTTTGAAGCCCTTGTCTCTTTAAAACGTTTAAATAAAAAAAAAAAAAAAGCTAATTATTTTTTAGAGGGAATGAAAAGATGCTGTTTATTATTTCAAGCCCTTCCTTGAAAACAGCCTCCGAGGACTGCGGAGGGAAACTTTGTTGGCTGGTTTTGTGAGCCTCCCACAGACCAGGAGCTAAGGCATCCTTCTATAAAGAAGAAACATGCCCAAGGCAAGGTTGAAAAGTCATTCCGAGAGCCCAAGATACTTGCCACCTCATATCGGAAGATTTTTCTCTGAGCCTCAAAGAGGTTTTTGAGCTTGAGAAGGGAGGAGTGGGGGTTACGTATTTGTTTTAGCTCAAGGGCATTTTAAGAATTTGAAACATATATTTCTGTAGTGAAAATGAAAATTCATTCCTTTGAGACAGACTACAGAGGCCTGGGTCTCAAAACAAAACACTGAACAAAGGGAAATAAGGAGTAGGAATATGTAAAACGCTCCCAAACTGAAAATATCTTTGGAATACCACATTCTCCATGATGCCTCCTGGAAAACTTTTTTAAAAACACTCTATTTAGGGACCTTGGGCTGACAAAGGATTTCCGTACCTCCTTACCCTGGCTTTGATTGCTAGACACTTCAGTGGAAAGAAAGAGGGACTGGGGTCATGTGACTCTCTGTGAGCAACTTCTGAATTCTAATCTTGGCCTTGACGCACACTGACTTTGGAGACTAGATTAGCTAATTTAACCTGGCTTTGTTTTTTCTGCCAGAATGATCGGGATTAATAAAATGACCAATTCAAGGATCTCTGAGAAGAACTGTTTGATAAGAACTTTATATGTAGACATCTTTGAGGGCATTCTGCTGATCAGTGATGCCAACTGCTTCCTACCTCCCGTTTATAGTTTCATTTTCTTTCTGATATTTAAGAATTAGTTATGATTAATGTTTATATACCACAAGTAAGGCTGTCTTCTTTAAAAAAAAAAGTGAGCCATATGAACCCCAATGTAATTATTTAGCTTAGAAATGAGAATGTGTTAGGAAGTATAGTTTAGTGAAAAAAAAATTCTAAAGAATGTTTTATATCCAGAATCCTTCTCAATGAAGTGTTTTGTCCAAATTACTACATTCTGAAATACAGTATTATAATTTTTAAGTGATTAGAATGCTTTAATGACAGACATCTTAAGCAGTTTATAGTAATAAATATATATGATACTTGCCAAAATAAATTAGAGGCATTTTTCTTGGATTTTACTGTTTGAAATTGGACCAGAAATGTTGACCAATAGAAATGTAAAAAATCATGTAAAGGAAATCAAGCTCTAAATCAGTTGTTATCAGATGATCCAATTCAACATATCTTAACTCACTGGCATAGTTTTCTAACTCACATGATTATGTGAATTTGATCCTACCATAGTTTGATAGCGTTTGGGGACCGAAATGGACCTTTAGAAATGTTCAAATTAAGAACCAGGCGCAGTGGCTCATGCCTGTAATCCCAGCACTTTTGGAGGCCGAGGCAGGCAGATCATCTAAGGTCAGGAGTTCGAGACCAGCCTGGCCAACATGGTGAAACCCCATCTCTACAAAAATACAAAAATTAGCCACGCATGGTGATGCGCGCCTGTAATCCCAGCTACTTGGAAGGCTGAGTCGGGAGAATCGCTTGAACCCAGGAGGAGGAGGTTGTGGTGAGCAAAGATTGCACCACCGCACTCCAGCCTGGGGGTCAGAGCAAGACTCCATCTCAAAAAAAAAAAAAGAAATGTTCAAATTAATCTCCTTATTTTGGAAGAATATCTGGAAGACTCAGAGAGATTAAGTGATTCACTAACGTCCCAGAGCTAACTCATGGCCAGGTTGGAACTGAAACCCAGGTTTTATTTTAATTCAGATTAGCAAGTAGGTTCTTATGAGGTGTGTGCTGCCATGCTAGGAGCTTCAGGTGAGACAGTACCAGTTCAGGGGGCTTTCAGTCTAGCAGAAGTGCTAAAGTTAGGACATAATAACAGCTAACCTTTGTGCCAGACACTATTCTAAGCACTTTACATAATTAGTTCTTTATATTTTCCCAACAACCATGGGAGGTAGTTGAGGCAGAGAGATGTTAAGTACCTTGCCCAAGGTCACACAGCTAGGAAGTCTCAGATGAGGCAGTCTATGCTCTTAGCCCACATGCTGTACTCCCTTTTTACTGGTGAATATAGTGTGGGTACATAACACAGACTATTATGTACCCACAGATAGGTTCAGGGAGAGGGCTTTGGAGATCCAAAGAGAGGGGTCCATGTTGAGGACTGAGAAAATTGCAGAGAGGAAAAGGTCTAAAAATGGACTTGAGAGGATAGCCAGGATTTCAATAAGAGGAGAGATGAAACAGGGGAAAGGCATCTGAGGAAAAGGAGCAGTGAGAGCCAAGGCACAGAGTTGGGAAAAAGCACAAAGTACATTCATAGAATCTCCCTCTGGAGCCCTATCTAAGGAAAGAGAGAAAATCAGAAGTTGAATGATTTAGGAACAGCTACTAAAACGAGATTGCAAAGAACATAGGCAGCAAAAGAAATGGTTAGACATCAAGTCAAAAGCAGTTTGCAAACTCAAAAAGCTCTCTTGCACAGATTAACAAAGGCCTCTTATTTCTCTTTTTTTCTGTTGTTCCAATAAAAGGAGTGAGATGTATTGAATTAGGGGCATACAATATACGTGTCAATTTCCGAACCACTTTTCATTAAAAGAAAACGATTCCATAGCAGCCTTTCCATTTTAGTTGATGCTGCAATTCTAAAGGTGTGGGTCTTTAATGATTTCAAGATTCTGAAGTATCTTGGGTCCTCATTGTAAATATTTCATATATTAAACCTTGTAATATAGAGGTCTAATACACACATGTAATGTTGAAGCCATGTGAAACATTTCCCTGAGAACTAAATATTTAAAGTTGCATGTGACTTTGAAATTCTAGTAAATTTGGTGGGCTTTCATTATGCATGTGCTTTCCCCTTCAACACTGCCAACTACTTGAAACTTTTCCTTTGCCACCAAAGGCTGTTGCTTAGCTCCTGCTACCACTGTGGCCCTGGTTAATATCTATTCCATGCACAAACTCTTGGATATTTCTTTCAGTAGATTAAACTTGTATTTCAGTGCCTCTGAAGACACTGTATGAAAACTGCTTTTGAAATAAGAACTTTCTGAATGACCTTCTCTGTCACTGACTTTCTTTGTTGACTTGTTGGGCATGATTAAGTCTCTTTGCAGCTCAGTTGCTTTGACCCATAAAACAAAAACCATCCCTCGGCTCCCCGGCCTCTCAGGTGTGTGAGAATAAACAAGTGAGCACTGGATAGGCTATAGCTATTGTGGGCTGAAAAGATTTTCTTAGTTTGTTCTGGCTGCTATAACAAAATACCACAAACTGGGTGGCTTATAAACAACAGAAACTTATTTTCCAGTTCTAGAGCTGGGACATCCAAGATCAAGGCAGCAGCAGATTCAGTATCTGGTGAAACCCCTTTGTGGCTCATAGGCAATAACTTCTTGCTGTGCCCTCACATGGTTGAAGGAACAAGAGGTCTCTCTCACGCCTCTTTTGTAAGTGTACTGGTTGCATTCGTGAGTGCTCTGCTCCCATGACTGATCACCCTGGTTATGTCCCCCCAATCCTGTCATCACCTTGGGAAGTTAGGATTTCAACATATGACGTTGTGGTGGACACAAACGTTCAGACCATAGCAGATGTGATAGAAGAGTGGGGTACTTTATTACTTGTGTTGCATTCGTGAAGCATTCACTGTGTACCAGTGATCACTGCAAGGGCTTGACATGTATTCATTTACTCATTTATTCATTTTTTATATTCATTTTTCCAACCTTACAGGTAATACTCTTATTCCCAGTTTAGAGGTGAGTAAACCCAGGAACATGGTATAAGGCAAAACTAGTATTTGAACCCAAGCATTCTGATTCCTGGGATGAGCCATTAGAGCTGTTCAGAAGTGGAATGGGCTGTCTTTTAGGACAGTGCTCCTCTCTTCTTTCCGGGTCGCTGCCAGCAAGTACGGAGAGAGGAGCTATGACTTTAAGGTCTTAGAATTTGTGGAATGCAGTTACTCCCCATTTGGCCAAAATCTCAGAATTTGTGTCGTGTCTCTAAATCAGATAAATGGAGAGTACTAAAAGCATTGTTGCTTCTGCTCTGAAATTGTTATAGGATTATTTTTATTGCATCCAAGTCTTAAACACTGAATGGCTGGGGATGGGTTCTTTCTACGAATATGTAAGTCCTGAGCATGGCCGAGTAACACACAGCCCTGTGATCAGGGAGCTAGACTGGTGAGATATGTCCATGTACAGTGTTGGGCACCAGACTACATAGAGATCTCTATGGCTCTGGGCAAGCATGGAACCACTCAGGAGACTTCCTGAAGAAGCTGACACCTGAATTTAGTGATAAAGGATGGATGGGAAAAGCGTTCCAAAAAGAGGAGAGTGTGTGACGGAAAGCACAGATGTGTGAAACATTGCCTCTGCAGGGAACTCCGTACACTCTAATATTGCAAGATTGTTAGCAAATCATTGATGTAAAAATAAATGAAGCAGGCTGGGGGCGGTGGCTCACGCCTGTAATCCCAGCACTTTGGAAGACCAAGGCAGGCAGATCACTTGAGGTCAGGAGTTCGAGACCAGCAGGCTGAGGCAGGAGAATCACCTGAACCCAGGAGGTGGAGGTTACAGTGAACCGAGATCTTGCCACTGCACTCCATCCTGGGCAATAGAGCAAGACTCCGTCTCAAAAAATAAATAAATGAATAAATAAATAAATAAACAAAGCATTAAACTGAGATTTCTTAAAATCCCATTTCCTTACCATTCTCTCTTTACCCCACTACAATGAGTACTTGAGAGAAAAGAATCTTTTGCTAAATTAGAATTTATTGGATAAAATAGCATTTATTTCATGTCGAAATCTCTGGTAATTGTGAAGTGGGCAGATACTGTAGTATAACACCAAATTGATAATTATGTTTATAAAAAATTATGAACTAATGAACTAGCATAAATCAATAAAGAAGAAAACATAATTGGATTTCTAGCAATAGAACATTAATTAAGTCCAATAAGACAAGGCCTATTTGTTATACATAGTAGAGGGCTTGAGAAACTTTTGATGAATATGAATGTTGATCAAGAGTTCCTTAGAGATAAACAAAACCAATAACCCCACCTATGACTCAAAGACTTAAAGTAGAGCCTGCCTCCAATAACTGCTGGAAAGAGCAAGTGCAGATTAAGATTTATAAGTACACTTTACTTTCATTACAAATAGAAACATTTTCTTTTTAATAAGGCATAAAACAATTTATCTTCTTTAGGGTAAGTTGATCCTTTTTCATTAGTTTTATTAAAGTACCAAAATCTTATGAAACTAATTGTAATTTATGTTAACATTTAAAAATCATGGTTAAATTTAGCATTTTGAAAAAGATGACTAATGCCCTGATTTAACTTAAATGTAACCATCAAAAATAGAAGCATGTAGCATATCTGTAAGTATGTCAGCCCACACAGACCAAATAGCTCCTGGGTTTTCCTCCTTAATGAGCACTTGCTGATTGATCGATAATCAGTTTGGGAGCTAATTAAAGTCACTAGAGTAATAGATATCCCTGTATAAGGTTCATCAATTTAACAGTGTGCTAGACAGACTATAGGGGCATTGTTCATTTCTAGATATAATTTCTGTTCAGCAAAGCAGATGAGTTATGGCCTTGGAGCCCATGGAGAATTCCCGGAGGAATCTTATATCCCTGGCATAGCACAGTGGACTCCTTGCTGTCTCAGGTCAACAGAACCAGAAGGAGATAATTAGTACAATTTGTTGTTATACTGGCTTTTTCTTTTGGTTAAAATTTATCTGCTGGCTGGGCATGGTGGCTCATGCCTGTAATCCCAGCACTTTGGGAGGCCAAGGTGGGTGGATCACTTGAGGTCAGGAGTCCAAGACCAGCCTGGCCAACGTGGTGAAATCCTGTCTCTACTAAAAATACAAAAGTTAGCCGGGTGTGGTGGCAGACACCTGTAATCCCAGCTACTTGGGAGGCTGAGTCAGGAGAATCACTTGAGCCTGGGAGGAGGAGGTTGCAGTGAGCCGAGATCACACCACTGCACTCCAGCCTGAGCGACAGAGCAAGACTCTGTCTCAAAAAAAAAAAAAAAAAAATAGCTGCCATCTACCCTGACACTGAGAAGTATGTTATATATGTTTCCCCAAATAATAAATTCTTACAGAATTTAGTTACTATGAGATAAAAATTTGAAATCATGGATTCAATATCAGTAGAATTTTAGAGTTAGAAACGATCCAAGAGGGCACATAAACCAACCACCTCCTTTGTAGGAGTTACATAAACCTTGCCCTAGAGTCACACAGTCTCTGCATGGGAGACTGAAGGCTCCAACAGAAAATAAAAACTGGAATAACAGTAAGGACACTGTTTTCATATACTACTCCTAAATGTCATCCTACACTATTTCCTCTGAGCTTCATCAGATATTCTCCTTTTAAAGGATATATTAAAATTCTCTTGAAAGGAAGCCTTCTGCACCCAGAAGTTATGTGATCAATTTTTCCCTCTATGATCACGCCTCTACTTTGTACTTTGTCTTTCATCCTACACTTTTCAAAGTGCCTGAGGTATAAAGTTAGATTTGATTGTCTCCCTAATTTTGATCCTGTAGAGAGACCTCATGTTGTCATGTTGTCATCTCTAATAGATGAGGGTCAGAAAGGCTGAGGTTACAGAGTTATTTTGCAGCAAAGCCAGGACCAAAATCCAGGTTTGTTGTTCATAGACCTTTCCATTAAAAATGCTACTCTGTAAATTTACTAGGGGCAAAATCTCAATATGCTATGGTGTTGCAGGACTTTTCCTTAGTTCAACTAAAGACAGGGTTCTTTGTCCCATGGCCATGAAAATTTAGGCTCACAGACAATTTGAATGGTGAGTAAGACAGGGTTTTATTTGGTGAAAAGGAAGAAAAGGGGGAAACAGAACTCTCCCTGGGACAGTGTCCCATGCTCCAGTGCTTCTCCCACTGGAAGACTGAATCTCAGGTTCTACACAGGAAGAGGAGGGACCAGCTCCTTCCCACTGCAAAGGGCCTAAACTTGCCGAGGTTCCATCCCATGGGCAGGCCAGTTGGCGTTTCTCCAGTGACCCCCTCCCACCTGGCTGTGTCAATGGTAGTATGAGATACTTTCATTTTTTTACAAATAGTTAAAAACTCTGCCTCATCAGTCAGATCTCTGGGCTGAGAGAGATCCTGAGTTTGCCCCACCATTGGATTGCTTTGTGGGTCAGAAGAGAACTGGTTTATCCAGCAGCCAGGCATGGAGCAGGCCTGGGCCAGCACAGAGTGACCCAAGGCAGTGCCTTGACCAGAGCCACGGACCTAGCTCTGCACATAAGTCCTGCCCCCGACAGCTGACAACAAGCCCCCACAGTCACTTTTTAAATTCTGGATGACGTGATTTCCTATTACAAACAAGTGAGATGAGCTTTCAAAGCAAAAAAAAAAAAAAAATTCTGCCTCATGTTTCTTCACTTATTATTGATCTTGAGCACATTTCAAACATTTCTTTAGCCTGTCTGTGAATTTTCTGCTGCATTATTTGACCCATCTAAATGTATGAGTATCAGTGCTTTTACTTTTTAGCAATGTACATATTTTCATATAATATTAATGTTATTTTTGCATCAAACATTTTATCTACATTACCTTTTTTAGTCATTTTTTATCATTATACAAAGTATGTGTAGAGGGAAACATCACACTGTACCCCATAAATGTGTACAATTTTTTTGTGTCAATTACAAATAAAAATATTTTTTAAATCCCCAAAAAAGAAAAAAAATGCCGCTCTGTATGATAACTCCTGAAACAAAAGTATTAACACTACAGTGAACAGAAGCTGATTATTTCTGTGATGTTTCTTAGCTTTATTTCCTCCCTTTGCATATGTGTTCTCCATTTTTCCCTTTGTTTTACTTAGTCCCTGCATCTCGTTTGCCCTGTCATTTGGTTACTTGGCAGTCCCTAGCCAGCAGGGTGCAGAGTCCCAGACAGTGTCTTTTGTTCAAAGCATTTGTTTGGATTATAAATATAATTTGATGATAAATTCAAACTGTTATGCTGATTTCATTTCAGTGGAGTCACAACGTATCTCAAATTTCCTTTGATAAACTTGCCCTAAAGACCGTATCTCATGCTATTTAATTGTTCACCTTGGTCTATTTGCTCATTCTAAAGAGTTTTGTGGCCAGGTGTGGTGGCTCATGCCTGTAATCCCAGCACTTTGGGAGGCTGTGGTGGGGGCGGATCACCTGAGGTCAGGAGTTAAGACCAGCCTGGTCAACATGGTGAAACCCCATCTCTACTAAAAACACAAAAATTAGCCCAGCATGGTGGCGAATGCCTGTTATCCCAGCTACTCTGGGGGCTGAGGCAGGAGAATCGTTTGAACCCGGGAGGCGGAGGTTGCAGTGAGCCGAGCTCATGACATTACACTTCAGCTTGGGTTACAGAGCGAGACTCCATCTAAATGAAATAAATAAATAAATAAGACTGGGTGCGATGGCTCACGCCTATAATCCCAACACTTTGGGAGGCCAAGGCAGGTGGATCATGAGGTCAGGAGTTCAAGACCAGCCTGACCAAGATGGTGAAACCCCATCTCTACTAAAAATACAAGAATTAGCCACTCACAGTGGCAGGCGCCTGTAATCCCAGCTACTCAGGAGGCTGAGGCAGGAGAATTGCTTGAACCCGGTGTGAGGGGGTAGTGGAGGTTGCAATGAGCCGAGATCACACCACTACACTCCAGCCTGGTGACAGAGTGAGACTCTGTCTCAATAAATAAATAAATAAAGAGCTTTGCTAAAATTCTTAACATATTCACTGATATGGTTTGGCTCCGTGTCCCCAACCAAATCTCATGTTGAATTGTAATACCCAGTGTTGGAGGTGGGACCTGGTGGGAGGTGATTGGATCATGGGGGTGGTTTCTGATGGTTTAGCACCATCCTGCTCGTGCTGTCTCATGATAGAGTTCTCACAAGATCTGGCTGTTTAAAAGTGTGTAGCACCTCCCCCTTTGCCCTCTTCCTCCTTCTCTGGACACATAAGACATGCCTGCTTCCCCTTCACCTTCCACCATGATTGTAAGTTTCCTGAAGCCTCCCCAGCCATGCTTCCTATACAGCCTGCAGAACTGTGAGTCAATTAATCCTTTCTCTTTATAAATTACCCAGTCTCAGGTGGTTCTCTATAGCAGTGCAAAAGCAGAGTAGTATATAAATGGAAATATTGCTGATTTTCTTCCTTTTACCTCTATTAGAAACAACAATCCCTCCAATCATGGAAAAATTATGACCTGTTATTGAAATGAATTATTTAATGGCATTCTTTTCAAATATCAATAGCTGACATTTACTGTGCACTTATATGTCAGCCTCTTCTGTGCTCTTCGTATGTGTTAACACATTTTATCCCCCCCACCACCTTAGGCAGTGAGTAATATTGTAATTCTGATTTTACAGTAAGGAAATTGAGGCACAGAAAGGTTAGGTTACTTGCCAAAGACCTCACAGCAAGTAAGGGCAGAGGCAGGATTTGAACCCAGGCAGTCTGTCTCATGAGTCGGAGCTCTTAACCATGAGTATGCTACTACTCAAACTGAATTGTCCTATAAATGCTGCTTTGCAAGTGTAATTGAAGTTTTGTAAACTTTGCTTTCACTGATTTATGAAGAGCCACATTGGCCCAGGGAGAGAAGGTGGGTTTGTGAAAGTTTATCATTGTAACAGTCCTGCTGGCCACTCATGACCTCAGGGATCAGCAACTCTTTCAGCCCTGATGCTGGGAACAAGAAAAAAAAAAAAAAAAGAAAAGAAAAAAAACTTTCTGGTTTCACTTGCAGGCCTTAAGTGGGAGGTGGGGGATGGGATGGGAACTGAGAAACAGAGACATCCATTGTAGGTGTATGTTAAGGGCTGGCTTCTCATGCCTTTATATCCTTTATATAAATGAAATATATTATCCATTTTTTTCTCTCCCTAAATGGGCTTCCAGACTTAAATATAAGCTGATTACAAAGAAGCCTGGGAATTTTTCTCTACCTAATTCTCACTCAGCCTACCCTGAAGTCCAGCAACTGCCCCTCTCCCACCTCTGCATATATCCACTTCCTATTTGTAGTGCAGTAAGAGTAGGCTGGCCTTTGTGTCACCCCTACTGGGGAGAGATTATGTCTTTCATCTCTAGTCTCAAGGCCTAGCACAGTGTCTGGTATTCAGACACTCAGTAGCTGTTTGGTGGATGAATAAATAAAATCAGTATACATTGCACCCTGAAACCTGGGCTAATGTCTACCTGATTCTAGAGTAACTGTCACCATACATTGAAAAAGGCGCTAATTATAAGAGGTGTGTGTAGACAGGCCAAAAGCATTTCCAAAGTGTGAATTCAGGAGTGTTTTATAAATGTGTGTCTTTGCAGTCGCCTCCAAGGCCATCCTTACTGATATATTGTTTTAGTTTTTATGAGGTTTGTGCTAGCCCAGTTCTCAACATGAAATAGCAAAAAGGCATCTGTTGGTCTGCTTTTATTGTACCTCAGTTCTCTCTGCTGCTTTGCCTTTGGGAGACAGTGGCCTGCACCTATCTGCTTAGAGCCTGGATATGAAGGCCCAAAGCCTGCACTGTTACTTCTACATCATACCTTAGACACTGTCAAGAATCATAACTACCCACCGTGCTGTGTGCTTACATTCTGTCATTTCATCCCCATTTTACCTCGAAGGAACTGGAGCTCAGGGGCATTAGGAAACTTGCCCACTTAAGAATTGATGGCACTGGAACTCAAATCCAGGTCTTCCTGGTTCCAGAGTCTGTGTTCATCAGCGGGTTTGGCCAGGTATACTAAAGAGCAAGAAGACTGGAGATTGCAGATGTAAAGATCATGGCACACGTGTCCTGAGTGCTCTTTTTGAGGGAATTCCTGCCCACTACCACTGTCTCAAGCCGCCAGAGAGACAGCTTGCCCAAAGAGAGGCTGTGACCTGGAGGGAGGTACTGTGGCTGTGTTAGGTTCCTGGGGTTCAGCTGAAGGTGGCCCTGGTGGCTTTCCCCACGCACCTGAGAGTTTCCTGGGAAACAATGGGCGTGGGCTTCCAAGGCTGTGGTATTACCCCAGTGGTTTGGTTAGTCTGGCACTTGCAGAAATTCAGCTACAGTTAGAGTCCTCTTATGTATTGATTGTAGAAAATAGATCTTTATCTTAGGTAGTTGATAAGAAACCCAAAGAATGTAGTTTCTCAGAAGAGCTTTTAGTGATTAATGGATTTAGTGAAGCAGCAGGCTATATAGAGTTAGGAAATATTGTCACTAACATACTGTTTTTCATCTCCCTTCCCTGCCAAACCACCACATCATTTCTTTTCTGAGAGGCCATAAATTCCAACACTAACCATATTTCACAAATGACTTAGAACTATTTGTCATCCCATTAGTCCAATCCCAGGTATTTATTGCTGGTGCTATTTTGGAAGCCGAGGATAGAAAAGAACAATGCCAGATGCATTGTAGATGTTTAATAAATATTTGTTAAGTGAATAAATGGATGGACAAGCTTACTATAAAATGGGTTCTTATCCTTCATTTGATTCTCACCTATTTTACTCATACTGTATATGAGACAGTTTTAAGAATCTGAAGGTACATAAACATGACTGGTACCCTGGCTCTTCTTACAGGACAGTCCACAATCTGGGTGGTACACAGAGATCTGTGACATATAGCTAAAGTGCTATGTGCTGAAGACTCTGAATGAAGAGCTGTCTTGAAAGACAATACTTGTCTTGGCAATCAGAAGAATAAGATCCCTCTGGCTGAGAAGCCAGGGAACACTTAGCCATAGGTGAGATTTAAGCTTGCCATGGAGAATGGGTCAAATGTCAAAAGGAGGAGGTGCTGGGGGACAGCAGCTCAGGGACTTGCTTGGGAGAAGCTGCAGAGGCAGGAACATATAAATTCTGGGGAGGGAGCCGTGAGTGACTGACTCAGAGTGGTACACAAATTGCTGCTTGGATGGGTGTTGGGACCAGTCTGATAGCATTGAACTCCATGGTAGAGGGAATCATGTCAAGTTTAAGAAAAGGTCAAAGAGAATGGTAACAGGGAAAAGGCCTTATAACTGTCATCGTGGATTCTTTTTCTTATTGTCCATTCCCTCTTCCTCCGTACTAAATGAAGTCACCCCAAGCCATCCTGCATATCTCCACCATGTTATTACTAAGACACTGCTTTGACCATACTGTCTGCAACACTGTGGATTCACCAACACCTATAGAATACATTATGCCCTTCTTAGTGGGGGTTTCAAGACTCTTTGGCCCATGCCAACTTATCTAATCTTATCCTTCAGCTTGTTACCCAACCATCTACTTTCCAAGTTCTTCCCTGGACCCCTTCTCTGCCATCTTGGTCTGCTCATGCCCACCTCACCTGTGTGCTTTCCCGCATCCCTGCCTTATTAGAACTTTGCTTGTACCATCTTTCTAGCCTGGATGCCCTCCCTTCATCTGTGCCCATCAGAATATCAAAGGCCCATTTTTTAGTCTCCAAAATTTTAAACTCTTAGAAGATGGAAACCAAGTATTTCTTTTCACACCCATCAGTGGGTTATGGGTGGTAAGCACCAAGCACATGTTGAATACATAAATATCTTTCATCCTCTCTTTTCCTCTATTCCTACATATAACTAAGAGTGACTGTATCCCTTAGATAAAGAGGCCTTCCAATTGTATGATACTTTAGACTTTCCAAAGGTTATGGCGTAGCAGTCCCAAACACCTCATCTGAAGCCAGGCTGTCTGGGTTCCCACCATTGCTGTGCCAGCTGTGTGACCTTGGACAAGTTACATAACCTCTCTTTGCCTCAGTTTTTTCATCAACATAAAGGGAAGAATAAAGGTACTTATTTCATAAGAGTTTCTAGAAGGATTAAATATGTTATTCGTAAAATGCTGAAAAGTATGTCTAGCACATAGTGAGCATTATATAATGCTTGCTAAAGTAAATTATACGTATATATGTACATATCTGTATATATTGTATACATAGATATATATAGTAAATACTCAATAAAATTTAAATTAAAAAAATACACACACAGGGACACACAATTTGGCATCCATGACGACCTTGTAAAGTAATCAAGAGGCATTAAATAATTTCCCGACACCTAGTAATTGTAGATCCATTCCTGGGATCCGTGTCTTCTAACTTTTGAGCCAGTAGTCAAAAAGTAGAAACTATATCATTAATCTATTGATCTCTCCAACACATATAGTTTTCAGATATATAGTGATTTCTTAACACGAAGCATTAAATTTGCTACAGGTATTTTTATTATTTTGATTTAAACTATAAGAGTAGTGTCAGATACATGATATGGCCATGTCAGTAAGAAAAAAATATTAACTTCTGTGCAAGTTATCATATAGGATATCCCAATCTCCTAAGGAAATTCATGACGTGGGTCGTTTTCTACTTGACTATTTTTTCAGCAGTTGAGGAAAAATGGAGCAAGAAAGATAAATTAGGTGTATTGAATGGAGAATTATGCATGAAGTTTTAGTAGAGAAGAATTCAAACAGGAAAATATGCTATGGGAGTACATTTACATGGCTATATGCCTGTCAGGTCATTTGGTATGCAAAGGCTTGTGTTTGCATTAAGCTGGTGGAGAAGCTGTTATTTTCTTTGCAGTATGTATTCAAAATGCACCTGTAAAAAATAAAAGCTTTCCTTTACTTCTCTGAAAAAGAAAGAGAACTGTCTGTTATTTTAAACACAAAATACATTTGACTTCTGTCAACAGCTTACATTTTAAATAATGCAGTTTGTACTTGCATTCATTATCTGCAATTAGAGTTCTCGAAAAAGCTTTTAGCGTTTATCTCCCCAACTTTTAAAATTCATTCACTGTAACTGTTAACATTTTAGTGAATAGTGGAAACCCTAAGACAAATTGGAAAACTCAACAAAGAAATTTGCTTTCCGGAAATTACCACCGAACTAGGTAGAGAATACTCAGCTATTGTGCTGAACCACATTATGATGAGATACACTCTTTTCTTTCCAGCGTTAGGTCAGACTCAAATGTTTTCCTTTTAACCCACACTAGTCAGTAAGGAACACCCTGCTGGCAGTCAGCGCAGTATCCTTTCTCTCAGGCTTAGTTTGTGCAAACTACCTGTTTATACTAGTCCTCAGTGTCCAAGTCAAGCAAGAGTCAGAAGTTCAGATTTTTTCTTTGCGATAATTTATTTAAAAGAAATATTTCTCAGATACTCGGGGTGGCCTGAGGTGCCTTTTCATCCAAGTGTAATGAGAGTCACATGTTCTCATTTCCTCACTCCTATTAGCAAGAATACAGACAGCTGAGCAACGTGTGTGTGTGTGTGTGTGTGTGTGTGTGTGTACACCCTCTCATTTTAAGATATAACTGGAACCAAGACCCAAATATAATAGTATGTGGGTTTGCTTCAGGCAGGGAATAACAAGAGCCAAGCCTAGAAAGAAATGCAAGGTGTGTGTAGATTCGTTGACCTTTTGCTGTTTGCCCAGCTGCGGGGTGACTCCCTTTTCATTTCCCAGCTGCTCAGCTGCTTCCTACTGCTATTTTATTTTGCTTTTAAACTGGAGTAGCCAACCAAACTTCTCCCAGACAGGTTCAATAATTACTAAAAACAGACAACTTTCCAATTACACACGGCTCAGAAAAAGCTGCCAGTGCTTTATATTTTAGCCCTTACTTTGTTCTGGCTCTGTAATGCCTTTAACATGATTTACCAGCTTACATTTTTAAGGAAAGCCATCATCAGATTTTATGAAAATAAGTAAAGGTTCTTCGTTAACCCCATGTTTTACCCTTCAAAATAGTCATCTTGAGAACATGTGTTAAGTTGAACCATAAGAAAATGCTGATTTTCCACCTTTTTAATAACCTACAGAAACATCAATTTCATATGGATTAACCTAAATAAATATATTTGTTCCAGTGATGCTTCCAGGTCTCAAACTATTTAAAAACTCATCTCTTGAAATGAGAAAAATCAAATTCATTACTTGAAAACATTGCATTATTCTCAACTTCTTAGACCTTAGTTATAAAATTGGCTCTGAGTAACGTGGTTATTTCCATATGAAATGAAGTCTGTCTTCTGGGGATGAGAATTTGACATCATTTATAATAAAGTACTGCCACAAATGCTTAGCACTGGGTGCCGAGTTCGGGTGTGCTCCTCGATACATCCTTTGCATTGGAGTCATCACACCTTACATGTGTTGTTTCTTTTAAGGAGCATAATTGTGCTCAAAATACACAGGTTTTCGAATTCACCCGGATGTCTGACATATGAAAGCATACTGAAATTATATTGGAAAAATTATGATTTTCAGATAAAATCTGTGACTCTGAAATCTGTGACTGTTACTCTCCTGTACCTAAGAATACAGAGATTACATACCGATTTATAGGTACCGTTATAAAAATAATGAATAGCTTGTTTATTATTTAAGAAAATATTTATTAAGCACCTATGTTGTCTGAAATACTTTCAGAGATAACACAATAGATCAGTTTATTTTAATTAGCTGAGTATAAAATTGGCAATATATTACTAAGTCTCAAAAATGTGCATATTCTCTAATGCTGCAATTCTATTTCTGAAAATTTGTCCTAGGAAATATGACACAATTTTGTACACAAACTTTTTTGTAACAATAATATAGCCAAAATGTGTAATAATTGAGGATTCATTCTGTAAATTTTAATACATTATGAAATTGTTATGTTCTATATATTCCTAAATTTATTAAAATTCAAATTACATATATCATTTCTAAGAGAATAAATTAGATATACATCAAAGGTTTTTAACACAACTTTATAAAGCAAATAGTTGAAATATCCTAAAGTTTTTAACAATGGGGAATTAAGTTATGGAACAGTCATATAGACAAATACTATGTAGCACTTAAAATTATGTTTAGAAGAATATTTAATGATATAGGAAAATATGCTGATATCTAAGTGGCAAAGGACATTGTAATCTAAAAATTACAAACGTAGGATGATCTCAGTTTTTTAAAGAGAGAAATCATATATGGCATTTTATTTTATTTATTTATTTATTTATTTATTTATTTATTTATTTTTTTGAGGCAAGGTCTCACTCTGTCACCCAGGCTGGAGTGCAGTGGCACAATCTCAGCTCACTGCCACTTCCACCTCCCGGGCTCAACCAATCCCCTCGCCCCAGCCTCCCAAGTAGCTGGCTCTACAGGTGCATGCCACCAGGCCCAGCTAATTTTTTTATATTTGTAGAGACGGTCCCGCTGTGTTGCTCAGGCGGGTCTCAAACTCTTAGTTAGGCTCAAGCAGTCCTCCCACCTTGGCCTCCCAAAATGTGCTGGGATTACAAGCGTGAAGCCACCATGCCCTGCCCTTAGTTTTAACTGCCATCCCCTCACTACAGTAGCCAGCCATATATGGCATTTTTAAAGGAAGAAATGTGTGTACATGTGTGTATGTGTGTGTGTGTGTTTTCATAGAGAAAAGGCTGGAAGGCTTTATACTAAAATCTTGTCAGTGGTTATCTTTGATTGCTTTTTATTTTCTTTATTTTCTTTTATATTATTATTATTATTATTATTATTATTATTATTATTATTTGAGATGGAGTCTCACTTTGTCACCCAGGCTGGAGTACAGTGGCACAATGTCAGCTCACTCCAACCTCCACCTCCCAGGTTCAAGTGATTCTCCTGCCTCAGCCTCCCGAGTAGCTGGATTACAGATGTGCCAACACACTTGGCTAACTTTTTGTATTTTTAGTAGAGACAGGATTTCACCATGTTGGCCAGGCTAGTCTCGAATTCCTGACCTCAAGTGATCTGTCTGCCTCGGCCTCCCAAAGTGCCGGGATTACAGGCATGAGCCAGCATACCCGGCCTATTTTTTTGTTTTGTTTTGTTTTTGTTTGTTTGTTTTTTTAAGAAAATAAATGTTTTCTACATTGAACATAAAAAATATATATTACTTTGTGGTCAGAAAAACAATGTTTTTTCAACTAAAACTATGTATGAACCTTAATATTTACATTTTTTACTTTGAAAAATAGATTTTATGCAATAAAATTCCTTTAATAAAGACTGTACTAATTTGGGTTTGGGTTGGGCTAAAATCAATCCATGAATAAACGGTTTATTCTGCAAATTAATAATGTAGAGGAGATTTTACAGAAATACTTTTAAGCTTAAGAGAACTTTTCAAGTACATTGAAAAGTATGCATAAGACTCCGTAAATCATTTTTTCACCAAATCCTGTCCTCTAGGTGCTTTTTCCTGGCAGATGAATTTGCATATTTCTGTGTGCTTTATGTAGAAGCAGTAGTCCATAATTCACTTACTTTACTGACAATCTGACTTTTCCCCTCTGCCATTTGGAAGGTGGTATGTGTATCATATACGTCGTATAAATGGTTCCCATTCACTCTCTAAATGACAGACAGACATCTTGTAACAATTTGGGTCACTTTTCCACAGGTGATGAAAACATACCATATGTATCATGCAGAGAGCATCAGTGCAGAGAGCAAGCTGAAAGAGGCCGAAAAACAAGAGGAAAAGCAAATTGGGAGATCTGGTGATCCAGTCTTCCATATTCGACTAGAGGAGAGACATCAACGGCGAAGCTCTGTAAAGAAAATTGAAAAAATGAAAGAAAAAGTAAGTAAAGAGATTGCAGAGCTCTTCTGCCTTCATTTGAGGAGACAATACTAAGAACACTGATGCAATAGCTGATATCCACACATTGTAAGTTATTGTGAAAAGACATGCATTTCCTCCCATGGGAATGAGAAATGTTTAGGAAATATAAAAATCATGTAATAACAGCTGGACATCATTTAGTGGTGAATGCCAAGTATTCAATACACAGTGTGGAGAACTTGAATATTAACAAGGAGATTTCATTGCAAATGGGCCTGAAGCCCAAATACATTGTTATTATTCCCCATAGCTGGGTAATTTTAGTTTGCTATTTAAATCAGATTCAAAATGTACTTTTGGCAAAGGACTTTCAGGGTCATTTGTATATGTGGAATAAATTGTTAAGGTTAATAAAAATGCATGTATGTTTCTCTGTCTTGATTAAAAATGACTTTGCATTCTTTCCCAATGCCTGGATCTTCTTCATTCCAGAGACAAGCAAAATATTCAGAAAATAAGCTAAAATCAATTAAGGCACGGAACGAATATCTCCTAACACTTGAAGCCACCAATGCCTCAGTTTTCAAGTACTATATTCATGATCTTTCTGATTTAATTGATGTGAGTACTTGAAGTTTTTGTCTTTTCCATATTAAAATGAAATTAACAATAACCATATTTCGTTGATTGGAAAATACTGTCATTTCTTAAGACTGTTATTTTACGTAATACTCAAAAAGAAAAAAATACTTTTATTTAAATTATCCGTAATATGAAGACACTATCATCTGTAAGATGCATGTGAAAAAGCGTGTATCCTAAAACCAATGAAAAATAACTGGTTAGATTCTGTGAAGCTGTGAGAAGCCTGGTAAACTTAGCTAAGACAGGGCCCAGTCATTTGCAAGTTATGCAGTGGCACAGCCCTAACTGCATTCATTAATTCAAAATATATTTATTGGGCCCCCACTACTGTGAGATGCTGAAGCTCTTAGAAGCCATATGCAGCCCTTACCCTCTAGGATTTAAAGTGGAGAAGACATACTTAAGAAATGATTAAATGGATGATTACTTTATTACAGTTGTGATCATTACTGGGATGCAAAATAGAGTGCACATAAGTGACATTTACAGATGTAACTAAGTCTCTGTACATTCTCTCATAGGATATGATATAAAAAAGCAGTAATTAGGTTTATTTAGAGCTCTCCTAATACATATTCATTATATGTATGCAGCATTTACTGCCATTATTCCCCAACTTTAACCCTCCACATTATTAATTCATCCTTTCATTCAGAAAACATGTACTGAGTAGCCCAGTAATTGTGCTAACACTGTAAGAGACTGCAAAGATGAAACACAAAAATCCCATGTCCAAAAATGCCACTGCCTGCAAATAAAAGATAACAAGTGATTAAGTGCCATAAAAACAGCACAGATAAAGTCATAGAGGTTCAGAGGGTTATCTGCTGGAATTTTATTCATATACTGCTTTGTATTGCCTGGATTCAACAGTTTTATTATAGAATATTTTATGGCTCATAGTAGCCGTCATAATTTAAACATACAGTAGGTTAAAACAACTTCATTTTTCTGGTGAATTTAAGTCTCATGTATTTAGCTGTGCCAAACTGTTCAGCCACAGTTTGGGATTTCTACAAAAGAATTGTTGAGGGAAGGAATTATTTTTTAGCTTATTAACACTCTGATGTGCCTCTTTTTTTTTTTTTTTTTTTTTTTTTAAGACAGAGTCTCACTCTGTCACCCAGGCTTTAGTGCACTGGCACTATCGCGGCTTACTTAACCTCTGCCTCCTGGGTTCAAGCGATTCTTTTGCCTCAGCTTCCCGAGTATCTGGGACTACAGGCACATGCTACCACACAGGCTAATTTTTGTATTTTTAGTAGAGATGGGCTTTCACCATGTTGCCCAGGCCAATGTTGAACTCCTAAGCTCAAGTGATCCACCTGCCTCAGCCTCCAGAAGAGCTGGGATTACAGGCCTGAGCCACTGTGCCTGGCCAGCCACCTCACCCAACCTCTGATGTGAATTTTTTCTTTTCGTCTCAAAACAACTTTATCCTATAATATCATAATTTGTTTATATAGAACCATGTAGTAATAAATAAAACCAGGGAAATTTTTCTTTTTTCATTTATTACAAAATATTTCATTCAAGTAATCACTTGATTATTTTAAATGCAGAACCTTTTTGTGTTGTTTTAAATACTTACTTCTTCCAGCACCCTAATGAAATAAAACGAACTTTTTCTGTTACACTGCCCCTAGATTTCCTAAATAAAAGATTTTATTTTAGTTTTTTGAGTAAAAATAAAGAATTTTATAACCCCAGTTTTCAAACTTAAATCTGTCAGGTTTCTCCAAGGTATAGGGAATATAAAAGAACTAATATTCTTTCTTGCTTTTTTGATTGGGGTTCATTTTCGTAGTGATTGGAGTACTTGGCTAAATCCAAACCAATTTTTTTTTTTTTTCTGAGATGGAGTCTCACTCTGTCACGTAGGCTGGAGTTCAGTGGTACAATCTTGGCTCACTGCAACCTCGGCCTCCCAGGTTCAAGCAATTCTCCTGCCTCAGCCTCTTGAGTAGCTGGAATTACAGGCGTGCGCAACCACACCCAGCTAATTTTTGTATTTTTAGTAGAGATGGGGATTTACCATGTTGGTTAGGCTGGTCTCGAACTCCTGACCTCGTGATCCACCTGGCTTAGCTTCCCAAAGTGCTGGGATTACAGGTGTGAACGTGCCACCGTGCCCAGCCCATCCAAACCAACTTTAATACAAGAAAAACTCTCCGTGTATAGAAAAGTACTTCTTTAATACCTAAAAGGTGCTAAGCACCATTCCTGACAATGGGAATCCAGCAGTGAATAAAATGAAGGCTTCATCTTTATTGATTTTATGTACGAGTTGGGAGACAAACTATAAATGAATTTATATACATACAAGTACATGTATACACACACACATATAAAATAAGTCATGACAATGCCATACAGAAAAATGAAACAGAGCTATGGATGTGGTTCTTTTGATGGGGTGTCCAGGAAAAGCCTGATACCTGAGTAGAGGAGTGAGCTGCAATGCCATGCAGCTATCTGGGGAAGGAATGCCTCACACAGAAGGACTGGCATATTGAAGGGTGCAGAGGCAGAGGTGTGTCTTCCCATCTTAAGATGCTCATGGAATAGCAAAGGAGGCCAGGATGGCTGCAGCTGAGCAAGTGAGGAGGAAGGTGCTAGGAGATGAGGTTGGCAGAAGCCCTATCACTTAGCATCTTTTGGATAGGGAAGGGTTTGAATTTTGTTCTATGTGTGATGGGGAGCCATTGAAGGGTTTTTTGAGCAGGGAAGTGACATCACCTGGGTTACATTTTAAAGATTCACTCTGGCAGCAGAGTGAGAAATAGACTAAAGGAGGCAGGAGGACACGAGTGAAAACAGGGAGCTATAGCAAGAGTCTTTGTGGTTGCCCAGGCTAAAGATGATGCTGGCTTGGACTGGTGTAGTAGTGATAGACCTACACAAGTGGTAGGATCAAAACAGATTGAAGCTAGAGCTCACAGGAATTTGCTGCCATGTGTGAAAAAGAGGATAGAAATGACTGCTAGGTTGAGGTCCTAAAAAATGACTCCTAGGTTACTGATAATGCCATCTACTGAGATGGGGGCCCCAGGGGAGAAGCAGGCTGAAGCGGGAGCAGTAGTCCTGCTATGTCTGAGAAGACTGAGATACCTATCAGACATCTGTGTGGAGATGTAAAGGAGCATCCTCAATATTCTTGGGATATATCAGACTGGAATCGCATATCAGGATTTTGAGAGTCATTACCATCATTGTCATGGATATTTATTGAGTGCCTACCATGTAACAGGCAGCATAATCTCATTGAATCATCACAACACTCTGACATAAATAGTGTTTTCTCCATTTTATAGACTGAAAAAAAAAACAAAACAAAACTGAGATTTAGCTAGGCTAGATAACTTGCCTAAGGTTATGCAGCCAATCAGGGGTAGGCTTCAAACTCATACATTTTTAACTTCCAGATCTAATTGACTCTGACCTAAATAAGTAACTGTTAAATATCCCAAGTGATTTTCCATTTTTAAAAAAGTTGGACTTTTGAAAGATCAGTCTTAAATTTAAAATGTGAACAATTCTCAAATAATATAACTTAAGATATTGGAAATAAATGATATGAAGTTGGTTTGTTGTATATTCAGCTGAAATTGGGTACTCTCTTAGTGAAAGTAATTTTTATGTTCCATGACTCACTTTTAAGGCAATTAGAGTGTGAATATGTATATTCTAAAATGGTTGCTTATTTTGTAGGAATCCAATTTGCATATATAGTAGTGATCCTAACAACCATTAAGCTTGACCCTTCCTGGTGAAAAAGAAACAGGTAGATTATTATGCAGAGGTATCTAGAATTCTTCATGCTTTGTGAGTTTATTTAGCGAAGTACATCTTATACTGAGCTATCTAATAATAATGAGAAGAGCTGTAATGCCTCCGGTGAGAAAAAGTCAAGACAACATTTTTAATGCACAGCATTTTGTATGTGAAATGACATGAAAGGCAGTAAATGTATCTTGATAAATTCAAAGCATTATAAAGAGTCAGAGAATTAAAGTTGAGATCTTTTTATATAAACCCCCAGTTTCCTTTTACCTTCCACTCATGTCAGTATCTGTCTTTTTTCTAACAAAGTTTCTATGATGAACCATTATAAATGGATCTATTGATACCACAGAAAAGTCATAAATTTTCCGTAGAAACTATTATAGAAGCAGTACATGTGTATTGTAAAAAACCAGAAAATACTATAAGCAAATATAAAGTGATCACATTTTTAATTTTAATTTTTATGACTATATAGTAGGTATATAAATTTATCAGGTACATGAGATATTTTGAAACAGGCATACAATGCATAATAATCACATCAGGGTAAATGCGGTATTCATCACCTCAAGCATTTATCATTTCTTTTTGTTACAGACATTCCAATTATATGTTTTTAGTTATTTTTAAGTGTACAACAAATTACTGTGTAGTAATTACTGTGTAGTAATTTATTGTACACTTAAATGTAGTCACCCTATTGTGCTGAAAAATACTAGCTCTTATTCGTTCTATCTAACTATATTTTTCTGCTTATTAACTATCCCCACTTCCCAATCACCCCCACTACCATTCTGTCTATCTCCATAAGTTTAATTGTTTTGATTTTTAGCTCTCACAAATGAGTGAGAAAATGTGAAGTTTGTCTTTCTGTGCCTGGCTTATTTTATTAATACTTAACATATTGTCCTCCAGTTCCACCCATGTTGTTGCAAATGACAGGATCTCGTTCTTTTTCATGGCCGAATAGAACTCCACTGTGTATATGTACCACATTTTCATTATCCATTTATCTATTGATGGGCACTTCAGTTGCTTCCAAATCTTGACTATTGTGAATAGTGCTGCAGTAAACATGGGAATGCAGATGTCTCTTTGTTGTAATGATTTTCTTTCTTTTGGGTGTATACCTAGCAGTAGGATTGCTAGATGATATGATAACTCTATTTTTAGTTTTTTGAGGTATTCCCATACTGTTCTCCATAGTGGCTGTACTAATTTACATTCCCACCAACAGTGTACACAAGTTCCCTTTCCTCCACATCCTTACCGGCTTTAGTTCTTTCCTGCCTTTTGGATAAAAGCCATTTTAACTGGGGTGAGATGATATCTCATTGTAGTTTTGATTTGCATCTCTCTGATGATCAGTGATGTTGAGTACCTTTTCATATACCTGTTTGCCATTTGTATGTCATCTTTTGAGATATCTCTATTTAGATCTTTTGCCTATTCTAAATTCAAATTTTAGATTTTTTCCTATTGAGTTGTTTGAGCTCCTTATATGCTCTGGTTATTTATCTCTTGTCAGATTGATAGCTTGCAAATATTTTCTCCCATTCTGTGGATTCTCTCTTCACTTTGTTGATTGTTTCTTTTGCTGCACAGAAGCTTTTTAACTTGATGTGTTTCCATTTGTTCATTTTTGCATTGTTTGCCTCTGCCTCTAGGGTGTTACTCAAGAAGTCTTTGCCCAGACCAATTGCCTGGAGAGTTTCTCCAATGTTTTCTTGTAGTAGTTGCATAGTTCAAAGTCTTAGATTTAAGTCTTGAATCCATTTTGATTTGATTTCTGTGTATAGTGAGAGATAGAGGTCTAGTTTCATTCTTCTGCATACGGGTATCCAACTTTCCCAGAACATTTATTGAAGAGACCTTTCCCCAGTGTATGTTTGTGTTAGTCCATTATCACACTGCTATAAAGAACTGCCCAAGACTGGGAAATTTATAAAGGAAAGAGGTTTAATTGACTCACAGTTCCACATGGCTGGGGATGCCTCAGGAAACTTACAATCATGGTGGAAGGGAAAGCAAACACGTCTTTCTTCACATGGCAGCACGAAAGAGATGTGCCAAGCAAGGAAAAGCCCCATATAAAACCATCAGATCTTGTGAGAACTCATTCAGTATCACAAGAATAGCATGAGGGTAATTGTCCCCATGATTCAATTACCTCCCACCTGGTCCTTCACATGACATGTGGGGATTATGGGAACTACAATTCAAGATGAGATTTCGGTGGGGACACAGCCAAACCATATCAATGTTCCTGGCACTTTTGTTGAAAACGAGTTCACTGTAGATGTATGGATTCATTTCTGGGTTCTCTATTCTGTTCCACTGGTCTATGTTTATGCCAGTACAGTTTTGGTTACTATAGCTTTTGTTACTATGGCTGTCTTGGTTACTATAGTTTTGTAGTATAATTGAAATTAGGTAGTGTGATTCCTCAAGTGTTTTTCTTTTTGCTCAGGATGGCTTTGGCTACTGGAGGTTTTTTGTGGTTCAGTATAAACTTTAGGATTATTTATTCTATTTCTGTAAAGAGTATTATTGGTATTTCATAGAGATTGCATTGAATCTGTAGACCGCTTTGGGAAGTCTGGACATTTTAACAATATTGATTCTCCCAATCCATGAACATGGAATATCTTTCCATTTTGTTGTATTTTCAGTTTCTTGCATCAGTGTTTTATAGTTTTTATTGTAGAGATCTTTCACTTCTTTGGTTAAGTTTATTCCTAGGTATCTTTTTATATTTGTAGCTATTATAAATGGGATTACTTTCTTGATTTCTTTTTCAGATTATGTGCTGTTGGCATATAGAAATGTTGATTTTGTATCCTGTAACTTTACTGAATTTGCTTATCTGTTCTAATAGTTTTTTAGTGGCATCATTAGCTTTTTCCAAATATCAGATCATATCACCTGTAAACAAGGATAATTTGACTTTTTCTTTCCCAATTTGTACGTTATTTCTTTCTCTTCTCTGATTCCACTATCTAGGACTTCCAGTGATCACATTCTTACCATCTAAGATCATCATTGTTAAAGCTAGACTTTCTCTATGTCCCTATATATACACATTTTTAAACCAGAAGGAGAGTATGAAATGATATTTTACAAAGAGCATTCTAACCTGCTTTTTAAAATCAATAATCTTTATCCTTCCATCTCAGTAGATTTTTGTCTTATCTAATACATACCACATTTCCATTTGTGACCCCAAGGAATGTTCCACAGCTGATGTGTCTAGGCAAGATCTGATTTAGGATTACACATTATGTCTGGATGATATGTCCCTTAAGTATTTTTTAATCCAGGCAAGTTCTTTTATTTATTTGTTTGTTTATTTATTTTGAGATGGAATCTTGCTCTGTTGCCCAGGCTGGAGTGCAGTGGTGCAATCTCAGCTCACTGCAACCTCCACCTCCCAGGTTCAAGCAGTTCTGCCTCATCCTCCCAAGTAGCTGGGATTACAGGTACGGACCACCATGCCCGGCTAATTGTTTTGTATTTTTAGTAGAGACGGGGTTTCACCATGTTGGCCAGGCTGGTTTCGAACTCCTGACCTCAGGTGATCTGCCTACCTCGGCCTCCCAAAGTGCTGGGATTACAGGCTTGAGCCACTGTGCCCAGCCTAATCCAGCAAAATTCTTTGTTGAAGAGACACGGACAGGTGTTCCTCAGAATGCCTCAGCTTCTGGATTTGTCTATTACCTCCTTATGTCATTTATCCTGTTTCTTTGTCCTGTATATTCTTGCAAGTTGAACTTTACATAAAGGCCTGATGGGTTCAAGTTAAGCACTTTGCAATAGAATACATCATTAAGTGTGTTGCTACATCTTATTTAGGCATACCACAACATCTATTTAACCCACCAACGGTGATGCTAAAATTGCTGTCTTTGGGTGATGTGACTTCGATTTCCTACATTTTATAGTTAAGTCTTCCCTCCTTACAACAGACTATGGATATTTTAAAACCTCTCAAATTTATATTTTATTACACTGGAAATCTACTAATTTGGAACTCAGCAACATCTGAGCTATAATTTACTTTTGTTCAGCAAAACTCTTTCTTACAGTAAAAATTAATAATGTAAACTAAAGGGGAATAACAATTTTTAAAATGTTTTTAAGCACTTCAGACTAATCAGTTTACATATGTGTCATTGACACTGTATTTAATGGAATCTCCTTTTGTTAACTACTACAGCTAAAACTTTTAATAATTCAACACTTTAATAGACAAGTTTGTCTTTTCTATATATTTAGAGGTGATCTAATGGTTTTAAAAATATTTAATAATTCTCAATTTTTATCTGTTTGAGATAACCTTTACCTATCAATATTAGTTTGAATTACTAAAGTGCATTCTCTCTTTCTCTCTCTGTCTCTCTCTCTTTTTCTCTGTATCTCTCTGAGAAATTGCTGCCAATGTAGAAAATCTCTAATCATTTATAAATAATGGTTTTTGGAGGTCTACTGAAATGTATTTTTAGTAAATCTTACATACTTAATTGTGCCTTGTTAGGATCAATGAATGAACATTATGATGAGTTCCATCACTGAACATGACTCCTTCATAAACTTAGTAGGTAAAAATTAATTTCTTGATCAAGTCCAAGTTAAAAATATTAGATATCAGAACTCTAACGTTTATTGATATTGATGGTAATACAATGAAGAAAATGGCTCAATTGTTAACCAAGTATCTATTCTTTTATTTCAGCTGAAAATATTTGAATGTAGTATACCAAACAAGGGTTGGACACTTGTGGGTACTCCAGATATTGAATTATGTCTATGGAGAAGGGAAGGAACTGTGACTGGGGAGGGGGAACTTGGAGAACTTCTGAAATATCAGTAACATTAAAAGGAACATAACCTGGGCACGGTGGCTCACACCTGTAATCCCAGCACTTCGGGAGGCTGAGGCAGGCAGATCACCTGAGGTCAGAAGTTCGAGACCAGCTGACCAACATGGTGAAACCCTGTCTCTACTAAAAATACAAAAACATTAGCCAGGCGTGGTGGTGGGTGCCTATAATCCCAGCTACTCAGGAGGCTGAGGCAGGAGAATCGCTTGAACCTGGGAGGTGGATGTTGCAGTGAGCCAAGATTGCGCCATTGTACTCCAGCCTAGGCGACAAGAAGAAAAGTCAGTCTCAAAAAAAAAAACAAAATAAACGTATATGTTTTGTACTTTTCTGTAAGTATGGCATATTTTATATTTAAAAAAGAAAAAGCATGGAATTAGTAAAATGATAGATATATGCCTTAAATATGTTTAATCTAAAGCTCACCAATATACTTGTACCTGCCAATCTTTTAATATTATGATTTATCTTTTTGTTCTTTGTTTTTACTATGCATTATATACTTTTAATGATTTATCTGTTGTACAGAGTTCAGAGTAATCTTTCTTTACACAAATCACTTTCGTTGTGTATCATTTATAATTTCTAGTTTTGAGGGTTTTTTCATGAAGAAAAAATATTCTGGACATGTACAACGTTTTCACAATCTTGCACAGTTGTTATACCTTTGCCTCACCTAATAGCAATTTTGTTTACTCCTGAGTCTTTCCAACAATTTTTTAGACTTATTTTATCAGTTTATTTCATAGGTAATTAAATTATAGTTATAAATATAAATGGCACAAATATTGTACAGTCTGTTCTTGGAGGCATACAGATGAATTGTTGGAGCAGAAATGTAGAGGAGTATTAGAGAGCACCTACTGGCTGTGTGTGTTCACATTGCCTTTGGCATTGGTCACTATGCTTGAGAGCAAGGGTGGATAAACATTTTCTGTAAGGGGCCAGATGGTAAATATTTTAGGGTTTGTGAGCCCATATTGTCTGTGTCACAGCTACTCAACTCTAGTGCAAAAGTAGCCATAGATAATAAGTAAGCAAACGGGTGTGGTTGTATTGCAGTCAGACTTTCTTTACCTTACCAAGCTGCGGGCTGGATTTGGCTCATAGGCTCTAGTTTGCGGATCCTGATTTATAAAATGAAGCAAGTGTTAGTTAACCTGGAGTATCACTTAAAACAGAAGACTTTTAAGAGTGCTTCTCCTCTGTCTCTGAAGAAAGTCCTAAATAAATTTTAATTTGTAAAATAACAATCTCTTAGCTTGGAATCAAGTGGGAAGTGGAATACACTGTTAATTTCACAACAAATAAGGACTTTTATTATGTCATGCTAAAGAATAAATATAAATTGTAAGAATAAATATATTGCAAATATTGGCCAAAGGAAGTTTAATTGGTTGGGAGAATAAAGGTATCATTGTAGAGGAAAATAGATTGTAGTGTTTGTAAATAATAGTTTAAATATCAGTGATAATTATTATCCCCAATATTAAGTGCAAAAGAGCCTATAACTTATTATCCTGTAAGAATTAGGATGTGTTACAACTAGAAGAAAAATCATAACAGGCAACAAATATTTGTAATTGAATGCTGAGAGTTCCAAAAGATTATGATTTGCTAAGAGAAAAGAATTAGAGTACAAGTCTTAATGCTAGGATCCTCTGATCTATAATCAGATTCAACACACTGAAAATATGGAATTCTTAAAGCAACTGGTTTTAAAATTGCATTACTGATAATGTAGCCTCTTCCAGTTCAGTTCCACACCTTCAAAATGTATTCAGAGAAACTCAGTCCTCAACAATAAAATTCTATCCGTGCTTTCTCCCAGAGCACCTGCCCAGTAATAATAAAGTATTTGTCATCCTTGCAGTACAGTTTCATGGTCTCCAGTTTCTCCCTATAAACATTTGCAGGTTGGTTGAAAGCGTGAAAGATAAATCTTTGTTATTATAATTATGGAATATTGCCAAGGAATAATCCCCTACTCCAGCCAGTTTTCTTCATAGAGATTATCTGTCACATGTGTTTTATTGGCCATTTATGCAGAATAAGATTGAAATTAGATTACATCATATATTGCCTGCCATCCTTTTTTATCTTTTCTGAATAATCAGCTACGTTAAAGCTTTTAGCCTTATCTTTTTTGTGTCTTGGGACATGTGTTTAATTAAAAAGCAACTTATTCAGAGTTCAGAGTTTTCTTAGTTTGACTTTTCCCCCATATAACGGTATTAAGATTTGTCCATGGAAACCTGTCCCATTGTAGTACTGTATTCCCCATTAGACATGAACTCCTATTAGGAAGATTATGGAGAGATCATGTTAAATGGGTTAGGATATTGTAGAGATAATGTAAACTGATTTAGGCATGGTTTTATCCCTTTGTGATAGAAAGGGTATTTAAAAACTGAAATGAGTTGGATGACTGAAGTAGTTGGCTTTTTTTGTTTTGTTTTGTTTTAAGTTTTTTTTTCTTTTATTATTATACTTTAAGTTTTAGGGTACATGTGCACATTGTGCAGGTTAGTTACATATGTATACATGTGCCATGCTGGTGCACTGCACCCACTAACTTGTCATCTAGCATTAGGTATATCTCCCAATGCTATCCCTCCCCCCTCCCCCCACCCCACCACAGTCCCCAGAGTGTGATATTCCCCTTCCTGTGTCCATGTGAGCTCATTGTTCAATTCCCAACTATGAGTGAGAATATGCGGTTGGAAGTTCTGGCCAGGGCAATTAGGCAGGAGAAGGAAATAAAGGGTATTCAATTAGGAAAAGAGGAAGTCAAATTGTCCCTGTTTGCAGACGACATGATTGTATATCTAGAAAACCCCAATGTCTCAGCCCAAAATCTCCTTAAGCTGATAAGCAACTTCAGCAAAGTCTCAGGATACAAAATCAATGTACAAAAATCACAAGCATTCTTATACACCAGCAACAGACAAACAGAGAGCCAAATCATGAGTGAACTCCCATTCACAATTGCTTCAAAGAGAATAAAATACCTAGGAATCCAACTTACAAGGGATGTGAAGGACCTCTTCAAGGAGAACTACAAACCACTGCTCAAGGAAATAAAAGAGGATACAAACAAATGGAAGAACATTCCATGCTCATGGGTAGGAAGAATCAGTATCGTGAAAATGGCCATACTGCCCAAGGTAATTTACAGATTCAATGCCATCCCCATAAAGCTACCAATGCCTTTCTTCACAGAATTGGAAAAAACTACTTTAAAGTTCATATGGAACCAAAAAAGAGCCCGCATCGCCAAGTCAATCCTAAGCCAAAAGAACAAAGCTGGAGGCATCACACTACCTGACTTCAAACTATACTACAAGGCTACAGTAACCAAAACAGCATGGTACTGGTACCAAAACAGAGATATAGATCAATGGAACAGAGTAGTTGGCTTTTAAAGTTCTTTTCAGTGGAGGTTCCAGGAGTCTTTGCTTAAAGGAAGCTGCACCAATCTGGTTTCCTCCTGCAGTATGGGCTGTTCTTTCTCTTTTCTCAGTCTCCAGTGTTCACTTACCCTTTTTGGCTGGACTTCTGAATGTTGGGAGTCACCTGAGGCATTATCTCTTGCTTCCATGGCTTAAGTACCATCTGATGGCTCCTAGATTTTTACCACCAGCGTTGATCATCTTCCTGGGCTCCAGATTTGTACATCAACTCACTACTGAGCATCCCTAACCAGATGTCTAACAGGCATCTTGAACATGTAAAATACTCAAAACACAACTATTTATATCCATTCGCCCTACTGTCATCATCCTCCACACACATAACAACATTCTTCTTAGTCATGTTTTACACCTCAGAAAATAATGCCACTTTCCGCTAAAAACCAGTTCTCTTGTTCCACACATATAAATTCATCAGCAAATCCTGTCATCTTTACCTCCTAAATGTCCCAAACCCTGCCACTTCTCACTAGCTGTACTTGCAGTTTCCTAAATTAAGCCTCTTCATTCTTTGACTGCACTATTGCAATAGCTTCCTAAGCTTACACTCATATGTTCCAAAAATCCATTCTCTTCCCAAGCAGCCAGAGTATTGAAAAACATAAATCACTTGAGACCAGCCTGGCCAACATAGCAAAACCCCGTCTCTAATAAAAATGCAAAAATTAGCTGGGCATGATACTAGGTGCCTGTAATCCCAACTAGTTGGGAGGATGAGGCAGGAGAATCACTTGAATCCAGGAGGTGGAGGTTGCAGTGAGCTGAGATCATGCCATTGCACTCCAGCCTGGACAACAGAATGAGACTCCACAAAAAAAAAAAAAAAAAAGAGAGAAAGAAAGAAAAACATAAATCAGATATATCAATTCCTATTTCCTATTCTCCAAAGACCTCCCATTGTCCTTAGAATAAAATCCAAACTATTCACCAAGACCCTGTATGAACTGATGCCTACCTGCATTTAGTGTCATCTCTTGCAACTTTTCCCTTAGTCACCATACATCAGGTACATTAGCTTTCTTTGTTCAGAACCACCAAGCTTTTTCTCGCCTGGGGCCTTTGCACTTTTTGTCTGGAACACTTTTCCAGAGCATTGCAGGACTGACTGCTTCTTTTCATTTATGTTGCACTTCAGCTGCCCTATATAAAAGGACAACACCCTTTCCCCTAACTCTCCCTATTCCTTTGACCCTTTATCTTATCTATAGCATTTACCATCTGGCCTGTATTTAATTGGGTTTGGTTTGCTCATTCTCTCTCCTCTCTCATTATTTGATTCAGGCTGGTTACAGAGATTTTAGCCTGGGAAAAATGAGTAGCAGCTCCTCTGAAGGAAATGATTGTCCATTGCTATATGGGTGGGTGATGTGTTAGGCAGCAAATAATCTATTTGGCCTACTCATTGGCTGAGGCACATGCAACTCACTCCTCCTATTTGCTACTTTGTACCCATCCCTATCACACAGATGTGCCATTTTGATCTTTTCATTGCTCAAGAGAAAACTCAAAACAACTTTTTCTAAATGCTTGGTTACAGTTCTTAAAACAACAAGAAGAGTTAAATTGTCAGCTAGCTCTCTGTGGACCTTCAGGAACCCAGATATGAAAACTCGTGTGTAAAAGTTGCCTGTAGAAGTTTAGACATCTGGTTCAGTCCTGCAAGATGCCTGTCTCTCACAAAATGTGTTTGTGGTATCTAGGGTGAAATTCTGTATAGTTAGGAAAATAGAGAAGGTCAAAGAGGTAGTTATGCAGAAGAAATCCACTTTCTTCATTTGACTACTATGTAAAAGCTCTGAACTTTTCTATTTCTGGTCCTTTATAATTCACTTTGCTTAGGTTGCACTATTTTGCAAGAAGGCTCAAAATAAGGAGTGGATAGAGTCTATACCCAATATCCATGGCTTTAGAATGACCAAAGCCAGGCTTCTTTAAACCCAGAGATAAGACCCAGGACATGAGATCACAGAAGTCTCTCAAACAGAGACCAGAGTATAGAAATGAAGGTAGAATAATTCTGCAGAAGAGAATTCTGCAGAGTATAGAAATGAAGGTAGAATAATTCTGCCGAAGAGAGTAATTCCTTTCCATTCTCACGACAACTGCTGAATTCTGGAGTCACATGGGAGCCTGGGGCTGCCCTCCAGTTACTCCAGTGCAACCCTGGTGAACGACTGTGGCTGCTACTGTTCTTGAAACATGAATGTCAGACTTGTTTCCCATACAGTTCCACTATGGTAACTCCTGTTTTAGGAGCAAACTTCTACCCCACTAGGGCTCATATCATGGAGTTATGCCAAAAAATAAAAGATATTCCTTCTGAACAGCTGTGATCCAGTTATACCTAACATTACACATTATACTCACCATGTTATTTCAGCCAACTCTCAGCATTTGTCACAGTCCTCCATACAGATGGTCCTCAACTTACACTGGTTCAACTTACAGTTTTTCAGCTTTACAATTGATTTATCTGGACGTAACCCCACTGCAAATAGAGGAGCATCTAGACTTTCAATGGCTCAACTTGCAACTTTTCGACTTTACAATAAGTTTATTGGGGCATTAAATGCATTTTTAATTTATAGTATTTTCCACTTAACAACAGGTTTATTGGGATGTAACCCATTGTAAATTGAGGAGCGTCTGTACTTGGATTTCATCTTCATTTTGATACTATTTGCAACCCTTTTGCCTAAGAAAATTAGCCTACTGTGATGATTTAGACTAATATCTATTGGAATCTGTCTTGACAGGTTTTCAGATATTTTAAAAATATACATATGCCCTTCTGTTTCCAACAGCCTTTTCTTCTCCAATTTTAATCCATAATTTTATGTATCTGTTCAGAATTTTTCATCCATCAGAACATTGCTTTGTTTTCATGAAATCTTGTATTGGTTTCTTATGTATTTTCATCACTAAATGCACTTGGGCTATAACTCAGCTCTTTGTGCAGAGGCTGGCTTTTCATATTGTCATTAATAATTCATGAGCTCCATAGAATTACTCTAAACCTTTTTAACCAAGTATCTTGAATCTTAACAGATCCAGTGTCATTTCAGTTTCTAGTTTAGAAAAAAAAAAAAGATTCAGTGACTAGCCTTGCTGTCTCAGGAGACCTTGAATAAGAATTTCCTTTTTTCTGTATCTTGTTTCTAGTTCAAGATGCCTGAAAAACCTAGAGTGTAGAAATGCTGCCTATCAGAAGTAACAAAATTAAGCCAATTAAGTGATCTTATAGACTGACAAGCACCATAGGGGTCAGAGAAGGAAATTTCCTATCAAAACTCTTCACAGAAGCCTCCTAAGGGTAGCACTCAAAGCTCAGAAGACACCTGGGGAGGCTCCTCTATCAGTTAGTAAGCCACATGCACGCTCCTCCCAGCCTAGGAGGAAGCCACGATGAAATTATCTCTTGTTGGGCCCAGACCTGCAGAATCCAACTGACTGCACTGGGTATGGAAACATGCACCGATGCTTTTGTAGTCTTCATATTTATTTCCCCAAAGAAGCTACACTTAAAATTTTGAGGCGTGAGCTAAGTCTCGGAATAATGAAAATTTAGTATGTATTTTTCAGAGCTCCAAGTCAATCTGGTGGTTGGGATTAGATTGCTTTCTCTTTTTTTTCTGCCTTTTCCTTCTCTCTGTCTTTCTCTTTTAAGTTGTTTAAGAGATTTGGGGGTTTTTGTGGGAGGTGGAGGCTTTTCTCCTGATTTCATTCCTCTTGATTTCAATTTTTTAAGTCCCGTTGGAATCAATACTCATAAAATAGAACAGCTTGTCTCATCTGCTGCATTATAATCCAGTAGAATCTATCTTCTTTCAGAATAGTGAGATGTTTTTAAACACTGGTACATCTAAAAAAAAAGGTCATTTCCTTTACAAATTTGTGTTTTCATTAACGCAAATTTCCTATCTTTCTTGAAAGATAGAATAATTTTTCAGGCCCTCTGATATGTATAAAACCGCTCCACACAACCATTATAGATTTTGAAAAGCAAGAGGAATACAAGAGGACTTTGTTCATCTGGGACTAGAATTTCTAAATTAACCAAAATGAATCATTCTCTATATTTGAGTGCAGCTGATTCCACTGGAAATGTATTAATGATGAGACTGATTGCTGCATTTCACAATTGTATTTTGCTTGTATTTGTAATTATGGTGTCACAGCTACTTTCTGTTTTTTTAAATCAAGTCATCTTTAATCAAGTCCTTTTTTCTGCTTGGGGAAATAGCACCCCCAAAAGACATGGTTGCAGGCCCATTTACTTGATGATTGTTTTAGGGCATTGCTTCTTAGACTTTTAATGTGCATATGAATCACCTGTGGATCCTTTTTAATCTTCAGATTCTGAAATAGGTCGGGGTGGAACTCAGGATCCTGCATTTCTTTTTTTTTCTTTTTCCTTCCTTCCATCCTTCCTTCCCTTTTTTCTTCCTTCCTTTCTTTCTTTTTTTCTTTTTTTTTTTTTTCCTTTGAGACAGGGGTCCCACTCTGCTGCCCAGGCTAGAGTGCAGTGGTACAATCTCAGCTTACTGCAGCCTCTACCTCCCGGGATCAAGTGATACCCCAATCTCAACCTCCTGAATAGCTAGGACCACAGCACCCACCCCTATACTCGGCTAATTTTTAAAATTTTTTGTAGAGACAGTGTCTGACTATGTTACTCAGGCTGGTCTTGAACCCCTGGGCTCAAGCAGTCCTCCCACCTTGGCCCCTTGAAGTGCTGGGATTACAGGCGTGAGCCACCGCGCCCAGCCAAGATCCAGCATTTCTAACAAGCCCCTGGTGATGCCATTGCTGCTAGTCCACAGACTAAATTTTAAATAGCAAGATTTTAGAATATCTTTACATAAAAATTTCAAATTTAATAATTCTGAAATTGGAGGGTAAAGGTTAGAATTAAATAGGTTAGTTGTAAGGACCAACCTATTTAATTTAATTCCAAGGGTGGAATTAAACAGGTTCTAAAGACAGGTCAGTGAAGACAGATCCAATGTTTCACATCCTGGTAGATACATCCTTTGTACAAAAGTTGCTTTCTTTGCGACTCCTCCACTATTTTAACAGCAAACCAACGGACAGCTTATGTTCAAATTCCTTGTGGATGGAGATAGTTTATTTACTATGTTCCAATCTTTATATGCCTAGAGCCTAGCATATTCCCTGGCACTTAATCCATGGCCAATTAGTGAGTTGAATTGAATCAAACTGAATTGATTGAACTTCACTGGAACAATATAGGGAAAGGACCTGGTTTTGTAACTTTAAAGTCACTTCTTTCCTCTTTAAGTGATTTATACTGCTTTTATGTACAAATTGAAAATGAACCTGTCAGTAATTGATTACTAATTTCCAGTATTATGCTTTTTTTCAAGTCATATTCTCTTAAAATGCAACATGAAAAAATACAAATGCAAATTAAAGATAATGAAGATTCAAGAATCTCAAAGCTGTTATATTCCTAGGAATACTAAATGAAATTCTATCTCCAATAAGCAGACTTTGGCAATCATTTATTATTTAAGAATTTTATTCTGGGGATAAGAGGGAAGGCATTCCTAGACTATTTTGGCAGATTCTAACCTGTTCTTCTCACTTCTAAAAGTTTATTCTTGATCTTCAATAAAAATATGCAAATTCAAAATATTGTAGTTAGTGTATTTGCAACCTACACAGATTTCAATAAATGATTGTATCAGTATCAGTATTGCACAAATAAAACTTGAATGCTATTTTTCATTCTTTTCTTTTGGTATTTGATTTTGCCTCTTTTATGTTTTAACAGCTTTATGGAGATACAATTCACATACTACACAGTTCACCCATTATAAATCTACAGCTGTCTTTCAGTATACTGAGAGTTGTATATCCATCACCACAATCAATTTTAGAATATTTTCATTATCCCACAAAGAAATCCTGCATCTCTCAGCCATCACCCCCAACTTCTTCCCTCTTCTTAGCCCTCATTAACCACAATCTACTTTTTGTCTCTATAGATTTATCTCTTCTGAACATTTCGTGTCAATAAAATCATATGTGGTCTTTTGTGACTTGCTTCTTTCACTTAGAATAATGTTTTCAAAGTTTCATCCATGTTATGGCATGTATCAGTTCTTCCTTCCTTTTTGTGGCTGAATAATATTTAATGATATGGCTATACCATATTTTATTTATTAGTTTGTAGACATTTAGATTGTTTTTACCTTTTAGCTATTATGCATAATACTGCTATAAACATTTGTGTGCACATTTTTAGGTGGAAATATGTTTTCATTTCTCTTATATATCTAGGAGCAGATTTGCTGAGTCATATGGTAACTCTATGTTTAACTTTTGAGAAACTACCAGATTGCTTTCCAAAGTGACTCTACCATTTTACATTCCCACCAGCAGTGTATGAGGGCTCCAATTTCTCCACATCCTCTCCAACACTTGCTATTGTCTGTCTTATTGATTGCAGCCATCCTAGTGGGTGTGAAGTGGTATCTCATTGTGGTTTTGACTTGCATTTCTCCGATTATCATTAGTATTTCCCAGTGATATTAAGCATCTCCTCATGTGCTTGTTGACCATTTGTATGTCGTCTTTGAAGACATGTCTATTCAGATTCATTGCCCATTTTAAAATTAGACTTTGTCTTTTTATTATTGAGTTGTAAGAGTTCTTTATATATTCTAGATATAAGTACCTAATAAGATACGTGATTTGCAAAAATATCTTCCCATTCTGTGGGTTCTCTTTTCACTCTCTTGATAGTGTCTATTTTTTTTTTTCTTTTTTTCACATGGAGTCTTGCTCTGTAGCCCAAGCTGGAGTGCAGTGGCACTATCTTGGCTCACTGCAGCCTTCAACTCCCAGGTTCAGGCAATTCTTGTGGCTCAGCCTCCTGAGTAGCTGAGACTATAGGTGCGTGCCACCATGCCTGGCTAATTTTTTGTATTTTAGTAGAGACGGGGGGTCTTCAATTTTGATGAATCTAATTTATTTTTTCATCTGTTGCTTGTACTTTTGATGTCATATCCAAGAAACCAGTGCCTAATCCAATGTCATGAAAGCTTACCCCCATGTTTCCTTCTGAGAGTTTTATAGCTGTAGGTCTCACATTTTTGTCTTTGATCAATTTTGCATTCATTTTTGTATGTGGTGTTCTTTTACTTTTTAAGTGCTGTGATCTTGGCTACCATGCAAGTCTGAACAGAGCCCTAAGAACATATCTGTCTGCGGAGTACAACCTTGAAACCTCCAGACATGAGGGCTTAGACATTATTGAGAATGCAGTTGATAATTTAGAGCCCAGGAGCGATAAGCAGAGATTCATGGAGATGTACCCTGCTGCGTTCTGTCCACCAATGAAGTTTGAGTTTCAGTCTCACATGGGTGATGAGGTCAGTAATTGATCATTTTTAAAATAATGAATTGTCTCTTCACTTATATTTCTCCTCACTTGCTATAATCTAACAGTTGTAATAATTCCCAGTTGTTTTCTCTCTCCTGTCCTTGCAGAGGCTCTTAATATAATGCTAAGATTAGTCGCTACCGCCTTTTAAAGCAAACGTCAAACACTCAAATACCCACAGAGGCCAAACAGATAAAAGGTGCAGATTTGCCTTGCACTAAGCTGTCCCAGAATAGAAAGTTTTTGTTCCACCTCAAGACATTTTAATTTAATGAAAATGAAGGCATTTTGCTGGTCTGATAGAATCTGTCTGATGGCTTCTGATAATCCTGATTTAAAGATTCTCATAAAGAAAAGTAATTGTATGTGGCAGGAAAATGGAAGAAGGAAAAAAAAGTACAAAACTTTTTTTAAAATTCAAGTTGGCTCCAAAGCTATAAAATGAGCCTTAGAAATTATGACTGTTTTAGATCCTTTATATAAATTCAGCTTTCTATGTTATTTTACCAAAAAAAATGCATTTAAACTGATTATGAGTTACAGTTGTTTATATTATTGTCTACAGACAGGAGAAAACAAAAAAAGCCAACTTAGGGAGCATGCTATATAGCACTTGTTGTCTCAGCTGTGCAAAACAAAACTCATAGATAAAAACTCAGTCTTAACTTATTATGGTGACAGTCTGTTTTTCCAAATGTAATTATAAGATCATGAAAAGATTTCTTTAATGCTATGTTTTTTTCTGAAACACCAAGTATTAAGACATGTAAAATATATACATGTTTTTATATATATTTTATATATATATACACATATAATGTACCTGCTGTATTTCTAATTGGATTTTATGTGTGTTTGATAGAAATGGTATTTAAGCCAAACACACATGGATTTTGACAAGCAAGATGAGTAGCTTATCCCATCTTTCCAAAACCAAATGGTTGCTGTTTTAATTTTTCAGCTGTGGATATGTTAAGCATGGCATGTTAACATATCACAGACAAATGACATCAGTTGTATTTTAATGGTTTAATTGTTTTAATAAAGTAAGTTGGTTGCCCTTTTTTTATGGCCAGTTCTGCTAAGGAGCAGTGGTAATCTCTCTAATGTTTTGGAAACTCTATAAAAGGAACCCCCATGAGCCAAGAGCATTTCTAAAACAAGGCAGATAAGAAGAAATTGTTTGTTTCTGGTGCAGTTTTAATAATGCTCTAATTTTGAACTTATCCATAATTGAGATCATGGCCAAATATCTTCTATCAAAACCTAAGATAAGTGACTTCTTGAAGTTCATGGTGAATCACGTGACTTGGCTGATATTGGTTAGGGAAGCCATATTTGAAAGATGCTAAAGTAGTCATTCACATTTTCTGAGTTTTTACTGTGTGCCAAGCACTGTTCTAAGTTCCTTGTGTACGTTGTCTCATTTCATTCCCACAGCAGCCCTGTGATATAAGAACTCTTATCCTCATTCTACAGATTAGGAAACTGAGGTTTTGTAACTTACCACAGTCACCTGGCTGGTAGGGGACAGAGCTGGCGTTCGAGTACAACTGACGGACTCGAGAGCTCAGACCCTAACCAGTAAGCCCTGCTGCCTTCTTTACTTATGTCCGTACAATCCACTTGAATCATCTTCTGCCTCTGCAAAAGAGTCATTAAGAATTCCACGAGTGAGATTTCAGCATCGGAGCTCCATCGCAGGAACCGCCCCATTCTTACCACAGTCCTTCCTGCAGCTGCCATCTTCCCAGTTGTAGCCAGGCCAAGCAGCTGCATTCTGCTATTGCAGCTTATGTAACAGCTCCATATTTACAAGTGAAGTTTTGATGTGCCTATTAAAAGTAAATATGTAATTGGAACCTTGAGAGGATTGGTGTGATTCATGCATCATTTAAATAACAGAGCCGTGCTTCTGGAGGTGGGTTGATGGTGCCCTGTTGTAACTGGTTTCTCATTCTCCATCAGGTGTGCCAGGTCAGTGCCCAGCAGCCAGTCCAGGCAGAGCTCATGCTCAGGTACCAACAGTTGCAGTCCCGCCTTGCCACGCTCAAAATCGAGAATGAAGAGGTGAGCATGCGTTCGTCCTGCCACACCAGTAATCTGAATTCAAATATAACTGGAAGACATTCTCACATGACTTGGGCATATTTAATATTCAAGATTCAACCTCTTCATCACGTATTTCCTGCTCTCAGGGTTCCTGTAGTACTCTTTGTAGGGGATAAATGCAAAGATTCTGTATTCTGCCATAGATTAATATTTTACTAGACACTCAACTGCATATACATGTAAACACAATTTTTTTTACCTTAAATTGTAATTTATACTGAAAATAGTTCCCGTGGGTTATCAAATTCAACATATATATCCAAAAATATACAATCTTTTGTACAGTGGAACTTTTGACTAACATGTTAACTTATTTTAAAAAATATTTTGTAGAGATGGGGCCTTGCTATGTTGCCCAGACTGGACTCAAACTGCCGGCTTCAAGCAGTCCTCCTGCCTTGGCCTCCCAAAGTGCTGGGATTACAGGCATGAGCCATTATGGTGCCTGGCCCACAGTGTGCCATGTTAATTTAATCCTAACTTTTAAAATTCACTTCTTTTTTTCCTTATGCTTTCCTATATTCTCTAAATTTTTGGTACTGAACATGGCATTACTGATATAATTAGAACAAAATCATATTTTCAAATGGTACTTGAATGAGGATAGAAAATGTTTATTTGCCAGCATTACTGTATTTAAATGAATAGAATATAAAATATGATTTATCAATATATGTTGAGCTAGGAAGCAATTATACAATTCAGCTGCCTATTTCTGAAATTAACTTACTTGAATTCACGTTCTCCTAAAATAAAGATACAAACCACAAATGTTTCTTGCATTAGTCAAGGCTCCCAATTGTAATTTACAGGAACACAAGTTAAAAAGTTAACTATTGGTCAGTGTTTGCAGTATCCTCAGACATCACTGGATTTGTGTTCAAATGATGTTATCAGGACTCTCTCTTTATCACTTTGAAGTGATTTCTTCATGTGTGTTGGTAGTGTTTTCAGGATAGACGCAGAACTATGTGGTCCCTTTTAAAGCTTTCCATCCCACTCCATCCTAGCATTCTTGTCTCTGAAGTAGGACTGACTCTTCACTGACCTGGCTGAAGTCATGCATACTTCTGGACAAACCATTACATCTAGGAAATGAGATTCTGTCATTGGCCAACCTGGAGAATGTGCAGCTCATAGAACTCTTTGATTGAGAATTCCAACAGAAATAGTGTATTTCTAGAGACAGACAATTCCCAAAAGAAAGGACTGTGGGACAGAAGCAAAAAAATAACTTACAGTGATAAAGTGAATTATCAAAATTCACTTTCATACCCTGTTTTGTTTTAATCCCACCAAGATGTTTGAGCTCTGTGTATTTGTTTCTGTTAAGAAAGAATGATGTGTTTTTAGACCAGTATAATTTGGTCAAAACCCATTGTAATTTTTGGCTTCTATTATTCCGAGTAGAAACAAACTAGCCCTTATTCAAATGTGTATATTTAAGATGCAACCAATGTCATCTCTATGTAGGGTCCCACAGATGAGCCTTTCCAAAGGAAAGCTATTGCTCACCTTGAGGCAGCGTTTGAGAGCCTAGGTTTTGTCTAGGCTTCACAAAATACCTAATGCAGTTTACTGGATCCTATTCTATCTACAGTTTGTATGTCTAGTGACTTCCCTTGTTTTTCCCTGCATATCCTCCTGCTGTTTTATTTGGATAACATTCTCTAAACTCAAGGAAAATAGTGTATTATACACAAAGTCAAAACTGGCAGCTCACAGATCTGTTTTGTTTGGCTCCCAAAGTTTTGACCTGTTTTTTTTTAAAAGAAAAAAAAAAGGTCTGGCCACTCTGGCCCTGCACTGCCTCATGAATTGAAGAGCTGGGGCATTTGAATCCTACTTTGCCAGTCATTCAACTCCCAGTTCTCTTACACTGGACTGTTTGTGTTACCTGTCTGGCCTCCGCAGGCCTTTGAGTTTGTGATCCTTAATGTATGCCTTTTTAGGCATAATGTGGAGAAGCACAGTGTCCTTATAAACTTAGAGAGTCAGGCAGTGCTTTGTGAGGGTTAATTTTTAAAAATTATCTAAAGAACTTGGGAAGCTGAGGGAGGATCTGTTGAGCCTAGGAGTTCGAGACTGCACTGAGGTGAGATGGTGCCACTGCACTTTAGCCTGGGTGACAGAGCAGGACCCTGTCTCTTAAAAATATTAATTAATTAAAATAAATTTTTAAAAACCTACTGACTGCAAAATAAAACTTAAAAAGTAATTTTTAAACATTAGCTGAAAAAGCAAATGAATTGGATTATCCTAATGTTTCTTGTGAGCATGACTACTGGTTTATGATTTGTTGAACACCGAAGAAAATTTACTGTAGTGGAGTGGGATTCCCAAAGAAAGTAAGATTTCAATTAGATTTTCGATAATCAGTAGATACCATAAAAATAGAGGGAAGAAAAGATACTTCAATATATGTCAAGGTGCTTTGGGAGAATAGAACAGTTTGGTTATCACCCCAGTTCTCTTTGGGGATGAACTGATGGAGAAGGTGAGGTCATTCAACAAGAAGCTTTGAGAGCCAAGTTAAGGAGTTTTGTTACTGTGGTTCAGTACAATAAATACTGAAGGTCCCCTGGGGCTTGAGGCTGCATGGAGCTATGGTTGTGCCACTGCACTCTAGCCTGGGTAATGGAATGGGACCCTGTCTCCCAAAAAAAAAAAAAGTTGAGAGAGAATTTCACCCAAGTTTTAAAAAGCATGGACAGTACAGCTAAGTAGAACATGAGCCTTTTCACCAAATCTTAGAATACTTTAAATAGTCACTTTGGGAGATCAAGGCGGGCAGATTGCCTGAGCTCAAGAGTTCGAGACCAGCCTGGGCAACGTGGTGAAACCCCGTCTCTACTAAAATATGAAAAATTAGCTGGGCATGGCAGCATGTGCCTGTAGTCCCAGCTACTCAGGAGGCTGAGACAGGAGAATCACTTGAACCCGGGAGATTGCAGTGAACCGAGATCGTGCCGCTGCACTCCAGCCTGGGCAACAGAGCAAAACTCTGTCTCAAAAAAAAAAAAAAAAAAAAAAAAGTAGTAGGCACCACCTGCAACAGACCCTATCTGGCCCATGAAAAAAAAATTTTTTTTGAGACAGGGTCTCACTCTGCCACCCAGGCTGGGGTGCAGAGGCACAATCACAGCTCATTGCACCTTGACCTCACAGGCTCAGGTGATCCTCCCACCTCAGCCCCCTGAGTAGCTGGGACTACAAGTGTTAACCACCGTGCCCGGCTGATTTTTGTATTTTTCATAGAGACAGGGTTTCCCCATGTTGCCCAGGCTGGTCTCTAACTCCTGGGTTCAAGCGATCCGCCTGCCTTGGCCTCCCAAGATGCTGGGATTACAGGCGTGAGCCACCACTCCTGGCCTGAAAACTTTTGTTTGCTCTACAGTGCTTGGGTTTTGAAAGTTATTTGCTGTCCTTTAAACACTGTAAGTTTTCAAAAAAATATTAATATGCAGGGTGGGCACAGTGGCTCACGCCTATAATCCCAGCACTTTGGGAGGCCAAGGCGGGCAGATCTCTTGAGGTCAGGAGTTCGAGATCAGCCTGGCCAGCATGGCAAAACGCCGTCTCTACTAAAAATATAAAAATTAGCCAGGCATGATGGCGCATGCCTGTAGTCCCAGTTACTCAGGAGGCTGAGGCAGGAGAATCACTTGAACCCAGGAGGCGGAGGTTGCAGTGAGCCGAGATCATGCCACTGCACTCCAGCCTGGGCAACAGTGCAAGACTCTGTCTCAAAAAAAAAAAAATGTGTGTATATATATACATATTATAAATATATATTATTTATCAATATCCAGCCTCTTTAAAAATTAGAAGAACTGATCACACTAGACCTGTGTTTCTACAGGACGGTAACTGACTTCCCTTAGACACAGAATGTGTGCTTCCTGTTTGCCATGTTCTCCACTCAGCCCACTCACCTCATTTTCATGGCTTGCCTGGCCCTTAAAGATATTTGAGTTTGTATCACCTGCCTTAAAACAAAGAGAAGAGAGCAGTACACACTTGTGAAATGGCCTCAGTATACTTACAAGTAGTAAAAGTTAAAAGGTTTGAGAGGGCTTAATTAAATACGTGGTTGGTGAAGATTCATAAGAGATTGTGACATTTATTGTCACTTCCCAACTTTACATTTACCTGTTAAACTTTTTAAAATGAGGTTTGAGTTTTATTTTATGCTGCAAACTTGCACCCTTGGTACCTCAGTCTCACGATTCCAACTTCCAGCCGATCTGTCAGTGAATATTCATTAGTGCCCACTGTGTGTTGTGCATATGGAATTAGAGCAGGGCCTGCTGCCACACAGCCTTGTTCCCATTTATTGTTTTATTTTGATTACTTAACTGTTTATTAAAACTTTGAAGTGAAACATTAATAAACATTACTTTTGTTTTTGTTTTGTTTGAGACAGGGTCCCGCTCTGTCATCCAGGCTGGAGTGCAGTGGCACAATCACTGCAGCCTCAACCTCCCGGGCTCAGGTGGTCCTCCTGCCTCAGCCTCCCAAATAGCTACTTTTTTATTGTTTGTAGAGACAGTGTCTCTACAAATAACTATTTTGAATTATTCTTTAAATTTTCAATTATTGTTCATGAATTTTGTTCAAAAAACAAAATAATATGCCCAGCTACTTTTTTATTATTTGTAGAGACAGGGTCTCCCTGTGTTCCCCAGGCCGGTTGAACTCCTGGGCTCAAGCAATCTTCCCACCTTGGCCTCCCAGAGTGCTGGGATTACAGGTGAGAGCCACAGCCGGCTCACATTACTCATTTCAGCCACCGGTCCAGCATTGCTCTTAAAGGCAACTTTTCAAAAGCAAACTAAATGATCATTTATACCTTTCTCATTATAAACATTTATTGCACTGTCTTGTCTGCTTTATCAAAGTTTGCATTTAACCTTGTTGTGGGGATTTCTGCTTAGGGGTCATTACTGTTGCTTCTTTCTTTCCAAACTAGCCTCTGGAGTAACTCACCATTTATTACAGTTCTCATTTCTTCAAGTTTCTCATCCCTCCCTTTAGCTATACATAGTCAAAGAAAGAGAAAAGGAACTACTTTGAGGAGAGCAACTACGCCTTTTGTATTTTTTTAGGACAGCGTTGGCTTTTAATAGCGTGCCCCATTTTCAGACCATTTGTCCCAATATTTGGTCCAGAAAATAAAGATTTCATCAGCATGTCACTGCTGTTCTATGAGTAGAACCTTCTCACATGTAAAACAACTAGTCTCTCTCAAATTATAGTAGATTTACCACCCTGAGGGGAATGTACAATGAGAGAAGCCCATAATTTCTCAATCAATTTGCGACAGTGTTGAATGAACAGATAGCTCCACGTAAATTTTCCTAGCACCATTTAAAGTCTTTCACCAGCAGCTTGCCAAGGAGTATTTCACAGACTGTTCTAAAAATACATTACTTACACAAGATATTTTCAACAATAATGAGCAAGATTTTAGGCAAACATTTGAGACAATTTGCATGGCATGGGAAATTGAGGGAACTAAGAGATATTTCAGTTATACTTCCTTCCTAGGGTAGAAAAATCACATTTTCCCCCCAAATTTCTTATAGTACCAGTGACCTCAGCAGAATCCCAGGTCATGTAAGTCAATGATCAAACTCTCATGGGGGATTCTCAAGTTCTTTTGAGACTTGATATAAGATGTGAAGCCTGATAACCACTTAAGTATAATTGCTGTTTTGGATCTTCTCTGTGGCCTTTAACTTCATTTTTACTGATTTAAGTATCTTTGACTTGCCTGCAACCTTCTACTGATGAGCTAACAGGAAAATCCTAAGTAAAAGATAACTGCCATTTGTTCCTTAAATGACATCTTCTTGGCCAAAATTAAAAATAGGATCAACCGTCTTTCACCGCAAACACACATTTATATTTTTTGTTTCAAGCAAGCTTTAACTCACTGAAGGGAGGGCCTTGATCCAAAAGAATACCAAGAGAAATGAAGAGAATTTCTAGGATGGGTATAAAAATGAGTCCTGGGATAGAGCACCCCAAAGAAAATGGCAGAGCTCAGGATGGCTCTCAGTGGAGAAACCACTCGTTTTCTCTGATGCACTGAGCATTTTGGCATCCATGATTTGAAAGGATAACTTCAGCGTCCACTGTTCATTCAGTGAACTTTTTCTGATAATTTGCTGTGTTTCAGGCACCATGCTAGTCCCTGGAGCTATAAAGATTATTAAGTTATCACTGACTTCAAGTTGCTTCCACCGTAGGTGGAAATATAAACCTCTAAACAGTGAGGCATGTGCTTGTGAGAAATTGATTTGAGATCATGCTCCTTAGACCACACTCAGTGTCAGGTCCACCCTCATGGGTCATTAAATCAGAGTCAGGGGTGGGCCGCAGGAAAACAGGTTTTCTGAGACACAGCTGAAGGCAGAGACTTTGTTCTGAGAGTCCTGAGCAACAATGATGTTTTCTTCCTTGGATTAAGTTATATCATTGCTGAAAATGAATTTTGTTCAAAAACAAGAGAGCCTAGCATTTGTAAACATTACCTTAAATGCAGGTACATAAATTATTAGTGTGAATTCTTCTGGAATGGTGATGTGACATTCCCTACCCTCACCCCCCCCCAAAAAAAAAAGTCGTGGGGCAGCAAACATTGTTTTTTTCAAATCTGGTAATGCCTACCCAACACAGACAGGGGATAGGGTTATTAGCATTGCACCCATGTTAGGGTACAAGGAGCAAGAGAAGGCCATGGCAGGATGCTCTGCCTGTGCTCTCGCCTTCTGTGGCCTGTGCTAGCTGTGAGTTTCTGTACCCTTGGCTAATTAATTACGGAGTTGACCCAATCTCTCTCTGTGTGTGTGTGTGTGTGTGTGTGTGTGTGTGTGTGTGTGGGCGGCGGGGGGGGGCTCTTTCTGCTAATTTTTAGTACATCTGAAATGACACAGTGCTGTAATTGAAATACATTCAAGGTCAGCAATGACAAGTAGGAAGTAGTTCAGTGGGGAGGCAAAGGAAGGGATGAGGGTCACCTTCACAGATGAGTGATGAGTCTTAAAGGATGAATAGGACTGCATCAGGTGCAAGGTACAAGGCACAGTGCCATAATATACATGGAGTGTGTTATGGTATGATTTGTGTCCGCCCTGAAAATTCATATGTTAAATTCTTAGCTTCCAGTGACTAAGAATGTGATCTTATTTGAAGATAGGGCTTCACAGAAGTAATCAAATTAAAGTGAGGTCAATATGACTGGTGTCCTTATAATAAAAAGGGGAGGGGAAATTTGGATACAGAGACACAGGTGGAGGGAAGATGATATGAAGAGACATAGGGAGAAGATGGCCATCTGCAAGCCAAAGAGAGAGGCCTGGAACAGATCCTTCCCTCCCATCCCTCAGAAAGAACCAACCCTGCAAACCAACACCTCGATCTCAGACATCTAGCCTCCCACACTGTGAGACAATACATTTCTGTTGTTTAAGCCACTCAGTACCTGGTTTGCCTTAGCAGGCTAACACAGTGCATTCAGGGAATGAGAACACTGAAATGGCTGTCTTGTTCTCCCAGTGATGGTAATGTCCTGGTAACACAAAGGCAACAAAGCCAGTCCACAAAAGTCCACAGAAGTCACCTCTCCCTCCTCATTTGTTTTGACCCACAGCTCAGAGTTCAAGCTACCTGGGCAGCTCCTTCAGTGCAGTGCATTCTTCTGGTTTCTCACGAATCCTTTGTCAAATCTTTGGCCTCTCCTTCCACCAAAACCCAACTGTGTTTTCCTGCTGCTGATGGGGAGGTACTTCAAGGCTCATATTAGCTGTTTCATATTTGCCTCATTATGTTCCCCCCTGAGACTTATTAATATGGCTGGTGTATGTCAGAAGCTCGTGTTACTGTCTGTTGCGAGCATCCCATGGGATGATATGCAGTCCCAGCATTGAGTCTGGTGGCTTCTGTCACATCCTTTATTCCTGATACTTCCAAATTTAACCATGACACCATTGCTTCTGAGAAGGAATTTGAAAAAAAGAAAAATGGTGTTGTTGATTTTGATTCTTCGTATATGTATTCCATGTGTGCATTTGATAATGCTGCTGTCTCTGGTTTCCCATATGTAAGAACATGGTTCTAGTGAAACATTCTTATGTAACCATCTGTCTCATAAACTCAGTGAACACACTTTAATTGCAAAATTCCAACAGATTTACAGATTACAGTTGTCCCTTGGCATCCAAGGGGGATTGGTTCCAGCACCTCCCACAGATACCAAAACCCGAAGATGCTCAAGTCCCTTATATAAATGAGGTGGTATCTGCACATAACCTACACACATTTTCCTATACTTTAAATCATCTCTAGATTACTTATAATATCTAAAACAATGTAAATGCTATGTAAATAGTTATACTGGGTTTTGTTATTTTTTATTGTTGTATTATTATTTTTCTTTTTTTTTTCCAAATATTTTTGACCCACAGTTGGTTGAATTTGTGAATGGTTGAATACATGGATACAGAATCCATAAAAAAAAAAACCTGACTGTATTTGAAGACAAACTACAAATGTTTATTTTGGTTCATGATTCTTTTTGCGTTTTTTGGTTGTTCAGATGGATTTTGTGTTTTTTTGTTTGTTTGCTTTAGAAGCTTTTTTTGTCATTGTTTCCTTTAATTGTGTTTTAATTTAGGTACATATCAGAGCACCTTATTGAACCTTACATCATGTTATTCTTATGCTTCACCTCACTGATATCTGAAGAACATTATATATTTTTCATGTTTCTATGTATTTGGAAGTTCTGCTCTGCCCTCCAGAGCAAAAGAAGCTGTAGTTCTTTCCAGCAGTTTTGCTATTTAAGCCATCTGTTGAAAACGATTAACTGCTACTGCTGTTGCTTAAATGTTTTTCAAATATCCCCCATCATGTTCATTCCCACTCTTACTTCGTTAGATCAAGGTTTCATCATCTCTCAATGGGACTAGGGTCTCCTGACTAACTTTCGTGCTTTCTGTCTCTTTCCCTTTTATTGTTCATCAACTCAGGGATCTTTTAAAAATGTAAATCTAAACTGTCCCTTGTAGGTATCAGTGGCTCCCTGTTGATTCTCAATTAAGTGTGGTATATGAGGGCCTTTATTTTTTGTTTTATTTTTTAAAATTCTAACCCCAGTATCATACAATGGAAAGGTCCTTTATTAGCAAGTCATCTTCTCTAGATGCTATGCACTCCTACTTCTCATATAAAGCTACTTGTTTTAGCCCAAGAAGGCCAGGGTCTCTCTTTTCCCACTTTTTCCTCTGCCTGGAATGCCCTTTTTTTCAGTGAACACCTACTCACCTTTTAATACATACTCAAAATTTATCTTTTGAATGGCACCTTCCCTGACTTCTCAGACAACACAGTATACTGAGTTTTGCCTGTTTTCTTACATGTTTGTCAATTTCAAGAGTTTAATTGAATAAAGAAATAACAGCATTTACTTTGTAGTATTTTAATTACTAAATATTGGCACAAGTAAAGGCTTCCATTTTTTAAAAGTATTATAAATATAAAATTTATGGAGATGTAGATAACATAGTCAAATATTTACCTTCAGTATTCAGCTATTAATTTAGTTATGCACAAATATTTTAAATCACATTATATAAAACTTTTAATTTAGAAATACTATATTTTTCTCATTTTCACAATTTTATGAAGGCTCTTCATATATCCTGATATTGTGTTTGTCATTACCAGAGCCACATTTTGAGTCTGCCGAGACCACCTCGGTCGGGGAGACCCTAACCCAGCGGCGCTAGAGAAATTAAAGACACACGCACAGAAATATAGAGGTGTGAAGTAGGAAATCAGGGGTCTCACAGCCTTCAGAGCTGAGAGCCCCAAACAGAGATTTACCCACATATTTATTAACAGCAAGCCAGTCATTAGCATTGTTTCTATAGATATTCGATTAACTAAAAGTATCCCTTATGGGAAACGAAGGGATGGGCCGAATTAAAGGAATAGGTTGGGCTAGTTAACTGCAGCAGGAGCATGTCCTTAAGGCACAGATCGCTCATGCTATTGTTTGTGGCTTAAGAATGCCTTTAAGCAGTTTTCCGACTTGGGCGGGCCAGGTGTTCCTTGCCCTCTTGCGGTAAACCCACAACCTTCCAGTGTGGGTGTTATGGCCATCATGAACATGTCACAGTGCTGCAGGGATTTTGTTTATGGCCAGTTTTGGGGCCAGTTTATGGCCAGATTTTGGGGGGCTTGTTCCCAACAGAGTCATCAAGTACACTTTTCTCAGAGTATACCATCTTCACATCTGTTTGTTTGAAATACAGTGCTTTTAAAACCTGTGCGTGATACTGTCATTAGAAATTTGTCTACAAGCTACAAGAGCCTATTTGACTAGTGTAGGATGGTGACTCTTTTAATTCAGTCTATAGATATTTGATTATGACCTCCTTAAAGTAATTAATTACAGTATTTTTAATGGTCATTAATATGCTTTTTTTCCAACAGTATCTACTCTTTGCATTGTGCATAACCCCAGGAATGATTATTGTCTATTAAATTTCTTTCCCTTCTTTTTTTAATATTAATTCCATCACATGACCTTCTAAGCATCCAAACTAGTACTAATTGCTACTGTTTCTTTCCCAAACATTATTTTGTTCAAAAAAAAAAAAAAGTAATTGAAAAGATTTCCACTTCCTGTAATGATGGACTGGGTCACTCAACTGATTCTTTCAAAGTTCATTTTCTAGGACAAGATGCATGGCCAAGCCTGAAACCTGTGACACAGGGAACCATATCTTCCCAAAAGGAAGAGCATCCAATATTTTGAACAGTAATAAAATCCAGAGATTCTGAGCTATTAGTGCCCCTAATGGTTTGGGAAAATAAACATTCTCTTTGGAGGATAACCTCACCTTTGACCTCAAGTAACTCTACAAAAAATATCTAGCAAAGATAATTAGACAATGAGGAGATAAGAAACCATGAGTGATAGCCAGAAGAAATAATAGACAATAGAGACACACCCACAGGAACTCCAGATATTGGGATTATCAGAAATAAATGACAAAAGAACTATTTACAATGTTCAAGGAGGTTTTTAAAAGCCAAGCTTAGATTTCATCAGGAAATCATAAGCACTAAAATAACAGATTTGAAAATGAGCTACATAGGAATTCTAGCACTGAGAAATAACCAAAATTAAGAAAGCAGTGGGTGAGTTTAACATCAGGTAGAGCTAAAAAATAAATCATGAAAGCAGACAAATCAGAAGAAATAATAAAAACGCAGCATCAAAAACAAAAGATAATAAAATATGGAAAAGAAGAATAAGAGATATAGAGAACACAGTAATGTCTAATATACTAATTGAACTCCCAGAAAGAAAAAAAAATTTTTTTTTTTGAGACAGAGTCTCACTTTTTCGCCCAGGCTGGAGTGCAGTGGCACGATCTCAGCTCACTGCACCCTCTGCCTCCTGGGTTCAGGCAATTCTTCTGACTCAGCTTCCCGAGTAGCTGGATTACAGGCACATACCACCACGCCCAGCTATTTTGTATTTTTAGTAGAGACAGGGTTTCACCATATTGGCCAGGCTGGTCTCGAACTCCTGACCTCAAGCGATCCACCGCCTCAGCCTCCCAAAGTGCTGGGATTACAGGTGTGAGTCACCACGCCCCGCTCAGAAAGAAAAATTAAAGAATATAGAGTCAATATTTGAAAAGATAAAAGCTGCAAACTTACTAAAACCTATGAAAAACATCACACAAATTCAAGCAGTCCAAGAAATTCCAGGCAGAATATATTTTTTAAATCCTTACCTAGATATATTACAGTGAAATTGTAGAAACCCAAAGATGAATGGAAAATTTTTAAAGCAGCTGGAAAAAGAAAGCAGATTTTATTCAAAGCAATGACAGACTGATGGTAACCTTCTCACTCAACAGGAACATAGAAGCCACAACAAAGTACAGTGATATATTTCTAATATACAAAAAGAAAATAACTGCTGCACAGAAAAAGATATTTAGTAAATGAAGGTGAAATAAAAGACGTTGTCAAGTCAACAAAACAGACACATACTAAAAAGAACTTCTAAAGGGTACACTTAAAATATAAGCACTCGACATCAAAGAATGTAATAAATACATGGGTGATGCTAAGTGAATCTTGACTACATAAAATAATAATGTCTTAAATTTATATATTAATATTTATATATATTCTATTATAATATATTACAAAAATAGCATATAAATCAGGAGGAGTAAATGAAGTTAAGGTGTTCTAAACTCTTTACATTGTGTGACAGAAGGAAAAAGCTATCAATTTACATTATACTTTGATAAGCAAAGGTAGAATATGACCTTCAGTGAATAAAAAGACTACTAGGAGATTAATAAATAAATAAGCTCCTAACAGATAACATAAAGCAGTATCTTTATGGCTATGAGATAGGAAAATATTTCTTAAATAGGACACAAAAAACACTAAAAGGAAAGAATTGATAAATGCATTATATTAAAATTAGAATCTTTGTTCATCTGGACACTATTGAAAGAGGGAAAAACCACAGCACAGTGGGGAAAAATATTTGCAACACATACAACTACAAAAAGACTCATATCCATCTCAACAAATCATTAAGAAAAAGACTCATAACTTAGAAAATGGAGCAAGAGATTTTAACAAAGTGTTCTCAATTAAGGAGATCCAAATTGCCTTAAACATATGATAATGTGCTCAATCTCATATATCAGGGAAATGCATATTCAAACCACAGTGAGATACCACTGCACACCCAACACAATTGTTTAAATTTAAAAGAAAGACTGACAATACCAACTGTTGATGAGGATGTGGAATAGCAGGGATTCTTCCACTCTGCTGGTGAGAATGTAAATTACAATCATTTTGGAAAACAGTTAAGCAGCAATTCTATTCATATATGTGTGACTAAACAAAAATGTGTTTATAGCAGCATTATTCAAAATAGCCCACAACTAAAAAAAATCATCTATCAATAGTAAAATGGATGAATTACAGTGTATTCCTACAATGAATAGCAGTGAAATATACTCACAAGAAATGAGTGTATCTCACGTTGAGCAAAAGGAAGACAAAAATTATACATCCTGTAGGATTTCATTCATGTAAAGAGCAAGAAAGGGCAAAGCTAATATCTAATCTTAGAAGTCCAGTTAATGGAGAAGGAGAGGGTATAGGTGTATGGTAATTGGGAGAGGCACAAGCAGTCTCATAATATACTTTTTCTTGGTCTGATTGTTACTCACATAGGTGTGCTCCCTTTGTGATAATTCATCATCAAGCTGCACACTTATGGTCTGTGTATTTTTCTATGTGTAGTTTGACTTCAATTGAAAATGTTAAGACAAAAAAGTAATTGAGAGAGTACCCAGATATGAGATTTATAAGGACTGAAATATAAAGTGATAACCTCCTTAGGATGATTTTGAAGAAATCATTCTCTTAAACTGGTGATATGGAGTGTTTTTTACCTTTGTTTCTCTCCTAATAGACTGTGAATTTGGCGGGGGCAGGCCCTGTGTCCTCATCTCTACCTGACAGAGTGGACTCTCCCTGTTTGTGGGATTCATGAAATAATGTACTAACGTGAGAAATGTATTTCTATTCCCAGGTTAAGAAAACGACTGAAGCCACCTTGCAGACGATACAAGATATGGTCACCATCGAGGACTATGATGTTTCTGAATGCTTCCAGCACAGTCGTTCCACAGAATCAGTGAAGTCCACTGTCTCTGAAACCTACCTGAGTAAACCCAGCATCGCCAAGAGAAGAGCCAACCAGCAGGAAACTGAACAGTTCTACTTCATGGTGTGCCCGCCACTTCCCAAGCCACTCTACAGAGCTCAGATCTAGGATTCCCAAGTGCCACTTCTATAGTCACATCAGAACCATCTGGGGTTCCTTTTGTTAAAATAGACTCCTGTCTACCATCAGAGTTCCTGATTCAGTCAGTTTCGGAAAGAGTTTAGGAGTTATTTAGGAGTTAGTTAGTTAGGAGTTATTTAGTTAGTTAGAGGACTGGTATAAAACAGTACTTTTAGCTGGGCACAGGGGCTCACCCCTCTAATCCCAACACTTGCGAGGCTGAGGTGGGAGGATCATTTGAGCCCAGGAGTTTGGGACCAGCCTGGGCATCATGGCAAAACCCTGTCTCTACAAAACATATATATATATTTATATTTATATATATTTATATATGTTTTTATATTTATATAGATATATAAATTAGCCAGCAGGCATAATGATGTGCAATTGTAGTCCTAGCTACTTGGGAGGCTGAGGTGAGAGGATCGCCTAAGCCTAGGAGGCAGAGGTTGCAGTGAGCTGAGATCATTCTACTGCACTCCAGCCTGGGCAAGAGAGTGAGACCCCAACTCTAAAATTTAAAAACACACAGTACTTTTAAACTTTAATATCTATACATGTCACCAGGAGAGCTGGTGAAAGTGCCAGTTCTTATTTCCAGAGGTCTGGTACAGAAGGAACCTGAGAGTGTGCATCTCTCCTAGGCTCCCAAGGGTTGGCTGATGCTGCTGGTCTGCAGACCACACTTCAAGTAACAAGTTTCTGGCGTCTAGAAGATCAAAGTGGCTGGATTTTAGATCTATGAAAAGTTCCTTGACATTGAATAATTTTTAAAAATTAAAAATTAGGCTGGGTGCAGTGGCTCACGCCTGTAATCCCAGCACTTTGGGAGGCCGAGGCAGGCGGATCACCTGAGGTCAAGAGTTCAAGACAAGCCTGGCCAATACGGAGAAACCCCATCTCTACTAAAAATAGAAAAATTAGCCAGGTGTGGTGGCGGGCGCTTATAATCCCAGCTACTCAGGAGGCTGAGGCAGGAGAATCGCTTGAACCCCAGAGGAAGAGGTTGCAGTGAGCCAAGATCGCGCCACTGCACTCCAGCCTGGGTGACAAGAATGAAACTCTGTCTCAAAAAAAAAAAAAGATTTAAAAATTATTCTTGCCTTTTGCAGAAACTCAGAGAATATTTGGAAGGCAGTAATCTCATCACAAAACTTCAAGCCAAACATGACTTGCTGCAGAGGACCCTGGGAGAAGGTGAGTTATCCAAAATGTATGGGAAGATGACCTGGATGATACATCGTATCATGTATATATTCCAGAAAGAGTATGAATTGTATATTTGTGCTTTAAGAAGCAGAGGACACTCTGTGTTTAGATTTGGTTTTGTTTGTATATGTCATGATTAAGTTCTCCTGGCACGATTTTCTTCTAAAGCATGGTGCTAACCTTGAGGAAGCGTAGTGAAATCTAGGGAGGGCTGGAAAGTCAATACCGAGCTCCTAGGGAGGGATCTTCAGAGTGTGGTGCTCCTGATCGTAGAAAAGTCTGGAAACACTGCCCCTCCCCTACCTGCTGACCCCCCAGTCTCTTCTTCCTTCCCTTCTCAGACTTCTGCACCCTTCCAACCCCACCCCTGTTTGTTTTAATGGGCGAGTATTTGTTGTTCCATCTGTTGCCTGTTTAGACTCTGGAAACCAGTTAAACCAGTTTGGGTGATTTTTTTCTTTCAGCAGGCATTGGCTGTAGTTGAGAAACAATCTTAAAGTATAAGTAGATTGCTATGTCTAATAATAGTAACAAAACAACAGCAACAGCTAACACTTGAAAGGCTTTCTCTGTGCCAGGCTTTGTTCTGAGTTGTATATTTTACTGTGCACTAATAATTTCTCCGTTTTTACAAATGAGGAAACTGAGGGGAGGCATGAGAATACAGGCAAAGGGGACTGTATAAATGTTAATGTTTCTCTTTGTCTTTATGAAATTTAAAAGGAAAAAAATAAATACAAGCCAAGTTCCTGTCTTAAGTGCTTCATAGTCTGTAACTTTATCTTTTATTCACACTAGACCCTGCCAGAAGTTAGAAAAAGTAAAAGAGAATGTGGAAGGGAGTGGGAAATGAGAGGACTGAGTTGTGTGAGTAACTCAGGTCAAAAAAGAGATTGCGCCTCTTAGACCTAAATTCTTGCCTCCCACAATTCTGGAACCTTCCTTAACCATAAAGTTTCTATCACCTTATCTCCTGGTTTCCACCAAAGAACTCATCATCCTCAGGGAATGACCACATGGAGAAAGGTTATCATGACCTAAGAACCATGTCTGACACAGTTAGGATGAAAAGGCCAATTACACCTAGAAGGAAAAAAAAAAAACAACGCAAACTACTAAAAAGTGTCATTAAAAAATAAAATAACCAAATACAATGTATGAACCTTCACACACTAGATTAAATTAGATACTGAATCAAAAAGCAAAAGTTATGAAAGACATTTTAAGAACAATTAGGGAAGTTGAAATACAGACTGTATATTAAATAATATTATTGAATTAGTGTTAATTTTCCTAGATATGATAATGGTATTGTGATTATAAAGAAGAACATTCTTATTCTTAAGAAATGCTTGCTAAAGTGTCATGATGTCTGCAACTTACCTTCAAATGGTTCTAAAAAAAAAAAGAGGGAGAGAGAAAGAAGGTACAGTCAATGTGGCAAACATTAACAGCCGGAAAATCTACATGAAGGGGATAAGGATACTTCCTGTACTGCTCTTTTAACTCTTCTGTAGGTTTGAACTTTAAAAAAAAAAAAAAGTCTTTTTATCTTTGAATAGTTTTCTTATAATTGTGTCCTGTTTTTTCTTTTTTCCCTCACAGTGTCATGTAAGGTCTTTTTTTTTTTTTTTTTTTTTCAATTTTTCACAAATGCCTGATATTTCAAGTGATGCCCTCAAGGTCAGTTGCCAGGCCCAAAGCATAAATTATCCTAAGTGTAGATGAACGCTTATAGGCACAAAGTCCTACCCTATGAGGATGGATACCACTTTAGAAATTGTGTTTGAGAGCATGAAGTAGTGGGGGAATTCATTCTTGGCACTGCTTGCAGACACATGTGTTAATATGCTTGGGGCCACATTCTGAAACTTTTATGGTACCTATTCAACATGGATTCTCTTGTGTCTCCTAGAGAGAAAGCCCCAATGGTTAATATTCTTCTACATGTCATTATTGGATGGGGCTATATTCTAGCCAATTTATTGAGTCCACATGCCAAATTCCGTCTTTAGCTGCTGAACTGCATAAATCTGTATTATACTTTGTGAACTGCAAGCCAGAATTTTCTTTTTTTTTTTTTTTGAAATGGAGTTTCACTGTCATCGCCCAGGCTGGAGTGCAGTGGTGCAATCTAAGCTCACTGCAACCTCCACCTCCCAGGTTTAAGTGATTCTCCAGCCTTGCCTGCTGAGTAGCTGGGATTACAGGCATTTGCCACCACGCCCAGCTAATTTTGTATTTTTAGTAGAGACAGGGGTCTCACCATGTTGGCCAGGCTGGTCTCGAACTCCTGACCTCAGGATCCACCCACCTTAGCCTCCCAAAGTGCTGAGATTACAGGCATGGGCCACCGTGCCCAGCTCAGGATTTCTTTATCTTGGAATTTTTTTCAACGGGCTCTGGTATACCAGGGACACAAGCTGTGCTGACGTGTATAAAACCTTCACAGGACTCCATTTATGCTGCAGAAGAAACTGGATAGCTTTCATCCATCAGCAGCAGGCACACTAGCCTCTGCCCACTGGTTGCAGACATCTCTGCTTCCTAGCCCTGCCCCTTTTGCAGGCTGGGTGGCACACCAATTGCTGGTCACTGCCTGGATATGACACTGACAAATTTGCCCAGAGAAAAGCTGAGCATGGGAGACATGCCCCACCTTTTAACTCAACCATTATAAGCCTGCTGGCTTTCTGTGCAAGCCCTCTTCATGTTAATAGGCTACATCAAAGGAGACCAGGAGAGTTAATGGCGCCCATCACATAGTGAAGTAATCCCATGGTGAGCTCTTATGGAGGAATCTGAGTCCAGATTTGGTGTGATAGGGTTACTAATACAGGATTCAATGGTTATGTTTGGGGACAGTCCTGACTTTTTATATAGAAATCACCTCTCTGAAGTATACTAGACTCACCGCTGCAAAAACTGCCTTCATAGTAAAACAAATAGAGCCTAACCCGAAGATTTAGCAGTTGCTCGTACACAGCTGAATCTGTAACTACAGACATGTGTTTGGCCTGCCTTACTGCTCGCTTTTTGGTAGGCTGCCAATGGCCCAGTAAGTTCTTTGATTTACAACATTGTGAAGCAACTAGATTGGGCTCTTAAAGTGGCACTGTCAAAATTCAGAATTCCAAATCTTTGAAAACTACTGAAATAGAAAGAAGCACGCAATGAGTTGTTAAGACCAAACTCATTATTATCATTTTCTTCATCCCTCAGCAACACCATTGTATCTTTTTGTGATGTCATTTGTTTTTAAATCATAGAAGTTAAATTGACCACAGTAAATGAGATATACATCTATAAAACTGAGGCACTGATTTTTTTTTTCTTTTTCAGTAATGAGCCTTAATGTTCACATTGGCTTCTTTGTGTGCAGCATTTGGAGTTAAGGGGGTGCAAATATCAGTGCGATTTTGCTAAATAAAAAATCTGATACTAGGAGCTGAGCTCCATATTTTATTGCTTCTTGCCCTGGGCATAAGGTTTCTGACAAAGGAATTTAATAGATTATCCTCATACAATCCATTGTCTGTCTTTGAGTAGGAGTACAAGTATACTTTCAAAAGGGAAGCTGAATGTGAGTAATTATGGTTTTTTAGAAAAGCACTGCAGTAGTTGGTATTCTTAAGGAAGAAAAAGGACTGGAAAGTAATGCCAGGAGTTCTCATCAGTCATTCATTAGGGAGCAAATCCAGGATGCCTGTGTCTCATTTGAGCCATACACATTTTAAGTATTTTATCTCCTTTTTTAAAATATCAAATTGCCACCAAACTGTATTTTGGTTATCCCATTAACTATATGTAGGAGATAAAATGCATTTAGGTGTGAAAAATAATTCACTTCATAATTCTCGAGTGAAATTTAAGAGTAGCTGAAAAAAAATGTTTGAACCAAGAACAAGTTAAGCCTGGGTTATTTTTTTCCTTCAAAATGGCTTATATGTTGGGGGGTGTGGCGAGGGGAAGGAGTGGTCCGTTGTTTTTAATAATTAAGTAGCTTTCCAAAGAAAATGATTGAAATCTAATCCTCAGACTGCTGGAAGCTTTCACATTTCTCTGGGAAGAAGAGTCTTCTAAGCTTGTGTGTTATTGATCTATTAATGATGATACTGATTAAAAAATAAAACCTCATTCATCAGTTGAGACACACTCAGGACTATTAGCTGAAAAAACGATGGATGTGGTAGTGTGGTTATACTGTGAATCATAGTTCTTGCAAAGCACGCTCTTGGTTCATTATTCAAAATGTATCTTTTATAGGTTTTTAATTTTTTATCTCATACTATTAACTATGGATGGATGGAGCAAAATAATTTTAAGCATTTTACATATCATTTTCTAAATCTAGGGAATAATTTGTTAGGATATTGTTACAAAAATAGCAGAATTTCAAAGTTATAACACATTTCATTTCTAAGGAATTCTCATTGGCATCATTATTGAATCACTTGAAAGTGATTACCTATGTTATTAAATTTACATTTATAGATATTAATTTAATAATGTACATATTTATAGAATTTATTAAATTTATTTAAATATTCAGTATTTTGTATTTGGCTTTAGGCATATGAGGCAGACAGAATTGTAAGCCATAATACCTACCTTTCTTCTAGGATCTTTCAAAGTATTTGCCAGGAAAAAAGACTTACGTTTTTAAAGGTGGTACATTATAGTGCTTGGGAGCTAGTACATTATAGTTCCTGGGATCTCAGGACTGGGATTAAAACAAACTTGGACCTGAGTGCCACACCCACCCCATACTAATAGCGTGACCTTGGGCAAGTCACTTTTCTATATGCTCAGTCTTTTCTGTAAAATAAGGATAACAATAGAAGCTACCTCATAAAGTCGTTGTGAAAATTGTGAGTTAATATATGTAATATAAAGTGCTTATAATGGTGTCTAATAAATATTAGACATCATTGCTGTTTTTATTGTTGTTACTAATATATATTGCATCATACCTAATTAGACTTAATGCTGTCATAAAGTATGCAACATAACAACATAATACAACACAAGCCAGACAGTTTCTCTACCCTCAACCCTTTGCACATTCTACTGCCTCACACTGGGTGATCTTACGTGGCTCGTATGGACCCAACACAACCTAAATGGTGGTGACTCTCACATCTTTATCTCCAGCCCTGTCTTTTCTCTGTGCTCTAACCCTGTATAGCCAGCTTGCTGCCGAACACTGCCATTAGGATATCCCATAAGGCACCACATACCACAGTCAGCTCACCATCTGCCCACTCTACTTCTCAGTAGACCTTCACTCCCATTCATGAATAGCTATAAATTATTCTGAAGTTCTATGTACACCTTCACCTTTTTCTTCTCCTCCAAGGTAGCAGAAGGCCAGCAAAAGGAAGGGACTTATAACTTAAATAAGTAGAACTGGGAAGAGGAGGAAGAGGAGATTCTTCCCTTCCCTTCATCCCCACTTCAAGTCATGTCCATGAACTCATTCTGCCAACATTTTTACTGTGGCCTGGCCCTATGTGAAGAAAGGTAGTCTCAGATTTTAACTGTTTCACCCTATTTAATCAATAGATATTAACCAAATCCTTTATGTTATTTGTTATTCAAGAGGAGATAATAGAGTCAAAGGCTCTACTGCAGCCTGGAAGTGTTGGTTCACCATTCCCAACAAGCCAGCTTTCTTTACCATTGTCATGTTGGCCTTGCCCTAGAAATCTGAATCACTGCATTATGATATGATAGGCTGAGCTTAGCTGTTTGTGCTGCAACGTGACCATCCCCTGCCAGCTATATTTTCAAGCTGTTTCAGGACCATGTCATTATTTTGCAAACAAACCAGCTGAATGGTTCAATGTTTCCCACATTCCTTCCCACTACTCCGCCCTAAATGTACAAAGCAACCGATAAACACATGCAAACTTGAAATTATTGCAGATTGTCGGAGCCCTACAAAAATTCAGCCCTGTTACTTAAAACAAGTCAAGAAACCCAAATGTATAAGAAGTTGATGTTTTAATGGACAGAGAACTCTGTGAAAGGCTTTTAGCTTACAAGTTGGTGGAATGTAGTATCATTTAATGTCCTTGTACTTTAATATTCGCAAATGTCATTTCTGATTACAGAATACAGCTTCTCTCCAGTCCCCTGATTCATATTATAGAAAGAACACCAACTTAGTCTAAGGAAAATTGAACCCTCCCAACTGTATTTGAACCCATCCTTCTCGCTAACAAGTGTCAGTCAAAACAGAGAGAATAACTAACATCTAAATCTTGGATATGTCTTATTTGTATTTCATTTTTGGGCTTACAGTTATGATCAAGCAGCTATTCTTGTTTCTTTTCTGAAAAAAAAAAAAAAAAAAAACACAGCCTCAAATTGCCAAGTGAAACATGATTCTCAAATCTATAGAATTTATTAAATTTTATGTATAGATTTTATGAAATGTTTACACTGAATTATGTGTCTATCTTCATATGCTATCCTCATGTTTTCTGCCATAAAAACGTGTAAGTTATTACAAACTCAGTGTTTTAAAATACCGGATAGGAGATACAAAAGAGTACCACATACACTCTGCTGATTCCTTTCAGTTTACTTACTTTAAATTTTTTTCCTGCAGGTCATAGAGCTGAATATATGACTACAAGGTAGGAAAATATTTTATCATAACTTATAGCGTATTTTACTTTCTCTTTAACAAGAAGCAACCATTTCAATGCTGAAAGAATTAACATTTTGTTAATGAATACGGGAGATAGTTTTGGCTTGACAAAGCATAGCAACATGAAATGTTTGGGCTTCTTACAAGACTAGGTATGTTCTAGCTTATTTTTGTTTCCCTCTGGAATTGTAAAGCTCTTTAATAGGCAGAGACAGTAACAAAAACCTAAGTTAAACCGGCTTGGTTTATCTAATCCAGAATACTTTAACTGTTTCTAAATAGCGTGACAGGACTTTTGATTTGATAGTTTAATTAAAAAAAAAATACGACGTGTACATCTACTGCATAAGTAAGTAGAAAGTACAATTATTTTCTGTTCCTATTTTCCTTTAGTCATATAAACATTAGAGCTGGCCGGGTGCAGTGGCTCAGCCTGTAATCCCAGCACTTTGGGAGACTGAGGCGGGTGGATCACCTGAGGTCAGGAGCTCACGACCAGCCTGGCCAATGTGGTGAAACCCTGTCTCTACTAAAAATACCAAAAAATTAGCCGGGCGTGGTGGTGTGCGCCTGTAATCCCAGCTACTCAGGAGGCTGGGGCAGGAAAATCACTTGAACCCGGCAGGCGGAGGTTGCAGTGAGCCAAGATTGCGCCACCACACTCCAGCCTGGGCAAGAGCGAGACTCCATCTCAAAAAATAAAAATAAAAAATAAAAATAAAAATTTGAGCTATATTGAATATCTTTAGGATTTTAGCTGTCTATATATTCTCCATTTTGATTCACTTTAAACATTTAACTTTTAACACATACTCCCATATTGTACTTTCTTCATTCAGGGGAGGATTGTGAAGCTACTACAAGAAAGGAAAGCCATTTGGGCAGCAGATTCTGATTTGGGTTCGGGAAAGTTTGTGGCAACTTTTATTTTTCTATGTCACCATTTGTGCAACAGACAGAAATTATCTAATTAGCATAGCAAGATGTTGCATTTTTGAAATTGAGTTCTCTTTGAAATAAGACGCATTTAGAACACTGGTATATCTGCTGCAGTAATTGGCAAGTTGACTTTCAAGGATCTATAATGTTATTGCTGGGCAGCTTATTCATAAGGAAGCCCCTCGTACTTCATGGTAAACCAACTAGAAAGATACAGCTCCTGACTTTTCCAAACCTAACAAAAGAAAAAAACACTGAGGTTTTTCTTCACTGTGTCAGTGAAAAAGAAGACTATTACCTCGACCTGGTAATATGCAGCTTATAGAGATGTTTTTCACCTATAGCATCTCCTTGCACTATCAATTATTTTACCTGTTGTTTCTCAATTATAATTACTGTAAGGCACTTCAAAAAAAGAGATTTTTTTAAAAAGCAGAAATGGAAATATATTAATTTGCCATGAGAGCTATAATTGCCAAATAGACTAGATATTCACATCAACCTGACCAGTACTTCCTCTCATGTGGGCATCCTCTGTAGGAAACCAAATTATCAGGAAGTCATGTGGTAGCCACAGAATCAGAATGAGTCACGCAATTGGAATGTTGAACGTCCCTGGCTCTGTTCACTTGATGTGGGTGTAGCAGAGCAAGAATCATCAGACCTCTGCCATGGAAATTACTTTGATAAGCACTGAGGCAATTCGTTTTCATTCCAGGTTCCTCTCACAACTTGCATGCGTTCATATTTACCGTACTATAGAATCCTACAGAGGTGATTTTCAGGCCTTTCATAGAAGACTCAAAAGATATCCCTCCATTAGCCAGCATTACCCTGCGTCTCCCAGTCATGCGGGGACAATGATTCAGTGCATTGGAGGTTTTTGGCTCCGTCTACAAGATTGGCTTGCTCCGTGAATCAGTGACCAAACAAAATTCTAATCTGCTTAGCTTTGTCAGCTTCTCCAGATATCACCAGATGTGAAGCTCTCTTGGACCTTATTGTAATAACCACATTTTCTAGTTTTTTAATGCTTTGGTATATTGGGGACTTTCTGACCCCAGAAGTACTGCCCCTCCCGGGATTAGCCAATTCCTAGCAGTAGTAGTAAGAACTGGCTTGCCAAGTGTGCCTTTTGTATGCAAGCCAGGTGATCCAGACGACCTACCTCCAACCACCTCCTTCATGGTTCTGACACTCACGGCCACTATTCCCCTTCCCTAATCACCCCAAGGCCAGGTATAGGACAACTTAGGGATAGTCCCTATGCCCCAAAGCCCACTGGAATCATTCCAACTAGCCTATTCTAAACCTGCTTGCCCAGCTTCTCCCATTCCCTCCAGTGGGAACCACAATAAAGACTCCTGCCCACATTTTCCTTTGTGCCTTCTGCCTCCTGACCCACCCCGGTGCTTCCTTCTGTGGCCTCCCTGGTGGTGGGGCACATCCCCAACTCTTTAACAAACTATCTTTTCAGTGGTAGTTGTCTCCTGAACGTTGGCCTCCCCGTACCTGAATAAAAATGAAATCCACACTTTAAAACACTTTTAAAATAGTGAAAGGAGTGGATGAAATCAAGTATGTAGGGTTAAATGCTTTGGTGGTTGGTTGTTTTGTTCTTTTTACTCCTATCAGATTATTTCCTCCATGAATGGCCAGAACTCAGTGTATAAAAGAGATCTCAGAAATTTCATCCGTGGCAGGAGATGACATGTTGCCTGGTAGAAGTTTCCATATTCTCTCCTAGACACTTGCAAAGGCTTCTTTTAACCTCGCCAGCACTGTAGAACTTCAGGTGCTGCTTGCTGTGCACCTTGTTCATCATATGAGCCCATCTGCTGGGAGGGTCTTAGAATTTAGCTGTGGAAGGCTGTACCAGTAGGTTTGTTTCCATACATGATAGTGTCTAAGGAAGCTAGTCAGGCTTCCACGTAACTTCTTGGGATCTGGTATATGAACCAGACTTTCTGAACTTAAGCTAAATGAACTAAAAAAGATAAATTTTCCTAGAGTCTGAAGCTTAATGAAGGGCTTTACACAATTTCCTGGTGTGGTGTGTATCCTCCTATAAGTCTTGCAGTTAAAAAGGAGTTTTACATTAAAACATCCAGAGACAGGTCTCAGGGCTCTCCTTCCATGTATTTCATTCAGCACAGTAGTAGAAGTTGAGTCAGGTAATTCTGGCCTTCTTTCCACTAAAGGGAGAGAGCAGAAGAGGTTCCCTCTCTGCAGTCACAGGGCAAGATGTCACAGTTTCTAAATATACTACATGCTGCACTAGATGTGCATATGTCAGAGAGAATGGTTTATTCACCAGAGCAAATGGGCAGACTGGAGAGGAAGAGAGTCTGCAGTGGCATAAACAAGTACATCCTCAGATATTTAGGTGGTGGAATAGTTTGTTCTAAAGAAATAATAACTCATGCGAGCCTGTATGTCCCCCAAATTAGAAAAAGCAGTGAACCCAAATTATTTTTCTCACTTGTGACCTATTAATAGTTACTTTTGCATGAAATAAAATTCCATTACTGCTGGAGGGGTATCGAACAGATGTGATGTTACTTGCATTGGTTTGCTGGGCTGAGTGAGGTGGCTCACGCCTATAATTCCAGCACTTTGGGAGGCCAAGGTGGAAGGATCTTTTGAGCCCAGGAGTTCAAGACCAGCCTGGAAAACACAGGGGGACTCCGTCTCTATAAAAAATTTAAAAATTAGCTGGGCATGATGGCATGCGCCTGTAGTCCTAGCTACTTGGGCTGAGGTGGGAGGATCCCTTGAGCCCAGAAGAAGGTGGAGGCTGCAGTGAGCCATGATCATTCCACTACACTCCAGCCTGGGTAACAGAGCAAGACTCTGACTTAAAAAAAAAAATTATGTGTACCTAAAAATGTTATATTTAATTCCTCATTTGGGGATCTACCGGAGCCCTAATCTTTATGACCGGTTGTATCTTACTGTGTGACTTGTAAACCAAATAACAAGAATGCTGGTTTGTAACATTTGGCCAAATAGCTAACGAGTCTACTTGGTAGTGCTTATTTTAAAACAAACCAGCAAACAAACAAATGTCAGCTGCAGCATACAGGGAAACAGCAGTGTGAATAAACAATTTGTATGTTTTTTGATACAGAAGTGAAAGTAAATAAATGGGAAATGGGAGGGAATGTTTTCCCCTGTGATTGGGGGAGGGGAAGGAACCCAAGATTCCCGTGTTTTGTAATATTGATGTGACCTATAGATGTTTCATTTATTGTTTGATTTCTGCCATGCTCAGTAATTATATTCCCTTCCCTTAGGCCTCCAAATGTTCCCCCTAAGCCCCAGAAACACAGGAAGTCCAGGCCCCGCTCACAGTATAATACTAAGTTGTTTAATGGGGATTTGGAAACATTCGTCAAGGTACTGGCACCAGCCATCTGGGTGGCTGATCTCCATGCTTCTTACTATAATGGTCTCAGCCTCTTGTAAGAGGAGGAAGGTCATTATGTCCAAGTCTGTCCTGGGGCTCTTTGCTTTCCCAGAAAATCAATATAATATTTCCTGAAGTCAGAGAGGAAAGAATATTTGGGTCGAGTGCCTTCAGAAGAGAGAATAAATGTGAGTATTATTATGTGGGCATAAAAGAAAGCCCTCTTTCTTTATTTTTTTAAAAAGAGCCATAATTTGTACAGAAAGTTAAAAAGCAACCTGATAAAAATGTTGTATTTTTACTCATGCAAATGAGATGGCACAAAATATTCTTTAAAGTCTGCTTGTTAGGATAGCTCTGAAACACAGCAGGAGTTTTGATTTCCCATGACTTGAGGAATTCATTATATTGAATGAATTGTAAGACTATGATCTATACCTTGTACCTCTGCTGTGTTTACTCTTCGTCTTCTTTTTCATCCTGTATTTCTGATAATGCTTCTAGCCGAGGACGAAGAAACTCGCACACAAGACATCAGGTATAGTGCTAGAGGGACGTGAGGGTGCTCTTTCACTGTTGGTATCATTTTCAAGTCGTGCTCATGCTTGGCTTTAATTAGATTGTTAAGGTTTTTAAAAGAAAAATGTTTGCATTTGGAAATCAGACAAGTTTATAAATAGGTTTTACTTAGAAACTGTAGCAATCAAACACTAGAGGAAAAATGGGCACATTAAACTATTAGTTTTTACATTATGTGTTTGGCAAATGTATCAAGTTTGATCAAGGGCTTTATTAGGGAAAGTCAATGTTAAATACCAAATACACATTTAATACTGGATTATGGACCCTAGTGTGAATTTTACAAAAAAGAAAAGGGCTTGCTTTCTCCTTTGTAGTTCACATTTTATGGCATGGGCTGCGGTGTTTCTGCAAACTAAGTTTATCTGAGAAACCATGTCATTAATAACCTCCCTTAATGATATATTACAGACGTCTTACTTTCTTAGGTCTGTTTATTGAATATGTGTACTAATAATTAAATAAATGTGCATGTGGCATGTATAAGGACATACATACATATATACATACATACATACATACATACATACATACATATGTACATAGATTAAAAACCTCTGGCAGCCTTAAAAATCAGCCCTACTCTGGAATTAAGTGGAAAGCCACTGAAGAACCTAAATAGCAGTTACAGATCTACTGCCTTAAGCCTTAAATCCAGAAGAACCTTATTGGCTCTAATTTAATATAAAATTATTGTCAAATTTGATTACCTATTTTCCCAGCCCCTGGCTTATAAGCAGGGACAAATTATATGGAGAGAGAGGAACGATAAAATGAAAGCAATGAGATATGCAGCTGATGGCCTGGCAGAGAAAGAGAATATAGAAAAGCTGCAAGAAGCAGACGTAGGATTCTGTTGTATTTGATAATACAGTACGAGAATGGCTGCTTAAGATGATAGAAAAGCACATATTACATATTTTTTCAATTTTTCATTAAGAGCAGTTAAATGAAAGTAAATTGAGGTACCAAAGAATAAATAAACCAGCTATCATGGAAAATTCACTTATAGGAGCTCTTCACAGCCCAGATGGCACATTGAAGAATCTTTGGTAATAGAAACAATACAGAGGGCTCCTTTCCACTTCTAAAAAGGGCTTGATCACTTGCAATCTCCACAATGTCACTGTGAAGACAGCAAGAGCAAAACCATTTTTTCTCTTTTTTCTCTTGGGAAAACCGACACCAAGGGATTAGTTTGAATGATAGATGGAATGCACCCCCATTGTTCTTATAAAATATTTTCTTATGTTTTCTACCCATGCATCTGAAATCTGTAAAATTAAATTAAATTAAATCACATATACTCATTACTTTTTGACTACAAAATTAATTATATCTGAATGAAATACTGATCATAGCTTTTTTAAAAAGCAATTAGTAAATGTAAACACAAAAACATTTTTTAAAAATATGAAAACCGAAGACATTTTTTATTGAGAACTTTCTTAGTGCAAACATTTTCCTTTTCATAACCTTGTATTCTTTGCTTTTCTTTTTAATACTAAATTCAGCAGAGATGTAAACTAATGATCTCTTTTTATCACTTACATTTAAAAATATGTTGCTTTCAGATTAGTGTTCCATGAATTGTTCGTATAGTTTACTTCCCCTAAAACACTTATATCTTAAAGAAAAATCCTTTCACATATTCAGTAAGTTATGATGTAATTACATTGCTGTTCCTGAGCCAACTAGTCCACACTAAAATGCGTTTTTATTCTTAAGACTCTTCTTTAAGAAATTAATAAAATTTGTGCTCCTAAAACAAATTAACTAATTAGAAAAACTTAATACAGTCTCCAGAAGTAATTGAGCCATTAACTGGTTTATACACTGATTAGATTGTGTTAAAACCTAAAATAAGACAATTCCTTAAGAAGTATAATACCCATTCCAGGAATAGTAAAGCGTTTAAATTGCTGAACTGCATTATTCTTAATCCTTCCCCCACTGCTTAATTGGAAAGGTTAATGGATTCTGAATTGTTCTAATATATTAAGACAACCAACTTTTTCTTGCATTTCAAAATAAAATTCCTCACGAATTAATACCTGATGTCAGCTAACCATTTTCGAGCCCTGTGGTTTTGTTTTTTTGGCTTTCTTTTTAAAAAAGATCTAATTCCTGAAAAAGCAGAGTCTTAAAAACACATGAAAAATAATTCTGTAGTCAGTAACCTTCTTTAACTTCATGGAGTACATGGCATTGGTACATATTTAACTGTGGCCTCAGCAGCCCTTCATCTCATTTGTCATCCTATACATGTTTTAAAACACTGCCACGGTTTACATTTGTTCAGTAGAAGGCAGTGACTGTTTTACAAGATGTGGGGAAAGAAGGCCCAAAAATGTTCCTTTCTAAAAAAACAAATCTGCGATATACAGTTGTGCCATTTTTTTCTTATTCCTTAAAATATGACAATGTATGAATGAAAAATCTGTAAGTTCTGATGCAAACTAAGTAAATACATGTTTTAATTATCTCTGTAACAATTCTCATATTATGCATCTATAGATATATAGATATGGAAGCCCTTTTATGACTTGTCATCTAGGTGATGCACTCTCAGGGATGTCAGAGAGAGAATCCTGAGATGGCTGAAAGGTTGTCTTTCATGATGAATATAGCGAATCAAACTGAAGATGCTATGATTATAATACACAGAGTTCTTTTTAAGTCCATTAAAGATTGGTCACTTGTATAAATAAGCTTTTAAAAATGAGTTATTCACATATTCATTTTGGTATGTAAGTCTTAATATAAGAAAAGAGATGAATTAGGTTTTGACATCTCTAGGCACAGCAAAGTAAGTTGAAACAGAATTGCCTTAAATGTATTTAACTTGGTTTGCTCCAGAACTGCAAAAATCCCTCTTTAATTACTGTTAAACTCTAAGCCTTATTATTATGAGGCATTTATACCTCTCCCTTGAGGTTAACTGGTTTCCATCCCTTTACCCAGGACTCAGGACAGGTTATTCCCCTCATTGTGGAAAGCTGTATTCGGTTCATCAATCTCTATGGTAAGCCATAAACTACAGAATTCTTATTTTTTAAAAAATCACTTGAAGTGTTTCAGTAAATTTACTTCCTGGGAAAAGAGGGACCTAGACAATGTGATGGGGGTTTTATCCTCTTTCCCTTCTTTTCTCTTTAGGTCTTCAGCATCAGGGGATTTTCAGAGTGTCTGGTTCCCAGGTGGAAGTCAATGATATTAAAAATTCATTTGAGAGAGGTAATTGCACGTCTATCCCTATAAGCAAACCACGTTGAAAAGTCATCATGTTCTGTAAACTGAAGTGGCACCCTTATTCTGTATATCCTCAAAACCTTTCTTTGTATGTACTGCATTAGGGGTGCAGCAGTAAGAATCCATTAAGAATCGCTGAGAAATGGTACCAAAACTATAAGCCCTTGTTATTAAAATTAGAAAAGCATATGAGCTCTGCATCCTGGTTGAGGACTGACATTGATAATCGGTGCCAGGTATAGCAAATGTGGGGCCGAAAGAGTTCTGGAAGAGTGGCCAGGGCAGCCCTGGGCCTAGACAGCAGGTGAGGGAGGCAGCTCCTCCCTGCTGCCCAGCTCCTCCCTTTGTCGGGAGCTCTTCCCTTTTTCTTCTCACGGTCCACAGACTCCTTCCCTGTGACCCTAGGGGGTGCCTTATGCTTGTTCATAATTGGCTGTCAAATAAGTTCTACTAAACTGGGTCATATGCCATATACATTATCTTTTTTCAATGTCAATACTTTTTTCCCTTAATTTTTTATTTTTAACTATTATGGGTACGTAATAGTGTTATGTATTAATAGGGTATATATGATGTTTTAACCCAGGCATACAGTGTGTAATGATCAAATCAGGGTAACTGGGATATCCATCACCTGAAGCACATATCATTTCCTTATGTTAGAAACATTCCAATTAGCACATTATAATTAGCAAAGCTGCACACTTTCGTGTCAGGCAGACCTAGAATCATATCAGACTCTCAGCCACTAATCAATCATGTGATACGGGTCAAGTCGCTCAATTCCTATTTGGCCTCGATTTCCTCACCTGCAAAACTGTAAAAATTGATGGTTAGAGCAGAGCAGCCACATGTGCCAAGTCTCATGCATTGGCCATCTTCAGGGTAAGCTGAAATATGGTAAAGTATCAGGTTCTGTGCTAGCCACCACAGGCAAAATACATGATCATTTTTCCTTGGAAATTTTCCCAGTATTTGTTATTTGTTTGTGATCTGCTTGGGTGAGGCTTTCTCACAGTGGGCAAAAATAATAGTAATTATTATATTCTGATAAATTCATGTTCAGTGATTTCTTGCCCTAGGAACAGAGAAAAGAGAACAACAGATCCCTAAAAATAAATTGCCCTAAGAAGCAAAAAAATACGTTAAAATGCAATGCACACTTTTTGTGAACTTTAGAAGAGAAGCATAAAACTGTAAATAAAAAACAGAATTTGATTTAAGGTTGTATTTTATGTTGAACTTCTTAAGGATTTTATCTCTAGAGGAACAATAACCAGACTTGTTGCCTAATAATTTAATTTAGTTCTCAGAAAGAAACGCTCACCAGACTAGTTGCCTAATATTTTAAAGTTGTTTACCATAAAAAAAATAATTTTATATTTGTGATATATTTTTTAAATTCCCACTTTTTATACAAACTCCTTGGTAACATGAAAGGTACATTTTCAAGTTCCTCTATCTGATTTTAGAGTCTGCCTCTGCTCAAGACAGCCTTCAGATGTGCTGTGAACACCACCATGCCACTTTGGGAAATACCTACTTATTTAATTGTAGGTGTTCACAATTCAGTGGCACCTATGACATTTCTGATAAATTTTGCTGACCCATATAGCATAGTCAGACAGACCTATGGTGTGTCTTTTTCCCAGTAGGGTAAGAAACACAGGATGTAGTGTTTGAATTCATGTCAAACTAAGATTACAGATTTCAGCTTAAAAAAAGTGGGGGTTGGGTAAAATTATAAATTCCACAATATTTTATTTTAAGATTTGAGTAACTTGTAAGGGATTATTTAGTAGCATAAGATTTTAAAAGCTTTATTTTAGTCAACTGTTTTTAGGTTAATCATGGGGTGGGATATCTAAACCAATTATTTTAATTTTAGTACCATATAATCTTTCATAAAGCATAATTAAAAGATACATGTATATATAGCAACGTGTATGTTCATAGAAATATATTTTTGTTCAGAGAAAAAGAAGCACTGTTAATGTAATGAGTTTTTTTTTTTTTTTTAGGTGAAAATCCTTTGGCTGATGACCAGAGTAACCATGATATTAACTCAGTTGCTGGCGTTCTGAAGCTCTATTTCCGTGGGCTGGAAAACCCCCTCTTTCCTAAGGAAAGATTTAACGATCTGATTTCTTGTATCAGTAAGTGGACATTTTTTTCATCTTTTCCCACAAGAATTATTTCACTAGCTAACTTCCTGGAAAAGGCAGTGGCCCCCCTCCATACACCCCCACCCCCATTACCCCATTACCACCATATTTCTGGGACCATTTGTTTTCTTTCTGGATCCAGTGCGAGTCATCCTCCCAGCTGTGGCCTCACCCTCGGCTGAGTGGGCTTTCCTCCTGAACATCCTCTGGCTCCAGAAAGCCAGGAGCTTCCCACTCATGGCTGGAATTGAGCAGAAAGCCAGGTGCCAGCTGCCTAAGGGAAAGGAGGAAGTTGTAAGCTGGGAAATGTGACCTTTTCTTGGCTTTTGATTCTTGGTTTTTCTCAACCAATTTTAGGAGTGGGGTAATTTATCCATCTTTCAATGTTATTTCAAGAAATGGATAAAATGAAATCAAAGATCCTTATTACAGTGCAGGAACACCAGGTGGTAATTATCTGTCAGTGGGCAACCCAAGCTAATAGGCAGAGTTGCTCTGGGATTGTGTATGACATATTATGAAACCGATAATCATTGGCAAAGTAAAGCATTGCTGTTTACTTCAGTGGGGGCTTTTTGACACTATACAAAGGAAGGTGAAAATAATGATACCATGAATTAATTATTAGCCACAATCAAGATCCATGCATCTAAAAATACAGTGTCCCTTTTAAGTCCGAGTTCCCAGCAAGAGTCTAGAGCTGACTTCAATCACTTAGGCTTCATAAGAATCAACTTTTTACTCTTAATAAAGAAATCTCCGTACAGTCCCTCCACCCCCCATCTGAATCAACAAGTCCTATTGATCTGCCCTCAAAAAAAACATCTCACTACTCATCCCTCCTTCCCCATCCCCATCACCTTGGTTTCTCACTGGGGATAGTTAGAGTGTCTTAAATGGACTCTACTTCTAGATTTTGCCTTCTTTTCCCAACCCCTACCCCCTGGCCCTGCATTCTCACACTGCAGCTAGAGTTAAAAAAAAAAAAAAAACTGGGTTGCTTGCTTTCTCCCCTTTTTAAAACCTATTTCAATATAAAAGCAAACTCCCCAAGGTGGGCTTATTGCTTGGTCTCCATTAGTTTGAGACCAGCCTGGGCAACATGGCAAAACCCCATCTCTACTAAAAATAAAAAATTAGCCAGGCATGGTGGCATGCACCTGGATTCCCAGCTTCTTGGGAGGCTGAAGCAGGAGGATCACTTGAGTCTGGCAGGCAGAGATTGCAGTGAGCCAAGATCGTGCCACTGCACTCCAGCCTCGGTGACAGAGCAAGACTCTGTCTCAAAAAAAAATAAAAAAATAAAAAAGCTAACTCCATGGCATGGCCAATTCATATAATTGAATTATTCCTCTCTCTGATCTCTGCTACTGCTGCACAGCCCTCTCCTGCTACCCTACCATATTTACTGTATATTTCAGCAGTAGCAGACTGTACATATGCTGGGCCATTTCCCACCTCCATCCACTTGCCTATGCTGTTTCCTCAGCTGTCCATGATAACCATTCAACATCTGCTGTGAAGGCTTTGCCAAATTGGCATTCCTCCCACAACTCTGTCCTCCCCACCACTCCAACCAGGATTAATCACTTTCTCCTCTCCCATTATTCTATTGGGTACGTATGTCCAGAATTTTTCTGATCTCCCCGCATTATAATTTTTTTAACCCCTCTGTCTCCTACTACTAGAAAATGAGTTTAGGCAGTAGGTTAAGAATAGAGGCTCTGGATTCAAAGAGCCTACTTCAGATCCTAGCTCTGTCACATACTCATCAGCTGTGTGACCTTAGTCAGGTTTCTTAAGCTCTCTGCATCTCAGTTTCCTCACCTATAAAATAGGGGGAACATTAATCCTTACATCATAGGGTTGTGAGAATTTAGTGAGTTAATATGTGTAAAATGCCAAGAAGAGTGCCTGGCACAGAATATGCTCAATGGAGTGCCCACAGTTAGCTCCACAGGCTTGTGGAGTAGTTTTGCAGCCCTAACATTTGTCCACTCCCGAAGGTTAGGAATTAGTTAATTCCTGGAGCATGTTAAGTTAAATAGAATTTATAGATGAAATGAATTGAAAAGTCAAGATTCCACCACGAGTTCTTTGTCTGGCATCAGTGCCTAGAGTCTTGGCTCCAGTTGGGTATGAATTTCCCGGTCATAATCCTCCCCAGTCTGATGTCCCATTGGAATTTAGAAGTACAGCTGCACGTCCATTCCACGGCCCTTGCGTAGCCTGAGTCATCACAATGAACCTCTGACCCAGCTGGAAAGAAATGAAAAGGAGGTGTTTCACTTCTGGAATTCTCCTTTGGCCATGTCCAAAGATTTCCCTCACATCCTAGCCAAAAAGCTTAAGTCTGGAAAAATAACAAGTGCTGTACAATGCTTAGTGGTTTTCTAGGTCCATACATCATGTCAGCTGTAACATGTACATGTACCAATTGGATAAAGAGTGTTGGGCCACATTGTCAGTTACCATTATAGAATCATTTCACACTTTTATTGGATGAAAAATATCATTTCATAGTGGTTTTTAATAACTGAGGCCATAGAGTCAGAAAGATCTAGGTTCAAATCCTAGCTTTACCACTTTCCAACTTTGTATAAACTTGGGCAAAGATTAATACTTAATCTTATTAAATAGCTGTTTCTTCACCTACTTCATAGAGTCTATGTGAAGAATAAATGAGACAGTCCATGTAAAGGGTTTCACATCATGCCTGGCACATAGTAACCCTCAGTAAGTGTTGCAAGCTGTCATCATTACTACTATTACAATTACTCTGACTATAAACTGTGGTCACATATGCCAATACCTGGGTTGGCCACTTATCAATCTGTCTGTTCTGCTAAGTATGTGTTTCTTTGGCATAATTAACTCACGTGAATTTAGAAATATTTGTGTTATCCTCAAGTTACATTGTTTCCAGCATGATTTTTCCCAGCACATTAAATACCTTGTAGCAATCAATGTCAAGCTTTCTCACAATTAGAGTCATATTTAGCAAATATGTAAACTACAAGGAAAAAATCTATGGAGATATCTCATGTAAGGGTACCTACAGTGCTCAAGTGCAAGTGAAGAAGCTACAATGACATTCCCTCCTGTATTAAAACAATGGATTAATCAAAATCAATGGATTCATAATCCTTGGATTTTAATAGGATTGTTAATGTTTTCATTAGTGCAGTAGTTACAAAGTTTCATAAATGTTGAGTAGTCTGCCCCAATCCTATTTTTCCCCATAAGTCTTGTTACTTTTAGTGCAAAGTTTTACAGAATGGCAGGTGTTTCAAAAACATACATATTGACACTAACAACCTCTTTATAGAACAACCCCTTTTCCTCCAACATGTAACCTCTTAAGAAAGAGAGGATTCTTGGATGTTATTATCTCTAAGCAAGCATTTTTTTCTTACCAATGTGACCATAATGCATTTTTCCTGGATTTTCCTGCATTTTTCCTGGATTTTCAATAAATCCTTTGAGTAGCATAATACATCTTTTATCATTGTATCCCCTTATCAATATTGCAGACTTTTGACGATTTGAACCAAGTTGATTAATAGTCTACAATGTATAAAACTGTCTAGGGATTCAGAGACTTGATTCTTGCATTTAAGAGGCTTAAAATGTAGTAGGAAAGGTAAGATATTTACAAATAAATGCAGGCTAAGTTAATATATGATAGAAACAAAGATTTTGAAATTTTAGAGGAAAGAGAGATCTGAGTGATAGATTGTTTTTACCCCTGTCATCTTGTAGCATTGCTGTAATTGGGTTTGATTTTCCCCATTAAAGTAATTTCACATGACAGTTATTTTGTATAGAAAAACTTCCCTTTTCATCTTTTCTAAGAGTTTGCATAAGGCACTGTAGCACCCACTACTTTTCGCTTCCGTATTTTTGGATTGTTTGGGGAAAGGGGTGTGTGTGTGTGTGTGTGTGTGTGTGTGTGTGTGTGTGTGTGATGAGTAGTTATCCAGCCATGTTTATGCTTTATGACCCTGAGTGACCACGTTCTTTGGAAGCTTACAAATATATGTAGTCAAAGGAAATTTATCTTAGCATTCTTTTTTTAAAAATATGCACTATTTGTTCCCCAATTTATTGTACATTTCTTTTTAAAGATTATTTATCTGGATGAAGACATAGTAAAACCAAATGCAACATAAATTTGAAGTGGCAAACTTGGTAGTTTCTCAGTTTCTCACCCAAGAGTTATTTTGTTTTGTTTTGTTTTGTTTTAACCATCCACTTTGTGAGTGGTTTTGTCAATGCTCCAGGTCATACCCACAAAGTCTGGGCAGCTTGTAGAATATCCCTGCATCATGGCTCTGAGATTTCCTAGGGCATAAGTTCAAGTGACTTGCCCTAGAAAAGCCACTCAAGTAATTCATGTTTTTTTTTCTGACTGCCTTAAGGCTGTGAGCCCAGATGAAACTTTTTCATTCCATTTTACATTAGGTGTTATTATTTAGGTGACTACTTGGATATGAGGAAACGGTTTCTTAAGGGAGAATTTTTCTTCCTATCACAAAACCAACATGTAGTTATTGTAGAGTACCTGAAAAATGCACAAAAGCACATAGAACAAAATATTGTCAACCAAAATTCCATAATTCCACTACCCAAAGAGAATCACTGGCATGTACACATTTTGTTTACAACAAACAACAACAAATACTATGTTTCATGTTAATATACAACATAACCACAATACCATTATCATACCCTTAAAACCAACAATAATTCCTTAAATCATCGAATGAGTAGTCAATGCTTTATTTATTAGGTTGGTGCAAAAGTTATTGCGGCTTTTGCCATTACTTTTAGTGGCAAAAAACACGATTAGTTTTGCACCAACCTAATGTTATGCAATTAACATGTTATCACTGTAGAAAAATTATAAACTAAGAACAAATCGTAATTTCTCTACACAGAGATAGTGATAACGTTTTTAGTATCTTTCCAGAGTTTTTCTACAGTACCTATGTACTTTGTAAAGCAGCTTTATTGAGATATAATTCTCATACTCTACAATTCATCCATTAAAGAGTACAGGCCAGTGGTTTTTAGTATAGTCACAGAATTATGCAACCATCACCACAATCAATTATAGTACATTTTTATTACCCCCAAAAGAAACCCCAGTTAGCAAACATTGGCAATTACTCCCCGTTTACTCATAACCACCACCACCCCCGGCCCTAGGCAATCACTAATCTACTTTCCGTCTCTATAGATTTGCCTGTTCTGGCCGTTTCATATGAATAGAATTATACAGTATGTTGTCCTTTGTGATTGGCTTTCACTTAGCATAATGTTTTCAAGGATCATCCATGTTACAGTAGGTATCAGTACTTCATTCTTTTTGATTGCCAAAAAATCCATTTTGTGGGTACACACTCCTATGTACTTTTCATAAAAATTATATCGTACCAAGTGACCACTAATGGATAAGAGGTTTGTTTTTGAAGTGATGAAAATGCTCTAAAATGATTGAGGTGATCTTGTACAACTCTGAGTGTACTAAAAATCATTGTTAAACTGTGTAAATGGGTAAATTATATGGTATATTAGTTATATCTCAATAAAGCTGTTGTTAAAAAAATTGTTTTTGAGACAGGCTCTCACTCTGTTGTCCAGGCTGGATTGCAGTGGCGTGATCACAGCTCACTGCAACCTCCTAGGCTAAAGTGATCCTCCCCCCTCAGCCTCCCAAGTAGCTGGGACCACAGGCGTGCACCACCACACCCAGCTAATTTTTGTATTTTTTTGGTAGAGACAGGGTTTCACAACATTGCCCAGGCTGGTCTTGAACTCCTGGACTCAAGCAATACACCCTCCTCGCCCTCCCAAAGTGCTAGAATTAAGGTGTGAGCCACTGTGCCCGGCCAAGCTGTTGTAAAAAATTATGCCACGCCATACTGGCTCTTCATAAACCACTTTTTTAAAACTCAATAATATTATTTTCAAAATATAGCTTTTAGTGACCCTATAATGATTTCTATTTTATGTAACAAATCCCCTAGTTTAGACATTTAGATTGTTTCCAGTGATTTTGCAACTATACCAAAATACTATGATGAGCTTCTTAGTACCTAAATTTATTTGCCTTTTCTGATTATTTCATGAAAAAAGCTTTTGAACTCTTTTTCTGGTGCTCAATATATGTTTTTGCTATAAAAATTTCTTTCAGCTTTATTGACATACATGGTAGTTTTCTCTCTGAATTCTAAATTTCTGTTTGATGCCTTATAATAATGTTCTTAATTTTTCCTTTATCCTTAAAAATATTTAATAGGCTGAGTATCTGAACTGAGTAGGTAAAGCTCTCTAGGCTAAGACTCAGTTTCTTTACTAACCTCAATATGATAATTCAGCAGAATAGGAAACATCTATGTATGTATTTCTATAGTGCTGTTATTTAGGAGAGAAATCAATGGTTTAATTCACAGAAGTCAGTCTGTTAAACAATTATATACAAAGGTTTGATTAACACCTTGACATTGTTAGTGTGAACCTAAAAATGTCCTGAAACTGATACATTCATCTTGAATGCCAGCTGTTAGGCTATGGAACTCACAAGTATGTGTGTACCCACTGTTAAATAAACGGTTTCTAAATGTGGCTGCCAAGGAATTTCCTTCCCTGTCTTCATACCTAAGGAGAAATTTGCATCTTGTGATTTATTATTCATTTTCTGGCAAACAAATACTTCTACAAATAGTCCACAGAAGAACCAGTATTTTCAGAGTGATGACCATTTGAACTTTTTGCCATTTGCTGAAGTAACTTGTGTTTTATGGTAAATTTTTCACATGCATTTACATGGAGCTATCTAACCCGCCTGCTGGGAAGTTGGGACGCTAACATGAGAATCTTGCATTGCTGGGAAAAAAACATATATTAGCCCAGGGAGCTTTGAGCATGTGATCAAGGTTGGATGAATGCCACTTTTACCTAATTACATGAGACCTTGAATTGTGGAAAACAAAGCCCAGCTTACAAGAAATCCAAGTGAAATACTGATTTTCCCCACTGACAACTTTTCTGAGGGGAAGAAAAGACCCATCTTTCCCTCCAGCATGAAATTGTGAAATTTGCCACACTCAGAGCCAGCTAGGAACACACATTCATCAGGGTGTCAGCAGCAACCATAAATTTTGCCCACTAACTGGACTCAGGACAGTAAATGAGTCATTTGTACCAGAGCGAAGCTCCTGTAGGATACACATTGCGCGCCTGTTGAGCAGCCAGCCAGGTAGAATTGGGAGTCCTGCTCGCAGCCATCACGGTTAGAGGCCTTCGAGACGAACAGATTTGCTACTACTTCAGGAATGCCAGCAGTTCTGTTTTGCTTTGATTTGTGTTGACTGTAGTTAAAGAGAATGTACATCTGCCTCATATAACTTTATCTAGTTTTTTTAGTGTCACTTATGTCCTTGTTGCTTTTCCCCTGAAGTCTTTCATTTGCATCCCACAGGCCCCCTCATTCTTTTATTGTGGTAAAAATATATATATATATAAAAAATATAAAATTTACCATGTTAACGATTTTTAAGTGTACAGTTCGGTGGCATTAAGTACATTCACAATTATCACCACTATCCATTTCTAGAACTTTTTCATCTTCTCAAACAGAAACTCGGTACTCATCAAACAATAACTCCCCATCCTCCTGCACCTCCGCCCCAGGCCCTGGCTTTATCTCTTCTGCTTTCTGTCTCTATGCATTTGCCTATTCCAGGTACCTAACATAAGTGGAATCATATAATACTTGTTCTTTTGGTGACTGGCTTCAGTTAGCATAGTGTCCTCAAGCCTCATGCATGTTGCAGCATGTGTCAGAAATGTTTTTCTTTTTAAGGCTGAATAATACTGCATTGTGTGTGCATACCACATTTTGTTTATCCACTCATCTGTCGATGAACATTTAGGTTGTCTCTACCTTTTGGTTATTATGAATAATGCTACTCTGAAACTGCTGTACAAATATTTGTTCCCTCAATTCTTATTAAATAAAATTTTAAAACTGCCTTTAAGAGGTAGAGGGACTAAGTTTAGAACCAAGAGATAGAAACAAGAAGATCTTGAATTAAGATTAAACTTCTTGAGGCCGGGGATGGTGGCTCATACCTGTAATCCCAGCACTTCGGGAGGCTGAGGCAGGCAGATCACTTGAGGCCAGGAGTTTGAGACCAACCTGGACAACGTGGCAAAATCCCCTCTCTACTAAAAATACAAAAATTAGTCAGGCATGGTGGTGGGTGCTCCTAATCCCAGCTACCTGGGAGCCTGAGGTATCAGAATCACTTGAACCTGGGAGGCAGAGGTTGCAGTTAGCTGACATCACCCCACTGCACTCCAGCCTGGATGACAGAGTAAGACTCTGTCTCAAAAACAACAACAACAACAAAATCTCTTGGAATTAATGCCTATGTCCTGTAGTTACAGAGAATGTAGCCTCCAGAGTGACTTGCTGTCTATGGGATTTGACAAATATTAAAGATGAATAATATAGTAAGAGTGGTTCTTTTTACATCCTTTCCTTTCCTTTTGTTTTTAACTCTAGGACTTTAAAACTAGCGTTAAGCTACAAAACTCCTGTCCCTGATAGTTGACCTTAACTTTATGATTATTAATTGTTTTAGAGACAATGTATTCCTCTGTTGCCCAGACTAGAATGTGGTGGTGTGATCATAGCTCACTGGAGCTTCGAACTCCTGGGCTCAAGCAATTCTCTTACCTTAGCCTCGACCTTAACTTTAAAATGAGGATTTGCTGGGAGAATGAGGAAACTTCACTTTTGAAACACCCAAGATTCTCAATAAACAGCGGGAGAAGTTTTATTGTTGTCTTAAGAATAAATCATAATATGTATAATTTCGCTTTTGAAGAGTTTTTTCTTTTTCATTTTTAGAGATAGACTTTCTAGATACAGGTATGCTAAATCATCTTTGTCTTCTTTAAAGCAGCAACAACATTACACTTTTTATAAAATCAGCTATTTTAGGTAATAAGCATTCAACCAGTTAATTTCTGATATGAGATAATAATGCAGCTGTGTTGAAATAGTATTTAAAGATACAGAATTCCCATTAAATTCTCAATGACTTGCAAATTACTTCATGTTTAGGCATTTCATCTTCCCTCTCTGTACAATGTGGTTTTGCACATATCACATGAAGTTGTCATGGAGATAAACAGCTTACTCTGGGACATGTCTTGATCCTACCAGGACCAAACTGGGTGGAAATGTTGATAACTTAATTATTGAGTTATTGTGGCCTGAGAGAATTTATACACCTGTTGAATAACTTCTTTTTTAAGCATCTTATTCCCTCTTTTCAGGGAAAAATAAATCAAGACCATTGCCTGGGAAGTATGTTAACAAAGTGCTTGTATGCAATAGACGTAACCCTAATCTGCCTTGTTCATAGCGTTATATTTTCTCCATTTTGAAATATTTTACAAATAAAAAAGGCAAAATGTAGTATATTCAATTCAGTATTACTAAGATCACACTATTATAAATTATAGATTTATATTGAAAGAATAAAAATGAAAGAATGAGAATGTTAATTGCATGATAATGTTTTACTTACATTCTGGTTCAAGAGTTTCTGAAATTGCATTTGCTAAAAGATGACAGAGCTACGGTTCCAACTTTGGCATACTTAAAGGTGGGAATGGAAGTGGTTTTTTCTCAGGAATCCTGATAAATTATTGCTTGTTTTGTCAGCTCATTCTTGGTTAATCAAGAATATTCCTAATAGATTTTTCGTACCTTTTCAGCTATGCAAAAGGGAAAATAGAATGCCCAGTTTGATAATAAGTGGAAAACAGCTGGGGTCAGCACTCAAGATTCCAGGGAAATAAGCTTAGCAAGAGTAATTAAGACAGTGGTTCTCAACCCTGGCTGCATAAAAGAATCTCAGGCATCAGCATTTTTAATCTCCCCAAGTGAATCCAAGTCAAGGTTGAGAACCACTGATACAAGAGGAATCGGAAAGGGAAACTGAGTTAGGAGAGTATTTTGATAGTCTAAGTTAGAAATAATCAAGACTTCAGTTAGAAAATTAGCAGTGAGATATCTAGAAGTAGAAACTACAGGACTTCTTTCCCATTCAAGGGAGAAAAATGAAGCAAGGATATCATCTTAGAAGTGATGTTTGTAACCTTGCAACTGGATGAGGTTGCCATTGAGGAGAACCAGGTAGATATCTTTGAGAGTTATCCACATTTATAGGTGGAAGAAGGTTTAAAAAACAACAATAATAATGAGAATGAGTTGACTATGGTGTCAGAGGCTATGGACTGAGAATTTTCAAGTATTTTCATGAATATCTCAAGCAATTAAGAACAATATGGTGATATAAAAGTATAGGAAGCTTCAGAACTGTTTTCAAACATAATACTTTTTTGGAAATATTTTCTCAAATGTATGCTTATTGGGTATCTTCAAAGTTGTACTTTGTAAAGGTACAGCTTTACAAAGTGGTAGTCTTGGGATCCAAGAAAGGCAACCAGACTTATGAAACAGAAAACAGACTTGTGAAACAGACTTATGAAACAGGACACATAGGTTGCAGTCCCAGGTCTGCCTCTTCTAGCCCGCTGACCTTGGGTATGCCACTTGCCCAGTTCTCATTTTCCTAATCTGATAAATGGGGATGACAGTGTGTGCCCTGCCTACTGCAAAGTTTATTATTCCTTTTAACTTAGATAGCAAGTGTGAAAATGTGTTTTTAAATATATAGAGAATTATACAAATAATGTGTTGTAGTAGTAACCTTTTTGCTGATGTTCACAAGCACTTTAGTATTCAGACACTTTAGACAGTTTGTATTCCTGGTAAAGAGGTAGCATAACACTAGTCTCAGGTAATCCTGTCTTGGGGGAGCTCACCATCCCACAGGGAAGACGAGATAAGGAAATAAATAGCTATAAACATCAGGACATGCATCATATGAAGGCAGGAATTGTATTGCTAATGTATTCTTAGTGCTTGAAACCTGGTGGGCTCTCCTAATATTGATGGTATAATGTAATACAAGGTGAAAAGTCATATAAGTAAAATGCAGTGGTAATTTTGAGAAAGGAGAGATTCTAAACCTGGCACATTGCCTGGATCATAATTATAGACAAATATATGATGAATTAATGCATAACAGTTCGGGGAGAGGTGCCATGCCCCAGAAAGCTACTTTGGTTAGCATGCAGCAAGAAGTTGAAATCATATCAGATGCAAAATTTAGAATTAGCAGCAAAGGAAAAAATGGTTTTTAAATCTAGAAGACTCTAAATTACTCAAAGCCAAGTCCATGAAAATCGGAGAAAACGGTAAGGGTCAGAGGAGATGCCCTCTGGAATGGTGGTATACCCAAGCCGATCATTTATTCGCTGTTTTGGTTACAATTGGATCTCACACAAGAGCAGGGTGTTGCTTATATTCAGATGTGTACCGGTAATACATGTACTGCAGTGTTCTGTTTTAAATGTGGCAAGTGAAAGGACTCTGACCATGTCATCTTCTGTCTGTAGGAATAGATAATCTCTATGAGAGGGCGCTTCACATCCGCAAACTCCTCCTGACTTTGCCCAGGTCGGTCCTTATAGTGATGAGGTACCTCTTTGCCTTCCTCAATCAGTAAGTACCTGAATGCTCTGACAAAAGGCCCATCTGAATTCTGTCTTTGTTCTTCGATCCTGTAAAATGTACGTTGGGTTCCATTTATCAGCAGAGTCAAAGAGAAAAATGATTGAATATACATTGAAAAATGTACTGAAGGTACATTTTTCCTCAGCAGATCAACATCATTGATAGATGAAAGCCCTACCCCAGATGTAAAAACTGTGGCCACAAATGCAAAGATATTTAAATATTACTAAAAAAAAACCACAACTTTTCAGTGAGAAGTGTTATTCAGTGTTTTTCAGACTTTCATCCAAAACTGTCATGAATGTTTTTGTCAAAATGATGTAAACTGGCTGTTCATTGCGGAAAATTTCTGCGACTTTTTAATATTGTAGTTGAGGATGGAAGAAAATCATAGATGGGAGCTGTACACAGATCCAAAAAAGAATTTCTGCAAATTCACTGTAATGAGACCTTATCAACAAGAAAATACCTCAAAATGTTCTCCTAAACAGAGTAACAAATCTTTTAAATTACTACATTATTTTCAAAGAACTTTATTCTTTTAATTTCAGCAACTTGATTTTCAGCTATGCTACTTCCTGCTGTATGGGTTCCATTATAAGAACAGCTTCCCCAAGTCCTATCTAAGAGTACTCTTGCTATTCAACATTTCAGCTAAGCAGCTGGAAACAAAGAAATGCAGGGGGAATCAACTTATTGAGTAAACTTGGGGAAATGCCTTCTCATGCTAGCATGGATTCTCCTTTCCTAAAATTCGGATATTTTCTTTTCTCTATTTCATGGGACATTTGGAGTTCTCAGAAGCCACGGTGATTTATTACAATCCCGCTGACTAGTCCTGAAATCATACCCACTCAGCTTGACCCCAAGAGCCAAGTATCATACAATAGGGAAATGTTGGCAGAGAACCATACAGAATGAGACTCTACTGCTGACCTGTGGTGCCTAAAACATTCACAAACGACAGTAGCAACCCCTTTGTACATTAATCACCACTGGAAAAAAGCAGTATCTAGAGAGTTAAGTTTAAACTATGGTTAGGCTAGACACTATACATTTTTACCTTTAAGGAAACACACTCACTCAGGCAGTTTTAAAAGTCCAGAGGCTTGCCTGTTGCCCCACCATCACCACCACCACCATACACCAGGATGGAGTACCTTGCATTCCTGCTGGCCCCCTCCATACCATTCCTACCAAATCTTCCTGACACACCTGAACAAAATCCACTGTGAACTAATAATCCATAATGGACTAGGAAAGCAGTCTGTTAATTAAGAAAGTTCTCAAAACCTGAACCTAACTCATCATGCATCTCAAAGAATGGCAAATGCACCATGGGTGTTGCTGTTATTGCTTCCAGTGGTTCTACCCAGAGGCCCCCTAGCTGGTTGCACCTGCCTTCATGCAGACACAAGGGCCCAGCCTCTAGGGCAGGATGCTTGGGATGGGGATTATGAAAAGAGAAATTAGCTATTATTTTTTACTGCAAAATCAAAACTTGGAAGTAACATTTTTACATCAAGTTTCTGTTTGCAAGCCAGCACTAAAGACCCAGAAAGATTAACTGTGACTGTCTCCACTGAGCTGAAGTATGTCTTTTGGAAATTAGGCCATTCTTATTCAGAATCTCCATTTTCAAGATGATCTGTAATATGATCATTTACTGTTATTGTGATTTTTTAAAAAATATTGTGTGTTTGAGAAATGGCAGAAGGGAAAGACATATGTTAGCTATGGAAATTATGCTTTTGTATTTTCTACTTCCTAGACTATCTTATTTCCAAAAAAAGGGTAAAGTATCATGTCATGTGGTATCTCAGTTTCTTTGTATCTGTCATCACCTCACAAAGGTAGTTGAGTCTCCTTTTTCTCCTTCCATTTGTCATATGTTCACCTGGATTTTACATTTCCTTTCAAGATTGACATTCTATACACTGAAAGATAACATATCTAAACTCTCCCTAGAACAAGGAGCATAGCAATAAAGAGCTGGCTTATTTTGAGTCACTGTGAAAATATTTCACAAATACCCATTGAGTAGAATGTAGAAATTAGTACTAGACAACTGGAAATCTCCCCCACAGTTTGCAAGCCTTGCATAGAATAAGAGAACTGAGGATTCTTTTCCCCTTTTCTTGTATTTATAATGGCTTTTGTGACACTGGTTGTCACCTAGTGTTGAATGTCTTACCCAAAAGCAGATTATAAAGCCTGGAGTTATTGGCTCCTTTCAGTAGTTACAAAGAAAAGGTTCTTTGTTTTTTTCTAGGCTTTCTCCAAGATTTATAGGAGAAAACTAAAAATCTGAGATATATTTGAGTGGGGAGAAGACAATTTTAAAGACATCCATAAAGCTTTATGGAAATCCTCACTGTGTATCCTAAATTTACTTGAGGAACATTTAGAGCTTGACCGTCACATTTGCAAATAAAACTCATTTATGTGATCCTGGTCTCCATTGTAGTGAATATTATATTAAACCCCCTCCTGACTTTGAAAAATGCTACTTAGTTAAGCAAATAGGACTTAGAATCCCCTCTCAATTTCTACTTAGTTAAGGTCATAAGTCATTTCACTTTCTTTGGAGTTTGCTGAGCCAACTTAAAGTTGAAGTATCTTATTAAAGTATTGAAGTATCTTGTTATTAAACATTTATATCCTTTTTTTCTCTTTGTTCTTTTATAACTCCTTTCTTGTTTCCTTTTGTAGTCTATCACAGTACAGCGATGAGAATATGATGGACCCTTATAACCTGGCCATTTGCTTTGGCCCAACATTGATGCCTGTCCCAGAAATACAGGATCAAGTGTCTTGCCAGGCACATGTGAATGAAATTATCAAAACCATCATCATCCACCATGAGACTATTTTCCCAGATGCTAAAGAGCTGGATGGCCCTGTTTATGAGAAATGTATGGCTGGAGATGACTATTGGTAAGTCTAAGAATTTTAGTCCTCCTCTCCCACCGAAAATTATGGAAATATAGCTATCAATTTGATTAGAAGAAAGAGTTTCCCATAAGCCACCAATGCTTCCAACTTAAAAGGAAGAAGCAGTAAAACTTGAAATAAATTTTTAGAATACTAAGACCCATGGAAACTCATATTCATCCCTCTCTTTTCTCCAAGGACTCTTATCTTTCAAATAAATCTACCCTATCGTGGTTTTTGTAGACAAAAAGGGTTTTGATGTTATGTAGAGCTATGTTAACTTTTATCATTACATTAAATCAAGAAAAGATAACAGATTGACATTTTATTTTTCAGTCTAAATCAAAGGTTTTGGTTTCATATAAAGTGTTTTTAAATTCTCATTTTAAAGGAGCCCTGTCAACCAAATGTATTTTCATTCTTAACTTTTCATTTTCACTCTTCCTAATGAATATAATTCTAGCTATAATTATAGTTAGACCTTTAGGTCATTTTGAGCAAATTTATTATATTAATATATTTTGGGGATAAAATTTTTAGCATGGCAATATTGCCTCCCATTGCTGCAAATGACAGGATCTCATTCTTTTTATTGCTGAATAATATTCCATTGTGTAGATATACCATAATTTCTTTAATCCATTCATTCAGTGCTAGACACTTAGGTTGTTTTCACATCTTGGCTATTGTGACTAATGCTACAATAAATATGGGAGTGCAGATATCTCTTCAATATACTGATTTCCTTTCTTTTGGATGTATACCTAGCAGTGAAGGTCATTATGTTAAGTGAAATAAGCCAGGCGGGAAAGACAAATATCACATGTTCTTACTCATATATGGAGCTAAAAAAGTGGATCTCATAGAGGTAGAGAGTAGAGTGATGGTTACCAAAGGCTAGGAAGGGAAGGGGAATAGGAAGGATGAAAAGAAGTTGGTTAAGGGCTATAAAAATACAGTTAGGTAGAAGGAATAAGCCAGGTGCAGTGGCTTGCACCTGTAGTCCCAGATACTTGAGAAGCTGAGGCTGGAAGATCATTTGAGCCCAGGAGTTTAAGGCTGCAGTGAGCTCTGATCACACCACTGCATTCCAGCCTGAGCAACAAAACAAGACCCTGTCTCTAAAGAAGAAAAAAAAAAAAGGCTGGGCGCAGTGGCTCATGCCTATAATCCCAGCACTTTGGGAGGCTGAGGCAGGCAGATCACTTGAGGTCAGGAGTTCGAGACCAGCCTGGCCAACATGGTGAAACCCCGTCTCTACTAAAAATACAAAAATTAGCCAGGCATGGTGGTACGTGCCTGTAGTCCCAGCTACTCCGGAGGCTGAGTCAGGGGAATTGCTCGAACATGGGAGGTAGAGGTTGCAGTGAGCCAAGATCGCGCCACTGCACTCCAGCCTGGGTGACAGAGCAAGATTCTGTCTCAAAAAAATAAAAAAATTTAGAAGGAATAAGCTTTAGTATTCAGTAGTACAGTAGGAAAATTATAGCTAACAATAATGTATATTTCAAAACAGAAGAATTGTAAGGTTCCCAGTATGAAGAAAAAATAATTGTTTGAGGTGATGGATATCCCAGTTACCCAGATTTGATCATTACACATTGTATATGGGTATCAAAATATCACATGTACCCCTAAAATATGTACAACTATTATATATCAATTAAAAAATAGCAAAGAAAGAAACTTCAATTTCTTGAACCCCTATTATATCTCAGCTGCTTAGTGCACATGATCTCTTTTATTTAGCATGACCACTCTACCAAATAAGTTAGGAAAGGCCAAGGAGCCTTCCAATGATTAGTAGTAAATCAAAGTTAGGTGTGTGTGATTCCAAAGCATATGTGAGTCTTCTTACTCAGCAACCTCCCTGCCCACCTCAGAAACTGCCCTGTGCAGCTAGGATTCAAGAGCAGCTGGAAATAGGTTTGTTTAAATCCCTTATTCTGGACCCTGCTCACAACACTTTCTTTCTCATTTTCTTACCAAAGATTAAGTAGAAGTGGAATGAGTAGCTGAAAGATAGTTAAATAACTGAAAGTACTTTTTTTTTTAACTTGAATCATAGTATGGTCATATGCCTTAAGAAAACTTAGTTGACTATTTCCAGAAGTACTGTTTTCTAAATTAAGAATGAAACATACCTAGATTCCAGTTCTGTAGTATATTCACCAACTTTACACATGAAGTTCAATTCAAAATATTTACTTGAGTACTTAGTATGGGAAAGATACTGACTGAGCTTGGCTCTGGGAAAGTAAATGAATGCAACTCAACCCTGCTGAGATACATGATTTTATTTTCATCATTGTATTTGTTTTAAGGCCAGTACCAAAGATATGGTTAGCTTTTTTTTTTTTTTTTTTTTTTTTTTGGAGACAGAGTTTCACTCTGTTGCCAGGCTAGAGCGCCATGGCGCAATCTTGACTCACTGTATTCCCACTGCAACCTCTGCCTCCCGGGTTCAAGCGATTCTCCTGCCTCAGCCTCCCAAGTAGATGGGATTACAGGTGTCCACCACCATACCCAGCTAATTTTTGTATTTTTAGCAGAGACAGGGTTTCACCATGTTGGCCAGGCTGGTCTCGAGTTCCTGACCTCAGGTGATCCACCCACCTTGGCCTTCCAAAGTGCTGGGATTACAGGCGTGAGCCACCGTGCCTGGCCTGGTTAGCATTTTTAAATATTAGGGCTATGTCAGTAAGCTCTGCTGTCTTGTTCATTTTATAAAAGAGCAAGTTTGTAGATGTCTGGTCAATATTATTTATATTCTAGGACATTTTGTGATCGCTACTTTTTCCAGACAGAGTAAAGCTCCCATGACAGTCTTGCAGCCAGTAACGTGTGCTCGATGGTGTCTATCTTTTTCTATGGGTATTGCTCATTTTAAACAGGAAGTCAACAGTGTAGTAGTTATACTTGTCCCCCAACATCAGAAATGTAAATGGGCTTTTACAGTAATAGTAGGTTTATATTTGTGGCCCATGTATTCCATTTATCAGCACACAGTTGAGGATTGGTGGTGACAGTGTTAAGGGATAAGTTTTAAAAGAGGATAAAATCATGATTCTCATACAGATATGCAATGAACATGTGTCAAGAAAAGGTGGTAAAGATGCCACAAGCAGTTCAAAGGAGACATCAAAGAATGACCAATTTATATGTAGTAAAGGAATAGCAAAATGAATTTGTAAAAAACTGGTCTATCCATAGGGCAATAATCATATTCTACCAGAATTCAACTAATTTGTATTTCTGTGGATAAGAATTACTTATAATGCTATCCATTTTTTACAAGTTAACTTCTGTCTTTATAGAGTTGTAAAATAACCTAGTCAAAGATGAATGTATGTATCTAATATATATTCCTGTAGGACAGCATAATCAATGGAGGTGCCAGGATTCCATTGACAACTATCCAATTACTCTTTTGTCCTTATAGAGTCTTATAGTTTTCATTACAGTAGCAATTGCTCATTATTAAAATTCTCTCAGGCTGGGCATGGTGGCTCACACCTGTAATCCTGGCACTTTGGGAGATCAAGGCAGGAGGATCAATTAAGCCCAGGAGTTTGAGACCAGCCCAGACAAAATAATGAGACCCTCATCTTTACAAAAAAATTAAAAATTAGTCAGGTGTGGTGGTGCACACCTGTTGTCCCAGCTACTTGGGAGGCTGAGGTAGGAGGATCACTTGAGCCTGGGAGGCAGAGGTTTCAGTGAGCCAAGATCACACCACTGCACTCCAGCCTAGGCAGCAGTGCAAGAACCTGTCTCAAAAAATTTTTGTCTATTTTAATTTCATATGAATTTCCATTTGTATTCTACAGCGACAGCCCATACAGTGAGCACGGTACATTGGAGGAAGTGGACCAAGATGCTGGTACAGAGCCCCACACAAGTGAAGATGGTATGCTCTCCCCTTATGCTATTATAAAGCCAGTCTTTATATCCCTATTGTAAACAATTGCTTGTATTAACATTTTAGAGGCAAAGCACAGTGGCTCCTACCTATAATCCCAGCACGTTGGGAAGCCAAGGTTGGAGGATCACTTGAGCCCAGGAGTTCAACACCAGCCTGTGCAACATAGTGAGATCCCATCTCTACAAAAAAATACAAAAAATTAGCCAGGCGTGGTGATGTGCACCTGTAGTCCCAGTTACTCAGAAGGGTGAGTTGGGAGGATTGCATGAGCCCAGGAGTCTGAGGCTACAGTGAACTAGGATAGCGCCACTGCCCTCCAGCCTGGGCAACAGAACAGACCTCATCTCAAAAAAAAAAAAAAAAAAAAAGTAGATTAAAAAAAATTCATAAAATATGTGTAAGGTATAAAAAATAACATTACAATGAAAACCAATGAAACCACCACCAAGCTTAAGAAAAAAAGACTTATTGTTTCCTTTGCACTTCCCTGATCTGACTGCTTTACTTACCCCCTCAGGAGTAACCACTATGTTTGTGTTTTTAAATAGTTTCTTGTTTCCTTTTCTATTTTCTTAAATCTTCTATAAGTGGGATCATACTGTATATATTTTTCGTGAGTTTTTTCTACTCAGTATTATGTTCCTGATGTTCATCTGTGCAGTTGCTTGCAGTTTGAACTGTTTATTTTACCACTGTATAATATTCCATTGTATGTATCTATTCCGTTCTTGATGAATATGTCAGGTATTTTCTACTCGTTGCTATTAAGAACAGTGCTGCTATGCACTGTTAGGACATTTTGAACATGTCTTCTACTGAAAATGTACAGGAGTTTCTCTAGGATGTATGCCTAGGAGTAACCGTGTCTTCAGCTTTACTCTATACTGTCAAACCATTTTTATGAAGACAGTTGCTACTTATAGTTCCCCAGAGAAGGGGGCATGCCATGCTATGGGAAGCTACCTGGGGAAGCATCAGGAGGCAGAGGGAGAGTGAAGACTTTGGTGTGCTTTCCACAGGAAGGCATCAGTGAGGCAGGGTAAGCAGCTTTAGGGTTGCCTAGTTGGAATAATTTCAGCAGGCTCTGGGGCATTAGGGGATGTCCCAAGTTGTCTGGTACCTACCTGGCCCTGGGGTGCCGAGAATAGGGCAGCAGTGGCCTGGAGTGGGAGAGCCTGATAATCAGGGTGGTGGGGTGTTGGCTCCAATGGGCAGGTTGGTGTTTGGAAAGTTTGCTTGTGGGTGAGTTGTTTACTATCTCCAGAAATTGGCTAACCCTAGAGGGACTGTCCCTCCAAGGTCAGCAAGGCCCAAGAGGTCAGAAGATAAAAGACATGGTTGATAATGTGTTTATTTATCTTTTGTAAAATTCCTATCAAGTCTTTTGCCCATTTTTCTATTGAGTTTTCTGGGCTCTTTTTGTTTGGTTTCGCTTGGTTTTGTATTTAGTTGTTTTTTTATTTGATTTGTAAGGGTTCTTTGTGGGTCCACATCAGGTCCTTTACTGGGTATATGCTTTGCAGATATCTTCCCCTGCTCTGTAGCTTTGTTTTTCAAATGCTTATTATGTCTTTTGCAAAACAGAACATCTTAATTTTAAAGTAGTTAAATTTATCAATCTTTTCCTTCATGGTAATTTTACTTCGCATCTCCTTTAAGAAATCCTTCTGTGTCTTGAGGTAATAAATAATTCTCCTATATTCTCTTATTTTATTTTATTTTGGTAAGAACACTTAAGTGTACAGTACCTTAGTGTTGACCATAGGTACAGTGTTATACAGCAGATCTCTAGAGCTTGTTCTCCTTGCTTGACTGAAACTTTATTCTCGCTTATTAGTAACTTCCCATTTCCCGCTTCCCCCAGCCTCTGGCAACTACCGTTCCACCCTTTGATTCTATGAATTGGATTCTTTTAGATACCTCATATAAGTGAACTTACATAGTGTTTGTCTTTCTGTGTCTGGCTTATTTCACTTAGCAAAATGTCCTCCAGGTTCATCCATGCTGTCACATATGTCGGGATTTCCTTCTTTTTACAGTCTGAATAGAATGCCATTGTATTTACCTATATTTTCTTTATCTATTCATCTGTCCGTGGACATTTAGGCCATTTCTACATCTTGGCTATTGTGAATAGTGCTGAAATGAACATAGGAGTGCTCTTCAAGATCCTGATTTCAGTTATTTTGGATAAATACCCAGAAGTAGGATTGTTGGATCACATGGTAGTTCTATTTTTAAGTTTTTGAGGAATCTCTGTGCTGTTTTCTGAAGCAGATGTGCCATTTTGTGTTCCCACCAGCAGTGTACAAAGGTTTTAATTTCTCCACATCCTTGGCAACGCTTATCTTTTTGTTTTTGTTTTTGTTTTTTGTTTTTGAGACAGGGTCTCACTTTGTCACCCAGGCTGGAGTGCAGTGGCATGATCTTGGCTCACTGCAGCCTGGACTTCCCCGGCTCCAGTGATCCTCCCACCTCAGCCTCCCAAGTAGCTGGCACTAGAGGCACATTCTACCACACCCAGCTAATTTTTTGTAGAGATGGGCTTTTGCCGTGTTCCCCAGGCTGGTCTTGAACTCCTGAGCTCAAGCCATTTACCTGCCTTGGCCTCCCAAAGTGCTGAGATTATAGGCATGAGCCATTGTGTCCAGCCAACATTTGTTACCTTTTGTTTGTTTTGTTTGTTTCCTAACACAGTGGGATAACCTCATATGTGGTTTTGATTTGCATTCTCCTGATGATTAGTGATGTTCAGCATTTTAAAATATACCTGTTGGCTGTTTATATGTCTTCTTTGGTGCCTTATTTATTTATTTATTTATTTATTTATTTAGAGATGGAGTCTGTCTGTCCTCCATGCTGGAGTGCAGTGGCATGATCTCAGCTCACTGCAACCTCCACATCCTGGATTCAAGTGATTCGCCTGCCTCAGCCTCCCTAGTAGCTGGGACTACAGGCATGGCTAATTTTTGTATTTTTAGTAGAGACAGCATTTCACATGTTGGTCAGGCTGGTCTCAAACTCCTGACCTCAAGTGATCCGCCCACCTCACCCTCCAAAAGTGATGGGATAACAGGCATGAGCCACTGCATCCAGCCCCATATATTCTTTTAAATCCTTTAAGGTTTTGCTTTTCACACATAAGTCTTTATTCCACCAGCAATTTATTTGGGGGTATGGGATGAGGTAGGGATCCATTCCCTTTTTCTTTATATGGATATGTAATTGTCGCAATTATCTCAGCATTAATTGTCCTTTCTCCACTGCTCTACATCTTTGCCATAAATGAAGTATCTTCTTTGTGTGAATTTCCTCCTGGGCTCTATTCTTTTCTACTAGTCTACATGTCTATCCCTATATCACTGTCCTAGTTTTGATACCTTTTAATAAATCTTAATCGTTCATAAAGCAACACCTCTGCTTTGTAATTCTTGGCTCTTTGCAATTCCACTTAAATTTTAGACTCAGTTTTTCAAGTTCTTCAGACAAACAAAACCCTCTAAAGCCCAACTGGAGTTTTGATTGCCTTTGTATTAATTCTACCTATATTAATATGGGGAGAATTAATATCGTTACAATATTCAATATTCCAGTCCATGAACATATTTCCAGTTATTTAATGTCTCCCAAATAAACTTTTTATTCTTTCTCTGTAGAGATTTTTTTCATTTTCTAACTTAAGTTTAAGGCTTAGCATTCATTTTCAACACTTTTTACTTTTTAATATAAACATTTAAAGCTGTCTGTTTTCTCTAGTACTTCTTTAGCTATATGCACAAATTCTTTTTTTTATTTCTTCAGCTGTAACTAATCTGCTTTAAGCAGATCCATTGAATTTTTATTTTTAAATATTATTTGTTTCTTTTTTTTTTTTTTTTTTTGGCAGAGTTTTGCTTTTTTTGCCCAGGCTGGAGTGCAATGGTACAATCTCAGCTCACAGCAAACTCCGCCTCCCAGGTTCAAGTGATTCTCCTGCCTCAGCCTCCCAAGTACCTGGGATTACAGGTGCATGCCACTATGCCCAGTTAATTTTTGTATTTTTAGAAGAGACAGGGTTTCACCATGTTGGCCAGGCTGGTCTCAAACTCCTGACCTCAGGTAATCCACCCGCCTCAGCCTCCCAAAGTGCTGGGATTACAGGTGTGAGCCACTGTGCCCAGCCTTTAAATATTATTTCTTTCTACAAGTTGTATTTGATGTGCTTTTATATCTGCTGCTTGATCATTTTTTATAGTCTCTGGCTATTTATTCATTAGCGCTTCCCATCAGAATATGTGTCTGATAATTTCCATATGTCTTCCCAAATTTGTTTTGTTGGCTCTCACTCATTGAGTCTTATTTTCCACTGTGTTTGTAAATTTTGTACAGATTTCTTGGAACTTTAGGCTCAGTGGAAGGTAGATTCTTCCAGAGAGGGTTTTCATGTACTTCTGCCTGGGTTACAACCAGCCTAGGACAACATTGAATTTTTGGCTTGAAGTTTTTCAAACCACCCAGGTAGTGCAAATTTAAACTGCAAACCTACCTGAGAACTGGAATGTGGATGGGATTCTCAGATGATTTGTGTCAAGGTTTAAGATAGGTTATTTCCTTAATGGGGGTGGAGGGCAGGGGAGATGGTTACAATCTATGGAGAGGTATTGAGAGCTACAAGGGGATAAGATTTCTAGAACTAGATGTTCTAGAACTAGAAGTGTTGTAGAAAGTTCTAGAACACTAGAGTGAAGTTCACTCTGAAACTGAGGGTGTAATTCTCTGAGGGTGGGGAGGAGGGGAAGAGGCTTAGATTCCCTAACACTGGGCAAGCCCTGGACTTAATCTCCTATGAAAAAAAATTAAAAAGCTTAAGGTGACCAGGCTAGAAAAATGCCCTCAAGGCAAAATCTGACTCATGTTCTAATGTTCTGCTTACCTCTCTGGGTTCCCACTTTCATTCCATTTTGGTCTTTAGTATTCTTTACTGTCTTGATAGCTTATTAATGCAATTACAAAGGTTGGTTGTTTGCTTTTAAATCCAGCATTTTTTGTTCATTCTAGCAGGAGGGTAATTAAGGTATCTAGTGTCCACTATCTGCTAAAAAAGAAAGCTTCTTTGTGTCTTTTTTTTTTTTTTTTTTTCTGTGAGACAGGGTTTCCACTCTGTTGCCCAGGCTGGAGTACAGTGGCACAATCTTGGCTCACTGTAGCCTCAACCTCCTGGGGCCAAGTGATCCTCCCACCTCAGCCTCCTGAGTAACTGGGACCATAGGCATGCACCACCATGCCTGGCTAATTTTGTATTTTTTGTAGAGACAGGGTTTCCCTATGTTGCCCAGGCTGGTCTCAAACTCCTGGGCTCAAACGATCCTCCTGGGATCCAAAGTGCTGGGATTAGAGGCATGAGCCACCCACGCCCCGCCTTCCTTGTGTCTTTAAAAGTAAAATCAGTTGACATTTTCTGAACTTAATTTACAAGACATCCTTTAAAGTGAGAGCTTCTATTTCTAAAATGTTGCTCTTTTTTTATTTTTATTTTTTTTCTTTTTCTTTAGAGACAGGGCCTTCCTGTGTTGCCCAGGGTTGTTTCAAACTCCTGGCCTCAAGCAGTCCTCCTGCCTCAGCCTCCCAAAATGCTGGGATTGCAGGCGTGAGCCACCATGCCCAGCCTGTGATGTTGCTTTTGAAAGTCTCTGAGTCCTGCCTCTGCCACCATCCTTTCTTTTGGGTTTCTTTGTTTCTCACATGGTTTATTTCTTTTTCACTGCTGCCTTCTCTTAGGTGTTTCCCTGCTTTCCCCAGTAGCCAGAAAAGCCAGGACAAAGCCCAGCCATCTCTCTTCCCAAACATGAATCTCACCATCATGCCATCTGCCTTTTACCTCTTGACTATAAGAGAGCTTTGCTGAGTGCTCTGTGTTTTAGATAACATTTTGACCATGTTCACCTGATTTTTTGGAAAGAAAAACATTGCTTACAAAGGACAGATATTCTCACCCGCAGCCAACCTCCAAAATCCTATAACTAAATTAACTAGAGTATCAATTATCCTTTGATTGCCGAGGTATTGTATTTTTTCTCTGTCATGGATCACTAGAGAGAGTAGCTTTTGTTTCTGAAAGACAGGCTATCACAGAACAAAACCATTCTCTGCAAGGACAGTGGGTAACAGATCTAGGAGGAAAAATGTCAGCAACAGCAAGGTTCCAAAGAGAAAGTGTGATCACATTTTATATAACATTACAAGAAATGGAAATATAAGATTTGACAGCACCAGGCAGTCAGGGAATCAGCTGTGTTGAATTGTCTTCCCTTTTGCACAAAATTATATTACCCATGCAGGAAAACTAAGTGATCATGTTGCACTCTCACTATTATTGTTATTGATAGCAGCAGTAGCAGCATTCTATGAAGTCTCTGCAGGACCTTGAAGTACTGTGAGGCTTTCTATATGAAAGAGGCACAGTGTACCATGCCCTGAGATTGATTTGCTCTGCAATGACCAGACTAAGATGTGTGTAAATAGCTTATTGATTGACACTTGACTGTGAAATGGCTCTCACAGGAGTAGAAAGAGTAAAAATAATGAAATTGCTGAGAATTACTAGTTGATGTACTAGGATTGCCAATAAAATGTTCTGCTGATTTATCTGGTCATCCTGTCATAACCTGACCACATTTGAATAAATAAGCAGAGTCTGATAATCCTGTTGCTTGTTTCAAAAAAATAATAAGGCCAGGCCCAGTGGCTTACACGTGTAATCTCAGCACTTTGGGAGGCCGAGGTGGACGGATCACAAGGTCAAGAGATCGAGACCATCCTGGCCAACATGGTGAAACCCCATTGCTACTAAAAATACAAAAATTATTGGGGCATGGTGGCACGTGCCTGCAGTCCCGGCTACTCGAGAGGCTGAGGCATGAGAATCGCTTGAACCCGGGAGGCAGAGGTTGTGGTGAGCCAAGATCACGCCACTGCACTCCAGCCTGGGAACAGAACAAGAGTCTGTCTCAAAATAAAATAAAATAATAATAAGAGGAGATGATCATAGAGGTCGTGATTGTGCAATTATAATAAAATATGTATATATCTGTTGAATAGTTTTAACTATGTTGAATGGCCAGCATTGACAGTGTGTGATTGAATGTCATTAAAGAATATTAATGGTTCTGTCTTTATTTCTGTAACATAAGTATATGTAGACTGTATACTGTATCATGTGTTGGTATCTTTTAATTTTTGTAAGTAAAGCCAAATACAAATATGTGGGTGTGTTCACACAGGAATTTGCAAATTACATGTCCTGAAGTTCTTGTAAATAAATTAGCATGCCACGTCTGTAGTCCTAGCTACTTAGGAAGTTAAGGTGGGAGGATCACTTGAGCCCAGGAGTTTGGGGTTACAGTGAGCAATGATTGTGCTACTATATCCGGCATGGGTGACAAAATGAGACCCTGTCTCAAAAAAACAAAAACTAGCATGTCTTCATTCTTCCATGGGGTGTTTATTTCTTTTTCATAGGAATAACTGGGGTACATATTTGGGTATCTGTCATCTCAAGTCAACCAGGATTTATTCTTTAAGTTTTGAACTATAATGAGATCATTCCCTTTAAATATAAAGTTATAGTCCCTCCTCTATGAAGCAGACACATAGATGTTTAATAAAGCTGCTATTTATATTGTTTTGGTAAAATATAATTTGGGGGAATACCAGAGTGTTAACATATAATCTAAAAGTTTTATTCAATTGCTAAAGGATTTATTTATTTATTTATTTATTTATTTATTTATTTATTTATTTTTATAGAACTGAGGCCTCACTGTGTTGTTCAGACTGGTCTCCAACTCCTGGGCCACACAGTGATCCTCCTGCCTTGGCCTCCCAAAGTGCTGGGATTACAGGCGAGAGCCACTGCACCCAGCCACTAAAAGATTTAAACTGTTGTTTTAAACATTATCCTTACAACTACTTTGTTGGGAAGCCTACTGTGCAGATTATAGTGTTGTGGTTCTGCAATACAAAATATTATTCGCCTCAAACATTATCCACTAGAGACCAGGCACCTATAATCCCAGCACTTTGGGAGGCCATGGCTGGAGGATTGCTATGTTGCCCAGCAGTTTGAGACCAGCCTTGGCAATGTAGCAAGACCCTGTCACTGTTTAAAAGAAAAAAAAAATTATCCAAAGCAAAAAGAAGGGGCATTTTTCTTTGTCTTTATTTAAAATGTTTGGCTGAAATTTGGCCAGGGCCTTTATATAATAAGGTGAAGCCTAAGCTTTTTAATATGTTTGTTGGTTTTTATGCTTTCGCCTTCTATGTCCCAGAGAATTTTGAATATATCAAATGAGAAAGAAGCCCAGCTGTCTGTCCAAGAATTTCTCATGCAATGATTATAAGTACAATGGCTATTGCAGTAAACTTTTGGAAGAATAAACTCTTTTAAATGGGAAGGTTTGCTACCAAATAGAAGACAACTTCCCGGGGAATTTTTGAGATAGGCAGGTTTTAATCTCTTCTGTGTACACGTATTCTAGAGTATTTGGAAATGAATGCATGCCCAGTTTTTAGCAAATGATGTATTGTTCATTGCATAGGCATATTCCTGTAAGTATATGCCCCTTGCCTTGGCCCCTTTTTGTCCTGTTTATTATTGAAGAGAAGTTTACTCACCTTTGTTGATTACAAGGCTAAGGATGAGGTATTTGTGGGAGAGGGGAGCAAAGATCATAAGGCCTCAAATTGAGGAGCTTCTTGCAGTAAGATAAATCACAAAGAAACACCTCTTTGGTTGCTGAGTCTGTCCTCCTGTTTGCCTTCAATATTTGTGGTCAGAATTAGATCAGAGCTGAATTCCAATTGTAAGTCTAGCAGTTGATATCTTTTTTTTTCTAACTTATTATTTTGAAATCATTGTAGATTCACAAGCTGTTGTAAAAAACAATACAGAGAGATCTCGTATACCTTCTGCCAGTTTCTGTCAATGGTGATATCTTACAAAACTGTAATATCATTTCACAAGCAGGAAATTGACAATGATACAAACCATTCACTATATAAATGTTTCAGCAGCCTTACATGCACTCCTTTGTGTGTGTGTTTACTTAGATCTGTACAGTTTTATCACATGTATAGCTTTGTGTGACCACAACCCATACTCAAGATAACAAACAGTTCCATTACAAGGAACCCTTGTGCTACCTTTTGTAGCCACGGCCGCTTCCCTCCATCACCTTCCCATCCCCAACCTCTGGCAACCACTAATATATTCTCTATCTCTATAATTATGTCATTTGAAGAATGCTATATAAATGGAATTGTATGGTATGCAATCTTTTGAGATTGGCTTTTTTCACTCACCATCATTCCCTTGAATATCTTTTGATCTCAAGAAAAATAAAAATTTTGCATCTGTTTTTTTAATTTGGACAGAGGGCAATTTAAGGCATATTTGTTTTATGGTTAAGATCCAAAATTTGTTACTGATACTAGAGAAAAAAATCGGGATTACCGTCAGTGTTAGTTTGAAGATTTGATAGTGCCAGAGAGCACATGGGGAAATTAAATGTATTCACATACTATTTATTGTGATTTTACTTGATTTTTTCTTAAGTAAGCCGGTAAAGCATAAACTTCCTAATGTTCTGAGATGGTGATTTTTTTCCATGTTATAAATGGTATTAACATGTTACAAGGAAATTCCCTCAGTGTCATCTATCAATGCCAAAATCATATTGAAGCAATTGTGGAGGATATTACAACTCAAGGAGAGATTTTATATATCCTATTGCAAAGTTTAAAGTATTTTTTTTTGACTGTCATTATATCTCTAGTAAGAGGCTGTGGAAATGAAAATCCAGTGTTCAGTTTTTCTTTGTCTGAAAAACTGATGACAGCAAGATAATGTTTTTCTGTATCTTTTTAAACAGCCTCTATTTTCTCCTGCCTTGATAATATGTTGATGACTCTGTTCAGTCTAGATATTAAAATGGTCTTGATCATTTGAAGCCTCATAGAGCCCTCACAGATAGGATACCATGCCTTCCTAACAACCCTGTTTCTCGCTGTTTTCTGGTGTGTTCGTTGTAGAATGTGAGCCAATAGAAGCAATAGCCAAGTTTGACTATGTTGGGCGGTCTGCCAGAGAACTATCCTTCAAGAAGGGTGCCTCCCTGCTGCTGTATCACCGTGCATCTGAGGACTGGTGGGAAGGCAGGCACAACGGGATTGACGGGCTGGTGCCTCACCAGTATATAGTGGTGCAGGATATGTGAGTAGTCTCAACTTTGATTGCCTGAGTGCTCCCAATAGAGGACTCCAGCCATTGTTCTTAAACTGACCTTGGTCTTGTGAGAAAGGAGCAGAAGGGATTACAGAGATAAAACTTCAGAGCTAGGCACAGTTCCTTACCTTGCCAGTGGCTCTTTGCTAACAGTAAGTCAGGGCCCAGGAGGTTTGGAACAAGAACTCTGGGGAGACATCTTCTGAAGCTTTCAGATTGTTAGAAAAATAACCTATGCATAGAATGGTGTTAAGAGCTGAAGTGACATTGGTAATTCCAAAAACAGCAGTGCTCTTCTCTTGATGTCTGTTTACCGTTTCAATTCCAGATTCCCCAGAGGAAGGACACTGACCTAAAGTCAGAGGGAATCATTGCTATGCTGTTTTTTGTTTTGTTTTGTTTTTTGCTGAGGAGAAAGCTCTAATTTCAAAAGTATTTAAAGACATGGGAAGATAGTCATAACATATTAAGTGAAAGAAACAGGTTGCAAAATAATGTGTAGTCCAAAAGTAGCTTTTTAAGGAAAAGACAAATATAGCACACAAAAGGTATACAGTGACTGAATCATTCAGCCTAATTTCAGAAATGTTAAAATGTGTATCTCGGAAGCCAAGAAATGTGTGTATATGCAGACATGTAGTCATATATATCTGAAATATCTACATATAAATATATTCATATATAAAATAAATTTGCATAACTATCTGTACAGTCATGTACCACACAATGACATTTTGAGCATCAATGGACCACATATATGATGGTGGTCCCATAGGATTTAATATCCTATTTTTACTGTACCTTTTCTATGTTTAGATATGTTTAGATACGCAAATACTTGTTTACACCATTGTGTTACAACTGCCTGTAGCATTCAGTACAGTAACATGCTGTGCAGGTTTGTAGCCTAGGAGCAATAGGCTCCACCATGTAGCCTAGGTGTGCAATAGGCTCTACCATCTAGGTTTGTGTAAGTGCACTCTATGATGTTCCCACAATGATGAGATTGCTTGACAACGCATTTCTCAGAACGTATCCTCGCCGTTAAGCAACACGTGACTGTAGTATAAATGCCATACATATGTATGTACACAATCACAGATATGTATCCCAGGCATAGAATAGAAGATGGAGGAGGATATTTCTTAAAATTCTAACAGTAGTTGTCTCTGGATGTTATATTATGGGTGATTATTTCAGTCTTTTTTGTATAACTGAAATTGCTGTTGTACCTGTAATGAAATTGTATTGCTTTTATAATGAAAAGAGAAAAGTTATTTTAATAAAAGAAGGGCTTTCATGCATAATGCTATTTCATACATAAATGCTATCACGTAAATTTTCATCTCCACTCATCTAGCAAATTTTGTAAAATTTGTAAATCTAGTAAATTTTGTCTCCATTCCTCTTACTGCTTCAGGGATGATACGTTTTCAGACACTCTGAGCCAAAAAGCCGACAGTGAGGCCAGCAGTGGGCCAGTCACGGAAGACAAGTCCTCATCCAAGGACATGAACTCCCCGACAGACCGTCATCCTGACGGCTATTTAGCCAGGTAAGTAGAGCCTGGGAATCAGGCCCCTAAGCCTCCGCTCCTCCTGGGGCCATGAGGAGCCACTGCACCTCAGCCTTGCAGTACTGCCCGGTGTGATAAGCTCTTCTGTTTTCTCCCTGTTTCTGTGAATGTCTAGGCAACGAAAAAGAGGAGAGCCACCCCCTCCAGTAAGGCGTCCTGGCAGGACCAGTGATGGCCATTGCCCGCTCCACCCTCCACATGCCCTTTCTAACTCCTCAGTTGACCTAGGGTCCCCAAGCCTTGCCAGTCACCCCCGGGGCCTGCTGCAGAACCGTGGCCTCAACAATGACAGTCCTGAGCGGAGGCGCAGGCCTGGCCATGGCAGCCTGACCAACATCAGCCGGCACGACTCCCTCAAGAAGATCGACAGCCCTCCCATTAGAAGGTCCACGTCATCAGGGCAATACACGGGCTTCAATGACCACAAGCCACTGGACCCAGAGACAATTGCTCAGGTACGATGCTTTTAATTACATATTGCATTTTAAGTACCTAAGTGTGATGTAGGAGGTGTGAAAGATTTACTTTATTTACTTTTTACTTTATTTACTTTATATTTCTGTATAGAACCAACTAAAGAAAACAGAAACAAAACCAGCTCATTCTTTAACTTAGGCCCTGAGTCTTTTTTGAACAATTTGTTACTGAAAGGGCCCAAAGGTTCATAGTGATTTAAACAGAAACATGACAAAAACGTAGGACCAGGACACTCAAACCTATCATTGTGAATAGCCAGAAAAACTTTGAAAAAGAAGAATGGGAAAGCAGTGGCCCTGCCAGATCCTAAATGCATTCTAAAGCTAGTAAAACAGACAGATGGATGAAACAGAATGGAGAGCCCAGAAACAGAAAAACCTTAAAACAGTAGTCCCTCCTTATCTGCAGGGCATATGTTTCAAGACCCCCAGTGGATGCCTGAAGCCACAGATAGTGCAAACCCCTACTGTATATGATAAAGATGGCACTTTCAACTTAGAAAAGATGAGACCTAATAAATAATGTGATCAATAATAGATAGATATTTGAAGAACAAGTCTGGATCCTATGTACCTCCTGAACACATTCAGGTCTTTGCTTCCCAACAGTGACTGCAGAGGGGCTGTGTAGTTTTCTTCTAATGACTAAAATTGACCAAGTAAAAGGGAAACAATACTAATAAATTTGCCCATCATTCTACCATTTTTCCCTCTGGTTCTGGCTCTTTTCACAGCACAGGCCATGAGAACATATGTTCGTAGGCCTAGTGGGTGGCTTACACCTGTAATCCCAACACTTTAGGAGGCTGAGGCAAGAAGATAGCTTGAGGTTAGGAGTTTGAGACAAGCCTGGTCAATATAGCAAAATCCCGTGTCTAAAAAAAAAAATTTTTTTTTAATTACCTAGGTATATTAGGATTCTCTAGAGGGACAGAATTAATGGAATATATATACATATAAAGGGGAGTTTATTAAGTATTAACTCACACAATCACAGAGTCCCACAATAGGCCATCTGCAGGCTGAGGAGCAAGGAGAGCCAGTCCAAGTTCCAAAACTGAAGAACTTGGAGTCTGATGTTCAAGGGCAGGAAGCATACAGCACGGGAGGAAGACGTAGGCTGGGAGGCTAGGCCAGTCTAACCTTTTCATGTTTTTCTGCCTGCTTTATGTTCACTGGCAGTTAATTAGATGGTGCCCATCCAGATTAAGGGTGGGTCTGCCTTCCCCAGCCCACTGACTCAAATGTTAATTTCCTCTGGCAACCCCCTCACAGACACACCCAGGAGTAACACTTTGCATCCTTCAATCCAATCAAGTTGACACTCAGTATTAACCATCACAAGTCTACCCCTTGTCAACTTGAACCCATAAACATCTCCTGAGATCGTACATAATCTTCAAATAAAAACAATAATGTCATAATTACGCCTAACATGATACAACTGTCCTTTCCTATAACCGGAAACACACCAATCCCCAACCCAAATGCTATTACATAAAGTTAACAATACTTAAATGCTGATAGGAAGTCAATATAATCTTATGTCACATGCTAAAGGAAAAAGGAAATAAAATGAAGATATTTTCCTAGTACAAGTGTATACATGCACAAACATGTTTTTAACGAAAGAAGGAAATACTCATGACAATTACAGTCCCTGTTTCCACGTGGTCATAGCTGGTATTGATGACTACCTTCTACTACCCATTCCGTATTCCCTTTGCCTTCAGCAAGCACCTCAGCAGGTCGTGGTTGTTGTTGTTGTTGTTGTTGTTGTTGTTGTTTTCCTGGCGGAGTGACCCAAACCTTCATTCCTGAAGGGTCTGGGCCATTTGTAGTCCTGCCTGGATTGGGCTATTGTAGTTTCCCATTGACCTTAATCACAGAGCGTGGTAATACTAAGAAACGCCCTAATGGATCTCCTGTATTCCATGCACACTCTTTTTTACCTGCATCGTGGAGTAGTCGACTGATTTCATCTTGATAGTCTGAGTCAGTCACCTTAGCCAACACTGTAACTCCCTTCTTAGTCTGTTGCCTTAAAGGTAGGAGGAGCCCAAAGTGTCCAGGTGGCAATCTTAACTCAATGGCATTGTTGCTGTGTCTCCTGGTGGCACATTCCTCCCTCTGGAACTGAGACCTCTAGGCCAGCAGAACATAATGTCGCGGGAACAGGAAGTAAAAATGTTGCTAGGGGGTCACTAGGGATAATGATGAATGGTGCCACTTCCACTTCCACCTCTTGATTCCTGGACCCGTGAATCCTGGCTATGGGAGAAACTGCACCATGTATTGGACACAGATTCAGAGCATACACAGCCTTCTGGGGAACTTTGCCCCAGCCCTGCAAAGTATTGTCACCTAGTTGGTGTTGCAATTGTGACATCACAAGACCAATCCACCATTCTGTCAATCCAGCTGCTTCAGGATGATAGGGAGCATGGTAAGACCCATGAATTCCATGAGCATGAGCCCACTGCCACTCTTCTTTAGCCATAAAGTAAGTGCCTTGGTCAGAGGTAATGCTGTGTGGAATACCATCATGGTGGATAAGGCATTCCATGAGTCACAGATGGTAGTCTTGGCAGAAGCATTGTGTGCAGGATAGGCAAACCCATATCCGGAGTAACTGTCTATTCCAGTGAGGACAAACCTCTGCCCTTTTCATGATGGAAGAGGTCCAGTGTAATCAACCTGCCACCAGGTAGCTGGCTGATCACCCTGAGGAATGGTGCCATATCGAGGGCTGTGTTGGCTTCTGCTGCTGGCAAATTGAGCACTAAGCAGTGGCCATAGCCAGGTCAGCCTTGGTGAGTGGAAGTCCATGTTGCTGAGCCCATGAGTAACCTCCATCCCTGCCACTATGGCCACTTTGTTCATGGGCCCATTGAGCAAGAACAGGGGTGGCTGGGGAAAGAGGCTGAATGGTGTCCACAGAATGGCTCATCCTATCCACTTGATTATCAAAATCCTCCTCTGCTGAGGTCACCCGTTGGTGAGTACTCACATGGTATACAAATATCTTCACAGTTTTTGACCACTCAGAGAGGTCCATCCACATACCTCTTCCACAAATTTGTCACCAATTTTGCAATCATACTTCTTCTAAGTCCCTGACCATCCAGCCAAACCATTGGCTACAGTCCACGAATCAGTGTATAATCACACATCTGGCCATTCCTCCTTCCATGCAAAGTGCACAGCCAGGTGCACTGCTCGAAGTTCTGCCCACTGGGAAAGATTCCCTTCACCACTGTCCTTCAGGGATGTCCTAGAAAGGGGCTGTAGTGCTGCAGCTGTCCACTTTCGGGTGGTGCCTGCATATCATGCAGAACCGTCTGTGAACCAGGCCCTAGTCTTCTCTTCCTCTGTCAAGTGATCATAGGGAACTCCCCATGAGGCCATCAGTGCAGCCTGGGCATTTGAGCCACTTCCTCATGTAACTTATGCCTTCAGGAGTTGCATGAGCTCGATCACATATATACCACTTCCATTTGATGATGGAATGCTGCTGTGCACGACCCGCTTTATGGCTAGATGTGTCAGAAAGCACCCAGTTCATAATAGGCAGTTCAGGTTGCATGGTGACTTGATGACCCATGGTCAAACGTTCAGTTTCCACCAAAGCCCAGTAACAGGCCAAGAGCTGTCTCTCAAAAGGAGAGTAGTTGGCCAGGCGCAGTGGCTCATGCCTGTAATCCCAGCACTTTGGGAAGCCAAGGCGGGTAGATCACGAGGTCAGGAGTTCAAGACCAGCCTGACCAATATGGTGAAACCCGATCTCTACTAAAAATGCAAAAATTAGCCAAGTGTGGTGGCACACGCCTGTAGTCCCAACTACTCGGGAGGTTGAGGCAGAAGAATCATTTGAACCAGAGAGGTGACGTTGCAGTGAGCCAAGATCACGCCACTGCACTCCAGCCTGGGTGACAGACAGAGACTCCATCTCAAAAAGAAAAGGAGAGCAGTTATCTGCAGAAGAAGGCAGGGCCTTGCTCCAAAATCCTAGAGGCCTCCGCTGTGATTCACCTATGGGGGCCTGCCAAAGGCTCTAAACAGCATCCCTATCTGCCACTGACACCTCAAGCACCATTGGATCTGATGGGTCATATGGCCCAAGTGGCAGAGCAGCTTGCACAGCAGCCTGGACCTGTTGCAGAGCCTTCTCCTGTTCTGGACCCCACTCAAAACTGGCAGCCTTTTGAGTCACTCGATAAATGGGCCAGAGTAACACACCCAAAAGAGGAACGTGTTGCCTCCAAAATCCAAATAGGCCCACTAGGCGTTGTGCCTCTTTCTTGTTTGCAGGAGGGGCCAAACGCAGCAACTTATCCTTCATCTTAGAAGGAATATCTTGATAGGCCCCACACCACTGGACCTCTAAAAATTTTACTGAGGTAGAAGGTCCCTGAATTTTAGTCAGATTTATTTCCCATCCTCTAGCACACAAATGTCTCACCAATAAGTCCAGTGTGTTTGCTACTTCTTGCTCACTGGATCCAGTCAGCATAATGTCATCAATGTAATGGACCAGTGTAATATCTTGCGGAAGCAAAAAGCAATCAAGGTCTCTCCGAGTAAGATTATGACACAAAGCCAGAGAGTTGCTATACCCCTGAGGTAGGACAGTAAAGGTATATTGCTGGCCTTGCCAGCTGAAAGCAAATTACTTCTGGTGGGCCTTATGGACAAGAATGGAGAAAAAGGCATTTTCCAAGTCAGTGGCTCCAATCCACATACCAGGAGATGTGTTAATTTGCTCAAGCAATGAAACCACATCTGGTACAGCAGCTGCACTTGGAGTCACCACTTGGTTAAGCTTACAATAATCCACTGTCATTCTCCAGAATCCATCTGTCTTCTGCACAGGCCAAATGGGAGAGTTGAATGAGGATGTGGTGGGAATCACCACCCCTGCATCTTTCAAGTCCTTGATGGTGGCATTAATCTCTACAGTCCCTCCAGGGATGCAATATTGTTTTTAATTTACTATTTTTCTAGGTAAAGCCTGCTCTAATGGCTTCCATTTGGCCTTTCCCACCATAATAGCCCCCACCCTACCAGTCCAGAGCCAATGTGGGGGTTCTGCCAGCTGCTAAGTATGTCTGTGCCAATTATGCATTCTGGCACTGGGGAAATGACCACAGGAGAAGTCTGGGGACCCATTAGACTCACTGTAAGTCAGACCTGAGCTAAAACTCCATTAATTACCTGACCTCCACAAGCCACTACTTTAACTGGAGCACCACAACGACATTTTGGGTCCCCTGGAATCAGTGTCAGCTCAGAGCCAGTGTCCATTAGTCCCCAAAATGTCTGATCATTTCCCTTTCCCCATTACACAGTTACCCTGGTAAAAGGCTGGAGGTCCCCTTGGGGAAGGATGGGATAAAGATTCACTGCATAAATTGTCAGTAATATAGCGGGGTCCTTCCTCAAAGGGACCTGGCCTCCTCTTCATTCAAGGGGTTCTGGGTCTGTAAACTGGGTCAAGTCTGGAAATTGATTGAGGGGCCATGATTCTCTGTTTTCATAATTCAAATTAGTCTTTTGTCCATCCAACCTAGAAGTTTTCTGCTTGTGTAAATTAAGTAGGAATGCAGTAGGCTTCCTATCAATTTCACTTTTAGGAACAACGTGATTAATTAGCCAATGCCAGAGTTCTACACGAGTCAGACTATTCTGCTTGCTGCTTTGCCTCTGCTGTGCATTACTGTAGCTATGCCCACCTTGCCTTTGATGATTGAGTGTCGCCTTGCCTTTGATGATTGAGTGTTGCCACTTGGCTCCTGCTACCTTGGGATCCAATTATCTCCATTGTATTTAAATTTTGTAGTTGAGTGACTGTGGTTCCCACCGTTAGATCTGACATACAGAGAACAGCAATTACAGGGCTCTTCAAAGATGCAAGTGCTGGCCAAGTGCGGTGGCTCATGCCTATAATCTCAGCACTTTGGGAGGCCAAGGCAGGCAGATCACGGGGTCAGGAGATTGAGACCATCCTGGCTAACATGGTGAAACCCCGTCTCTACTAAAAATCTAAAAAATTAGCTGGGAGTGGTGGTGGGTGCCTGTAGTCCCAGCTACTTGGGAGGCTGAGGCAGGAGAATGGCGTGAACCCGGGAGGCAGAGCTTGCAGTGAGCCAAGATTGCGCCACTGCACTCTAGCCTGAGCGACACAGCAAGACTCCATCTCAAAAAAAAAAAAAAAGATGCAAGTGCTGCTCTCACAAATCTGTTTTGCAAGGCATTGGTCAAGGACTCTCCCAGCTGGGATGAGTAAGTCTAAAGTGACTAATCCACTCCACCATCCCAATCTCCCTAAGCCTTTGGATCCCTTCCTCTACATTAAACCAAGGGAGAGCAGGCATTTTCAGCTCACTCACAGTGCTCACAGTGGGCCATCTTTCAATCCATATTTCAGTTAACCAAGCAAATAAACTATTAGAACCTTTTTTAACTCCCCGAGCTGCAACATTAAATGCAGAGCTCCTACTTAATGGGCCCAAATCAATAAATTCAGCCTGATCTGACTCTATGTTCCATCTACCATTATCCCACACCATTAATATCCATTCCCATGCCTGTTATCCAGATTTCTATTTATATAAATTAGAAAACTCAAGCAGTTCTTTTCTAGTGTGGCACACCTCTTCATGGGTCACACTCTCAACCTCACCTCCAGGGGCCTGCCGGGATATTAGTCTAGTTACAGGTCTAGAAGCAAACAGAAGTGTTGGAGGTGGCTCCTGAGGAGAGTCAACATTATCTTGCCTGGCAGCTGCCTCATGGGAGGCCATCACCATTGCCTCAGGCAGCACAGGGTTTATCTCCTCAGACAAAGGTGGAAAGGCTGATGGCAGCATGGGTCAGGGAGGGGATGTTGCCGCTACTGGGGATAGGGAAGCTGTTTCTTCTGGCAAAAAAGGTTCATCAGGGTTTACAAACTCAGTGCCCCCAGCTTCATCAGGGTCCTCCCACACATCCCCATTCCAAGTTGCAGGGTCCCATTCTTTTCTAATCAATGCCCTCACTTTAACAGTAGACACCTGGTGAGGCTGTGCATGTATCTTTCATTGCAGGTCAGCGACTTGCATAAGAACTCGTGTCTGGTTCTCCATAATTTTAGTTCTTTATCTGTGGGAGATAAGACTCACACTCAGGGCAGTCTTAGCAGATTTGAGGTTCAGTATCTGCTTCTGAAGCCAGGAGATAGAATCCTTGAGTTCATCATTTTTTTTCATCACTTTGTCCACTGAACTTAGGAACAACCAACCAGCTTCACTATGTTCCTTGGTTCTCTACATAATACTCCATACAAATGTATTATGTACGGAGTCACTAAACTCCTTGCCTCTCACGAGCGATGAATCAGGAGTGTCAAATGCACGTATTTTGCATAACTCTCTAAACAGTTCACACCAAGAACTATCAGTGTTCTCCATCCTATTAGAAGTAAAGTCCTTAGTATTTTTTGGTCTAATCATATAAAGCAGAAGCCCCAAAATCAATGAAAGAACTCCATCCTTAATATTCTGTCCCTCTAGAACCACTCCTGGTACCAAAACCTGTATTAGTCAGGGCTCTCTGGAGGTACAGAATTAATGGAATACATATACATATAAAGGTGAGTTTATTATTAACTCACACAATCACAAGGTCCCACAATAAGCCGTCTGCAGGCTGAGGAGCAAGGAGTCGGTCCAAGTTCCAAAACTGAAGAACTTGGAGTCTGATGTTTAAGAGCAGGAAGCATCCAGCATGGGAGAAAGATGTAGGCTGGGAGGCTAGGCCAGTCTAACCTTTTCACGTTCTTCTGTTTGCTTTATATTCGCTGGCATCTGATTAGATGGTGCCCATCCAGATTAGGGGTAGGTCTGCCTTCCCCAGCCCACTAACTCCAATGTTAATGTCCTTTGGCAACACCCTCACAGATACACCCAGGATTAATACTTCGCATCCTTCAATCAAGTTGACACTCAGTATTAACCATCACACTAAGAGTGGTGGTGCATGTCTGCAATCCCAGGTACTTTGGAAGCTGAGGCGAGAGAGTTGCTTGAGCCCAGGAGTTGGAGGCTGCAGTGAGTTATGATTGTCTTACTGCACTCCAGCCAGGGTGACAGACCAAGACCCTGTCTCCAAATATATGTATGTTTATAATCAGTGAGAAAAGAGGTTAATAGATTCAGGGATTACCATTTGAATAATCTAAAAGGCAACTTCCAGCTATCACTGAAGTTTAAAAACTAAGTAGATTTCAAAAAAGAGTGAATGAGAAATGAATGAAACATGGAAAAGGATTAAAGATGGGTTATTTTTAATAAAAAGTACCCAAGGAATCCGGCCCCAATATGACAAATGTCCAAGCTATTTTGAGTGTTCTAACTAAAAAGAATTTTGGATAGCAAATTAGATTGTGAGAAGTTTAATGTGTTTTTTAAAAATTAACGCAATTTTAAGTGTACAGCAACTTCTCAGCAAAAATCAAAAAGGCTTTGACTGTTTTATTTTTTTCTGTTTAGAGTGCTATGCAAGGCCCTTTGAGGCATACTTACAACCAGCAATATTTTACTATAGCTGAATTTAATGATTTGAGAAACTTATAACATCACTGCTTATAATAAGCAGGTGAAACATAATTTGGGTTAGAGAGACAGGGATTTAGGTGCTTGGAGGTAGGAAGGCATATAAGGTCTGTTTAACCCTTTGACTTCTAGAATCAGGAAATTTTTTAAATTGTAAATTATAAAAACAGGCCAGGCACAGTGACTCATGCCTGTAATCCCAGCACTTTGGGAGGCTGAGGCGCATGGATCACTTGAGGTCAGCAGTTTGAGACCAGCCTGGCCAACATGGTGAAACCCTGTCTCTACAAAAAATAAAAAAATTAGCTGGGCATGGTGGCAGGCATCTGTAATCTGAGTTACTCGGGTGGCTGAGGCATGAGAATCACTTGAACCCAGGAGGCGGAGGTCGCAGTGAGCCGAGATCACAGTATTGCATTGCATTCCAGCCTAGGTGACACAGTGAGACTCCGTCTCAAAAAAAAAAAAATGTAAATTATAAAAACAAAAACTCAACAGATGACTAGGCTCTGCACATGTCTCTGAGGTAAATACTTGTAAAAAAAAAAATCCATATGTTTAGCCACAAATGGAAATCACATATGAAAGTAATAACTTGAAAAGTGATGTCACCCTCGTAAAATGTCTTCCAGATTTGTTTTTTATCTTTCCATCTTTAGCCTTCAGATTTTCCCATGGGGACAAGTGAGCATGCCATCAAGGTGTTCATTAAAAAAATGCAGATTATTTTATTAAGCAAATTAATGGAATGCCTAATGGAGATTTTTCAAAAGACTACCACATCCATACATAATCATCGTGTCTTGGTTTATTCATTATTGGAGACAGTGATTTAATATCAGGATCTTAGATTATTCATTTAGCAAATCTTTATTGAGCATTTACTGTATGCCATGTCTCACACTAGGTTTTATGCAAACAAAATTAAACAATAGCCGCAGCCTCAAAGTGCTCACATTCAATCTAGTCATGGAAATGAATAGGGAAATCAGTTACCATTAAACCGTGCCATGAGGGGTATGCTCCAGATGAGTGGGAGAAGCCCTGGGAATATGTCAGGAAGAGATATTTCAGTCACCAGGGCAGTGGTTCTCCACCATCTCACACAACACTCTGCCTTTTTCTTTCTTAATTGTGCTTAAAAAAAAAATATATATATATATATATATAAAAAATAATAAAATTGACAATCTTAACCATTTTTAAATGTATAGTTCAGAAAAGTATATTCACATTGTTGTGAAACATCTCTCCAGACTGTGTTCGTCTCACAAAACCAAAACTCTGTACACATTAAACAGCTCCCATTTCACCCTCCTCCAGTCCCTGACAACCACCATTCTACTTTTTGTTTCTATGAATTGGACTCCTTTAGTTACTGCATATAAGTGCAATCATACAGTATTTGTATTTTTTGTGACTGGCTCATTTCATTTAGTGTAATGTCCTCAAGGTTTACACATGCTGTAGCATGCGGTAGGACTTATTTCCCTTTAAGGGAAGTTTTCATAATTTAAATTTTTTTGTATGTATATACCACATTTTGTTTATCCATCTGTTGATGGGGCACACTCCACCTTTTTGAAACAAATTTATTGTAACTTCCCCCCTTTTACTATCTGAAATAAATTGACTTTTTTTTTTTTTTTTTTTTTTTGGAGATGGAGTCTCACTCTGTCACCCAGGCTGGAGTGAAGGAGTGAAGTGGCGCCATCTCGGCTCATTGCAACCTCCATCTCCTGGGTTCAAGCAATTCTCCTGCCTCAGCCTTGAGAGTAGCTGGGCGTGTGCCACCACGCCTGGCTATCTGAAATAAATTGATTGATATATCTATTTTGAAAAAATATATATAAATCTCTAAATAGAATATAAAATAAAAATAAAGGGAAATTGATATTAAAACAATTAAATGTATTTCAATTAATTACTGACTACACTAGAAGACAAATGAGGTAGTGATGCTTTCACCTACATGGTAGAGTTTCCATAAATGCAATAATTAAAAATGCATGTTGATATGAGAGTATTCAGTTAATTGAGTTAACTCAAATTCCATGAAAAGAGCTTCCATTAGTGATAATATTTCTCCAAAATGGTGAACAACCCTTGGTCATACTGTTCCAATCAAAACAAAAAATAACTTTCTAAAACAATAACATTCCTAAAAAATTTAACACCATCTAAAAAATATTTTATGTTTATATATTAGAAAAAGAGGTTCTAGGCTCAGGTTCTTAACAATTTTCACCTATATAAATGTCTGGAGGACATTCAAAAGTTGAACAAGGTGCAGGAAAATTCACTACATGTAAACTCACCAAGGCAAGATACCTAATATGTCTGACCCTGCCCATCAGCTGCCAATAATGCAGCCTTGTTATTGTGACATTAAAAACCACACACATACATCATATTACAAAAATGCCCCATAGGAGACAGTACCACTTTCAGTGAGATCCACTGGAAAACTGTATCAGGGGAAGACTTAAACTGAATTTCGAAGAACTTCTTGGAATTAGTCAAGTGTGTAGTAAGTGCTCAAAAATTTGTTGAATGAATGAATGAAGCCAGATTTTTTATTCCTATTGTATTTATTTCTTGAGAAATTATTGCAGTATCTAAATTTAAACTTTTATCATAAAAGTTGAAAAACTTGATTTGCATTTCTCTGATGGCCAGTGATGATGAGCATTTTTTCATGTGTTTCTTGGCTGCATAAATGTCTTCTTTTGAGAAGTGTCTGTTCATGTCCTTCGCCAACTTTTTGATGGGGTTGTTTGTTTTTTTCTTGTAAATTTGTTTGAGTTCATTGTAGATTCTGGATATTAGCCCTTTGTCCGATGAGTAGGTTGCGAAAATTTTCTCCCATTTTGTAGGTTGCCTGTTCACTCTGATGGTAGTTTCTTTTGCTGTGCAGAAGCTCTTTAGTTTAATTAGATCCCATTTGTCAATTTTGTCTTTTGTTGCCATTGCTTTTGGTGTTTTAGACATGAAGTCCTTGCCCATGCCTATGTCCTGAATAATAATGCCTAGGTTTTCTTCTAGGGTTTTTATGGTTTTAGGTCTAATGTTTAAGTCTTTAATCCATCTTGAATTGATTTTTGTATAAGGTGTAAGGAAGGGATCCAGTTTCAGCTTTCTCCATATGGCTAGCCAGTTTTCCCAGCACCATTTATTAAATAGGGAATCCTTTCCCCATTGCTTCTTTTTCTCAGGTTTGTCAAAGATCAGACAGTTGTAGATATGTGGCGTTATTTCTGAGGGCTCTGTTCTGTTCCATTGATCTATATCTCTGTTTTGGTACCAGTACCATGCTGTTTTGGTTACTGTAGCCTTGTAGTATAGTTTGAAGTCAGGTAGTGTGATGCCTCCAGCTTTGTTCTTTTGGCTTAGGATTGACTTGGTGATGCGGGCTCTTTTTTGGTTCCATATGAACCTGAAAGTAGTTTTTTCCAATTCTGTGAAGAAAGTCATTGGTAGCTTGATGGGGATGGCATTGAATCTGTAAATTACCTTGGGCAGTATGGCCATTTTCACGATATTGATTCTTCCTACCCATGAGCATGGAATGTTCTTCCATTTGTTTGTATCCTCTTTTATTTCCTTGAGCAGTGGTTTGTAGTTCTCCTTGAAGAGGTCCTTCACATCCCTTGTAAGTTGGATTCCTAGGTATTTTATTCTCTTTGAAGCAATTGTGAATGGGAGTTCACTCATGATTTGGCTCTCTGTTTGTCTGTTGCAAATCAAAACTACAATGAGATACCATCTCACACCAGTTAGAATGGCAATCATTAAAAAGTCAGGAAACAACAGGTGCTGGAGAGGATGTGGAGAAATAGGAACACTTTTACACTGTTGGTGGGACTGTAAACTAGTTCAACCATTGTGGAAGTCAGTGTGGCGATTCCTCAGGGATCTAGAACTGGAAATACCATTTGACCCAGCCATCCCATTACTGGGTATATACCCAAAGGACTATAAATCATGCTGCTATAAAGACACATGCACACGTATGTTTATTGCGGCATTATTCACAATAGCAAAGACTTGGAACCAACCCGAATGTCCAACAATGATAGACTGGATTAAGAAAATGTGGCACATATACACCATGGAATACTATGCAGCCATAAAAAATGATGAGTTCATGTCCTTTGTAGGGACATGGATGAAATTGGAAATCATCATTCTCAGTAAACTATCGCAAGAACAAAAAACCAAACACCGCATATTCTCACTCATAGGTGGGAATTGAACAATGAGATCACATGGACACAGGAAGGGGAATATCACACTCTGGGGACTGTTGTGGGGTGGGTGGAGAGGGGAGGGATAGCATCGGGAGATATACCTAATGCTAGATGATGAGTTAGTGGGTGCAGTGCACCAGCATGGCACATGTATACATATGTAACTAACCTGCACAATGTGCACATGTACCCTAAAACTTAAAGTATAATAAAAAAAAAAAAAAAAAAGAAAAACTTGGCCCGGCACGGTGGCTCATGCCTGTAATCCCAGCACTTTGGGAGGCCAAGGCAGGCGGATCATGAGGTCAGGAGTTCGAGACCAGCCTGGCCAACATGGTGAAACCCCGTCTCTAGTAAAAATACAAAAATTAGCCGGGCGTGGTGGTGGGCGCCTGTAATCCCAGCTACTTGGGAGGCTGAGGCAGGAGAATTGTTTGAACCCGGGAGGCAGAGGTTGCAGTGAGCCGAGATCATGTCACTGCACTCCAGCCTGGGTGACAGAGCAAGACTGCATCTTGGGGGGGGAAAAAGTTGAAAATCTTTTTTTCAAAAGTTTTCATAAACTTTTATCATAAGTTGAAATAGAATTCTATATTAATAAGTCAGCATGTAGATGTGGTGGCCTACACCTATAATCCCAGCACTTTAGGAGGCAGAGGCAGGAGGCTTACTTGAGCCCAGGAGTTCAAGACCAACCTGGGCAACTAGCAAGACCCCATCTCTACAAAAAATGTAAATATTAGCCAGCTGTGGTAGCACACACCTGTGGTCCCAGCTACTCAGGAGGCTACTCAGGAGGTAGCACATACCTGTGGTCCCAGCTACTCAGGAGGTAGGAGGATCATATGAGGCCAGGAGGTCGAGGCCGTAGTGAGCTGATTCACACCACTGCACTCTGCCTGGCTAACAGAGTGAGACCCTGCCTCAAAAGAAAAAAATTTTTTTTTAAGTCAGCATGCAAGGCAGAGACCATTAGAAGGCTACCTTAGGGCCTTAGGAAGGCCATTGTTTGATACATGGCTCCATGAGCCATTATATCTCAGTTTCCTGAATCAAGAATCAAAATGATGATTGTGTGAGATGGCATAATGTTTACATATTCTGCAGACTATGGAGTCAAAGATATCCATACTCTGCTGGGCCGTTTACTTTGAAATTAAGTGTCTGGGTTTCTATACATTAGTATTCATTATCAGTCTGTGCTTTCTCTCTTTCCGATTATTCTTCAATAGGATATTGAAGAAACGATGAACACAGCTTTGAATGAACTCCGAGAACTGGAGAGACAGAGCACAGCAAAGCATGCCCCTGATGTGGTGCTGGATACCCTGGAGCAAGTGAAAAACTCTCCCACCCCTGCCACTTCCACGGAATCTCTCAGCCCTTTGCACAACGTTGCCCTCAGGAGCTCCGAGCCTCAGATTCGACGTAGCACGAGCTCCTCCAGTGACACAATGAGTACTTTCAAGCCTATGGTGGCACCCAGAATGGGCGTGCAGCTGAAGCCTCCAGCCCTTAGGCCAAAACCTGCTGTTCTTCCAAAAACAAATCCTACCATAGGACCTGCCCCACCTCCCCAGGGTCCAACAGACAAGTCATGCACAATGTAAAAACCAGCCAAGCAAGGCCATAAAGGGAGGTGACTTAAAAAAGAAAATGGATTAGTGACAAAAGTCACTGATCCATAACTTTCCTTAGTTTTGTGCTTATAACTGGAGATCTTTTGGCTTTTCTATGTTGTCGAATGTAATGTCTGAGACTAGCTAAATTAACACGGGCATTTGTATTTTGTAATTTTTTTAAATAACTGGACATATGTCATTTTAAGGACAATAGAAACACTTAGACTTACTTGAAAATCCAATGCTGCACCACTTGTAATGAAGGCAACACCGCTCTCCACATTGTACAGAGCTTCAGGTTTAATGTAGCCCAGCTGAGTCAGAAAGGTTGTGACCTGAAGGCAGAAGAACCCGAATGCCACACCTCATTGGAGTATAGCCAGTGTTGGTCTGTGGCACTTGGGCTGAAAGGTGATAATGGCATTGCGTGGTAGCTGACAATGAGCACCTTCGGTTCCATGTGGAGCGGGGTTTAGCTCATGCAAAAGACTTGCAATTGTCTCCATGGGACGATCCCAGTGGGACTGTCAGCCCACAGCTCGAGTGGGTTGGATGCTTGCCTCTTTCCTAACAGTTATTTCCCCGGGTCCAGCTTAAAGACTCGATGGAAGGAGGTAGAACCTCTGCTGTTACTGCTTGAACTTAACCTGGGAAAGGAGAGGAAGACACCATCTCCAAAGCTATTAATGTCACTCCTTTTGCGAGCATGATTAGGCCCCGGAGATTTCCAAGTCCCCCCATCTACACTTACAAACGATTAGAAGGGTTTAATTTTAAAGACTTTCTGGTTACACTACTCCACGAACTCCTCCAAAGATCCGTTATTCAATAACTGCCTAGAAAATGTTTCCATCTCCTCTAAATCCCTGTGTTCTCCTCTGTGGAAATGAAGGCAGCAAGAAGCACCTGAGGCCTTGGTTCATGCAGTGTTCTCTTTTGACTAAATCACCTAGGTTCCTTTAAACATGCTACAAAGCCCAGGCATGGTGGTGCACACCTGTACTCCCAGCTACTCGGGTGGTTTACACAGGAGGATGGCTTTGGGCCTAGTAGTTCGAGTCCAGCCTGGGCAGCATAGTGTGAGACCCTGTCTCTTAAAAAAAAAAAAAATGCTACAAAGTCCTGATGATCCTAAATTTGAAATCCCAACTGTCCTCTCCATTTGTCTTTGAGCCAACCCTGAACTGGCCCTGGTACCTGAGTAAGAGCCATGCAGGGCCATCAGCAGAACATGGCCTTGTGGTTCTCACCCAGTTGTGTACCTCACAACCACAACTTCTTTTTCTTTGTCCCTTTTCCCCTTTTTGGTTTTGGTTTTGTATGTGGGCTCTATGTAACTCCCATAGTCAGCTGAACTCTCAATTGGAGACCCTCTTTCTCTGGCATCCTAGCACACAGGCAATTTTTTAAGCCTATATTTATGCTACATTTTCCCCCATCTTAAGAAAATTTGCTTTGATTTCCATTCTCCTACTAGCAGCAGCTGATATCACCTGTAGACCTATGAGCATTTTATCTATTCTATCATTGAAGTTACTGATAAAGATTTTTGTTGTTGTTGTTGTTGTTGGGAGAAATGGATTTCCCACAACTAATCCCTCTGGCCCACCATTAATTTCCTTCTTGGTTTCATTTCAAACTGGCAGCCAATTGCACGCCCATCTAAGAGCTACACAGTGTAGATTTTACTTCATCAGCCCATTGGTGAATGCATCGTGCAGAAAAGAACTGGGATCTGTACTAAAATCAAGATCATTACTTTGATCTCTACCTCAGTTTGCCAGTGTAGTCATTCTATTGCAGGAAGAGATTAAATTGATGAGATATTGTTACTTTCAGAGTCACACTGCTGATTGCTTGCCTGGGGCCTAATTTCACAAATGAATAGTGACTTTTTTCCCATGTATTTCTAGGTATGGTAAACTTTTAAACCTCCAAATTTTCAGAGCCATACTTTTTGCCCATTTTGAAAAAGAAGCCCAGGACAGCACCTTGTCTAGCCCCTCCCCATTTCTCCTGAGCTTTTGGGGTCCTTCAGCACCCTTGGACACCGTGGAGATCCAGCCAAGACTGAGCTTTGAATAGCACTAGCCCTTTTAAACAATCCTCACAAATTCCTTAGGAATTTAAACTTTCCAAAATAATCCCCCACTTTTTTTTTTTTTTTTTTTTTTTTTTGAGTTGGAGTCTTGCTCTGTCGCCCAGGCCAGAGTACAGTGGTGCAATCTCGGCTCCCTGCAACCTCCATCTCCCGGGTTCAAGCAATTCTCCTGAGTAGCTGGGATTACAGGCGCCACCACCACGCCCAGCTAATTTTTGTATTTTTAGTAGAGATGGGGTGTCACCATGTTGGCCAGGCTGGTCTCAAACTCCTGACCTCAGGTGACCCACCAGCCTCAGCCTCCCAAAGTGCTGGGATTACAGATGTGAGCCACCATGCCCGGCCATTCCACCACTTCTTTAAAATAGTAAGAATTCTTAAAAACCATATTCCTTGTTTGATGGAAGAGTAAGATGTTAACAGAGGGCATCAAAGGGCCAGAGGTGTCTTTGAATTTATTTTTTTTCAATGTCTTTTCTGAGCTTCAGCCTTAGCTTTTCAGATCTTCCTCCTACCTGTTCATTTATTCAGCCTTCTATCTGGTCATCCTCCCCAGCGGCTCCTCTCTCTGATGTGTCCACCTACGGTGGAACGAGGATTGCCTTTCTGTGCTCCCCATCAGGACTTTGCTGTCTTGGCCGGCAGGAGTCGTGCTGCTGCAGAGCCTCACAGGCTGTGCCTTGTTTCAGGAAACAGCTCCTAATACTCTCCCATCACTCACTTTACCTGTCTCCATCTTATTTCCCTATACTCCTATTGTCAGCTTGAGACTTTTTTTTTTTTTCAATTCCAAATGAAGGGTATGACCTCAGAGTGAGTGAGGACTCAGTAAAGACTCACCTCTCCTTACTTGGTTTATTAAATGTCTTCAGATTCCAGAGATAAGACAAGGTGGCCACTTCACAAAGAATCCAGAATCATGCTCAGTAAAGCTCATTAAAAGCCACTGCAGCTGAGAAGGTTCACAGCCCTTCTTTATAGCCACAGAGGCAGCACACAGGGGAGGTGGGAAGACACAGGGAAACGAGAGAAGAAGGATAATGAGGCCTTGAGGTGTTCTGCCCCCAATTTCAAGGAGCTTATCAGGCTTCATGTGCAATTTGGGGAGGGGAGCTTTTTGATGGTGGGTAAATAATGGCTCTACAAAGATTACCTGACTCCACTGACACAAGAATATGTATTCTCAGCTGATATAACTGTGTGTTCACATCCCATCCATAGAACTCACTGAAGGAGATTCATCAAGTCAGCCTTTTGGACTGGGTTGGGGTTTGGGGAGTGGATTTGGGGATAGAGAGAAAGGTGTACTTAGTACACATTTTCTAATGGGCGTTACGTGAACTGTTTGAACCTGCTGAGTGGCGCTTTGTAGAGCTCCATGTTCACGTTCAGTGTCAACACCATTCAACAGCTTTGCACATCTTCGTACAACATAATCTGGCTTTGGTGCCCCTTGAGCCACCTGTAGAATAATTTATAGCAGGGTCCCACAATCTACTGCAATGATCGTGAACAGTTATCAGTGGATATAGTGCTCCAAGAGTCAAATTGTATCCGTTAAGGGTTTTCTAACTTTTGCTATCCCCCCCGCGACCAAAAAAAGGGGGGGTTTATAATTTAAAGAAAAGGAAAAGAGGCGTGGGTTGGTAGTTGTGTCCTTAACATTTAGGAATGACATAGCCTCTGGAGTCTACAAACTGAAGAAACTTTCATCTGATCAGCCTTGGAAATCCAAAGTTAAAGAGCCTATGTGTCTCTTGAGGCGGGGGTTAGAGGATTCAAATTTGGGATGATGCTCATTGATTCCTGACCATAGCAGTGAGAGGCCATTTTTTGTGCAGGAAATGTGCTTAGGACTCAGTCTTGTTTTCGATTATCCACCACAGAAACCCTGAGACACAGAGCAGCTTAGAAGTCTCTACCCAGGCGTAAATAGAGCTCCCTACTCCAGACCACCTGCCACCCACCTCCCAAGTTGAGAACACAAGCTCCAGCTGGGCTGGAGAGTCAGGCTTGGTGCAGGGTGACTTTGGCGAAGTTTTGTCAGATCCATAAAGCAAACTGGAATTTGAGCTTTCACTTACCCTAGTATACGTTCTTAAAAAAAAAAAAAAGTCTATGTGGTATAATCGAGATGGATACCTGTGTCTTTAAATTACGTAGGGAATTTTGTATGTTTAAATAATTGTACTGGGTTCCATAATGCTTATCTTAGAAACTTTAGTAAAAGAAAATATATGAACCGTGCATTTGTGAATGCCCCCCTTAGAGCATTCATCCAAGTTCAGTGTGTAGTGTGATGGTTATTATAGATATTTAAAGTATAGTAAGTGGCTGTGTAACAGGAGAGACTGCTGTTTACCTACGTACTGAAGGGTAACTGCTGCCCGCGTAATTAAATCAGTATTGTCCTTTCCTGTCGGTTTGATCAATTGCGGTACCGGTAGCTTCCTGCTTGTGACTGTTACCTAATTGTGTCAATGTACATCTGTAGTATGTACATGTGAAAGTGCCTTTCTATTTTAGAGGAGTTTTAGCCTTGCTCTTGTACCGTTGCCCCGCTCTGTGCCCCACCCCCACCTCCTCCTCCCAATTCCTGCTGCCCACTCGAGTGTTTCGAAGCTTCCTCCCTGTCCCCCACCTTCCCCATCCCCGCCTTCCTGTGCCTCGGTGCTCAGTAATGTCCCATCTCACCTCCCTGTCGGTCCTCAGACTGTCTCGTTTTCCTTGTAGACGTGATTGTGCCTTTCTCACCCCTGTGTCCTCCCATCCCACCGCATCAGTCCCCCGCTCATGTGCTGCTGACAGCATCGCATTCGCCCGTGCTCTGTACTGCCTCTCACCATTTCATTCCCTCCTCTCTGAGGTGAAAATAAAGGGGGATGCTTTTACAGTCTGGAAAGAAAAAAAATGTTTTGTTAATCTGTTGTGACAATGCACTTTTATGTATAGTACTGTACATTTTTGGCATGTACCATTACAGGCTTCAGTATACAGTCAGGTTTGTTCTTCACGGTGTATCTTTATAATAAATAAGATAGTTCTGGCTGCCTTTGTCTGCTTCCAGTTTGATGTGCATCTCTGTGGTGTCTTTGTTCCTTTCCTTTCATTCATCACTACTTTCTCCTTGACAGCTAGCTTGCATTAAATAATGTGAAACTTTTACCTTTAAAATATTTTTTTATCTCACTTTCATTTCTTGTTCATTTGGAAATAGGGTGTCCTGCACAGGGCCCTGCCCATGAAGCTGTGGTTTTTCAGTCATGGTTTGGAGGCTCAATGTGTAGTCAGAGAAAAGAGTCTTGGCAGACACTTAACTGAGAAGCTGAGAGTGTACAAGCCTCCTAAACATACACCAGATTGAAATCTTTCTTTTGAGAAAGACTCTAGTTAACCACGGCAAGCCCATCTTTGGTTTCATTTGAATAAATTGAAAAATAATCCTTAGGTTATTTTTCTGTGCTTAGAACTCCCCGTGTATTGGTATTTTTCTTTACTTTTTTTTTTTTTTTTTTGAGACGAATCTCTCTGTGTCACCCAGGCTGTAGTGCAGTGGTGCAATCTCAGCTCACTGCAACCTCCCCCTCCTGGATTCAAGCGATTCTCCTGCCTCAGCCTCCTAAGTAGCTGTAATTACAGGCACCCGCCACCACACCCAGCTACTTTTCGTATTTTTAGTGGAAACGGGGTTTCACCATGTTGGCCAGGCTGGTCTCAAACTCCTGACCTAAAGTGATCTATCTACCTGCCTCAGCCTCCCAAGTGCTGGGATTACAGGTGTGAGCCATTGCATCTGGCCAGGTATTTTTCTTTAAATATAAAAAAAAGATAACTTGAGGTCTAGCAATATGTAGTAGATAGCTTTGTAAAACAATGTAAGTTGTGCAAGATTGAATATTGATAAGATATAAAGTTTAAAAAATGACAGGCAAATCAAGGAAAAACACTTTTTATTAAAGTGCAGAATACTAACAAAAGTGTGCAAATCATTAGTGTAACAGTTCTCACGAGCTGACACACTGATGTATCCACCACCCAGTTTAAGCAATAGCACATTATCAGCATCCCAGAAGCTACTGTGCTCATGCCTCTGTGAATGTATCAGTATCCTGACTAATCACACCATGGTGTAGTTTTGCCTGTCATCTTAGCTTTCTATAAATGGGTTCATACAGTATGTAGATTTTGTGTCTGGCTCCTTTTGTTGAAATGTATGTTTGTAAGAGTCGTCATTGTTAGTAAAATAGTGGTTTTTCCATTTTTACTGCTATATAGAATTCCATTACATGAATATGCTCAATATTATATTTATTTTAGTATTTCCTGATTAAACTTTGGGTAGTATATGCAGATATCTTTAAACATGGAGAAATGAATGGGGGGTGAGGGACCCACCTGTCAAAGGAATTGTTTTCCCAAACTATGACGGAATAATGTTGAACTAACCTGTTGACCGGAAGGCCTACTCAAAGGCAAGGATACTTTTCTTTCTTTCCAAAAAAGCACTGTCTGATATGGAGACTGGAAATATTCATAGATGACACTGAAACTAGTTGAAGCTTTACTTGATGCTTATCAAGTCATGTTCTCTTACCCGATGCTGGATGCTTTTTCTTCAATGCCTACTTTAGGACCACAGAGTTGGATTTAGAGGCTAGCCCACCAGGAACAAATGCCCAAATCAGTCTGTAGAGTTGTTCCAGGAAAGACTCCACCATCCTGCTACCCTCAAATCTTAAGCTCCTCAGCCTGCCACGACCATCTCCTGTTGAGAAAATTGCGCCTGCCTCCCCATCTCTCACTCCCGAACCAGAGTCCCAACGGGGTGTAACTGGTCGTCAGTTCCCACAGTTCATATGCCTGCACCCTGTAAGAATCTTAGAAAGGCAGAGCAAGGGTGTTTGCTGGCTTCTGCCTTGAGTAGTTGGGACTCCTAAAAAGGAAAATTCCCCAAGTTTGACCTAGAATGTCAAAAAGGTCCTAAAAGCACAGAATGATGGTAAATTCTATCCACAGGCCATATAGCCCTGGAAAATATTGGGAAACTGAGGCATGGGTTGGTAATTTATTGAAGTTTAGTAAACGAATTTGAATTAATTAGGACCAGATAATCAATTTTTGGCTTACTTATACTATAGTATAAGCAAATAAGTATTTAAACTTTAGTATAAATATTTTTGCTCACTTAATAATCACGGTGAGGTTCATCACCTCTTCAGTAGCCTTTTATCTGTTTCTACATAGTAAATAGAAAACTTGCCTTCTATAATAAAAACAAAATAGTTTTTCTATCAAGGTCAGTCTCAGCAAGAGAAATGGGACTGGGCTGGATATCAACACATGTGCTTGTGTGCATGTGCACGTGTGTGGGTGGGAGGGTGCGGAGGGGTTGGGAAGAGAGATTGCTCCTCCCGCAGTGCTGAAACAACATGCCTTGTTCAGTATTAACATCTTGAAGGCAGTTATGGCAGCATGATCCAGGAGATCGTCAGCTCTAGGATATTTGCGATCCAATTCTGGCGACTTATGGATGGATCCTTCACACCCAACAGCTGTCTATCAGGGGTGCTTCCGAGGGTCACTGGGTTTCTTTTAGCTGCTTGGCTGTGCAGCTGAAGTTAGGACTTTTGATGAATTACCCTCTCAATGATGGTGTATTGTTCTAATCTTCTGTCTCTGACATACCCAAGGAACCCCTTGTGTAAAAATCATGTCCCTCTAAATGCAAGTGGATGATTGTGCCAATAAGCCAGGAGAGAAGGAAACATCTTCAGTGGTCCAGTGGCACATTCAAAATTGTACAATGACATGACATTAACTCAAAAATGAAGTTTGAGGTTCTGGGCCTTTGATGGACTGCATCTATTAAAAACAAAAAGTGGTGTCTCATGCCTGTAATCCCAGCACTTTGAGAGGCCAAGGCAGGAGGATCAAAAAATGCGAATTTTTATATTTTTTTGTGAGATCCCATCTCTACCAAAAAAAAAAAAAATACAAAAATTAGCCAGACATAGTAGTACATGCCTATAGTACTAGGTACTTGGGAGGCTGAGGCAGGAAGATTGCTTGAGCCCAGATGTTTGAGGCTGCAATAAGCTATGATTGCACCACTGCACTCCAACCTGGGTGGAAGAGTGAGAAGCTATCTCAAAAAAAAAAAAAAAAAAAAAAAAAACATGGTCAAGATTTGTAATAGAAATTGCCATTTGAATTTTGGTCTGTAAGCCCAAAGATTGTTACTGTGTTAGTAACTAAATATTACGAGATGCATTAGGAAAAGAAGGAAAAGAAATTTTAAGTAAGCCAAAAATCTATTATATAGTCATAAGTCAAACTCAGTTACTAGACTTCAACAAATACCAACCCATGCCTCCATTTCCCAAACAGAAATAATAATATGAACATCTTAGTATATTGTCTTCTAATCCTTACATTATGTTATTTTTAAGCAGAGTCAAACTCATATTCTGTATATAATTGTATATACATTGGGTTTTTCTCCCTTATAGCAATTCACACTAGGAGTCTCAGTCAACATGATTTTTTAATGGCTGTATAATATTCTAGCGTATGAACACATCATTATTTAACCATTTTCCTGTCACTGAGTGAGCCTGTTTGAAGGTTTTGTTTTTTTTTCAATTGAATGTTATGTTGTGGTGAGCAGCTCTGTATATAATAATTAATTGTCTGTGTTTGGATCATAAAGTTAGCATTGACTCCAAAAAGTGAAATCACTGGGTCAGAGGATGCAATTATCTGTAAGGCTCATGACAAATATTGCCGACCTGTTTTCCAGCAAAGTTGTACAAATTTACATCCCTGCCAGTAATGCATAACAGTACACGAGTATAAAACATGGTCATGTTTCTTTACCAGTGTACTAGGTGAGTGATAGGCTCAATGCAAATTCTTAGCAGTTTGTTAATGTGCACACCCACATTTCCAGAGTACAAATCTCTATTTCACTCACCTCTGTGTCCTAAACTTCAGATGACTCTTTATTGTTTCAGCTAAACATCAGCAAACAGAGATTTTCCTCAGGCACCTTAAGCTCAACAGACCCAAAAATTAAACCCACTTTGTTTCATTCCAAAAAATATTCTGCAGCCCCTCTACATCCTCCAATCTGTTCCGCTGCCTATCTCTGCTCTAAGCTAATTCTGTGCACCATTCCCCTTGCCACAACGATTGCCGTAGCTTCCACGGTGGTGTGGCTGTGCCCACTGTCTCCTCCTTGAAATGATTATCTACACTGCTGCCAATAAATCATCTTTCTCAAAAACAAAATGAGAAACCTAACAAACAATCATTGAAAATGTACCATGTACTGACATCGTTTTCCTCAACACGTTGCATGTCAATAGCCAACATGTATTGAGTACCAGACTCCATGCTACAAATGTTAACCCTCATAAGAAAGCCAAGAGAGCCACAGTTATTATCATCATCTTTATCCGTAAGAAAATTAAGCCGCAGGAGTTAAACACTTGCCCTGGTCACACAGCTAGATAGTGACAGAGCAGGATTTGATTCCACGCCATCTGGTGCTGGAGGCTATGCTCATAACCACTGCTGCATTCTGACCTCTGTAACATGCTCATGTCATTACCCTGCTCAAAAGCCACACGTGGGTCCCCACTGCTGCAGGACGGCATACTACTGTGTCTTATTCATCTTTGTATCTTCAAGCCTAATGCATCACTAACTAAATAGCAAATCGGCGGAACTGAAATGAATTCAATGTCTGCCGCTTTGACCTCAGCCTGCCATTTCAGCCTTCCTGCTCACCACCTCCTCTTCGGAACCTTTAGTTTCAGCCATAGCAAGCTACCTTTCTTTGAAAATGTGATGCTGTGTGCTCCCTCCGCATATACTTCATGTCATTCCTCAGCCTAAAATGTCCCCTACTTCATCCTGACAACTGCCTGTTGAAATTATATTCATCATTCCAAACCCAACAAAATGGTTACATCCTTCATGAAGGGTTCCCCAAACCTCCCAGCTGGCATTAATTGTTCTGTTACATTTTGTTTTCATTAAATCAGGCTCCCTTCCGGGGATCTAGCTGTGAATGAGACACACAGGGCTCCTGGTCTCATGGAGTGTACTTCCTGGTATGATTTAAAAAAAAAAAAAAAAAAAAAAAAACCACTACATAAGCCAACAGCTAAACCGGCAAAATAATTTCAGGTGTTGATAACTGCTACAAAAAGCAAAAGTGAAATAAACAGGGTGATAGAATTTAGAGTGTCTAGGAGAAGCATTTTAGATGGGACAGCTTGAATGCCACCTTGGATGTGGTAGCATTTGAGCTAAGACCTGAATAATGAGAAGGAACCAGCCATGTGAAAAGGAAGAGAAAGACCCAAGCAGAAGGAACTGCACATGGGAAAACAGGACCATGCTCACGTGGTTAAAGAGTCAAACACATTCACTGTGACTGTACCACCATAAGCAAGAAGCCCTGGAGATGAAAATAAAGGCCAGAATGTGGACAGAGATCAGATTTTGGAGGCCAAAGTAAGGTACTTAAAATTAGCCGGGCTTGGTGGTGCACAACTGTAATCCCACCTACTCGGGAGGCTGAAGCAGGGGAATTGCTTGAACCCATGAGACGGAGGTTGCAGTGACCCGAGATTGTGCCACTGCACTACAGCCTGGGCGGCACAGTGAGACTCCATCTCAAAAAAAAAAAAAAAAGTAAGGTACTTAGATGTCATTCTAAGTTCAAGGAAAGCCATTGGAAGTTTCCAAAAAGGAACATGACAGCATCTATATTTTTAGAAGATGACCCTCAAAACCACAATGAGATATCACCTCATACCCATTAGGATGGCCACTCTCAAATGATCAAACTCCAGAAAATAACAAGTATTGGCCAGGGTGTAGAGAAACTGACACCCTTGTGCACTGTTGGTGGGAATGTAAAATGGTAGAGCCACTAAGGAAAACAGTGTGGAAGTTCCTCAAAAAATTAAAAATAAAACCCTCATATGATCCACCAAGCCCACTTCTGGGTACATATCCAAAAGAATTGAAAACAGAAGAGATATTTGCACACTCATGTTCACGCAGCTTAATTCACAATAGCCACAAGAGAGAAGCAACCCATGAATGGATGAATGGGTAAAGAAAATGTGCCATACACATAAAATAGAATATTATGCAGCCTTAAAAAAGAAGGAATTCCTGTCATATGCCACAATATGGATGAAACTTAAGGATACTAAGCTAAGTGAAATGAGCCAATCAATAAAGGACAAACATTGCATGATTTTACTTCTATGAGATATCTAAAGTAGTCAAACTCTTATAAACAGAAAGCAGAATGGTGATTGCCAGGGATCGGGATGAGGAAGAAAATGGAAATTGTTGTTCAGTGTTTACAGGGTTTCAGTTTTGCAAGATAAAAAGTTCTAAAGATCTGTTGTCCAACAATATGCATGCAGATAACATCATATTAAACATGGTTAAGATAGTAAATTTTATACTATGTAATTTTTTAACCACAATTTTAAACATCACTGTAGATGTTGTAGTTGTGTTTGGGGTCCACGGGTGGGGAGGAGCTTGGGAAGGAATGGCATGAGGGAAGTGAGAGACCACAATTAAGGAGCAACACAGGAGATGAGGGTGGCTTGGACTAGATAGCCAGGTAGAAGGAGAGGAAGGGATGAACCGGGGGTTCGTTTCAGAGTCAAAATCAAGATTTGCTAATAAATTAAATATGGGAATAAAGAAAGAAAAGAATCAAGAGTGGCTCCTAGTATTTGTTTGAGCAAATGGGTGGAATATATTGATATATACTTAAAAAGAATGACTGGGGAAAGGAAGAAGTTGGCCAGGATGTACAACCAAGTATTCACGTTTGAATTTATTTAATTTAAGATAGGTATTAGACTTCCAAGTGGAGAAGTCTAGGAGGCAGATGGACTTGAAGCTCAGGGGAGGATTTCTGGCCAGAAGGTGTAAATTTGATATTTAAAGCTATGGGACTCCCGGAAAGAGAAAGAGAAAGGAAGGTACAGAGCACATAACCAAGCCCTGGGAAGCCCAGCTTGGGAGAGCTTGGGTGGAGTGAGGAGCTGGCAGAGGAGACAGAAGGAGCAGCCAGGGCGGAGGAGGAAAACCAGGAGGAGCATGTAATGTGATCAGTACCCAGGGAAGAAATGATTGCCATTTCTAGTGTGCATTTGTTAACATAAATATGATAATAAAAATAGTTAACATTTGTTAAATATATATATTTTTTTCTTTTTCTTTTTCTTTTTTTTGAGACAGAGTCTCACTCTGTCACCCAGGCTGGAGTGCAGTGGCATGATCTTGGCTCACCGCAACCTCTGCCTCCCAGGCTCAAGTGATCCTCCCACCTCAGCCTCCCAAGTACGAGGGATTACAGGTGCATGCAACCATGCCCAGCTAGTTTTTGTATTTTTTTGTAGAGACGGGGTTTCACCATGTTGCTTGTTAAGGCCGGGCACGGTGGCTCACGCCTGTAATGCCAGCACTTTGGGAGGCCGAGACAGGCGGATCACCTGAGGTCAGGAGTTTGAGACCAGCCTGGCCAACATGGCGAAACCCCATCTCTACTAAAAATACAAAAAAATTAGCCGGGTGTGGTGGCGCCCGCCTATAGTCCCAGCTGTTCGGGAGGCTGAGGCAGGAGAATTGCTTGAACCAGGGAGGTGGAGGTTGCAGTGAGCCAAGGTCACGCCACGGCACTCCAGCTTGGGTGATAGAGTGGGACTCCGTCTCAAAATAAATAAATAAATAAATATATTAAAAAATAAACAAGTTCAGGCTTGTTAAATATTTTTTATGTTTGTTTGTTTGCTTTGTTTTTTTTGAGACGTAGTCCCGCTCCGTCTCCCAGGCTGGAGTGCAGTGGCGCGACCTCGGCTCACCACGACCTCGGCTCACCGCAACCTCTGCCTCCCGGTTTCAAGCGATTCTCCTGCCTCAGCCTCCAGAGCAGCTGGGACTACAAGTGCGCACAACCACACCCAGCTAATTTTTTTGTATTTTTAGTACAGCCGGGGTTTCGCCATGTTGGCCAGGCTGGTCTTGAACTCCTGACCTCAGGTGATCCACCCGCCTCGGTCTCCCAAACTGTTGGCATTACAGGCATGAGCCACCACGCCTGGCTGAGTTAAATATTTTCTATGTGCCAAGCACTGTGCTAACTGCTTTCATATTATCGGATTTAGTCCTGTAAGACCGGAATCATTATTATCCCCATTTTTCAGATTAAAACAAACAAACAAAAGCTGAGGTTTAAAGAAATTATCTCTTGTAAAATCACACAGCTAACAATTGAGCCAGTATCTGGACCTAGATCTATTGCCTACAGAGCCGCACGTTTAACTACTGTTATCTTGCCTCCTTATTGCTCCACACACTTGAAATATAAATTTTTAAAGACATTTTATTCTTTTTTGTCTTCATCAGAATTTATTGAATCCTGATTATTTTTTCCTTAATGTTGATTTTGTAGACTCATTTGCAGGAAGAACAATGTCAGGTGGAGAGAAGGAATTGAATGAATATTTTTAATAAATTTGTAGATGTTAATATGATTTACTTATTTGCAATTTTCATAGCTATATGATATTCTATCCCATTTCCAGTGTTTTTGCTCTTTTAGTAGCAAATACTCTGAATCTCTGCATATGTTACTCATTTTCTATCATCCTATTCCTTGTGATGGATACCCAAGGGTACTCATCTACAGGATGAAAGGGTATGAGCACGTTTCTAGGTGCCCTGACCCCAAGATTAGGGGTTTTGTTAGAGGCAAAGCTAAAAGGAAATGATAAAATAAATGAATATTTATAGAAGTTAAATCTATTAATCTAGCCTTATTACACCGAGTACAACAGGGAATAATAAGCCATCTATCTGAACGTGCACGGTTAGGGCCTCAAGGAAAGTGGGCTCAGCAATGAGTGTTGGTACACATGGAAAATCACATTTGCCATGTTTTCTATGGCTTTGGGCTGCTGCTGCATCACTGCAGTTTAATAGGAGGAGGCTGGTGAAAATGTTACCAACTGCCAGGGGTCAATGGCGAAAGAACACATTTCTCTAGGAAAGATTACCTTCTCTGAAGAAGTGATAGGGGGAATAAGGCATAAAATTATCTGACCTGAGAGACCTTAACAGCTAGGCCTGCACTGCTCATGCTTTGGGACCAGAAAGCGGATGGTTTGATATGGTAGCTGCACTTCTAAAAAAAAAAGGGGGCATTCTTGGCAGGAGAAAGGGTGTTACATGGAAAGATCAGCGATAGTACACACGCCTTCCCATAGAGTGAGGTGGCTTTCCCACCCCTCAACACTCCTTCAGACCCCCACTGTAACAAAGGGATGTGTCTACCTCTAAATTCATCATTTACTGAACAAATAACTCATGAGGGTTACCATATGTCTGACACTGTAGGAAGAGCTGAAGCAGGGCCTAAAACACTATAGTGCAAGTATCTGTTTACACATCTGTATGAGAGTAATTGATGCTAGCTGCTGTAACAAACAACCCCCCAAACTCAGTAACACAATCAAGCTGTATTTCTCCTTCACATCATAGCCTGGTGTGGGTCAGGTAGGTGACTCAGGGTTCTAGGCTCCTTCCATTTTTTTGTCGCTGCCACACTGGAAATGGGATAGAATATCGTATAGCTATGAGAATTGCAAATAAGTAAATTATATTAACATGTACAAATTTATTAAAAATACTCTTTCAATTCCTTCTCTCTGCCTGACATTGTTCTTCCTGGAAATGAGTCTACAAAATCAACATTAAGGAAAAAATGATCAGGATTCAATAAATTCTGGATAGAAAAAAGAATAAAATGTCTTTAAAAATTTATATTTCAAGTGTGTGGGGGCAATAAAGAGGCCAGATAATAGTAGTTAAATGTGGGGCTCTGTAGGCAATAGATCTAGGTCAGATACTGGCTCAATTGTTAGCTGTGTGATTTCACAAGAGATAACTGATGCTAGCTGCTGTAACAAACAACCCCCCAAACTCAGTAACACAATCAAGCTGAATTTCTCCTTCACATCACAACTTGGTGTGGATCGGGCAGGTGACTCAGGGTTCTGGGCTCCTTCCATTTTTTTTGTTGCTGCCACCTTAGTACGTGGCCACCATGAAGAGGAAGAGAAAGCACTTGCAATGATGTGAGGTTTTCTGTCTTGGTATGGAGGAGACATGAATCACTACTGTACATGTCCAAGTCACATGGCAAGGGAGGCCAGGAAATGTCATCTTCCTATAATGCAAGAAAAAGAACCCAGGGCCGGGCACAGTGGCTCACGCCTATAATCCCCACAATTTGGGAGGCTGAGGCAAGAGGATTGCTTGAGCCCAGAGCAATTAAACACTGCCTGGTGCATAGTTAGTGCTCAAGAATTGTGCTATAATCAATGTTACTAAATTATCTAGGATTAGATGTTTCTAAATTAAAACTATTTCCTGCTTTGTATTTGTCCTTTATTCCAAAAACTTAAAAATTTCTCATTTCTGGTTTGTCAGGGATGAAATACTAAAGCAACTTCATGGATTGTGATTTCAAGTATATGAAAAGTTTAAGACCCAATTGCTTTTGAAGGAGATTCATCTAGAAAAACCAGGGATTCAAACCCAACACATCGGGTGCTAAAGTCTACCCTCTTAGTTGACATAGAATTAAATTAAAATCAGTATTGATTGGATTATGCTTTGATAAAAATGTAACTTCATTTAAGTCTAGTAAATAATTAGGATTATGAGGTCAGGAGTTTGAGACCAGCCTGGCCAATATGGTGAAACCCCGTCTCTACTAATGATACGAAAATTAGCCGGGCATGGTGGCGTGCACCTGTAGTCCCAGCTACTCGGGAGGCTGAGGCAGAAGTATCACTTGAACCCGGGAGGTGGACGTTGCAGTGAGCCAAGATCGCACCACTGCACTCCAGCCTGGGTGACAGGGTGAGACTCCATCTTAAGAAGAAAAAAAAAGCAATTACTTTTGCACCAACCTAATAAAAATGAAAAATCCCAATGAAAATGCATGAATATCATGTGCCTTGACAACTTACGGAGCATTTGGAACATGTCAAACAGTAATCAGAGGTCAGGTTGAGGAAAAAATGATAAGAACCCTCTCTGCCCCACCATTCACATCATTCAGTGGATCTATGTACTAAATCTAGCCAGTGGGTTGTGAGCAAAAATGATCTGTGTCACTTGTGGGTTAAAATATAAAAGAGTGCTAGGCACACTGGCTCGCACCTGTAATCCCAGCACTTTGGGAGGCTAAGTGGGAGGATCGCTTGAGCCTAGGAGTTCAAGACCAGCCTGGGCAACATAGCAAGACCCCATCCCTACAAAACAGTTTTTTAAAAAACTAGCTGTAGGGCAGGCACGGTGGTTCACACCTGTAATCCCAGAACTTTAGAAGGCCGAGGTGGGTGGATCACTTGAGGTCAGGAGTTCAGGACCAACCTGACCAACATGGTGAAACCCCATCTCTACTAAAAATACAAAATTAGCCAGGCGTGGTGGCGCATGCCTGTAATCCCAGCTACTCAGGAGGCTGAGGCAGGAGACTTGCTTTAACCCAGGAAGCGGAGGTTGCAGTGAGCCAAGATTGCACCATTGCACTCCAACCTGGGCAACAAAAGTGAAACTCCATCTCAACAAACAAACAAACAAACAAACAGTAGCTGGTTGTGGTGGTGTGTGACTGTGATCCCAGCTACTTGGGAGGCTGAAGTGAAAGGATCGCTTGAGCCTGGGAGGTAGACGCTGCAGTGAGCTGAGATCATACCTCTGCACTTCAGCCTGGGTGACAGAGTGAGATCCTGTCTCAAAAAATAATAACAATAACGTATGAGAGAGGATTCAAGCTTTCCAAGCAGTCTCTTCCCCTGCCATGGCACTCATAGAAGCCTCCCGTTAAGATGGCAGAGCTGTAATGCTAGAAAAGCACAGACTGTTAAGTCACTGCATGGAGGATGGTCATCCTGGAGAATTGTTTGGACTCGAGTGGACTCTACAACAGCAGGAAATAAACTACTGTTATATCAAGCTACTGACATTGAGAATTAGGTTGCATAGTTATGCCACAGCATAATGTAGCCTTTCCTGATGCATACAATTACTTTTCCTTTCTTTTTTCTTTTCCCTGGAGTTCATAATTACCTTTGTTTCATTTGCTTAGCTTTCTATTTACATAAATAGGTAAAAATTCCTTCTCAAAAATCTTTTACAGAAGTGTTCTCAAACTCAATGCATTGAAACATGCTATAGTTTATAAATCTTGGATCCATCACTTAAAGAGGCATTTGACCTGTTTCAGTATGGATAAGTTGTTCTCTAAGTCTACTGCATAGCTGAGAGCCTAAGATCTCTGGGGACTCACTCCACTTTTCTCTTGAGTTGGTTCCACTATTTCCTGGAACCTCATACAGCCATCTCAGCTAGTCATGACTGACCTAGATTTAACACAGTATATCCTTAATCAGCTTCCTGATTGAGAGTGTATTTTGAGACATTCCATGTCTAGAAAGTGTCTTTATCTCACATGTAATTGTGATAGTCTGGCTGAGTATAAAATCTTACTTAGGATGTTAACTTAAAATCAATGTGGTCAAGGAAAGGAGGAAAAATATGTCCTCCTAGTAATTCCCAGTGTAAGTGGAAATGACCCAGCCCTAGATTTACTTGGCTTTAGTTTCCATCACCATAGATTTCTCAATCAAAAGGCAAATATATCTCATATGTCGGAAGATTAATGTATGAATAATCAGTACCACTGGCATATGGCTACTCTCCTATTTTCCTTACCCCTTTGTCTTCACAAGGAAGCCCAGACTCTGTTTGCCAGTGGCTGGGTCCTGGGGCCGATAACTTCAAGCTAAACATTCAATATCAGTATGGTAGGTGAGGAAGATTTTCTCAGAGTGGCTCATTATCTGGAAAGTGTAAGAATGAGGTGGCAGAAAGAGGTAGAAACAGCATGAAAAGGCAGAGCCAAGGAGAGATCGACAAACAAGAAGGATTGTGCCCATATTTCTCTATTCTCTCTAGCATTATGAATCATTTCCCCTCAGGATTTTGGAGATGTTGCATCAGTGTTGCTACCGAACATTCCAAAGCCATTCTAATTCTGTTACTTTGTATGTTCTTTTTTTTCCCTATACATAATTTACTATTGCATGTTTTTCTCAGGGTTTCTGAAATTTCAGAATATCCTGATGTGGATCTATTTTGATTCATTGTACTGAAGACCATTTCAGCCCATCTTACACTTTGATTCTGGAAAGTCTTCTTTTCCCTGGAGCTTATAATTACTTTTATTTCATTTGCTTAGCTTTCTATGTACATAAGTAGATAAAAATTAATTCATTCTCAAAATCTTCCACAGAAATGCTTTCAAACTCAATGCATTAAAAACATGCTATAGTTTATAAACCTTCTTGGATCTATCAAGGAAGATTTATTTGATTATTTTATCTCCTCCATTCCATCTGTTTTCTTATAATTCCTAATATTTGGAGGTTGGACCTCATGAACTGATCCTATAATTTTACTAATTTTCCTCCAGTTTTTCATCTATTTGACTTTTTGCTCTATTTTCAGGGAAATATCCTCAACTTTATCTGCTAACTCTTCTGTTAAGTACTTTATTTCTGCTCTCATGCTTTTAATTTCCAAAAGCTCTTTTTGTGAGCTGGCTGTTCATTTTTTTATAGAATCCTGTCCTTATTTGACAGGTCCTATATATTTTTTTATTTTGAGATTATTAGTGATAGTTCTTCTAAGTTTTCTTCTCTCTGCACACTGTATTTCCTCTAAGTTGCTTTTTTAAATTTTTGACCTGTGTTTGCTTTGCTTTCGTTTATGTTACAGGCTTTCCTAAAATTCCTGGTGATCCTTGGCTATCTGCTCGAATTTAAAAACAAGCACTAAAGAAGGGCACTAAAAAACAGATTGTCATAGCAGTATTATCCATAATAGCCAAATGATAGAAGCAATGCAAATGTCCATCAACAGAGGGACAAATGAATAAGCAAATGTGGTATATTGATACAATGGAATACTATTCTGTAATGAAGATGGGAAAGAACGGAGTACTGATACACGCTACAACATGGGTAAACTGAAAACATTATTACGTGAAATAAGCCAGTCATAAACCACATATTGTGTATATTTTATCCATAAGAAATGTTCAGAATAGGCAAATCTATAAAAATACAAAGTAGATTTGTAGTTGCTGAGGGCTGGGAAAAGGGTTTGGGGAGAGAAATGACTGCTAATGGGAGTATGGGATGTTCTTTTGGGGCTGATAAAATGTTCCAAAATTCATTGTGTGATAACTACACATCTGTAAATATACTAAAAACCACTGAATTGTATCCAATAAAGTACTAAATTGTATGATATATGAATTATACCTCAATAATGCTCATTACCCTCCCCCTACCCCATTAGGTACCGGGCTGCACAGCAGGGGGTAAGTGACCATTACCGCCTGAGTTCTGCCTCCTGTCAGATCAGCCAAGGCTGATTCTCATGGGAGGGTGAACCCTACTGTGAACTGCACAATTGAGGGATCTAGGTTGTGCGCTCCTTATGACAATCTAATCCCCCTAAATCCCACTATCATCTGTGGAAAAATTGTCTTCCACAAAACCGGTCTCTGGTGCCAAAAAGGTTGGGAACTACTGCTCTAGAAAGTAAATCTCCAAGTCTCCTGGTAGAGCAATAAGGAGTATATTTGCCTGGCCACATGGAGTTGGAAAATATATTGAGACTTAACTGCTTCTTATAGCTACAAATATCCCTGTTTCAGCCTCACCTCACAGAAATATCAAGTGGGATCAATTTCTGAAACTTTGAGAAGTTTCCTTAATGCAAGTCAGGTTTCCAGTTTGGGATTCAACTTTCTTCAGATGCTAAATTAATTATTCTTTGCAATCTCTTTTGTAGCTTCCAAAGCTTTGTAACTGTTGTACCTCTCTTATTTTCTTTAACCTGTGTGCTTATATCTTCTTTTAAATGCCCCTAATTGTCCTTAAGAGAGGTGTTTGGAGGCTGTAAAGATAAATGTCTGTCTTGAAATCACCACCTTTAAACACAAGCTCCTCCTTTAGCTTCTTAACAAATCCTTTCTGCTTAAAATCAATTGGAGTGGGTTTCTGATGCTTGCAACTGAAAGTGCTGACTGATACAAGTTGTTAGGAACAATTTTCTTCCTAGTAAAGGTAAAATAGTTATTCTTGGCTGGGTGACGTGGCTCACGCCTGTAATCCCAGCACTTTGGGAGGCTGAGGCGGGTGGATCACGAAGTCAGGAGATTGAGACCATCCTGGCTAACACGGTGAAATTCCATCTCTACTAAAAAATACAAAAAAATTAGCCAGGCATGGTGGCGGGCGCCTATAGTCCCAGCTACTCGGGAAGCTGAGACAGGAGGGCATGAACCCAGGAGGTGGAGCTTGCAGTGAGCCGAGATTGCACCACCACACTCCAGCCTGGGCAACAGAGTGAGACTCCATCTCAAAAAAAAAAAAAAAAAAAAAAAGTTATTCTTGAGAGGAGAGTAAACAGAACCCTGAATGTTAAAAAGGTACATGCTAGTTGGGACCAAGCTGCCTTTTAACCAGGGAGAATTTCCCAAATTCTGCAGACAACAACAGTTGCAAAATAGTGCCTATCTACACCAGGGGGTGTGTGAGCATCCCATTTGCTGCCTCAAGAGAAGATGGCTTGGCTGCAAAATAATCAGCTAGCATCATGATGACAGGATCAAATTTACACATAACAATATTAACCTTAAATTTAAATAAGCTAAATGCCCCAATTAAAAGACACATTGTAGAGAGTCAAGACCCATAGGTGTGCTGTATTCAAGAGACCCCTCTCACATGCAAAGACATACATAGACTCAAAATAAAAGGATGGAGGAAAATTTACCAAGCAAATGGAAAATCCAAAATGCAGGGCTTGCAATCCTAGTTTCTGAAAAAACAGACTTTAAACCAACAAAGATCAAAAAAGACAAAGAAGGCCATTATATAATGGTAAAGGAGTCAATTCAATAAGAAGAGCTAACTATCCTAAATATATATGCATCCAATACAGGAGCACCCAGATTCATAAATAAGTTTTTAGAGACATACAAAGAGACCTAGACTCCCACACAATAATAGTGGGAGACTTTAACACCACCACTGTCAATATTAGATAGATCATCATCAAGACAGAAAATTAACAAAGATATTCAGGACTCAAACTCAGCTCTGGATCAAGTGGACCTAATAGATATCGACAGAACTCTCCACCCCAAAATAACAGAATATACACTCTTCTCAGTGCCACTTGGCACTTCCTCTAAAATTGCTCACATAACTGGAAGTAAATCACTCCTCAGCACATGTAAAAGAACTGAAATAACAAACAGTCTCTCAGACCACAGTGCAATCAAATTAGAACTCAAGATTAAGAAATTCACTCAAAACCATACAACTACATGGAAACTAAACAACTTGCTCCTGAATGACTCCTGGGTAAATAATGAAATTAAAGCAGAAATCAAAAAGTTATTTGAAACCAATAAGAACAAAGAGACAACGTACCAGAATCTCAGGGACACAGCTGATGCAGTGTTAAGAGGGAAATTTATAGCACTAAATACCCACATCAAAAAACCTAGAAAGATCACAAATAGACACCCTAACATCACAACTAGAAGAACTAGAGAACCAAGAGAAAACAAACCCCAAAGCTAACAGAAGACAAGAAATAACCAAGCTCAGAGTAGAAGTAAAGGAGATAGAGACTTGAAAAACCCTTCAAAAAAATCAATGAACGCAGGAGCTGGTTTTTTGAAAAATAATAATAAAATATATAGACTACTAGCTAGAGTAATAAAGAAGAAAAGAGAGAAGAATCAAATAGACACCTTAAAAAATGATAAAGGGGTATCACCACTGACCCCACAGAAATACAACCAACCATCACAGAATACTATAAGCACCTCTGCAAATCAACTAGAAAATCTAGAAGAAAAGGGTAAATTCCTGGACACATACACACTCCCAATATTGAACCAGGAAGAGGTTGAATCCCTGAAGAGACAAATAAACAAATTCTGAAATTGAGGCAGTAATAAATAGCCTAACAACAACAACAACAAAAACCCAGGACCAGATGGATTTACAGGTGAATTCCACCAGAAGTACAAAGAAGACCTGATACCCTTTCTTCCAAAACTATTCCAAACAATTGAAAAGGAGGGACTCCTCCCTAAGACATTCTATGAGACCAGCATCATCTTAATAACCAAAACCTGACAGAAATACAATAACAAAAAAAGGAAAACTTCAGGCCAATATCCCTGATGAATATTGATGCAAAAATACTCAATAAAATACTGGTAAACCAAATACAGTAGCACATCAAAAAGCTTATTCACCACAATCAAGTTGGCTTCATCCCCAGGATGCAAAGCTGGTTCAACATATGCAAATCAATAAAAATAATTCATCAAATAAACAGATCTAAAGACAAAAACCACATGATCATCTCAACAGATGCAGAAAAGACCTTTGGTAAAATTCAACATCCCTTCACCTTAAAAACTCTCAATAAACTAGGTATTGAAGGAACATACCTCAAAATAATAAGAGCCATTTATGACAGAGCCACAGCCAATATCATACCGAGTGGGCAAAAGCTGGAAGCATTCCCCTTGAAAACTGGCACCAGACAAGGATGCCTTTTCTCACCACTCCTATTCAATATAGTACTGGAAATTCTGGCTAGGGCAATCAGGCAAGAGAAAGAAATAAAGGGTATTCAAACAGGAAGAGAGGAAGTCAAATTGTCTCTGCTTGCAGATGACATGATCCTATATCTGGAAAACTCTATCATCTCAGCCCAAAAACTTCTTAAGCTGATAAGCAACTTCAGCAAAGTCTCAGGATACAAAATCAACGTGCAAAAGTCACAAGCATCCCTATTCACCAACAACTGGCAAGTAGAGAGCCAAATCATGAATTAACCCCCATTCACAATGGCTACAAAGAGAATAAAATACCTAGGAATACAGCTAACAAGGGAAGTGAAGGACCTCTTCAAAGAGAACTACAAACCACTGCTCAAGGAAATCAGAGAGGACACAAACAAATGGAACAACATTCCACGCTCATGAATAGGAAGAATCAATAACGTGAAAATGGCCATACTGCCCAAAGTAATTTATACATTCAATGCTTTTCCCATTAAACTACCATTGACAGAATTGGAAGAAACTATATTAAAATTCATATGGAACTAAAAAAAGAGCTTGTATAGCCAAGACAATCCTAAGCACAAAGAACAAAGCTGGAGGCATCATGCTACCAGATTTCAAACTATACTACAAGGCTACAGTAACCAAAACAGCATGGTACTGGTACAAAAACAGACACATAGATCAATGGAACAGAATAGAGAACTCAGAATTAAGACCACACATATACAACCATCTGATCTTTGACAAACCTGACAAAAACAGGCAATGAGGAAAGGATTCCCTATTTAATAAATGGTGCTGGGAGAACTGGCTAGCCATATGCAGAAAATTGAAACTGGACCCCTTCCTTACACCTTATACAAAAATTAACTCAAGATGGATTAAAGACTTACATGTAAAACTCAAAACTATAAAAAGCCCTAGAAGAAAATCTAGGCAATACCATTCCGGACATAGGTACGGACAAAGATTTCATGACGAAATCGCCAAAAGCAATTGCAACAAAAGCAAAAATTGACAAATGGGATCTAATTAAACTAAAGAGCTTCTGCACAGCAAAAGAAGCTATCATTAGAGCAAACAGGCAACCTACAGAGTGGGAGAAAAGTTTTGCAATCTATCCATCTGACAAAGGTCTAATATCCAGAATCTACAAAGAACTTAAACAAATTTATAAGAAAAAAACAACTCCATTAAAAAGTGGGCAAAGGGTCAAGTGCAATGACTCACGCCTGTAATACCAGCACTTTGGGAGGCCGAGGTGGGTGGATCACTTGAAGTCAGGAGTTGAAGACTAGCCTGGTCAACATAGTGAAACCCTGTCTCTACCAAAAATGCAAAATTAGCTGGGCATGGTGGTGTGCTCCTGTAATCCCAGCTACTCGGGAGGCTGAGGCAGAAGAATCACTGGAACCTGGGAGGCAGAGTTTGCAGTGAGCCAAGATCATGCCACTGCACTCCAGCCTGGGCAACAGAGTGAGACTCCAGCTCAAATAAATAAATAAATAGTAAATAAATAAATATATAAATAAGTGGGCAAAGGACATAAATAGACACTTCTCAAAAGAAGCCATTCATGCAGCCAACAAACATGAAAAAAAAAAGCTCAACATCACTGATCACTAGAGAAATGCAAATCAAAACCACATTGAGATACCATCTCATACTAGTCAGAATGGTGATTATTAAAAAGTCAAGAAACAACAGACGCTGGCAAAGGTTGCAGAGAAATAGGAACCCTTTTACACTGTTGGTGAAAATGTAAATTAGTTCAACCATTGTGGAAGATGATGTGGCAATTCCTCAAAGATCTAGAACCAGAAATACCATTTGACCCAGCAGTCCCATTACTGGGTATATATCCAAAGGAATATAAATCATTCTATTACAAAGGTACATGCATGCATATGTTCATTGCAGCACTATTCACAATAGCAAAGACATGGAATCAACCCAAATGCCCATCAATGATAGACTGGATAAAGGAAATGTGGTATATAGACACCATGGAATTCTACGCAGCCATAAAAAGGAATGAGATTATGTCCTTTGCAGGGACATGGATGGAGCTGGAAGCCATTATCCTCAGCAAACTAACACAGGAACAGAAAATCAAACACCACGTGTTCTCACTTACAAGTGAGAGCTGAAAAATGAAAACACATGGACACAGGGAGGGGACCAACACACACTGGGGCCTGTAGGGGGTTTGGGTGAGGAGAGAGAGATTTAGGAAAAATGGCTAATGCATGCTGGGCATAATACCTTCGTGATGGGTTGATAGGTGCAGCAAACCACCATGGTACACGTTTACCTGTATAACAAACCTGCACATCCTGCATATGTACCCCAGAACTTAAAATTAAAATTTAAAAGAAGAAAGAGATGATGGCTTGGAAAGGACTCAGCCAGAACTTATCCTCGTTTTACCTGGTTTAATCACTTTAGCATTTAGAAGCAGAACCATGGCAGAAAGTGTTTTGTTTCATCTTAGAGGTATTCTAGTTTCTCTCTTTTTTTTTTAACAAAAAAAATATATTTTTAAAGGAAAAAATAAAGGTGATCAAAAATGAGTAAAATTGGCCAGGCGCAGTGGCGCATGCCTGCAATCCCAGCACTTTGGGAGGCCAAGGCGGGCTGACTGCCTGAGGTCAGGAGTTCAAGACCAGTCTAGCCAACATGGTGAAACCCTATCTCTGCTAAAAATACAAAAAAATTAGTTGGGCATGGTGGTATTCACCTGTAATTCCAGCTACTCAGGAGGCTGAGGCAGGGGAATGGCTTGAACCAGGGAGGTGGAGGTTGCAGTGAGCAGAGATCGCACCACTGCACTCTGGGGAAGAGAGCGAGACTCCATCTCAAAAAAAAAAAAAAAAAAAAAGGGCCAGGCATGGTGGCTCACAGCTATAATCCCAACACTTTGGGAGGTCGAGGCAGGCGAATCACCTGAGGTCAGGAGTTCAAGACCAGCCTGACCAACATGGAGAAACCCTGTCTCTACTAAAAATACAAAATTAGCCATGCGTGGTGGCACATGCCTGTAGTCCCAGCTACTCGGGAGGCTGAGGCTGGAGAATCGCTTGAACCCAGGAGGCAGAGGTTGCGGTGAGCTGAGATCATGCCACTGCACTCCAGCCTGGGCAACAAGAGCCAAACTTCGTCTCCAAAAAAAAAAAAGAAATGAGGAAAATTTGTTTAGCATGGTGTGAAACAAGATACATAATAATATTCACTGAATAAAGAAAATACTCAACCAAAACAAAACAAATAAATAAAATGGTCATCCATAACAGCTCATAAATCTCCACTTGGAAAAAGAAAAGTTACAATATATCTTGTTTAGAATGGGAGTGTATTGATGAAGAAAAAATAGTAAGCCTCATTGCCAGAGAACCAAATGCCTCCAATGATGTAAATAGGGAAGAAGGGGTTCCAATATATCTGCTTATGTACCCCTCAAAATAACTTATGGAAACTGGGGATAACTTACATTGAATAGAGGAAATTTCAAAATAAGAATCCATGGCCAGGCATGGTGGCTCATGCCTGTAATCCCGACACTTTGGGAGGCCAAGGCGGGGAGATCACTTGAAGTCAAGAGTTCCAGACCAGCCTGGGCAACATGGCAAAACCCCATCTCTACCAAAAATATAAAAAATTAGCTGGGCATGGCAGTGCACACCTGTGGTCCCAGCTACTCAGGAGGAGCTACTTCAGTGGGAGGATCGTTTGACTTGAGCCTGGGAGGCAGAGGTCACAGTGAGCCGAGACTGTGCCACTGCACTCCAGACTGAGCAATAGAGTAAGACCCCGTCTGAAAATAAAAATAAGAAGAATTCATATTAGGTCATATGCAGATCATGGTTTTAAAAGTCTACTAGAATTGAGAAATATTCTTAGAATGAAGATAACTGAGTCTTGGCAATGCAAGATGAGCAGAAAAAATTCTGTAAAATAATTACCAGGAAGTTCTAGACCTGGAAATATATTGGTCACAGTGAAGACAGGAGATAGCAGTGGTGCGATCTCAGCTCACTGCAGCCTCTGCCCCTGGGTTCAAGCGATTCTCCTGCCTCAGCCTCCCGAGTAGCTGGGATTACAGGTGCGCACCACCACGCCTGGCTAATGTTTGTATTTTTAGTAGAGACGAGGTTTCGCCATACTGGCCAGGCTAGTCTCAAACTCCTGACCTCAGGTGATCCACCCACCTCAGCCTCCCAAAGTGCTGGCATTACAGGCATGAGCCACTGTGCCCGGCCGCACCATCCTTATTACACTCTAGAGTTACACTGCCTGCGCTCCAACCTCTAACTGCTAGTCACAGTAAAATTTCCAAAAGTCCATCTATTCCCTCTTAGGCTCTCATTCCTCCCATATTATGGGCCTTGAGGTTCCTTCTTGCTTCGAAGTGCTTCAGGGGATGCAGTAGTTGTCTCCTTGGTCCTGTACTGATATGCTGAATATGGCAAAGAAGCACCAACAGTTGAGTAGTTGCTGGCCTTTTTGAGAGCTGTGTCCAAAGCACAGTACTGGACAACATCCCTGCCTGCAGGGTAAACACAGCAGCAGCTTCCTCCGAAGCAGCGAATCTAAAATTGCCAACGCTAACACAAAGAATCAGAGGAACATGTTGGCACATGACTGAGAGGCTCAAACAATTACACAGAAGGAGTAAATAAGCATTTCAGTAAAACAGATGCTACAGGCAACATATCACATAATTGTGCCTAGTAGGTGAAGGAAGTACTTTTCTCCTTAGCATATCTTTGGTGGTAATTATTTGTCAGTTTGCCCAACTGGTGGAACAAATGAGATCATTTTCTCATTTACAGCTATTCTAGAAAAAGCAATAGAGAGAGTTGACTTAAAATGTAATGTTATTTTAAACTATGCAAGATATATTAACTTGTTAATACATGTAAATTTTCTACTTGTCCCTTTGTCATTATATCATGGATATAGGAAACAAAAGGAAGAATTATGTATGCATGGATATAGGAAACAAAAGGAAGAAACAAAAGGAAGAATTATGAAGAATTATGAGTCAGGATAAGCACTCCCATGAACTAGAAAGTCCCTGAGTTAAAGAGTTAAGGAATTTGGTATCCTTCTTTCTGAGTTAAGGAATCTGGTATCCAGAGAATAAATGATAAAAATATCAATGTTACATTTCTGCATGCAGCTGGAAGCAAGACAGGCTTCATAACGGTTCTAGACTTCCACTGTTTACGGTTTACATGGGCATCCTTTTCCTTTCCTCTTCTTTTTTTAAATGTACATGCTATGGATCTATATTGTGACTTAGCTCTTAGCACCTCACAAAAGTCTGCTTGTTTTAGCCCCATGAGCATCTACAGCTTTCTCAGCTCTTTGCTGGGAAGAGGCTTTTAGGGTGGATGTTTATACTACACTTAAGAAAGAATTCCTTCTGCTCTGATGAGCAGGAAAGACAGTTAAAGACAAAAATAAGTCAATAATCTTTAAAAAGGGGAACACATCATCTCACTTCTTCACGCAAACCCCCCATGACACTGAACCCTTAAATGCAGATAAGCCTAAAACTATATATAACCCTGGACTTAGCAGTTTTATATGCTAATGCATTTCCGTTTTCTTTAACTCAAGGTAGTTTGAGTTGTCACTAGCAACAGTTTAGATTAATACAGACACCAAATTATTAACAGTAATTATCTTCTAGTAGTGAAATTACAGGTGACTATTTTTCCTTTCCGTTTTGTTTGCTTTTTAGTATTGATAATAAATTTACTAATTTTTCAATAAAAGAAAAACTAAGGCATTATTTTAATGTATGGAGGAGAGAGATGGAACTTCACTGGGGATGGAGAGCTGATGGACACCCAATCAACCTAAGAAAAGGATGCTTCTTGGCTATCTCCACTCCCTACTCCACTTCCAGGGTTCTCTCGAACTCCATTCCCCACCCCCAATCCCAACACTCAGGTTTCTTGCATAATCCAATTTTTTAAATCCAGAGATAGGGGAACAGCATTAATAATTTCTGAAAGTCTCTGCCAAGTCTGTGATTTTCAGAATGACCCCTATTCCTGCTTGGGTCATAATTTAACTCTAATTAAATCTAAGGTTGGTGCTGTATTTTTCTGTGCAAGAGAAAAGCACAGAATATGAGAAATTCTTTTTTCTTTCCAGTAAACACTTTCATACTTAAAGAAAAAGAGAACAACTATTGATGGGACTTTGGACACGGACAGCTAGAAATTCCATTGAAGTTAGTTTGAACTTGTTGAGCATGTTTCATTTGCAAAGAACAAAAAAAAAATGGGCATAATTTGCTGCTGGAAAGAGTTGGTCACCTACCTCCTCATTCAAGCTCCTCATTCAAGGAAGTGACACTATTACCATGAGGAGTCATGGAATGTATCTGGGGACTGACTCATCTGGGGCTCCCTAAGACAGGCTCTGGGTCTCTCTGGAAATTTGGATAACAATTTGGGACCTGTGGCCATCTCAAGGTTCTTGTCTGTGACCAGTAAGTCTGGGCAGAGGACAAAGAGTATCAGCATTCATTTTGGCAAGCAAAATAAACTGACTCTGGATAATTTATGCAAAAGCTGAATTTATTTAAAGCTATTTTAGTAGTTCAGAGAACCTGCAGGAAGACCAGAAAATTAGGCTTGAGGGTCTCCTAGCTAGGAACTCACTCAGGGTTATGCCACAGAAATGATTAGAAGACATCACTGCCTCTGTCACTGTCCCTGGACTCAGACCCAGCAGCCAGTATCTACCACCCCCAACACTACCTCTAGGCAGGCAGACAGGCAGGCAGGGAGGGAGGGAGGGAGGAAGGAAGGAAGGAAGGAAGGGAGGGAGGGAGGGAGGGAGGGAGGGAGGGAGGAAGGAAAAGAGGAGGGAGGAGGGAGGAAGGAAAAAATGGGACGAAGGGAGGAGGGAAAGAATGAAGGGAGAAAGGAAAAAAGGAGGACTGAAGGAAGAAGGGAGGAGGGAGAGAGGAAAGGAGGGAGGGAGGAAAGAAAAAGATTGCCTAACTATAACAGCAAGCCAGTTGGTGGTAGTACCTTCATGCCCTTTCTTCCCTGCAGGGGACATTGCTGGACACCTTTCTGATGGATTATTTCTTATAGGTTGGTTGGGAGCCCTGAACACACTGAGTCTGCCCCAAGCAAGATGAGCAGTTCTCACCTTATGGCCACCTCTTCACTTCCTGCTGGGGCCTTCCAGCATGGCTCATAGAGTGATCACTGGCTTCACTTCCTTTGGCTGAAGCTCATCTGCCATATCTTCTTTGAAAGCAAAGAAGCTATTTTAATAAAGCCCAAGGAGGTTAGCAAGAAATTATTTCTGCTCTGGAATATGGGCTCTGTTGTCACATCATCTAAGAGAACCTACAAATCTAGACTTTTGTGTAAATTTGAAAATTATTCCAGTCTTGCATCTTAATCTTCAGTTTGTAATCCTTAAGGGAACTCAAATCTTAGTCCAAGAAGAGGCCTTTAAAAAAAAGGGCATTTCTGCCCCCCACCCCCACCCCATCTGCTCTTCTTGCCTCGTTTAATAACACCTTACTTCTCACAAACCCCTTCTGATGTTGTCCATCTCACTAGGCCAAGGAAACCCAGCTATGCTCCCAGGAACATCAAGAGATTGCTTCCTTACCACCCCCTGACCCCTTACCTACTCCTGTGCCCCAACACTGCAGAGAATGGTGAAGTATTTCTGTCTGATTTCATGAAGCTTGTCACCATTTCTTTCAGATCCCAGCCAGGGAGTTGCTGGAAACAATCAACAATGAAAATAATATGGTGTTGCAGTCTGCTATGGGCTGAAGTGTGTCCCCTTAAAATATATGTTGAAACCCTAACTCCCAGCACTCAGGATGTGACTGTATTTGGAGACAGGGCCTTTGAAGAGGCGATTAGGTTAAAATGATGCTGTTAAGGTGGGCCCTAATCCAATCTGACTGGTGTTCTTTTAAGAAGAGGAAATTTGGACAAACATAAGAGACACCAGGGATATGTGCACACAGAGGAAAGGGCACATGAGGACTCAGGGTAAAGGTCACCATCTACAAGCCCAGGAGAGAGGCCTCAGGAGAAACCAGATCTGCTGACACTCCCATCTGGAACTCCAAGGCTCCAGAACTGAGATAAGATACATTTCGGCTGTCTAAGTCACCTGGCCTGTGGTAATTTGTTATAGCTCCAGCAGGCCAATCCACAGGCACCGGAGGGAGGCAATAGGCAGTAAAAAGGGGGAGGATCTCAGACAAAAGCCCAGCCTCCTCCTTATGCAGGATTGGAACCCTCAGGTCACAGAGCCTGAGTTCGGATACAGGGGGTGTTCGACCCAGCAAGGTCTACTGAGCCTCCCGCAGGATTTCATGTAAAGTAGTGTATCTATAATAATGAGGGGTTACAGATTATAGGAAAGGCTCTTAGAGGTTCCTTCTAAATCCCCAAGGGATTTTCCTTCATTACAGAATGTGAGAATTACTGTCACAAATATCCTGTAAAAATTCTATAGCAGCAAACTCGCAGTATAAAAATATACCAAAAGGTCTTTTCCAGAGTTCATGTTAATACAACAAAAATAATCTCAGAAAAATTTAGAGGTCCATGAATTCAGATTTGATCCAATATATTTTCTCTAAAATCTCTAACAATCCCCAGATTTAGCCAACCCGATAATATTACCACTTATGGCTGGGTACAGTGGCTCACACCTGTAATCCCAGCACTTTGGGAGGCCAAGGCAGGTGGATCACCTGAGGCCAGGAGTTCGACACCAGCATGACCCACATAGTGAAACTCCATCTCTACTAAAAATATGAAAATTAGCTGGGCGTGGTTATGGGCGCCTGTAATCCCAGCTACTCGGGAGGCTGAGGCAGGAGAATCGCTTGAACCTGAGAGGCGGAGGTTGCAGTGAGCCGAGATAGCGTCACTGCACTCCAGCCTGGGTGACAAGAGCAAAACTCCATCTCAAAACAAACAAACAACAACAACAAATATATATATATATGTATGTGTGTGTGTGTGTATACATATACACACATATATACATATATACTTATATATATACGTATATATGTACACATACGTATACATATGTATACATACGTATATGTATATATACGTATATATATAACCACTTATTCTTTTCTAGAATCTCAAAATAAGCAGCTAAATTAATTCCTTGGGAGAAGTCAAGAAAAAGGTCACTCAAGTCTGCGTAACAAGTGAACAAGATCTATTTCCCATTGATGATCCCACAGAGTGGACTCTAAGCAAAAAGGAATAAAACCCCCATCAGCCCAGGGAGGGAAAAAGAGCCAGGCTTCTGGTGCTTCTCAAAAGGATCTGCCTTAAAGTACAATTCTGATAAACACCTCAGTGAGGAACAGGTGATTGCAATGCATTGGTAGAAGTCTCATTTATCATTTAGTCCAATATAATTATTCTGACCTATTCTATTTCATACCAAAATAACTTTGGAGGAATCCAATGGAGTTTGGCAGAAACACTTTTGGGGGGATGAAAAGAAACGTAGCTTTTGCAGTGTCATTCTTTAATATGAGCCACAAAAGACTGTGTAGGGGTGGGGGTGTCTACTCAAATCACAGAGGTGAAAAGACTTAAGACATGAGATCCAAGAATAAGAAAAGATTTATAGATCCTAAAATGTATAGAGTATGAAAATGGACACCCTTTAAAAGTATTGTATGACATGGTCAAGTTTTAAGGAAAGAAAGAAAGAAAGGGCTTAATGAATCCACCTCTTCTAAAGAAATTGGTCCCCCAAATTTCCATTTCATTGCCATGACAACTAGTACTCCATCATTGCCATGGTAACCAGCTGAATAGCATTAGTCTAAAGACAAGCTCTCTGATTGGGTGACCAACGAAAGCCAGTAGGTGCCCCACCACAATGCTGAAAGACTGTTTTGCAATCACTTTGACCTATTTCTAGCTTTTCAATGTGTTTTAATTCTCCAAAGTGTTTCCCTAAAACCAAATGTTTTTTGGAATGAGACAATTTCAAGAAGTGCATAATAACTGTATTCCTGCATCTCCCTGCTAAGTTCAAGACCTTGTTTTCTATCCCAGAAGTGTGGTAATGTATGACAGCCATACCCTTCACCATGACTTGCAGTTTAATTATGACATCCCCTCTGTTACAGCAACTAGGCATGCTAGCCACATCTAAACCAGATGTTGGTTGCTGGTGACAACAAGCTGCCTTCTTTGTTTGATGAGGCCACTGACAAGTTGAACTGCAAGGAAACTTTGACGGTGGGAAGTGACAATCCAGTAAAATAACAGAGGGGGGCCAGGTGCAGTTACTCTTGCCCATAGTCCCAACACTTTGGGAGCCTGAGGCAGGAGGATCATCTGAGGTCAGAGGTTTGAGACCAGCCTGGCCAACATGGTGAAATCCTGTCTCTACTAAAAATACAAAAATTAGCCAGACGTGGTGGTGGGCGCCTGTAATCCCACCTACTTGGGAGCCTGAGGCAGGAGAATCACTTGAACCCAGGAGGCAGAGGTTGCAGTGAGCTGAGATTGTGCCATTGAACTCCAGCCTGGGTGACAGAGCAAGACTCCATCTCAAAAATAAATAAGTAAATAATGGGGGGAAGGGATACATGCATATGGAAGTGCTCTTGTTTATATGCGCATGTAAACCAGTATTTATAATTTAAAAATGGCTTTTAAAAAACGCTATCCTTTTAAAAAGCTGTTGAGATGATGATGATGATTGAGGATGATGGTGGTGATTATTATTATTATTTTATAGATGGGACCTCCCTATGCTGTCCAGGCTGTTCTTGAACTCCTGAGCTCAAGCAATCCTCCCACCTCAGCCTCCTGAGTAGCTGGGGCTACAAGCATGTACCACTGTACCTGCTCGCTGTTAAGCTTTTTAATAAAAACATATTTTTCAGCTGATAATCTTGCTGGGTACTTGCTCAAAGCCAACTGCATATATATTCATGAATCACTCGTAGCATACTGTTGGAAGCAGAGATACCTTGGGAAACCTATTCCACCCCTAGCCCACCCCCTCTTAGTTGGACCACACTTTTGTTAGGTGTGTACTGTTGAGAAACTTCCTTGAAAAATAGCAGCTCTGGACTTTCATAAAATACGTGTTGAGAACCTACCAGTAGGCAGTGCCAGAGTTGCTAAAGCAATGGACTTGAAAGTGCTGTCTAGTTAGAAGGCGGGGAGTTAGAGAAAGGAGGGAAGGCACCTGCCTTGAAACTGGGTTTGCAGAGCACATACAACTGAATATCACAGATCAATGAAAACAAAGATTTCTCAAGACACCTTTATCAATTCAACAAATATTTCAGAGCACCTGCTAGGTAGCACTCATCTAAATGCTCAAGATACATAGTGACAGACAAGGCCTGCCCTTGTGGAGTTAACGTTCACATTTTACAAGAGAGTGGGAAAATGGCAATAGTTCATATCCAAGAATAGAACTATTTTGTGTGGAATGATAGAAATTATGGGGTACTCCAACCCTGAGCATTCCTTGGCACGGCCACTGGTGTTTGTTATGCCCCAGCCACTGTGCAAAGGCTGGAAATGCAAAGGTCAGCAGAAACGGGCTTAGCCCTTGGCCTCAGGAAGTTTATAGAACAGAAAGGAAGGGAGTTACTCAGAAGTAAATGGTCAACCACTTACAATGGTGATCAGGGCTCCGAAGGAAAGGAACCGAAGAGCCCTTCGCTAAAGGAGACTGAGCAGGGCTGGGCAGAAACAGGGCTAGGGTGCCCGAGGAAGTGATGACTGAGATGAGGCCTGAGGGATGCAGGGATAAAGGGTGACATAAGATAGAGGGTGAAGAAAAGCATGCAAGACACAGGGAACAGCATGGGCTGCTCCTGGGACCCAAACAGAGCCAGGGAAGAACGCATGCGAGGAGCCTGGGGAAGGAGCCGGGCTCCACATGCAAGCAGCGGTATTTATTAAAAATAAATCCTTAGATCTCGAAGCCATGTACTAAGTCAAAATGTGCTCCCTAATCAATTTAATATGATTTTAGTTTGAATCTATACATGGAAAACAATGTTTTTGTTTGTGGTTGAAGATGATAATAAAGGGGATATGGTTTGGTTTGAGATTAGAATAAAGAGGATTTCAGCGCAACAATTTTTGAGCACCACTTACATACCAACACTAAGTGTAAAAAGACAAAAGACCCAGTACCTGTTCCTTACAGCTTACTCATACACACAGAACTATATGCAAATCCATCTAGAAAACCCAGAAAGTGACAAGGGAGAGAGAGGTATGTGCATGGGACAACCTTCACCTGAACGTTTGCATCTAGACTAGCCCAGGAGAAACGGTAGCTACCATTGTTAGCCCACCGCCTTAGGGAAAAAGGCATTCAACGTATCAGCTGAATTACCCCATAGGGTACCACTGTGAAGATCAGAGTTTTATTTGAAGATCTACTCTGAACCTCCAGAGAAAATTCCATTTCTCCCTCCTAGGAAAGAATTCAGTAACAGTAGTTTCTTATCTAGCCACAGTACCAGGATAAATTCACTTTAAATGCATGTATGAGAATAGAAACATGCACAGCTAGCACCAAGAGAACATATGTAACCCATGAGAAATGACTAAAAGTTTAGAATATGCCTCATAGGGGGAAAAATTCAATAGCTACCAAAATGAGTCTTTCTACACAGCTAGAACAGAGTCCAAGCAAAACCCTCTGACCCAAGATAAGGAATCCCACAGGCAGAATGACTAATACTAACAGATGTATTTGGTCTCTTCAAAGCCATTTAGAAATGAAAAGCACTACATCCAAATGTTTATCATCACTGTTAATAATTGCTATTTTTGCCTCTATATTCACGATCTAAACTTGACAGAGTAACTCAGATCACACAATTCATACAAGTACAGCAAGATAGAGACAGAAGACCTGAATGGAAATCTCAGAGCATGCTTCCACTTCACAAAGGCATAGTCTCTGTCAGATAAACAAGATTTAAAGTATGGGAAGCAACAATACCACAGATAAAATTGCTACCTGGCAAGGGAGAACACCTTACTGTGGATCTGTTTGTAGAGTCTCAGAATTTTCTATCTGGAAGGAAACCTACAGGCCCCTATAGACCAACCTTCAGCATAATTGCTAACCTAGTCATTGGATTAAAAAAAGGAAAGGAGGGGAAAAGGGACAGAAAGGGGAAGAAAGGGAGAGACGAAGAGAAGAAAAAAAAAGGGAAGGGGGAGAAGGAAGAAAAAAATCAAGTGAATGAAACAGTACAGGGATGAAATCATAATCCTGCAGCTCAACGCTTACTTAGTTCTCTGTCTCCTCCCAGGTTGACTCCAAACGATTGATATTCACTAGTTAGGAGGTCTGATCAGGTATAGATAAGCTGTGCCATACAAAGGCCCCAGTGGGCTTATCCTGTCTTTAAAAATAACTCCAAAGTACTGCATCAAAGCCTTTGCAGAAAATCCATATGCACTCCCAGGGCTCTGACCCATAAAACATTCTTACCAGGGACCTGGATGAGGCCATATACTGTGCGATGACCATGGGCCAATGGAAATCTTTTGAAAACTTGCTGGAAGGTCCACTGTGTAACCTACTTTGTTGTTTTTTAATCTGGATAAAGGACATTTCAGCCCGTAGCACCCAGGAAGGGTATTATGTGAATAAATGAGGTGTTCTCTTTCATGACTAATTTCTGTGCTTCTAGATAAATTTCCCTAATGAGGAGTTCTCTATTGAAATTTTCCTTCTTCCCTTCCTTAGTCCCTCTTCTCTCCCACAAATTGTAAGACATGTTTCATACCCTAGAAAAGCTCACAGTCTAATGAGTGAGAGAAGACATTTATTCCTTCATGGAGGTCTGAAATATCATAGCATTTCCAGTAGTACAAATAGTTTAGAAGGCTCAAGTCCAAGTCGAGAATAGACACATCTTACTCCAGCGAACAAGGCAGAAAGTTAAATGCCATGAGAGTGGGATGAACAATTGGGACAGGGTCCTTGAAGGAGAAGAAATTACTTCCAATAGGGGATATAGGGGAAAACTTAATACAAAAGGTGGCCTTTCCCTGGGTCTTTTAGGAGGCATAGGGTTTTGGCAGGTAAAGATGGCAAGAGGTGATGATCTATCCTAGATCAGAGGTTTTCTTTCTCTTTTTTTTTTTTTTTTTTTTTTTTTTTGAGATGGAGTCTTGCTCTTGTCACCCAGGCTGGAGTGCAGTGGTGTGATCTCGGCTCTGCAACCTCTGCCTCCTGGGTTCAAATGATTCTCCTGCTTCAGCCTCCCGAGTAGCTGGGATTACAGGCACCTGCCACCACACCCGGCTAATTTTTTGTATTTTTAGTAGTTGCATTTTAGTGGTTTCACCATGTTGGGCAGGCTGGTCTCGAACTCCTGACCTCAGGAGTTCTGCCCACCTCAGCCTCCCAAAGTGCTGGGATTACAGGTGTGTGCCACTGCGCCTGGCAGATTGGAGGTTTTCAAACTGCAATCCCTGGTCCTGCAGCATCAGCAACACTTAGAAATACAAAAGCCAGGGTCTTACCCTTGACCTGCTGAATCAGAAATGAGGCTTAGCATGCTTTGTTTAGCATCCCAGTGATTCTGATTCATACTTTATTGGAGAATCAATAATCTAGATTTAAGATCCTTAGCCTGGGGTCTGTGAATGTGGATAGGAAAAAAATACATCTTTATTTTCCCTAATGTCTAACTGAAATTTAGCATTTCCTTCCATTACAGATGTAGGCCATAAATTGCCACGATAATTATTAGGACCAATGCCATATCATGTTATTAAATGTATTAATAAAGAAGAATGCATACAACATAGCAGATTTTTAAAGATTTTTATAACTGTATTTCAATATAATTGGTTTCTTTGTAATTTCGTGTATCATTTTATACATTAAAAACATTGTGAGAAAGTGTATGCTTTGCAGGCTGCCAATGAAATCTCATCTTTTATCATACCAAAAATGTGAAGAACCCCTAGTCTAGAAGGATTCCAGACAAAGAAAACTCGGAGCAAAGGCAAGAAAATACATGGCCAGCCAAGTATTCCATTTTGCGTAAAACTGAGGTAAAGCAAGGAAATGCCGGAAGAGAAAAAAGAAAAGGCTGAACCTGATTGTCAGAACTGGACTTCTTCCAGCAGACTCTGGGGAGCTACTTAATCAGGACTTTTTAAAAAGAGGGAGCAAGAGGCAGAGCCAACGAGACACAACCAGCTCAGGGTTTTCAAAGAATTCCCTAGCAAAGGTAAGAAGGAAGGCCTGGAATAGAAAGAAACAGAAGGTGAGAGACCAAGCAGGAGATGAGATTTCTAATCCAGGCTTATCTAATAGCCCAAAGTGAAGAAAGAACTGACTATGAAAATGGGACGAATATGAGAGTGCTGTGAAAATTCAGCAGTGACTAAAACAGAAGAATCAAACATGACTCCAAAGTCTGAAGAGAAGGCGACTGGGACAAGAGTCATACTAAGAAAGAATTAAGGATGCCAAGTGGAGCAAGTCTGGCAAAGGAAAGTGCTGAGTTGCCTACAGGATATCCGGGTGAAAACATCCAGCAGTTATTTATCCGCCTGGGACAGTACTGACCTTTAAGACTTACTGTATCTCCTGAATAGCCTATTTGGACTTCATCAAGAGCTTTTCCCAAACAGGGATTTTTATCTTGCGGGCCCATGGACTCATGGGGAGTCCCATGAACCTCCCAAATTATTAAAGAAAATTTTATTTGTGTTCATGGACATTTGGGGAGAGGTATGTACTTTCATTACAAACTCAAGGAGCACGAAACTCCCTTTTCCCTCACAAAAATGTTAATACTCTCCATTCATCCTTCTAAACACTCCAAGCAAGGTAAGCCCTCTTGTCTGAAAATTTGGGGAGGGAGCATGAGTCTCAGAACAAACAGAAAATGCCTCAGGAACAAAGCAGCAGCAGCAGTTACAGTCATGCGTGGATGGTTCTGAGTCAGGAGAAGCTCACTGCACAGTCACCAGATGAGGAAGGCATTTGGAATGTCTTGGTTAAAACTCACTGGAAATGACAGAAGAGTTTCTGACTCATTTCTTGAACCAATTCTTGCCTGAATACCTGTCTCTACAAGAGCAGTCATTAATGCCCCAACCTTAAACAGTAAAAATTGTCATTTTTATAAACATCATACTGCTCAACTTCCCACTGTCCAAAGAAGCTGAGCTGCACGGGTTGTCCCAGGATGGAAAAGAAGCCACAGCCAAGAAGCTGTGTCTTGCTTTAGTGTTGCCATCTACTGGCTGGTGCTCACTGACTCTCATTCCCAATCTTTTCACTGCCAAAGGAAAGATTTTGCAATTAGGCTGCTTTTTTTATCCAGAGCCTCTCTAGACAGTTCAGTCCCCAAGAGGTCAAAAAAAAAAAGTTTTTTTTAACAGAAACCTACCAGCTCCAAAAAAAAAGTAAGGCAAGACCAAATGTCAACAATGTTACTAGGAAGCTTCAGCACTGACTAACAGAGTTTATGGTGAATGCTCCCTAAATGTTAGCCCCACATAATTAAGACAAAAGATGCTTTTAATGTGTTGTATATGAAGTGATTATGAATAAGCAGAGGTTTGTGCCCACAGAATGGAATAGGGATATAACAGCATTGAAAATTGTTATTGTTGTTGTTGTTTCGTTAAAAGTAATTCTCTTTGCTAGGCTGTGTGTAGAAAGTGGTTATCCTGGTAAGCTTAATAAACATAGTGCCGGGGATTCTGGCTGAATAGCTGAGAGTTAGAATTGAATGGGTTCTCACATACCCCATGGAGGCAGGAAGCAAGGACCAGGTTCCCCAAGTGAGGACTTTGTTGCTCTTATTGAACTACAATGAAAGGGTCTTGTACACTTACTTCATAAGCCCATGGCACTGACCAGAACAGCAAAGATTCTTTATTTCCGAATGCCATAGTAACTCTTTTCACTATTCTTTCGTGTGTGTGTGACAGTACTCACTCTGTCACTCAGGCTGGAGTGGCATGATCTTGGCTCATAGCAGCCTCCATCTACCAGGCTTAGGTGATCCTCCCACCTCAGCCTCCTGACTAGCTGGAACTTACAGGCACATGCCACCACACCCAGCAAAATTTTTTTTCTTGTATTTTTTGTAGAGATGGGGTCTCACCGTGTTGTCCAGACTGGTCTCAAACTCCTGGGCTGAAGTGATCTGCCACCCTCAGCCTTCCAAAGTGCTGGGATTACAGGCATGAGCCATGCCTGGCCTCTCTTCACTCTTCTTGTGTTCACTTCCTCCTTCCCTGGTTTTTTGTTTTTATTACTTTTCTTCCTTTCCTCTTTATGAACTGTCTAACCCCACATCTACCTTCCACCTCATCATACTGGCACAAACTAAGAGCTAAAAGGAAAAGAGAGTTGCACTTAATTCTCCTCATTCATATGCTTTTCCCTTCTTTTCCTTTTTGCTTTTTAATCCAGCAAAGCACCTTATCTTTCACTCACGTTCACATTAAAATTTAGAAGACTGATCATGTTTGGCCTTTCCGTCCAATATCACCTTCCTATAAAATCAATACATATGGGTGATAAACGTAAGTCACAACCACCATCTTATGCATCAGCAAGCCCGCAGCACGTAATACAATTAAAGACTTTTTTGTTGATTAATGAAAGGAGAGGTTGCTAATCCTTTCCTCCTATAACTTAAGGAACAGAAGGAGGAAGAAAGAATATAGTGCCCTTAGATGTCAATTGTCCCTCCTCCCTCCTTTGCGGTCAGGACCCCTCAAAAAAAAAAAATTCGCTCAAGGAGTTATTGAAGGTTTCAAAGAGGAGAGAGGAGAGGTTTACATTGTAACCTCACAACTGACACCCTGAGAGACCTCCCCCTATGCATTCTCCACCTGCTTTGCTGTAGTGCATCTAAGGGTCTATTTAATTCTACTAGGCTGAGTTGAGCCTCTTGGCTCCTCTCTCTATCACACCCAGCCATCTCTTCCCCCTGAACCATATTCTTTCTCCAGGGAAGGAAAAATGAAAGCCTTGCAGGTAATAAGGCCAATCCTACTCCAAGTATCTCCTCAAAGTATTTTCTCTAAACATTTAATACTTTCCCTAAGAATTTTCTTACCAGCTGTTAAGTAGTTGACATTTTTTCAATATTGTTACAATTCCCACCTGTAAAGTTTGATAAATCTATACGATTTTTTTTTAAAGCTAGATATCTCTTCAGGTGCTGGTGGTCCCCCTTCCTTGGAAGTTAATTCCCTGAGGACAGAGACAAAAAACTTATCTTCCTCTCCTCAATGTCATTCATCCATCCTTTTAAAATCAAGCAAGACTATAGGGGCTCAACTTTAATAACATAAAACATTATTGCTCCTGGAGATCTGTGTTGGTTTTCAAACTAAAAATGACATTTAATAAATACTATAAGAAGCACTTTCTCAAGCTTTCCAAGGACAACTATACTTGCTAGACTAGATAGTTACATTCACAAAAACTGGCCTTGTTATTAAAAAACATAGTAGGAAAAAATATGCAAATAAGTCACTTTGTCTGTATAAATGGTTTACTGTGGAACTGAATGATTCCACATCAACTTAGCCGTATATAATTTGGTCAAAAACTTTAACTGGAATGTCCAGGCCTTGGCCAATGGGAGCTTAAAATGAGGTCACATTTATTTGCTAATATCCATTAGGAAAATGTCAACTCCCCATTCTGCTTAATTACAGGAATTCCAGGCTCTTGACAAATTCCTCTGCTTACTATTTCTGGAAATCAGGACTCCAATCCAGTTGTCTGCTGCCTCCGCCACTCATCTGCCTCCTGACCACATTCCCTGTACACAGGCTGACAGGGGCTCTGTGGCATACCACCTTTGGCAATTCCTGGACTCAACCTTCCTCCTGCTACTGCTGCCCTCCCCTAAAAGAAGGCAGAAAACCCTCTTTTAATTCTTTGATCACATTGCTCAGCCCATCCACAACTTTTAGCAAAAACTTCTTGGAAAGTTCAGGAAAATAGAAGGGGGCATTATGGCATCAATATCTCAAAGCTGTACTGTATGTGGTGATTCCCAGAGAACAGCAGTTCAGATGTACCTCATGTCCCTTCAAGCTGGGATTCTACTGAGATATGGAAATATTATTCAAAAGATATGAGAATAGAGATCATTTTAAGAAAATCAATTTTTAGGAAATCAATTTCAGATTCCTCAACTTCCATATGAACTCTCTCCTAAGAACCTGTGAAAGTGCTTTTAGTAAACTAAGCTTTTTCTACCTTCTCCTTTAATAACTGCCTTTCTCTTACCAAAAAATAAACTTACCTCTCACCCATACGTTTACCATAGCGTATTAGGAGACCATTTTCCATGGGTTTTTTCATGTTCTGCAGGTCTTGAGAGTAAGGCATCAACTGCCCTTAGTTCTGCACTATCTCTACAGGTTTCAGTGGGAAGATGGCTCTGCCATCACCATGTCAGACTTCTAGCCTGCAGAACTGAGAGACAATACATTTCTGTTGCTTTAAACCATCCAATTTTTGGTATTTTGTTATGGGAGCTCTAGGAAACCAACACACTTACTGGCTGGAATAGGAATGTCTCCCTCTGGAGCAAAGGGAAGGCATGCTTACAAACCATTATAAAAGATTGGGGGACGGGCACGGTGGCTCACACCTGTAATTCTAGCACTTTGGGAGGCCGAGGCGGGCGGATCACGAGGTCAGGATATCAAGACCATCCTGGCTAACACGGTGAAACCCCGTCTCTACTAAAAATACAAAAAAATTAGCCGAGCATGGTGGCAGGCACCTGTAGTCCCAGCTACTCGTGAGGCTGAGGCAGGAGAATGGCATGAACCCGGGAGGCGGAGCTTGCAGTGAGCCGAGATCACGCCACTGCACTCCAGCCTGGGCGACAGAGTGAGACTCTGTCTCAAAAAAAAAAAAAATTGGGTTTCCAAAGATCAGAATTCTCACATGCATGTGAGCAGGCATCCATCTGGGCCCATCCACATTGGCCCTGATAGAACTGAAGCTTAAGAAATCAAAAATGCAAAAATGATGTTATCCAGCCCCTGCTATTACTAGAATAACTGTCTTGTGTCTTCTGTCCACATCTGTGAAACTATGTCAGGGAAAGTTGTTAGCTAGCAAATACGGTAAAATTGCAAATCCTTCCCAGTTTTTAACATGGGGTATTATTATCATAGGGTGTAAAAATATCTGTCCAACAAACAAAAGAACATTTAGACAATTTCTTTAACCAAATCACTGTAATATTATACCTATTCAAATTTCAATGTATTTCAAATTAAATATAACTTTTTTTTTTTTTGTCTTTTGAGACAGAGTCTCGCTCTGTCACCCAGGCTGGAGTGCAGGAGTGTGATCTCATCTCACTGCAACCTCTGCCTCCCAGGTTCAAGCGATTCTCCTTCCTTAGCCTCTCGAGTAGCTGGGATTACATGCGCCCACCACCATGCCCGGGTAATTTTTTGTATTTTTAGTAGAGACCGGTTTTACCATGTTGGCCAGGCTGGTCTTGAACTCCTGACCTCAAGTGATCCACCACCTCGGCCTCTCAAAGTGCTGGGATTACAGGCGTGAGCCACCGCACCCAGCCAAATGTAATTTTTTAAGTTTAATATTTATTAAAATGTCATTTGGTCATTAAACTCTTAGAGCCTATGGTAACACAAAAAACACTTACATCTATAATATACTGAGTAATATTTAATAAGGTAACCAATAAGACTGTTAAGCAAAAAATAAATTCATTTTAGGATAAAATTCTTCAGAAGAAGAAGAATGGAGTTCAGGGAGCAAAAGGAATCAAACAATATTTCCAACTGTTACAAAGCGTGTTAAAGTATTTTTAAAAATGGAAAATGGTAGCTATCAAAACTCTATTGTACCAACATTTCACTGGATACATTTAAAAGACCGAATAACATTTTAAAATGCCAATATTTACAATACATAATAAAATGCTTCTTTTGAGGCTATTTAAACATAATGATTTTAGATATTCTTTTAAAAAATCAATCAGAGTCTCATGGTTTTTCCAAAATTTGTAGGGAGGTATGCAAGTAACAAGTTTGAAGACTATTCACTGCCTACTTGTTACAGCCCTTTCAGCTCCTGGCCACCCGGGTGGCTGGGGCCAGGTCACCTTATTTCAAGCATCAACCAAGCAGACACCATGTTGGTCTTGGTTAACTGCTATATCATTACCCTTAACATAGTTGATGTTAAATTAATGAATGTTGAATATTAGAAATCATTCACCTCTTTCCATCCACTTCTGCTTCAGGGACTGCTCTGACACTGGCCTAGCCTGAAATGACTGACATCAGGATGACCCTGGGGGGTAAAGGGTGTGCCCTACATTGTCGTATCTTGTCATAACAAAAGTGAAATGAGTCTAGACCTAAGCTGGATCAACCGGCTGAGTCATAAATCTCAGACTGAATCAGGCATTAGATTTACAAATTTAACTGGATTGTAGAATTACTCTACAGTTTTTAGGACCAGCAAAAGCAGAATTCACTCTCTAGGGACAAAGTTAGCAAAAGTCCCAATGACTGTCTTCCTTTCCTAGATCAATGTCAAGCGCCATCCTCCGTTTTCCGGCCATTCTCGCCGCACGTCTAAGCAGTCATCTTTCAGGATGCAGTCCCATGTCATTGCCTCTTGTGACCCTCTCCTGAGTGCTACCATCACTTAGAACCCTAACCCCAGATTCTGACATTAGGAGGGACTACAGAAGGGGGAACCCATTTGCATCTCTCCATTTTCTAGTGGTGATATTTTACACATACCCTACGGTTTTAAATTTGAAGTACCCTAGAAACAGACCTTGTTATCAAAAGCAGATTGAAAAAATATGCAGACAAGGCATTAATGAAACCTTACGGATTTACACCATATCAAGAGAAGTCTCCAAAGGCAGAAATGCACATCAAGCCTATTTCTTCTGACTCATTTCCTCTGGAGAAGCAGCTTAGAATAATTCAGGCAAAAGGCCACGAAATAATTGCATTGGTAACAGGAACCTGGTAGAAAAGTAGAGAGGGAATTGCTAAATTAAATTAAACCTACAGGGCTTTTGTGGGGAGTCACATAGCATGTTTTTTGTTTCTCACTTAGGAGAAAAAAAATCTAGTTTTCTTACATTTTTACTTGAAAAAAATCAGAGGCTACTTTAATGCTTTTATACAATAATTAGTGCAAATACACTAAAAGTGATCTTTTACATAATAATAATAAATAACATGGTAAAAATACACTTGAAAAGATTTTAGTTTTGAGTAACTTTTCCTGCCAAATAACCTGCCAAATACATACAGCAATGCTTGGCCGCAGTTGGCCAAAGGCCTTGTGTGTTCATGAAGTGGCTAGGATTAATTGTGGTCACCCTATTAGTATCAACACTGACCTTTCCCCCTCTATGTATTCCTTCCTCGCTGCCTGAAAAAAAGTAACTGGTTATAAAAACAATCAAAATGAATACTTTCAGATGCTGTTTCCCAAAACTGGGTCAGAGACTACTGGTGTATGTCCTGGATCTCAGAGGCATGGGAAGAAAGGTGGCTAAAGCAGAAGCTATGAGAAAGAAATCAGAAACTAAGGTAAGAGAGGATGGGGCTGGGCACAGTGGCTCACGTCTGTAATCCCAGCACTTGGGAGGCCTAGGTGGGCAGATCACCTGAGGTCAGGAGTTTGAGACCAGCCTGGCCAACATGGTGAAACCCCGTCTCCACTAAACATACAAAAATTAGCCGGGCATGGTGGCGCATGCCTGTAATCCCAGCTACTCATGAGGCTGAGGCACGAGAATTGCTTGAACCAGGAGGCAGAGGTTGCAGTGAGCAGAGATTGTGCCGCTGCACTCCAGCCTGGGTGACAGAGAAGAAAAAGGTAAGAGGATGGGAGGGAGAGAAGGAAGGAAAAGAGAGAGGAAAAGAAGGAAAGAGGGAGGAAGAGAGATAGAGGGAGAGGGAGAGGGAGAGGAAAAAATGTGGAGGAAAATAAATAATCAACAGTAATTAAGAGAGAAAATTAACCATGAGGAAGGAATAAAGGAAAGTCATAATATTTACCAAAAAAAATCTTGTGGTCAGGGAGAAAACGGCTGCTTTATTTCAAATTCAGGGTTAAACCTAAGAGTCAGAAATCCTTATAAATTCATATACATTTCTTTTAAAACTCCCCATTGTCTGGAAGATGCTAAGGAACTAAATATGTTAAGAACTAGTAAAAATAAATAAATAAAGGCCAGGCACGGTGACTCATGCCTGTAATCCCAGCACTTTGGGAGGCTGAGGCAAGCAGATCATGAGGTCAAGAGATGGAGACCATCCTGGCCAACATAGTGAAACCCCAACTCTACTAAAAATACAAAAATTAGCTGGGCATGGTGGCACGTGCCTGTAGTCCCAGCTACTCAGGAGGCTGAGGCAGGAGAATCACTTGAACCCTGGAGGCGGAGGTTGTGGTGAGCCGAGATCGTGCCATTGCACTCCAGCCTGGGCAACAAGAGCGAGCAAAACTCCATCCCAAAAAATAAATAAATAAATAAAATAAAGAAAAGCAAAAGAATCAAGGATTTATCCATCCATTCCATATGAACTGTACTTCAAGGTACTAAATAGTTGGAGGTGAATTTCTCTTTGTAGATGTATTCTGGCTAATAATGAGAAAAGGAATAACAATTAGAATATTACCATTTTGTAACCTCTAATGATATAATCTATCTAGGCAATGCCAGTTGTTAGCTGCTTCCTAATAAAATATACAACACCACTACACAAAGAAAAGCTGAATCTGATTAAACATCTTGCTCTAACTTCCAATATAAAGGGGGAAAAAAGGATGAAAAACAAGTGATAGTTCAAGGATACTGTCATCAAAATCCTGACTGTAAAAACCTTACACGAGAAGTAAACTAAACATTCCCATCAAAAGGCAGAGATTGTTGTTCTTTTTAATCTGTCTTATCTCCTTAGTTCTGTCTATAGACACTTCAAATACAAAGATATAAATAAGTAAGTTAAAAATGAGAACATGGAAAACACACACACACACACACCACAGACAGTAAGCATAAGAAAGCTGGAAGGGCCATAAAAACACTGGGCAAAATGGACTTTGGAGTAAGCAGTAGCAGTGGAGATAAAGCAGGAAACTTCATAATGATAAAATGGTGAATACAAGAGAAATAAAAACTATAAATGTATATGGGCCTAATGACAGGGCTCCAAAATACAGGATGGAAAAACTGACAGAAATAAAGGAAGAAAATCACAAATCCACAAGCAGTGCTGGAGATTTTAAAATACCTCGCTCAGTAATTGATAGAGTAACCAAAGGAAAAAAAAAGAAATCATAATATAGGAGAACTAAAATGATGCTATCAACCAACCATAAAAATTTGGGAACAAAAAACCACAAAGATTCTAAAATAGGAAGAGTGGGTAGGTTGGTTAGGCATTTATCTGCCTCCTCTTCTAAACCAGTTCTCTTTCAAACATAATAACTAGGTACAGGTTTGCCACAGAATTGAAGAGAAAGAAAAGAACAGGAAAGGTGCCAAATTTAAGGAAAGAGTGGTCCATCTTTTATTTATATAGCCTTCAAATTCCAGAAAGTTTCCAAAGCCTTTGTTACACACATGATCTCATTCCATCCTAACAGTAACCTTTGAAAAAGCAACCCACATTTCCTTAGCCCCATTTTACAGACAAGGAAGTTGAGCTCAGAGGCTGATTTGCCAAACAAACAAAATTGTGAGTCTGCTTCTAGATCAAAAGGGTGGACATTCACCTGAAGGAATTCCCTGGGAAAGTAGTGAAGTACCAATTATTTTCTTTCTAGAAAGTACATTTTCTGCTGGACACAGTGGCTCACACCTGTATTCCCACTTGGGAAGCTAAAGAGGGAGGATCACTTGAGCCCAGGATTTCGAGACCAGCCTGAGCAACATAGTGCGACCCTATCTCTAAAATATTTTTTTAAAATTAGCCAGGCATGGTCCTAGCTACTCGGGAGGCTGAGGCAAGAGGACTGTTGAGCCTAGGAGTTCAAAGCTGCAGAGAGCTATGATCATGCCACTGTACTCCAGCCTGGGCGACAGACCTTGCCTTTTCAAAAAAAAAAAGAAAGAAAGAAAGAAAAGAAAAGTATTTGGACACATTTCTCCCAATATGTCCAAATATCCAAAGCAATTATATCAAGGGTATTGGCTCCTTGGTTAAGAACTGGGCTTTATTTTCACACACTCCCTGAAATGACACAGCCAGAGATCAGGTAGGACCCAGAGAGAACAAAGTTACAAACCCTGTGTCCAAACAGCATCCTAAAATGAAATACTCCTGGATGGAACCCTTGGAAAACTCAGTGTTGACCATATTCCCAGTTACCCATAAAAACTTATCAAGTTGTGGTTTAGAAACAGATTCAAAGAAAGCAGTCTGCAGAAAATACGCAGATTTACTCTTTTAATTAGCAAAACACAGACTTTACAGATCTCATTACTATATTTAGAGAATAAATCTTAGAGTAAAATGACTTTGTTTCTTGGCTTGAACCAAATTATGTGGAGTTTTTATAATTAGAAAACTTTATTGAAGAGCTTCAGAAATAATTTAAGTATCAATATTCAATCTTCAAAAACTCTTCCAGTACAGTCTATGACAGCTGCACAGTAATACATATTGTCTTAGATTTTCTTAATATTCACATCTGCCTTCTGTTCTTTGAAATTCTTTTTGTGTTTATGTTTAAAAATAGATATACAATTCAAATATGTTCTAGGTGAGGACTGGTTATTTAAATAACATATATATGCTTTACTTACACCTCTCTCGGGGTTCCACTGAAGTATATATTCTTCTAGGTATTTGGGGGACTGTGTCATTAAGGCTAATGGTGGTTTAATCTAAGAGGAAAAAAATACATGCATACCAAGGAATATTTTTCAGTTTCTTGGCAGAACACAATAGAGAGGAAAAGTGATTTGACTTTTTAGCTCCAATTGCTTTCAATTTCTTAGGTAAGGTCAATGTTGTAAAATCTGCTGAGACTTTTTTTATAGAACCTGAGTGAATAAAATGCAGAGGTAAATCACTACTTTCTATTTAAAGCAAACTAGCTTTTTACAAAGCTTATGACCATTTTTAAAGAAAAAGAAAGGAGGCCAGGTGCAGTGGCACATGCTTATAAACCCAGTGCTTTGGGAGGCCGAGGCGGGAGGCTCATGTGAGTCCAGGAGTTTGAGTCCAGCCCGAGCAACATAGTGAGACCCAGGTGTGATGGCTCATGCCTGTAATCCCACCTACTCGGGATGCTGATGTGGGAGGATCACTTGAGCCCAGGAGGTTGAGGCTGCAGTGAGTTGTGATTGTGCCACTGTACTCCAGCCTGGAAAACAGACAAGACCCTGTCTCAAAAAAAAAAAAAAAAAAAAAGGAAAAACACATGTTCTTCCCAGAAAATAAAAAATAGGCCAGTAGATTCTTGGTTCTTCTTCTTCTTTTTTTTTTTTTGAGACAGGTCTCGCTCTTTCACCCAGGCTGGAGTGCAGCTGCACAGTCTCAGCTCACTGCATCCTCCACCTCCCAGGTTCAAGCAATTCTCCTGCCTCAGCCTCCAGAGTAACTGGGATTACAGTCACCCGTCACTACAACCGGCCAACTTTTGTATTTTTAGTAGAGATGGGGTTTCACCATGTTGGCCACGCTGATCTCGAACTCCTGACCTCAAGTGATCCACGCGTCTCAGCCTCCCAAAGTACTGGGATTACAGGCGTGTGCCACCGTGCCTGGCCGGTTCTTCTTTCTTCTGCCAGGCAGTCCACCCTAGGTGGGCAGGCTTCCTACATGGACTCTGAGGGGCTCTCTGGTCTCTGCTGATGTTGCTGGCATACCTGCTGTGGACACCCAGTAAAACAGTGGCTCCACACAATCATGGGAAAAAAGACGAATATGACCATTACATTTCACACAAGCTTCAAAGGAACCATCAAACCAGTAACAACTCAATTACTCTTTGTGGCTTCTTTTTATTTTGAATCAATAATCTAGAAGTGAAGGTCTCCACAGCCCATTATGCCTTCACTGATCCACCTACTTCCCATGAACACCTGCCGAAGGAAAGAAATAAGGCAGCATGTGCTAAGATGCAGTGCTGCTTCTAAACATAATTTGTGGGGGGCAGGCATGAAACCCAAGTTCAGAAGTGCTTAAGTACTGAGGTGATTACTCAACTATGAAGAGGTCTTTCAAGCGCACAGTTGATTTTTAGCAAGTACAGCGTATGAAGACCTTCATTTTGATTTTATAAAAGTAGGCTATGTTGCATGAGTATCTAAAAGTGGCTGAAAAACCGACTGCATGCTTTTAAGCCTAAAAATAACCAAGGAGTAGAGCCAAACATGTACATTTCAGCAGAAAAGTGATAAACAGAAAGCGAAGCGGATAATATGCTGAAGAATGAAGAAAGCCCACATGATGGCTTATGCTGACTTTACAACAGAGTGAAACATTCAAACATTAAAGAAGTCAAAACAAATGCAGTTAGGTGTGTACATTACCCCAAAAGAACCCATGGCTATTAAAGCTGCCATGAGGATCTTCTGAACTGTTAAAACCTTACGTCATGCTACCAATCTGACTCACTTTCAGTTTCAATAACTGATAGAAATTTCTTACCAAGACCCTAATTTTGGCATCAAAAATGTTAATTTGTAGATCAGAATCATAAATCTACTAACTCCATATTCATTTGCTAATTTATGAGACAGAAAACATATAGTTCTTAATTCTAAAAAGGCCATTTAATATCTCATCCCTATTACTCTTCCAAGAAGGAGGGAAACAGAGAGGCTGTTTGGAATTGCAGTAGAACACAATGTTTAGAACAACAGAAAAACATATGGGAAAAAAAAAAGCCCAATAAATATTCAATCTACAAGAAATATAGCAAAATAGGGGAAAATACTGAAACTACTTTGCTGTACCATGGAGACACATGGTAGCCCATGACCACTTCCTAGATTACTCTTTGGAAACTTAATTCAATTGGCCTTAATTGCTTATAAAGTGTGCAACACAGGGAGGATTTGTCTTTAATTTAGTTCTGAAAGAGGCATGAATGGATGTAAACTCTATTCACAGACCACCGTAGATCATTAGGGCAATTAAGAACAGTTTCTAGTCTTGAAACCCCTCCACGCAAATCACCTGCTAACCTTTGGCTCCAGGTTTCAGACTTGCAAACACTTTGGGGTTCTTAAGGGCAAGTGAGACCTCATTGAGGAAGGAAATAAAGTGGGAGTCTCTCTCAGATTTCTTTGACTCAAAAATGATGACAATGGTAAAGTGAGGTTCCGGGCGGGTTAGGAAGTAGGTACTCTGAACTTTGTCATCATAGAAGTGGACCACTTTCTCCAAGCTGTTCAGATCAGATGTGCGGTCCGTCATGATCATGATGACATTGGGCCAGTGCATGACTGGCCTGTCGCTGGGCAGAGACACTACAGCTGGATACTGGTCCACACCCTTGGGGGCCTCTCTGTAGGAATGGGGGTGGTGATAACCATGACCCTGAAAACTCTCAGAACCTCTGTTGTCAAAAATTAAGGACACATTGGCAGCATCATATTTTCTGATGAAGCTGGAAATCTTTCCAAAAAAGTCTGGGTTAGCTTTTGCTGTCAACGTTTTCATTTCTGAAGCAGTCGTTTGTCGGCTCAGAGCCTCATGAAAGTAAAAGCTAAACTTGGCAAGAAGCATGTTTTTGAGTTTCATCAGCCAAAGGAAAAGGTGTGGAGGCTGCACGGCCTTCTGAGACTGCCCTCCAAACAGATGTTTCTTGGTCTCCCGCTGTTTCTCAAAGATCTGGCCCCACGTCTGCAGTTTGGTGTGCGCACTGTGTAAATTAACCAGAGATGGGAGGAACTTCCACTCTGAGACCTGGGCCTGGGCTTTCAGGAGATGACACAGGACGTCAACTTCCAGCTGGAAACTGCTTTCCAAAGGACTGAGGATTGGGTGGTGAAATCTAAAGGGGAGAGGGAAATAGAGATAAGTGGAAATGTTACTTCACTTGCCACACTGACATTTTTCTAACCACAAAGCAACAAAATGGCCAAACATAATATTATGCTTCAGGACAGGGGAAGAAAAGATGGAGGAACTACATGTTGATTTATTTTAAAATTCTGATATAATTTCACCATTTCAAAATTATGTCAACATCATATTCTCCTGTGGAAATAGCCTGAGAGTAGTGGCCACTTTTCCTTTCAACAACAGGAATACCAAATTAGCTACAATTCATTTTTTTTTTTTTATTTATTTATTTTAGACTGGTTCTTGCTCTGTCACCCAGGCTGGAGTGCAATTGTACAATCATGGCTCACTGCAGCTCAGTTCCTGGGCTCAAGTGAGCCTCTTGCCTTAGCATCCCAAGCAGCTGAGAACATAGGCACACACTCCATTTTCTGTAGAGACAAGGTCTCCCTATGTTGCCCAGGCTGGTTTCAAACTCTAAGTGATCTTCCCACCTTGGCCTTCCAAAGCGCTGGGATTACAGGTGTGGGCCACCATGCCTGGCCTAAATTAGGTATAATTCTTTCTGAGTGTATTTTATTTATTCTGGCAATTGTATGACTAAAACAATCATTGAAACAAGGCATGCTCTTTTCAGAGTGTGGTCCTAAAGAGGCAGAGGTAAAACAAAAAAAGTCACTAAAACATCTGTTGAATGTGTAGATGACACATATAAACTCATTTAATGTTCACAGTAATGCTATGAGGTATTAAGCCTATCTTGCAGATGACAGTACCTACTATAAGCTTATATGGAAAACACAGTAGATAAAATAAATGTTTATTAAAGAAATAGAGCATTTATCAGACAGCCCTTATTCAATCCTGGTTCCCAAATTCCCTTCATATTAATTATAGTTAAAAACAAAATGGTGTGGGGAGGGAGGAGCCAAGATGGCCGAATAGGAACAGCTCCGGTCTACAGCTCCCAGCATGAGCAACGCAGAAGACGGGTGATTTCTGCATTTCCATCTGAGGTACCGGGTTCATCTCACTAGGGAGTGCCAGACAGTGGGCGCAGGCCAGTGGGTGCACGCACCGTGCGCGAGCCGAAGCAGGGCGAGGCATTGCCTCACCTGGGAAGCGCAAGGGGTCAGGGAGTTCCCTTTCCGAGTCAAAGAAAGGGGTGACGGACGCACCTGGAAAATCGGGTCACTCCCACCCGAATACTGCGCTTTTCTGACTGACTTAAAAAACGGCGCACCACGAGATTATATCCCACACCTGGCTTGGAGGGTCCTATGCCCACGGAATCTCGCTGATTGCTAGCACAGCAGTCTGAGATCAAACTGCAAGGCGGCAGCGAGGCTGGGGGAGGGGCGCCCGCCATTGCCCAGGCTTGATTAGGTAAACAAAGCAGCGGGCAGCTCCAACTGGGTGGAGCCCACCACAGCTCAAGGAGGCCTGCCTGCCTCTGTAGGCTCCACCTCTGGGGGCAGGGCACAGACACACAAAAAGACAGCAGTAACCTCTGCAGACTTAAATGTCCCTGTCTGACAGCTTTGAAGAGAGCAGTGGCTCTCCCAGCACGCAGCTGGAGATCTGAGAACCGGCAGACTGCCTCCTCAAGTGGGTTCCTGACCCCTGACCCCCGAGCAGCCTAACTGGGAGGCACCCCCCAGCAGGGGCAGACTGACACCTCACACGGCAGGGTATTCCAACAGACCTGCAGCTGAGGGTCCTGTCTGTTAGAAGGAAAACTAACAAACAGAAAGGACATCCACACCGAAAACCCATCTGTACATCACCATCATCAAAGACCAAAAGTAGATAAAACCACAACGATGGGGAAAAAACAGAACAGAAAAACTGGAAACTCTAAAACGCAGAGCGTCTCTCCTCCTCCAAAGGAACACAGTTCCTCACCAGCAATGGAACAAAGCTGGATGGAGAATGACTTTGACGAGCTGAGAGAAGAAGGCTTCAGACGATCAAATTACTCTGAGCTACGGGAGGACATTCAAACCAAAGGCAAAGAAGTTGAAAACTTTGAAAAAAATTTAGAAGAATGTATAACTAGAATAACCAATACAGAGAAGTGCTTAAAGGAGCTGATGGAGCTGAAAACCAAGGCTCGAGAACTACGTGAAGAATGCAGAAGCCTCAGGAGCCGATGCAATCAACTGGAAGAAAGGGTATCAGCGATGGAAGATGAAATGAATGAAATGAAGCGAGAAGGGAAGTTTAGAGAAAAACGAATAAAAAGAAATCAGCAAAGCCTCCAAGAAATATGGGACTATGTGAAAAGACCAAATCTACGTCTGATTGGTGTACCTGAAAGTGATGGGGAGAATGGAACCAAGTTGGAAAACACTCTGCAGGATATTATCCAGGAGAACTTCCCCAATCTAGCAAGGCAGGCCAACGTTCAGATTCAGAAAATACAGAGAACGCCACAAAGATACTCCTCGAGAAGAGCAACTCCAAGACACATAATTGTCAGATTCACCAAAGTTGAAATGAAGGAAAAAATGTTAAGGGCAGCCAGAGAGAAAGGTCGGGTTACCCTCAAAGGGAAGCCCATCAGACTAACAGCGGATCTCTCATCAGAAACCCTACAAGCCAGAAGAGAGTGGGGGCCAATATTCAACATTCTTAAAGAAAAGAATTTTCAACCCAGAATTTCATATCCAGCCAAACTAAGCTTCATAAGTGAAGGAGAAATAAAATACTTTACAGACAAGCAAATGCTGAGAGATTTTGTCACCACCAGGCCTGCCCTAAAAGAGCTCCTGAAGGAAGCACTAAACATGGAAAGGAACAACCAGTACCAGCCGCTGCAAAATCATGCCAAAATGTAAAGACCATCGAGACTAGGAAGAAACTGCATCAACTAACGAGCAATATCACCAGCTAACATCATAATGACAGGATCAAATGCACACATAACAATATTAACTTTAAATGTAAATGGACTAAATGCTCCAATGAAAAGACACAGACTGGCAAATTGGATAAAGAGTCAAGACCCATCAGTGTGCTGTATTCAGGAAACCCATCTCATGTGCAGAGACACACATAGGCTCAAAATAAAAGGATGGAGGAAGATCTACCAAGCAAATGGAAAACAAAAAAAGGCAGAGGTTGCAATCCTAGTCTCTGATAAAACAGACTTTAAACCAACAAAGATCAAAAGAGACAAAGAAGGCCATTACATAATGGTAAAGGGATCAATTCAACAAGAAGAGCTAACTATCCTAAATATATATGCACCCAATACAGGAGCACCCAGATTCATAAAGCAAGTCCTGAGTGACCTACGAAGAGACTTAGACTCCCACGCATTAATAATGGGAGACTTTAACACCCCACTGTCAACATTAGACAGATCAACGAGACAGAAAGTCAACAAGGATACCCAGGAATTGAACTCAGCTCTGCACCAAGCAGACCTAATAGACATCTACAGAACTCTCCAACCCAAATCAACAGAATATACATTTTTTTCAGCACCACACCACACCTATTCCAAAATTGACCACATAGTTGGAAGTAAAGCTCTCCTCAGCAAATGTAAAAGAACAGAAATTATAACAAACTATCTCTCAGACCACAGTGCAATCAAACTAGAACTCAGGATTAAGAATCTCACTCAAAGCCGCTCAACTACATGGAAACTGAACAACCTGCTCCTGAATGACTACTGGGTACATAACGAAATGAAGGCAGAAATAAAGATGTTCTTTGAAACCAACGAGAACAAAGACACAACATACCAGAATCTCTGGGACGCATTCAAAGCAGTGTGTAGAGGGAAATTTATAGCACTAAATGCCCACAAGAGAAAGCAGGAAAGATCCAAAATTGACACCCTAACATCACAATTAAAAGAACTAGAAAAGCAAGAGCAAACACATTCAAAAGCTAGCAGAAGGCAAGAAATAACTAAAATCAGAGCAGAACTGAAGGAAATAGAGACACAAAAAACCCTTCAAAAAATCAATGAATCCAGGAGCTGGTTTTTTGAAAGGATCAACAAAATTGATAGACCACTAGCAAGACTAATAAAGAAAAAAAGAGAGAAGAATCAAATAGACACAATAAAAAATGATAAAGGGGATATCACCACTGATCCCACAGAAATACAAACTACCATCAGAGAATACTACAAACACCTCTACGCAAATAAACTAGAAAATCTAGACGAAATGGATAAATTCCTCCACACATACACTCTCCCAAGACTAAACCAGGAAGAAGTTGAATCTCTTAATAGACCAATAACAGGAGCTGAAATTGTGGCAATAATCGATAGTTTACCAACCAAAAAGAGTCCAGGACCAGATGGATTCACAGCTGAATTCTACCAGAGGTACAAGGAGGAACTGGTACCATTCCTTCTGAAACTATTCCAATCAATAGAAAAAGAGGGAATCCTCCCTAACTCATTTTATGAGGCCAGCATCATTCTCATACCAAAGCTGGGCAGAGACACAACCAAAAAAGAGAATTTTAGACCAATATCCTTGATGAACATTGATGCAAAAATCCTCAATAAAATACTGGCAAACCGAATCCAGCAGCACATCAAAAAGCTTATCCACCATGATCAAGTGGGCTTCATCCCTGGGATGCAAGGCTGGTTCAATATACGCAAATCAATAAATGTAATCCAGCATATAAACAGAGGCAAAGACAAAAACCACATGATTATCTCAATAGATGCAGAAAAAGCCTTTGACAAAATTCAACAACCCTTCATGCTAAAAACTCTCAATAAATTAGGTATTGATGGGACGTATTTCAAAATAATAAGAGCTATCTATGACAAACCCACAGCCAATATCATACTGAATGGGCAAAAACTGGAAGCATTCCCTTTGAAAACTGGCACAAGACAGGGATGCCCTCTCTCACCACTCCTATTCAACATAGTGTTGGAAGTTCTGGCCAGGGAAATTAGGCAAGAGAAGGAAATAAAGGGTATCCAATTAGGAAAAGAGGAAGTCAAATTGTCCCTGTTTGCAGATGACATGATTCTATATCTAGAAAACCCCATTGTCTCAGCCCAAAATCTCCTTAAGCTGATAAGCAACTTCAGCAAAGTCTCAGGATACAAAATCAATGTACAAAAATCACAAGCATTCTTATACACCAACAACAGACAAACAGAGAGCCAAATCATGAGTCAACTCCCATTCACAATTGCTTCAAAGAGAATAAAATACCTAGGAATCCAACTTACAAGGGATGTGAAGGACCTCTTCAAGGAGAACTACAAACCACTGCTCAAGGAAATAAAAGAGGATACAAACAAATGGAAGAACATTCCATGCTCATGGGTAGGAAGAATCAATATCATGAAAATGGCCATACTGCCCAAGGTAATTTACAGATTCAATGCCATCCCCATCAAGCTACCAATGACTTTCTTCACAGAATTGGAAAAAACTACTTTCAAGTTCATATGGAACCAAAAAAGAGCCCGCATCACCAAGTCAATCCTAAGCCAAAAGAACAAAGCTGGAGGCATCACGCTACCTGACTTCAAACTATACTACAAGGCTACAGTAACCAAAACAGCATGGTACTGGTACCAAAACAGAGATATAGATCAATGGAACAGAACAGAGCCCTCAGAAATAATGCCGCATACCTACAACTATCTGATCTTTGACAAACCTGAGAAAAACAAGCAATGGGGAAAGGATTCCCTATTTAATAAATGGTGCTGGGAAAACTGGCTAGCCATATGTAGGAAGCTGAAACTGGATCCCTTCCTTACACCTTATACAAAAATCAATTCAAGATGGATTAAAGATTTAAACGTTAGACCTAAAACCATAAAAACCCTAGAAGAAAACCTAGGCATGACCATTCAGGACATAGGCATGGGCAAGGACTTCATGTCCAAAACACCAAAAGCAATGGCAACAAAAGCCAAAATTGACAAATGGGATCTAATTAAACTAAAGAGCTTCTGCACAGCAAAAGAAACTACCATCAGAGTGAACAGGCAACCTACAAAATGGGAGAAAATTTTCACAACCTACTCATCTGACAAAGGGCTAATATCCAGAATCTACAATGAACTCAAACAAATTTACAAGAAAAAAACAAACAACCCCATCAAAAAGTTGGCGAAGGACATGAACAGACACTTCTCAAAAGAAGACATTTATGCAGCCAAGAAACACATGAAAAAATGCTCATCATCACTGGCCATCAGAGAAATGCAAATCAAAACCACAATGAGATACCATCTCACACCAGTTAGAATGGCAATCATTAAAAAGTCAGGAAACAACAGGTGCTGGAGAGGATGTGGAGAAATAGGAACACTTTTACACTGTTGGTGGGACTGTAAACTAGTTCATCCATTGTGGAAGTCAGTGTGGCGATTCCTCAGGGATCTAGAACTAGAAATACCATTTGACCCAGCCATCCCATTACTGGGTATATACCCAAATGACTATAAATCATGCTGCTATAAAGACATATGCACACGTATGTTTATTGCGGCATTATTCACAATAGCAAAGACTTGGAACCAACCCGAATGTCCAACAATGATAGACTGGATTAAGAAAATGTGGCACATATACACCATGGAATACTATGCAGCCATAAAAAATGATGAGTTCATGTCCTTTGTAGGGACATGGATGAAATTGGAAATCATCATTCTCAGTAAACTATCGCAAGAACAAAAAACCAAACACCGCATATTCTCACTCATAGGTGGGAATTGAACAATGAGATCACATGGACACAGGAAGGGGAATATCACACTCTGGGGACTGTTGTGGGGTGGGGGGAGGGGGGAGGGATAGCATTGGGAGATATACCTAATGCTAGATGACAAGTTAGTGGGTGCAGCGCACCAGCATGGCACATGTATACATATGTAACTAACCTGCACAATGTGCACATGTACCCTAAAACTTAAAGTATAATAAAAAAAAAAAAAGAAAAAAAAAAAAAACAAAATGGTGGCCAGCCTGGCCAACATGGTGAAATCCCAACCTTACTAAAAATACAAAAATTAGCCGGGCATGGTGACATGTGCCTGTAATCCCAGCTACTCTGGAGGCTGAGGCACGAGAATTGCTTGAACCTGGGGTGGGGGGGCAAGGTTGCAGCGAGCTGAGATCGTGCCACTAAACTCCAGCCTGGGTGACAGAACAAGACTGTCTCAAACAAACAAACAAACAAACAAATGGTGACCCAATAAGAAATAGCTAACACTTCAATCACTTTCCATTTATCTTAGGATAAAACCCCAAATCCGTAAAAAGGACTAGAAGGCACTGAATAATGTAGTCCCTTCCCAGTTTGAGCCACATTCCTATTCTTCTCACTTTCTCCAGATACTCAGTAAATAACTGAAAATGCAATTATACTACAAGGAGTACAAGACAGTAGTGCAATTTTACTTCCACTTGTTCTAGACAAAATGTATAAAAGTTTTTGACGCTGGGCACAGTGGCTTATTCCTGTAAACCCAGCACTTTGGGAGGCAGAGGCAGGTGGACTGCTTGAGCCCAGGAGTTCATGAGACAGCCTGGGCAACATGGAAAAACTCCATCTCTACAAAACATTCAAAAATTAGTCAAGTGTGGTGGTGTGCACCTGTGGCCCCAGCTACTCAAATTAGAAGGCTGAGGTGGGAAGATCACCTGAGCCCAGCAAGGCTGAGGCTAGTGGGCTGTGATCGCACTACTGTGCTTCACAGAGTGAGACCCTGTCTCCAAAAAAAAAAAGTTTTTGACTATGATCTACTGTAAAAAATACACTTTATATTGTGACCAAGTACCTGCACACATAAATATTTTATTTCAATACTTTCTTACTATGTACAATGTACTCTGCTAAATTTCTGCTTGAGTCATAATGTTCTAGAGACAAAGGAGTGAATAGAGGAGGCAGCTATTACTTCCGCTATTGATAGTTTCTAATATATATAGATATTTTCTAATATATATTAAATATATATTTATTTTCTACTTGATATTTTCTAATATATATTAAATATATATTTATTTTCTACTATACATATTAAATCAGATTACTAACTCACTAAGTTAACTTTATATCCCATAGATTAGTACCTGCTGTTTGTAAAACACTGTTCTACTTCACATGTAATAGTAATGTTTAAAGGGAAAAGAACATGATGTGGGACATCCTCTCTTCTAGGCACAGGGAAAAAAGGGCAAGTTCAGGGACCCTAGATAAGTGAGCACATGACCCATTTTCACCAATACTGTACTTCTTCCTGATTCTTCAGGTCTCCTCGTCAGTCATTTCCCTAGAAAAGCTTTCTCTGTCCACTTCCAGATGAGGTCACTTTCCCCAGTTATATCCTCTCATTTCTTAATACCTCTCTCCCACTTTAGTAGTTTGACCATACAATTTCTCAGGAAAACAGACATACAGCCACCCTAGTTTTAAGCTCCTCCCCAAGCGGAAGTAATAGCTGCCTCCTCTATTCGCTCCTTTGTCTCTAGAACTTTATGACTCAAGCAGAAATTTAGTCAATGTGGTGACCAACTATGTAAAGATATGAATCCAAGTCTCTGCCTCATTGATTCTGCCTGCTGGTTATGGGCTGAACGAAGTTCTGTAACAGTAGACTAGAATGGCAGGGAGAGTCCTTCCTGTACAGACCACACAGAGCTTTCTTGCTCAGTTTCTCTTCTGAGAAGCGCCTAGTGGCTGCCAGGCCTGATACATGCTCCTTCTCCAGAAGCCTACATCAAGCGCTTACACTCTTCCTAAAGATCCACAGCACCTGCAGAGGCTGCGGAAATCACCTCAGCAAGTGATCCCACTGTAAAGGCAGGGGAAGTACTTGTATTTATGGAGCATATTATATGTTCCAGGCACTATGGTAGATGATCTACAGGCCTGAGTGCATTTGATCACTTCATTGTTAATGAAACGGACGCTTCTCACACAGCCCTGTTTTGGCTGCTGGTGAAAAAGAAAATGCTGGTTATCAACTAAACAATTAGAAAAAAAAAATCACAAGTGTATCTAGAATTTTTAAAAAAAATCTATTTAAGTACTAATTAAAAGGATTATGGTTAAGAGAGTCCACACTAGGTTGGACATTATAAGAGAGAAACCGATTATCATGTGAAATGTCGTTATTCATGTGAAAAACACACATTGCTTTTCATCTATTATCTGCATTTTACATCAACATCCTTCCAGCTGAGGAAGCTAAAACACTGGTGAGATTAAGTCTAATAATATACACAATCCATGGAATACTATGCAGCCATAAAAAGGAACAAGATCATGTCCTTTGCAGGGACACGGATGAAGCTGTAAGCCATTATTCTCAGCAAACTAACATTAGTAGGAACAGAAAACTAAACACTGCATGTTCTCGCTTTGCAGGGACATGGACGAAGCTGTAAGCCATTATCCTCAGCAAACTAACGTAGGAACAGAAAACTAAACACTGCATGTTCTCACTTATAAGCAGGAGCTGAACAATGAGAACACGTGGACACAGGGACGGGAACAACACACACTAGTGCCTGTTGGGGCCTGTTGGAGGTGCCAGGGAGAGCATTAGGGAAAAGAGTTAATGCATGCTGGGCTTAATACCTCAGTGATGGGTTAACAGGTGCAGCAAACCACCACGGCACATGTTTACCTATGTAACAAACCTGCACATTCTGCACATGTACCCCAGAACTCAAAAAAATTAAAGTAAAAAAATATATAAATACACAAAAAATCAGAAAGATAAACCAGATCTCAAATCTTCCAGCTTACATGTTTAATTAATTTGGACTTTTCAAACATTATATATTTTAGAATGAACACTAAGAAAGTTCAGGCTGGGAGCAGTTGCTCGTACCTGTAATCTTAGCACTTTGGGAGGCCAAAGCAGGAGGATCATTAGGAGCCCAGGAGTTCGAAACCGGCCTGGGCAACACAGTGAGACCCCTGTCTCTACAAAAACTTAAAGTATAAAAAAATTAGCCAGGCCTCGTGGAGTGCGCCTGTAGGCCTACATACGTGGGAGGATTGCTTGACCCTGGGAGGTTGAGGCTGCAGTGAGCCATGATCACACCACTGCGCTCCAGCATGGACAGCAGAGTGAGACCCTGTGTTAAAAAAAAAAAGGCTCACTTCAGCAGCATATATACTTAAATTGGAATGATACAGAGAAGATTAGCATGTCCCCTATACAAGGATAACACTTTTTAAAAAAATCTACTTAAATACTGTATATTTTTAAAAATGTTTTAAATGCACACATGCAAAACCCTGTTATAGAATAAGTCTCAAAATCTTTGAATTGTAAGAAAGCCTCCTACCACCTTAGCTTTTAGGCCCCTTGACACTTATAAGCATTAAATATCACAATCTTCTATAATCATGGCTATTAGGAAAATTTGCCCAGGAACTAGCAACATAGTAAGACTGTTAATCACAGGATTAATGACATGAAATTAGAGAAAATTCTAGTACAAATAACACTATTGTTATCTTTCTACTGCTTTCAGCTGAAAATCATCATTCAAATCCAATGCTCTCCTTAAGAGGACATAAATTCCCTGTCCAAACCTTCAGAAAGAACTCCGAACAAGCTCTTCCATAACATACACTGAAAGTGCTTAAGTGCTCAACACTTATTAAAGATAAATGTGAATGTTGAAGCTATTTTTCAACCTCAAGAAGAGCTAAAAATTCATGTTAATGTTAGTCTGCCAAGACTTAGAGCTTAGCATTATGATGTATCATTTCCCTATTTCCACTCTGCCATGTGCCTCATAGCTATTCACAACTCGTATCATAGGAGGCTCTGTTAAATGGTTGTAATCCAAAAATATCCACCTAAGCTACAGCAGCAAGCTTGAAAGAGTCTGAATAGTCTTAATACAGAATAAATTAACAACTATTTGCAGAGAACATCTGCTCTAAGGAAAGGAGGGAAAAAGGGAAGGAAGGAAGGAAAAAGGGAGGGAAGGAATGAAGGAAGGGAGGGAGGGAGGGAAAAGGGAAGGAAGGAAGGAAGAAGGAAGGAAAAAGGGAAGGAAGGAAGGGAGGGAGGGAGGAAAAAGGGAAGGAAGGGAGGGAGGGAAAAGGGAAGGAAGGAAAAAGGGAAGGAAGGAAGGAAGGAAGGCAGGTTCGCTCCATAGAATAGAGGAAAATATAAAATGAATAGATTTGTGTAATATTCTAATGCAACACAAAACTCCACTTTAGAAACACTGCCTTTCTCCTTTGCAAATTTGCACCACGGAGTTCTTTCCAAAAGGTATATGTCCTTATTTGTTTATTTATTTATCTATTTATAGGCAGGGTCTCTGAACAGCTCAATGCAGCCTGAACCTTCCAGGTTCAAGGCATCCTTCCACCTCAGCCCACTTAGCAGCTGGGACTACGGGCACACACCACAACACCCAGCTAATTTTTAAATTTTTTTGTAGAGACAGGGTCTTGCTATGTTTCCCAGGGTGGTCTTGAATGCCTAGCCTCAAGCAATCCTCTTGCTTTAGCCTCCCAAAGTTCTGGAATTACAGGTGTGAGCCACCATGCCGGGCCAAAATGATAAATTTTTTTTTTCACATGTGCAGAACATGCAGCTTTGGTACATAGGCATATGTGTACCACAGTGGTTTGCTGCACCCAAAGTGATAAATTTTATGTTATGTATATTTTACCATGACAAAACAAAATCTGTAACATCTTTTCATTTAAAACAACTTGTTTACTAATGCTTAAACACCAATACATTGAAGATATAAAAAATTACCCAGAGATTTGCCCCACTGGACCTTCCATGGCAGAAGGAGGTATTTATAATGAATACAAAGTAGAAACTAATACATTTATTATGAATAAAATAACATTTCAGAGGAAGGAACAATTCCTTTTGGTCAAAAGATTGTGGAAGCCATAGAGGAGATGGCATTTGAATTGAGCCATGATGCTTAAAATAGCTGAGAGGTGGAAACAACTCCAATGCCCATTGACAAATGAATGGATAAAGAAAATGTGGTACATACATACAAATGGAATATTGTTCAGCCTTAAAAAGAAGGAAATCTTGTCACATGCTACAACATAGGTGAATCTCAAGGACATTATGGTAACTGAAATAAGCCAGTCACAAAAAGACAAATACTGTATGATTCTAGTTATATGTGGTATCCAGAGTAGTCAAACTCATGGAAACAGAAAACAGAACAGTGGTTGCCCAGGGCTGGGAGGGGGGAAAATGTTGCTCAATGAGTACAGGGTTTCAGTGAGGCGAGATGAAAATATTCTAAAGATCTACTACAAAAGACTGTGAATATACTTAACACTACTGAACTGGATACATAAAAAAAGTTAAAATGGTAAATTTGCTGGGGGCGGTGGCTATGCCTGTAATCCCAGCACTTTGGGAGGCTGAGATGGGTGGGACCCTTGAGCTCACGCGTTCAAGACCAGCCTGGGCAACACGGCAAAACCCCATCTCTACAAAAATACAAAAATTAGCTAGGTGTGGTGATATGCACCTGTAGTCCCAGCTACTCGGGAGGCTGAGGCAGGAGAATTGCTTGAGCCCAGGAGGTGGAGGTTGCAGTGAGCTGGGATCAGGCCACTGCATTCTAGCCAAGGTGATAGAGCCAACTCGTCTCAAAAAAAAAAAAAAAAAAAAAAAAGAGATGGCAAATTTGATATTATGTATTTTTTTTTAACAAAATAAAAAAGCAGGGGGAAAGAGTAGGCAGGATTTTACCATATGAAGATGGGGGCTTGATTTTCCAGCCCCAGTCTTCTCCCATTCATGATTCCTCACCCTTTGTTTTGTAACTTTGCAGCTCCTTTCCTACCCATGGAATATGGACTGGGCCAAGTAACTTGCTTCGGCCAAAGAGATGCTAACAGATTGGCTGCAAGCAAAGGCTTAAAATGAGCTTAGCTTGGTCATACTTTTGCACTTTGGACATTGCTACTGGGTAGCTACTTCCCCTCCAACCTTGGGCTCAGAATGAACACATGTGGAGCAGACCTAAGCCCAAAGCTCACAGTAAAAAGTCAACCCCAGTGAGACAGTGTTAAGCAGAGCTACCCGCCTGAACCCTGCTCAGGTCAGCCAATCCTAGTAGGCCTGCAAACACACAAGTGTAAATTTGGAAGTCTGTTATGCAGACTTATTGTGGCAATAGCAAACTGATACATGATAGAACAACAAAAGGACATTCTGAGCACAAAAACAACAGGAGCCTAAGCAGAGAGGTAGGAAATGGCAAATCCTTATGAGGAACATATTGAGTATTAGACTATGGGGCTGTTTTTGGACTTCTGCTTAAAATCCTCAATGATTGGACTTCTGCTTAAAATCCTCAATGATTTCTCTTTGATTCTCTCTCTCTCACTCTGTTGCCTAGGCTGGAGTGCAGTGGTGCGATCTCAGCTCAATGCAGCCTCCACCTCCCGGGCTCAGGTGATACTCCTGCCTCAGCCTCCCAAGTACCTGGGATTACAGGCACACACCACCACAGCTGTCGATTTTTGTATTTTTAGTAGAGATGGAGTTTCGCCATGTTGGCCAGGCTGGTCTCAAACTCCTGACCTCAAGTGATCCGCCCGCCTTGGCCTCCCAAAGTGCTGGGATTACACGCATTAGACACTGCGCCTGGCCCTTTTAAGTTTCTTTCTTTGTACTAAGAATTTAGCTGCAATGTAAAGCATTTGATGGGAGGTAGCAGATGAATTTGAAAAGATAGGCTGGGGCACTATCATGGAAGACCTTGCTTAAGTCTTCACTATTAAAATCTAAGCATGTCAAATGACTAGGAGAGAGTGCATTCCACAGAAATTGCACTACTACTAGTTTTGCTTGTGAAATTTTCACTGAGCAATAATTAACCTTGTTAACTATACACATGCAACTAACAAAATGTCTTATTAACAGCCTTATCATCAAAAATCTTTTTTTGACGAAAAGTGGGCATAAGGGCTAAATAAATTGTAGTTCTGCCTTTCGTGAGAAATTTGTGAATTAAAGCAGTCAGATCAAGAAAGTGTGCTTCCTAAAATGCAAACAAATATATGTACATCAATTTTTTAATGTTATTTAAATTCTAGCTATAAAATTATTATTTAACAATTAAAATCATGGAATGGTTTATTATTGCCATACCGTAGAGATTTTTTTAATGGTCTAGAATGCCTAAGTGATGGCTTTCTTCTTTCTTTAGAAGTATTATTTCTTAATATTATAGTTTTGATTTAGGAGAGTAAATATTAATGTGCATTTACAATCTATCTTGCAAATTTGTTTTAACCATGAAACAGAAAAATCAGCCAGAATTTTCTTTTATACCCACAAACAATAAATAAGTGTGTAAAAAATTCTGCAGAATCAGAAAATGTTCCACTGGTGCTTCTTTGGAAAACAAAAACAAAAACCCAAGTTCTATTGCTCCTCAAAAGTACTCAAGGAATAGCAGATACTGTGACCCTATACAAGCTAAGTTCATGTTTCTTCCGCTAAATGGCACACAATTAAACTTATATAATAATTATATTATTAATATAGTTCAATTTGTTAATAATTCAATTTAAAATGCAGAATCACAAATGACTGTGATTCCTAAACAAGAACTTATATATGCTTAATAATGTTATAAACTGGCCAGGCACAGTGGCTCACACCTATAATCCCAGCACTTTGGGATGCTAAGCGGGGTTGATCACCTGAGGTCAGGGGTTCAAGACCAGCCTGGCCAACATGGTAAAACCTGATCTCTACTAAAACTACAAAAATTAGCTGGGCATGGTGGCAGGCGCCTGTAATTCCAGCTACTTTGGAGGCTGAGTCAGGAGAATCGCTTGAACCCAGGAGGCGGAGGTTGCAGTGAGCCGAGATTGCGCCACTGCACTCCAGCCTGAGCAACAAAAGCAAAAACTCCATCTCAAAAATAAAAAAAGTTATAAATTTACCAAAAAGGAAGCCTTTTTTAACACCATTCTACTGTGAACACAACTGGCTTCCAGAAGAAGAAAACCAAAATATACTTTCCATTCATCTGTGAAAGCAGACTAGACACTGCAATAACTCACACAGGACTTACATGTGAAATCAAGGCCAGAGGTTTAGATTCCATGCTATTCATCACACTCATTAATTTTTTAATACAAAGGTATTTCAGCATTTGAAACATAGTACTAGTCACAAAATTTGTTATAAGAGTTCTGACATGGATCAGCTACACTGGGACATTCCCTGAAAGATAAATGGATCCTTTGGGAGGAGGATTAACTTTTTCAATACAACAGAATACCAAAATATGAATTATTTCTCTAGAACACTGAAACCATAAAGGAGAAATGTTTGGTGTAGCACAGATGCCAGATCAAAAAGTCTACAGAAAAAAGCACATTAACCTAGCAAAGGGCAAAATCATGTTAGTTGATACATAAAGGAATCCCACTGCCCAAAGAAAATCATTATACAGAAGTTCAACTTTTCAGAATTCCTTAAAGAATTTATGTTGTTGAAATTAACCCAAAGCCTCTAATTTAGATCATTTTCAGGCTAGGATGTGTCTGTGATCAGTCATTCCCTATTAATTAGAGAAAGGCAGCATGGGTGGAAGATGGAAATTGTAGATGAAAAAAGACATCTCTTGTCCATACTGTAATCCAGTTCCATCCAACTCCATCAATATCCACTCAGAGGATGAGGGTTTCAACTAAGAACTGCCCTAAGAACTTTGAAAATTAAATCCGCAGGGAAAGGGAGAAACTCCTAAGGCTCTGGGAAGTGGGGTGTTTCAAAGAAGGTTTAAAGATGATAGGGCCTGGGTGTGTGGCTTACACCTGTAATCCCAGCACTTTGGGCACCTGTAATCCCAGCACTTTGGAAGGCCAAGGCAGGAGGATGGCTTGGACGCAGGAGTTCAAGACAAGCCTGGGCAATATAGTGAGACCCTGTCTCTGCAAAAAAATAAAATAATTATCCAGGGATGGTGGCATGCTCCCGTAGTCCTAGCCACTTGGCAGACTGAGGTGGAAGGATCACTTCAGCCCAGGCAGTTGAAGCTGCAGTGAGCCGAGAGAGCGCCACTGAACTCTAGCCTGGGTGACAGAACAAGACCTCATCTCGAAATAAATAAAGATGATAGGGCACAAATCTAATAAAATGAAAACAATTAATACTAATCAGTCCCAGGAGACACACACACACACACGTGTATGCACACACACATCAGTAAGGTTCAGTACCTATTCTATCCTGGAGCTGACATCTTTCTCTTAGTTACCCAATTTTTTTGAGTGCAGACCACGTATCATTATCACAGGGAATTTTGAAAACAGAGGTTTCTGGGCACACTAAATTTTACCCTCTTAGGGAAGAGGAGGAAGGGCTCAGGGATGGGTATTTTTCTTAAGCTTCCCGAAGAGTTCAGCAAACCACTTTTACATTAGTGTTTGGGAATTACTACATGAGATCTCTTCCCCTTAGGAATCATATCCTTAACTGTACTTCAGTTTTGGGGTTTCAAAAAACTATGTTATTAAAAGAAAACATATTAATCAGATTGGAGGAAGAAATAAAAGAATACTTCCAAAAATATAAAATTTTTAAATGTTTAAAAAAGTAAGCATATATTTATATGCATAGCCTATTTCTCAGGAATGACAGCAAGAACTTGCTAACTTTAGGCCGGGCGCAGTGGCTCACACCAATCCTAGCACTTTGGAAGGCTGAGGTGGGGGGATCATTTGAGGTCAGGAGTTCAAGACCAGCCTGACCAACATGGTGAAACCCCATTTCTACTAAAGATACAAAAAAAATTAGCCAGGCGTGGTGGCGCATGCCTGTAATTTCAGCTAATTGGGAGGCTGAGGCAGGAGAATCACTTGAACCCCAGAGGCGGAAGTTGCGGTGAGCCAAGATCACGCCACTGCACTCCAGCCTGGGCAACACGGCAAGACTCCGTCTTAAAGAAAAAAAAAACCTGCTAACTTTAGTTGCCTCTTAAAGACGGGAACTAAGTGGCTAAGAGGAAGGAAGAAGACTTTCCACTGTGTTACACTTTATAAATGTTGACCCATGTGAACATATTATATATCAAACAATTTAAAAAAAAGAAAATTTAGAATATGTCACAAAAATCAAAGAGCTATGACAATAAAAAATAACAAGCAACTATAAAGAACATTTTGGAGACAACTGGGGAAATCTGAACATGGACTATGTATTATACAACGGCAGAAAATCAGTGTTAGATTTCCTGAATGTAAAAACTGTTTTTTTCATTCAAAACTGTGTTATGATTATGTATGGTTCTTAGAAGACAAAATCTGAGTATGTAGGAGGAAAGTGTCATGATGATTGCATTTTACTTCCAAATAACTCAGGGAAGTACAATCATATACAGAGAGAGATAAGGCAAATGTGGCAAAATGTTAACAATTTGTGAATAAAGGTGAAGGACAGTTATATGTTCATTGTACAGTCATTTTTTTTTAGTAACAGCTTTACTGTTAATTATTTCATGTACCAACCTTTTAAAGTGTACAATTCAATGGTTTTAATATATTTGCAGAATTGCGCAACCATCACCACGATCAATTTTAGAAAAGTCTCACGGTCCCCAAAAAAGCAATCCTGTGCCCATTAGCAATCACTCCTCCTTCCCCTCCAACTCCTGGCAACCATTTTCTGTGACTATGAATTTGTAATCTACTTGCTGTGTCTATGACTTTGCCTGTTCTGGGTATTTCGCATAATGGAAATTATGTAATTTCCATGTGGTCTTTTATGACTAGCTTCTTTCACTTAGCATAATGTTCTCAAGGTTCATCCATGTTGTTGCATGTGCCAGCACTTCATTCCTTTTTATTGCTGAATAATATTCCATCATATGGATATACCACATTTATTTATCCATTCATCCATTGGTCAATGGACATTTGGGTTGCTTCTGCCCTTTGGCTATCATAAGTAATGCTGCTATGAACATTCATGTCAATGGTTTTACGTGTGGACATATGTTTTCATTTTTCTTGGATATATACCTAGGAGTAGAATTGCTGATCATATGGTAACTATGTTCATTATACTATATTTGCAATTTTTTATAGCATTAAAAATTTCAAAATAAAAAATTAGAGGAAAAAGAAAGAATAGGCTGGACACAGTAGCTCACTCCTGTAATCCCAGCACTTTGGGAGGCTGAGGTGGGTGGATTGCTTCAGCTCAGGAGTTTGAGACCAGCCTGGGCAACATGGAGAAACCCTGTCTCTACCAAAAATGCAAAAAATTAGCCAGGCATAGTGGTGCACACCTGTGGTCACAGCTGCTTGGTGGGCTGGGGTGGGAAGGTCGCTGAGCCCTGGAGGTAGAGGTTGCAGTTTGCTGAGATCATGTCACTGCACTCCCGCCTGGGCAACAGAGCGAGACAAACTCAAAAAAAAAAAAAAAAAAGAAAAGAAAAAGAAAGAAAGAATAGTAACATAATAATTTTTACCCAACCATCTTATGCTCAGAAAGACTATGTATGTATGTGGTTGTAGGTAGCACACAACTCGTATTCCTAGCAAGAGGATGTAGTAAATGCTTCCTAGGTCTTCTGAAGAACTAATTTATTGACTTACAAAATGATCAGCAAAGAGAAATTATTTATCTGGACTAGATAAAAAACATCTCAATTTTTAATAACAAGCAATGATGCATACACAAAAGAATATGGGCTCTGAAGTCACAGAGCTAAGCTGTATGACTCTAAGCAAAGTGTTCCACTTCTCTGGGACTCTATAAAAGGTGCACTATTTATACCTGTACTTCAAACCAGGTAACCAAGAAGAGGGTCTTGCATAGTGTCTGGCACACAGTAGTTGCTCAATACATGCTAATTTCCTTCAGAATAGGTATATATAAATATTTCCACCTCCCCCCCTTTTCCTACAAGGTGAAAAATCAATTGCTGTTTTATTAAAGAACAATGACATTTTAGTTTTTAAACCATAAAACTGTATGAGTCTACTTCCAAGTTGTTTTATTTCTGGCCTTTCGTCTGAACTCTAGACCCCCATTTCCAAATGCCTGCTAAATCTTTACTCGAAAATCTGCTAGCAACTCACACTCAACTTGCCCCAATTTTAGCTTACTACCTTCCTTCTAAACCAGTTCCTCTTCAGTCCCTCTTGTCTTTTCAATTCTGTAAACAATATTATCATTAGAGGGGCAAAACCTAAGTATCATCTTTGACAGCAACCTCTCATTATTCCTGCCATCCTGTTGACAAGACTTATAGACTTCTTGTCAGCATCTCCTATCCCACTGTCTTGCAACCATGAGGCCCTCCTTCTGCCTATTAGGCTACCATCATAGCCTGCTAAACTAACCTTTTCTCCTGTAACCTCTCCCTTCACCATCCCATTGCACACACAGTGCCACAGTAATTAGTCTAAGATGAGAACATGATACTCCTGGTTCAAAACTTTTCATGGTTCCCCACTGCTTACCAAATTAAGTACAAATTTTCAACCTGGAACACAACTATTCACTCATTTATTCAGCAAACATCTATTCAGCATCTACTATGTGCTAGGTTCTGTTCCAGGTGCTAAAAGCACAGCAGCTGTGATGGAGCTCACATTCTAGTTTTTGAGAAAAGGAAAGAAAAAACACCCTAAACAAACAACAGTAACTTCAGATGGCAATAAATCAGGAGAATAAGATAGTGACTAAAAGCAGAATAGTTTTGGTAGGATAGTGAGAGAAGCCTTCTCTGTTTGAACCAAGACTTAAAGATGAGAAGATAACTACAGTAAGAACTTATAAGAGAGAAAGAATTGCAAGTACCAAAACCCTGAAGCCTTTTTGTATTCTGAAATATCCTCTCATCTCAAAACACCTGCCGTCTTCTTTCCTACAGTTGCTTTCGAAATCCTACCTGCCGTTAAAAGCTCAACTCGGCTGGGCATGGTGGCTCATACCTGTAATCCCAGCACTTTGGGAGGCCAAGACAGGGAGATCACAAGGTCAGGAGTTCGAGACCAGCCTGACCAACATGATGAAACCCCATCTCTACTAAAAATACAAAAAAAATTAGCCAGGCATAGTGGCATGTGCCTGTAATCTCAGCTACGCAGGAGGCTGAGGCAGGAAAATCACTTGAACCCAGGAGATTACAGGCACTTAGTGGATGCCCTCCTCCACTAAGAATACTTAAAATGAAATCTAAACTGTATGGCAGAAACTCTAAAAGCAATTACAAAGGAGTTTCCAACACATGTTAAAGAATGGCTTGTTCAAAGGAACAAGCAGATAAATCACTGATTACTTTAAAAGGGACAATATTTATTTGAATAATAATTTGTTAAAAATTCACATTATTTTCAGCCAGGTGCATTGGCTCAGGCCTGTAATCCCAGCACTTTGGGAGGTGAAGACGGGTGGATCACTTGAGGTCAGGAGTTCAAGACCAGCCCGGCCAATATGGTGAGACCCCGTCTCTACTAAAAAAAAAAAAAATACAAAAATTAGCTGGGTGTGGCGTGTACCTATAATCCCAGCTACTCAGGAGGCTGAGGCAGGAGAATTGCTTGAACCCAGGAGGTGGAGGTTGCAGTGAGCTGAGATCATGCTACTGCACTCCAGCCTGGGCAACAGAAAATACAATAATACGTATTTTCATATTATTTTACTATGTTACAATTTGGTTTCCAGAAAAAAGAAATTCCTATTATTTTATATACAATTCTCTTGTTGTGTGAACTCTTTCCTAAGCAGCAAAATCGGTTATAATACAAGTTTTACGATTACTTCATTCTCGGTCTTTTGCTATTGCTTAGCAGCCGTGTGGTGTTAATAAGACCAATGAAGGTGCCTAATGTATACCTGTTGATTAATGAATATGTATAAAATGTAATCCAGTTATTTATTTCACAGTTATTTCATCACAGATTTTCATAAGAGTGTGGAGAAAAACTCTGAGCTTGTGTGGGATTGATAGGACAGCCACGCTTTCTCCCTCCCTCCTCCCCACACTGACCTGGAGCTGTATTTTTTCATGATGGCATCCAAAAGGCCAACGAGCTCTTCAGCATTGATGAACTTCTGTGTGCTGAGGGTGTACATCTTCTCATAGAAGTCTGCTATCTCCATCCGAGCCTGAACAAAGAAGCAGAGCTGCTCTGACAGGTGGGAAAGGAGTTCTTCCACGTGAGGAGCAGTCCCACCCAGGGCACCACGGCCAGTCACCACCTTCTTCAGCTCATTATGCAATGAAGTATAGATGGTGCGGATGGAATCCTTCCTGCTGAAGAAAGACTGGCCCCCTGGTAGGCAAACAACATAAGCACATGACAAGTAAGAAGGAGAAACCGTAAGTACCAAACACCTACCAACATGCAAAAGCAAAGAATCCAAACCCATTGAGCTCAGTAAGTTTTCATCTACCATATTCTCTGTCTATGATTGAGATATAAATACTTTATGATAATCATAAATACTTTATGATTATCATAAATACTTTATGATAATCATAAATACTTTGATTCATAATTTCCCTAAGGAATAAGCTAAATGAATACCTGATAGAATTCATTACTGTAGCAATGGACCTGTGTACAATTTGCTTACCCATGTACCAATTCTCACCCACCCCAATTCAATGAGGATTCAGATTTACTTCAGAGCATAATTAACCTAGCAAATAACACCAACTGGAACTAAAAAGCCTACCTTTCACATAGATGTATTCAAAGCAAAAGAGCACACAAATTATGAAACACTATTTTTATTCCTGCTGTGTCATGATTTTTTGTTTCTGCTTTAGAGTTGTATTTTCCTTTGAATCTAATCTTTTAGATCATACCAGAAAATTGAATACATACACATATATTCCCTCTATGCAAGAAAACAGACTACTGGGATCCCAGGAGAATAAAGAAAATCTTAGCACTCTTGACAAGGTTGACACTATATGTTATAAATAATAAGCACCACATTGTGAATTATTAAGACCAGGAACCAATTATAAATAACTGCTGCTGTAACCAAGGGATTCCAAAGGAAATCAGCAAAAAATAAAACCAAAAACACCTTTATATAGCCAAAAAGGATCAAATAGCATAGATATCATTTACTCACTTCTGTATGTACACATGAGCAATTATATTTCTAATTATGGAGCCAGCTTCATGGATGTTCCCTTAAGCAATTCTGCACCCACCAAAGGGCCAGAGGCAAGATATTAGGAAAATGAAAAGAAAAAAAGAAACAGGGCAGGTTTAAAACAGTGATTTCTAGGAATATATAAAAAAACTCAAGAGATGGACAAGAGTTTAAATTTTCTCTTCAATGAATTTACTATTCTAAACATATACCTGTAATTAGGAATAAAAATGTATCAAGGCATTTGTAAAATATCCTCTTAATAAATGAACCATTTTACAATATTGATTTTAATTCATTGCTCGGTTTATGTTTCAAGAAATGAATCTTCCTTCCCTTACTACTAGGTAACCAACTTGTCCCAGTTTACCCAGGACTTTCCAGGTTTTAGCACTAGAAGTCTAGCTTCTCAGGAAATCTTTATAAGGTTTTAAAACAAAGTCCCACATCCTAGAAATCCCTCAGGCCTGGGAAAATTTTGAACAGTTGGTTACCCTACTTATTTCTGACACCCCAGACAAACTACTGATACTTTGAAAAGTGTTTTTCCAATATACTGTCTAAACCAGGGGTGTTCAATCTTTTGGCTTCCCTGGGCCACATTAGAAGAAGAAGAATTGTCTTGGGGCACATATAAAATATGCTAACACTAACCATAGCTGATGAGGAAAAAAAAAAAAACGCACAAAAAATCTCATATTGTTTAAGAAAGTTTAGCCAGACATGGTGGCTCATGCCTGTAATACCAGCACTTTGGGAGGCTGAGGCGGGAGGATCACCCGAGGTCAGGAGTTCAACACCAGCCTGGCCAACATGGTGAAACCCCGTCTGTACTAAAAATACAAAACAATTAGCCAGGCATGGTGGTGGGTGCCTATAATCCCAGCTACTCGGGAGGCTGAGGTAGGAGAATCGCTTGAACCAGGGAGGCAGAGGCTGCAGCGAGCCGAAATCGTGCCACTGCACTCCAGCCTGGGCAACAGAGCAAGACTCCATCAAAAGAAAAGAAAAGAAGAAAAGAAAAGAAAAGAAAGAAGGAAGGAAGGAAGAAAAGGAAAGGAAAGAAAAGAAAAGAAAGGAAAGGAAACCAAAGGAAAGAAAAGAAAAGAAGAAAGGAAGGAAGGAAGGAAGAAAGAAAGAGAAAGAAAGAAAGTTAGTTTATGAATTTGTGTTGGGCCGCATTCAAAGCCATCCTGGACTGCATGTGGCCCGCAGGCCACAGGTTGGACAAGCTTGTTCCAAACAGATTGAGTAGCTGGCACATCATTTCTCCAACTAATACAATTAAAGTCCATATGGGTACAGGTGGACCAGATGTGACACCAATATCTCATACGGAACTGTTCCCTACAGGGTTTGCCTTCCTCCCATGCCCATATTCAGTTTAGCTCTGCTGATTTTGTACAGTGAAGGGTACAACATAAATAGACCTCTGTGCCCACATCTAGGATAAAACCTCTCGGCTTAGGAGGGTAATAAGAGTATCATATAAAACCTAAAAGCTGTGGAGGTCTGAAAGACTTGGTTTCAAACCCCAGCTCCCACAATTACAGGCTATGTTGATGTGCAAACTACTGAACCACTTTGAGCTTTAGCTGTCATTTTTAACATAAAACTGGTGATAGAGCTAAAAAAAACAAATGAAATAACATTTGGTGTGTAATGTGCCTGGAACAAAGAATATATTCTATAATACTAATTCCTTTCCCTTCTATTTATAACTGATACATTTTTTAAAACTCCTAATAATAATACATAATTGAGCTTCTGAAACTGTGGTGAATTGGGAGCTTCAAATACTACAAAAAGAATAGCTATCTAGTACTATTAAACGGGGTGGCCTTGGTGAAAATTTTAACTTCACATTGAAAAAGGGATATCATCTGTCTCTAGGACTTATGGGAGAAAAAAAAAAAAGGATACCTAACTTCATCAGATTACCCCTATCTGGGGGAACGGAAACACTACATAAATACAAAGAATACCTTTAAAAGCTTATCGGTAAACGCTAATCACCAGCATGTGAAACCAAGTAAAGTGAAACTACTCTAAGGAAGAGATAGACCATCAACACATTTCTTTCAAACAGTTCTCTTTTCTCAAAGCTCTCAGGAACCCAATCCTATCTGTTCACTATCTTGGTTTGGAATATCCAGCGGGGACTGACCTTTCTTCATGCTGGAAAACAAGGAATCAGAAACATCCAACTTCTTTCTCTTTTCAATATTTTTAATTTAAAAAATATGATTACTTTGAATGATTTTTAGAAGGCTCTAGTTATAAATGCTCATAATTTCTCAAGATTTCAAGTTCATCTCATGTCATGAAATTTTAAGTGTATTGAAGGAACGTGTAAAACATCTTGGGCATTTTATTCTCCAACTTCTTGCTAATAATACTTTTTAAACATCAGTTCTCAAGTTAAGTCATTTTCTACTATGCTAAATTTCAGCAACCCAAGGTTGAGGAAACTCTCCAGTAATGAAACAAAGGGAAGAAAAGTATGACCTTCTAAAATTCTCCACAGGCATTGAGTCAGCATATTTTAATCACTGATCCTTCCCCAAACAGGTATTATTCTCTCTTAAAGGAAAGAGAAGGAACCAAGATAAGGGCCCTACTCGAAGTTTTTCAGTAACAGGGTCAAGACAGGAAAAGAAAGCTCCCTGTCAAGGTCTATCCTTTGTCTAAAGGCCCTGCTTGCTTCTTTAATCAGGATTCACTGCTAAGGCCTCAAATAAATACCATCCATAAGAGAGGTAAAAAAAGACTCCCTTTTTACTTGAAATTTGCTAAGAGAGTAGATCTTAAGTATTCTCACAATATACACATGAAAGAAAGAAGGAAGGAAGGAAGATAACTATGTAAGGTGATGGATATACTAAGTAGCTTGATTGTGGTGATTATTTCACAATTTACATATACATCAAAACATCAAGTTGTACATCTTAAATATATATAGTTTTATTTGTCAATTATATCTCAGTAAGGCTAAAAAAACTTTTCAGAATTGTTTTAAATTTTTTAAACGCACGCATAAACTTTTTGTTTTGCTTTCTAAAGAAAACTATATAAATGTTCTAATGAGCAAAGTAGTTGGAGAACATGGGAATGTTTTAAATGGCAACACGAAAGTTTTCTCCTGAAGTTTTTAAGAAAATAGTAAACCGGGTAATTGTGTAGTCGTATTGTAAGCACACTGATATCATATACACTCCAGTACCCAAAAAAATGTGCAAAGATAAAATTTAAATTCTGGAACTTATGTTTACTGTACGTGTAAATAAGTTATGAAGCATTAAATATACCATTTTCAGAATATTTACTCAGAAATGAGGAGCCCACCTAGGAACGTAACAGTGCCTGGGCATGTTTCACAGCACCAAATGTTGTATAGGTCAGTTTCAAGGCATAGTCCTCATGCTCACCCATGCCAGCTGGGGTTCAAGCAGAACTAATCAATTTACACATTGAGGACCACTTTACAGAACCCAAGTCAGAGACAGTGAAGATCTTATACACACATTCTTACACACAGGGCAGCCAGTTCTGTTTACGTAAAAACCTGGCTCATTCAACTTAAAACTAGAGTAGCAGATTTTTTTAAATGGAGTCAATAAATAGACTTTAGAAAATTCAACTGAACCCACTCAGGTTATACGCAAAATTATATGTACATATATATTTTTCTGGAGAGTAAGTACACAGCTTTCATCAAATTTCCATGGATAAGTTAATAAAAAAAAAAAGCAAAGAATCATGGCACTTGAATCAGTCACCATTCTTTGAGGTGGGGGAGTCTAAAAACAACTGAAACTGCCTAAATATTACCTACCTTCAGTATTACAGCTAGAATCCACCCCATTTTCACATATATAAAAAACATATATCTGTATATATTATACATAAATTATAATTTTCATACACATTTTTAATAAGTTATATGAATGCAAACTCAATCTGAGAGTACAAGGGCAGATATTTTGGTTTCGACTCTATCATCTACCCAACATAACTGCATATATAATTTGCTAATCTATAGAAAGGGGAATAATAACACCATAGCAGCAACTGCAAATTTGTGAGAAATGCCATTGTAAAAAGGGGAGGAAAAAAATAAGGTGAAACTATCTGACCAGTTTTTGCTAATAAATTAGCATACTAAATAAGTATGTATAAATCAACATACTTGCTACAGCAATTACGAACTCAGGAAGCCCTGTCTCTTGAGTGTTTACTGAAAGCTCAATAAGATGTACATGGTCACCTTCAGGCAATATAAGGAAAGTAGGGGGCTGGTTAGGGAACGGGGGGGGGTGGATCAAAATGAAATCTACACCAATTTTACATTTCTATTCTCTGTATTTTATATACGTGTCCTTCATTCACATCAGACCTCACGCTTCTGAAAATTGAAGAGTCTAAAACAGGTCAAAGTACTGACTCTGAAACCCCTAGGATTCAAATATATTTATTTGTCATAATTAAGCAGTAATATTATTTTGTATGCATATTCCATGCCTTTTACATCTATTATTTCCTTCTCATCTACTTATACTTATTGCTTCTACTAGTAAAAATCAGTTGAATCAGCTCTTGAATCTTATTTCAGAGGCAAGATGTACATGAAGTGCTAAGAGTGTTTACCATTTTCCCCTTAAGTCTCTTCTTGCTAGTGTTAGGCATATTTCTTGCCTTTCCTGCCCAATATTCATTTATTACTTTAGTCATTAAATATGTATTGGGGGACTATGAAGACGGGGTAGGACTCTAAATGTGACTCTCGGGCCTTAACCTTAAGAGGCCACACAACAGTGTTCAGTAATAGAACTAGGTTGTTTTGCAAAGTTTTGCTCTTCTGGCTGCAGCGTCACTAATTAAAACAATGAAGACATAGTTTGGTTAACTTCTCATTTATGGCATCAATCCATGCACGAGGCAAAAGGGCAAACCCTTCGGTTTGGGTCACAGCCCTGCAAAGAGCATCTACCCAGTTCGCCAATCTATCAGCAGCGCAGGCCGGTGGGCGGGGCTTGTGGAAGCCCAGGGAAGGAAAGGAACGGTGGGAGGAGATCTGGGAATGCCGAGTCGAGCCTGCGACTAGAAGTGACACAGAGACGGGAAACCCAAGCCACTGCCGACTGGGGAATATACCCCCTTTACTTCCTCCTCAAGGGGCTCGGGGGGCGGGGCGGAGGTACCTAGTTTCTGCCCCAGGTAGGTGAGGCTGTGATAGACCTTCTCGGCCGCGGCCAGGTGCGCCAAGGCCGCCAGCAGCGACAGCCAGCTGCCCCCCGCGCTCTTGTTGGCCTCTCGTTCCTTCTCCACATTGTCCTTAGCCTTGTCGTAAGAGAAGATACCCAGGTGAGAGAAGAACGTCTCCAGCACCGCCTGTTCCACCGGGACCGGGGCGGCCAGCGGGATAGACTCCCCCATGCGAGCTGCGCCCCAGCTCGACCCACGTGGCTCTCCTCGGCCTCGCACTTCCGGGTTCTGAGGGAACGGGCTTGCGCACAAGCGTGCGTGCGCGTGACCGCCTCCACCGGCGGACTCGTGAGCGCGCCGCTGCCGGGACCGCTCCTGGGCCTTAGAGAAGACGCGGATAAGGGCCAAGGAAAGAGGGAGGTAGCGGTTGCTGAGCTCCTTCGGCGCTTCGGCTCCTGTAGCTCTGACTATTCGGACCGTCAAGGTAGAATAGGAGGCGGCCAGTTCCCCGCTCTAAGAAGTTGCCTGCGCTCTGAGGTGAGCTGACAGGCCCCTCTCTGTGTGGTTCGTCAGCGCTGGTGACGTCATGCAAACGTGACGTCAGCCCTGGCCAGAACATCTGGCCTGGGCTCTCCAGGCACCTCGCTGGGCCGGCTGGGAGATGGGGAAGTGCCTGGAGTTGTGCCCACACTCACAGCAGGGACCCTAGTCAGCCCTGACACCTTCTACACCAACTCATGGAAGTGATTTGCTGAGATTAGAAGACTGACGGGTAAAGGTTGATCTCCTTCCCATTGCCTAGTTTTCATCACATCACACACCACCGGTTAACTCTCACCTGTATCCCGTTCTAGTTCTCCCGGGTCTGTGTTAGCCCTGCAACTAATAAGTAGAGCCCCTGGCCCAAACTGCATTAACCTTCCTTAAAAAGTTATCTTTTTTTTTTCTTTTTTTTTGAGACGGAGTCTCGCTCTGTCGCCCAGACTGGAGTGCAGTGGTGAGATCTCGGCCCACTGCAGCCTCCACCTCCCGAGTTCAAACGATTTTCCTGCCTCAACCTCCCTAGTAGCTGGGATTACAGGCCAGCGCCACCACACCTGGCTAATTTTCGTATTTTTAATAGAAACAGGGTTTCACCATGTTAGCCAGGCTGGTCTCAAACTCCTGGCTCAAGCAATCTTCCCACCTCAGCCTCCCAAAGTTTTGGGATTACAGGTGTGAGCCACCACCCCTGGCCAGAATGAAGAATACATTAATGTAAATTGTGCACGTTGTCATTTAGAATAATTACAAGTTCCTTTGGCATTTAAGAAACCCCATGAACCCGGCTCATACTTGTATGTCCACTACTTTGAAACACTACCCACTACTCAATAGTTTTTTCCTTTCTTCTTTGTGCATACTTATTTTATGCTTCTTAGTCACACTATTTAATCGCATATATTTACATATCTCTTTCCCCAAGTGGTGAGATCCCTAGGGTACAGTAGGGTTCACTTACAGTTATAATCTTTTCATATTGGACGGCGCAGCCATGTTTGTTGAACAAATGAGAGAATTGCCTATTTTCGTTTTTTCTCAAACTAGAGCTGTTCTGCCATCATCACTACCTTTTAAAGGAAATCCCACTAATCTAATTTTAATGAATAGGTATTGTGCACCTGTTCCCTATACTCAAGAATGTAATTGGATAAGATCAACCCTGTTAACAATGATACAAGGCAGTTTTTTTTTTTTTTGGTTGTTTTATTTTGTTTTGTTTTTGGACAGGGTCTCACTCTTTCCCCCAGGCTGGAGTTTTCCCCAGGCTGGAGTGCAGTGGCATGACCTCGGCTCACCGCAACCTCCGCTTTCCAGGCTTTAGTGATTCTCCTGCCTCAGCCTCTGGAGTAGCTGGGATTACAGGCCAGTGCCACCACACCTGGCTAATTTTCGTATTTTTAACAGAATTGGGGTTTACACCATGTTGGCCAGGCTGGTCTTAAAATCCTGACTTCAAATGGTCTGCCCGCCTCGGACTCCCAAAGTGCTGGGATTACAGGCATGAGCCACTGCGCCCAGCTTCAAGGAAGATTTTTTTTTTTTTTTTTTTTTTGAGACAGAGTTTTGGTCTTGTTGCCCAGGCTGGAGTGCAGTGGAGCCATCTCAGCTCACTGCAACCTCCACCTGCCGGATTCAAGTGATTTTCCTGCCTAAGGCCAGCCTCCAGAGTAGCTAGGATTACAGGCATGTGCCACCACGCCCTGCTAATTTTGTATTTTTAGCAGAGACGGGGTTTCTGCATGTTGGTCAGGCAGGTCTGGAACTCCCGACCTCAGGTGATCCTCCCGCCTCAGCCTCCCAAAGTACTGGGATTGCAGGCGTGAGCCACCGCGCCTGGCCAAGGCAGATTTTTAAACATGACAAAGGTGAAAGACAGAGAGTGAAGGGAGCAATCATACCATTTTGGAAGAATTAAGGAGGCTTCCTGGAGGAGAGTGTGATGATTCTTGATGAATAAATAGAGGTAATCAAAAAAAAGTGTGGTACTATCACCAAAACCAATAGACAATAAAAGAGATTATAAAACTCATAAACATACCCACATAATATAAGAATTCCTTAGGTAATGAAGGTGACATTATAAATTAGTGGGGAAGAAACATACTCAATTAGTAGTGAAGGAAATATGCTTAACCATGGGAAAATAGACTGTCACCTTGTTTCCTGAAGAAAAAAAAAGTGTAAAACACAAAACCAGAAACCAGAAAAAATACAAGTGACTAATTGATCTAAAGATAGAGAAGGACCTTCTAAATATAAAAGAATTGGAAGAACTTAAAAAGGATGAGATTGATTTGACTGTATAAAATACCTAATGTAGATGACGGGTTGATGGGTGCAGCAAACCACCATGGCACATGTATACCTATGTAACAAACCTGCCCCATGTATCCCGAAACTTAAAGTATAATAATTAAAAAAAAATGACATCCTGGGAAAAAGATATCTGTAATGTATGTCAGACAAAGGTTTAATGTACTTAACATATCAAGATCTCTTACTAACCAACAAGAATAAAAGGACATGAATATATAAGTCCCAAAAGAAATATAAAACTCAAGTAATTCTTTTTTAATGCTCAACCTCACTAGTAATCAAAGAAATGCAAAATAAACTATATTCTATGTTTCATCTACCAAACTAGCAAAAGAAACTGTTTAATTTTATTTCAATGGTTTTGGGGGTACAGGTGGTTTCTATAGGAATAAGCTCTGTAGTACTGATTTCTGAGAGTTTTGGTGCACCTATCACCTGAGCAGTGTACACTATACCCAGTGTGTGGTCTGTTATCTCTCACCCCTCTCCCAACCTTCCCTGCGAGTCCCCAAAGTCCATTATATCATGCTTATGCCTTTGCATTCTCATAGGTTAGCTCCCAAAAGAAACATTTTAATTGCTGATAAATGTGCAATAAACATCTCCCCATTTTCCCCACCCCCAAGACCCTGGCAATCATGATTCTACTCTCTGCTTCTATGAGTTCAACTTTTTTAGATTCGCCATATAAGTGAGGTCATAGAATATTAGTCTTTCTGTGTCTGGCTTATTTCACTTAATGTAACATCCTCCAGGTTTATCCATGTTGTCACAAATGTCAGAATTTCCTTACTTTTTATGGGTAAGTATTCCATTGTCTTGTATTTACTACATTTTGTTTATCTCTTCACTCATTGACAGACACATTGTTTCTGTATCTTGACTATTGTGAGTAATCCTTTGGATATAAATGCAGAAGTGGAATTGCTGGATCGTATGATAGTTCTATTTTTAATTTTTTGAGGAACCTCCATACTATTTTTCTGTAATGGCTGTATCAATTTATATTCCCACCAGCAGTGTACAAGGGTTCCTGTTTCTCTACACCCTCAGCAACACTTGTTATTGCTTATCCTTTTTTTTTTTTTTTTAATAGAGACAGTCTTGCTGTGTTGCTTAGGCTGGTCTCAAACTTTTAGTGTCAAGCGGTCCTCCCACCTCAGCCTCCCAAAGTGCTGGAATTACAGGCATGAGCCACCCCGCCTGGCCATTTTTTCGATAATAGCCATTCTAACAGGTGTGAGGTGATATCTTATGGTTTTGACTTGCATTTTCATGATGATTAGTTATGTTGAGTTTGTTTTAATGTATCTGTTGGCTATTTTTATGTCTGCTTTGGAAAACTGTCTATTCGCATCCTTTGCCCAATTTTTAATTGGGCAATTTGTTTTCTTGCTCTTGAGTTGTATGAGTTCCTTACGTATTTTGGATATTAACTCCTTACCAGATATATGGTTTGCAAATATTTTCTCCCATTGCATAGGTTACCCTTTCATTTTGTTGATTGTTTCCTTTGCTATGCAGAAGCTTTTTAGTTTGATGTAGTCCAACTTGTTTATTTTTGCTTCTGTTGCCTATACTTTGGGTGCATATCTGAAAAATCATTGCCAAGACCAATGGCAAGTGGCTTTCCCCTTATATTTTTTTCTAGGAGTTTTATAATTTCAGGTCTGATATTTAAGTCTTTAACCCATTTCAATATAATTTTTGTGGAGGGTGTAAAGTAAGGGTATAATTTTACCCTTTTGCAGGTAATCTACCTTAGATACCTAGTTTTTCCAACACTATTTATTGAAGAGACCATCCTTTACCTATTGTGTATTCTGGATGCCCATGTCAAAGATTAGTTGACCATATATGTGTGGGTTTATTTTTAAGCTCTGTATTCTTTTCCATTGGTCTCTGTCTGTTTTTATGCCAGTACTACACTGTTTTGATTAGAATAGCTCTGTAATATAATTTGAAAACAGGGAGTGTGATATCTCTAGCTTTGTTGTTGTTTCTCAAGATTGCCTTGATTGGCCAGGTGCGGTGGCTCACGCCTGTAATCCCAGCACTTTGGGAGGCTGAGGTGGGCAGATCATGAGGTCAGAAGATCGAGACCATCCTGGCTAACACAGTGAAACTGTGTCTCTACTAAAAATACAAAAAAATTAGCCAGGTGTGGTGATGGGTGCCTGTAATCCTAGCTCCTCAGGAGGCTGAGGCAGGAGAATGGCATGAACCCGGGAGGCGGAACTTGCAGTGAGCCGAGATTGCGCCACTGCACTCCAGCCTGGGCAACAGAGCGAGACTCTATCTCAAAAAAAAAAAAAAAAACCAGATTGTCTTGATTATGTGAGGACTTTTGTGGTTCCATATGAATTTTGGGATTGTTTATTTCTATGAAAAAAATGCCATTGGAAGTTTGATAGAGATCACATTGAATCTAGACTGCTTTGGGGAGTATAGATATTTTAACAATACTAATTCTTCAATCTGTGAACATATCTTTATTTGTATCTTCATTTTCTTTCATCAATGTCTTATTGTTTTTAGCGTACAGATTTTTCACCTCCTTGGTTAAATTTATTCGTAATTATTGTATTGTTTTTGATGCAATTATAAATGAGATGTTTTCTTAATTTCTTTTTTAGGTAGTTTATTGTTAGTGTGTAGAAATGCAACCAATTTTCATTTGTTGATTTTGTATCCTGCAACTTTGCTGAATTGGTTTGTTCTAATTTCTTTCCTTCTTTCTTTCCCTCTTTCTTTCTTTCTCTCTTTCTTTCTTTCTCTTTCTTTCTTTCTCCTTCCTTCCTTCCTTTTCAATCTCTTTCTCTCTCTCTCTCTCTTTCTTTTGAGACAGGGTCTCGCTCTGTCATCCAGACTAGAGTGCAGTAGCATAATCACAGCTCACTGCAGCTTTAACCTCCTGGGCTTAGGCAATCCTCCCACCTCAGCCTCTGAAGTAGCTGGGACTACAGGCCCACGCCACCACACTCGGCTAATTTTTTTATTTTTTGTAGAGACAGGTGCCGCTGTGTTGCCTAGGATGATCTCAAACCGCTAAGCTCAAGCAATCCTCCTGCGTCGACTTTCCAAAGCGCTGGAATTATGGGCGTGAGCCACTGTGCCCAGGTGGGTTTTCTATATATCAGATTATGTCATATGCAGAGATAATTTAACTTCTTTTCTGATTTGGATGACTTTTATTTCTTTTTCTTGCCTAATTACTCTGGTATATTCCTTCTTTAAATTGTTGAGAGTTTTTATCATGAAAGATGTTGAATATTATTAAATGCTTTTTCTTGCATCTACTGAATTGATCATATGATTTTTATACTTTGTTTAGTTAATGTGAAATATTGCATTAGTTGATTTGCCTATGTTGAACTATCCTTGCATCTCAGGAATAAATCCTACTTGATCTTAGTGTATGATACTTCTAATGTGGCATTGAATTTTGTTTGCTAATATTTTGTTGAGGATTTTTGCCTGTAGAGCCAGAAGTCAGGGATATTGACCTATAATTTTCTTTTCTTTGTAGTTATCTTTATCTGGCTTTGATGTGAGGGTAATGCTGGCCACATAAAATGAGTTTGGAAGTGTTCCTTTCTCTTCAGTTTTAAATGCTTGGTAGAATTCACCCATGAAGCTATCTGGTCTGGGCTTTTCTTTTTTTTTTCCTTTCCTTTCTTTTTTGTTTTTTACTAGCCCTGCCAAAGGAAGACCTCAAAAAATTAGCTAAAAAGTCAGAGTCTTTCCTCTCCATAGGAATCTTGAGTAAAAGGTGAAAAATTTATGTGACCTGAAAACAAGCCAGAATATTGCTGGGTTTTTCTCTATTGGGAAGTTTTTGGTTACTGGATCAATCTCCTTACTCATAATTGGTCTGTTCAGATTTTCTGTGTCTTTGTGATTCAGTCTTGGTAAATTGTATGTTTCTACAAATTAGAGTACTACCTTGAACTTAACAGATGTTCATTAAATATTTAATTGACTGATTCTTCTTGTCTCATAAGAATGATATAAGAAAATACATAGTGTTAATGTCATGTCAAGCCGTTAAAACGTTAAAGTTATAATGTGAGAAGTTACTTTGAATGGTTCAGCCCATGAGCAGGGTATTTTGTATAGCAGCAATAACTATTTGTTTATTTTTATTTTTTTAGGGACAGGGTCTTGCTATGTTGCCCAGGCTGGTGTCAAACTCCTGGACACAAGTGATCCTCCTGCCTTGGCCTTCCAAAGTGCTGGGATTACAGTCATGAGCCACCACACCTGGCTCATTATTTGTTATTGGTAACATATTAGATATCTATTGCTGCATAATGAATAACCCCAAAACATAGTGGCTTAAAACAATAAAAATCATTTATTATCTCTCACAATTTCTGTGAGTTGGGAATTCAAAAGTAGATCAGTTGGGCGGTTCTATGTCAGTCTCTTATAAAGTTTCAGTCAGATGTTGGCAAGGGTTGTAGTCATCTAAAGTCTGGTCTGGAGCTGGAGAATCCCCTTCCACAGTGGCTCTTTCACATTCTTGGCAGCTTGGCATGAGCTATTGGCCACACGGGGCTCTCCACAGGACGGCTTGAGTGGCCTCACAGCATGGTCACTGGCTTATCCTGGAGCAAGTGGTTCAGAGACCAAAGCAGGAGCTGCAATGCCTTTTATCACTTAGCCTCAGAATTCACACATCACCTCTGCCATATTCAGAGCCACCCTCGACTGAATTTGAGCAGGAGACTAGTGAAGCACCTGAATGCTAGGAAGCAAGCATCCCTGGAGGTTATCCTAGAGGCTGGCTTCCACAGGTGATGACATTTTCAGCATAGAGAATTATTTGTCTTCTAAAAATATGTAAGGATGGAAGCCTTAACTGCTCCTTCAGTAATATTTTATTACTCAAGAAACTGTTTCTTAATTTCTGGCAAAACCTCTCTTAAGTCTAGAAAAACAACTCTGCTCAAGACCATTGATTTGGTATTGCTCTTCAGAGGTCTTTGAAAATAACCCTCGTGACAATGCCAGTGAAAAAAACATTTTAGTTATAACAACCCATTTTGGGGACAAAAGGACTTTAAGAACAAAGCAAGGCATTCATTCTTTCATTTATTCAATAAACAATGGACTACATTTAAAATGTTTTTAGAGACGAGGTCTTGCTCTGTCACCCAGGCTGGAGCGCAGTGCTGTAATCATAGCTCACTGCAGCCTCGCTCCTGGGCTCAAGTGATCCTGATCCTGCTTCAGCCTCCTCTGTAGCTAGGACTATAGGCACATGTCATCGTGCCTGGCTGATTTTTAAATTTTATTTTTTAGAGCTAGGGTCTTGCTATGTTGCCCAGGCTTGTCTTAAACTCCTGGCCTCAAGCAGTCCTTCCACCTCAGCCTTCCAAAGTTCTGGGATTACAGGCATGAGCCACTGTACTGGCTTGGATGAAATTTCATTTGTGGCCAATATATACAAAGTAACATATTCCAAAAATGATTTTACAGTTTGTGATTATGCCAGTTAATTACTACCTAAAGTTGATATTATTTGGGCTTACTTCCCTTTTCCCGATCAATTTTCTGGATGTGACACTAACAGTAAAACTATCATTGATACAGCACTTACTATGTGCCAAGTACTTTATACATCTTTTAATATAGTGTTTTCTTAGTCTTTGAGATGAGGTCTCACTATGATGCCCAGGCTGATCTTGAACTCCTGAGCTCAAGCAGTCCTCCCGCCGTGGTGTCCCAAAGTGTTAGAATTACAGGCATGAGCCACCACGCCCGGCCAAGTGCTTTATATATGACTTATCTTCTTGTAAGTCTTCAAGGTAGGTGTACTTTTAACCACTTGATTATGAAGAAATGGGGGCTCCAAAAAATTAAGTAACTTGTCCAAATACACAGAACTAGTAACTAATAAGGCTAAGATGCAAACCAAGGTTTGTGTAGCTTTCCTCCGTAAACCTGGCTGCTGTTAGTGAGTTGTCCACACACACACAGGCCTCCCACCTGAGTAGTAAGAGATTTCCACTTGTTATTCAGGCAATGTCAAATTGTTTCTGCAGTTATCTTTCTTACTGTATCAACAGTGTGATTGAAAGATACTGTTTCAGGGAGAAGTCTTCTTTGGCTTACCAAGAATCAAATATTTGACACAGAACAAACGTTTTCATTTTTTTTTTTTTTCAGATCATTTGCCAAAAGTACCACACAATTAGCAATACATTATTACATTTTTTTTTTTTTGAGACAGAGTTTCACTCTGTCACCCAGGCTGGATGCAGTGGCATGGTCTCGGCTCACTGCAACCTCTGTCTCCTGGGTTCAAGCAATTCTCCTGCTTCAACCTCCTGAGTAGCTGGGATTACAGGCATGCACTACCACGCCCAGCTAATTTTTGTATTTTTAGTAGAGACAGGGTTTCACCATGTTGGCCAGGCTGGTTACAAACTCCTGACGTCAAGTGATCCATGCGCTCAGACTCCCAAAGTGCTGGGATTACAGGCGTTAGCCACCATGCCTGGCCAACATCTTACTTTCAACTAAATTACTTTTCCTTTCATTTGACAACACTCACACATAAACACACTCTTATTTACACTTAATTAGCTCTTCCCATTTTGTTTTTCTACATACCTAATTATAATGAGATTTTAAAATCAAGGTTAGGGAATTATATAGAGCAATGGAGGAAGAAACTAATCCAAGCTTCAAGAGAGAAATAATATTTTAAATCTGTTCTCTAAATAACCATTGCCCAGTGTTGGTCTAAAGCCATACTGTCAGATATGGTAGCCACCAGCAACATGTGGCTATTTACATTTTAAATGAATTTAAAATGAAATAAAATCTTAAAAATGTACTTCCTCAGTTGTGCTAGTCACATTTCAAACGTTCAGTAGCCTCCTGTGGCTAGTGACTGCCATATTGGACAGCACAGATACAGAAATTTTCATCATCACAGAACTTTCTATTGGAATATGCTAGAAAGAAACAATGTTATAAGAAAGACTTTCACAGATCAGATAAACCAAAATAAACTAAAATGAATAGCAAGATCCATGTGTTATTTTAAATCCTTTTTCACACTTTCATTTTTTGACAATGTATATATTTATGTTTTCTTTTTAAATTATATATGTATATACATTAAGTACTCAATAAATTTACCTATGATTATTTTGAATTTAGAAAGAAATGTATGTGTGTACCTATATATACAGATTTCTTTCTAAATACAAAATAATCATTTATAAATATATTGAATATTTCGTAAATTATAGGAGTTGTGCTAAGTGATTTACATGAATTGACTCATTTAATCCTTAGTACAATGCTGTGTTTATTGTGAAAAATTTGGAAGACATAAAGCATATATAGAAAAATTTGGAAAAATAAAGCATATAAAGAAAATAAAGCATATAGAAAAATAAAGCATATTAATCCCCAAACTTAGATAACCACTGTTGACATTTCTAGTGGATGCTGTGGTATGCTGCCCAGATCCCAAGATACAGCTACCAGGAATGTTGGCTGTTGCTGGCTCATAGTTTAATTCCTCTCTAAAATTGTCTTCAGTGAGGGAAATATTGCCTCACCCAATATTCCCCTCCTTGGGTCAGCTCAAATCCAACGACTGGTCAGTTGTGGAGGTACAAAGGCATCAAGTCAATTGGCACAATCTGGGATATCCCAGCTTTAGAGTGTCCCATGAGACAAGTTAAAGCCTCTGTGGCAACTGCCCTGCAATTCACCCTCCCCCTCTGCCCAATCCTGCCCCTGCTTCCCTTAACAGATGCTGTTCCTGAGCGTTCTCACCAGTAAATCACCTGCATACAAACCTCTGCTTCAGAGTCTATTTCCTGAAAAACTCAACTGAAGTCAACATTTTTGGAATATAAGTTCCATTTTTTTCTTTTTGCATCTGTCCATTAAAAATTTTTAAATATGTATTTATTTTGCTCTAAAACATTTGAAATTTTCTTATTATTTTATATTAAATGTTTAGTTGATAATACTTTATAGATAATTTAGCATGTAACTATCTGCAACAGTATTTTTTTTTCTAGATGGGATCTTGCTCTGTCGCCCAGGCTGGAGTGCAGTGGCATGATCTCAGCTCACCACAACCTCCAGGTTCAAGTAATTCTCATGCCTCGGCCACATGAGTATGTGAGTAGCTGGGATTACAGGCATGCACCAGCACGCCCGGCTAATTTTTGTATTTTTAGTAGAGATGGGGTTTCGCCATGTTGCCCAGGCTGGTCTCAAACTCCTGGCCTCATGTGATCCGCCCTCCTCAGGCTCCCAAAGTGCTGGGATTACAGGTGTGAGCTACCACACCTGGCTCACAACACAATTTTTAACAGCCACCTGGGATTCATATGGCACGTGACACTCAGTCAATCTTGTATTGTTGGATATTTTGATATTTCCTGGTTTTTCTGTGGCCAACCCTAAAACTTAGCAGAGAAGCACCCATTCCCAAATCGCTTCTCACTAACCTACCTCTACAATATCTAGGAATATTTAGTTTTGTAGCCTCACTTACAAGTTCCAGCCATTGAGAAATAAGCTCAAGTTTTGTGAGAGTTGAGGGGGAAGTTCCAGGAAACATTTTGCCTTCCAGATAAAATGGGACAGCCAAAGCTGGTATCATCTCTTAACTATTTCTTCTTGGTAAGGAATGAGATGTTCAGAGCTATCGTACCCCTTTTTCATCCATGAGAGAAAAGAAATTAGATACTTGGCTTTGACAAAATCACTGAACATTTAAACCAATGCCAGCAACCGCCTATCTCTGGATTTCTTGATATGATGAGTAAACTAAGTATTTTTTTAATCTACTGTGTTTGGCAGCTTAAATGTCACTATTCCTTACATTCATAATTTGAAGTATGCAGTGATAAACATCATTGTATGTAAGTACTTGAATAGCAACAACTTAACATAAAAGTCAGGGAATTAGGACCCTACATTTTCAGCATATTTTCTGCTTGAACTTGTGCAGCTCTGTCCCTAACCTTCTCTCCCATTTTATTTTTCTTGTGGGAACCAGAAAAATAATGCACATAAGGCTTTCTGAAATTTTCTGTTTCCATAAGCAATCTTGGATAAATAATTTTATCCAAGGATAAATCTCAACAGGCATAAGAATTTTGACAGTGAGGCAATCAGTCATTTTCCATAAATTTTTTTAGGCTTTTAAAAATCTCGTCAATATTGACAAGCCAACCTATTCAGCTTCTCCAGTTGTGTACTTCGAAAAGGCAGTAGTGGTTGGAAGAGGAAATAGACCTTTTGTAAGTCAGAACCTTATCTCTTCAAATAGGATGTTTTAGCAAATGCACCATTCCGTAGTGTTCATATCCACTTGTACAGAATCGTCAAGGTTTTTCTGGAGCAAGTTTTGTGTGAACTGAGTTGCATTCTAGACCAAGCCTTGGATTAACTCTCCATGTACTTCCTTGGAATCATTCAGGTCTCCAGGGTTGGGATGTTTTATTTCCTCAGCATAAGCATGAAGCATCAAAGAAACTGAACTGACTACCATTTGAAGCAAAAAGGAACAATAGTGAATTGAAAAATATTTATTGCAATTGTTTGATTTCAGCGTTCTAGTGGCAGACACTTAATAATGCAAATCTGAATCTAATGAGTCCACCTCCATATCTCCCACTTACCCAGTCTTGAGGCTGCTTCTAATTCTACGGCCCCAGAAACCTTGAGTTGGCTGGTTCTGGCTCAAAGCAAAGATATGGGAATGCTTTTGGATATTGTAGAGGATCAGAATATCCAAATCTGAAGTATCCAAGACAGATGTTTTGACTCATTACCACTAGTGTCTTTGGGACAGAAGACAGCTCCAGACCTGGCCAGACTGCCAGCAGTTTGCTCCAGACTAGACTTTCATTCATGGGCAAAGATTAAAACTGGACTAGCACAATCAACAGAGTGAAAAGCAACCTACAGAAGGGGAGAAAATATTTGAGATTCTGTATCTGATAAGAGCTCAATAGCTAGAATATAAAAATAACTCTTGCAGCTCAACAAAAAGAGCCCTAATTTTAAAATGAGCAGAAGACTTGAATAGACTTTTATGTAAAGAAGATATACAAATGGCCAACAAGCATATGAGAACATAAATACTCAAGATTACTAATCATTAGGGAAATGCAAATCAAAACTACAATTAGGTACTGCCTCACATCTATTAGGCTAGTCAAAAAAAAAAAAAAAACAGGTGTTGGCATGGATGTGGAGAAATTGGAACCTTCATGCACTGTTGGTAGGAATGTAAAATGGTGCAGCTGTTGTGGAAAAAAATGTAGAGGTTCCTCAAAAAATTAAAAATAGAACCACCAGCAATTATACTTCTGGATAATTATCTAAAAGAATTGAAAGCAAGATCTTGAAGAGAGGTTCCTACACCCATGTTCATAACAGCATTATTTGCAATAGCCAAGAGGTGGAAGCAGCCCAAATGTCCATCAAGGAAGGAATGAATGAAGAAAAATGTTACATACATACAGTGGAATATTATTCAGCCTTAAAAGGGAGGAAATCCTGTTATATACTGCATGTGTGAACCTTGAGGATATTATGCTGAGTGAAATAAGCCGGTCACAAAAAGACATATATTATGTCACTTATATGTAGTAACTAGAGTAGTCAAATTAATAGAAACAGAGTTGAATAATGGTTACCAGGGACTGGCTGGAAGGGGAAAATGGGGAGTTGTTTAATGGATGTAGAGTTTCAGTTTTACACAATGAAAAGGTTCTGGAGATCTGCTGCACAGCTGTGTGAATATGCATAACATTACTGAACTGTAGTGTTTTTTTTACCATAATAAAGTAATTTTTTTAATGAACTAGGCATCAAAGTTGGGTAGGCAAGGGACCGTTTATTTACCTGAATTCTGTTGCCTCCTCTCATCAACTGTTGATCCCACCCCAGGATTTGTTGTGTGTCTTAGTGTGGTAACATCATTAAACATATCTTAAACATTTTTTCCTTTTTTCTTTTTTTTTTTTTTTTTTTGAGACAGGGTCTCACTCTGTCACCCAGGCTGGAGTGCAGTGGTGTGATCTCGGCTCAGTGCTACTTCCACCTCCCAGGTTCAAGTGATTCTCCTGCCTCAGACTCCCAAGTAGCTGGGACTACAGGTGCATGCCACCACGCCCGGCTAATTTTTGTGTTTTTTAAGTAGAGACAGGGTTTCACCATGTTGGCCAGGATGGTCTTGAACTCCTAACCTCAAGTTATCTGCCCGCCTCGGCCTCCCAAAGTGCTGGGATTACAGGAGTGAGCCACTGCACCTGGCCTCATTAAAAATATCTTGTTTTTAAAAATATGAGCTATTTTCCTTCAGTATTTTAGTTCTTTGACATTTCATCATGTTCTTTCACATCTCATCAACACTCTATCAAGGGTCAGCAAACTATAGCTCATGGGCTAAATCTGGCTTGCAGGGTTTGAGAATGGTTTTTTTATTTTTAAAGGGTTATTTTAAAAGAAGAGGAAGAAGAGGAGGAGGAAGGAAGAAAAGGAGGAAGGAGGAGAAGAAATCATATGTGGCTCACAAAATTTAAAATATTTACACTCCTGGCTCTTTGCAGGAAAAGTTTGCTAGTTTGCTGACCCCTGAAAACTATATATCACATTTTGAATTTTTTGTATTCTGCTGATGTATTAGGTGTAAGAAAAAGAACCACTCAAACTATTTTCAGCAAAAATGAATTTAATGCAGGGTATCAGGAGCTTATAAAATCATTGGGAAGTCTAAAGGAATGGTCACTTAGCAGGCCTCCAGAAATGATTCCTAGAGCAAGTCTGCTGGATGGTCTACTGAGGAGCTGCCATCTCTGCAATAATCAGAAAGGCAGGCAGGCAGAGACCTCCAGTGGAGTGTTGAGTTCAAAGACATACTGCTGTACCTGTGATCCAAGGATCAAGAGGCCACTGCTGCCCCTGCTACTTCCTCTAAACAGGCACAGGGGTAGGACCTAGACACTGAAATACTGCTGCAGAAATACCCAATGTGTCTACAACTAGTTTTCCAGCAGAAACAAAACATAACTGTAGCCTAGGATCCACCTTCCAAGTGTATCTAATTGGCAGAAGCATAACCCTACCTGCAGGACATGAGGGAAATGTGTCTTTTCCTTCTTTAACCTCTGTATTCAAAGAAAGCACACTAGAAGATTGGAATGGCTGAGAGCCAGAGCCAGTCCAGAGTACTCACCACAGCAGGTTTGTTGCTTTAGGCTATATTCAACTCTTCTCATCTTTGGACAACTCCTTATTCTTTCATTTGAGGAACTTTCCCTGACACTTCCTTCCCTACCTCCACCGTTAGTGGATTAGATGCCCTTTCATAACCTTCCATAGCTCTCAGCCCTAGCTCTGCAATGTGTACATCACTCCATGTCATAATGGCCTAATTTCTTGCTGCTGCTTCCACTAGACTAGCTCTTTGCAGAAACTCAGTCTTATTCATCACTGTGTAGGTAGTTGGTGTGTATTTGTTGTGAATGATAAATAGTTTATATATTATAACATCCAAAATAGCATTTCTTCTCTTACTTTCTTTGTTCCACATGACTGTGTACTGATACCTGTATACAGTGAAAACTCAGTAAATGTTGTTAACTGACTGGCTTCCTTTTTTGTCAGCTCAAAGAGAAGTTCCATCAATATGCTATATGTGTGTCTTTGTTTGACTCCCTGTGTACATAGGTCAGCTGTTCACAATGGAACAGCTAATATTTGAACAGTTTCAACATGCTAGGTGATATTTGAAGCACTTTATACATACTATCTAATTAAATCCTCACAATTATCCTATGAAGTTGATATTTTTATTCTCATTTTATAAATAAAGAAACTGGGACTTAAGTAGCTTGTCCACAGTTACACAATAAGTGACAGAACTGGGACTCACATCGAGGTCTGGCTAAGACCAAAATTTGTACTCTTAACCATGATAATGATGATGATTGTGATAATGATGACAGCTAATAGTTCCAGACTTGGTTCTAGGCATTTTACATGTATTATCTCAAGCTACACATTGCCTTGCCTGGAATTGATGCTTAATAGTTGTTACATGTGATAAGATAAACAAAGCTCTTGATAACTGTGATGTATTTCTGGCTCTGCCACTAATTTACTTTGTGACCTCAGGTAAACTACTAACTCTGTGAGCTCCAGTTTTCTCCTCTGCAAAACAGAGAATGATCTTTACAATACTTCTAGTCCAAAAATTCCAGAACTCTATGAATAAATTCTACTTAGTTTTTCATTCCATCATTATTACTTCTATGTGAAAAGATCTTAGCTTCTAAATTCTAAGCTCCTATAGGATCCCAATTTTGTTTTACGGTTTTCTTCCGTGGTACCTGGTCTGGTGCTCTGCACAGTACATAACAGGCTCATGGTAAGTATGTATAAAGATATATAGATACAGATTGAAATTTGTCCAAGGGGAAATATCCATCCTCACAAGAATCTGTGCTTGTTGTCATTTAGTGTATTCCTTTGGGGGTGACATTCAAATGTAATTTAGGGCTGCCACAGAGAAATCAGCACTCAGAACCTTGAGAAACCTTTTCTCTTTCTGTAGTCACAGATAAGAGTCTTATCCTTAAAGCAGAGCTATGATCACTGCCCAAGCAGCTACTCTTAGGGCTGAATGCAGATTTCTTTCGTGCTGAGTGCAGGTAAAAAGGTCTTGGCCTGTGGATAATGGCAGACATAGGAAGGAGTGTTCTAGAGGGTACTGGCCCCCTATCTCTCTCTCTTTTTCCACCCCACCCCCCCATCTCTTAATAGGGAAATCAGAGAATCCCAGATCATTTCATAGCTTTCGCAGATTACACATGAAGAGTTAATGCCTGATCCCTGAGCAGCAGGAAAATCCCCAGTCGAGAGTCAGCACGGATAGGTCCACATGCTCTTGCTCCAGTTTCTTTAAGGACTTGAATACAAAAAATCGACAGAGGTGATTGTATGAAACACCTTTGTATGGAAACTGATATTAAGAATCATTCATTGGACTGGGAAAACACTACATATTTAAAAAAAAAAAAACAGAACTCGTTAACCTGTTCATATGTGCATCTGTGCATTTCTTAGTAACTGTCACCATGGTAGCAAAGCAGTTCGACAAGGGTGCCTTTTTAGCACAGTATATATAAAGGAGAAAGATGAACAGCCAATCATGTACTTACTATCTTATACCTTTCTTTGTTTCTTTATTTCCCTTTATTTAATTGTGTTGATCCTAAATCCATAGCTATTAGCCTCTGACACTTATCTTCCTCAAGCATCAAGTACAGTGCTAGAAATATATTAGGCACTAAAACATGTATGGTTGTTCCTTTATTTGATTGTGTTGATCCTAAATCCATAGCTATTAGCCTCTGACACTTATCTTCCTCAAGGATCAAGTACAGTGCTAGAAATATATTAGGCACTAAAACATGTATGGTTATTGACAGAATTAAATGAATGGTATTTCTGGCCAGGTGCGGTGGCTCACACTTGTAATCTCAGAATTTTGGGAGGTCAAGGCTGGCAGATCATTTGAGCACAGGAGTTTGAGACCAGCTTGAGAAACACAGCAAAGCCCCGTCTCTACAAAAAAAAAAAAAAAACAAAAGTTAGCCAGGCATGGTGGTGCGTGCCTGTGGTACCAACTACTCAGGAGGCTGAGGTGGGTGGATCACCTGAGCTCAGGGAAGTTGAGGCTGCAGTGAGCTGTGATTGTACCACTGCACTCCAGGCTGGGCAACAGATTGAGACCCTGTCTCAAAAAAGGGTAGTTCTGCTGTGTCTTCCTTTCCAAGCTAGAGAGTGTCACTGAGAGTTTGATTTTAAGAAATGGCTCCAGCGGGGCATGGTGGCTTATACCTGTAATCCCCTGCCTTTGGGAGGCCGAGGGAGGAGGATCACTTGAGGCTAAGAGTTCCAGACCAACCTGGGCAACAGAGTGATACCCTGTCTCTACCAAAACAAAAAAAAAATTGTTTTAATTATCTTGGCATGATGGCATATGCTATCGTATAGTCCTAGCTACTGGGAGGTTAAGGTAGGACAGTCACTTGAGCCTAGGAATTCAGGGCTGCAGTGAGCTATGATAGTTGGTGCCACTGCGTTCCAGCAAGATCCTGTCTCAATAAAAAAGAAAAAAAAAAGTAAAAAGGAAATGGCTTCTACATTTGGAGGAATCAAAACTAGGCCATTTTCTTGATTGGGCTGGCCCAACCCGGATTTCAGATTGAGAGGGTAAGAGGACAGTGATTAGGTACTCTGAGACACTGTATTACTAGAAGACTGATACCTAAGTGGTAAGTAGAATAGTAAGTAAATTCACATTCATCAGTGAGGATGTTCAAAGCCCAGAAGCTTTGAGTAAGGACTTAGGGTGACAAGTTTGGCAGCAGTTCCTGAAGTGTTTACTGTCAGGCCTGAGTTAAAACCCTGAGGACAAGGAGCTCCACTGCTTGGGCTTCATACTGAGAAAGCTTTTTGAGCCCCTGCCTCTACCTTATACCCAAGTAACACTCAGTCCGGGAAGTCTCCTTGTTATAACTCCTTGAGTTAATGATAATCTTTTATTATGGTCTTTTCCCTAATGAATTCTTACATTTCATTTTAATTGTCAGCTGCATAATTGCCCTGCTTTCAGTTATTTCCATTTCTATTTTTAATGTTTGTTATTTCATGTTTCTTTTTAAGAGTTTAAACATAGACACACCCTCTTATTTTAATAGCCAGCATGTCCATATTTGCCGCTTTAAAATCTGGGTTCCTGCAGTTTCAACAGATCCTCAAGGTGTGCCACCTCCAGCTTATAGATTGATATTCTAGTCATGTTCAAGGCTGAAAACAGCTGCAAGAATTTGTCCTTGAAATTCTTTAGCAGTTGCTTCCAGTAGCTAAAGTCCTAATTTGGCCAGTCTGGTGGATCAGCCACTGGGAAAGGATCATCACTGTGTTATCACCCTCACTGGGACAAACTAAGCAGAGCCAGCCTCTGGGCAGAACAAGTCATGGAAGGCACTGTTCCCAGAAAGGAACGGGTTAAATCCTTCCGAACCTCCTAAGGAATCTGACCTAGTTTCTTGAAACTAGAATGTAACTTGAAAGTGTAATTGGTTGCAAATGTGTTTTCTTTCTTTCCTCAAAATTACTTTTGAACCCCTGTGAGACAGGGAGAAGGCATTTCTCTTCACATGTACTCAGACTACCACCACTGATAAGTTTGACTAACTCATCATGAAAGTTGGGGAGCAAGGCCAGTTGCGGTGGCTCACACCTATAATCCCAGCACTTTGGGAGGCCAAGGCGGGTAGATTGCTTGAACTCAGGAGTTCAAGACCAGCCTGGCCAACATGACGAAGCCCTGTCTGTACTAAAAATAGAAAAATGGGCCGGGTGTGGTGGCGCTTACCTGTAGTTCCAGCTACTTGGAGGGCTGAGGTGGGAAGATCACTTGAACCTGGGAGGTTGAGGCTTCAGTGAGCCAAGATTATGCCACTGCACTCCAGCCTGGATGACAAAGTGAGACCTTGTCTCAAAAAAAAAAAAAAAAAGAGCTGGGGAGCAGACAAAAAAATATAACTTAATTTAAGAAAAGAATGTTTGGGTCTCTGAGAAAATCTATGAATGCATAGTTGGTGTGGTTGTGGCATTCAAGGCCTCTATCTGTTTTGGGGAGTGTGTGTTGGGGAGTGTGAGACGGGTTCTCACGGTGTTACCCAGGCTGGTCTGGCACTCCTGGGCTCAAGCTATATCCTCCCACCACAGCCACCGAAGTAGCTGGGCATGCAGGTGTGTGCTGCCATGCCTGGCTCCTATTTTTTTTGTTGTTGTTTGTTTTGGCCACTGAGTTTAGCACAATGCCAGGCACAAGGACTCAGTGAATATTTGTTGAATGAATGAATAAAAAGCTTTTCACAATCTGACTCCTACCTACCTTTCTAATTGTAGTTCCTACTGCCCTTCTTCTCAAACATATACACTTTCTACTCTGGCAAAATAACTATCGAGTTTCCTAAAAATCTCTCCTGCTTTCCCACTTCTGTACTTTTGCTGTTGCTGCACCCACTATCTGAAAGCATCTTCCCTCATATCCCAGACTGTGAATATATTACTATTTGTAAAGACTCAGCTGGGCACGGTGGCTCAGGCCTGTAATCTTGGCACTTTGGGAGGCCGAAGTGGGTGGATCATGAAGTCAGGAGATTGAGACCAGCCTGGCCAACATGGTGAAACCCCGTCTCTACTAAAAATACAAAAAATTAACCGGGCGTGGTGGCATGTACCCATAGTCCCAGCTATTCAGGAGGCTGAGGCAGGAGAATGGCTTGAACCCAGGAGGCGGCGCTTGCAGTGAGCCGAGATCACGCCACTGCACTCCAGCCTGGGCAACAGAGCAAGACTTCGTCTCAAAAAAAAAAAAAAAAAAAAAAAAAAAAGCCTCATCTCAAATGCTGCCTCCTTCATGAAAATGTTAGTGATTGTCTCAGTAAGATTATGAGCCTTTTCTCCTTCTAACTCTCACAAAACTTTGAATCTCCTGGTCATTTATTATCAGCTACCTTATAGTTATTTTTGTGGTTAACTTGTTCTCCTTGCTGTATTCTAAGCTTCTTAAAGCTAGGCACTGGGTCTTATTAATCATTATACCGCTGAGCACCTACCTAATACTCTGTAATTTACTGTTGAAATAATCAGTTTTGCTAGTGCTATATACCATGAGCACCATAAAATACACTAATTTTTATCCTTCTTAAAATTTAAGAGTTTTCATACATAGACATTATTTAAACTCTAGAACTGGATGGGAAATATACCTTTGTCAACATTTTCTTTCCAGTTATTTCTGCAGATTGAGCACTCATTAGGACTCTCCCTTTGTGCCTTGTGGACTTGTTTTTTTTTAGTGACATAGGCATCATTAAAATTTATGTCTTGTGCACCTCAGAGTTGATCTTTAGAGCACTTTTTGTTAAGTGTGGATCTATCATTAAATTCTTAACTCCTCTGAACATTCATTCCTGTCATTCTTGCCTACATACTAAAAGGTGGCATTTCCCTTCATTCCCTCGTTTACATTTGAGGCAAAGGTCTGCACGGACCCTTGGGACTCTGCTTTCTGCATGTTAGTAAACATTTCTTTCCATAAATGCCCTCTTTCTGACACTTAATGATAAAACCAAAGATTGTCTTCCAACTTTTTAAAAATTAGCTATCGCCACCTGGGTGGCATAAAGTGAGGGGATATGAAACACAAATTATCCTAGAATTGAGCCTGGAAGTGAATGACTGAGAAACTTCCCTCTTGAAAGCAGAAAAACTGCTATGTGCTGTATTTCCTAAAACTTCTAGCCCTCCTGAGGAAGGTTTGTAATATCTCATTTGGGAGAATGTGAAGTTTTCAGACAAAAGACATAAAGAGGTGGACAAAATTGGTCATTACAAAATTTGGGGTAGTTTTTGACCAGTGTCTGGGTAGCAGTTCTGGGTTTTAATCGTCCAAGTCTCCTAAAAGTACAAATGCTCCTCCAGGCAAGCCATCACTAGTTTTTATTTTAAATAAAATTCTCTCTTTTTCCCCACCCTCCTCCTCTTGCAATATAGCTATTATTCTGCCAATTTCCTCCTTGTCTCTTTGTCACTCACTCTCCGTCTGCTTTCCTGCTTTTCTAATCATATCCCTCTTTTTCCATTATTTCAATTTGTATCATAATATTTAGCCATAAAATACTTTTTCACTTTTTAAGGTAATTTCATGATTGTCTTGTTCTAATTGATCTTCTTTTTCAAAATATCTGTTTGTGACTGAAAACACCTTTTGAGCATCTACTATGAGCCAGATCCTGGGCTAGGTAAGGAGATATAGTGGTAAACATATCATACATGACCCTGCTTCATGGAGCTCATAGTCTAATGGAGGTAACGTTAATTAAATAAGAACATAAATAACTATTGTAATAACTAAAAGTGTATATATGGTAAGATCAGAAATAGCCTCAAGGAGAAAGCTGAGTTTTGTGGATGTAAGTGCACATAAACCTGGTGAAGGTTTATGTGTTTCAGGCGCGAGATCACAGCATGAGGTCACAGCGTGTGTAATGGAGGTGTGAAGGGGCTTGGCATTTCAAGATAAAGAGAGAAGACCAATGTGGTGGGAACATTGCAAGCCAAGGGCAGAGTGATTTCAGGTGAGGTAGATAGGGACTAGTAAATGCAGTGCCACCACAGGCCAGGTAAATATTTTGGACTTAATCCTAAGAAAAATAGAAAAGCTATTGAAAGGTGTAAATAAGGAAAGGATATGATCAGATTTGATTATTTTAATAACAATGGGGAAATTGAAAATTCAGGGAGATGTGTACAAAAGCTATTGCTGAGCCAGGTGTTGTGGAACACAGCTGTAATCCCAGCTACTCAGGAGGCTGAGGCAGGAGGATCATGAGCCCAGAAGTTCAAGTCCAGCCTGGGCAACATGGTGAGAGCCTCATTTCTTAAAAAAAAAAAAAAAAAAAAAAAAAAAAAAGAAGGAAGGAAAAAGAGAAGAGAAGTGGATGGGATTCTTTTTTTCAATATAGCTCTTCAAGAATTTATTTATTTTTTTGTGTGTGTGTCATCTTTTTTTTTTATACTTTAAGTTTTAGGGTACATGTGCACAATGTGCCGGTTAGTTACTATGCTGTAGAAAGAACTCACAGGACTTAACAGTTCAGTCCAGGATGAGTCTGACTCTATTCTGCCTAGAGGAAATGGTGAAATGACCTTTCATGGAGCACAGGACTCTGATTCAAGACTAACTCATGATAATAAAGTATAGCATTTCATTATGGAAAGAAGCAGATGAAAGAAGGGTTAACTCCATCTTATTAAAATATAAACTCCAGCTGGGCTCAGTGGCTCACACCTGTAATCCCAGCACTTTGGGAGGCTGAGGAGGGCAGATCACCTGAGATCAGGAGGTCGAGACCAGCCTGGCCAACATGGGAAAACCTCGTCCCTACTAAAAATACAAAAATTAGCCAGGTGTGGTGGTGCATGCCTGTAATTCCAGTTATTTGGGAGGCTGAGGCAGGAGAATCGATTGAACCCAGGAGTCAGAGGTTGCAGTAAGCTGAGATTGCACTACTGCACTACACTCCAGCCTGGGCAACAGAGCAAGACTCTATCTCAAAAACAAAATAAAATATAAACTCCACAAAGGCAGGGATTTTTATTTCTTGTTTACTACTATATCTCTAGCACCTGGAATAGTGCCCAATGCATAGTAGCCATAAAATATGTATTTGTGGAATGAATGTGTAAGATCCCAAGTGCAGTACGAAAACTAAGCAGTTGCCTTGGCGAGGACTCTGATTGTAAGAAGGAAATTTAAATTAAACTCTACCCTTAGCCCCTCATATTAGCTCTCCAAAAGGACAGTGAGATGAAGCTTTGTTTTTCAAATCTGAGACGGTTAGGAATTGAAGCTGACTAGCCACTATAGACTGAATGTTTACGTCTCCCCAAAAATCATATGTTGAAACCTGACCCCCAATGTGCTTGTATTTGGAGGTGTGGCCTTCAAGAGGTGATTCATGTGGGCACAGCCCTCAAAAGTGGGATTAGTGCCCTTATATGAGACTCCAGAGAGCTCCCTGGCCACTTCCACTATATGAAGACACAGTGAGAGGACAGCCATCTATGAACCAGGAAGCAGGCCCTCACCAGACACCAAATCTGCCAGTGCCTCGATCTTGAACTTCCCTTGCAGCTCCTCAAAACTGTGAGAAATATTTGTTTTGGATAAGCCACCCAGTCTGTGGCATTTTGTGATAGCAGCTTGAGTGGACTAAGACACTAACCAAATGGTCTAGAAGAAGAGAGATGGATAAAATGATTGCTTGTCTGGGAAGTGTGGCTGAGACCAAGTGAAGGTCCTTGCAACCAAGTAGCTATGCAAGAACCCAGTACTAGAAACCACAATGAGTCTGAATGTACCTGAGTTCCTGGGCTGAATTTGTGGCTGTAATTACAAACCAGCAGGTGGTGAGGAGTTCATTATTGCTTATGTCAAACATCTATAAGATAGATCCTTTCACCAGCAAGACCTGAGAACAAAGGACTTTCTGATTACAGTCAACTTCCAGCTCTCCTTAAGTGAGTCTTCCAAGCTCAAATAGCTGAATCCACTAACAGGCCTCTGAAAGGAATCAGTTCATCTGTCATCCTGCGTGAATATATCCACAACAGAAGTTGCCAACCTACCTACCACCTGCAGGACAATTTTGGCTCACAGCCCGCTGTTGTTTATTTTTCAGCAGCTTGATTTGAGATATAATTCACATACTATACAATTCACCCTTTTAAAGTGTGCAGTTCAGTGGTTTTTAGTATATTCACTGAGTTGTGCAACCATCACTACAATTTTATAACGTTTTAATCAACTCCCTCCCCAAAAAAACCCACAACCATCCAGCCCTAGGTAACTGCTAATCTACTTTCTGTCCTTATAGATTTGCCTATTCTGGCATTTCTTATAAATGGAGTCATACACTATGTGGTTTTTTGTGACTGGCTTCTTTCACTTAGCATAATGTTTTCAAGACTCATCCATGTTCTAGCACATGAATGCTTCATTCTTTTTTGTTTTGTTTTGTATTGTGGTTTTTTTATTTCAGTAGGTTTTTGGGGAACAGGTCGTATTTGGTTATACAGGGATAAGTTCTTCAGTGGTGATTTCAGAGATTTTAGTGCACTCATCACTCAAGCAGTGTACATCGTACCCAATATGCAGTCTTTCATTCCTCACCCCACCTCCCATGCTTCTCCCAGAGTCTCCATAGTTCATTGTATTATTATTATTATTATTATTATTGAGACAGAATTTCACTCTTGTTGCCCAGTCTGGAGTGCAGTGGTGCGATCTCGGCTCACTGCAACCTCTGCCTCCCGGGTTCAAGCGATTCTTCTGCCTCAGCCTCCTGAGTAGCTGGGATTATAGGCACCCGCCACTATGCCCGGCTAATTTTTGTATTTTTAGTAGAGACGGGGTTTTGCCATGTTGGCCAGGCTGGTCTTGAACTCCTGACCTCAGGTGATTCACCTGCCTCAGCCTCACAAAGTACAGGGATTACAGTCTTGAACCACTGCACCCAGCCCATTGTATCATTCTTATGCCTTTGCATCCCCATAGTTTAGCTCCCACTTATAAGCAAGAACATATGATATTTGGTTTTCCATTCCTGAGTTACTTCACTTAGAATAATGGCCTCCAACTCCATCCAGGTTGCAAATGCCATTCTTTCATTTATTTTTATGGCTGAGTAGTATTCCATTTTATATATATATATATATCACATTTTATCCACTCATTGATTGATGGACATTTGGTCTGGTCCCATATTTTTGCAGTTATGAATTGTGCTGCTATAAACATGTGTGTGCAAGTGTCTTTCATATAATGACTTCTTTTCCTCTGGCTAGATACCCAGTAGTGGGACTGCTGGATCAAATGGTAGTTCTACTTTTAGTTCTTTAGGGAATCTCCACTGTTTTTCACAGTAGTTGTACTCGTTTACATTCCCATCAACAGTGTAAAAGTGTTTCCCTTTCACCACATCCACACCAACATCTATTATTTTTTTATTTTTAAATTATGGCCATTCTTGCAGGAGTAAGGTGGTATCACATGTGGCTTTGATTTGCATTTCCCTGATAATTAGTGACGCTGAGCATTTTTTCATATGATTGTTGGCCATTTGAATATCTTCTTTTGAGAATTGTCTATTCATGCCCTTAGCCCATTTTCATGGGATTGGTTTTTTTCTTGCTGACTGGTTTGAGTTCCTTGTATATTCTGGATATCAGTCTTTGGTTGGATAGTTTGCAAAGATTTTTCCCCTCTCTGTGGGTTTTCTGTTTACTCTGCTGCTTCTTTCGCTGTGCAGAAGCTTTCTGGTTTAATTAAGTTCCATTTTATTTATCTTTGTTTTTGTTCCATTCGCTTTTGGGTTCTTGGTCATGAAGTCTTGCCTATGCCAATGTCTAGAAGGGTTTTTCCAATGTTATCTTCAAGAATTTTTATGGTTTAGGTCTTAGATTTAAGTCTTTGATCCATCTTGAGTTGATTTTGTATAAGGTGAGAGATGAGGATCCAGTTTCATTCTCCTATGTGTGGCTTGCCAATTATCCCAGCACCATTTATTGACTAGGGTGTTTTTCCCCACTTTATGTTTTTGTTTTCTTTGTTGAAATCAGTTGGCTGTAAGTGTTTGGCTTTATTTCCGGGTTCTCTATGCTGTTTCATTGGTCTCTGTACCTATCTTTATGCCAGTATCATGCTGTTTCGGTGACTATAGCTTGATAGTATAGTTTGGAGTTGGGTAATGTGATGCCTCCAGATTTGTTCTTTTTGCTTAGTCTTGTTTTGGCTATGTGGGCTTTTTTTGGGGGGTTCATATGAATTTTAGGATTTTTTTCTAGTTCTGTGAAGAATGATATTTTGATGGGAATTGTGTTGAATTTATAGATTGCTTTTGGCAGTATGGTCATTTTCATAATATTGATTCAACCCATCCATGAGCATGGGATGTGTTTCTATTTGTGTCATCTATGATTTCTTTCAGCACTGTTTTGTAGTTTTCCTTGTAGAGGTCTTTCACCTCCTTGGTTAGGTATATTCCTCAGTATTTTATTTTATTTATTTTTATTTTTTTGCAGCTATTGTAAAAGGGGTTGCATTCTTCATTCTTAGCTCGGTCACTGTTGGTGTATAGCAGGGCTACTGATTTGTGTTCATTGATTTTGTATCCTGGAACTTTACTGAATTCATTTATCAGATCTAGGAGCTTTTTGGAGGAGTCTTTGGGGTTTTCTAGGTATATGATTATAACATTGGCAAACAGCGACAGTTTGACTCCCACTTTATTGATTTGGATGCCCTTTATTTCTTTCTCTTGTCTAATTGCTCTCGCTAGGATGCTTCATTCCTTTTTATTGCCAAATAATATTCCATTATATGGCTAGGCCACATTTTGTTTATTCACCCATCAGTTGGTGGACATGTGGGTTGTTTCCACTTTTTGGCTATTATGAATAATGTGGTATGAACATCCTACACAAGTTTTTGTGTTGGCTGTTTTCATTTCTCTTGATACATATCTAGAAGTGGAATTGCCTGAGCATATGGTAACTATGTTTAACTGAGGAGCTACCAAACTTTTCCAAGGCAACTGTGGCAGTTTTACATTCCCAGGAGTAATGTATGAAGGTTCTCATTCTCCATATTCTTGCTAACACTTATCCATCTTTTTTATATAGCCATCGTAGGGAGCGAGAAGTTGTGTCTCACTGTGGTTTGTTTTGCATTTCCATAGTCCTCAGCCTGTTTTTATATAGCTTGAAAACTAAGAATGCTTTTTACATGTTTTAATTGTTGAAAAAAATGAAAGCAAAATATTTTATGACACATGAAAATTATCTGAAATCTAACAGTGTCTATAAAGTTTTATTGGAATACAGCCATGCCCATTCATTGTATATTTTCTATGCCTGCTTTTCTTGCTTCAGTGACAGAGTTGAGTACCTGCAACAGAGTCTGTATGGCCTGCAAAGTCTACAGTATTTACTATCTGGCCCATTATGTGAAAGGTTTACCAACCCTTTGCCTACAATATAGTTGGATGAGACTACAAAGAATCTGGAGTGGGAAGAAGAAATTGTGACTTCCCTGTGGAAATGTATAGTTTCAGGGGTTTTGTTTTGTTTTGTTTTAAATAAAAGCAGAATGCAAGCAAGCAGAACAAGGGAAGAAATCAGGATGTTAGGGGGTATAGGGAGATCATTTTCACCTGAATCACTATTAATAAGATCCTTTCAACTTTGGGCCCTCCCAGTCCTGTAAATTTCTCCTAGAGTTCTATTTATAATTTACTGCTCTGATCATATCATCTTACTCATCAGAAATGTCCAGGGATTCCCCACCACCACAGCCCTCTCAGTTAGTTAGGACCACTTAGGTCCTGCATGATATGACTTTATCTTACCTTTCCAGCCTTATTTTCCAGCACTCACCTTCAATAGGACCAGATACCCAGCCCTGAATTTCAGGATTCTGTGCTTTTGCTCAGACTTTTTTTTTTTTTTTTTTTGAGACACGGTCTGGCTTTGTTGCCCTGGCTGTAGTGCAATAGTGCAATCTCGGCTCACTGCAATCTCTGCTTCCCAGGCTCAAGCCATCCTCTCACCTCAGCCTCATACCTGTGGTCCCAGCTACTCAGAAATTAGCCATGCCTGGCTAATTTCTGTATTTTTGTGGAGATGGGGGTCTCACTTTGATGCCCAGGCTGGTCTCGAACTCCTGAGCTCAAGCAATCCACCCTCCTAGACCTCCTAAAGTGCCGGGATTACAGGTGTGAGCCACCGTGCCTGGCACTCATACTTTCTCTTCCTTTTTTTTTTGAAAGAGTCTCACTCTGTCACCCAGGCTGGAATGCAATGGTGTGATCTCAGCTCACTGCAACCTCCACCTCCAGGTTCAAGCTATTCTCCTGCCTCAGCCTCCTGAATAGCTGGGATTACAGGCTCACGCCACCACGCCCAGCTAATTTTCTTATTTTTAGTAGAGACAGGGTTTCACCATGTTGGTCAGCCTGGTCTCGAACTCTTGACCTCGTGATCCACCCTCCTTGGCCTCCCAGAGTACTGGGATTACGGGCATGAGCCACCGTGTCCAGCATTCTCTTCTACTTAGAATGCTTTTCTCTTCTCCAAATCCTAGAGATACTTTATTATTGTTATTGTGAAATATTTCAAGCATTCAAAGAAGAAAAGCGACACCTGTGAACTCACCGCCAAGCTTTGTCAAATCTTATCATTTTGTCCTGTTCCTTTAGTTCTTTGAAATATTACAGGCTTACATATGTTTTTAAACCTCCTCAAATGCCAACTCTTCTAAATAGGCCTCCTTGATGTACTCAGTCAGGATGACCTGCATTTACCTACAGGTAAAGCTACTCAGTCCCTTGTATGATGTCTTCTTTGAGCATTCCTTATTATGGTCATTCCCATAGAGTACTACAAAGATGACTTTAGGTAATTCAAGGAAGACACATTTTAAAAAATTTTGTAGGCCAGATGCAGTGGCTCACGCCTGTAATTCCAGCACTTTGGGAGGCCGAGGCGGGCGGATCATGAGGTCAGGAGATCGAGACCATCCTGGCTAACACGGTGAAACCCTGTCTCTACTAAAAATACAAAAAATTAGCCAGGCATGGTGGCAGGTGCCTGTAGTCCCAACTACTCAGGAGGCTGAGGCAGGAGAATGGCATGAACCCGGGAGGTGGAGCTTGCAGTGAGCCGAGATCACGCCACTGCACTCCAGCCTGGGCGACAAAGCGAGACTCTGTCTCAAAAAAAATAAATAAAATAAAAACATTTAAAAATTTAAAAAAATGTGTATGTTTATTTTTAAAAGTACATTAGAAATATGCACATAACAGCCAGGCGTGGTGGCTAATGCCTGTAATTCCAACACTTTTAGGAGGCCGAGGCAGGAGGATCGCTTGAGCCCAGGAGTTCAAGATCAGCCTGGGCAATATAGTGATACCTTATCTCTACAAAAAAAAATTTTTTTTTAATTAGCCAAGCACAGTGGCATGTGCTTGTAGTCCCAGCTACTCAGGAGGCTAATTAGGGAGGATTGCTGGAGCCCAAGAAATTGCTGCAGTAAGCTGAGATTGTGCCACCGTACGCCAGCCTGGGCAGCAGAGTGAGACGCCATCTAAAAAAAAAAGAAAGAAAAAGAAAAGAAAAAAATGGGTCCGGCATGGTAGCTCATGCCTATAATCCCAGCACTTTGAGAGACTGAGGCAGGCGGATCACTTGAGGTCAGGAGTTCGAGACCAGCCTGGCCAACATGGTGAAACCCCATCTCTACTCAAAATACAAAAATTAGCCAGGTGTGGTGGCACAGGCCTGTAATCCCAGCTACTCGGGAGGCTGAGGCATGAGAATCACTTGAACCCGGGAGGCAGAGGTTGCAGTGAGCCAAGATTGTGTCACTGTACCCCAGCCTGGGTGACAAAGCAAGACTCCACCTCAAAAAAAAAAAAAAAAAAAAAAAGCACACACAGGTAATTTAAAACTATATACCTAGAACACCAAATCTGTGATTTCCCAGGTATTCTTTATGACAAGGCTAAGGTAGGTACACATATTGGGAAATTATTGAGTAATATTAGGAAAATATTGAGAAAAACATTGAGTAAATCTGTATTGAGTACTATTATACAGATGATATGGGAAATATTTTGAAGGTTGTATTCAAATAATTTAGAAAAGAATGTAAATTCTTGACAACAGAGACCCAGTTTTATTTATTTTTCTGTACCCTAAGCATCAAACAAACTCAGAATAGATGCTTATTGAATCAGTTTCTCTCTGGGGCAGAGAGATCTCTGAAAATCATATGAAACCTCCTAAACCTTCTGACAGATAACTTAAAATATCTTAAAAGACATTTTCCCCACACCGAGCGCCCATGCCTGGGACAAATTATACATTTTCCCCTCTTCCTTCCTTGCCCATTTTGACAAGTTGCCCCAGCTGGGGCTTAATAGATATTAAGTAGTGCTAATAATAGTCATCCTCTGAAGGAATGAGGACTTGAGATTGCCAAGATGATCTTTTTTGCTCCAACACACCAATCTCAGCATATTTCAGTTTGTGTGCCACTTTCGTTCTTGGATATGGTCCAACACACACACACACGTACACACACTTTCTCTCAAAACACTTTATATATTTTTTAGAGAAAATATTTCTCAATCTCCTTAAAAATCATTATTTCATTCCATCTTTTCATCATTGTTAACACTAAACCATTTGGAGTCACGTTGGCAACTGGATTTCATCTTGAGACTTGTCATTGAGGAATCATTTTGTTGTGTAGCAATCCCTATTCACAACATCAGCCAAATTATGTCATGTGGTTGCAAAACTGCTGTCCTGTCTTCCAGCTTTTCTGAGTAAATTTGACTCTTTGAGAAGCTTCGTTCTTCCTATCCTAAAATGACCTTATATGCTCTCGTATCTCAGGGGATCCTAATTGTGATGAAATCTTTCTCTTTATTTCCTTTCTTATAGCCTGTGTTTTGAGGTGGTGTTTTAGGGGTGTGGGGAGTAGGGGAACTACTGAGGTCTGAGTCACAAAAGGAGATCTGAACAAGATATCTGAAGTTCAGTTGGGCCCTCAAAGCTTCACTCGTATTGGACTAGATATGCTTCCTGAGAGAAGTCTCTAAAAGTTCTGTAAATGACACTGACCCTTTTGTTTCCTAACTCCTACTGTTAAGGCACAGGTTCTTTACTGATCTTAAAACCCTAGGCCAGGATGGCTGTAACCAGGGTGTATAACCTTATGTTTTATTGTCCAAATAAGGACACATTTTAACATTTCAATAGTTTGGGGGTACAGGTGGTTTTTGGTTACATGGATGAGTTCCTTAGTGGTGAATTTTGAGATTTTAGTGCACCTGTCCCCCAAACAGTGTACATTGTACTCAATATGTAGTCTTTTATCCCTCCCCCCGTCCAACCACCCCCCTACCCCATCCCCAAAGTCCATTAGATCACTCTGTATGTCTTTGTGTCCAAATGAGGACACTTTTGAAACTGAAAGTGGGTGCTGGGGGTAAAAGACATAAGCCAGGGCCCACACAGGCAAACCATGCTGTCAGGTCAGCATACCTAAAACACTTTGAGCCTCTTATCCTCTATTAGCAGAGGTTAAGTTGGGGTCTCTAGATTTCTTTTTTTCTTTTTTTTTTTTTTTCATTGTTGTTGTTGTTGTTGGGATAAGGTCTTGTTCTGTTCACCCAGGCTGGACTGCAGTGGCACAAACATGGCTCACTGCAGCCTCTACCTCCCAGGCTCAAGTGATCCTCCCACCTCAGCGCCCAACCCAAGTAGCTGGGACTGCAGACATATGCCACCATATCTGGCTGTTTTTTTGTTTTCTTGGGTTTTGCCATGTTGTCCAGGCTGGTCTCAAACTTCTGGCTCAAGCGATCCTCCCACTTCAGCCTCCCGAAGTGCTGGGTTTACAAGTGTGAGCCACCATGCCTGGCCTAGATTTCAACTTGAAAGTCTGTGAGGTGGCTAGGAATGGTGGCTCACACCTGTAATCCCAGCACTTTAGGAGGCTGAGGCAGGTGGATCGCTTGAGCTCAGAAGTTCAAGACCAGCCTGGGCAACATAGTGAGACCTCGTCTCTATATATTTTTTAAATAAATAATAATTTTTAAAAAAAGAAAGTCTGTGGGGTTTATTGGATAATTTAAAGTTTTATTTTCATTTCAATAAAATGCTTGTGATTTAAAGTGCCTGTGTTTGCATTATTTACATTGATCCAATGTTTGTCCCTAAGTGGGAGAACTTTGTCTCCGGTCAAAGAGAGAACAGAGGTAGACTTTACCATAGTGAAATGTTCAAGCCAAGTGAAACACAGAAAGATGCATGGCCTGTAAATAAAGACTTGTAGTGTTTCAGAAAGAGAAAAGTGGAACATGATCACAGAAGGATGCTGAATTCAAGAGTGTATTGTAGCATTTTACTATATTCACTTTGCAAAAAGAAATGTATTTTCAGGAAAACATCATGCATCATATTGATATTAATTTGCATTAATTTAATAAACTTTTAGATTATAAATTTGTTGATTTTATAAGAATACAATAAGTTTTCTTACATGTACATTTATGTTAGTATGTATTATAGAAGCATGACAGCAAAAATGATTTAATTTTGAAGGTTTGCAGAAATTTTTATTTTTTATTTGTTTTATAGATGTGGGGTCTCACTATGATGCGCAGGCTGGTCTCAGACTCCTGGGCTCAGGTGATCCTGCCACCTCAGCCTCCCAAAGTGCTGGGATTACAGGCATGAGCCACCACGCCCAGCCTGAAGGAATTTTTAAAGTATAAGAATCAGTGCTGATACAACACCGAAAGCATAAGTAATAAAAGGAAAAATAGACACGAGACTACATCAAACTAAAAAGCTTCCATGCAGCAAAAGAAATAACCAACAGAGTGAAAAGGCAACCTATGGAATGAGAGAAAATGTTTGCAAACCATGTATCAGATAAGGGGTTAATATCCAAAATATGTAAGAAACTCATTGAATTTAATAGCAAAAATACCAATAACCTGATTTGAAAATGGGCAAAGGATCTGAATAGACATTCCTCCAAAGTAGACATACAAATAGCCAACAGGTTTATAAAAAGATGCCCAGAGCCAGTCATGGTGGTTCATGCCTGTAATCCCAACACTTGGGAGGCTGAGGCAGGCAGATCGCTTGAGCCCAGAAGTTCAAGACCAGCCTGAGCAACATAGTGAGACATCGTCTCTACAAAACAAAAACTTTTTTAAAATTAGGTTGTAGTGGCACACACGTAGTCCAGCTACTCGGGAGGCTGAGGTGGATTGCTTGAGCTCAGGAGGTCAAGACTGCAGTGGGCCATGCTCCAGCATGGGTGACAAAGCAAGACTGTATCTCAAATACACATACACACACATACACACATGATGCCCAGTGTCACTAATCATCAGGGAAATGAAAGTCAAAACTACAGTGAGATATCACCTCACACTTGTTAGCATGGCCATTACCAAAAATACATAAAATAAGCGTTGAGGATATGGAGAAATTTCAACATGTGTACACTGTTGGTGGGAATGTAAAATGCTGCAGCCATATGGAAAACAGTATGAAAGTTTCTCCAAAAAATTAAAAATTGAAGTGTTGTATGATCTAGCAATACCACTTCTGGTATTTATTCAAAAGAATTGAATCAAAACAGGATCTTGAAAAGATATTTGTACTCCCATGTTCATTGCTGTATTATTCACAATAGCCGAGAGGTAGAAAAAATCTGAATGTCCGTCAGTGGATGAATGGATAAAGAAAATGTGGTATATACAGACAATGGAATATTATTCAGCAGAGCTGTCCTGCAATATCTGCCATTATTTATTTCTACGGGGAAATTATTCTGTCTTCCACATAGCTGACCTATAAATGAAGGTGTTAAAAAGAGAAGGAAATCCTGTCACATGCTGCAACAAGAATTTGGAAGACATTATGCTAAGTGAAATAAGCCCATCTCAAAAACAACAACAACACTGCCTGATTCTTCTTACATGAGGCATCTAAAGGAGTCAAACTCATACAAACTAAAATGGTGTTTTTGGAGAGGGGAAAGTTAGTTGCAGTTTGATGGGTATAGGATTTCAGTCATGCTAGATGAGACCTTTCTAGAGATATGCTGTACAACAATGTGCATATAGGTAACAATCATATACACTTAAAATTTTGTTAAGAGGGTACATCTCAATATGAATTTTTCACAATTAAAAAAAATCAATATTCCATAGGTTAGACCAAAGTTTTGCCTTTCTTTCTCTTCCTAATCCAACTATGCCCTCTGGTGGTGATAGTTGCTAATAGAAGTAAAATAACTACTCCTTTGTATCCTTTCCAAATTCATTTTGTAGGTCAGCTGTGTGGAAGACAGAATAATTTCCCTGTAGAAACAAAGTTGTAAATAATGGCAGATGTTGCAGGACAACCCACCAAAACCCATATAAATCTTACTTGAAACAGTATTGAGAGTAGCCCTCTATCACTTGATTTACACCCTCCTTCTTCCGTCCCACCCTCCTTGTTGGTGAAACAAATGAAAAATCCCATATCCACAGTCTACTCTGTCCCCATCACCATCAGAAGTAGAAAGAGGAAAGAGAAGGGAAGAGGATTCGTGCTTCCGCCAAATTTAACAGCTTTATTTATAGGCACACTTTCTGTCCTGAAACCCCACACCCATCCTGCGGCCTTCAAAGGAGTGGACCACCTAGAAACTTAAACGTCCTCTTTGCCTCTTTCAGAATCTTAGGGCAAATATTAAGAAGACCTTGCATTCTAAAAATGAGCCGGGCGTGTTGTTTGGCGCCTGTAGTCCCAGCTACTCGGGAGGCTGAGGCAGGAGAATGGCGTGAACCCGGGAGGCGGAGCTTGCAGTGAGCGGGGATCGCACCACTGCGCTCCAGCAACAATGCGAGACTCCGTCTCAAAAAAAAAAAAAAAAAAAAGAAGACCTTGCATTCTTTTCTCTTGCTCAACCTATAGTCCTTAGCTCTCCAGGGCATCACCATGTTGCCCAGGCTGCTCTTGAGCTCCTGAATTCAAGCAATCCACTTGCCTCGGCTTCCCAAAGTGCTGGGATTACAAATGTTAGCCACTGTGCCAGGCCAGTAATTCCAAAGTCAAAGTCACCAGAGTCTCCAGAGTCAAAATCACCTTCTAAGTAGAAGGCAACAAAAAAGAAAAAGAAGACCAGGAAAAATAAAATGGAAAAAAAAGAAAAACCTCTTCCACCCAAGGTCTACTCATACCTGGAAATCTCTACGATGTATAACCAATAAACCTCCAAAGACCTTGTCTTTTCCCAGCTTTATAAAACTTTCCCCCAGTCCCTTCTAGGGGCTGGCTGGAAGAAGGAAGGGATGAGGGATGGAACAATCCCAGTCTAGTTGGTGTACATCATATTCCATTAATGCTTGATTGTCTTTTTTTTTTTTTTTTTTTTTTTTTTGAGATAGAGTCTCACTTTGTCACCCAGGCTGGAGTGCAGTGGCATGACCTTGGCTCACTGCAACCTCCGCCTTCCGGGTTCAAGTGATTCTCCTGTCTCAGCCTCCCGAGTAGCTCGGATTACAAGCACGCGATGCCACGCCCGGCTAATTTTTGTATTTTTAGTAGAGACGGGGTTTCACCATGTTGGCCAGGCTGGTGTCAAACTCCTGACCTCAAGTGATCCACCCGCCTCAACCTTCCAAAGTGCTGGGATTACAGGCCTGAGCCGCCACACCTGGCCCAATGCTTGATTTTCTTGTGTGCTCAACTATTGTTTGTGCTGTATGATTCCCAGGGCCTCTCCCCGGGAAGGGACAAGAATGACATGGACCCTGCTGTATGTAAACACATTTTTTTTGTTGTTGTTATTTGGTTGGTTGGTTAGACGGTCTCAGTCTGTCTGCCAGGATAGAGTGCAATGGCGCCATCATAGCTCACTAAATCCTATTTCTAAGGAACTAGAAAACTGTGGAATATTATCAAATCCACTCAAAGTGACAAGAGGAAAAAAATCTATATTATGATTTTAGTGATATAGGAAAAAAGAGCTGGAAGAGCATATAGACAAAAACACTTGGATTGTTTAGAATGACCTGATGTTGGTGCATTATTTAATTTGGAATTACCGGCCGGGTGCAGCAGCTAACACTTGAAATCCCAGGACTTTGGGAAGCTGAGGTGGGCAGATCACTTGATTCTAGGAGTTTGAGACCAGCCTGGGCAACATGGTGAAACCCTGTCTCTACAAAAAAAAAAAAAAAAGTAAATATTATCTGGGCATGGAGGCACATGCCTGTAGTCCTAGCTACTCAGGGGGCTGAGATGGGAGGATTGCTTGAGCCCAGAAATTCAAGGCTGTGGTGAGCTGAGATCGTGCCACTACACTCCATGCACTCCATGCACTCCAGTCTGAGTGACAAAGCGAGACCCTGTCTCAAAAAATAATAATAATAATAATTTGGAATTATGCAAACATTGGTATAATGCATAATTTTGTATAATGATAAATGAAAATATTGACTGTTTTATATTGTCAAAATGCAAAACTTAAAAACTTAAAAGAGGCTTAACACAACCCTTTATTGTATCTCACAATTCTGTGGATTGGATGGGCAGTTCTTCTACAGGTCTCACCTGGGTTTCCCACGAGTTTGCTGGGAAAGGGCAGCTGGTGCTCTTCTGTGTGGTCTCTCCATGCCTATGATGTCATCCTCCAAGGCCTCTCTACGTGGTGGCTTGGAAACAGAAGCTGCCAGACCCAGACCGTCTTAAAGTCTGGGGTCTGAAATCCTAGAACTTTACTTCCTCCACATTCTTCTGGTCAGAATAGCACAGGCTCAGCCCAGATGAGAGCAGAAGAGACACAAACTTCACCTCTTTTTTTTTTTTTTTTTTTTTTTTGAGACAGGGTTTCATTCCTGTCACCCCAGGCTGGAGTGCAGTGGCATAATCTGGGCTCACGGCAACCTCCGCCTCCCAGGTTCAAACGTTTCTCTTGCTTCAGCCTCCTAAGTAGCTGGGACTACAGGCGTGCACCACCATGCCTGGCTAATTTTTGTATTTTGGTAGAGACAGGGTTTTGTCATGTTGCCCAGGTGATCTCAAACTCCTGATCTCAGGTGATCCGCCCACCTCAGCCTCCCAAAGTGCTGGGATTATAGGTGTGAGCCACTGCACCTGGACAAACTTCACCTCTTGATGGGAGGAGTAACATGCAAATATAGTGAGGGATGGTATGGTTTGGAACATGCTTGGAGATCAGCTATCACTTTGACTTTTTTGAAAACCATACTGATGCTGGACGTGGTGGCTCATACCTGTAATCTCAGCACTTTGAGAGGCCGAGGCGGGCAGATCACTTGAGGTCAGGAGTTCGAGACCAGCCTGGCCAACATGGTGAAGCCCTGTCTCTACTAAAAATATAAAAAGAATATTAGCCAGGCATGGCGGTGTGCACCTATAATCCCAGCTACTCAGGAGGCTGAGGCAGGAGAATTGCTTGAACCTGGGAGGCAGAGGTTGCAGTAAGCTGAGATCGCGCCACTGCACTCTAGCCTGGGCAACAGAGTGAGACTCCATCTCAAAAAAAGAAACAAACAAACAAACCATACTGAAATCTTAAGCCAGTAATTAATCCTCATCTAATTTGTGTTTTATTAGTCCATTTATTCCTTCAACATAGATGAAACACTTTGTGCCAGGCACTATTCTGGGTGCTGAGGATAAAGTATTGAACAAGACAAAGAAGGGTCAAACCCTCATGGAGCTTACATCCTGAAATTCTCACATTGCAAAGAATAAGCAAGTAAACAAATACGTTAAAAGGTAATGTAGGTGGGTGAGACTCTACTGTAGAGTGATCAAAGAAGCTCTTTGAAGTGACAGCTGAAGATCAGGGAAAAAACATTTACTAGTACAAATTTCCAGGGCCTGAAAGAGCTTGGGGTGTTTATTAGAAGGAATAGCACAAAGGCCAATGTGTTTGGGGAGTAGCAAATGAGGAGGAGAATGATTTGGATTAGGTCACAGAGGTAATCATGGGTGAGGTCATTAAGGGCCTTGAAGGCCATGGTAAGGACGTGGGATTTACTCCTGGATAATGGAAAGCAGTGCAAAGATTTAAATTCATTGGCCGGGTACGGTGGCTCATGCCTGTGATCCCAGCACTTTGGGAGGTCAAGGAGGGCAGATTACCTGAGGTCAGGAGTTCGAGACCAGCCTGGCCAACATGGTGAAACCCTGTCTCTACTAAAAATACAAAAATTAGCTGGGCATGGTGGTGGGTGCCTGTAATCCCAGTTACTCGAGAGGCTGAGGCAGGAGAATCACTTTAACTCAGGAGGTGGAGGTTGCAGTGAACCGAGATTGCACTATTGCATTCCAGCCTGGGCAACAAGGGTGAAACTCTGTCTCCAAAAGAAAAAAAAAAAGATTTAAATTCATTAACTCAGAAGTTATATTGATTTCCATGTTCAAAATACCACCGTCCCTTTAAAAAATGGATTGTAGGGGTCAAAAGTGACTAAATAGGCTATTACAGTAGTTGCTGGAGATTCAAACTAGGGTAATAGCCATAATTATGAGAAGTCAGTAGATCAGGAATATATCTTGAAGAAATTGCCAATAAGCACTGCTGATGGGTTACATTTGGGGAATAAAGAGAAGGGAGGAAACAGATCCCTCAGGTTTCTCTTTTGAGTAGTGGAGTGAATGGAGTGCCATTCACTTAGAGGGAGAGACTAGTGGAAGAACAGACTTTTACTGTCACATAAGGCAATCAAGAAAATTAATTCCATTCTGAAAATGTTTAGGTATGTTATAACCACACAATAATTTGTAAGTGAATTCTATGACTTGATGTATGGTTTATGCAAATCTGTGCAAGAATAAGCCATGCTATAACAAAGTGTCAAACTACTTGGGAAATGAGAATAAACCATATACTGTATATTTAAAGTACAAGGTCACTAAGCAAGTGAGTATTTCTGTTAAGATAATAGCTACCATTTATTGAGGGCTTGCTGTTTGTTTGAACCATATGGAATTGCAGATCCCAACATTTTCGGACTTGAAAATGGCAATGCTATATGGGTCATCCTAATATATAGTAACCATAGAATTAGATGTTTATATACAAATTAATTAATATTCACATATTCACAAAAACCCTTAAGGTAGGCTTCTTACTATCTCATAGTTTACAAAATAAAGGTTCTGGAAGATTTAAAATAACCTGCCAAAAGTCTGATGACAAGTAAGAACAAGGTCTGACATAGCATCTTATCCCAAAAGTTACACTACCCAGATTTCTAGCCAAGGAATCATGTTGCCTTCCCCAAAATGACAAAAGCTTCAGATCCACAAGGCACAGAAATACAGAGAAGTGCTTGGTCTGACGGCATGGAGAATGGCTGTCTCCCCACTATAGATACCCAAATTCAAGTTGACCTTACAAGCCTGCACTGCATTTATTTTATTTTATTTTATTTTTTATTTATTTTTTGAGACAGAGTCTTGCTCTGTTGCCCAGGCTGGAGTGCAGTTGTGCAATCTCGGCTCCCTGCAACCTCTGCCTCCTGGGTTCAAGTGATTCTCCTGCCTCAGCCTCCCGAGTAGCTGGGATTACAGGCACCTGCCACCATGCCCAGCTAATTTGTGTATTTTTAGTAGAGACAGGGCTTCACCATACTGGCCAGGCTGGGCCCGAACTCCTGACCTCAAGTGATCTGCCCACCTCGGCCTCCCAAAGTGTTGGGATTACAGGTGTGAGCCACCACGCCCGGCCTGTACTGCATTTTAGAAGCAAATCCAATGAACAAAGAGCAATCAGACAGTAATTTAACACTATTAAGAGTTGTTCAAAAATTCCCACCATGAACCTGGCATGCTGGCATGTACCTGCAGTCTCAGCTACTCGAGAGGCTGAGGCAGGAGGATTGCCTGAGCCCAGGAGTTTGAGGCTGTGGTGTGCTGTGATCTCACCTGTGAGTAGCCGTTGCACTACAGCCTGGCCAATATAGCAAGACCCCATCTCAAGAAAAAAAAAATCAAATTTATCTCGTCAAGAATTTTCAGCTTCTCTTCCATATTTATCACTGAACCTCTCTAATATGCAAATATGTGAAATATAAAACAAATGGTTGTAGCCTCAGAAAAAATATAATGGCACAGGTTGAAGCTTAGCAGCCAAAAAGCTTTCACTATGCTTATCAGCTGCCTTATAGAACATTTATTAATGTACTCTCAAGCATCTTCATGCAAAATTAAAAGTGGTACCGCCAGTGAGTGAGATTCAATATGAAATTATGTAAAACATGCTATCAGTTATAGGAACTTCAGGCTTTTCCCTCTTTGCACAGTAGCTAGAGTATCTAAATTTCAGTAAAACTCAAGAAATTTGGCTGGGCACAGTGGCTCATCCCTGTAATCCTAGCACTTTGGAAGGCCGAGGCGGGCAGATCACTTGACGTCAGGAGTTCGAGACCAGCCTGGCCAACATAGTGAAACCGTCTCTACTAAAAATACAAAATTAGCTGGGTGTGGTGGCACATGCCTGTAATCCCAACTACTCGGGATGCTGAGGCAGGAGAATTGCTTGAGCCCAGGAGGTGGGGCTGCAGTGAGCCAAGATCGTGCCATTGCACTCCAGCCTGGGGGGCAAGAGTGAAACTCAAAAAAAAAAAAAAAAAGAAAAGGAATACTTCATGTATCTCCTCTAACACTACCTGTAAATCCATTTGGAACTCTGTAAGTAAAGAATGGCTATTTCAATTTGGTCACTTAGCAATTACCCGTTCAAGTCAAAGGCTGAAAAAAGTTTAGGAACTAAAAAGCTTTCTGTCCACCCTTGGAAAGAGTGTTTTCCACGTAGATCTTCCATTGATGGCGCTAATTAGAGCCAACACTCTTTCCTGGTGGTAAGCAGTGAAAATAGTCACTTGTCAGGCCGGGCATGGTGGCTCACGCTTGTAATCCCAGCACTTTGGGAGGCTGAGGCCGGTGGATCACCTGAGGTCAGAAGTTCGAGACCAGCCTGGCCAACATGGTGAAACCCGTCTCTACTAAAAATACAAAAAAATTGCCAGGCGTGGTGGTGGGAGCCTGTAATCCCAGCTACTTGGGAGGATGAGGCAGCAGAATCGCTTGAACCCGGGAGGCAGAGGTTGCAGTTAGCCAAGGTTGTGCCATTGCACTCCAGCCTGGGCAAGTAGAGTGAAACTCAGTCTCAAAAAAAAAAAAAAAAATTCAAATGAATCTGTTCTCCAATGCTCTATAGACCAGGGGTTCTATGAGTACAGCGGCTGGTCCTCAGATTGGTTAAAAAAATAAGGCAATATTTATTAGTCTCTAAATTCTCACCCAGCTTTGTTAACTTTAACAATATATACCCCAAGTCTTTACTGCATGTCAGATACCGTGCTGTGTGCTAAAGCATTTATGTTTTCATTTAAATCTCCTAACACCCTTTGCAGTAGGTTATATTATCTTTGCTTTAACTGCAGCTTACAAATATTTGTAACTTCCTAAGGTCCAAAACAAGTGCAGAACTGGAATTTAAACCATTTCGGCTCCAAAACCAGTGTTCTTACCCGCATTATATATAGATGAAATTTTAAAATTATAATTATATATAATTACATATAATCTCTATATATTATTTACATATATATTTTTAATTTTTTAATTTTTATATTTTTATTTATTTTTTGAGATGGAGTCTCACTCTGTAACCCAAGCTGGAGTGCAGTGGTGCGATCTCGGCTCACTGCAACCTCCGCCTCCCGGGTTCAAGTGAGTCTCGTGCCTCAGCCTACCCCGATTAGCTGGGACTACAGGTGTGCGCCACCACGCCCAGCTAATTTTTTATTTTACTAGAGACAGGGTTTCACCATGTTACCACCATGTTCGTGGTCTTGAACTCCGTTGCTCGGGCAATCCACCTACCTTGGCCTCCCAAAGTGTTGGGATTGCAGGCATGAGCTACCGTGCACAGCCTATTTACATATATTTTTTATTTATTTATTTATTTATTTATTTATTTATTTATTTATTTATTTTTTGAGACAGAATCTTGCTCGGTCACCCAGGCTGGAGTGCAGTGGTGCAATCTCGGCTCACTGCAACCTCCGCCTCCGGGGTTCAAGCGATTCTCCTGCCTCAGCCTCCTGAGTAGCTGGGACTACAGGCGCGTGCCAACACACCCGGCTAATTTTTGTATTTTTAGTAGAGACGGGATTTCACCATGCTGGCAAGGCTGGTCTCGAAATCCTGACCTCATGATCCACTCACCTTGGCCTCCCAAAGTGCTAGGATTACAGGCGTGAGCCACAGTGCCCGACCTACCTATACTTTCAAATGGAGAGCTGATGACTGCGGGGGTAGGTAATGGTGGTAAATGGCAGTGCTTGTATTATAAAGATGGCCAAAGGGTTTAGAATCTTGACCCTGGCTGGAAAACTGTCCATGTGTACTTGCCTTTTTGGCAAGCCTTTGGATTCTTAAAAAGTTATTTATGTGATCTTCATAGTCAAATTTTTCTACAATCAGATTTCCTGAAAAATAATTATTTTGTAGGTGAGGTCAATATTTAGTTAAAATGTTAAATGTGTCTGAGCACTAATAGAGATGGATTATTCTGTGATTTTTCTTGCCTTTGACAACAATGCAAACAAAAACCACACAGCAGAGAAGAATAGTGGTTGGACAATCCTTCGAATTATTAGTTTCTGATCCCAGACTGTGCAAATGAATAGACATGAGTTATACAGAGTAGACTGAAGAAAATCAGGGTGACAAATATTCAACCATTAACTCTCCAAAAAACCACTGACTTTAGCCCCACATAAAAAGATTCAGATATATTTTGACAGAGATTTTGCTCCCAGAGATTAAAGTAAGATCCCAGGGCAAAGAGAGGAGTGGGAGAGGCATGCAGAAATCATGTGGGAGAGAAACCCCAAGCCCTCACTAGAGCCTGCATGACTACTAGCCCAGATCCAGGGCACTGCGGAGAAGCTAAGGCAGAGCTGAGTTGATCCTCTCGTTGTCATCCTGCGGGTTCATCAGTACATTCTTTGTCCGGTTTGAGGTAATACTTGCCTATGTTCCAAGAATCTTTTCATATTCCTTTGATTGACCGTCTCTTGAAAATAATCCCCCATCTAACAGCCAGGACACTCAAAAACACCATTTTGCTCCTCTCTCTCTGCCCCCAAAATTGAGGGTAGAAAATGTGGACTCCTCATTGGGTAATGAAGGAAAAGACTTGGACACTTTATGGGGTGATGGCTGGTGACAGCTGAAAGGGAAACTTTGGGTAAAAAGAAAGGAGGATTACTTGAAGTTAGTGCAAAATCATCCACTGAGCCGAGATAGCAGAGAAACACACTACTCCATTTCAGAGTGTTAAATGTCTTGTCACAGGCAGAGAATGTAAGAGCTGGAAGAGAACTTGGAGAACATCTAGTCCCACCCTTCCACCTAGCAGAGGAAGCCCAGGAAGAAACAGATGTGGCCTGGAAAGGGGGCCTGACTTGCTTGAAGTCAAATAGCTGGTCATTTGGCTCTGTCAGAACCTGGAATAAAATGTCCTAGTAATTATCTCCACTGCCCAACACAGGCGAATCTGGCTTAGGAACTCTTTCTTTGGAAGTAGATTTTTCTCTGATCCTCCCTCAAGTCATAATAAGTTGAATGGAGAGTCCAGTTCCTATGTTCTTAGAAGTCCAAATTCAACACCTCACGGTGATGCCAAAGTTAAGTATTTGTGGAATTAAATTAGTTTATGGCATAAAATATAGTAAAGACAAGTTTTTAAATGGTTGTGGGAGAGCCATAACTGCTCGTAGACAATTTATCTTTCATAGAGACTCTATGGGACTACACAAATTAGCCCACAGATGCCTGAAACAGAGTGGCACCATGCACTTAATTTTGTTGAAGTCCAAGCTTCTTTCTCTATGATAAAAGAGGAAGTGACATTCTATACAGCTATGCCTGTGTTCTGCTCATTCTTCCAGGAATACTTTTGTCACTAGAATTTGTATAGGTGGAGGAGGAGGGTGTCATCCTATTGCTCAGCATTTCCCAAATAATCACTCTGTAGCTTATACTCCCCACAACAGTTTATCTCAGGATGTTTCGTGGCTTCACACCACTCACCATTATTACACCAGTGAAACTCACCAGATTATATTTTCTGTGTTCACTCTCCATAGGCTTCTGTTCCCTTGATAGATTTTTGTCTTAGAACCTTTTTTTCTGGAGAAACGCTACTGTTTAGCACCACTTTATGTATGTCAGAATGGATGTAGGTTTCTTTGTAGCAGATTTTAAAACTCTGGCCTCCGGCCTTGGTGGTTTCTGGTGCAGGAACTGAGAGACCCTTTGGTGTTCTACCTGGAGGCGTGGCTGGCGGATGAGATCTTGAGTGAGTGACCTTAGGCCCAGACCAAGCTGTAATTCCAGAAGTGGCGTGGATGCGCCAGGCCCTGCTGGTGGTGGACATAGTGGACTCCAAGAACCTAGTCGAAATAATGGTTTTTGGATGGCTCTGAGTACAGAATCGGGTGAAGAGCATGCTCCTGTGCCTGGCATGGTTTCACCGAGAACACTGTGCCCAAGCTGAGAAGATAAAACACCTTGAGAAGAACTTGAATGCCCATGCCTCAGGCCCCCACACTCCCCGGCATCCTATTGCTTAAGCAACAGAACTATTATCAGGAGAATTTTGAGAACCTTCTTGCTTTTGCTGCTAAGGTGGAAGAGAAGTGAGTACAGCTTTCCTAAATCCCTGCATTCCTTTTTCCTGTGTCTTGATGGATAGTCGTTTATTTTGTGGCAAGAGTGAGTTTGAAGAACTACTCTAATAAAGAAATGGCTCTTTTGCCCAATGGCATAAAGATCTTTGCACACTTATAATAAATCAAATTTATTTTTTAAAATTTTAAACTTCTCATAGAGAGGTATTGATGGAACATTCAATTAAAATCTTTGTTTATAGGACTCAGAGATAGCCAGATATTAAACAAATAAAAAAATGTTTCTCGTGAATATCAAGTTGACTCTTGATTAACATTTTATACTCTTATTAACATTGCGTACATTGTTTGTTTCTATTCAACCAATTTCAGAACTTCATGAAAAAGTTGAATGGTAGGTTGAGTGATGGGGTAACACAATGGGAGCCTTTTCTGCAAGGCTGGCATGTGAATAAAGTACCTGCAAATCATAAAAAGAAACAAAATAGAGAGTTTTAAAAACAAGAATTTTCACATTGGTCACTTGAGTACATTCACACTCACTGGCTAGGGTTGTTGGGTGTGGGAATCTAAGCTACAAGACTTGGTCAGCATTTTCAGATCTCCAATCTCCCCCATTTGTGACCTAGAAAATCTCTGACATGTGGACTGTCCCTCCAATCTCCCCCATTTGTGACCTAGAAAATCTCTGACATGTGGACTGTCCTCACCACAGTATGAGCAGAGGCTCCTGCTTCTTGGTTTATCAGGCAATGCGCAGTGAGGTGTTGAAATGAAAGGGTCAAGCTGTGGTGACTACTAGGGCCAAGTCAAGAGGGAAGAGTAGAACTCATCCCCCACGGCCTCAGTAAAAGCCTAGGAAAGGCCAGAGGAAGAGGCAAAAATGAGAAAGACTTCAACCATCCCCTTGGATGACTTAAAAGAATGGTTCTCAACCCTGATGCACATTGGAATCACCTGGAGAGCTTTATCTTTAAAATCTCACAGCCCTGGTACCACGCCAGACAAATGGAAACAGAATTTCTACGTGTGACACCTGGTTATCAGTATTTTTTTAATAGGTTGAGTATCTCTTATCCAAAATGATTGCAATCAGATGTGTTTCGGATTTCAGATTTTTTCAGATTTTGGAGTATCTGCATTATACTTAATGGTTGAGCATCCCTAATATGAACATGTAAAATCTGAAATGCTACAATGAGCATTTACTTTGAGCATCATGTTGGTGTTCAAATGATTTCGGATTTTGGAGCATTGCAAATTTTGGATTTTTGGTTTAGGGATGCTCAACCTGTAGTTGCTCAGATAATTCCAATGCAATGTGAGTTGAAAACACTAGTTTAAAACAAGAATCCACACCTAAATGGCTACCAGTAATGTAATTTAGGGGGTAAGAGTAAGCAAGAGAGAGAGGAGATGGTGGCAAACTAAACAGTACATGATGCACCTAAGGGGGTAGCTGCAGGAGTTCTGCCTAACTGTTGTCATCTCACAAGTGTGACACCACTTTGCCAGTTGTCCTGATTTTCAGATGTTTGTATCTAAGTTTTAAAAATTGAGTTGTATGATACATGCTACAATGTGGATGAACCTTGAAAACATTAAGCTCAGTGAAGTCAGACACAAAAGATCACATATTATACGCTCCATTTATGTAGAATGTCCAGAATAGGCAAATCCATCACAACAGAAAGTAAATTAGTGGTTTCCAGGGGTTAGGAGGAGGAGAATATGTGGTGTGATTGCTTAATGGATACTGAGTTTCTTTTGAGGTGATGAAAATGGTGTGCAATTAGATAGTTATGACAGTTGCAAAATATGGTGAATTTAAAAACTATGGAATTGTATATTTTAAAATGGTAAATTTCATACTATGTGAAATTTACCTTAATATATATATTTTTTTAAGTGAGGAGGTGCAAGAGGGAAGAGATGGGAATTGGGTTGTTTGGACGAGCTCAGAGCCAAACAAATCCCTTTTATGGGAGTCAGAATGGAACACCTCATGGAAGACAAAAAGTCCATGGCTGAGTGTGGTGGCTCACACCTGTAATCCTAGCACTTTAGGAGGCCGAGGCAGGTGAATCACTTGAGGCCAGGAGTTCAAGACTAGCCTGGCCAACATGACAAAACTCCATCTCTACTAAAAATACAAAAATTAGCTAGGCGTGATGGTGCATGCCTGTAGTCCCAACTACTCAGGAGGCTGAAGTGGAAGGGGGCATTGCTTGAGCCCAGGAGGCAGAGATTGTGATAAGCCGAGATCACAGCACTACACTCCAGCCTAGGTGGCAGAGTGAGACCCTGTGTCAAAAAAAAAAAAGTCTATAAATTGGACTGTAGTTTTTTTTTAAAAAAAGACAATCTAAGGCTGTAATTTATGTCTCCACATCCTTTTACGTCTTCATCCAAACAAATGACAAAGCTGTGTCCGCTGTACCCTTTTCATCTTAAGTCAGAGACAACCTGGGTTTTCTCCTTAATGGGTGCTATGCAGGGCTGCACTGCTAAGTGCACTTGGCTTTGGCAGCCTATAAATAGAAATGGAACCCCTGAGGTGCAGGAGAACAGGCTGGCAGATGAAGCCAATGCTGGCTACTGTTCTTTCTTACTGTTCTGTTACTGAGAGGGGTAAGTGAAACAAACAAAACCCCTGATAACCATGTTCATTAATTGTTACTCCTTTATCAATTGCTTCTGTCCAATAACTCAATTGTAAGTCACAATCCATAATTTATTATCCTCTTCAGTGAAGTTTATTTACACTTTTTTTTTTTTGAGGCGGAATATCCCTCCGTTGCCCAGGCTGGAGTGTGTCAGCATGATCTCAGCTCACTGCAACCTCTGCCTCCTGGGTTCAAGTGATTCTCCTGCCTCAGCCTCCCGAATAGCTGGGATTACAGGCGTGCACCACCAGGCTCAGCTTATTTTTGTATTTTTAGTAGAGACGGGGTTTCACCATGTTGCTCAGCCTGGTCTCAAACTCCTGACCTCAAGTAATCTGCCCGGCTCAGCCTCCCACAGTGCTAGGATTACAGGCATGAGCCACCATGCCCAGCCAAGTTTATTACTCTTAATTACTCACAGCAGGTTAAAATTATTACTACTTCCGTGAGATGCAGCTACAATAAAGACAATGAGTGACAAACCGTTCTTCAAAGAGAGTTTGATGTTTCACTAGTCTTTTCTGGCCTGGGAATATACTTCAAATGGCAATGGTTCTTAGAGGTCCCCAAAATCCTACCATTTTCACAGATCAAAGTGAAATATTATTAAAAACAAAAATAGGCCAGGTGCGGTGGCTCACACCTGTAATCCCAGCACTTTGGGAGGCTGAGGTGGGTGGATCATCAGGTTAGGAGTTCGAGATCAGCCTGACCAACATGGTGAAACCCTGTCTCTACTAAAAATACAAAAAAAAAATTAGCCAGGCATGGTGGCGGGCGCCTGTAATCCCAACTACTCAGGAGGCTGAGGCAGGAGAATTGCTCAAATCTGGGAGGCAGAGGTTGCAGTGAGCCAAGATTGCACCACTGTATTCCAGCCTGGGTGACAGAGCAAGACTCCATCTCAAAAAGAACAAACAAACAAAAAAGAATTCCTGATAAATACCTAATCTTCTAAATATTGGACCATGTTGCAGGTTTGCATGAACTCAGAAATGAGTGAAATCTTACTGCAGATTAGATTCAGACATTTTTTCTTACCTGAATTCTTCTCTGTAGTTATTCCTAATATACTCAGCTAGAGTCCTGCTGTGCCGCAGACAGCTCTTGAGGATGTAAAATTGCTGGTACAACAGAACTGCTTGGCAGGGACTTAGCAGCTGAAATGAAGCTGAAAGACCCCTCACCACTTGTTTCACAATACTGGCCACAAAAGTAATCTAGACAAGGAAAATACAGTTACATGTAGGCTGTGTGCCACCCACAAAAGCAACTATTTCAGCTGGAGCTTCAACTACAAATCTAGACTGAGGCCCTCACTACCCTAACACCACTGTTGCAATGTTCCTTATTGAAATGGTATCCAATGTCAAATAAAAAGTATAGGAGGAAGCTGGGCATGGTGGCTCACGCCTGTAATCCCAGCACTTTGGGAGACCAAGGCAGGTGGATCACGAGGTCAGGAGTTCGAGATCAGCCTGACCAACATGGTGGAACCCCGTCTCTACTAAAAATACAAAAATCAGTCAGGCGTGGTGGTGCATGCCTGTAATCCCAGCTACTCAGGAGGCTGAGGCAGGAAAGTCGCTTAATTCGGGAGGCAGAGGTTGCAGTGAGCCGAGATCATGTCACTGCACTCCAGCCTGGGCAACAGAGCAAGATTCCATCTCAAAAAAAAGTATAAGAGGCCAGGTCGGGCACTGTGCCTCATCTGTAATCCCAGCACTTTGGGAGGCTGAGGCGGGTAGATCACTTGAGGCAGGGAGTTCTAGACAGCCTGGTTAACATGGCAAAACCCCATCTCTACTAAAAATACAAAAATTTGCCAGGCATGGTGTCACATGTCTGTAATCCCAGCTACTTGGGAGGCTGAGGCACAAGAACTGCTTGAATGCAGAGGCAGAGGTTGCAGTGAGCCAAGATCGCACCACTGCACTCCAGCCTGGGCGAGTGCAAGTAGTTACTCTTCTGTGTAATTACAATCCATAAACGTAGGCTTGTGTGAAAAGCAGAAAAGAACACTAGTGCCTTTTCAAACTCTAACCAACAGGTCACACTACACACCCATTGAATTAGTATCAGTAAAAATGTGTTGCCTTTTCTATTGTAATATGTTGCAACTGGCCCTTCCCTACAGGTAGGGCAAGTAGGTGGAAGTGGATTTTTCCCATTCCAGACCATTTACATGTGTTGACAAAACATTATATATATATTGATTAAACATATATTGCCTGGCAAACACAGCTTGAGCTGAGAGAGTCTGAGGCAGTAGAACAGAACAATGTTAATTAGCCTATTTAGAAATTAAGTTTTTAACTTTTCTAGCACCTTTCTCTAACCAAGTAAGATAATGAGAGCTGACTGACATGCAGGTGCATAGCAATGATCCCAGTTTCTTTGCTTGCAAATGTCTCTTGAATGATTTGTTTCTGCCCATACTGTTTATAACTGGGTTAATATTGAAGCTTTCTTTTGCCAACCCTTCATCCTTACATGCTTCATGGTCACAGACTAGCCTCATACTCAACCCAATTCCTTTGGTGAACCAACTTTAGAGGCTGGTAAAGAAACTTCCTTTTAGCCAGAGTACAGTGGCACATGCCTGTATTCCCAGCTACTTAGGAGGCTGAGGCAGGAGGACTGCTTGAGCCCAGGAGTTTGAGACCAGCCTGGGAAACATAGCAAGACCCCATCTCATTTTTAAAAATTTTTTAAAATAAATAAATGCGGCCAGGCACGGTGGCTCACAGCTGTAATCCCAGCACTTTAGGAGGCCGAAGTGGGAGGATCTCCTGAGGTCAGGAGTTTGAGACCAGCGTGGCTAACATGGTGAAACCCTGTCTCTACTAAAAATACAAAAATTAGCCAGTCGTGGTGGCAGGTGCCTGTAATCCCAGCTACTTGGGAGACTGAGGTAGGAGGATCACTTGAACCCAGGAGGTGGAGGTTGCAGTGAGCCGAGATCGCACCACTGCACTCCAGCCTGGGTGACAAAGGGAGACTCTGTCTCAAATAAATAAATAAATAAATAAATAAATACCATGCAGGAAGGCTTACATGGGAAATGAAAGTAAAAAAATAAAAATAAAAAAATAAATAAATAAAAAGAAACTTTCCTGTTACGTGGAGTCTGTAAAACCCAGATTTCCACACATCAGTCCATGTAATAGGGTCTGCAGCCACCACACAGAAAACAAAGGGGTCTTGCATCTTGCACATATGAGCTTCCATTGCTGTGAATGACTATAACTTTCAAACATTCTGTGAAATGGTCTGAGATTGGTTGGGGCCTGTGTGCTACTGAGGAAGACAAGTTCATGGGCTCAACTTCTGTAGAAGGCAGCTGGCTGTTCTACTGACAAATGTACCCTCTGGCCCCAGCCAGCTTTGTGTAAACATATGTCATAGGGATCTGACAAGACAGTCTAGATCCCATAGAACAGACCCAACATCACTCTAGAGAAACAGCAGGGGACCACTGATGGTCCAACAGATGCGTGTCCATATATGGAAAGAGAACAGGCCGGGCACAGTGGCTCATGCCTGTAATAGCAATTTGGGAGGCCAAGGTGGATGATCACCTGAGGTCAGGAGTTCCAGACCAGCCTGGGCAACATGGCGAAACCCCGTCTGTACTAAAAAATACAAAATTTAGCCGGGTATGGTGGCAGGTGCCTGTAATCCCAGCTACTTGGGAGGCTGAGGCAGGAGAATTGCTTGAATCTGGGAGGTGGAGGTTGCAGTGAGCTGAGATCGCAGAACTACTGCACTCCAGCCTGGGCAACAGAGCAAGACTCTGTCTCAAAAAAAAAAAAAAAAAAAAAAGAACATATTACCTCGTGTCCATCAGCAATGGAAATTTAGTTTAGATTACTCTTTTGAAGAGATTTCCAATTAAGTGTTTGTTGACTGAATGCATAAGTTTGAGGAGGTGGGAAGAGATTAAGGGATAAAGCCTCTACTACAATTAATTCAGCAGATATTTTACTGAACATTTATGGTGTGCCTAGCACAACAGACATAGCTTCTACCCTCACGGCACTGGCAGTCTGTTGGAAGAGAAAGACATTGTATCAGTCGTGATGGACTAGATTATGCTGTGGTAACAAACCTCCCAAAATACCAGTGCTTTGCTTGAAACAGCAAAGGTTGATTACTCATTCACACTGCATGTCCCAGAGGGGTCTGCAGGGCTCTGCTCACTGTGGTTACTCTTGGCCATCTGCAGGCAGGGCAGCCACCTTGTGGGTGCTATGCCGAAGGAAAAGAGAATGCCAGGTGGCACATACTGGCTCTTAAAGCTTCTGCCCAGAAGTGACATAGGCCACTTCTGATCACATTTCATTAGCCAAAGCAGCCACAGAGACCGCCTCCACCCCACAATTTCACATGGAGAGGGAAGTGCAGTCCCACCATGTGCCCAGAAGGAGGCAGAGACAGAATATGAGTGGGCACTAATGGCTGTGACACGGCAGAAGCAAATAATAACACAAACAAATGCAAACTGCAACAGTGACGAGGCCTATAAAGCAGAGGAAGAGGACACCATGCCATGCACTGTTTGTGCCTCTAATGAGGGAATCTCCCCTGTCACGGGGGGCAGAGAAGCGTCCTCCACTGCCACACCCCAGGAAGGGGCCCTGAGGCCTGAGGGATGAGTAGAAGTTGACCAGGTGAAAAAGGGAGGGAAAGCATTTCCAATGGAGAGACAGATGCAACGGTACAGGTCCTGTGATGCAGCTGCAGGGAGGGGGGTGGTGGTGGGGAGAGGGATGGTGAGCAAGAGACCCACACAGCAGGGAGGCTGAGGGACCAGAGGAAGCTGTCGGCCATAGCACGCAGGGCCCTGTAGGCCATGTTAAGGAGTTTAGTCTTCATTCAGAAGGAAGAGTTATTGAGAGATTTGAAGCAAGGGATGACAATCAGATTTTTATTTCAAATGGATCCCTCAGCCTGTAATCTGGTGGGAAGACAGGGACAGACCATTGAGATGTGATTGTAGCATCAAGGAAAGAAATGGTGATAATAGGAACTAGGATGGTGTCTGTGGGACAGAGCACACAAATGATCCCAAGTGTTAGATTCATGCTCACTATTTAAGGTAAATGTTTATCTTTTTACCTAATTATACAGCTAATAATTTAATATTCTGTTTTCTACATGTATCTTAGAGTTTTTCATGAAATAACGTTCCCATTTAAGATATAATTTCAGTACCTTAAACATTCAGGTCCAAAATGTAAAAACGATTTATCAATTAAATAATAAACTGTCAAATTTACACTTTGCTTCTGGTTGATAAACTTGATTACATCACAGGGAAAATCTGTGTTTTATTAATTAAGCACAAGAGTATCTGTTTAATTAGGCTTGGGGGTGATTTCGTTTTGACTTCTAGATACTTACGATGGGAGGACAGCTTTGTAGAAAGGACATTATCCAGCTAATAGCAAACTTTGTGGATCCCAATCCGAGATTTCCCTAAAAGACTCAAGGAAATAAACAAGTTATATTCATAAAGTTCAAGTAGTATATAAAAGGATACTCATTCTTAAATACATTTTTATCCTGATTAATCGAATCCTTAAAATCAGTTTTGGAAAATAAACTAGATGAGCACTTAAGAGCAAAGTTCATATCATTGAAATCAACCAGTTTTGGAGACCATCTCAAGTACAAGCATTTTTGATATATTATTAATCATATAACATAATCACATAATATACATATATCATAATATATAATAGTCATGTAATTTATAGTTACATAAAATATGTAAAAATATAATTTTTAAAAATTGTACCTGCTGAAAGACCAGAAGTATCTCATATAAAAGTGCTGTAGCAGTATTTGTATACTCCAGAATAAGCTTCTGTAACTAGAATTTTCAAGAATAATCAATGCAATGTCATAAGCCAAGTCAGAAAACGATAATTTCCCATGGTTCCCTTTAGGTACTTATACAATAAACTTTCTCTTTTTTTTGAGACAAGGTCTCATGCTGCCACCCAGGTGGGAGTACAGTGCTGTGGTCATGGGTCTGTGCAGCCTCAAACTCCTGGGCACAAGCCATTCCTCTCACCTCTGCTTTCTGTGTAGCTGGGACTACAGGTGCAAGCTACCATGCTGGCTAATCTTATTTTTTTAATTTTTTGTAGAGATGAGGTCTCACTATATTGCCCAGGCTGGTCTCAAATTCCTGAGCCCAACCCATCCTTTCACCTCAGTCTCCCCAGTAGCTAGGACTACAGGTATGTGCCACCATGCCCAGGTAATTTTTGATTTTTTATTTTTGTAGAGACAGGGTCTCGCTTGTTGCCCAGGCTGGTATGGAACTCTTGGCCTCAAGTGATTCTCCCACCTCTGCCTCCTGAGTAGCTGGGATTCAGATGCAAGCCATTATCCCTGGCTGGCCCACAGAATACTAAGACAAAAAATTGCATATTTGATTTGCAAAATCAATCAGATCAACAACCCTACTTCCTTTCAAGAATGTAGAAATACACACCCCCCCCCGCGAGTTGAGGTGAGAGATTCTCTGGGGAATTTAGGCTTATTCCCAAATTAAACTAAGATTCCTTCTGTGGGATGGATAAATAGAGGGTTTAGAGATACTTCATTCCTCTCAAGAATTCCAAACTCCTCTTTACAATTACTATCCCTTTTCTTCATTTATTTACTCAACAAATATGCATCAGACACCATGCTAGGTGTTGGGGACGCAAGGGAGAACAACACAGACATGAGACCTGCCCTCATGGAACATACAATCTAGTTGGGGAACAAACATCAAGTGATCAAATACACAAATGCCTAATTATAAACTGAGACAAGGGCTATGAAAGAAATGTACAGGAAGTTAAGGGAGCTCTATAAAGGAGGACTAGTCTCATTTGGTGGTCAAGGAATGCTTCCCTCTGGCCAATATCTTTCCTTACCTAGATTATGGCACTAACTTCTTAATAGCCCTGCCTATCTGAGTCTTGGTTCCACCCCACTCTTTAATAGCTAATCCACCATTGAAAGTGGTATTGGAGACTCTCTATATACAGTCTGTAATTATATATTCATGGATATATTTGAATAATGTCTGTCTCTCCCAGCAGAGTAGAAACTAATGAAGGCAGGGGTCGTGTCTGTTTTGCTTACTGTTTTGACCCTACTGCCTAGCACACTGTTTGCTCATAATAGATGCTCAATAAATATTTACTGACTGTGGCCAGGTGTGGTGGCTCATGCCTGTAATCTTAGCATTTTGGGAGGCCGAGACAGGCAAATCGCTTGAGCTCAGGGATTTGAAACCAACCTGGGTAACATGGCAAGACCCCATCTCTACAAAAAATACAAAAATTAGCCAGGCGTGGTGGCTCATGCCTGTAGTCCTAGCTACTCAGGAGTCTGAAGTGAGAGCATTACTTGAGCCTGGGAGGTCAAGTCTGCAGTGAGCCGAGATTGTGCCACTGCACTCCAGCCTGGGCAACAGAGTGAAACCCTTTCTTAAAAAAAAAAAAAAAAAAAAAAATTACTGAGTGAATGACTGAATGAGTTTTCTAAAACATAATTCTGACCATATATTTAAGAACTATCAAATCATGTTTCATCCTTTAAAAAAAAGTCTGTTAACCTGGCTCAAAATAAACTAATAATAAGTTGGTTTATTCTCTCAGAAGGTATGCCTTCTAGGCAGTTTGATATTTCTAATGTCTTGGTACAACCTTAGAAAAACAAGTAACTCTTGCTGAGAATTTATACTGTTCATATAAGTAGGAAAATGGTAAAGTATAAGAGTTAACCCTAAAATCTCTAAGACAGTGATTTTTCACCCATTAGACCCCTGCTATGGAATTACATATACATCATGTTTTGTACACAGACAGACATAAACAGATTTATCAAATTTATAAAGAATGCTAATTACTTTCTTTAATATACATACCTTAAGACATATAAAAGGGATATATTAATATTGACTGAATAGTTATTTTTTCCTTTTTCTTGACCCTCTAAATCTCTAAATCTACTTTAGACTGACTAGTTATCTAAGTTTTGAGGTTAATGACAAAAGATCTACTCTTTGGTTTAATTATGTTTCTCTATTCTACGGTGTCATGGTCCACATTAAAAGAAGCCAGGGCCCCTATATATATATATATATAATAGTTTACCCCCCAAATTCTCATCTCACCTCAGCGTCAAAAGACATTCTGACTAAAGCTGAATCAGCCACCAACTGGATATCAAACACAGGACAAGATTTTGGAATCTGAGGCTCACTAATTAAAATTACCAAGAGATTAAATAGTGCTCCCCTGGAAAAAAATAAATAAAAGGCAATTAGTGAGCAAAGTGTTGAGAGGAAAAATGGTGAAGCCAAGTTTCAAACACTGGATATAATTATGTTTAAAAGAATGAAGCATTGCAGACCATCCTTGACTGAAGTTTTGGATCCTTGGACACGCAAATGAATAACTAGAGATAAAAAATTTAAATGAAAATATAACTTCTTGGTCTTCTGGCTCAGAGCGAGTGTAGTTCTAGAAGTCCACATAGCTTAGAAAGACTAGAAAATCTGGATTTAAGGGAGATTTGGGTAATTTCAATTATAGCATTATTTTCCAAAGGACTTTTTATGGATTGCTAATTCCAGACAATATTATAGTTAAAATAGATTCTGTGGTCAAAGGAGATAGGGGAAATACTTGGTTAAACCAAGTTCATCAGATGTGTTTACTACAGGACTTCTCAGAGGCTTTATATGCTAATATGCACAGTGTATCTCTGGGACAAAGCAACAGTATGCAGCTCTTCTTTTTTCTTTTTTTAGGTTTGTTTGCTTGGGTTATTTTTGGCACAGGATCTCATGATGTTGCCCGGGCTGGTCTTGAACTACTGGACTCAAGTGATCCCCTGCCTCAGCCAAGTAGCTGAGATTACAGGCTTGAGCGACCACTTTCAGTTTTTACTTTTTTTAATTGATAATAAAAATTGTATATATTTATGGTATACAACATGATGTTTTGAAATATGTATATACTGTAGAATGTGTACATATTTTATAAATCAAGCGAATTGACGTATGCATCACCTCACATGCTTATTTTTATATAGTGAGAACACAAAATCTATTGTCAGCAATTTTCAAGTATACAGGACATTGCTATTAACTATGGTCACCATATTTGTATGATTGATCTCTGGAACTTCTTCCTCCTGTCTAACTGAAGTTTTGTACCCTTTGACCAACATCTCCCAATTCCACCCCGCCCCTAAGCCTCTGACAACCACCATTCTACACTCTCTGTTTTTATGAGTTTGGCTTTTTTAGATTCCATATATAAGTGAGATCATGCATGAACTCAAAAGTCAAACTCGTATTTGTCTTTCTGTGCCTGGCTTATTTCACTTAGCCTAATATCCTCCAGTTTCATCCATGTTGTCACAAATAACAAGACTTCATTTTTATGGCTGAATAATATTCCATTGTGTATATGTACCACATTTTCTTTATCCATTCACCCATTGCTGGACAGTAAGTTTGCTTCCTTTTCTTGGTTTCTGTTAATAATGTACAGCATTTCTTTTTTTTAAATATAAAAATTTTTAAACATAAAGATGGGGTCTTGCTTTGTTGCCCAGGCTGGACTTGAACCCCTGGCCTAAAGCAATCTGCCCACCTCAGCCTCTCAAAGTGCTTGGATGACAGGCATGAGCCTCCACACCCAACTCCACCATTTTGTAAAATGCTTATTTGATCCCAAAAAACCTCAGTTATTTTACTTTCCAATGTGGGGTACCGTCCATTGATAACTCACTTAAATGTTACATGTGCATCCTGATGAGCTGGGTTAATAACGCTATCTCCTCCTATTGGGTAGTATAACCCCTGTATGGTTGAAAAGCAGCTGAAGGCAGACTGCTAAAAACTCAGTTGCCTAATTGAAGACAATGTCAGAGTAGATTTGAGGGGTAGGAGTAGTAAAATAATTCAAAGATAGTACTATACAAAAGTTCTCCATAACCATAAGCATTCCTTTCATAATGGAAAAAAGGAGGGTGAGTATAAATACCCTTGTTTAGTAGGATCTGAGGCTTTCTAATCTTCTTAGAATCATTTAAATCATCACCATGATTAGAAGCTCATGATTAACCTACACTCTAGTAAAAATACAATGCTCTTCCTTTCTCCAAGTCAAAAAGCAAGTCTAGTTCTTATATTTGGAAAGAAGAATCATGTCAGTTAGTACATTTCTCACAAAAGCAGGATATACCCTACAGGGTATTTAATAATGTTTTATTCAGGCTATTTAAAATGGCCAATCTTACTTTGAGAAGACCCTTTTAAAATCAACAGAACACTCCCTTTAGAAGTGTTTCTTGATATTGTTTGAACTGGCATTCCATTCACTGTTATATTTAATTATAGTCCTTTATTTTCAGTAACAGCTTATTTTCAAAGTATCATACATCCAAAGCAAAGAAAAAGAACTCTCAAATTATGGGTCACTTGCTATGATAACATATGAATTCAACCCTAACAATACTAGGATATGAAAAAATATGGCACATTTCAAGAAAGTTACAGCAAAGTATGTTGAACTAATGAAATCTCCACTCATGAAAACAATAAAGAGGAAAATGCTGAAATGATTAACCGCTTTTTTATTTACCCAAATGGAATTTAATTTGAAATCCACCCCTTCTGCTAATTCAATTTAAAATCCACTAGGACAATAATAGATAGAAGAAATTTTAATCAAAATGGTAGTTTCATCCTGAAAATAGAGATAACTTAGAGGATTGACATCACAGCCTTAAAAACAGTCCCAACAGTTTAATACTTTATTGTTTAGGTTGTTATTATTTCTAATGTATGAATTTTGAATGTACTACAATATCTTTAAAAATACAGACTTTGAAGGCCACATCGATAGTCTCCTAAGTCAGTCCATGTTATTGTGGTGGGCAGAAATCTAACGTGGCTTCCAAAATTCCCAGCCTGCTGGTACAAACCCTATCAAATTCCTTCCCCTTAAGTATGGGCAATAGCTCTGAATATGTTTGTCTGTCACTCTTGTGATTATGTTACATGAAATGGGAAAGATGAAGGGATTCTGAGAATATAATAAAGGCCCTAATTGGCTGACTGTTGAGTTAATCAAAAGAAGATTATCCAGAGTAGGCTTGCTCTAATCAGGTGAGCCCCGAAAAAGAGATACTCTCCTGCAAAGAAACAAGCCACCTGAGTCCCACAGCTGTAAGGAAATTTAGTCTGCCAGCAATCACCCAAATGAGCTAGGAAGAGTCCCAAGCCTCAGATGAGACTATGGCCTGGCCAACACCTCAACTGAAACCTCGTGAGACCCTGGGCAAAGGATCCAGTTAAGCTGTGCCCAGATTTCTGATCCACTGACACTGTGAGATAAGAAATACATGTTGTTTTAAGCCACTAAGTTTGTGATAATTTGTTATATGGCAATAGAAAACTAATACAATTTTGGCTGGGCACGGTGGCTCATACTTGTAATCCCAGCACTTTGGGAGGCCGACGGGGGGTGGATCACCTGAGGACAGGAGTTCAAGACCAGCCTGACTAACATGGTGAAACCCCGTCTCTACTAAAAATACAAAATTAGCAGGGTGTGGTGGTGCATGCCTGTAATCCCAGCTATTCAGGAGGCTGAGGCACAAGAATTGCTTGAACCCAGGGGGCGGAGATTACAGTCAGCCAAGATCGCACCATTGCACTCCAGCCCTGGCGACAGAGCAAAACTCTGTCTCAAAAAAAGAAAAAAGAGCCCGGGTGCGGTGGCTCATGCCTATAATCCTAGCACTTTGGGAGGCCGAGGCGGGTGGATTGCCTGAGGTCAGGAGTTCGAGACCAGTCTGGCCAACATGGTGAAACCGTCTTAACTAAAAACATAAAAAAAATCAGCCGAGCGTGGTGGCACACACCTGTATCCCCAGCTACTTGAGAGGCTGAGGCAGGGGAATTGCTTGAACCATGGAGGTAGAGGTTGCAGTGAGCCGAGATCATGCCATTGCACTCCAGCCTGGGTGACAGAGTGAGACTCCATCTCAAAAAAAATAAAAGAAAAAAGAAAACGAATACAGTTTTATTAGATATTTACTGGGCTACGTAATACTATGGGGCACATGATTTGACCCTAGGGATATAAAAACTGGCTGAGAAAAGTTAATATTACAACCAGACTCTACTATAGCAATGTAATATATGTATTGAAGGACATGAAAAGAATTGGTAATATCAGGAAAGAGGCTTGATATAGGACGGCTGATGTGATCAAACCAAGTTAAAACAAAACAATTAAAGGCAACGCTTTTAAAGAAAAAGAACAAAGAAAACCCCATAAAAACAATACTTTACAACAGAGGTGACTAAGGATGATTTTTTTCAACTTGGAAACAGAAAGGTAGAGACCAAAAGGTGGAGAAAAAGGATAACCAGATTTAGTGATAATTTTAATGTGGGAGAAGACAGAAATATCAAAAATAATGTTGAATCTCCATCTTGGAGATTAGGGAAACGGCAGTACTACCAATCGCATAAAGAAGTATTCAAGCTGGGCGCAGTGGTTCATGCCAGTAATCTCAGCACTTTGGGAGGCCAAGGCGGGAAGATCACTTAAGTCCAGGAGTTTGAGACCAGCCCCGACAACAAAGTGAGACCTTGTCTCTACAAAAAAATAAAAAAATAAGAACTAGCTTGGCATGGTGTATTTTCTTGTTTGCTGTAAAGCAGAGCTCAGCAAACTATGGCCTGCAGGCCAAATCCAGCCTACAGCCTGTTTCTGTGAATAAAGTTTATCAGAACACAACTGTGTCCATTCGTTCATGTACTGCTTATGGCTGCTTTTGGGCTACAATGGCAGAACTGAGTAGACGCAGCACAGATTGTATGACGTGATAAGCCAAAACTATTTTCTATATGACCTTTTACAGAAATGTTTGCCCACTCCTGCTACACAACATAATATGCCGGCTTGGCACAGTGGCTCATGCCTGTAATCCTAGCACTTTGGGGGTAAGAGGGGGCAGATCACTTGAGCCCAGGAGTTTGAGACCAGCCTGGACAACATGGCAAAACCCCATCTCTATGAAAAATACAAAAAAATTAGCAGGGCATGATGGCATGTACCTGTGGTCCCAGCTACTGGGGAGGTGAGGATCACCTGAGCCCCAGGGAGGTCGAGGCTGCAGTGAGCTAAGATCGTGTCACTGCACTCCAGCCTGGATGAGAGTGAAACCCTATCTAAAAAAAAAAAAAGAAAAGAAAAAAAGCATAGTATGCCCATAGTCCCTGGCACATAGCAAGTGAGCAAGTGTACTTAAGAAATATTAATTAATGAGGCCGGGCGTGGTGGCTCACACCTGTAATCCCAGCACTTTGGGAGGCCGAAGCAGGCGGATCACCTGAGGTCGGGGTTTGAGACCAGCCTGACCAACATGGTGAAACGCCATCTCTACTAAAAATACAAAATTAACCGGGCATGGTGGTGCACGCCTGTAATCCCAGCTACTTGGGAGGCTGAGGCAGGAGAACCACTTGAACCTGGGAGGCAGAGATTGCCATGAGCCAAGATTGTGCCATTGCACTCCAGCCTGGACAACAAGAGTGAAGCGCTGTCTCAAAAAAAAAAGAAAAAAGAAAGAAAGAAAAATAAATATTAATTAATGAAATTAGGGCCAGTCATGGTGGCTCATGCCTGTAATCCCAGCTACTTGGGAGGCTGAGTCAGGAGAATCACTTGAACCCAGGAAGCAGAGGGTGCAGTGAGCTGAAATCGTGCCATTGCACCCCAGCCTGGGTGACAAGAGCAAAACTCTGTATCAAAAAAATAAAATAAAATAAAAAATCAAGCAGACAGTATGCAAAACTGCAAATCAAAATCAAAAGACAAAGAATGCTACTGTCCCCCCCTATACATTCTTCCATTCTTCCTTTTAATAACAGATGTCCCCATTACCATTCAAAACGAAGTTAGGCACATAGCTGTCCAACTACAGACACATTTCCAGCCTCTCCTGCAGCTAGGTGTGGCCATGTGCCTGAAGTTCTCACCAGGAGAATGTGAGCAGAAGTGTTACATGCCTTGCTTAAAAAGGAAGCTTGTTTGCCCTCTGCTTCTCTCTCTTTTTTTTTTTTTTCTTTTTTAACTGGAATGCCCTCTATTTCTCTTTCTGCTTCCCACAGGGTATAATGAAGTCATCAAGGTCAGCCAGCTTACACTATAAGGACAAAGACAACATGATAGCAGGCAACAGAGTAACAAAGGGGAAAAAACCTAGGTCCCTGGCTCACCTTGTGTTTGAAAGCCTGAATATTTACTCTGAACTGTTGTGTAAGAAAGATTTCAATTAAGATCTTCTTTGGGCCACATATTTTAGAGTATCTATTTTTTTTTTTTTTTTTGAGATGGGGTTGCCCAGGCTAGAGTGCAATGGTGTGATCTCAGCTCACTGCAACCTCCACCTCCCAGGTTCAAGCCATTCTCGTGCCTCAGCCTCCCGAGTAGCTGGGATTACAAGTGCGCACCACCATGCCTGGCTAATTTTTGTGTTTTTAGTAGAGACAGGGTTTCACCATGTTGGTCAGGCTGGTCACAAACTCCTGACCTCAGGTGATCCACCCGCCTTGGTTTCCCAAAGTGCTGGGATTACAGGCGTGAGCCACCGTGCCTGGCCTAGAGTGTCTTTATTACAGCAGCTCACCCTAGATATTAATAAACTCTCCAAAGTCATTTACTCTAAGGTCACACGATTATATTGTAAATGAGGCTACTATAACACCTGATTTTGCAGTTTTTCTGTTGTGTGGATATAAGGACACTATGGGAAATTCTGGCGGAGATCCCCCGGCTTTTAATGTATGATGGGTCATTTGGTCTTTTTCAAGTTCACCAGACTAGGACAAAAAAAAATTATGCTGAGAAAATCTTTGTACCCTTAATAATCCAGAGAGACAGAGAGAACTCGGCCTGTGCCAATTAACCTGTTCATCATGGAAGGAAGGAGAAAAACAAAAGAGTGAAATATACTTGGAAGGGTGTTGAACAGGGAAGTTGGAGAATTATGTGCTTTGGAAGACACTTAATAAGAATAGTTAATGGGTTGCAACTACAAGGTCCCAATGTCTTCTAAAAGACCTTACTTCTTAGCTGCCAATGTGTTCAGGCGTGATGACTCGGTTTCTGTTTCTCTGAACATCAATACTAGGGTCTGTATAATTTCAATGCATGCCCTAGAAAATAAACGATAAAAGGCAAAGAAATGGCATGATTTCATTAGAAGCTCAGAATTCCACAAAAGTAGTAATTTTTGCTAAAACTGCTTCCAGATATCCATACAGAAAAAAGTACAGGAAATAAATTTTGTACATCAAATTGCTAACATTGGTTAAGTGCCTACTCTGACTGCTACACAGTAAACACTCAAAAACATTTGCTGGTCGGGCGGGGTAGCTAACATATCACTCATGCTGTAATCCCAGCACTTTGGGAGGCCCAGGTGGGCGAATGGCCTGAGCCCAGGAGTTTGAGACCAGCCTGGGCAGCATGGCAAAACCCCATCTTTACAAAAGTTAGCTGAGTGTGGAGCTCAGGAGGTCAAGACTGCAGTGAGCCATGATCACACCAATGCACTCCCTCTGAGGGACAGAGTGAGAACTTTTCTAAAAAAAAAAAAAAGAAAAAAATTGTTGAATGAATGAATAGCTGGATGTCAGTACTAAATCATTTTATATGTATCTCTTTTCCAAAGTTTTTAGGATAATCAGACACTGCTTTAAAATTATTGTTTAAATTTTTAATATTTTCAGAGAGGTACTATTTGGCTCAAAATGTCAATGGTAAAAAAGAGAATACAGTGAAAGCTGTCTCTCCTCCAGATACCCATTTTTCCCACTTTGAGACAACAAATATTACTAGTTTCTTGTGCATCCTTCCATTAAAATTAGAACAAAATGAGTTCTATTTCTTAAAATCCACAGGAAGAGACCAGGCATGGTGGCTCATGTCTGTAATCCCAGCACTTTGGAAGGCTGAGATGGATGGATCACCTGAGGTCAGGAGTTCGAGACCAGCCTGGCCAATGTGGTGAAACCCCGTTTCTACTAAAAATACAAAAATTAGCCAGGCGTGGTGGCGTAAGCTTGTAATCCCAGTTGCTCCGGTAGCTGAAGCATGAGAATTGCTTGAACCCACGAGGCAGAAATTGCAGTGGGCAAAGATCGTGCCACTGCACTCCAGCCTGGGCAACAGAGCGAGACTCTGTCTCAAGAGAAAATAAATAAATAAATAAAAATAAAAATAAAATCCACAGGAAGAAAAACTTGCAGTGCCATTAATCATTAACCCAGCATATATTTTGTCCAGTGTCTTCCATTTATCTTTAACACCCTAGCAAAAAAAAAAAAATCGATGATTATCTAGTTAGTACTTACACCAGCTCATCAACCCTTTGGCTTTGATTTTGTAGTGCATTCTTATCCCTAGACTCCGGCAAGTACTCATGAAGTTTGTTTACTATGAAATAGAAAAGGTCACTGGTCTGTGAAAGCAAGTTGGAAAAAAAGACAGTAATTAAGGTATCTGTTGTTAAAATTCTCTACTCTCATGTACTAAAAATATGAAGAAATAATTTGTTCTTTGATTAGAGAAGTGAATTACAATATCTCCCACTGATACTAGCATAACCCAAATTGGAAACATACTTCTTACTTACACCCAAGAGACCACTGTGCTGGTGACCAGAGCAAGGGCTAGGGGGTGATGCTGGGAGATGCCAGTTAGGCCTGGCTTGACCATTAACCTTGAAGATCATCCAGAAGCAGGTGTGTAATCTCAGGCAACTCATCCAGTCACCTTGAAAAATGGGTCTCCTATAATTTCTGCCTTTCCAAAGTAATCTGGCCTTTGTGAGGATATAATGAATAATGAATAAGCAAGTTCTCGTTTTAAAATGTTTACTAACTCAAAAACAAATGTACAGCACTAGGCTAGCTTATGGAAATGGTGCAGAACAATATTGATTCTTCTGGTAATACAGTGGAAATGTAGATTGCCATTTCTGTCAAAATAAACACTGACTTAGAGCTGGGGAACCCATTTTTTAGTGTTCCTGTCCAGTCTCATGAGAAATCAAGCATGAAAATAAGCGCTGGCCCATGAAATTAGGCAAGTTGGCATTAATGAGAAATGTAATGTAATTGCTTTTCTTTTCTATTCCTCTATTGTTCGTTTTTTCCCCAGGATTTTGGTTTACTAGTGACAATTTAGGCTTTTTGTTTAGAAAGTGTATGCGTCCCCTTATTCAGGTGATATGGCATGAGAAGAGGCTGGGAATGCCAGCTGGGAATGCCAGAGAAAGGAAAAAGAGGAAGAGAAGCAGGATGTTTACCGGATACTCTCAGAAGTGCTTGGGATTTGAAAGAAGGAAGGACTTGGCCAGATGTGGTGGCTCATGCCTGTCAGCCCAGCACTTTGGGAGGCCGAGGTGGGCAGATCACTTGAGGTCAGGAGTTCGAAATCAGCCTGGCCAACGTGGCAAAACCCCGTCTCTACTAAAAATACAAAAATTAGCTGGGTTTGGTAGCATGCGCCTGTAATCCCTAATCCCAGCTACTTGGGAGGGTGAGGCAGGAGAATCACTTGAACCTGGGAGGTGGAGGTTGCAGTGAGCTGGGATTGCGCCACTGCACTCCAGACTGGGCAAGAGTGAGTGAGACTCCATCAAAAAAAAAAAAAAAAAAAAGAAGAAGAAGAAGAAGAAGAAGAAGAAGAAGTGCTTGGGTTTACCCAGTGCCTGATAAATTAGCATAGTGTGGCAGTTTTTTTTTGTTGTTTTTTTTATTATACTTTAAGTTTTAGGGTACATGTGCACATTGTGCAGGTTAGTTACATATGTATACATGTGCCATGCTGGTGCGCTGCACCCACTAACTCGTCATCTAGCATTAGGTATATCTCCCAATGCTATCCCTCCCCCCTCCCCCCACCCCACCACAGTCCCCAGAGTGTGATATTCCCCTTCCTGTGTCCATGTGATCTCATTGTTCAATTCCCACCTATGAGTGAGAATATGCCGTGTTTGGTTTTTTGTTCTTGTGATAGTTTACTGAGAATGATGATTTCCAATTTCATCCATGTCCCTACAAAGGACACAAACTCATCATTTTTTATGGCTGCATAGTATTCCATGGTGGATATGTGCCACATTTTCTTAATCCAGTCTGTCATTGTTGGACATTTGGGTTGGTTCCAAGTCTTTGCTATTGTGAATAATGCCGCAATAAACATACGTGTGCATGTGTCTTTATAGCAGCATGATTTATAGTCCTTTGGGTATATACCCAGTAATGGGATGGCTGGGTCAAATGGTATTTCCAGTTCTAGATCCCTGAGGAATCGCCACACTGACTTCCACAATGGTTGAACTAGTTTACAGTCCCACCAACAGTGTAAAAGTGTTCCTATTTCTCCACATCCTCTCCAGCACCTGTTGTTTCCTGACTTTTTAATGATTGCCATTCTAACTGGTGTGAGATGGTATCTCATTGTGGTTTTGATTTGCATTTCTCTGATGGCCAGTGATGATGAGCATTTTTTCATGTGTTTCTTGGCTGCATAAATGTCTTCTTTTGAGAAGTGTCTGTTCATGTCCTTCGCCCACTTTTTGATGGGGTTGTTTGTTTTTTTCTTGTAAATTTGTTGGAGTTCATTGTAGATTCTGGATATTAGCCCTTTGTCAGATGAGTAGGTTGCGAAAATTTTCTCCCATTTTGTAGGTTGCCTGTTCACTCTGATGGTAGTTTCTTTTGCTGTGCAGAAGCTCTTTAGTTTAATTAGATCCCATTTGTCAATTTTGGCTTTTGTTGCCATTGCTTTTGGTGTTTTGGACATGAAGTCCTTGCCCATGCCTATGTCCTGAATGGTAATGCCTAGGTTTTCTTCTAGGGTTTTTATGGTTTTAGGTCTAACGTTTAAATCTTTAATCCATCTTGAATTGATTTTTGTATAAGGTGTAAGGAAGGGATCCAGTTTCAGCTTTCTACATATGGCTAGCCAGTTTTCCCAGCACCATTTATTAAATAGGGAATCCTTTCCCCATTGCTTGTTTTTCTCAGGTTTGTCAAAGATCAGATAGTTGTAGATATGCAGCATTATTTCTGAGGGCTCTGTTCTGTTCCATTGATCTATATCTCTGTTTTGGTACCAGTACCATGCTGTTTTGGTTACTGTAGCCTTGTAGTATAGTTTGAAGTCAGGTAGTGTGATGCCTCCAGCTTTGTTCTTTTGGTTTAGGATTGACTTGGCGATGCAGGCTCTTTTTTGGTTCCATATGAACTTTAAAGTAGTTTTTTCCAATTCTGTGAGGAAAGTCATTGGTAGCTTTATGGGGATGGCATTGAATCTGTAAATTACCTTGGGCAGTATGGCCATTTTCACGATATTGATTCTTCCTACCCATGAGCATGGAATGTTCTTCCATTTGTTTGTATCCTCTTTTATTTCCTTGAGCAGTGGTTTGTAGTTCTCCTTGAAGAGGTCCTTCACATCCCTTGTAAGTTGGATTCCTAGGTATTTTATTCTCTTTGCAGCAATTGTGAATGGGAGTTCACTCATGATTTGGCTCTCTGTTTGTCTGTTGTTGGTGTATAAGAATGCTTGTGATTTTTGTACATTGATTTTGTATCCTGAGACTTTGCTGAAGTTGCTTATCAGCTTAAGGAGATTTTGGGCTGAAACAATGGGGTTTTCTAGATATACAATCATGTCGTCTGCAAACAGGGACAATTTGACTTCCTCTTTTCCTAATTGAATACCTTTATTTCCTTCTCCTGCCTAATTGCCCTGGCCAGAACTTCCAACACTATGTTGAATAGGAGTGGTGAGAGAGGGCATCCCTGTCTTGTGCCAGTTTTCAAAGGGAATGCTTCCAGTTTTTGCCCATTCAGTATGATATTGGCTGTGGGTTTGTCATAGATAGCTCTTATTATTTTGAAATACGTCCCATCAATACCTAATTTATTGAGAGTTTTTAGCATGAAGGGTTGTTGAATTTTGTCAAAGGCTTTTTCTGCATCTATTGAGATAATCATGTGGTTTTTGTCTTTGCCTCTGTTTATATGCTGGATTACATTTATTGATTTGCGTATATTGAACCAGCCTTGCATCCCAGGGATGAAGCCCACTTGATCATGGTGGATAAGCTTTTTGATGTGCTGCTGGATTCGTTTTGCCAGTATTTTATTGAGGATTTTTGCATCAATGTTCATCAAGGATAGTGGTCTAAAATTCTCTTTTTTGGTTGTGTCTCTGCCCAGCTTTGGTATCAGAATGATGCTGGCCTCATAAAATGAGTTAGGGAGGATTCCCTCTTTTTCTATTGATTGGAATAGTTTCAGAAGGAATGGTACCAGTTCCTCCTTGTACCTCTGGTAGAATTCAGCTGTGAATCCATCTGGTCCTGGACTCTTTTTGGTTGGTAAACTATCGATTATTGCCACAATTTCAGCTCCTGTTATTGGTCCATTCAGAGATTCAACTTCTTCCTGGTTTAGTCTTGGGAGAGTGTATGTGTTGAGGAATTTATCCATTTCTTCTAGATTTTCTAGTTTATTTGCGTAGAGGTGTTTGTAGTATTCTCTGATGGTAGTTTGTATTTCTGTGGGATCGGTGGTGATATCCCCTTTATCATTTTTTATTGTGTCTATTTGATTCTTCTCTCTTTTTTTCTTTATTAGTCTTGCTAGTGGTCTATCAATTTTGTTGATCCTTTCAAAAAACCAGCTCCTGGATTCATTGATTTTTTGAAGGGTTTTTTGTGTCTCTATTTCCTTCAGTTCTGCTCTGATTTTAGTTATTTCTTGCCTTCTGCTAGCTTTTGAATGTGTTTGCTCTTGCTTTTCTAGTTCTTTTAATTGTGATGTTAGGGTGTCAATTTTGGATCTTTCCTGCTTTCTCTTGTGGGCATTTAGTGCTATAAATTTCCCTCTACACACTGCTTTGAATGTGTCCCAGAGATTCTGGTATGTTGTGTCTTTGTTCTCGTTGGTTTCAAAGAACATCTTTATTTCTGCCTTCATTTCGTTATGTACCCAGTAGTCATTCAGGAGCAGGTTGTTCAGTTTCCATGTAGTTGAGCGGCTTTGAGTGAGATTCTTAATCCTGAGTTCTAGTTTGATTGCACTGTGGTCTGAGAGATAGTTTGTTATAATTTCTGTTCTTTTACATTTGCTGAGGAGAGCTTTACTTCCAACTATGTGGTCAATTTTGGAATAGGTGTGGTGTGGTGCTGAAAAAAATGTATATTCTGTTGATTTGGGTTGGAGAGTTCTGTAGATGTCTATTAGGTCCGCTTGGTGCAGAGCTGAGTTCAATTCCTGGGTATCCTTGTTGACTTTCTGTCTCGTTGATCTGTCTAATGTTGACAGTGGGGTGTTAAAGTCTCCCATTATTAATGCGTGGGAGTCTAAGTCTCTTTGTAGGTCACTCAGGACTTGCTTTATGAATCTGGGTGCTCCTGTATTGGGTGCATATATATTTAGGATAGTTAGCTCTTCTTGTTGAATTGATCCCTTTACCATTATGTAATGGCCTTCTTTGTCTCTTTTGATCTTTGTTGGTTTAAAGTCTGTTTTATCAGAGACTAGGATTGCAACCCCTGCCTTTTTTTGTTTTCCATTTGCTTGGTAGATCTTCCTCCATCCTTTTATTTTGAGCCTATGTGTGTCTCTGCACGTGAGATGGGTTTCCTGAATACAGCACACTGATGGGTCTTGACTCTTTATCCAATTTGCCAGTCTGTGTCTTTTAATTGGAGAATTTAGTCCATTTACATTTAAAGTTAATATTGTTATGTGTGCATTTGATCCTGTCATTATGATGTTAGCTGGTGATTTTGCTCGTTAGTTGATGCAGTTTCTTCCTAGTCTCGATGGTCTTTACATTTTGGCATGATTTTGCAGCGGCTGGTACCGGTTGTTCCTTTCCATGTTTAGCGCTTCCTTCAGGAGCTCTTTTAGGGCAGGCCTAGTGGTGACAAAATCTCTCAGCATTTGCTTGTCTGTGAAGTATTTTATTTCTCCTTCACTTATGAAGCTTAGTTTGGCTGGATATGAAATTCTGGGTTGAAAATTCTTTTCTTTAAGAATGTTGAATATTGGCCCCCACTCTCTTCTGGCTTGTAGGGTTTCTGCCGAGAGATCCGCTGTTAGTCTGATGGGCTTCCCTTTGAGGGTAACCCGACCTTTCTCTCTGGCTGCCCTTAACATTTTTTCCTTCATTTCAACTTTGGTGAATCTGACAATTATGTGTCTTGGAGTTGCTCTTCTCGAGGAGTATCTTTGTGGCGTTCTCTGTATTTCCTGAATCTGAACGTTGGCCTGCCTTGCTAGATTGGGGAAGTTCTCCTGGATAATATCCTGCAGAGTGTTTTCCAACTTGGTTCCATTCTCCCCATCACTTTCAGGTACACCAATCAGACGTAGATTTGGTCTTTTCACATAGTCCCATATTTCTTGGAGGCTTTGCTCATTTCTTTTTATTCTTTTTTCTCTAACCTTCCCTTCTCACTTCATTTCATTCATTTCATCTTCCATTGCTGATACCCTTTCTTCCAGTTGATTGCATCGGCTCCTGAGGCTTCTGCATTCTTCACGTAGTTCTCGAGCCTTGGTTTTCAGCTCCATCAGCTCCTTTAAGCACTTCTCTGTATTGGTTATTCTAGTTATACATTCTTCTAAATTTTTTTCAAAGTTTTCAACTTCTTTGCCTTTGGTTTGAATGTCCTCCCATAGCTCAGAGTAATTTGATCGTCTGAAGCCTTCTTCTCTCAGCTCGTCAAAGTCATTCTCCACCCAGCTTTGTTCCGTTGCTGGTGAGGAACTGCGTTCCTTTGGAGGAGGAGAGGCGCTCTGCATTTTAGAGTTTCCAGTTTTTCTGTTCTGTTTTTTCCCCATCTTTGTGGTTTTATCTACTTTTGGTCTTTGATGATGGTGATGTACAGATGGGTTTTTGGTGTGGATGTCCTTTCTGTTTGTTAGTTTTCCTTCTAACAGACAGGACCCTCAGCTGCAGGTCTGTTGGAATACCCTGCCGTGTGAGGTGTCAGTCTGCCCCTGCTGGGGGGTGCCTCCCAGTTAGGCTGCTCGGGGGTCAGGGGTCAGGGACCCACTTGAGGAGGCAGTCTGCCCGTTCTCAGATCTCCAGCTGCATGCTGGGAGAACCACTGCTCTCTTCAAAGCTGTCAGACAGGGACACTTAAGTCTGCAGAGGTTACTGCTGTCTTTTTGTTTGTCTGTGCCCTGCCCCCAGAGGTGGAGCCTACAGAGGCAGGCAGGCCTCCTTGAGCTGTGGTGGGCTCCACCCAGTTGGAGCTTCCCGGCTGCTTTGTTTACCTAAGCAAGCCTGGGCAATGGCGGGCGCCCCTCCCCCAGCCTCGCTGCCGCCTTGCAGTTTGATCTCAGACTGCTGTGCTAGCAATCAGCGAGACTCCGTGGGCGTAGGACCCTCCGAGCCAGGTGTGGGATATAATCTCATGGTTCGCCGCTTTTTAAGCCGGTCTGAAAAGCGCAGTATTCGGGTGGGAGTGACCCGATTTTCCAGGTGCGTCCGTCACCCCTTTCTTTGACTCGGAAAGGGAACTCCCTGACCCCTCGCGCTTCCCAAGTGAGGCAATCCCTCGCCCTGCTTCTGCTCGCGCACGGTGCGCGCACCCACTGGCCTGCGCCCACTGTCTGGCACTCCCTAGTGAGAGAAACCCGGTACCTCAGATGGAAATGCAGAAATCACCCGTCTTCTGCGTCGCTCACGCTGGGAGCTGTAGACCGGAGCTGTTCCTATTTGGCCATCTTGGCTCCTCCCCTGTGGCAGTTTTACAAACTGACCCTGGAGTTATATTCTTTGAGCTCAAATCCCAGCTCTACCACTGGGCAGTTGTGTGACATTTGGCAAATTACTTATACTCCCTGTCGCTCAGTTTCTTTGTCTTTCAAATGGGTTAATAATATCACCTCATGGGGTTGATTTAAACGTAAGTTTAAATAAGATAGTATGTATTTATAAAGCTTCAACAGTGCTTAGCACATAACACATAGCACATAACAAGTGTCTAATAAGTATCACTGTTATTATGACCTCCCATCTGCTCACTGATTCATGAATTTTCACTTATAAAATATCATGCATCTACCTGAAACAACATGGAAGAATCTCAAAAATATTATGCCAAAAGAAGCCAAATGCAAAAGAGTACTTAGTGCAGAATTCCATGTAAGTGCAGTGCTAAGAGAGGCAAAATGAATCTACAGTGACAGAAAGCACATCGATAGTTGCACAAGGCCAGGAGTGTGAGAGAACTGGTGGCCAAAGGGCACAAGGTGACATTCTGGAGTGACAGAGACGCTCTAAATCTTGATTGAAGTAGTGTTAATAGTTACATGAATAGAGACATTTGTCAAGACTCTTCAAACTGTATCTTTAAATATGGGTGCATTTTATTTCATGTAAATTATACTGCAATAATTTCTTCAAAGAAGATAGATGAATGGCCAATAAGCACATGAAAAATGCTCAACATCACTAATCACTAGGGAAATGCAACTCAAAAGTACAATGAGATATTATCCCACACCCATTAGGATAGCTACTATTAAAAAAAAAACACAAAATAGCAAGTGTTGGCAAGGACATAGAGGAATCGAAACCCTTATATACTGTTGGTGGAAGTAGAAAATAGCACAGACACTGGAAACCAGTATGGTGGTTCCTCAAAACTTTAAATATAGAATTACCATCTAATCTAGCAATTCCATTTCTGAGTATATACCCAAAAGAATTGAAAGCACCGTCTTAAAGAGATATCTTGCATACCAATGTTCATAGCTGCATTACTCACAACATCTAAAACATGGAAGCAACCCATTGACAGATGAATAGATAAGGAAAATGTGGTATATACATACAATGGAATATTATCCAGCCTTAAAAAAAAGGAAATTGTGATACATGCTACAACATGGATTAAACTTGAGAACATTATGCTAGGTGAAATCTCAGTCACAAAAAGACAAGTACTATATCATTCCAACTATATGAGGTATTTAGAATAGTCAAAATCAGAGACAGAAAGTAGAATGGTGGTTTCCAGGGGCTGTGGGTTGCAGGGGTGGGATGGGGGAAAGAAATGGAAAGTTGTTGCTTAATGGGTAGAGAGTTTCAGTTTTGTAAGATGAAAAGTGTTCTGGAGATGATGGTTTTGATGGCTGATTGTGAATAAACTTGATACCACTGAAATGTATGCTTAAAAATGATTAAGGAAGTAAATTTTGTGTTATGTATATTTTGCCACAATTTTTAAAAATGAAAAAAAAATCATATGAAGAAAAAAAAATTTTTTTTTTTTTTGAGATGGAGTCTTGCTCTGTCGCCCAGGCTGGAGTGCAGTGGCATGATCTTGGCTCACTGCAACCTCCACATCCTGGTTTCAAGCGATTTCCTGTCTGGGATTACAGGTGCATGCCACCACGCCTGGCTAATTTTTGTATTTTTAGTAAAGATGGGGTTTCACCATGCTGGCCAGGCTGGTCTTGAACTCCTGACCTCAGGTGAGCCACTCGCCTTGGCCTCCCAATGTGCTGGGATTATAGGCATGAGCCACCGTGCCAGTGGAAAAAATTTAAACTAGAAAAAGAACATAGAGAACTATTTTATCTACTCATTTATTCATTCACTGAATGCATACTTATTGATTGCCAGCTATGTGGCAGGTATGCTAGATAATGAGATAACATGTTGAGCGAAACAGACAGACATGTGTCTGTTCTTCTAAAACTTGGAGTTTAGTCAATCTATGAAAAAGTGTTCTCAGCCTGTGTAATCTCACAGCTGTAATTCCAGCACTTTGGGAGGCTGAGGCAGGCAGATCACTTGAGTCCAAGACCAGCCTGGGCAACATGGTGAAACCCCTTTCCTACAAAAAAAACAAAAATTAGCCCAGCATGGTAGCATTTGCCTGTAGTCTCAGCTACTTGGGAAGTACTCAGCTACTTGGGAAGTACTCAGCTACTCAGCTATTTGAGCCCAGGAGGCGGAGATTGCAGTGAGCGGAGATGGTGCCACTGCACTTCAGCGTAGGTGACAGAGTGAGACTCCATCTCAAAAAAAAAAAGAAAACCTATTCTCATAATTTAAATTTTACCTTCAAGAAAATTAAAAAATAAAGACCACTTAAAAGAAAAAAGTATGCCTCAATAAAGTTCATTTTAAAAGGGAGGGAGAAAACTATATATAATATATATTTTTATATCTATAATATATATCACTCTATATTATAGCGTATCTGTAATTTTTATATCCATAATATGTACATTATATATGTGTATAATTTTCCATCCTATTACAGGAACCAAAAATTAGAGATGCCTGTGATGGTTAATTTTAGGTGTAAACTTGGCTAAATTAGGAGTACCTAGAGAACTGGTAAAGCATTATTTCTGTTATGTCTGTGAAGGTATTTCCAGAGGAGACTGGCATGTGAGTTGGAGAACTGAGTGGTTCTGTCTCTCTGGAGAATTCTAATACAGATTTTGGTACCAGAAGTGGAATTGTTGCTATAAGGAATACCTAAAAATGTGGAAGTGACTTTGGAATTGGTTAACGGATAGAGGCTCGAAGAATTTGGAGGAGCAACCTAGAAAAAGCCTAGATTGCAATAATTGGAGGATTAAAGGTGATGCTGGTGGGGGCTCAGAGAAAGAGGACAGCTGTAGGGAAAGTCTGAAACTTCTTAGACATTTCTTAAGTGAAAGAGTGAAAGATTATTCTCCAGCTTTAAGACACTGTTATTTTCCCTGTTGGGTTTTGGACTTACTTGGCCCTTTCCTCTTGCTTATATCTTCCTTTTGGAATGGGAATGTCTATCCTCCACACATCCCATCACTGTATTTTGTAAGTAGATAACCTGTCTTGATTTACAGGCTGACAACTGGAGAGGAATTTGCCTCAGGATGAATCCTGCCTTGAGTGTCACCCATACCTGATTTAGATGACAATTGGTAATTTGGACTTATGAGTTGATGCTGGAATGAATTAAGATTTTTGGAGCTATTGGGATGGAATAAATGTATTTTGTATGTAAAAAAGACATGAATTTTTGGGGCCAAGAGCAGAATGCTGTAGTCTGAATGTGTCCCCCAAAGTTCATGTTTTAGAAACTAATCCCCAATGCAACAGTGTTGAGAGGCGAGACCTTTAAGAGGTTGATTGGGTCATGAGGCTCCTGACCTCATAAATGGATTAATGTCATTATTGTGGGAGTGGGTTTCTGATAAAAAGATGAGTTTGGCCCCCTTCCACCCTTTTTTTTTTTTTTGCATGCTCTTTTGCCCTCTGCCTTCTCATGGGATGACACAACAAGAAGACCCTCACAAGATGCCAGCACCTTGATACTGGACTTCCCTGCCTCCAGAGCTGTCAGAAGTACATTCATATTCTTATAAATTACCAAGTTTGTGATACTCTGTTATAGCAACACAAAACAGACTAAGACAATGGCCCTAATCTCTCCACCCCAGTATGGGTTTCTAAGGGAGCTTCACAGAACGTATGTTTTCCAAGAAATATAGCATAAAGTTGAAAAACCACTGCTTTAGCTTAAGGCTATGATAACAATTTAAATAAAAAAATCTTAAAGGATGTTGACTTTTATTAGTCATATATGCTAATTTTGTGAAAATAAATCTGAGGATAGATTTTGGCTGTGGATTAGACAGAAGAACATAAGGCTACTGGGTTTGATAGCATGGTTGGGGATAGGGCCAAGGGGGACTCCACTGAAGTGTAGAGAGACCACAAATAGAGAGACTACCCATTTACTTTTTTTTCTTTTTTTTATTATACTTTAATTTCTGGGGTACATGTGCAGAATGTGCAGTTTTGTTATACACATGCCATGGTGGTTTGCTGCACCCATCAACCCGTCAGCCACATTAGGTATTTCTTTTAATGCTATCCCTCCCCTATTCCCCCGTCCGCCGACAGGCCCCAATGTGTGATGTTCCCCTCCCTGTGTCCATGTGTTCTCATTGTTCAACTCCCACTTATGAATGAGAACATGCAGAACATGTTTGGTTTTCTGTTCTTGTGTTAGTTTGCTGAGAATGATGGTTTCCAGCTTCATCCATGTCCCTGCAAAGGACATGAACTCATCTTTTTATGGCTGCATAGTATTCCATGGTGTATATGTGCCACATTTTCTTAATCCAGTCTATCACTGATGGACATTTGGGTTGGTTCCAAGTCTTTGCTATTGTGAATAGTGCTGCAATAAACATACATGTGCATGTGTCTTTATAGCAACGTGATTTATAATCCTTTGGGTATATACCCACTAATGGGATTGCTGAGTTAAATGGTATTTCTAGTTCTAGGTCCTTGTGGAATCGCCACACTGCCTTCCACAATGGTTGAACTAATTTACACTCCCACCAACAGTGTAAAAGCATTCCTATTTCTCCACATCCTCTCCAGCATCTGTTGTTTCCTGACTTTTTAATGATCACCATTCTAACTGGCATGAGATGGTATCTCATTGTGGTTTTGATTTGCATTTCTCTAATGACCAGTGATGATGAGCTTTTTTTCATGTTTGTTGGCTGCATAAATGTCTTCTTTTGAGAAGTGTCTGTTCATATCCTTTGCCCACTTTTTGATGGGGTTGTTTTTTGCTTGTAAATTTGTTTACGTCCTTTGTAGATTCTGGATATTAGCCCTTTGTCAGATGGATAGATTGCAAAAATTTTCTCTCGTTCTGTAGGTTGTCTGTTCACTCTGATGATAGTTTCTTTTGCTGTGCAGAAGCTCTTTAGTTTAATTAGATCCCATTTGTCAATTTTGGCTTTTGTTGCCATTGCTTTTGATGTTTTAGATATGAAGTCTTTGCCCATGCCTGTGTCCTGAATGGTATTGCCTAGGTTTTCTTCTAGGACTTTTATGGTTTTAGGTCTTATGTTTAAGTCTTTAATCCACCTTGAGTTAATTTTTGTATAAGGTGTAAGGAAGGGGTCCAGTTTCAGTTTTCTGCATATGGCTAGCCAGTTTTCCCAGCACCATTTATTAAATAGGGAATCCTTTCCCCATTGCTTGTTTGTGTCAGGTTTGTCAAAGATCAGATGGTTGTAGATGTGTGGTGTTATTTCTGAGGGCTCTGTTCTGTTCCATTGGTCTATATGTCTGTTTTGGTACCAGTACCATGCTCTTTTGGTTACTGTAGCCTTGTAGTATAGTTTGAAGTCAGGTAGTGTGATGCCTCCAGCTTTGTTCTTTATGCTTAGGATTGTCTTGGCTATGCGGGCTCTTTTTTGGTTCCATATGAACTTTAAAGCAGTTCTTTCCAATTCTGTGGAGAAAGTCAATAGGTAGCTTGATGGGGATAGCATTGAATCTATAAATTACTTTGGGCAGTTATGGCCATTTTCACGATATTGATTCTTCCTATCCATGAGCATGAAATGTTTTTCCATTTGTTTGTGTCCTCCCTTATTTCCTTGAGCAGTGGTTTGTAGTTCTCCTTGAAGAGGTCCTTCACATTCCTTGTAAGTTGTATTCCTAGGTATTTTATTCTCTTAGTAGCAATTGTGAATGGGAGTTCACTCATGATTTGGCTCTCTGTTTGTCTGTTATTGGTGTATAGGAATGCTTGTGATTTTTGTGCATTGATTTCGTATCCTGAGACTTTGCTGAAGTTGCTTTGATAAGCTTAAGGAGATTTGGGCTGAGACGGTGAGGTTTTCTAAATATACAATCATGTCATCTGTGAACAGAGACAATTTGACTTCCCCTTTTCCTATCTGAATTATTTCCTTCTCCATTCACTTTGGCCTTTCATTTTTGATAACTGAATTAGAAGATTTGTTTTAGCCCAGGTAAGAATATTATATTAAATAATGGCTGCAGTGTTTTCAAGTATAAAACAGATCATGAAAGCTTCATTTTTAGACATTGGATTAGGTTAATATTTCACAAGAGAACAGATTTGCAATTCAGTATGAATAACTTACAGCACCTGGAATATGCATGCATTGTGTTTTGGCCTGAGGGAGAATACAAAGATAAGTAAGACATATACTTGTCCTAAAGAAGCTTTTAGCATATTAAGATAAATAAGAAAAATGTGCCAATCACTATAGTAAAAGGGAGGATATCTGTGCTAATTCTCGATGGTAGAAACTGTATCATAATCATGCTATATTTCTAATACCTATCACCAAGCCTCACACAGATTAGGCATGAAAACTGTCTGTTAATTGTTAAAGAGGAAGTGCTATGAAAGATGTCATAGAACTACATTGTTCAACTCGGTAGCTACTGCCCACAAGTGTCTATTTAAATTAATGTAAATTTAATAAAATTAACGTTTTACTTTTTTAGTCACTAGTCACATTCAAGTGCTTAATAGCCACATGTGGCTAGTGTCTGCTGTATTGAACAATGCAGATTATAAAACTTCAAAGAAAGTTCTATGGCATGGAATTGACAGAGAAGATCAAAAGGAGGAAGGTACTAAAGTTCCCCATTAGGCATGACAGGAAAGGCAGAAAATGGCATTTGAGCTGAGCCTTGATGAATGGGTATGATTTTTAACAAGAGAAATTAGAAGAAGAGTATTCTAGAGAAAGCAAGCAGCAGGGAGAAAGGAGAGCTAAGGAGAACAAGTATCCAAGTTATCCTACATGGCTCGATCTTGTAGAGGACAGAGGTGAGAGAGAAGATGAAGTGGCGGGTCAGGTCTGTGAATCCTAACCTTACTCTCTTTCTCTCCATTCTTTTTTTGTTCCACAGCCTAGGCCACAGGTATCAGGCCTGTTTTTAAACTGAAGATGCTTAAATGACCTCCAGACTAACACTGGTGCTGATCCCATTAGGAATACACATCAACATCCTTCTTAATCTAACCCTTAAGTGGTACTTCAGTTCTCCTACCTAGACATGCACTTTAAATCCAGTCCCTGATTGTGTCCAGTGTATCTGGGTGGACTTCCCCTTTGAGCACTGTCCTAAGTCCTTTCCCAGTCCTCTCCTAACTGCTGGCTTTACTCTTGACAATCTTTATGTCCTCACATTCCATAAAACCCTGTTCCCACACCCTAAACAAGCAGATCTTCCTGGTGCCAAATGTTTGTGCAGACATCCAGTTGTAATTCACCCACATGCTAAAATATCCTGATATTTCATTTTGCTCACTCTTATGTAGAGATCACTCTCACCTTTGGGCACTGTGCCTTTTCCATGAGCATCTACATCTGGATTCATTTTCCCAGTGCCCACCTTATCCAGATGGTAGCCTGATATGTTCTGGTTCTGTGTTCCCACCCAAATCTCATCTTGAATTGTAATCCCCACTGTCGAGGGAGGGTCCTGGTGGGAGGTGATTGGATCATGCATGCTGTTTTCACGATGGTGAGGGAGTCCTCATGAGATCTGATGGTTTAAAAGTGGCAGTTTCCCCTGCACATTCTCTCTCTCTCTCCTGTTGCCATGTAAGACATGCCTTGCTTCCCCTTCGCCTTCTGTCATGATTGTAAGTTTCCTGAGGCCTCCCAGCCATGTGGAACTGTAAGTCTGTGGCAGGCCAGGTCTTCATAACAGCTGAACAGACAGGCCTCCATAACAACTGTTCCGGTACTGACTGAGTGGTTATGTTAAATATTAAAAGCTGATAGAGCCAGTGTCCTTTCACAAAGGCTGGGATGTAACAAAAACCCACCAAGAGTTTTGCCTAGGCCTTTCCTGGGCCTTGAAGCATGACAAGATAATGAAGGAATTCTTAACAGGACCTGTTTAGAATTAAACAAGTTTTACTGGGGGTCTGAAGAAACTCCTCAGGCCGCCACAAACAAGTTTATTGGCAGTCTGAAGGAACTCCCCAAACCTCCGTGATTTAGCAGGAGGCAAGATAAGGGTAATCACCCCAGGACCTGGACCCATTTAGATTGAGTAAATTTACTGAGGCCCCAGAAGAAGGTTTTCAGGACCTTCCTTAGGTCCTGATCTAATCTTAGTTATAGATTAAAAGAAGTTAATCACTTACGTCTTTAGATGAATGCATTTACATGTAGACATATAGCTTAGAAGGTATATAAGCTCTGGAAAACTTTGTAATTTTGAATTGGTCTGGCGATAATTTCCAGGCCTTTCCCTTCTTTCCCAGTTCATCTGTATCTCGTTATTGGGCCAAAGAATAAGCAGCCCGACCCTTGGTTTGGTCCAGGAACAAGTCAACTAAACCTTCTTTCTTTATAAATTACCCAGTCTCAGGTAGCATTTTTACAGCAGTGTGAGAATGGACTAATACACAGCCCTTTCCTGATAACCCCAGCCTACTAAAATAAAGGCCATACCTGTCCAAATTTGAAGTCTGTGATTAGTGGAGAGCCTTAAATGTTGAAGCCAAAGTCTTTACTAGCAAGGAAAGTCACAAGAAACTTTTGAACAAGCAATCCCATACAATCAGGGTTGTAGATTAAATTGATACTGTGTGTGGGGTGGACTGGAGAGGTTTATTTGGGAAGAAGATAATCCTAATTTATTTACCCTTTCCACATGAATTCCATTTCATCTTCATAATCAACTTGGTTGGTCATATTTTCCACAATCTTCTGAAGTTCTAGAGTCAAAACTTGGATGGTGTATTCCTCACAGGATCCATCCAGTACCAACCATTTTAGACTACGCAGCACTACATCATCCTTACCTGAGTCTCAATGTCTCAATGTTGTGGGACATTTGGCATATTATTCTCTACAGCTAATCTGCCTTCACCGTACTGATTTGCTTGGAACTGTTCTAGCTTTCCAATGTTGCAGGAATTTCCTTAGTCCCAGGAAAACTGGAATAGTTGGTCACCCTAATCTGGGCAAACCAAAATGGTCACCCTACATATCAAGGACCTAGAAGCTAATAAATAGCCAGGACTGTCTTGTATGGTTGGGAGTTCACATGCTTTACAATTGCTCAGTAAAATGATGGCAGCTACTTATGTGACCAATGCCAGAATTAGGATAAAATATATAGCAATCAACATGAACACAGCCCTAGACAGGGCTCTCTCATGGAGGCCTCATTAGCACCACCATTAGCACCACACCAGGTCACTCCCCTGGGCTTCTTAACACTTTCACCTGAACATGAAAATGAGGTGTCTGTAATTTACTGAGTGAGAATGAGGTTGCCTTGCCTCCCCAGGACTCACATTTTTAAAAATACCAGTCTTATACTCAAAAATACTTTTTTGAATTATATTCTTACAGTAGGGGAAACTGCACAATAAAACATCTTGAAATCAGCCATGTACAGTGGCTCATGCCCGTAATCACAGCACTTTAGGAAGCCAAGGCAGGAGGATCACTTGAGCCCAGGAGTTTGAGACCAGACTGGGCAACAGAGTGAGACCCTGTGTCTATTTAAAAAATAAACAAACAGGCAGGGCGCGGTGGTTCACACCTGTAACTCCAGCATTTTGGGAGGCCAAGACGGGTGGATCACCTGAGGTCAGGAGTTCAAGACCAACCTGGCCGACATGGTGAAACCCCATCTCTACTAAGAACACAAAAAATTAGCTGGGCGTGGTAGTGGGCGCCTGTAATCCCAGCTACTTGGGAGGCTGAGGTAAGAGAATGGCTTATACCTGGGAGGCAGAGGTTGCAGTGAGCTGAGATCGTGCCATTGCACTCCAGCTTGGGCGACAAGAGCAAGACTGTCTCAAAAAAATAAAAAATAAACAAAAACTTCTTAAAATCTACTTTCCCATCTCACTGTCTATATATCTTGTATGCCAAAAATGTTCCTCCTAACATCTCTCCGTTGGCTCTGCCAACCCAATGCATGGCAGCTACTTTTTGCTACCACTCCCCTCTCTTCCCATCTCCCCTCCACACACACATATACATTACTGATTGCATCACAAAGTATCCACCATTAAGACATGACTACATTAAATTTTATCAACATTTAAAAATACAGCATCAGAATACAAGACAACTCTTATTTATATTTTAATGTATGTTTGTATTTGGTAAACAGGAAACACAAACTTTAAAGATTAAAAATAAAACAAAACACTTACCTTCCAGAAAAGCCTTTTCAGAATGAAGTTTTTCTGGGCTGCTACTTTAAGTTCCATAAGTAAAGAAAGTATCCTCCTCAAAGAATTGTCTTTAAGAAAAAGTTCAGATTTAAGTTGACTGAAGTGCTTAATTTTCTCCTCAGACCTACAGAAACAGAAGAAAATTTTCCACTTAAAAAAATGGTAAGACATAGCAGTTTAGGAATATCAATGATTACTGTCAGGTTTGTTAAACTTTGTTACTAATGGGATTTTAATATAGTTTTATTCTCCTAGCCTTAATACTCACCAGTAGTGAAACTTGCTCCCCACAAATTGAACTGTTTATTACGCTCCAAACATACTTTTTTGCCCGTGCCCCTTAACTCAAGCTGTTCCTATACCAGGAATACTCTCACTGTCCCTGGTAAATTTCTGTCCCTCTTTCATTTACCATAATCCATGAGCCTTTATGTAATATTTTTCTTTCAATCAACTAGCTTTTTTTTTTAAGAAGTTTATAAAGAAAATGTTGTGTCACTTTCCAGGGAAAACCAGTATCACTTGGTGTAAATGGCATGAAAGCAACATAAATTCTAAGTAAATGCTGCATTTTCTGAGCCTGTAGCTGGCTTCTCTGTGAGGAAAGGGCAGATGAGCATGTGTTCAAGAACTATCACTAGTGGCCCCAAGCTGAGAGGTTCTCCCTGATGAGATCAGCCTAGCTGGAAAAAGGAATCACATATTTCCACCATGGAATTCAAAGTTGTTTCATGCCATGTCAGAGTACCACCTGGAATCATCTCCCATTACTGAACCACGTGTCTTCCACACCTAAGGAAAAGCTGGCTTAGCAGAAAAACCTCCTCAGATCTTTCCCTAATTCCACCAACAAATGCAGCCCCTCTCCCACTGCAGTTTTTTCACACTCCTAGTATCACATTAATCCCATTTCACTCATTGTAGTTAGTTACTCGTGTACCTATCCTATCCCCTCAGCTGACTTTTAGCAACTTGGAAAAAATGTCACCGGGTTAAATATTGTTTCCCCCTCCCACTGTGCTCAGTAATAACAACTTGCGCTTTACTGGGCGCTGACGAGGTGGCCGGCTCTGGCCTGAGTGCTTTCCGTAGACTCGTTCTTGGACTGAGCTGGCTCCACTGTGGGGACCGAGCTGGGAATTACTAACGCATTTTACAGGAAGTTGTGGGGGGGTTTAAGTAACCTGTCCAAGCTCACACAACCAGTGATTCAGAGAGCCAGGGTGCAAGGTAACAGTAGGAAAGATAGTTCATGTTCTATGTAGATTGATGGAATCTTAAAATTTCTGACTTGAAGTAAAAACATTTTTTACCACTTACTCCAGTAACCTGTACCAGCCGTTTATCCCAATACTAGCTACTGCATGGAATGTTGGTACTTGCCTACTACCTCCCCCTTTATTTAAAAAACATCTAAGATGTTCTCCTTTGTCCAATCAATGAGTCGCTCTTATTAACCTGAAAATTAAGACTTCTGAAAAAAAAATGGTCTCTTTTCTAGCGGAGATGCTGGAGGGAAACTGATCATTATGAATTCAATAATAGCAGAGAGGCAGAGGAGCATAATGATTATGAAAATGAAGACTGAGGTCAGAATCCTAGATCTACCCCTACTCAGTTAGGTCATTATCATGGGCAAGTTACATAGCTTCTTTGTGCTTCAATTTCCTCATGTGTAAAATAGGAATAATGATAGTACCTATCCAAATGTGCTGGGTTTTTTGTTTGTTTGTTTGTTTGTTTTGAGATAGTGTCTCACTCTGTCACCCAGGCTGGAGTGCAGTGGCGTGATCTTGGCTCACCGCAACCTCCGCCTCCTGAGTTCAAGCTATTCTCCTGCCTCAGTCTCCTGGGTAGCTGGGATTACAGGCGAGCACCACCATACCCAGCTAATTTTTTGTATTTTTAGTAGAGATGAGGTTTCACCATGTTGGCTGGGCTGGTCTCAAACTCCTTACCTCAGGTAATCCACCCACCTCTGCCTCCCAAAGTGCTGGGATTACAGGCGTGAGCCACTACGCCCGGCCAAATGTGCTATTTTGATATTTTAGTTAATGCATGTCTTCATACACACTAAGTGTTTGATAAACGGTCTCTAAATAAAACAGGAATAAGTTTGAGATCCTGCTTCCCTATCCACTTCTAATTACCACCATATTTCATTTAAAAAGTAACTATGAAATCCCTCTATTCTCTGAGAACTCCAACAACAGAAATGTAGTTTTTACAAACAAAAGAGCTTAGAAAAGCAAAAGCTCAGATAAGATACAATATCAGCAGAATTATTTTGAAATTGATTTTCCTGTTTTTTCATTTGGAGTCAGCAATTTGCTAAGATCCGCAACAAAAATAAACTGTTTTTAATCCTTTGCCAACTAGGATAATAGATTGTAATGCCAAACTAATTTTTTTTAATGGCCAAAAAAATTTTCACAGAAAACAGCATACTAATCTCTTCAGACTAAAAATCAATTCATACATAAATGGAGGTCTCATATACATCATAAATTCAAGTTAGAGTACATATTCTATATTACTGCAGAAAAGTTATGAATAATAATTTCTTTGAGGATTCAGAAAATATTAGCTTATACATAGATGACAAACTTCATTTGACTGAAGAAATAAGAAAAAGCCAAATGCCAGGAGACTCCATTATTCAACTTAGGAATAAGAGGAAAATCTATACTAATGTTAACAGATACTCTATTTTCATCAAGTAGAAAACATAAATTCAGCAAAATAGTGTTGCAGGAAGGTTTTGTTTTTTTTTTTTTTTTTAGACAGAGTCTTCTTCTGTCACCCAGGCTGGGTTCAAGCGATTCTTGTGCCTCCTGAGAGTAGCTGGGACTACAAGTGCGTACCACCACACCCGGTTAATTTTTGTACTTTTAGTAGAGACAAAGTTTTGCCCTGTTGCTCAGGCTGGTCTCAAACTCCTGACCTCAAGTAATCCGCCCACCTCAGCCTCTGAAAGTGCTGAGATTACAGGCGTGAGCCACTACTCCCAGCCGCAGGAAAGATTCTTAATCTAATAACAAGCTTTATTTTTCCTGTATTTTTTCATCTTTCCAGACATTTACTATAAATAATACCTCACATTTGTAAAGCACTGGAAAGGCTCTTCCTATATTATCTCAAAAGCACTGTGTATGATTTTCACAGTGGTCAGCTTGCAGAACCATCCCATCTGTGACACAGTTCTAAATTGAAAACCTAAAGGATGTTTATTCCTTTTAAACTGAAGATGCCTTGCAGGTAGGGGCTATTTCTTGTGTATCACTGCATCTTTCACAGTGCATTTGAAATCATGGCATTTTAAGTATATTGCCTTCAGGAATTAACTTAGTAATAAATATGATTTTCCTGAGCCGAGAGAGTGGTAGAACTCATCCTTCTTGCCTTCAGGAATAAATTTCAAGCCACACACACACAGAATTTGAGTCTGTTTTATTACACAATTAGCTTTAAAATCACTTTAAATAAAATACCAAAATGAAAACTGATGCTTTTTTTAGAGTAAACGTATGAAAACCTATAGAAATTTTAAGCTATCCATATAACTTTTTAAAAAAGAAATCCTAAATATTATGTCACTTAATTCTTACATACCTCAGAATGTATCTCTAAATAAAATGAATACTTTCTTACAAAATGATTATCACACCCTACAAAATTATCAAACATTCTTTGGTATTGCTGATAGTCAGTCCTTTTTTTTTTTTTTTTTTTGAGACGGAGTCTTGCTCTGTCACCCAGGCTGGAGTGCCGTGGCACAATCTCGGCTCACTGCAACTTCTACCTCCCAGGTTCAAGCAATTCTCCTACCTCAGCCTCCCAAGTAGCTGGGATTACAGGCACACACCACCATGCCTGTCTAATTTTTGTATTTTTGTAGAGACAGGGTTTCACCATGTTGGCCAGGCTGGTCTTGAACTCCTGACCTCAAACGATCTGCCCGCCTCAGCCTCCCAAAGTGCTGGGATTACAGGCGTGAGCCACCTCGCCCGGCCAGACTCAGACCATTTTCAAATTGTTCTACTGACTTAAAAATGTGTTTTTACAGCTGGGCGTGGTGGCCCAGGGGTGCAAATCCCAGCACTTTGGGAGGCCAAGGTGGGAGGATTGTTTAAACCCAGGAGTTCCAGACCAGCCTGGGCAATATAACCAGACCCCATCTCAATAAATAAATAAATAAATTAATTAATTAATTAGCCAGCCATGGTAGTGTGCACCTGTAGTCCCAGCTACTCAGGAGGCTGAGGTGGAAGGATTGCTTGAGCCCAGGAGGTCGAGGCTGCAGTGAGCTGTGATCAAGCCACTTCACTCCAGCCTTGGTGACAGAGTAAGACCCTCTCTCAAAAGTAAATAAAATATAAACGGCTGGGCGCGGTGGCTCGTGCCTGTAATCCTAGCACTTTAGGAGGCCCAGGCAGGTGGATTGCCTGAGCTTAGGATTTCGAGACCAGCCTGGGCAACATGGCAAAACCCAGTCTCTACTAAAAAACTACACAAAATTAGCCAGGCATGCTGGTGCACATCTGTAGTCCCAGCTACTCAGCAGGCTGAGGCATGAGAATTGCTCGAGCCTGGGAGGTGGAAATTGCAGTGAGCCAAGATCATGCCACTGTACTACAGCCTGAGCGATAGTGGAAGACCCTGTATCAATAAATACATACATACATACATACATAAATACATAAATAAAACATAAAAATGTTTTCTTAGTTTTGGTTTGTTAAAATCAAGACTAAATAAGATATTTCTTATATTTGCTTGTTATGTTTCTTAAGTCTTTCAAAAAATTTTTTTCTATATCACATCATCAAGCAATAAAATTTTTTATTATGGAAATTTTCAAACATACATCAAAATGGAGAAAATTTTATAAGAAATCCCATGTACCCAGCTGGGCGGTGGCTCATGTCTGTAATCCCAGCACTGTGGGAGGCCAAGGCAGGCAGATCACCTGAGGTCAGTCATTCGAGACCAGCCTGGCCAACATGGTGAAACCCTTTCTCTATTAAAAACACAAAAATTAGCAGGGCGTGGTGGTGCATGCCTGTAATCCTGGCTACTCAGGAGGCTAAGGCAGGAGAATTGCTTGAACCCGGGTGGTGGAGGTTGCAGTGAGCCGAGATGGTGCCATTACACTCCACCTTGGGCAACAGAGCAAGACTCCATCTCAAAAAAAAAAGAAAGAAAGAAAGAAAAGAAAGAAAGAAACAGAAAGGAAGAAAGAAAGAAAGAAAGAAAGAAAGAAAGAAAGAAAGAAAGAAAGAAAGAAGAAAGAAAGAAAGAAAGAAAGAAAGAAAGAAAAGAAAGAAAGAAAAGAAAGAAGGAAAGAAAGAAGAAATCCCATGTACCCATCACCTTGCTCTAATAATTTTCAATATTTTGCCAATCTTGTTTTATCTGTTCTCTTACATACACATACAAACACACATATATACTTTTTAAAAAAATTGAACTAAAATTATATAACAAAGTTTCCCATCATATCCATTTTTAGGTGTACAATTCAGTGGCATTAAGTTAATTCACAATGTTCTACAAGTATCACCACTATCCATTTCCAGAACTTTTTCATCTTTCCAAACAGAAATTCTATACCCATTAAACAGTAACTCTCCCTTCACCACTCTCCCCAACCCCGGAGACCTCTATTCTATTTTCTGTCTCTATAAATTTGCCTATTTTAGGTACCTCACATAAGTGAAATCATATATTTGCCCTTTTGTATCTGGCTTATTTCACTTAGCATGATGTCTTCAAGGTTCATCCATGTGGTAGTAGCAGAATTTACTTCCTTTTTAAGACTAGCATACTCACACTGTTTTTTTGTTTGTTTGTTTGTTTGTTTGTTTGTTTTTGAGATGGAGTCTCACTCTGTTGCCCAGGCTGTGGTGCAGTGGTGCCATCTCAGCTCACTGCAGCCTCTGCCTCCCAGGTTCAAGTGATTCTCATACCTCAGCCTCCCAAGTAGCTGGGATTACAGGCATGTGCCACCACACCAGGCTAATTTTTGTATCTTTAGTAGAGACAGGGTTTCGCCCTATTGGCCAGGCTGGTCTCAAACTCCTGGCCTCAAGTGATCCTCCCTCCTCGGCCTCCCAAAGTGCTGGGATTATAGGTGTGAGCCACTGCACCCGGCTTATCATACTCACACTTTTGAGTCAGATTCAGGTTTAACCGTTTTAACAAAAATACTTCATAGGTGGTGCTGTGTATTTTATATTACATCAAATAATGAGGCACACAAAGTCTGGCTGTCTCACTGAAGTGATACTAAGACAAATCAATGGATTTAGTTATTTACAACATGATCCCTCCATTTTAAAGTTCCACTTCACCTTTTTTTTTTAAATCTCTTTTTCTTTTAGAAATGGTCTCTCTCTGTCACTCAGGCTGGAGTGCGGCGGTGCAATCGCAGCTTATTACAGCCTCCACCTCCCAGGCTCAAGTGATCCTCCTACCTCAGCCTCTCAAGTAGCTGGGACCACAGGCACACCTGGCATTTTTAAATTTTTTTGTAGAGATGAGGTCTCACTATGTTGCCTAGGCTGGTCTCAAACTCCTGGGCTCAAGCGATCCTCCCACTTCGGTCTCCCAAAGTGCTGGGATTACAGGCATGAGCCACCATACCTGGCCCCACTTCACCTCTCTGTCTAATGGTTTCATCCACTGAAGATTGTTAAATGAATCTGTCATTTCATTACAGGCTACATAAATTGTAATTTTCTAATTCTATTAAGCCTTCCGCATTCACTAGCTGGAATTCTATACAATGAAATTTGCACTCATCATCTAGGGCTACTTGGTTATCCTGAACTCGTTACGGTTCATGGAGGAAAGGAAGAATATATTAAATTTTTTCCATTTGTTTGATGATTTGCAGAGTAATGAATTGGTGCCCTATTTTTTTCTAATGTTACATGTGTTTTATTTCCTTGCAGGTGGGGAGGGAGGGCCCTCTCTCTATCATGCATCATTATACACTTCTGAATTTTTATATATTCATTATGTTTCAGTCATCTCATTTCTTATTTTTTTCTTCTTCTTTCTTTATTTTTTTTTATTATACTTTAAGTTCTAGGGTACATGTGCAAACGTGCAGGTTTGTTACATATGTATACATGTGCCATGTTGGTGTGCTGCACCCATTAACTCGTCGTTTACATTAGGTATATTTCCTAATGCTATCCCTCCCCCCTTCCCCCACCCCACAACAGGCCCTGGTGTATGATGTCCCCCTTCCTGTGTCCAAGTGTTCTCATTGTTCAATTCCCACCTATGAGTGAGAACATGTAGTGTTTGGTTTCTCGTCCCTGCAATAGTTTGCTCAGAATGATGGTTTCCAGCTTCATCCATGTCCCTACAAAGGACATGAACTCATCATTTTTTATGGCTGCATAGTATTCCATGGTGTATATGTGCCACATTTTCTTAATCCAGTCTATCATTGTTGGACATTTGGGTTGGTTCCAAGTCTTTGCTATTGCCAGGCGTGGTGGCTCATGCCTGTAATCCCAGCACTTTGGGAGGCTGAGGGGAGAGGATCACAAGGTCAGGAGTTCGAGACCAGCCTGGCCAACATGGTGAAACTCAGTCTCTACTAAAAATAAAAAAATTAGCCGGGCATGGCTACTCGGGAGGCTGATGCAGGGGAACTGCTTGAACCTGGGAGGCAGAGGTTACAGTGAGCCAAGATCGCTCCACTGCATTACAGCCTGGGCAACAGAGCAAGACTTTGTCTCAAAAAAAAAAAACAAAAACAGAAAGAAAAAAAAAGTGTGAACACAGGACGTTATGGAGGAGCCCCTCCTAACTTAGTTCTGGAGTGTCAAGAAAGATTTTTAGAGAAAATGATAAATAAGCTGAGACTTGATGAGTTGAAGTTATTCAGGAAGAGGAAGAAGAGTACAGTAGTGTTCCAGAAGAGGGGCCATCATGATAGGCCCCAGAGGGAAGAGAACAGGGAGCTTCCTGAGAATTGTGAGAAGTTCATTTGGAGCAGGAGCTTAGGGCAAGAGTGAGGATGGACACAATGCTTGAGGAAAGAAAAATAAAAAGAGATGTCATACATATTTTTTGTACGCTGTTTAGACTTTCACCTAAGGGCAATGGGAAGCCATTCAAAGGCTTCCCGGGAGGAATTACATGATCAGATTTGTGCTTCCGAAAGATTCTTCTGTTGTAATGGAGAATGGGCTGGAGAGGAGCAAGAGTGAAGGCAGAGAGACCAGCTAGGAAAACACTGTAGGAGCTCAGAACTGAGATAACTGGGCATGAGCGAGTGACCATGGAAAGAAGTGGATGTTATCCAGAGATAGTAAAGGCGCAATAAATAAGGCATGTGATGACTGGCTGGATGCTGGAAATGGTGAAGGGGAGAGAGGAGGCAAGGGTGATTTCTAGGACTCTGGCTGAGGTGATCTAGGGATAATGACATCATTCCCTGTGTTAGGAAGCACAAGAGGAAAGTCAGGTTGCAGAGGGAAGATGCTGAGTTCTCTTTTAATATGTTGACTTTAACGTTCCTATGAGACATACAAAAGATGTCCAGTGGATACCTGTGTTTGCAGACTTAACCGTCAGGGCAGGCAGATGAGGTAAAGGTATAACTGTGATAGCCACACATACAACACAGAGTTAGGGGAGGCAAAGAGGGCCGGGCACGGTGGCTCGCACATGCAATCCCAGCACTTTGGGAGGCCAAGGCAGGAGGATCACCTGAGGTCAGTCCAATCTAACCGACCTGGCCAACATGGCGAAACTCCTGTCTCCACTAAAAAATACAAAAATTAGCCAGGTTTGGTGGCGGGCGCCTGGAGTGCTAGCTACTTAGGAGGCTGAGGCAGGAGAATCTCTTGAGCCCAGGAGGTAGAGGTTGCAGTGAGCCAAGACTGTGCCACTGCACTCCAGCCTGGGAAACAGAGTGAGACTCAGTTTCAAAAAAAAGGAGAGGCAAAGAGGAGAGAAAAATTCCCCATGCAACTCTATCATACATCATCACTTCTTACCTATATGGCTTTTGACTTCCAATAGCAGGACTGAACTCACTAGCATAGAAGGGATCTTGTAAAAGAGTAGCTTTCTGAAAAAGGAAAAAGTAGAAATTGTTAGAATTTTTATTTACTGAAGATCAATTCCCCCTACCTTTAGTCAATGTTATGTATCTATTCTTTAAGCCCTCCTATAGTACACGATTTGTTTATAAAACTCATTCTAGTGTTTAATAATACCACAGGGAATTTTTTTCTTATCCAGTTTTTAAAAAGTTTTAAATATAACACTTGCTCATTATAAAATGAAATTATTTAGGCCGGGTGCGGTGGCTCATGCCTGTAATCCCAGCACTTTGGGAGGCCGAGGCAGGCAGATCACAAGGTCAGGAGATTGAGACCATCCTGGCTAACACTGTGAAACCCCATCTCTACTAAAAATACAAAAAAAATTAGCCGGGCATGGTGGCAGGTGCCTGTAGTCCCAGCTACTCGGGAGGCTGAGGCAGGAGAATGGCATGAACCCGGGGGGCGGAGCTTGCAGTGAGCAGAGATCACACCACTGCATTCCAGCCTCTGCAACAGAGCGAGACTCTGTCTCAAAAAAAAAAAAAAAAGAAAGAAAGAAAGAAAGAAAGAAATTATTTATCAAAATCACACAGTTTAGATAAAGTAAAATATAAAATTCTCTGTTTTTCCCTACCCCTTCCATCCCACTATGCAAAGTGTCTGATCATGAAGCCAGGTACCATGGCTTGTACCTGTAGTCTCAGCTACTTCGGAGGCTGAGGCAGGTGGATCAAAAGAGTCCAGGAGTTGGAGGCTGCAGTGAGCTATGATTGTGCCACTACACTCCAGCCTGGGCAACAGAGCAAGACCTTGTGTCTAAAATTTTTAAAAGTATCTATCGTCTGTTTGGTTTAGGTCCTTCCAGGCATATAAAGACATATGAATTATAAACACATAAATTTATAGTATTTATATATTTTTATAATATATATTTAATCCTAAATTATATCGCATATATTAATCTGGAACTTGATTTAACTTAATATATGGTGGATGGTTTTTCATGTCTGTGTATATAGATTTACCGATTTACAGCCCGGCCCAGTGGCTCACACCTGTAATTCCAGCATTTTGGGAGGCCAAGGTGGGCGGATCACGAGGTCAGGAGTTCGAGACAAGCCTGGTCAACATGGTGAAACCCCATCTCTACTAATAATACAAAAATTAGCCAGGCATGGTGGCACATGCCTGTAATCCCAGCTACTCGGGAGGCTGAGGCAGGAGAATCGCTTGAACCTGGGAGGCAGAGGTTGCCGTGAGCCAAGATCACACCATTGCACTCCAGCCTGGGCAACAAGAGCAAAACTCTGTCTCAAAAAAAAAAAAAAAAAAAAAAAGATTTACCGATTTACTTCAATTTTTTTTTTTTCTTATGAGACAGGGTCTCACTCTGTCACCCAGGTTGGAGTACAGTGGCATGATCATACCTCACTGCAGCCTCAAACTCCTGAGCTCAAGCAGTCCTCCTGCCTCAGCCTCCTGAATAGCTAGGACTACAGACATGTTCTACCTTGCCAGGCCAATTTTTTACTTTTTATTTTTTAGTAGAGATGGCGTCTTGCTATGTTGACCAGGCTGGTCTTGAACTCCTGGCCTCAAGCGATCCTCCCCTCTGAACCTCCCAAAGTGCTAGGATTACAGGCATAAGCCACTGCATCCAACCAATATCAATTCTTTTAATGATTATTTAGTATTCCATAGCATAGATACACAACACTTTTGTTAACTATTTCCTTATTAATGGAGTTATTTTTCCTTAAACCTTTAGTGTTGCCATTTCTCATTTATTCTGGGTCCTCAAAATAGTCATACAGTGTTCAGCAATTTCTCTAAATAATCTTTTATTTATGTTGAGGCTTAAGACAGGTCAGAAGGAATTTCTCAAATGTTGTTGATTTGACACTGCAGACAAGCTTTTTTTTTTTTTGAGACGGAGTCTCGCTCTGTCAGTCTGGAGTGCAGTAGCGCCATCTCGGCTCACGGCAACATCCGCCTCCCAGGTTCAAGCGATTCTCCTGCCTCAGTCTCCCGAGTAGCTGGGACTATAGGCGCCCGCCACCACGCCCGGCTAATTTTTTCTATTTTTTAGTAGAGACGGGGTTTCACCGTGTTAGCCAGGAAGATCTCGATCTCCTGACCTCCTGATCCGCCCGCCTCGGCCTCCCAAAGTGCTGGGATTACAGGAGTGAGCCACCGCATCCGGCCAGCTTTTTTTTTTTTTTTTTTTTTTTTTTTTTTTGAGACGGAGTTTAGCTCTTGTTGCCCAGGCTGGAGTGCAGTGGCACGATCTTGGCTAACTGCAACCTCCGCCTCCCAGGTTCAAGCAATTCTCCTGCCTCAGCTTCCTGAGTAACTGGGATTCCAGGCGCCCACCACCACGGCCAGCCAATTTTTGTATTTTTAGTAGAGACGGGGTTTCACCATGTTGTCCAGGCTGGTCTCAAACTCCTGACCTCAGGTGATCCAACTGCCTCAGCCACCCAACCTGTCTTGTGCTTAATATCAGAGTGGTGTAGTGGGTGGATGGTGGCAAGGGAGATATGTGCTTTTTCTTACTACTTTTGTCATTGTTCTACGTTTTTTTTTTTTTTTTTAAAGCAGCCTTTCTTCCCTCTCCAAATATTTACATTTTCCTTAAATCCAGAATTTTAATTTGGGGTATCCCATATTTAGCTTTGTAGCAGCTATCTTCACAATGTATACAAGGCAAGGAATTACCACATTTCATCTTTACAGAATTTAAGGCGCTAAACAACCTACGTGTAACTATTTTTGGTGAAAGTTACATATAAAATGGATTACTGAAGGAGGCTCAACTCTTTGGAAACTCTTAAAATCAGGATGAGTGCTGATAATTTCTAATTAGATGGTTTGGGTTAATTTTATCTAAAAGTACAGAGAAAGTTAAAATGTGTAATGTGGCCGGGCACAGTGGCTCACCCCTGTAATCCTAGCACTTTGGGAGGCCGAGGCAGGCAGATCACCTGAAGTCAGGAGTTCAAGACCAGCCTGGCCAACATGGCGAAACCCTGTCTCTACTAAAATACAAAAATTAGAAGAGGATGGTGGCGCATGCTTGTAATCCCAGCTACTGGAGAGGCTGAGGCAGGAGAATCAATTGAACCCGGGAGGCAGAGGTTGCAGTGAGCCAAGATCGCACCATTGCAAGCCAGCCTGGGCAACAAGAGTGAAACTCCACCTCAAAAAAAAAAAAAAAAAAGTGTTTATATTGAACTAGTAGCTTATTGTTAGTAGAATGAATTCTAACCCGATTTCTCACTTACGTGTGAAATATTTGGTTATTCATTTTCCATCTTTCAAGGAAGAGATAGAACATTATTGTAATTTTTAAAACTTATTTATTTTTTTAATTTTATTTTATATATTTTTTTTCAGACAGAGTCTCACTGTATTACACAGGCTGGAGTGCAAGTGGCACAATCTTGGCTCACTGCAACCTCCGCCTCCCAGGCTTAAGTAATCCTCATCTCAGCCTCCCGAGTACATGCAGGCCATGTTCCTGGCTAATTTTTTTGTATTTTTTGTAGAGATGGGATTTCACCCATCTCTGTTGTCCAGGCTGGTCTCTAATTCCTGAGCTCAGGTGATCCACCCACTTCAGCCTCCGAAAGTGCTGGGATTATGGGCATGAGGCACCACGCCTGGCCTTACTTTTTATTTTAGAGATGGAGTCTTGCTTATTGCCCAGGATGGAGTGCAGTAGTGTGCAGCAGAGCTTCTAACTCCTGGGCTCAAACGATCCTGCTGTCTCAGCCTCTGGAGTAACTAGTACTATAGGTGCTACTACACCACACCTGGCTAAGAGAACGTTATTTTCAATGATAGTGTCTACCAACTCATAAAGATAGTCTTCCTCCACCCACATTTATTTCAATGGTCATAGAAAAAAAAATCAGACTACCTAGATTCAAATCCCAGCTCTACACTAGCTATGTGACTTTGCACATATCATTTAATTTCTCTGTGCCTCAATTTCCTCATCTATAAAATGGGAATAACAGTCCTACCTCATAGGGTTGTTGTAAAAATTAAATAAGTTAATATCCATGAAGCATCAGGCTCCGTTCTATTGTTATTTTCTAGTAGGAAATTAACAATAGATATTAGTTATTGTTATTGCATAGACTATTTATAGCTTAGCAGGTAATGAGTCCGCCAATCTGAATGCTCCAACCATGCATCTGCTGCATAATTTAAAAGTATTGCTAAAACCTGAAGCTGGGCAATTCAGGGAAGCATAAACAGTTATTTTGAAGTATTCACATAGATTTTTTAAAGTCAGGTAAGTTTTGGCTTTTCTATTAGAATATATGAGATCTTTTTTTAATACACCAGAGCTTTCCTCTATTTGTAATTTGTTTACATTTTTAATTTAAAGAAAGCCATTTAAAAATTTAGAAAGGAATTTTAAATGTTTGAAGTCTTCCAAACAGTGGTATGAGAAAAAAATTAAGGGTTGTCCTGTAATTTTTCATAATTTTTAGCCGTTTATAAAACCCTGGCTTCCTAGTTTCTTCTATCTGAAATAGCCCTTTATAATTATTATTATTATGTTGAAAGATCAATAATAAAAATTATGTACTACTGAAGATAAAGGGATTGTATTACTCTTTTAATAATTACTTATTTTTTAAATGAATTCTAACAAAAAGGTCCCTAAATGGGAGTTCTGACTCTGTCCCTAAAGTTATATAATCTTGAGTAAATCACTTAAAAATTTTGTGTTTCGGCCAGGCGTGGTGGCTCACGCCTGTAATCCCAGCCTTTGGGAGGCCGAGGTGGGCGGATCACCTGAGGTCGGGAGTTCGAGACCAGCCTGCCCAACATGGCAAAACCCCGTCTCTACCAAAAATACAAAAATTAGCCGGGCGTGGTGGTGGGCAACTGTAATCCCAGCTACTCAGGAGGCTGAGGCAGGAGAATTGCTTGAATCCAGGAGGTAGAGGTTTCAGTGAGCCGAGATCACACCACTGCGCTCCAGCCTGGGTGACAAGAGCGAAACTCCATCTCAAAAGAAAAAAAAAAAGATTGCATTTCAGTTTCTTCATTTATAAAATAAGGACTTAACCTAGTGATTTCTAGACAAATTTATCTGATCCTATAACAAGGTCTCCCCCATCAACCCACTTTCAATAGCACAGCTAAGCAATACAGAATCATACTGACAACGTTGAACCTTACCTGAGGTCTCTGTCACCCCAGCAACTGCAAAAGACCACCTGCTCACACATATTCCAGGATAAGACTTGTCTCCCTCCTTCTTCATGACTTCCATGACTCACCTTACCTACCTCTACAAAACCCCAGGTGATTTTTGTTTGTTTTTTTGAGATGGAGTCTTCCTCTGTCGCCCTGGAGTGCAGTGGTGCAATCTCAGCTCACTGCAATTAAACTCCGCCTCTGGAGTTTAATTGATTCTCATGCCTCAGCCTCCCAAATAGCTGGGATTACCGGCGCGCACCACCACATCCGGCTAATTTTTGTATTTTTTAGTAGCGACAAGGGTTTCACCATCTTGGCCAGGCTGGTCTCGAATTTCTGACCTCAAGAGATCCATCCACCTCGGCCTCCCAAAGTGCTGGGATTACAGGAATGAGCCACCATGCCCGTCCAGAAACTGCTCATTAATGAGCATTTTTCCCTATTGCAATCGCCTAAATAAAATCATCTCCTTAATTGTTCAGTACATTTTGTTTTTCACAATATTATTAAATTCCAAGGCTAAATTTCCAAAATGGGAGGTAAAGGAGGGAGGAGGGCTTGTTTGCTCTAAAAAATAAAAATATAAAAATTCAGGTTAAGGTTAACTTAGGAGGACACTTACTATAATATAATTGTTCCATGAACTTTTTAAGTGCAGAAATATTGATGAGGTTGTGGAAATAACATACAAATGAAGTTCTGACTCCTTTTTCTCTAAATTTGAGTTGCTCTGTGAAGGGGAATCTAAGAGGGAATTTCCTAAGTAAAACTCATTTCCATTCCCATTGCACTTGAAAGGAATTTCACTTATGGAGTTGTGATCTGGAAGTCCCTGGGGTTCTTTTGTGTTTGTTGTGCAAGATGGCTCGCTGACAGCCTTGCCAGTTGTTGGTGCAGACTGAGAGCTCCTCCTGGAGGGGGAAGGTAGGGGTCGAAAGGCACCTTGGCCATGAAGGGACAGCTTTTTGAGGCCTGGACGAGGACAGAGAGTTGAGTCCTTGGATGGTGTACTGCTCTCCTGCTGGTCCCTGTCAGGTAGAATTTAGTATTAAACATGACATGCAAAATTTCACAGTAAGCAACAAAGAGAACCGGTAGTTTAAGACTGAACACAAATGTTTTCTCACAAAAGGAATGCTTGTTAAAACAAGGAAGTCATTGAACCTCGCTGGTAATAACCCATTGACTAGAGGAGATTTGATACTGCAATCTTTTAGTATACGTTTCTGTTTTCAGAAATAAACTGTATTTCGGAAATACATTTTATTTCACAGAATGAAGCACTGTATATATTGAAAGTATTGTGCCTGTCCTTCATGGAGCCCTGATATTTCCACTGAAAGGACTTTTTAAGTTTTGAAACTTGATTGTCCTTTAATTGTACATTGCTAATGGATCCTATAAAGAAAAAACAATTCAAATAAGGATATGAAGAGAGGGGTTTTGTTTGTTTGTTTGTTTGAGACCGGGTCTCACTCTGTCACCCAGGTTGGAGTACAGTGGTGCCATCTGGGCTGTCTGTAACCTCCACCTCCCAGGCTCAAGTGATCCTCCCACCTCAGCCTCCTGAGTAGCTGGGACTACAGGCATGTGCCACTATGCCCAGCTAATTTTTGTATTTTTTTGTAGTGATGGTGAGACACAGGACTAGCTGGATTCCCTAGGCCGACTAAGAATCCCTAAGCCTAGCTGGGAAGGTGACCACTTCCACCTTTAAACACGGGGCTTGCAACTTAGCTCACACCCAACCAATCAGTAGTAAAGAGAGCTCATTAAAATGCTAATTAGGCAAAAACAGGAGGTAAAGAAATAGCCAGTCATCTATCGCCTGAGAGCACAGTGGGAGGGACAATGATCGGGATATAAACCCAGGCATTTGAGCCAGCAACAGCTACACTCTTTGGGTCCCCTCCCTTTTATGGGAGCTCTGTTTTCACTCTATTAAATCTTGCAACTGCACTGTCTTTTTGTCTGTTTGTTACGGCTCGAGCTGAGCTTTCGCTCCCCGTCCACCACTCCTGTTTGCCGCCTTGGCAGACCCGCCACTGACTTCCATCCCTCCGGATCCGGCAGGGTGTCCGCTGTGCTCCTGATCCAGTGAGACGCCCAGTGCCGCTCCCGAACGGGCTAAAGGCTTGCCATTGTTCCTGCACAGCTAAGTGCCCGGGTTCGTCCTAATGGAGCTGAACACTAGTTACTGGGTTACGCGGTTCTCTTCCGTGACCCACGGCTTCTAATAGAGCTATAACACTCACCACATAGCCCAAGATTCCATTCCTTGGAATCCATGAGGCCAAGAACCCCAGGTCAGAGAACACAAGGCTTGCCACCATCTTGGAAGCGGCCTGCCTTCATCTTGGGAGCTCTGGGAGCAAGGACACCCCGGTAACAATGGGAACTCACTATGTTGCCCAGGCTGGTCTCAAACTCCTGGGCTCAAATGATCTGCCCACCTCTGCCTCCACCTCCCAAAGTGCTGGGATTACAGGCCTGTGCCATTGTGCCTGGCCTGAGATTTTTTAAATGATGTTTTCTTTAATTCCCCTCCTGCTAATACTCTTCTGATTTTCCCAATAGCATCAGCACTTTTTTCAGAATCAATGCTGTGTCCTTTACTTTCCCTATTCTCTCCAGCTCACCATGACCTTTCTTTACTTTGCTGCACAAGAAAACAAGTTGGAGAAACTAAGAAGTTGCAGAGTATGGTGAGACCTAAATTCCAATCCTGGCTCTGCCACTTAATGGTTATGTGACCTTTGTTAAACAAAGTTGATGAGAGGCCATTGTTTTCAACTAGCCTCCTGCATGAGGCCCCAGCAGAACGGACCAAAACAGAAGGGAGTCCCTTGTGCTTAGTACCAGTAATCAAACTGAACTTGGAAACTGACCAGTTTTCCAGAAGAACAGATTCCACTCAACCTCAGTCAATAATGAAGTAGTGTCCTCTGTTTTAACCCTATAAGAACAGTAACTTTGAAACAAGCAATCCAATTTGTGCCTCATTTCAGCTTACTTCAGCCTTTCTCTGCCTATAAAGTCAACCTCCTCTGCTCAGCTTTTCAGACCACTTCTCCCACTTCTAGAATCACAAATAAAACTAAATCTATGCTTATTTTGTCTTTTGACATCTTAGTGGACCTAGGACTTCATTTCCTAATTTTAAAATAGAAACAATAATAGTACCCATCTCATAAGGTTTATGTGAGGATACATGCAATGAGTTTGCAAAACTGGAAACAATATGTGCAAGCTATTACTATTACCCTATATTGCCTTCAGTTGATGGTTTATCTTTTTTTTTATTTCAATAATTTTGAGGGGAAGTTTATCCTTTTACATTAAGTTATCTTCTCTCTCCCATAAGATTAGAACCTCCACGATAGTGGAAAACTACTTTGTTTTGTAGAGATGGGGGTCTCACTACATTGCCCAGGCTGGTCTTAAACTCCTGCCCTCAAGTGATCCTCCTGCCTCAGTCTCCCAAATTGCTGGGGTTACAGGCATGAGCCACTGTTCCCAGCTTGAAATCTCTCTTTTATTTTTACAAACTTAAAAATTTTTTGTAGAGATGGGGTCTCACTATGTTGCCAGGGCTGGTCTCAAACTCCTGGGTTCAAGCAATCCACCTGTCTCCGCCTCCCAAAGTGCTGGGATTACAGGTGTGAGCCACTGCACCCTGCCCCAGCCTACAATTTCTTAAGTGGAATGTTTAACTCATTTATTTTTTTAAACTCTCTTATTTCTTGGTGAATACAGTAAAAGCTGTAAATACAGCTTTAGAGCAGACCTCTAAAGTCTGCTTTAGCTCAGTTGCATGCACTTTGGTATGTATTGGCATTAAGTTCTAAGTATCTTTTAATTTCCTTTATTATTTTCAGCAGTTTGATCATGATGTGTTTGGATGTGGAATTTTTTTGAGTTTATCTTTTTGGGGGTTCACTGAGATTCTTGAACCTGTAAGTGTATATCTTTTACCAAATTTGGAGAATTTTCTGTCATTATTCCTCCAAATACTTTTTCTTTTCATTAATTTTTTTTTACATTTATTTAATTTATTATTATTATTATTATTTTTAGAGACAGAGTCTCACTATGTTACCCATGCTGGTTTTGAACTCCTGGGCTCAAGCGATCCTCTAGCCTAGGCCTCCCAAAGTGCTAGGATTACAGGCATGAGCCATTGTGCCTGGCTATTTTTCTGCACTATACTTTTTCTCCTCTCCTTCTAAGACTCTGAAGACATGAATACTAGATCTTTTTATACTGCCACACAGTACCCTGAGATTCTGTTTGTCTTTTCCTTCAATCTTTATTCTCTTTTGTTCGGACTAGATAATTTCTATTCATCTATCTTCAAATTCAGTGACTTTCCTCTGTCATCTCCATTCCAGCTATTGAGCCATTCAGTGAATTTTTAAAATTTCAGTTATTATAGTATGTTTTTCATTCTAAACTTTCCATTTGGTCCCTTTTTTATGTCTTCTATTTCTTGCTGAGACTTTCTGTCTTTCCATTTGCTTCAAAGGGGTTCATACTTACTTCTTAGAGCATGGTTATAACAGTTGCCTTAAAGTCTTTGGTTGAGCCAGGCATGGTGGCTCATGCCTGTAATCCCAGCACTTTGGGAGGCCGAGGTGGAAGGATCACTTGAGGCCCAGGAGTTCAAGACCAACCTGGCCAATATAGCGAGGCCCCATTTCTGATAACAACATCCTTCTTGTGGCCTGCAGCTTCTCATCATTAGGCCCAAAACATGGCACCTAGGAGGTGTTTCAAATCTCTGTACATGATAACATCCTTTAGTCCTCTACTTAGTGTTTTCTATCCCACCCTGCCTTTTGTTTAGGCTTCTAACTCAAATGTTTAATTATGGAGATGACAGTGCTAAAAAACTATGGGACAGTAGACCCAGCTCCCTCTTCACCCTCCTTTTTTTGGAAACTACTCCTCTCCTCTACAAACAGAGCACACAGAAGCTGCCATGTTTTTAAAGACCCTGATTTGTCGGCTGTGGTGAATATTTTTCAGCAGTGTGTCATTTATTCAAGCTGGGCAATCAGAGACTTTCTTCAGGATTTAAAAATTCAATACAAGTAAGTGTGTGAGTTAGCCTTTGTCTGGTGGTGGAAGCTGTAAAATGTGAATTTAAGACAGTCAGTGACTCGTGTGCTGCCCCATGGAGGATGTGGTGTTCAGGGAGAGAAGATGCAATTGACACACAAACATCAGAGAAGGAGACAGGGACTGAGTCCTGGGACACTCAAGCCCCCAGTTCCAGCTGTGTCTAAATTCCGTTCTTACCATTCCTACGTTCCCAGGATTCCATTTCTAAGCTTTACTGAGTTTGCTCACCATTGTATTCATACATTTAAAATAGAACACAGAGCCCAGCAATTCGAATATGCCAGATTAGACTGACAGAGAGATCTCTGTCTGTATCTATATCTTTATATATTTCCATTTCTAAATATATCTGTTGAATGAATACTGAATTTCATGAGTTGACGCAGTAATTCCAATAAATTCCCTTTTTAAACCTAAAATGCATTTCTGTCACTTTTAACAGAGTTTTAACCTCCACAGTAACCTAAAACAACTACTGCAAACATTTCCTTTTTTTTTTTTTGCCAAGACAGGGTCTTACTCTGTCACCCAGGCTGGAATGCAGTGGTGTGAGTAGCTTGGACTAGAGGGACATGCCACAAGCCCAGCTAATTTTTGCTTTTTTGTTTGTTTGTTTAAGAGATGGGGTTTCACCATGTTGCCCAGGCCGGTCTTAAACTCCTGGGCTCAAACAATCTACCCACCTTGGCCTCCCAAAGTGCTGGTATTACAGGCGTGAGCCATCATGCCCAGCTGCAAACATTAACTAAAAACCTCTTTTATTTTTCTAAATTGGAGGAAAACAATGGAACTCTCAAAGTATCCCAGAAATGTGGGGAATTACATGCTGAAATGAAGACTTGACTATGGGAGCATGTGGATGCCTATTCCTAGAACTGCCCCTCCTTCAATCCTTCCAATTACAAAGACCATGTTAAGAATTTCACTCAGTGCCCTGCTACAAGGCAGAGCCCTCCCCGCAGAAGCTCATAAGTCACATTCTTCAGGGCAATAATGGAAATACATAAACTCTGTCCAAACATGGTTTATTATTACATGGATTTAGAGCAAATCACACTCCCACAAGCCAATATTATGCAAGCCAGGCTAGGTTGTAAAGAATATGATTATTCATTCAACAAATATTAAGCACCTAGTATGTACCAAGCACTGGGCCAACACTAGAAATATATCAGTGCACAAGAATATCTAGGTCCCAGCTCTCATGGAGCTTGCATTCTAGTGGGAAGACAGACAATAAGCAATGAACATGTAGTTATAACTTACAAAAGTGCAATTGAAATCAACAAAGCAGTCTGATAAAGAAAACTTGTGTGTGTTTGTTGACGGGTGGCATACTTCAAACTAGGTGATCAAGCAAGAACTCTCTGGGATGAGGACATTTAAGCTAAGATCTGAAGGATGAGAAAGAGTGAGCCATGTGAAAAGCAATGTTAAGAGGGGTAAGAAGTTCAAAGGTCTGAGCTGGAAAGAGTTTGCAGTGCTCCAACTATTGAGATGAACAAGAGAAGTAAGAGGTGAAGCTGGAGCGGTAGGCAACGGCCAGTTCTTGCTGGGATGTCTAGACGTGGTAAAAGGTTTATCTGCTGTGCAATGGAATACCACTGAAAGGTTTTAAGCAAGAAAGGGACATTTGGAAAGTATCATTTTGGCTTTAAGGTGGATAATGGATTCAGGCAGAGGCAGACAGGTACTGAGAATGGAGGTGGAGAGTGTAGTAGAGGTGTTGCAGAAGTGATGAGAGGTGATAGTGGAGTTTTGGCAGTGGAGATAGAAGTTGATGGGTGAGTTAGAGACATATTATGAACTCAGGAGTTCCAATAATCCAGGGGAAGATTGATGTCATTGTAGATTATTTAGGCCAGCAATTCTCAAACCTTGGTAGCTAGCTAACAGAATCATCTAGGTAGCTACCAAAAACAGACAACTGAACACTGTCCCTAAAGCTGAGGATTCCATAGCCTGGAGTAGAGCCTAGGAGTCTGTACTCTCCACGAGCCCTTGGGAGATTCTTATACATGACCAAGATTGAAATAAACATGGACTTTTGCCATTATTCCAGGTCAGCTTTATTTCCACACCCCAGAAGATCTAGGCTAAGTCCTCACATTGCCCAGTCAGCATGTGTTAAGAGTGTAGACTAATCTCAAAGCAGTAACACCACATTAAGCAGCAGCAGTGGAGCTGGGCATGCCTGTAATCCCAGCTACCTAGGAGGTCGAGGCTTTAGTGAGCCATAATCACACCACTGTACTTGGCCCAGGCAGCAGAGCAAGACCCTGTCTAAAAAAAAAAAAAGAAGAAGAAGAAGAAGAAAAGAAGCAGCAGCAATGAGTGTCCCAGATTCTAACTTTCTGATAAGTAAATTCAAGCCCCTACAGTCTATTTAACTTTACACCGAAGGACTACTGGGGGAAAATGAGATCTCATATTCAATTGACTTCTCTAAAAGTGTGTGGTTTTATCTTTTTGTAAAAGGCAGAATAGTACACATACATGAATCTTTGATAATCTAGGTCCTTCTGAGCTTCGGGATTATCTTCATTAATATAGTGTGGAACTGAAATTGATGAGTTGGCCTGAAACAGCAGGCTCCCAAAGGCAGAAGCCAAAAGAAGGGGAGACTTGAGTACCCCACCTCCCTAGCATCTCCAATAGTCTTCCCCTGAGTGAGCCACCACAAATAAATATCTATGCCACATAAAAACAATGTATCTGTGCCTGCTAAGGAAAAAAGAGTTTCAATCTACCCCACATAAACATACAGTCTAGGTAAATGAATTCCCTAATCTCCCCTATTGCTGCCCCAAAGATCTTTTTTATAGAAATTCCAGGACCATCACTGACTCCAGGAAGGATCTAACACCAGTCCAAATCCTCTTCTATATATATGGGTATAAACCTAAAATTCTACTAGTTTTTTTCTGCCTCTAGCCAAGATGGAGTAATAGGGACCATATATACCCTTCTACCTGAAACAACCAAAAATTGGACAAAATATATGCAAAAATAGATTTCAAGACACTAGACACCAGGCAATAAAAGACAATGAGCCCTGGTAGATGGGAAATAATCAAGGTGAGACCTAATGATTGTCCCAGTTTACTGCCTTGAAAAAGTCTCCAGGGCACAGGGTAGAGAGGAGGGGGGTGGTACATACTGATTGTGGTAATGGTTTCATGGGGAGATATATATGATAAAACATACATGCACAGTTTATTGTGTGTCAATCATACCTCAGTAAAGCTGTTACAACAAAATTCTACAAATAGAACTTCTTTCCTGGAGCTGCTGGCTTTCATGCCTGCTAAAATGGAAATCCCACCAAAGGAATAACCATTTTAAATCTGTATTATTAAATTATCACAATGTTCTGGGCACAGTGGCTCACGCCTATAATCCCAGTACTTGGGACCACCGCCAGCCGAGGTGAGTGGATTACAAGACTGGGAGTTCGAGACCAGCCTGACAAACATGGTGAAACCCCGTCCCTACTAAAAATACAAAAAAATTAGCTGGGTGTGGTGGCGGGTACCTGCAATCTCAGTTACTCAGGAGGCTAAGGCAGAAGAATCGCTTAGGGAACCCAGGAGGCGGAGGTTGCAGTGAGCCAAGATTGAGCCACTGCACTCCAGCCTGGGCGACGGAGCTAGACTCTGTCTCAAAAAAAAAAAAAGAAAGAAAGAAATTGTCACAATGTGGTATCAGTAAAAACCCAAACATAAAATTTAGAGGAAGAACAAGGATACTTGCTAGGTGGTATGGTTTGAATATTTGTCCCCTCCAAAACTTACATTGAAATTTAATCCCCAGTATGGCAGTATTGAGTGGTGAGACCTTTAAGAGGTGACTGGGTAGTGAGGGCTCTGCCCTCATAAATGGATTAATCAATTCATGGATAAGTGGGTTAATATGTTAATGTGTTATCATGGGAATGGAACTGGCTTTATAAGAAGAGGAAGACAGACTTGAGCTTGCATGCCCAGTGCTCTTGCCATGTGATGTCCTGCACAGCCTAGGAACTCCGCTGAGTGTCCCCACCAGCAAGAACGCTCTCAGCAGATACAACTCCTTGACCTTGGCCTTCTCAGCCTCCATAACTATAAGAAATACATTTTTTTCCTTATAAATTAGCCAGTTTCAGGTATTCTGTGATATGCAACAGAAAACAGACTGAGATACCAGGGAAGGCTAGAGAGAGGACAGCACAGAGAAGGGAGAAAGAGCACAGAATGGGAGAAATGGAAACAAATCTTGACCATTTGACAAGTGTGTTGAGAGCTGGAAGTAGCCAGGATAGTTCCATGAAAATGCATGGTAACCATGGCTCATATTTACCTATGTAACAAATCTGCACGTCCTGCATATGTATCTCAGAACTAAACATAAATAAAATAAAATTTTTAAAAAAGAAAATGTGTAGTGGTGTTTCTTAGTTGCCACAATAAATGGGGAGCATTATTGGCACTTAGTGGACAAAAGCCAGGGAAGATGAAGTTTCACAATGTGTGGCCCCATTCTGCACAAGTACAAATGGTACCACACAAATGCCAGTAGCACCCCTTGAGAAATCTGGTGAAAGGAATTTAGCTACACAGGCTGTTGGTTCCTTCTCCAATGCCAGCATTTTAAAGGGGTCTCAATGCGCATTTTAAGCTATGGTTTGCCATGCTAAATAGAACACATTAGACAATTCTGTCTTAGTTTTTTTGATGTTTGGCTTCAAATGTAATCAAAACCTCCAAAGCCTTGAGAACTCTGACAGGAACACATGAACTCCTTAACCTTGAACTTACTTAAGCACCTTTAAGAATATTAGGTACTGCAGCCATTGTCCAACAATTTTCTTATCCAGAATAATTGGCCTTAAGGTTAAAATTCTACAAAGCAAGTTGGTAATGTGTTTAGGAAAAATAAACTTCCTAAGCCATTTTTTTTTTGGCAAGAAAGAAAGTTATAATAATAATGAAATTTAGGTTTGGAAGAGACCTCATAGGTCCTCTTGTTCAAACTGTGAGAGAGGGTGAGAATGACAGAAAGTGCAGTGAGAAAAGGCCCCTCCCCAGCAAGCTAAGCAACACAGCATGGGCCACCATGGGTTTGTGAATATCCCCAGTTAGGATTTCACTTTTTCCGAACAGCATTTTGCAATGCTTTTCTAATCTGGATATTTCCCCTTGCTATGACCTGTCTTTCTAGGATCCAATTCATATTAATTTTCCCTATGCCTCTATATCCCTTGAGTGGCAGCTCCCAGAATCCTACACTCCCCTCTTCCTTCTAATATCTAAATAGAGAAAGTGTGTAACAGTATCACACTTTGGCCAGGCACAGTGGCTCATGCCTGTAATCCAAGCACTTTGGGAGGCCGAGGCAGACAAATCATGAGGTCAGGAGTTCGAGACCTGCCTGGCCAACATGGTGAAACTCCATCTCTACTTAAAATACAAAAAATTAGCTGGACATGGTGGCGGGCGCCTGTAATCCCAGCTACTCGGGAGGCTGAGGCAGGAGAATCACTTGAACCCAGCAGGCGGAGGTTGCAGTGAGCCAAAATCGAGCCACTGCACTCCAGCCTGGGCGACAGTGCAAGACTCCATCTCAAAAAAAAAAAAAAAAAAAAAAAAAAAATATATATATATATATATATATATATATATAGTATCACACTTTAACTTATGCAACTTAAGAAACAACTTTTTTTTTTGTCCAGGTGCAGTGGCTCACGACTGTAATCCCAACACTGGGAGGCTGAGGTGAGCAGATCACTTGAGGTCAAGAGTTTGAGATCAGCCCGGTCAACATGGCAAAACCCCATCTCTACTAAAAATACAAAAAATTAGACAGGCGTGGTGGTGGGCACCTGTGATCCCAGCTACTCAGGAAGCTGAAGCAGGAAAGTCGCTTGAACCTGGGAGGCAGAGGTTGCAGTGAGCAGAGATCACACCACTGCACCCCAGCCTGGGTGACAGAGCGAGACTCAGTCTCAAAAAAAAAAAAGAAACTCCTTTTTCTCCTTTTTAAATTTACCCAGACTTCTTTCCCACCTTCCAGACTGAAATTTCAACTGTCAGATGAACTTATACACCAGATAAGCCCACTAGAACCTCAAGCTTAACCTATTTAAACCAGTACTTGAGCGTGATCCCTTCTGACATCCTTATTTGTTTGAAGGGCATCGCTATTCAGTCACCCCAGCTGGAAACCACGTAGTTTCTCTTTCCAGCTCTCCTATTTCAATTAAATGTTAGTATTGTGGATTCTGCCTATGAAATATCTCTTCCATCCGTCCCTTTTTCTTTATTTTTGCTATCACTACCCCAGTTCACATTCTAATGACTTTCCACCAATCTCAGGTCTTTCCCTACTTCAATCCATTTTAAGCACAATCGTCGGATTATTTTTCTGTAGTAATGGTTTATTTATTTATTTATTTATTTATTTATTTATTTATTTTTTATTATTACACTTTAAGTTTTAGGGTACATGTGCACATTGTGCAGGTTAGTTACATATGTATACATGTGCCATGCTGGTGCGCTGCACCCACTAACTCGTCATCTAGCATTAGGTATATCTCCCAATGCTATCCCTCCCCCCTCCCCCCACCCCACAACAGTCCCCAGAGTGTGATGTTCCCCTTCCTGTGTCCATGTGATCTCATTGTTCAATTCCCACCTATGAGTGAGAATATGCCGTGTTTGGTTTTTTGTTCTTGTGATAGTTTACTGAGAATGATGATTTCCAATTTCATCCATGTCCCTATAAAGGACATGAACTCATCATTTTTTATGGCTGCATAGTATTCCATGGTGTATATGTGCCACATTTTCTTAATCCAGTCTATCATTGTTGGACATTTGGGTTGGTTCCAAGTCTTTGCTATCGTGAATAATGCTGCAATAAACATACGTGTGCATGTGTCTTTATAGCAACATGATTTGTAGTCCTTTGGGTATATACCCAGTAATGGGATGGCTGGGTCAAATGGTATTTCCAGTTCTAGATCCCTGAGGACTCGCCACACTGACTTCCACAATGGTTGAACTAGTTTACGTTCCACCAACAGTGTAAAAGTGTTCCTATTTCTCCACATCCTCTCCAGCACCTGTTGTAATGGTTTCTATATCATTCTCATGGCCAAAACTTTCCATAGTTTTTTCATATCCTGTGAAATGAAATGTAAAGTCTTCATCTGGACTTTTAAGACCCTCCAAAGTGTAGGATCCATTTCACTTTCAGGTCCTATTTTCAATCCCATGGGGCTAACTAACACATGTTCCATTTCTTTTCTGCCTGGATCTCCTCTCCCACTATTCCTCCAACTGCAGTGTCCCCATCTCCAGGCGCCCTATTCCTTTACCAACTGTCACCAGGCATCTTGACTTCTCCCCACAACTGAATATCATCTGTCCCCTCTTTAAATCTCTTTGAAAATTGCTCAGACTCATTCAGGACACTTAGCATGTGGACTATGTATTTTCTTAATTTGTGCAAATGCTGTATATCTTAGTTAGAATCAGCTTCTCAAGGACAGAATTTATGAGTACTCATCTTTGTATCCATCATAGGGCCTAACATAGTGCCCTACACAGAACCAGAGCTCAACAGATGTCTTTGAATTTAATTTTAATGAATTATTTATCTATATTGTGACATCTATATGTTCAGTAATATATAGAAAATTAGAAAAACTATACTATTTAACTGATTTGAATTGAGAAAAAGTTCTCTCAAAAATACTTTCTTCCTTATTGCATATGTAAGATTAATAGAACTCAGTCCAAAGCCATTAGTAGAGAAAAAAAATTAAGAAAAACAAGTTACAATGTAAAAATGTTTTGGTTAGCAAGTTAAACACATACTCCAAACAACAATCTCACCTGAGAGGAGATTCTTTCAGACTTCTGGACTCTTTGCTTCTCCAAAAGGCAAGGCCGTTCTTTTCTTCCTTGACTTAAAAAAAAAATAGTTATTTGGTCATTAATTAAATAATTTGATTGAAATTATGAAGAAGACCTAGTCTCATGTACTGATTAAATGACTGTTCATAAATCCTCACAAAAATTGTAAGTCCAAAATTGTAAGCTGGGTAGCACGATGGAGCAAAAAGAACTTTGACTTTGACATGAACATGTCCTCGGCCAAGCACGGTGGCTCACACCTGTAATCCCAACATTTTAGAAGGCTGAAGTGGGAGGATCACTTGAGCTCACAAGTTCAAGACGAGCCAGGGCAACATAACGAGATGTCATCTCTACAAAAAATAGAAATATTAGCTGAGTGTGGTGGTGTGCATCTGTAGCCCCAGCTACTTGGGAGGCTGAGGATGGAGGATTGCTTGAGCCTAGGTGGTTGAGGATGCAGTGAGCTATGATCACACCACTGCACTCTAGCCTGGGTAACAGAGCAAGACCCTGTCTCAAAAATAAAAAATAAAAATAAAATTTAAAAAGTAGGGCCTTTTTGGAAGTGATTAAGTCACTAGGGCTCTGCCCTCATAAATGGGATTAGTACCCTTATAAAAGGTTGACGGGAGTGCCCTAGTCCCACTGCCCCTCCCACTACGTGAGGACATAGGATTTGTTCCTCCTGCCATGTGAGCATGCAGCAAGAAGTTGCCATCTCTGAAGCAGAGGGCAGCCCTCACCAGACACTGAGTCTGCTGATGACTAGATCTTGGACTTCCAGCCTCCAGAACTGTGAGAAACAAATTTCTGTTGTTTATAAATTACCTAGTCTAAGGTATTTTGTTATAGCAGCAGGTGCAGGATAAGACAGTGGTCCGCTGTTATTCTGTCTTTCCAGCCTCTCCCTTTTTTGAAGAATTGCTCTCTTCCTATAGTTACCATGAGGGTTCTTATCCTTAAATAAAAAAAAAAAAAGAAGGAAAAAAAGACTTTGCTCCTTCCATGAAATGAATGATGCTTAAGTTTTAGTGCCCCTGGCCAGGTGCGGTGACTCACACTTGTAATTACAGCAGTTTGGGAGGCTGAAGCAGACGGATCACTGGAGGCCAGGAGTTCGAGACCAGCCTGGCCAACATGGTGAAACCCAGTTTCTACTAAAAAGACAAAAATAGCTAGGCGCGGTAGGGTGGGCCTGTAGTCCCAGCTACTCAGGAGGCTGAGGCAGGAGAATCTCTTGAACTAGGAGAGAGAGGTTGCAGTGACCCAAGATTGTACCACTGCACTTCAGCCTGGGTGAAAGAGCGAGACTCCATCTCAAAAAAAAAAAAAAAAAAAAGTTTCAGCCCCGCTCAGTGCATGAGTTCCTTCCAAAGTCTTAGGAGAGACCCTAAAAATGTGTTCACATGGCCAAATGTTTTTATAAGAATTGCAAAGAGAATAATCCACCTCTTCAACCACAATAATTTAAGAGCACAGGGTCTTCTTCCCACTTCAATTTTTCTTCTGTCTCACTTCCTCTCTTGAGAGTGGCTGTAGGCACTTTGTATTTGTGATTTCTTCTGTCCTGATTTCTTTGGAGTGCTGCGGGCATTGTATTTGTACAGTGTAAGACAGACGTCTTAGTTATTTCAAGGGGGGGCTCTCCAAATTGTATGAGTTTCGGTCCCCATAAAACCTAGATCCGCTCCTGCCCTAGCCACAGCTGATGGGTCTAGAGGTGGACTGCTGACCCAGTCTGGGCCAATCAATGTCTTGCCCTGGATTTGTGACATTTGTTCTTGAGAGACAGGGCTAGAAGTCTTTGGAGCGGGCTGGACCCTAGGAGGAGGTCCTAGCCAAGCTGCTTAGACCCCAGAACAGGCACCTGGGCTCCTGGTCTTTCACTATTTGGCCCTTTTGCTTCCCTTTTGATTCCCTAGGAGACTCCAAAATCTTCCAACAAATTCCCCTTGACATTAAGATAGGCAGAATCAGTTTTTTCTATTTGGAATTTAAGAAACTTTAAGACCCCAATCATCACAATCAGTTGTAAAAGTAGGCATTTCACAAATAATGGTACAAAATGTGATGCAAATAATGCCTTTGTATATTGCTGGAATTAGGTGGAAGCACTTATGACTCATCAATCAGACAGGTTTGAGCCCATCTCCTGCTTCAGATCACAGATTACAGAATGTCTAGGAGGTAAACCACTTGGTCCTGGTGATACAGCAATACCAACCCAAGGAGCAAGCAGCTTGGAAGAAAACAGGAAAAATAGAGCACATCACTGCTGGCATGCTGGAAAGGAGGACGAGATTACCGAGGCTTATTTGTTAGGATGTTAGTGTTACTTGCACAATCATCCTGTAACAGTCTTAAGTTGTCTGTTAAACCTCATTCCATCCAAATTCACTAACCAAACTTGAATTCTCTCTTTTTTGTGCGAAGTCATTAAAAAGTTGGAAAAAAAAAAACAACTTTAGTGTTCACGTCCCTGCCTCTTTCTATGTTAGCTTTATTTTATTTATTTTTATTTATTTTTTTATTTTTTTGAGAAGAGTCTCACTCTGTCGCCCAGGCTGGAGTGCAGTGGCACAATCTCGGCTCACTGCAGCCTCCGCCTCCCAGGCAAAAGCAATCCTCCCACCTCAGCCTCCTGAGTAGCTGGGATTACAGGCGCTTGCCACCATGCCCAGCTAATTTTTGTATTTTTAGTAGAGACGGGGTTTCACCACTTTGTCCAGGCTGGTCTCAAACTGCTGATCTCAAGTGATCCGCCCACCTTGGCCTCCCAATGTGCTGGGATTCCAGGTGTGAGCCACCATGCCCAGCCTATGTTAGCTTTAAATTTCACTTTGTAATAATGGTCTGGAGAATCAGGATCATCTGTGCTCTCCACTCAGAAATAAAGTACAGTTCAATCTGTTTCTGCACTTGGTGGAAAGTCTGGTCTCCTGGACACCAAGGACCAGAGTCTGGCAGGTGTAAGGCAATAATGACAAAAGAGCCTGAGTGTAGTGTCATCTGCTGCTGTATTCTCTAGTGTGCATGTAGCAGTTGACATGCTTCTTCAGTGGCTTGGATATGAATTCCTTCAGTCATTTAGCACAATGCATATCTGATGGAATGCTTGGTAGTACGGGCCAGCTGAAGAACATTTTTAGAAGGGACACTACAAAAATAATACATCTGCTTTCTCTATTGCAAGGGGTTCAATTATATTCATAAAGTCCCATTCCTGTGGGGAAGATGGTCAGGCTTCCATATGTAAAAACTATCCATGAAACCTGAGAGACTCATCAGTTTCTTGTGCTTTTACTTTTGCCCCACATCATTGGTTTTAGAAAATATCTAGGTTTTACATTTATTTTTAAAAATTACACACACACACATACAGTTGTCCCTTAGTATCCATGGAAAATCGGTTCTAGGATCGCCCTTGGAAACCAAAATCTGAGTATGCTCAAATGCCTGATAGAAAATGGTATAGTATTTTCATACAACCTATGCATACCCTCCCATATACTTTAAATAATCTCTAGATTATTTATAATACTAACTACAACAAAAAATGTCATGTAAATAGTTATACTGTATTGTTTAGGGAATAATGACAAGAAAATAGTCTGTACATGTACAACACAGATGCAACTTTTTTTTAGTATGATTTCAATCTTCTGTTGGCTGAATCTATGAATGTGGAGCTCACGACTATGGAGAGCCAATATTCACTGCAGCTCTAGAATAACAGAAAAGACCTTAAAGGCTTTTGTGGTATTACTAAACTTTGGTTCAGTTTAGATTTCATTAAACTATGTTTCAATCTAGTTGGGGATTCATCTATTTAATTTTATACCAATATTTCAAAATATACCACTAAAGCCTGTAAGGTCTTTTCTGTTTTTCTAGAGCTGCAGTGAATATTTGAAAACACTAGTTACCTGTGTCTATTTAAATGTAAACTTAAATTCAGTTATTCAGCAGCACTAGCCACGTTTGAAAAGCCCAATGGCCACAGGTAGCCAATGGCTACTGTATTAGACATGATTAGACAAGATATAGAACATCTCCATCATTGCCAAAAGTTCTGTTGGGTAATGCTGTTCTAGAATGTACCTGAAACTGAAACTAAGTGGTTAATAACCCAATCCATTGAAGAGTTTTGTGGCCAGGCATGGTGGCTCATGCCTATAATCCCAGCACTTTGGGAGGCCGAGGTGGGCGGATCACCTGAGGTCAGGAGTTCGTGACCAGCCTGGCCAACATAGAGAAACCTCATCTCTACTAAAACACAAAAATTGGCCAGGTATGGTGGCAGGCGTCTGTAATCCCAGCTACTTGGGAGGCTGAGGCAGGGAGAATTGCTTGAACCTGGGAGGCAGAGGTTGCTATGAGCCAAGATCACACCACTGCACTCCAGCCTGGGTGACAGAGTGAGACTTCATCTCCAAAAAAAAAAAAAAAAAAAAAAGAGCTTTTGCTACTAATACAGTTCAATCCTGTCACTCTGTTCCCATCTGCATTGTTCATTTAGAGTTTAATAACCATCCTCTTTCATCTCAATGTGAAAAGTACAATTCAGGTATGGCATGTTGCATCACACCTGTAATCCAAGCACTTCACGAGGCTGAGGCAGGAGGATTGCTCAAGGCCAGAAGTTTGAGATCAGCCTTGGCAATTCAAAGTGCTAATTGTGACCCATGTAAGAACATATGTATACTAAAAAGAAAAGCATCTTTTCCTCTATATATTCAGAAAAGTTGGGTCTAATTAGGAATCCTGTTAAAAATGTGATAATTTAAACTAAGTGTTTTTACTAGAAATGATTTCCAATATTGAGCTTGCTTTGTTCAGATGACCGAGTTGATTGGACCATGGGCACCTGTATCACATGACAAAAATATCCCCTAGGATTTTTTACCCAAGAGGTTTGGAGTTAGTCCTAATAATTACCTTTATTTAAGTGCTCAGCAGTTATTGTGTGCTGCTGCTCTACACATGACATCATCATTATTAACATATTAAAGATTCTAGCAATGACTATTATCAAATAGATGGTCGAGTAGGTTTGGGCCTGTCTCTTGCTTTAGGACACATATTGCAGAATGTCTCTGAGGTGAACCACTGGGGCCCTAGATATATAGCAATACCTGACTCAGGGAACAAGCAGCTGGAAGAACAGAAAACATACAGCATTACTGTTGGCATAATGGAAAAGGGGAGTGTTTTCTATCTTGTAATGTAGCTGGGGCTCCTTGTGACAGTGGCAGTTTTGTGTTGTCAAAAGCCTCCACGCCCAAGTGTCAGATGGTACTTTTGGGAATGAAAGTAGAGAACAGGTGGGGGCAAGTGTTATTCTATGAATAGCCCTGCACATCAGCACAGGACAAACTCTTCACTAATTTTAATATCACTTGCAAAGTTTCTAGGAATTTAAATGTCATCAAACTTCGATCTGTTTTACTACATTATTTTCGTATGTGTTTTTATTTTCCTATACACGTTGAAGGAAAAAAAAAGCCAAGAATAATTATGCTTGTGGACAAGGATAAATATGCATTTAAGGCAACCAACACCAATTAGATACCCTAATTAGTGTGACAGGAGACCTGGTGAGCAACCAGGGATTTGATAAACCTGCTAATTACAGCTCCTACAAACAGTTTCCATGCCACAGTGTGTCAGCATGGAAAGGTGCTCATCCATGAAAGTGTAAAAGCACCACACAGTTTTCTCACACATTGTAGCTCTGAGTCCAACTTGGAATAAAGTCTAGTGGACAATGAATGGGCTGAATGTGCTGGCCTAGCTACACAAGCTGGATGCCAGAAGTAGAAGGGCCTATCCAGCTCCTTGGACCTTCATCCTTCCCTTCTCCCTCTATGCTAAAGATTCAATCTTAAGGGCCGACTTCATTAAGTCAGCCACCCCAGCTGTGTACCCTGCCCTGTCCACCTTATTTCATGTAATATAACAACTCTGTGAAGCTAGTAATGGAGATGAGGAAACTGAGACTCATAAAGGTTAAGTGACTTGCTTAAGGTCACACATCCAGGAAATGTGAGAAACAGGATTCAAACCTGGGCTTAGTGAAATGCAAAGTCCATGTTCTTTTTCTATGCTTTTCACCAACTCCCAATTACAGGGACAGATACCTTAAAAAGGCTCATATATCAACATATCTATATAGATATAGATATACAGATATGTCTGAGTTGTTTTTACTCACTTCAGACACCAAGTGTGTAATTTTTTTTCTCTTTCACCCAAAGCCAATTCTCTAATTCTCTAGATACCAACTGGGAGTACTACAATTCAATTCCATTCTGCCATTCACTACTTGGCAGTAGCACAGACCCCACAGGTTAAGGGCTCAGTCCCACAAGACTGCCCTAACTTCAGATGCCAGTTGCAACTCCCAGGTTTCCACCTGTATTTCTGACCAACCAGCTATAAATCAGGAGCTCCCCATGAAGTGAACCAGAACATGCCACCCAAAATATACTACTTTGGCATATTGGTTATTTTAACCTGAAGGTGCTTGAGAGACAGCAGATGTAGGAAGGGCTCTCTGATCTACACCTATCTACCTTAAAACGGGACATAGACCAGGCACAGTGGCTCATGCCTGTAATCCCAGCACTTTGGAAGGCTGAGGCAGGTGGATCATTTGAGGCCAGCAGTTTGAGACCAGACTGGCCAACATGGCAAAAACCCAACTCTACTAAAAATACAAAAATTAGTCACGTGTGGTAGTGCATGCCTGTAATCCCAGCTGCTCAGGAGGCTGAGGCACAAGAATCACTTGAACCTGAGGGGTGGAGGTTGCAGTGAGCTGAGATCACACCACTGCACTCCAGCCTGGGTAACAGAGCAAAATTCTGTCAAAAAAAAAAAAAAAAAAAACACCAGGACATAAATTTCCCATGAGAAAGGCAACCTCTTTATACCAGGGAGAGGAGAACATTCTTTTTTCTTTTACTTTTAGATGAACTGGAGGTGAGTCCTGATCATATTACATGAAGCTTTCCACCATTGTGAACAATTAGGCAAGGCATTAGTGACAGAGGGGCATCACTGATAAATACAGAGCAATACTGGGGCAGTAAAGAGGAAGCTACAGAGACATTTGTGTTTCTTCAAATATCAGAAGCTTCCACATCACAGCAGGAGAGCTGAGGACGAGCTCCACCTCCCGAAGGCTTAGTCCAAAAACTTCCTGTTGGCATTTGCCCTGAACAAGCCCCCCGACTTCTGGCATCATCTGCTGGACTATGAGATCCAGCTGGCTTTCCAGGGTATTGGAAACCTTTATGTTACAATCCCCATTATATATCTCAACTCCACCAGCTATGTCCTCTGGCAGGTAGACATAGCTGGTGGAGTTGAGATATATAATGGGGACCTCCTGGTCAATTTGGACATCAACATCGTTTTTGGTGGCAACTTTGTACATAGGGATTTCCTTTTGCACCGCAGACTTTACCAGAGGGAAATCTTATTTCCTGCAACAAACAATCATTCAGGGCTCCAGCAACTGGTACAAACCTGTGGTAAGGTCATCCCTCACTCTGAGGACTTTGAGTCTTGCTTGATTCATCAAATTGGACATCTGAATTTTCTTCTGCTGCTCAATCTGTTTCTCTTTCTTCTCATAATATTCCATAATCTTTAGTCTTTGGGTTTGCACAAACTGACCTTTCTCTATGTTGAACTCTTCTTCTGCCTTTGCATCTATTCCTTCTGCTTTCTCATTGGCTTCTTGTTCAATGAAAGCCATCATATGCTTTATCTGCTTTTGCATGTCAGCATTGCTGAGAGCCATGGTGAGAGCAAAGCTAGGCCGGTGAGCAGCAGGCTCGAGTTTAGGTTTGAAGGGTGAGGTGGGAGGAATGGGCAGAGGAAACCCCTGTGCAGACCTTGGTTTCCTTTACTTTTTGAGAACATTTTTATCAATAGAGGTGAGGCATGGACACTGAGATGAATCTGTACAAATACTAAAATAAATCTTGTCTTCCATTAATTTTCACCATATATTTCCTAGTCATTTTCCCACAGTTCACTATGCGTAGCCTAAGCCCCTTTGCTTTGTCTTGTCACAACTCTACAATTTATCATTCTTTGTTAACATGGTATATAAGCACTCAGGCCTGTCGGCTTCTTTGGGTCTTCATTTCTCTTCTATGAAGTTTCCCCTGCCATGTAAAAATGTTAACGTCAAATAAAATGTGTATCCTTATCTCCTGTTAACCTGCCTTTTCTCAGCTTAATCCTCAGAAACAGCCACAAAACCTAAGAAGGTAGGGGAAAAGTCTTTCCTCCCCTTTACCACAAGCACCTCCTCAGGTTTAATAATTTGCAAGAACAGCTCACAGAACTCAGGAAAGTGCTTCATTTCCTATTACCAGTTTATTATAAAGGATTATATTCAGGAATAGCCAAGTGGAAGAGATGTATTGAGCAGGGTATCAGGGGAGGGGTGCAAAGCCTCCATGCCCTCTCCTGGTGCACCACTGTCCCAAGAACTTGATGTGGTCACCAACTTGGGAGCTCTCCAAACCCCGTCATTTAAGGGTTTTTTTAAGTTTGTATTTGTTTGTTTGTTTGTTTTTCAGACAGGGTCTTTCTCTGTCACCCAGGCTTCAGTGCAGTGGTGTGATCATGGCTCAGTATAGCCTCAACCTCCCAGGCTCAAGTGACTCTCCCACCTCAGCCTCCTGAGTAGCTGGGACTACAGGTGTGCACCACTACACCCAGCTACTTTTTGTATTTTTTGAAGAGACAGGGTTTTGCCATGTTTCCCAGGCTGGTCTCAACTCCTGCCTTAAGCAATTGTCCCACCTTAGCCTCTCAAAGTGCTGGAATTACAAGTGTGAGCCACAATGTCTGTATTAGTCAGTGTTCTCTAGAGGGACAGAATTAATGGAATAAATATATAGAGCCCAATGTGTCCAGGTGGATATGATAACTTCCAGTTGTATATATATGATAACTTCCATATATTTATATATATGGACATTTATACAGAATGGGTAGAGAACTCCCATATATATATATGGAAGTTTATTAAGTATTAACTCACATGATCACAAGGTCCCACAATAGGCTGTCTACAGGCTGAAGAACAAGGAGAGCCAGTCCGAGTTCCAAAACTGAAGAACTTGGAGTCTAATGTTTGAGGGAAGGAAGCATCCAGCACAGGAGAAAGATGTAGGTTGGGAGGCTAGACCGGTCTCTGTTTTCACATTTTTCTGCCTGCTTATATTCTGGCTGTGCTGGCAGATGATAAGATTGTGCCCACCCAGAATAAGCGTGGGTCTGCCTTCCCCAGCCCACTGACTCAAATGTTAATTTCCTCTGGCAACACCCTCACAGATACACCCAGGATCAATACTTTCTATCCTTCAATCCAATGAAGTGGACACTCAGTATTAACCATCACAAGTCCACCCCTTGTCAACTTAAACCCATATACATCCCCTGAGATCATACATAACCTTCAAATAAAGACAATAATAAGGTCATAATTATGCCTAGCATAATACAACTATCCTTTGTACAACCAGAAATGCAACAATCCCCAACCCAAATACTATTCCATAAAGTTAACAATATTTAAATGCTGATGTAAAGTCAATAAATCTTATGTCACATGCTAAAGGAAAAAGGAAATAAAATGAAGATATTTTCTTAGTACAAGTGTATACATGCACAAACATGTTTTTAACGAAAGAAGGAGGAAATACTCATGACAATTACAGTCCTTGTTTCTGCATCTGGTCACGTCATCATAGCTGGTATTGATGACTACCTTCTTCTACTACCCATTCTGTATTCTTTTTGCCTTCAGCAAGCACCTCAGCAGGTCATGGTTTTTTCCTGGTGGAGTGACCCAAACCTTCATTCATGAAGGGTCTGGGTCATTTGTAGTCCTGCCTGAATTGGGCTGTTGTAGTTTCTCACTGACCTTAATCAAAGGGCATAGTAACACTAAGAGACACCCTAATGGATCTCCTGTATTCCATGCATACTCTTTCTTAACTCCATTGTGGAGTTGTAGACTGATTTCATCTTGATAGTCTGGGTCAGTCACCCCAGCCAACACTGTAACTACCTTCTTGGCCTGTTGACTTAAAGGTAGGAGGAGCCCAATGTGTCCAGGTGGATATGATAACTTCCAGTTTAATGAAATCGTTGTTGTGTCTCCTGGTGGCAGCATTCCTCCCTCTGGAACTGAGACCTCTAGGCTAGCAGAATGTAATGTCATGGGAACAGGAAGCAAAAATTTTGCTAGTGGATCTCTAGGGGTGATGGTGAGTGGTGCCACTTCCGCTTCCACCCCTTGATTCCTGGACCCATGAATCCTGGCTATGGGAGGAACAGCACCATATTGGATGCTGATTCAGAGCATACATGGCCTTCTGGAGAACTCTGCCCCAGCCCTGCAAAGTATTGTCACCTAGTTGGCCATGTAATTGTAACTTCAAAAGGCCATCCCACCATTCTATCAATCCAGCTGCTTCAGGATGAGGAGGAACATGGTAAGACCAGTGAATTCCATGAGCATGAGCCCACATCACACTTCTTTAGCCGTAAAGTGAGTGCCTTGGTCAGAGGCAATGCTGTGTGGAATACCATGAAGGTGGGTAAGGCATTCCGTGAGTCCACAGATGGTAGTCTTGGCAGAAGCATTGAGTGCAGGATAGGCAAACCCATATCCGGAGTAAGTGTCTATTCTGATGAGGACAAACCTCTGCCCTTTCCATGATGGAAAAGGCCTAATATAATCAACCTGCCACCAGGTAGCTGGCTGATCACCCCGAGGAATGGTGCCATATTGAGGGCTCAGTGTTGGTCTCTTCTGCTGGCAAATTGGGCACTCAGCAGTAGTCATAGCCAGATCAGCTTTGGTGAGTGGAAGTCCATGTTGCTGAGCCCATGCATAACCTCCATCCCTGCCACTATGACCACTTTGTTCATGGGCCCATTGGGTGATGACAGGGTTGGCTGGGGAAAGAGGCTTAGTGGTGTCCACAGAATGGGTCATCCTATCCACTTGATTATCAAAATCCTCCTTTGCTGAGGCCACCCGTTGGTGAGCACTCACATGGGATACAAATATCTTCCCAGTTTTTGACCACACAAAGAGGTCCATCCACATACCTCTTCCCCAAATTTCTTTGTCACCAATTTTCCAATAATGCTTCTTCTGGAAGCTTCTTCTGGCAGTCCCTGACCATCCACCAAACCATTGGCTACAGCCCATGAATCAGTATGCAATCGTACATCTGGCCATTTCTCCTTCCATGCAAAGCGCACATCCAGGTGCACTGCTCGAAGTTCTGCCCAATGGGAAGATTTCCCTTCACCACTGTGCTTCAGGGATGTCCGAGAAAGAGGCCGTAGTGCTGCAGCTGTCCACTTTCGGGTGGTGCCTGCATATCATGCAGAACCATCTGTGAACCAGGCCCTAGTCTTCTCTTCCTCTGTCAACTGATCATAGGGAACTCCCCGTGAGGCCAGTGATACAGGCTAGGGGAGAGAAGGCAGGGTGGCAGAAACCATGGGCATTTGAGCCACTTCCTCATGTAACTTACTTATGCCTTCAGGACCTGCTTGAGCCCGTTCACATATATACCACTTCCATTTGATGATGGAATGCTGCTGTGCATGATCCACTTTATGGCTAGATGTGTCAGAAAGCACCCAGTTCATGATAGGCAGTTCAGGTCACATGGTGACTTGGTGACCCATGGTCAAACGTTCAGTTTCCACCAAAGCCCAGTAACAGGCCAAGAGCTGTTTCTCAAAAGGAGGGTAGTTATTTGCAGAAGGCAGGGCCTTGCTCCAAAATCCTAGAGGCCTCCTCTGTAATTCACCTATGGGGGCCTCCCAAAGGCTCCAAACAGCATCTCTATCTGTGACTGACAGCTCAAGCACCATTGGATCTGCCAGGTCATATGGCCCAAGTGGCAGAGCAGCTTGCACAGCAGCCTGGACCTGTTGCAGAGCCTTCTCCTGTTCTGGACCCCACTCAAAACTGGCAGCCTTTCAGGTCACTTGATAAATGAGCCAGAGTAACACACCCAAATGAGGGATGTCTTGCCTCCAAAATTCAAATAGGCCCACTAGGCATTGTGGCTCTTTCTTGGTTGTAGAGAGGGCCAAATGAAGCAACTTATCCTTCACCTTAGAAGGAATATCTCGACAGGCCCCACACCACTGGACCCCTAGAAATTTTACCGAGGTAGAAGGTCCCTGAATTTTAGTCGGATTTTTTTCCTATCCTCTAGCACACAAATGTCTCACCAATAAGTCCAGTGTGTTTGCTACTTCTTGCTCACTAGATCCAATCAGCATAATGTCATCAATGTAATGGACCAGTGTGATATCTTGCAGAAGCAAAAAGCGATCAAGGTCTCTCTGAATAAGATTATGACACAAAGCTGGAGAGTTGCTATACCCCTGAGGTAGGACAATAAAGGTATATTGCTGGCCTAGCTAGCTGAAGACAAATTACTTCTGGTGGGCCTATGGATAGGAATGGAGAAAAAGGCATTTGCCAAGTCAATGGCTGCATACCAGGTACCAGGAGATGTGTTAATTTGCTCAAGCAATGAAACCACATCTGGTACAGCAGCTGCACTTGGAGTCACCACTTGGTTAAGCTTACAATAATCCACTGTCATTCTCCAAGATCCATCTGTCTTCTGCACAGGCCAAATGGGAGACAGATGAACAGGGATGTGGTGAGAATCACCATCCCTGCGTCTTTCAAGTCCTTGATGGTAGCACTAATTTCCATGATCCCTCCAGGGACACAATATTGTTTTTGATTTACTATCTTTCTAGATAGAGGCAGCTCTAATGGCTTCCATTTGGCCTTTCCCACCATAATAGCCCTCAATCTACCAGCCAATGTGGGGGTTCTGCCAGCTGCTAAGTATGTCTATGCCAATTATGCTGTCTGGCACTGGGGAAATGACCACAGGATGAGTCCAGGGGCCCACTGGACCCACTGTAACTCGAAGCTGAGCTAAAACTCCATTAATTACCTGACCTCCATAAGCCCCTACTTTAACTGGAGGACCACAGTGATGTCTTGGGTCCCCTGGAATCAATGTCAGCTCAGAGCCATTGTCCAGTAGTCCCCTAAACATCTGATCATTTCCCTTTCCCAAATGCACAGTTACCCTGCTAAAAGGTCACAGGTCTCCTGGGGGAAGGATGGGAGAAAGATTCACTGCATAAATTGTTGGTAATGTAGTGGGGTCCTTCCTTAAGGGGACATGACCTCCCCTTCATTCAAGGGGTTCTGGGTCTGTAAACTGGCTCAAATCTGGAAACTGATTAAGAGGCCATGATCCTCTGTTTTCATAATTCAAATTAGTCTTTTGTCCATTCGACCTAGAAGTTTTCTGCTTATATAAATTAAGTAGGAATGCAGTAGGCTTCCTATTAATTTCATTTCTAAGAACACCGTGGTTAATTAGCCAATGCCACAACTCTATGTGAGTCAGACTATTCTGATTGTTTTGCCTCTGCTGTCCATTATGGTAACTATGCCCACCTTGCCTTTGACAGTTGAGTGCTGCCACTTGGCCACTGCCACCTCGGGATCCAATTATTCCCATTGTATTTAAATTTCATAGTTGAGTGACTGCAGTTCCCACCGTTAGATCTGACATACAGAGAAGAGCAATTACAGGGCTCTTCAAAGATGCAGGTGCTGCCCTCACACATCTATTTCACAAGGCATTGGTCAAGGGTATATCTTCTGGACCCTCCCAGCTGGGATGAGTAGCTCTAAAATGACTAATCCACTCCACCATCCCAAACTCCCTAAGCCTTTGGATGCCTTCCCCTACATTAAACCAAGGGAGATGAGGCATTTCCGGCTCACTCACAGTGGGCCATCGTTTAATCCATATTTCAGCTAACCAAGCAAATAAACTATTAGAACCTTTTTTAACTCCCTGAGCTGCAACATTAAACGCAGAGTCCCTACTTAGTGGGGCCAAATCAATAAATTCAGCCTGATCCAACTCTATGTTCCTTCCACCATTATCCCACACCCTTAATATCCATTCCCATGTCTGTTCTCCAGATTGTTGTTTAAAAAAATTAGAAAACTCATGAGGTTCTTTTTGAATGTAGCACACCTCCTTATGGGGTCATACTCTCAACCTCCAGGGGCCTACGGGGACTTTAGTTATAGGTCTACAAGCAAACAGGAACATTGGGGGGTGGGTCCTGAGGAGAGTCAACATTATTTTGCCTGGCAACTGCCTCAGGGGAGGCCATCACTGTTGCCTCAGGGGAGGCCATCACTGTTGCCTCAGGCAGTGCAGGATTTATCTCCTCAGGCAAAGGTGGAAAGACTGATGGCAGCATGGATCAGGGATGGGATGTTGCCATTACTGGGGCTAGGGAAGCTGTTTCTTCTGGCAAAAAAAAGTTCATCAGAGTTTACAAACTCAGTGTCCCCAACTTCATCAGGGTCCTCCCACACATTCCCATTCCAAGTTGCAGGGTCCCTTTCTTTTCCAGTCAATGCCCTAACTTTAACAGTAGACACCTGGTGAAGCTGTGCATGTATCTTCCATTGCAGGTCAGCGACTTGCATGATAAGAGCTTGTGTCTGTTTTTCCACAATTGTAGCTCTTTCACTATAGGAGATAAGACTCTCACTCAGGGCAATCTAAGCAGACTAGAGGTTCAGTATCTGCTTCTGACGCTGGTAGATAGAATCCCTGAGTTTATCATTTTCTTTCATCACTTTGTCTGCAGAATTTAGGAGCAACCAACAAGCTTCATTATGTTCCTTGGTTGTCTACATAATACTTCATACAAATGTAGTATGCATAGAGTCACTAAACTCCTTGTCTCTCATGAGCGATGAATCAAGAATGTCAAATGCATTTATTTTGCACTCTCTAAACAGTTTATGCCAAGGACTATCAGTGCTCTCCATACTATTAGAAGTAGAGTCCTTAGCATTTTTTGGTCTAAGCATGTAAAGCAGTCAACTCCAGAAACCCCAAAACCAATGAAAGAACTCCATCCTTAATATTCAGTTCCTCTAGAACCACTCCTGGTACCAAAATTTGTATTAGTCAGGGTTCTCTAGAGGGACAGAACTAATGGAATATATACATATACAAAGGGGAGTTTGGTAGGTATTAACTCACATGATCACAAGGTCCCACACTAGGCTGTCTATAGGCTGAGGAGCAAAGAGAGTCAGACCGAGTTCAAAACTGAAGAACCTGGAGCCCGACGTTCGAGGGCAGGAAGCATCCAGCACAGGAGAAAGATGTAGGCTGAGAGGCTAGGCGAGTCTCTCTTTTCACATTTTTCTGCCTGCTTTATATTCTAACCTCACTGGCAGCTGATTAGATTATGCCCACCCAGATAAAGGGTGGGTCTGCCTTCCCCAGCCCACTGACTCAAATGTTAATCTCCTTTGACAACACCTTCACACACATACCCAGGATCAAAACTTTGCATCCTTCAATTCAATCAAGTTGACACTCAGTATTAATCATCATAGTGCCCAACCCATTTAAAAATTTTTATGGAGGTTTCATTAAGTAGGCATGAGTTATTAAATCATGGGTCACTGGTGATCATCTCAATCTCTAGTCCCTCTCCATCCCAGGAGGTTAGAGATGTGGGTGGCAGTAGAGGAGGAGTGAAAGTTCTAACTCTCTAATCACATGATTGGTTCCTCTGGCAACCAGCCCCATCCTGAAGCTATCTAGAGGCCCACCAAGTGTCATCTCATTAGCATTTGTTCTATTGTTGAAAGGAGCTTGTTATGAATAACAAACAATGTTCTTATCACTCAGGAAATTCTAAATGTTTCAGAAGCTCTGTGTGAGGAACTAGGCACAAGGACCACTGCACTCCAGTCTGGGCAACAAATTAAGACACGGTCTGAAAAAGAAAATATCTATATCTATACCTATATCTATATATATATCTATCTATATCTGTCTATCTAGTTACATTTTTTTTTTTGAGATGGAGTCTCGCTCTGTCTTGCCCAGGCTGGAGTGCAGTGGCACGATCTCAGCTCACTGCAGCCTCCACCCCCTCGGTTCAAGTGATTCTCCTGCCTCAGCCTCCCAAGGAGCTGGGACTACAGGTGTGTGCCACCACACCCAACTAATTTTTTTGTATTTGTAGTAGAGACGGGGTTTTACCATGTTGGCCAGTCTGGTCTTGAACTCCTGACCTCAAGTGATCTACCCACCTCAGCCTCCCAAAGTGCTGAGATTACAGGTGTGAGCCACCATGCCCAGCCTAGTAACTTTTTTTTTTTTTTTTTTTGAGACAGAGTCTTGCTCTGTCTCCCAGGCTGGAGCACAGTGGCATGATCTCGGCTCACTGCAACCTCAACCTCCTGGGTTCAAGCAATTCTCCTACCTCAGTCTCCTGAGTAGCTGGGATAACAGGTGCATGCCACCACGCCTGGCTAATTTTTGTATTTTTAGTAGAGACAGAGTTTCACCATATTGGTCAGGCCAGTCTCGAACTCCTGACTTCATGATCCTTGGCCTTCCAAAGTGCTGGGATTACAGGCTTGAGCCACTGTACCCAGCCTAACTTCCCTGTTTTCTAGAGACAGGGTCTCACTCTGTCCCCCAGGATGGATCTTCTTCTACCTGTCTCTCTAGTTATATATGTGTTGAGTGTGTGATGTCTATAAAAAGAGATCTAATTAATTGACCTAAGGAAGGATAAGCACTTGGATCAAATACGTTTTAAAGGGAAGACAAAAGCTGTGGTACCTTTTAGTTTATGTAACTTTAATCTTTGAGAAATAAAAACAGTCTTAAAGATTATTGGCAAAATGCAGATGTCATCAAAATATAAATTTTTGCCTAGCGTTAAAGGATTGTTTTGAATTAGATAAGATAAACCTAAAAATTTGAACAAGTTGTGGAATGATTGTAAGAATTAATCTTGTGAAAGAAATTCTGTGTGTGAACAGATTAACTAAATTCAAAAGGCTATTACATGGACTGGGCATGGTGGCTCATGCCTGTAATCCTAGTACTTTGGGAGGCCAAGGCAAGCAGATCACCTGAAGACAGGGGTTGGAGATCAGCCTGGTCAACATGGCAAAACCCCATCTCTACTAAAAATAAAATATGAGCCAGGTGTGGTGGTATATGCCTGTAATCTAAGCTACTCAGGAGGCTGAAGCAGGAGAATTGCTTGAACCTGGGAGGCAGAAGTTGCAGTGAGCTGAGATCATGCTGTTGCACTCCAGCCTAGGCAACAGAGCAAGACTCCATATGAAAAAAAAGCAGGGGTAGGGGGGTATTATATGGTTTTTCTGCAAATTGAGAATTAAAATAAAAGCACAACAAGGTACTCTTAAGGCACTAATCTGCTCTTCAGCAAAATTTATAAAGGATTGTAAAAGGTTTTTGCTTTTTAAAAAATGTCCAAGTCATCATTTTGGCAAAATAAATAACTTAAGGTAATCTGGTATTCTATTTCATAACATCAAGTGCTTTAACACTCTAACATATTTAACAGTCTTCCCCAAATCAAACTTCAGTTTCAAAATTGTCTTTCTTGATGGCTAGCTTTTGGATGCTACAGAGGGCCCCTGGGGCATACAGAAGAGAGGTAAACAGGATTACCTGATATGTTTAGGTACATGGGTATGTTTAATCTTCCTCAGGTTATATTTTAGGGAATAATATTAATATATGTTCCAAAATTTATGGGATTTCTAAAATTCTAATGTCTGAGTATAGGCTATCAATCACAATTAAGGTTGTTATGTTAAGTTTTTTGTCTTGTCTTGATCCTCTTCAAAGGATGGTTTATAATCAGCTATAGAACTTTGACAGATGCTCTCAAATTCAGGTTTCTGATAACTTTTGAGATTGTGACATTGGAATAAAAGAAAAACGTAAGGACTCATGAAGAGCTGAATTGTCCACAAATATCAAGCAAAACAAGAGTTAACTGAATGGACTGAACTAATGGAAAACTGAAGTAATTATTTTTTTCTTTTTTGAGACAGAGTCTCACTCTGCTGCACAGCCTGGAGTGCAATGGTGTGATCTCAGCTGACTGCAACCTCTGCCTCCCAGGTTCAAATGATTCTCCTGCCTTCACAATCTATACATCTGACAAAGGACTAATATCCAGAATCTACTACGAACTCAAATGAATTAGCAAGAATAAAACAATCCTATCAAAAAGTGGGTTAAGGATATGAATAAACAATTCTCAAAAGAAGATACACAAATGGCCAACAAACATATGAAAAAATGCTCAAGATCACTAATGATCAAGGGAAAGCAAAACAAAACCACAATGCAATACCACTTTACTTCTGCAAGAATGGCCATAATCAAAAAATCAATAGATGCTGGCATGGATGCAGTGATCAGGGAACACTTTTACACTGCTGGTGGGAATGTAAACTTGTACAGCAACTATGGAAAACTGTGGAGATTCCTTAAAGAACTAGAAATAGAACTACCATTAGATCCAGCAATCCCACTGCTGGACATCTACCCAGTGGAATAAAAGTCTTTATATGAAAAAGATATTTGCACACACATGTTTATAGTGGTACAATTCACAATTGCAAAATTGCGGAACCAACCCAAATGCCCATCAATCAATGAGTGGATAAAGAAACTGTGGAATACTACTCACCCATAAAAAGCATTCACAGTGACCTGGATGAGATTGGAGACTATTATTCTAAGTGAAGTAACTCAGGAATGGAAAAGCAAACATTGTACATTTTCACTGATTTGTGGTAGCTAACCTATGAGGATACAAAGGCATAAGAATGATATAATGGGCTGGGAATGGTGGCTCACGCCTGTAATCCTGACACTTTGGGAGGCCAAGGCAGGCATATCACAAGGTCAGGAATTCGAGACCAGCCTGGCCAACATGGTGAAACCCTGTCTCTACTAAAAATACAAAAATTACTCAGGCATGGTGGTGGGTGCCTGTAATCTCAGCTACTCAGGAGGCTGAGGCAGGATAATTGCTTGAACCCAGGAGGTGGAGGTTGCAGTGAGCCAAGATCATGCCATTGCACTCCAGCCTGGGTGACAGAGCAAGACTCAGTCTCAGAAAAAAAAAAAAAAAAAAGAATGATACAACGGACTTTGGGAACTTAGGGGGAAGGGTAGGAGGGAGGTGAGGAATAAAAGACTACAAATTGGATGCAGTGTATACTGCTTGGGTGATGGGTGCACCAAAATCTCACAAATTACCACTAAAGAACTTACTCATATAACCAAATATGACCACTAAAGAGCTTACTCATGTAACAAAATATGACCTGTACCCCAATAACCTATGGAAAAAATAAAGAAAAATGAAATTCAAGTTTGAATACGTCATTGCATTAGTTTGATAGGGCTGCAGTAATAACGTACCACAGAGTGGCTTAAAAAAAATCTATTTTCTTTGCAATAGGATGCAACTGGAGAAACTGGTTGTTTTACCAAGGCTTTGACTGGAAGAGTATGCTTCCCTTTAAGGAGTCAAGCTTGACTTGCAGAGCTGATAAAAGCCTCTTGGGAAAACTGGCCTGATACATTGTCTATACAGTCCCCATACAGGGTTCCTAATTTGTGGTGAGTAAAGAATATCACTTTCTAACAGTTCCAGGAATCCCATGCTCTTGGGACCTCAAAAGGAGAGGAGTTTACTCAACTTACAGGTATTTGAGAGTAAAAGCCCCTGGCTGGGCTCAGTTTTAGGAAGTCTTATCTGAGATTCCTTGTGGAACAGAGTTTCATCAAAACCAATCTAAAAAGCCTATGTAAAAATAATTATCTTTGCTGCACTTTATGCAAATAATCAGGCCAAATATAAGACTAAAGTCTATTTTGCAAACAACTCAGTCCTATCATGATTTGTTTTTAACAAAAAATGAGGACTGGGGAGAAAGAAATTATATTTCAAAACTTATACATTTGTCATGAAATTCTAGACTTTTTAGATAAGCTGTTTTTAAGTTTTTGCCTACATTTTAGACTAACCCTGTTTATTCCTGTGAACCAACCAGCAACCTCTGGCCATAGCTCATAAGGAACAAAAGTGGATGGGTAATGTAAAAATCTGGATCAATATTCTAGTTCTGAGAAACTATCCCACACATCCTGCCATTTGGGAAAATAAGGCCAAGGGAGTTAACCAAAGCCAAGCCCCATGCACCCAAATCTTAGCAAGCATAAATATAGCCACCACTCATCTGGGCATGTCACAAGACATCCTTTTCTCTCACTTGTTAGAGGAGGACTCAATTCCACAGTTACACCTTAGCAATCAGCTTATGATAAGGAGTCTATGCAACCCCCTCCCCTGCAGACACATTTTTGTCCCAAACTCAATTCCAAGCTTTGGGTCAAAGCCCTAGGAAAGAAAGCAGGGTCTGAAGGATCCAGGTGCAGGCAATAACAGAAGTTAAAAGGCACAGCACAGGTGAGCGTGACTGATTCCTGCCAATTAAGCCAAGCTTCGCAATTCATGGATAAAGGTCATGCTGATATCCATGGCATAAATGAAGGGAACTCGACGGCTACTGACAGCAGGGGATATAGGGTGTACATGAGTAAGAGCATATATTCCCAGCCCCTAGTCCTCCCTGTTAATGTCAGTGAAAGCCGCTTTGATACCCATGGATGGCACCCTGATGTGGTCCCTGAGACTCAGGGATACTAGGATGGAAGAAAGAGGGATGCCTCACTTTCTCTCCCTCATGTATACTGGGTATTCGCTAGGAAGAGATGGGAATGTGGGATGATGCCTCATTCCCCTCCTTCTATTAACAGAGGAGTAGCCATTCATCTTCAAGCTGTACCCCTTTCAAATGCAACCAGAAACCCTGGGACTCCTTTGGAAAAAAAAAAAGCCACTTTCTTTCCTCTTTCCTTCTCTGTCCTCGCTTCACAGATAGGAAATTGTATCTCTGTACTACAGGATACTCCCTTCGGATACATCCTTCAAACTGGGAAAAGTTAATTTCCCAAACCTTAAACTGGTTGGCTTAAGATTGGGCTCAGGGGAAGGGAGCCCAGAAGCCCAACATGCCAGCAAAAGAGTAAAAGGTTTTTTTGTTTTTGTTTTTGTTTTTTTTTTTTTTTTGTTTTTTTTTTTACCAGTCAGGCTTTTGGCTCCCCTCTCCCTGGGCAAACAAGTAAAAGACCTCAGGATCTTTGAGCTATCCTTACCCACCACCCTTGTTTCATTTTGATACATGTTTTCTAATATGCCAGTTTGTCTCTTCTCACTTTCAGGCCACCAAACTCCAAATGGTCATGCAACCAGAGCCCCAGAGGATGGCCCCTTCTACAGGGAACCCTGAGACAGGCCTCTGAGGGAGATCTGACTGCCATTTTCCCAAAACAGCGCCCCCTGTCAGCTGGAAGCAGTTAAGATCATTCTTCGTTCTTACCCTTATTCTTATTCTAATGGCAGCTAGATGTACTTCTTTAGACAGGGGAAAGATAGACGCAGGAGGAAGATAAGGGAACCTGCCCAGGGTCTTGTCTGGGTGTGCCCGCAATGGATGGGGGTGCCCACATGTGCACTGGGAGAGTAGGGTTAGAGCCACCAGGAGTTCGAGCCTTGTGCAGGAGGATGAGCCTCGCCTCTTCAGCTCTTGCATGTGGCAGACTGATATTCAATCTGTGAGGTGAGAGCCAGTTGGCCAGACCCCTTTTTTTCACTGAGAGCTTTCTTTTAATAAATCCCACTGTCCGCATCTTTCAATGTGTCCCCATGCCTAAATTTTCCTGGCTGCGTGATAGGAACCTGGATTTTAACTGAACTAAGAAGCAAAATATCCTGCATCAATTTTAAGAAATATATATATATACTTTTTTTTTTGCCTTAGATCCAGAGACAGATTGGAAGTACCTACCTTTCTTGTTGTTAGCTTTAGTATGATGAAATGGAAATAGGAATTTCCTGACACTGTTTGACTTTTTACACTCTTTTTTCAAAACGGTTGAAGAATAGATGATACGAATGTGTTGGCTGATTTCTCTATCTGGCGAACTCAAAAATTCCGGGTAATCATCAATCTGGAAAAAAAATTAATTCACCTCATTGAAGACAAATACAACTGCTTACCTATTTTGGTATAATAAATCCCCCAAAGCTAACAGCAAGTTTTTTTTTTCCACATATATATATATTTTTCAAAACGGAGTCTCACCCTGACACCCAGGCTAGAGTGCAGTGGTGCGATCTCAACTCATTGCAACCTCCACCTCCTGGGTTCGAGTGATTCTCCTGCCTCAGCCTCCTGAGTAGCTGGGATTACAGACATGAGCCACCACACCTGGCTAATTTTTGTATTTTTAGTAGATACAAGGTTTAACCATGTTGGCCAGGCTGGTCTCGAATTCCTGACCTTAAGTGATCGCCCACCTCGGCCTCCCACAGTGCTGGGATTACAGGCATAAGCCACCGCAAAGTTTAAACTGAGTTCTTTTTTTTTTTCCCCTTCATTTTATCCACTTGGACATCTTCCTTTTCTTATTGTTAGGTTTCCCAATTATTTCTCTATTTGTTTTAGTCCTTACCAAAAATGTGCTCGACAACAGAACCCAAGAAACTATTTACACTATAGAATTGCTACATAAACACTAAGTGTTTTGTTACAGTATTTGTTAAAGTACATCCCTCTCCACTTCCATTTTATTTTATTTATTTTTTGTTGTTGAGATGGAGTCTCTCTCTGTCGCCCAGCCTGGAGTGCAATGGCACAATCTCCGCTCACTACAACCTCCACCTCCTGGGTTCAAGCAATTCTCGTGCCTCAGCCTCCCAAGTAACTGGAGTTACAGGCACCTGCGATCACGCCCAGCTAATTTTTGTATTTTTGTAGAGATGGGGTTTCACCATGTGGGACAGGCTGGTCTTGAACTCCTGACTTAAGGTGATCCACCTGCCTCGGCCTCCCAAAGTGCTGGGATTATAGGCGTGAGCCACCGTGCCTGGTCCACTTCCATTTTAAAAATAATTTTTTCATAAAGGTCTCAAAAATGTATAATTAATTGATTTTACACTAAGATTTTTCTATGCAGGAGACAATGTCCATTTATAGGTAACAGCTCATAGAGATTCTGGGAAGACAAACATCTAGGTTTGAACTACTGGAAATGTCCTTCTCTCCAACGTGCTCTGTTCTCTATTCTGGATAAAAAAGGGAAAAGGTCTCAATAAATAGATAGGACATTTAGATCTTCTCTGCAACAGCCTACTTCACTTTCTATGACAAGCAGCAATAACATTTGATTGAAAAGCTAAGAGTGAGACAGGCATAATGGTGCCCACCTGTGGTCTCAGCTACTCTGGAGGCAGAGGCAGGGGAATCACTGGAGCCCAGGAGTTGAGGCTGTAGTGTGCCATGATCTGTGCAGTGCACTTGTCTGTGACCACTATAACCCACTCTGAGCAACATAGCAAGATCCCATCTCTCTTTTTTTTTTATTTTGAGATGGAGTCTTGCTCTTGTTGCCCATGCTGGAGTGCAATGACATGATCTCAGCTCACTGCAACCTTCGCCTCCCAGGTACAAGCGATTCTCCTGCCTCAGCCTCCGGAGTATCTGGGATTACAAGCGCCTGCCACCACGCCTGGCTAATTTTTTGTATTTTTCGTAGAGATGGGGTTTCACCATGTTGGCCAGGCTGGTCTCGAACTCCTGACCTCAGGACCTCAGGTGATCCATCCGCCTCAGCCTCCCAAAGTGCTGGGATTACAGGCGTGAGCCACCGCACCTGGTCTACTCCCACCTTTTAAAAAAGAGATGGGGTTGCCAGGTGCGGTGGCTCACGCCTGTAATCCCAGAGCTTTGGGAGGCTGAGGCCAGTGGATCGCCTGAAGTCAGGAGTTCGAGACCAGCCTGACCAACATGGTGAAACCGTGTCTGTACTAAAATACAAAAATTAGCTGGGTGTGGTGGTGCATGCCTGTAGTCACAGCTACTCAGCAGGCTGAGGCAGGAGAATCGCTTGAACCCTGGAGGTGGAGGTTGCAGTCAGCTGAGATTGCACCACTGCGCTCCAGCCTGGGGAACAAAGTGAGACTCCGTCTCAAAAAAAAAAAAAAAAAAAAAAAAAGAGGTGCAGGTCAGGCAGAATTCCTGTATAAGTTTTTTGAGAGTACCTAGAATTTAGATAAAAATGTTTCCTGTGATCATGCAGTTTCATTTTTCTTTTCACAAATATAAGAAAGAAATATCAAGTAATACAATTTATAAAATCTAAATCAAAGTAATTGAAGATAGGAAGATGAATTAATAAAAAGCTAACAATATCTACTCAAATTCAATTTTTAAAAATTATTTTCAAATAGGTAGAGTAATTCAAACCAGTTAATGAATTTGTACCTGAAATCACCACTCAACTTTCTCTGACTTAGGCTAAACAATTTTAATTCCATTAGTCTTATTTATTTTTATGATTTGAACAGTAATTTAATTTTAAATTTTTTTGAGATGGTCTCAAAAAATTAGAAAAAATGTAAATTTGTGCTCAATATAATGAAATCATTATTCTGATAGATTTTTATTTCAACTTTATGTTTTATAATATCTCAGATTGAAGATAATTTCCAAGATCCTTAGGTAACTTAAAGCCTTGGGCAGATATTAAATTGACTTAATAGATAATCATCAGACACCAAGATAATTCCTAAGTAAGAGAGAATACTGAAACATTGGCTACTTGAGCATTATTTTAAGTGTATATACATATAGTTTTGTTTTTTCTTCTTCTCATGTCAGATGGGTAATGTGCCTACATCATAACAAGCTTTAAGGGTGGTACATCTCACACATGAGTGTGAAAACCCAATCACCATGCTTATGAACTTCAAAAGGATAAAAAATACATAAACTTGCCTGGGCATGGTGGTTCACACCTGCAATTCCAGCACTTTGGGTGGCCCAGCTGGGCAGATCACAAGGTCAGGAGTTTGAGACCAGCGTGGCCAACATGGTGAAACCCCATCTCCACTAAAGATACAAAAAATTAGCCAGGTGTGGTGGTGTGCATCTGTAATCCCAGCTACTTGGGAGGCTGAGGCAGGAGAACTGCTTGAACCCGGGAGGTGGAGGTTGCAGTGAGCCGAGATCGTGCCATTGCACTTCAGCCTGGGCCTGTTGCCCAGGAGCAAGACTCCATCTCAAAAAAAAAAAAAAAAAAAAAAAAAAAAACCATACATTTAAGCTTATTTTTATATTTTACAGAGAGGTTATATATTTTGGTCATGTTAATGAATGTGCTCATTTACAAAGTTTCCATGCTGTGAAAGAGGTTCTTGTTAGAAACAAATGCTTGTTCCTCAGTGCTGAAAAGAACTAGTGCTCAGATAAAGAATTTTCTCAGCAAGGCAATTTTTACTTCCATAGAAGGGTGCAACTCGTGGATGGAGCAATGGCAAGAGCACACCTGAACAAGGGAGGGGAAGGGGTTCTTATTCCTGATGCAGGTAGCCCCTACTGCTGTGTCATTCCCCTGTTGGCTAGGGTTGGACCGCACAGTCTAAGCTAATTCCAATTGGCTAATTTAAAGAGAGCAGGAGTACAAGTCAGAGTGGTGGGGTGAGTAGTTTGGCAGGAAGGATGGTTACAGAACAGGTAAGTCAGGACGGAGCAGGTGACCAGGGGTGACTCAGGTCAAAGCAGGTGACCAGGGGAACAGATGTGAACTACTGATTAGAACAAGTGGGAAAGTTGTTTACTGAAACTAGAGGCAAGGGGGTGAAGAGAACCAAGAAGTTAAACTTTAAAATGGAGAACAGAGAATAAGAGAGCTGAACATACTAACATACTGATTCCTTGAAGAGAAGCTTGGAGTTCACTATATCTAACATTCTTTTCAAGCATGTTGCTTTCCATGTCTATTATTTAATGTTTTATTGTCACTTTGACTCACTAGGTAACCAGGCATTGTTTCTCAGGCACCCATGATTCTCTCTTAACCAAAAGTCAAAATCTCCTTTAATAAACACTTGATTTTTGCCTTCCCCAAATAAGATTCTAATTATAAGAAAGAAATATATTAAAATCTCAGGATATATTTTACACCTAAAACATCTTTGAGATTTATCAGCAGGCTCCTAAAAAAAAAAACACACAAAAATGTGGTCTTTCAACTTATGAAAAGAGGAGGCTGGAAATAATTTGGTCTATTTACTACTGTTTCACGGGAAGAATTGTCAAGTCCAAAGAGATGTTCAGTGTTCCTTAGCTTAAATTTGTATAGGTAAGTTCTTAAGTAAGTTGTATAACATAAATATTTCAGAAATTGTTTTATGGGAGATTTGTCAATGCTTTTATTGCCTATGTATCAGTCTTGGGGGTGCTTTGCCTTATTATATTAGACAACTGAAATATGTGTTAGCAATCATAATTTTTTCTTTTTTTTTTCTTTCTTTTTTTTTTTGAGACAGGGTTGAGCTCTGTAGCCAAGGCTGGAGTGCAGTCGTACAATCTCAGGTCACTGCAACCTCTGCCTCCCAGGCTCAAGTGATCCTCCCACCTCAGCTTCCTGAGTAGCTGAGACTACAGGCACATGCCACCAGGCTAGGCTAATTATTTTTACTTTTTTTTGTAGAGATGAGATCTCGGGCCAGGTGAGGTGGCTCACACCTGTAATCCCAACAGTTTCGGAGGCCAAGGCAGGTGGATCATTTGAGATCAGGAGTTCGAGGCCACCCTGGCCAACATAGTGAGACCCCCCCAATCTCTACTAAAAATGCAAACATTAGCGAGGCTTAGTGGCAAGTGCCTGTAATCCCAGCTAATCAGGAGGCTGAGGCAGAAGAATCGCTTGAACCTGGAGACAGAGGCTGCAGTGAGCCAAGACTGCTCCACTGCTCTCCAGCCTGGGTGACAGAGGGAGACTCCATCTCAAAAAAAAAGAAAAAGAAAAAGAAAAAGAAATAAAGAAAACAAAGCCACTTCTACATACCCTACAAAGCCTCCATCACTGTAAGGTGATATGTGATTACATTGATGGTTGTCACACAAACAAGGGGACATATTTGTGTATGTAAAAGGAGGGATGATGACAGGTGTGATAAAAAGAAACTATGAATAGTGCTAGTACCAAAAGATTACATACCAAAAGTACTATGATTTCTCATTTCCCCCTTTCTCTCTTATTGATTCATTTAGAAATCATAATCTCGGCTGGGCGCAGTGGCTCATACCTATAATCCCAACACTTTGGGAGGCCGAGGTGGGCGGATCACGAGGTCAGGAGTTCGAGACCAGCCTGGCCAACATGGTGTAACTCCGTCTATACTAAAAATACAAAAATTAGCCAGGCGTGATGGCATGCGCCTGTAATCCCAGCTACTCAGGAGACTGAGGCAGGAGAATCGCTGGAACCCAGGAGGTGGAGATTGCAATGAGCTGAGATCATGCCACTGCAATCCAGCCTGGGCAACACAGTAAGACTCCATCTCAAAAGTAATAATAATAATAATAATAATCATCATCATCATCATCATCATCATCTTGGCCAGGCATGATGGCTCAAGCCTGTGATTGCAGCACTTTGGGAGGCTGAGGCAGGTGCATCATCTGAGGTCAGGAGTTCGAGACCAGCCTGGCCAACGTGTTGAAACTCTTTCTCTACTAAAAATACAAAAATTAGCCAGGCATGGTGGTGCACACCTGTAATCCCAGCTACTCGGGAGGCTGAGGCAGGAGAATCACTTGAACCCAGGAGGGAGAGGTTGCAGTGAGCCAAGATCACGCCACTGCACTCCAGCCTGGGCGACACAGTGAGACTCCATCTCCAAAAAATAATAATAATAATCTCAGTTGCAAAACTTATGGTCACAAAATCATAGACAGAACAAAACTCTAACAGAAACATTTAATTCAACTTGGACTTAAGTAAAGAGGGCAAAGTGTTAGAGAAAGGAAGGTGGTTTCTTCTTCTTTTTCTTATTTGCTTATAATGGAGTTCAGGACATACTACTCCAAAATAGGGCGCTTCACCAGATTATTTTAAGCTGAAGGAACTTGAGGAATGACATGTACAGGAAGCACTTTTTGACCTTTCTCTGAAGCAGGTCATAAAATCTAGGAATAATTTTCTAACCTTCTTTTGATGCAGGTCATAAAACCCTCATGCGAAAGATGCCCTCCCTATATCCAGAGGAAAGGATAAAGTATCTGAACAGTTAGGCCTGTTTAGGCCTAACTTTCTCCAATTTGTTACACTGAGCTCATACTTTTTCTTTGTCCTATTATATTTCTCCATGACTTTCCTCTCTTCATCAAACCAAGCATAAAAACATTCAGGTTTAACCACTTCTTCAGATCTTCCTTTCCTTACAAAGGCTCCCATGTCACATAAAAAATAAATGTGTATGTTTTTCTCTTGTTAATCTATCTTTTGTTACCAGGGCCCCAAGCCAACGAACCTAAGATGGGTAGAAGGAAAAGATGTATTTCCTCCTTTATACTTTTAAAAATTAAAAAAAAATTCAAAAATAAAAATCTCTGTTTAAAAAATGTCTCTTTCTAAAGATCACAGCGTGTTTGTGAAGCCAGAGAGGACCACTCAGGAGCTAAGCAAGCCTAATTTACACATCTGTGCGGGGGTAAAGAGTTTTCTAAAAGCTTTTCCACTGTGAGCACTGAACAGGGCAGGAAGGCTTAATCCAAAGAACATGCTCTCAGTGCCTGTAGAAAGAAAAGAAGCTCTTTTATTATTATTATTTTTTTAAAGACAGAGTCTCGCTCTGTCACCCAGGCTGGAGTAGAGTGGCATAATCTTGGCTCACTGCAACCTCCTCTTCCTGGGTTCAAGCAATTCTCCCTGCCTCAGCCTCCTGAGTAGCTGGGATTACAGGCACCCATCAACATGTCCGGCTAATTTTTGTAGTTTTAGTAAAGATGGGGTTTCACCATGTTGGCCAGGCTGGTCTTGAACTCCTGACCTTAAGTGATCCGCCCACCTTGGCCTCCCAAAGTGCTGGGATTACAGGAGTGAGCCACTGCGTCCAGCGAAAAGAATTTCTTTAAAGGGACAAAGCTGAATTCAATCCCTTGTTAGCAATTTAGTTTAAACATGGTATTATTTGAAAGAAATATTTTTTTGCTTTACATCAGAGACATTTTTACAAAATTCAAAAACTGGCTGGGTGCGGTGGCTCACACCTGTAATCCCAGCACTTTGGGAGGCTGAGGCCAGCGATTGCATGAGGCCAGGAGTTCAAGACCAGCCTGGCCAGCATGGCGAAACCCCGTCTCTACTAAAAATACAAAAATTAGCTGGGCATGGTGGCAGGTGCCTGTAATCCCAGCTACTCGGGAGGCTGAGGCAGGAGAATCGCTTGAACCCGGGAGGTGGAGGTTGCAGTGAGCCAAGATCATGCCATTGCACCCTAGCCTGGGCGACAGAGCAAGACTCCATCTCAAAAAATAAAAAAGAAAATTCAAAAACCAAAGCTTCCATTTAACCCCAAAATGTGAAAACATATAGATAATAGGTAGGTAGGTAGATAGATGATAGATAGATGATAGATAGATAGATAGGATATTGTAATGATCCTATAAAATAATTTTAAAATTTTCTAACTGTCCTAAAATAAGCTCAAAGTACGGTGAGTAAAATTCTATTTTGCATGGCTATTTAGCTTATTTAGGTTGAAAATAAGTTAAGATTTCTCATGTTTCATATAACATTGAATTTGTTTTTAGGACTGTTTATGAAAGTTGAAAGAACTGCTTTTATCCAGACCCTTTTTAGCACAGGCAATAATATCTAAGTAATATATACCTGAAAATAATTTTAAAAGTCCAAATCAGGAAACATAGTTTTTTTTCCTAAGAATTGCCAACAAAAAACCTTTGGTATAACAATATATCACACCATTTATATACATTTGATAAATCAACTCTTTTAAGTGTAATTGCATAAAATTATTATTGGGACAGATGTGGTGTCATGCCTGTAATCCCAGAACTTTGGGAGGCCGAGATGGGCGTATCACTTGAAGTCGGGAGTTTGAGACTAGCCTGGCCAATGTGGTGAAACTGGTCTCTACTAAAAATACAAAAATGAGCCGGGTGTGGTGGCGTGCACCTGTAATCCCATCTACTCAGGAGGCTGAGGCAGGAGAATCGCTTGAACCCGGGAGGCAGAGACTGCAGTGAACTGAGATTGCGCCACTGCACTCCAGCCTGGAGACAAAGTGAGACTCCATCTCAGAAAAAGAAAATAAAAAAACAATTATTATTGAACCAGCACTGTATTTGTATGCCCCACCAATATAAATGGTAATGTTAGAGGTAATTGAACCAGAGCAACTCCATCTTGAATAAGGGCTGCGTAAAATGAGGCTGAGACCTGCTGGGCCACATTCCCAGGAGGTTAAGGCATCCTATAATAAGTCACAGGATGAGACAGGAGCTCAGCACAAGATACAGGTCATAAAGACCTTGCTGATAAAACAGCTTGCAGTAAAGAAGTCAGCTAAAACCCACCAAAACCAAGATGGTGATGAGAGTGACCTCTGGTTGTCCTCACTGCTACATTCCCACCAGTGCCACGACAGTTTACAAATGCCATGCCAACCTCAGAAAGTTACCCTATATAGTCTTAAAAAGGGAGGAATGAAAAATCCACCTTTTGTTTAGCATATAATCAAGAAATAACCATAAAAATGGGCAATCAGCAGCCTTTGGGGTTGCTCTGCCTATGGAGTAGCCATTCTCTTCTTCCTTTACTTTTTTTTTTTTGAGATGGAGTTTTGCTCTTGTTGCCCAGGCTGGAGTGCAATGGCACAATCTCGGCTCACCGCAACCTCCTCCTCCTGGGTTCAAGCAATTCTCCTGCCTCAGCCTCCCGAGTATCTGGGATTACAGGCATGCGCCACCACGCCCAGCTAATTTTGTATTTTTAATAGAGATGGGGTTTCTCCATGTTGGTCAGGCTGGTCTCAAACTCTTGACCTCAGGTCATCTGCCCACCTCGGCGTCCCAAGTGCTGGGATTACAGGCATGAGCCACCTTGCCTGGCCTACTCCTTTACTTTCTTAATAAATTTGCTTTCACTTTATGGACTCGCCTCGAATTCTTTCTTACACAACATCCAAGAACCCTTTCTTGGGGTCTGGATCGGGACCCCTTTCCAGTAACAGCAACTAGCTGTCTTTTCTCCTTAGAAACTGGGGCTGGGGAAGTTGGAGTTAGTTGCAAATGGTCTCCTAAATTCTCACTCCCTGTCATAAATTATAGTATTTTGTAATATTTGGCCTAAGACTTGCTTTGGAAGGAACTGTTACCGGAAAGTGGTCTCGATACAGAACCCAAGAGAGGGTTCATGGATCAGGCACAAGAAAGAATTCAGGGTGAGTCCACACTGCAAAGTGAAAGCAACTTTATTAACAAAGTAAACGAGGCCGGGCGTGGTGGCTCACACCTGTAATCCTAGCACTTTGGGAGGGTGAAGGGGGTGGATCACCTGAGGTCAGGAGTTCAAGACCAGCCTGGCCAATATGGTGAAACCCCATCTCTACTAAAAACACAAAAACTAGCAAGGCATGGTTTTGGGTGCCTGTAATCTCAGCTATTCAGGAGGCTGAGGCAGGAGAATCAGTTCAACCTGGGGGGCAGAGGTTGCAGTGAGCCAAGATTGCGCCATTGCACTCCAGCCTGGGTGACAGAACAAGACTCCATCTCAAAAAAGAAAAAGAAAGTAAAGCAATAAGAATGGCTACTCCACAGGCTACTCCATAAAAAAATAGCCAATTTATTTCTTGATTATATGCTAAACAGAGGGTGGATTATTCATGAGTTTTCTGGGAAAGGGGTGGGAAATTCCTGGAACTGAGGGTTTCTCCCCTTTTTAGACTATATAGGGTAACTTCCTGAGGTTGCCATGGCATTCGTAAACTGACATGTCACTGGTGGAGTGTAGCAGTGAGGACAACCAGAGGTCACCTCATCGCCATCTTGGTTTTGGTGGGTTCAGGCTGACTTCTTTATTGCAACCTGTTTTATCAGCAAGGTCTTTATGGTAAGACCTGTGTCTTGTGCTGACCTTCTGTCTCATGCTGTGACTTAGAATGCCTTAACCTCCTGGGAATGTGGCCCAGTAGGTCGCAGCCTCATTTTACGCAACTCCTATTCAAGGTGGAATTGTTCTGGTTTAAAAACCTCTGACAGTGCTGAATGTATAACCCTCAAGTGGTTTGGAACCAAGTGATGCACCAGCTACTATTCTTGAAATAAAATCTGGGCACTGAGAAAACTCTAAAACAACCATGTTACCTGCTGAAGGAAAACAAACATGCTAGCTCCCTAGCCAGGTGCACCTTCTCTCAATCTGTGAGGCTAAAAGGATAGGTAAGTGTGCAGGAAAGGGTTAATTCAGCAGGGTTGGGTTGTTTAAACACTGTACATTCCAAAGAAAGGCTTGAATCAGGACTGGCCTTTGACCCACGAGGGGGATATCATCTCGAAGCCTTGGAATATTCTACTCCATAAAAGTGTTTTGGGGCACACGCTAGGGGCCCCTTTGCGAGGAGGAGGAAGAGGGGAAATGGTTGCCAGAGGAGTTTCTTGAATTGTATTCTTTGGAACCAGCACCTACTATGTTCTCAATGCCGTGCCACCTATAGATGATCATGGGAATAGCCAGAGTAGTCACGTACAAATCTTTTTGCGGAAAAAGGTGCTTGAATGTGTGCCTAAATGTTCGAGTTTAGCACGAGGCCACCATTGGAACACTGATGACAGATCATGATGCGGTCGTCCTTTTGGATCTTTTTAATAATGTGTGACCCTTCACCTTTAATCCCCTGACCTGCATTACCTTGGTAGCCATTTCATTTTTTAATTTCATTTTTTACTTTTGGTGTACAAGCTGTAACATTTCATCTATCAAAGTGTAACATGATGATTTCCTCAAATAGATAACTCCTTTGAGCAATAAATTTGCAAAATGCTGTCTTCGTTTGCTGTATTAAAATTCATTTCCGTTTTTTCTTTCTTTTTTTTTTTTTAAAAAAGAGTGTTGGGCCAGGCACGGTGGCTCACGCCTGTAATCCCAGAACTTTGGGAGGCCGATGTGGGCAGATCACTTGAACCCAGGAGTTCCAGACTGGCCTGGGCAACATGGGGAAACTCTGTGTCTACTAAAAATACAAAAATTAGGCGGGTGTGATGGCATGTGCCTGTAGTCCCAGTTACTTGTGGGAGGTCGAGGTTGCAGTGAGCCGAGACTGAGCTACTGCACTCCAGCCTGGGCAATGAGAGTGAGACCCTGCCTCAAAAAACAAAACAAACAAAAACTTCTTAAATTTAAAAAAAAAAGTGTTTTTGCATGTCTGAAACCTTGGACCATACTGTACCAGTTGGACCAGATAGGTTTATCCTGACAATGTGATTTATTGTAAACACCTGTTTTTGCTCAAGGGTAGGGAGCAGTGAAGAGGCATTGGGGGTGCTGGCGTCTGAGTAACTGAAGTCACTCAGTCACTCATGCAGGCCTTGCATGCCTATGGGACTAATGGAACACCAAGGCTAAGGTGAGCTTCCCTGGTTGGCAACACTTTGTACATGTTGTCGCATGTTGCTGGGAGAAGTAAGCAGGTCTATGCTGCTCCACTGAAAAAGGACACTGTCAGTTTGTACCTAGTTTCTCTTAGATTTCATCCCATGCACCTTTTCCCTTTACTAACTTTAATCTGTATCTTTTCGCTGTAATAAATGTAGCTGTGAATATAAAAGCGTTTCTGAATCCTGTGAGTCCTTTCAGTGAATCATCAAGCAGGATGGCAGACTTGGGAGCCCCCTACACAGTGAGATAACCATACCCAGGCATGAGCCGTTGGCTGCCTAGACCACTCTCACCCCGCCTCCTTTGGGCACTGCATGGCTTTGTCCTACCCCAGGCCTAGAAGTCAGAGAGAAGTCAGCCCACTGCCCCATCCTTCCTCTTTAAAGGATTCATAAAAATTCTATCCTTGTGGCCAGATCCTCTCCAGCATGAAGATGGGGAAAGGAAAATAAATGAAATATTGAAACAATGTCACATAGAATATAAGAACTAACATTCATTGAACACTCATTACATGATCTTTTATGTGCTTTATAGGTGTTATATCATTTAATCCGCAGACAACTTCATCAGCTGTTAAAGCTGTTCCTTTTTTTTTTTTTTTTTTTTAGATGGAGTTTCGCTCCTGTTGCCCCGGCTGGAGTGCAGTGGCGCGATCTCGGCTCACTGCAACCTCCGCCTTCCGGTTTCAAGTGATTCTCCTGCTTCAGCCTCCCGAGTAACTGGGACTACAGGTGCCCGCCACCAAGCTCGGCTAATTTTTTTGTATTTTTAGTAGAGATGGGGTTTCACTATGTTGGCCAGGCTGCTCTCCAACTCCTGACCTCGTGATCTGCCCTCCTCAGTCTCCCAAAGTACTGGGATTACAGGGATGAGCCACCACGCCCGGCCGCTATTCCCATTTTATAAGGGAATACAAGGAACCTAAGGCTCAGAGAACTAAGTTACTTGCCCAAATTGCCACTGCTAATGAGTGGCAGACCAGAGATTCAAAATGAAGCCTATGCTCTCAACTTACACAAACTGACGCACAAAATACAAAACAGCAGGGCATGGTGGCTCATGCCTGTAATATCAGCACTTTGGGAGGCTCAGGTATATATAATATAATATATTCTATTATATAATACAATATATAGTTTATATAATATATAATATATAGTTTATATAATATATATAATATATAGTTTATATAATACATATAATAAATATATAATGTATATATTATGTATAATATATAGTGTATATATTATGTATAATATATAGTGTATATATTGTATTATATATAGTGTATATATTATACATTATATATAGTGTATATATTATACATTATGTATAGTGTATATATTATATATTATGTATAGTGTATATATTATATATTGTATATAGTGTATATAATATATAGCTTGTATAATATATAGTTTATATTATTATATATAATATATAGCTTGTATAATATATAGTTTATATATTATATATAATATATAGCTTGTATAATATATAGTTTGTATAATATATAGTTTATATATTATATATAATATATAGCTTGTATAATATATAGTTTATATATTATGTATAATATATAGCTTGTATAATATATAGTTTATATATTATGTATAATATATAGCTTGTATAATATACAGTTTATATATTATATATAATATACAGTTTATATATTATATATAATATACAGTTTATATATTATATATAATATACAGTTTATATATTATATATTATATACAGTTTATTATATATTATATACAGTTTATATATTATATATTATATACAGTTTATATATATTATATATAACATACAGTTTATATATATTATATATAACATACAGTTTATATATATTATATATAACATACAGTTTATATATATTATATATAACATACAGTTTATATATATTATATATAACATACAGTTTATATATATTATATATAACATACAGTTTATATATATTATATATAACATACAGTTTATATATATTATATATAACATACAGTTTATATATATTATATATAACATACAGTTTATATATATTATATATAACATACAGTTTATATATATTATATATAACATACAGTTTATATATATTATATATAACATACAGTTTATATATATTATATATAACATACAGTTTATATATATTATATATAACATACAGTTTATATATATTATATATAACATACAGTTTATATATATTATATATAACATACAGTTTATATATATTATATATAACATACAGTTTATATATATTATATATAACATACAGTTTATATATATTATATAACATACAGTTTATATATATTATATAACATACAGTTTATATATTATATATAACACAGTTTATATATTATATATAACATACACTTTATATATTATATATAACATACACTTTATATATTATATATAACATACACTTTATATATTATATATAACATACACTTTATATATTATATATAACATACACTTTATATATTATATATAACATACACTTTATATATTATATATAACATACACTTTATATATTATATATAACATACACTTTATATATTATATATAACATACACTTTATATATTATATATAACATACAGTTTATATATTATATAACATACAGTTTATATATTATATATAACATACAGTTTATATATTATATGTAATATACAGTTTATATATTATATATAATATACAGTTTATATATTATATATAATATACAGTTTATATATTATATATAATATATAGCTTATATAATATACAGTTTATATATTATATTATATTATATTATATATAGTTTAGTTTATATATACAAATATAAAGAAACTAAAATACTATGGGTCTAAAAATAAAATTGCTTCTATTATGAGATAGTACAATGTTACAACAAAGTAGATTTTTCTATTCTCACTATGAGACAACGTTTAAGGAGAGATACTCTTTTTTTTTTTTGAGACAGAGCCTTGCTCTGTCGCCCAGGCTAGAGTGCAGTGGCATGATCTTGGCTCACTGCAACCTTTGCCTCCTGGGTTCAAGCGATTCTCCTGCCTCAGCCTCCCGAGTAGCTGAAATTACAGGCACCCACCACCACACCCAGCTAATTTTTGTATTTAGTAGAGATGGGATTTCACCATGTTGGCCAGGCTGGCCTTGAACTCTTGACCCCAAGCGATCCACCTGCCGCAGCCTCCCAAAGTGCTGGGATTACAGGTATGAGCCACCGTGCCAGGCACTCTTTCTTTTTTTTTTTTTTTGAAATGGAGTCTTGCTCTGTCACCCAGGCTGGAGTGCAGTGGCACAATCTCAGCTCACTGCAACCTCTACCTCCCGGGTTCAAGTGATTCTCCTGCCTCAGACTCCGGAGTAGCTGGGATTACAGGTGCATGCCACCACGCCCAGCTAATTTTTGTATTTTTAGTAGAGACAGGATTTCACCAAGTTGGCCAGGCTGGTCTCAAACTCCTGACCTCAGTTGATCCACCCGCCTCAGCCTCCCAAAGTACTGGGATTAGAGGTGTGAGCCACTGCGCCTGGCCTTGTTTTTTTGAGACCAGGTCTTGCTCTTTTGTTCAGGCTGGGGTGCATGCAGTAGCGCAATCATGGCTACTGCAGCCTCAACCTGCTTGGCTCAAGTAATACTCCCACCTCAGCATCCCAAAGTGCTGCAATTATAGGCGTGAGCCACCATGCCCAGCCTAAGGAGAGAGACTGTACTACACAAACATGATTACTGTAACAAATGTCACAAAACCCTCAAAAATTCCAAATTTCCTAATTACTGCATTGACCCATTCTGCTTGTGTGGTGGCAAATTTCTTCATTTCTCATGCATTCTCATGAATCGTCCACCTATGGAGTTTCTTATCAAAGGCCTGACATCAAAGAGAGATTGAAACATGAAAGAACCTCAGACTATGAAAGCCTAAAAAATGAATTTAACACAAAATAATGTACACAGGTCAGGATTAAAATCACTTAGAAATCAAGATTCTGAGTGGACCATATTAAAGTGTTCTGAAGGAAAGCCTTCAGGCAGACAGCAATCTCATTACCAGAAATACATTATTCTAATTAAATTCTTATGGGCTAATTCATTCTTTTGTGCCCTATTATTAAGTACATCATCGCCAAACTGGCTAATCACAGTAGACATCTTGACAAAAATTTGGAATGGTGGGGAAAACTATAAACTAGCAGTCAGGAAATCTGATTTCTAGTGTGGCCTCCACTACTAACTAGCAGTGTGACTTCAGTCAAGTCACTTAACCTCTTTTGACATTGATTTCCTCATGTGTAAAACGAGAAATACAGAATAGGTTTAAGGTCTCTTCTGCTTTGTGAAAGATACTGGCACTAGCAAACCTACAGGAAATACTAACTAAACAGAGTCCTTCAGGCTGAAATAAAAGAACTTAGGGAGTAACTTGAATGCAAATCAAGAAATCTCTTAAAGATAACTACATAGGGCTCAGCATCATGGTTTATGCCTGTGATCCCAGCACTCTAGGAAGCTGAGGAAGGAGGATCGCTTGAGGCCAAGAAGTCAAAACCAACCTGGGCACCATAGTGAGATCCCATCTCTCTACAAAAAAAAAAAAAAGAATACTTAGGTAAAAATAAAAGACAGTTAAATGTCTTTTTTTTTAGACGGAGTTTCATTCTGTTGCCCAGGCTGGAGTGCAGTGGCACAATCTTGGCTCACTGCAACCTCTGCCTCCCGGGTTCAAATGATTCTCCTGCCTCAGCCTCCCAAATAGCTGGGATTACAGGCATGTGCCACCACGCCCGGCTAATTTTTGTATTTTTAGTAGAGACAGGGTTTCGCCATATTGGCCGGGCTGGTCTTGAACTCCTGACTACAAGCGATCTGCCAGCCTCAGCCTCCCAAAGTGCTGGGATTACAGGCGAGAGCCACTGTGCCTGGCCTTAAAATGTATTTTTTGTTTGTAACTCTTTTTATCTTCTATCTAATTCAAAGACCACTGCATAAAGCAGTACTTATAAATCTGTGTTGATGGGAACACAATGTATAAAATGTAATCTGTATGACAGTAATAGCACAAAGGAGGGGAAGAGAACAGAGCTATATGGAAGCAACATTTTTATATACTATTAAAATCAAGCTGGTAGGCCAGACATGGTGGCTCACGCCTGTAATCCCAGCACTTTGGGAGGCCAAGGCTGGTGGATCAGAAGGTCAAGAGTTCGAGACCAGCCTGGCCAACATGGTGAAACCCCGTCTCTACTAAAAATACAAAAAAATTAGCTGGGCATGGTGATGCACGCCTATAATCCCAGCTACTCGGGAGGCTGAGGCAGGGGAATTGCTTGAACCCAGGAGGTGGAGGTTGCAGTGAGCTGAGATCGTGCCACTGCACTCCAGCCTGGGAGATAGCACAAGACTCTGTCTCAAAAAAAAAAAAAAAAATCAAGCTGATAATAATCCAAACTAGAGTGTTACAAAATAAGATGCTGGCCAGGCATGGTGGCTGAAATTACAAGTGTAATTACACTTGTAATTTCAGCACTTTTGGAGGCAGAGGCAAGTGGATCACTTGAGGTCAGTAGTTTCAGACCAGCCTGGCCAACATAGCAAAACCCTGTCTCCACAAAAAATACAAAAATTAGTCAGGTGTGGTGGCGGGCACCTGTAATCCCAGCTACTTGGGAGGCTGAGGCTGGAGAATTGCTTGAACCCAGGAGGCGGAGGTTGCAATGAGCCAAGATTGTGCCACTATACTCCAGCCTGGGTGACAGAGTGAGACTCTGCCCATGCGCCCCCCCAAAAAAAAAGATAGGCCGGTTGCGGTGACTCATGCCTATAATCCCAGCAATTTCAGAGGCCGAGGCAGGAGGATCATTTGAGGTCAGGAGTTTGAGACCAGCCTGACCAACAGAGCAAAACCACATCTCTACCAAAAATACAAAAATTAGCTGGGTGTGGTGGCACACACCTGTAGTCCCAGCTACTTGGGAGGCTGAGGCATGAGAATCGCTTGAGCCCAGGAGGCAGAGGTTGCAGTGAGCTGAAATTGTGCCACTGCATTCCAGCCTGGGCAACAGACTGTGTCTCAAAAAAAAAGAAAGATAAAAAGATGCTAATTGCACCAAGTTTAAAATTGAAAACAGAAGAAAAAAACTAGAATAACTGAAACAATCTTGAGAAAGAAGAAAAATGCTGAAGGCATCACATTTCCTGATTTAAAATATATTATAAAGCTCTAGTAATTAAAACTGTAAGGTACTAATGTGAAAACAGACATATAGACCATTGGAAGAGAATAGAGAGCCCAGAGCCAGGCATGGCAGCTCACACCTGTAATCCCAACTACTTGGGAAGATTGCTTGAGCCCAGGAGTTCAAGGCTGCAGTGAGCTACCATTGCACCACTACACTCCACATTGGGCCATAGAGTGAGACCCCATCTCTAAAAAACAAAAACAAAAGAATAGAGAACCCAGAAATAAACCCACACATATATGGTCAACTGATCTTCCACATGAATGCCAAAAATACACAACAAGGATATGTTGGAAAAACTGGGTATCAGCCAGACACGGTGGCTCACAACTGTAATCCGAGCACTTTGGGAGGCCGAGGCTGGTGGATCATCTGAGGTCAGGAGTTTGAGACCAGCCTGGCTAACACGGCAAAACTGTCTCTACCAAAAACATTACAAAAAAACATTAGCCGGGAGTGGTGGCACACACACGTAATCCTAGCTACTGAGGTGTGACAATCACTTGAACCCAAGAGGCAGAGATTGCAGTGAGCCGAAATGGCACTCCTGTGCGCCAGCCTGGGTGACAGAGTGAGACCCTGTCTCAAAAAAACAAAACCAAAAACACTGGATATCCACATGCAAAAGAATTATATCAGAATATCTTATACTATAAAAAAATCAACTCAAAATGGATTAAAGACTTAAATGTTAAGAACTGAAATTGTAAAACTCCTTATAAGAAAATCCAGGGGGTGACCAGGTGTGGTGGTTCACATCTGTAATTCCAGCACTTTGGGAGGCCGAGGCAGGTGGATCATCTGAGGTCAGGAGTTTGAGACCAGCCCGGCTAACATGGTGAAACCCGGCTCTAAGAAAAATACAAAAATTAGCTGGGCATGGTGGTGCACACCTGTAATCCCAACTACTTGGGAGGCCGAGGCAGGAGAATTGCTTGAATCCAGGAGGTAGAGGTTGCAGTGAGCTGAGATCATGCCATTGCACTCCAGCCTGGGTGACAGAGTGGGACTCTGTCTCAAATAAAAACATAATAATAATAAAAAGAAAATACAGGGGGAAAGTGTCATGATATTGGTCTTGGCAATGATTTCTTTTTTTTTTTTTTTTTTTTTGCACGCACCACCACATGCAGCTAATTTTTGTATTTTAGTAGAGACAGGGCTTCACCATGGTGGCCAGGCTGGTCTCAAACTACTGACCTCAAGTGACCCTCCCTCCTCGGCCTCCATAAGTCCTAGGATTACAGGCATGAGCCACTGCACCTAGCCACTTACACAGTACTTTCTCTGTTCAAAATCTGTTCTAAGCATTTTTTGTACATTTACTTATTTGATCTTCATACCTACCCTAGAAGATAGATATTATATGTTATAGTTGAGGAAACTGAGGCATGGAGGAAGTTAAGGGATTTGCCCAAAGGTTCATAAAACCCAAGAGTTCATTTGTAAGCAAGTATTGAGAACATGCTATTAAACGATGTTTTTTACCTTTGTTCAAAAAAAACCCTAAGAGTTTAATCATATAAACTGATTTGTAGTTTAGCAAAACAATTCATTTTTTGATCATTTAAATTTGAAAGTATTCCATGGCAATATTTTATTGCGAACTATGTCTGACTACCTATTATTTTAACCTAAATCTTAAGCTGTAGGAAATGGTTTGAATTTAATGATCTTGAAGCTTTTAGTAATTTTTTTTAGGTTTTGCTTTTCTTTTCCTTGAGACAGAGTCTCGCTCTGTTGTCCAGGCTGGAGTGCAATGGCACGATCTTGGCTCACTGCAACCACTGCCTCCAGGTTCAAGCGATTCTCCTCCCTCAGCTTCCTGAGTAGCTGGGATTACAGGCACACACCAATATGTCCAGCTAATTTTTGTATTTTCAGTAGAGACGAAGTTTCACCATGTTGGCCAGGCTGGGTCTCAAACTCCTGACCTCAGGTGATCCGCCCACCTCAGCCTCCCAAAGTGCTGGGATTACAGGCATGAGCCACCATGCCTGGCCAGGCTCTACTAAGTCCCTATTTGAGTTTAGATACATTGTAGAAACCTGATCAAGCACATGCTTTTCCCTCCTTTTGGAACACACTAGCCATTTTTCTCTGCCTAGAAACTTCTAATCATTCTCTAAGACTAAGCTTTTTACTTCCTCGATGAAACTTTACCTGCGTCATGCCCTCGACAGAATATATCACTCTTCTGGTTTCCTGCAATATTCTGCTTATTATATCTGTTTTCACATTTCATTATCATTATCTGTTTATAACTGTTTTCCTTCTTCCTCATTTGCTTGCCTCCTTCCCTAAGTTATGAGTTACTCAAAAACAGGTACCATTTTTTATTCACTTTTATGTTTTTGGTTCCTGGTAGTTCAAAACATTTGTGGAATACTCCATATGAAATCTAATATGGAGGCAAGCAGATTACTCGAGCTCAGAAGTTTGAGACCAGCCTGGGCAATATGGTGAAACCCTGTCTCTACAAAAAATATGAAAAATTAGCTGGGTGTGGTGGCATGTACTTGTAGTCCTTGCACAGGCTGAGGTGGGAGGATTGCTTGAGTCCAGAAGGCAGAGGTTGCAGTGAGCTGAGATTGCACCACTGCACCCTAGCGTGGGCAACAGTGCAAGACCTGTCTTGAAAAAAAATAAAGAAAACAAAACCTGATATCCATGTAATGGAAGTGCACAATGTAGAGAAAAATTTGGAGATCAACTGGGCCACAGTTTTGAAATCAGTGTAAGACCCAGCAAGTGCTAAATTGTGAGACATCTTTCAGCTTCCATGGTCCTTTCAGGACCCAACTTCTCTGCACAGCAAACTCTAACTCTCCAGTCTCCACTAAAGGAAGGAAAGCAAGTAACAAATTATTTGTTGTAATTTAATGAGTCACCTGATCTGAGAGTATTTCAAAGAATCTAAAAGAGGACCAATGGTAAACCCAAAGGATTGAATCTACCGATAATTTTTTTTAGGGGGTTAAAATTTATTTATATGTTTTTTTAATCTTCTCGTTCATGTTCTCTCATGAAAATCTACTAACACAGTGGCCAATATATGAAAACATTCTGAGTAGCTTTTCCCCAAATTAAACCACATTAGCAATTACCTTCACATTGTACATAAGCTTAGTCTTAAGTAGAAACTATTTTTCCATTTGGAACTTGGCAAACCCTCTCATTTTCATAATTAAAAACCTCATTGCCATCTCCACCAGGTGGTCTTTTTTTCCATTATATTCTACCTGGGCTTTAGTGTACCAATCCCTAAGGAAGTCTGGGTAGATGAGCTATTTTTAGAATCTATGAATATTGCTGGCATGAATGATCCATCTACAAATTCCCAAAAGAATTACCAGTTTTGAGAATTAGGCAGTGCCTCATCATAATATTGAAAATTATTTCAGTGTTAGGCTTGAAAAATCATTGCCTCGGGGTCTGGATACACAGCCAAGAAAGACTAAAAGTAAAAATCTTTCAAATCCTGGCCCTAGGAAAAGGATGCTACATCCCACCTGGGCCTTTTCAGCTAAACTGGTCCTTGAACCTCATCAACAACAGCAAAGACACCAGTCTGGGCTTTGAAGGATGACAATCTTGAATGGAGAGTCATGGGGTCTCTAAGAATAATATATCACTCACAAATGTATCTACATCATTTTTCACCATATTTATATTTGCAACTGATATTAATTTATCTTACTTTTATCAAAACATTACTTTTTTTTCCAACTTTTTTTTTTCTTTTTTTTTCCGAGATGGAGTCTCGCTGTCACCTAGGCTGGAGTGCAGTGGCGAGATCTCGGCTCACTGCAAACTCCGCCTCCCAGGTTCCAGTGATTCTCCTGCCTCAGCCTCCTGAGTAGCTGGGATTACAGGTGCCCACCACCATGCCCGGCTAATTTTTAAATTTTTATTAGAGACAGGATTTCACCATGTTGGCCAGACTAGTCTCAAACTCCTGACCTCAGGTGATCTGCCTACCTTGGCTTCCCAAAGTGCTGGGATTACAGGTGTGAGCCACCATCCCCAGTCTTTATTTTCAACTTTTAAGTTCAGGGGTACATGTGCAGAATGTGCAGGTTTGCTATTAGGTTGGTGCAAACATAATTGCGGTTTTTGCATTGTTGAAATTTGCTGTTTGATATTGGAATACGTTCTTAAATAAATGTGGTTATGTTATACATTGTTTTAATGCATGTTTCTTGCTTTTTTTGCTAATGACTTATTACTTGCTGTTTATTTTATATTTATTTTATTATTTATTTATTTATTTTTTGAGAGGGAGTCTCACTCTGGAGTACAGTGGTGTGACCATGGTTCACTGCAACCTCCGCCTCCCAGGTTCAAGCAATTCTCCTGCCTCAGCCTCCTGAGTAGCTGGCAGTACAGGCCCGTGCCACCATGCCCAGCTAATTTTGTATTTTTAGTAGAGACAGTTTCACCATGTTGGCCAGGCTGGTCTTGAACTCCTGGCCTCAAGTGATTCACCTGCTTCTGCCTCCCAAAGTGCTGGGATTACAGGCATGAGCCACCATGCCAAGCCCATATTTTATATTTATTTTAGAGTATGGAAATGAGGTTAGAGGAAAAGGAAACTATTTTTGTCTTTTTGAGCAATTTTCTTATTCAAGTTCAAAATGGGTCATAAAGCAGTGGAGACAACTCGCAACATCAACAATGCATTTGACCCAGGAACTGCTAACAAGTGTACAGTGTAGTGGTGGTTCAAGAAGTTCTGCAAAGGAGACCAGAGCCTTGAAGATGAGGAGCATAGAGGCTGGCCATTGGAAGCTGACAATAACAAATTAAGAGCAATCATCAAAGCTGATCCTCTTACAACTACACAAAAAGTTTTGGAAGAACTCAACATCAACCATTCTATGGTCATTCAGCATCTGAAGCAAATTAGAAATGTGAAAAAGCTTGATAAATGCATGTCTCATGAGTTGAGCGAAAATTTAAAAAATATTGTTCTAAAGTGTCATCTTCTCTTATTTTATGCAACAACGAACAGTTTTTCTGATTGGATTGTGATGTGCGATGAAAAGTGGATTTTATACTACAATCAGCGACAACCAGCTCAGTAGTGGGACTGAGAAGAAGCTCCAAAGCATTTCCCAAAGCCAACCTGCACTGAAAAAAAGGTCATGGTCACCTTGTGTGGTGATCTGCTGCCAGTCTGATCTACTACAGCTTTCTGAATCCCAGCAAACCCATTACATCTGAGAATTATGCTCAGCAAATAGATGAGATGCACCAAAACTGCAACGCCTGCAGCCAACATTGGTCAATAGGAAAGGCCCAATTCTTTTCCACAACAATGTCCGACTGCGCATCACACAACCAACACTTCAGAAGTTGAAAGATTGGGCTACAAAATTCTGCCTCATCCGTCATATTCACCTGACCTCTTGCCAACTGACTACCACTTCTTCAAGCATCTTGACAACTTTTGGCAGGGAAAATGCTTCCACAACCAGCAGGATGCAGAAAATGCTTTCCAAGAGTTCGTTGGGCCCCAAAGCATGGATTTTTAAGCTATAGGAATTAACAAACTTATTTCTTGTTGGCAAAAATGTATTGATTGTAATGGTTACTATCTTAATGAATAAAGATGTGTTTGAGCCTAGTTATAATGATTTAAAATCCACGGTCCGAAACAGCAATTACTTTTGTACCAATCTAATACATAGATAAATCCGTGCCATGGTGACTTGCTGCACAGATCATTCCATCACCCAGGTGTTAAGCCCAGCATCCACTAGCTATTCTTCCTGATCCTCTCCCTTCTCCCTTCTCCCACCCCCACCCTCTGACAGGCCCCAGTGTCTGTCATTCCCCACTATGTGTCCATGTGTTCTCATCATTTAGCTCCCACTTATAAGTGAGAACATGTGGTATTTAGTTTTCTGTTCCTGCATTAATTTGCTGAGGATAATGGCTTCCAGCTCCATCCATGTCTCTGCAAAGGACATGATCTCATTCCTTTTGATGCTTGCATAGTATTCCATGGTGTATATGTACCACATTTTCTTTTTTTTTTCTTTAGATGGAGTCTTGCTCTGTTGTCCTGGCTGGAGTGCAGCGGCCAGGTAGTTCTGCCTCTAGGTCTTTGAGGAATTGCCACACTGTCTTCCACAATGATTCAATTAATTTACACTACCACCAACATTGTAAAAGGGTTCCTTTTTCTCCACAATCTCACCAGCATCTGTTGTTTTTGACTTTTTAATAATCACCATTCTAACTGGTGTGAGATAGTATCTCACTTTCGTTTGGATTTGCATTCTGTAGTGATTGGTGATGTTGAACTTTTTTCACATATTTGTTGGCCACATGTATATCTTCTTTTGAGAAGTATCTGTTCATGTCCTTTGCCCACTTTTTTTTTTTTTTTTTTGAGGAGTCTCGCTATGTTGCCCAGGCTGGAGTGCAGTGGTGTGATCTCGGCTCACTGCAACCTCCACCTCCTGGATTCAAACGATTCTCAGCCTCAGCCTCCTGAGGAGCTGGGATTACAGGCAAGTGCACCACCCCCAGCTAATTTTTTTATTTTTAGTAGAGGCGGGGTTTCATCATATTGGCCAGGCTGGTCTGGAACTCCTGACCTCAAGTGATCTGCCCACCTCAGTCTCTCAAAGTGCTAGGATTACAGGCGTGAGCCACTGCACCTGGCCTCTTGGCCCACTTTTTAATATGTTTGTGATTTCTTTGTAAATTTTAAAATGTTACTTTCAAAATGCAAAGGAGTACCTCTTATTTCTTGGTTTCCCATATTTTGTGAATAAATCTATATTTATCTTATCCGTTATTCTTGCTTTCATAGCCTTGATTCATATTTCTTTTATCAGCTTTTAATTTCAGAGAAAAAAAGACCCCTAAGCTTTCAGCAGTTGATTATCTAGTTTCTGATTTGTTCAGTTCAATTCACCATAAGTATTTTTGAGCTCTTACTACAAAGGCCAAAACTGAAACATACAAAATGTAAGATGGGTTTCTGTTTTCAAAAGGCTTAAAGTCTTGCGGGAATTCAGGCAACCAAAAAAAATTTTTTTTTATGATCTACTAGGTACCAAAGGAGCTGTAGCCTAGAGATTAGAGCACTGACTCTGGAGCCAGATGATCTAAATTCAAATTCTGGTTCTGCCACTTAATGGACAACCTTGGGCAAATTGCTTAAATTCTCTGTAATTCAGGTTTCTTGTCTGTAAAACTGAGCTAAGAATATTATCTGAGTTGTTATGAGGATGAAGTTCCAAGCTAAGCACTTAGAACAGCATCTAACTGGCATACAGTAAGCACTCAATAAATGTCAACTATTTGAGATGGTCATTAAGTACTGCTCACAAATATTACTGTTTTCCTTTCTTCCAGACATGTGGAATGCACACATGGTTGGATCACATTTTCCTGTCCCCTTTTAAGTTAGGCATGGCAATGTGCCTGACTCTGGCTAATAAAATGTGAAAAGTGGCATGTATCAGTTCTAGGTAGAAGCTTAAAAACCGGTACATAAATTTACTAAGTTAATTTCTCCCTGTCATGGTGAATAAGCAAACATGTGCTGAGATGGATGAGATGAAACCTCTTATACTAAGATGTGTGACTAAGTATCCCATATCTTGGGACTTTTTTTTTTTTTGAGATGGAGTCCTACTGTCTCCCAAGCTGGAGTACAGTGGCACAATCTCAGCTCACTGCAACCTCTGCCTCCCAGGTTCAAGAGATTCTCATGCCTCAGCCTCCCAAGTAACTGGGACTACAGGCATGTGCCAAGACACCCAGCTAATTTTTGTATCTTTTAGTAGAGACAGGGTTTCACCATGTTGGCCAGGCTAGTCTCAAACTCCTGGCCTCAAATGATCTGCCCACCTTGGCCTCCCAAATTGCTGTGATTACAGGCGTGGGCCACCACACCCAGCCCATATATTGGGACTTTTAAAAATGAACAGAACCTGGCTGGGCATGGTGGCTCACGCCTGTAATCCCAGCACTTTGGGAGGCTGAGGCAGGTGGATCACTTGAGGCCAGGAGTTTGAGACCAGTCTGGCCACCATAGTGAAATCCCGTCTCAGTTAAAAATACAAACATTAGCCGGGTGTGGTGGTGCGTGCCTGTAGTCCCAGCTACTCAGGAGGCTGAGGCAGGAGAATCACTTGAACCCAGGAGGCAGAGGTTGCAGTAAGCCAAGATTATGCCACTGCACTCCAGCCTGGGTGACAGGAATGAAACCCTGTCTCAAAAAAAAAAAAAAAAGTGAACAGAACCCCTTGCTAATCTGTGATAAATAAGTAGCTTGAATCCTGAATCAGACCTAAACCTCTGTTGTGTTGAAGCATTGAGACTTTGGGGCTATTTGTTAGTGCAGCTTAATCTGACCAATACACTGTCCTTACAATCACTGGGAATATAGTAGTGAATCAAATTGACAAGATGCCTGCCTTCATGAAGCTTCTTAAGACTTGAATGCAATTTCATTTTTTTTTTTTTTTGAGACGGAGTCTCGCTCTGTCTCCCAGGCTGGAGTGCAGTGGCGCATCTCTGCTCACTGCAAGCTCCGCCTCTCGGGTTCACGCCATTCTCCTGCCTCAGCCTCCTGCGTAGCTGGGACCACAGGTGCCCGCCACCATGCCCGGCTATTTTTTTGTATTTTTTTAGTAGAGACGGGATTTCACGGTGTTATCCAGGATGGTCTCAATCTCCTGACCTTGTGATCCGCCCACCTCGGCCTCCCAAAGTGCTGGGATTACAGGTGTGAGCCACCGCGCCCAGCCTGAATGCAATTTTCATACTATTCTATTCAAACAAATAATTTAGAAAAAGACAAATTGACTGATGTGAGTTTACCACTTCCTGCTGTCTCCCACAGTGAGAGCCTTAAAATGCTATAAAGTAGTCAAAATAAAGAAGAAAGCTGGAAAAGAAAAGAAGCATCTATAATATGGCCTCAGCTTACGTAACTCTTAATACCTGTCAAAACGCACGATATAAGCCGGGCGCAGTGGCTCACGCCTGTAATCCCAACACTTTGGGAGGCCGAGGTGGGCGGATCACAAGGTCAGGAGATCCAGACCATCCTGGCTAACACGGTGAAACCCCGTCTCCACTAAAAATACAAAAAAAAAAAAAAAAAAAAAAAAGTCTCCGGGCGTGATGGCGGACGGACGCCTGTAGTCCCAGCTACTCCGGAGGCTGAGGCAGGAGAATGGCGTGAACCCGGGAGGCGGAGCTTGCAGTGAGCCGAGATCGTGCCACTGCACTCCAGCCTGGGCGACAGAGCAAGACTCCGTCGCAAAAAAAAAAAAAAAAAAAAAAAAAAAAAACAAAACAAACAAAAAAAAACGCACAATGCAGCTAAACAACACAGGGATCATCTCACAATATGCACAAAGAAGCGTGTAGAGAGCTAAACATGAGCATCATGAGACCTATAAGATTTTATCCAGGCTCTGCCACCCACTGCCTGAGTAACGGCCAGTGTGATAACCTGTCAATTTCTGGGATCCCTCAACACTTGGATATAAGGAAATATCAACTCCTTCTCTAAGAGATAAGCTATATGATAGATCTGAGCATTAATTAATTAACTCATTCATTCTTCTAATCAGCAAATAGTTATTGACCGTCTACTAAGTGTCAGGGAATGTGAGGCACAGTGACACAGAGATGAACAAGAGAGGCAAGGTCCTACTCCCATGTAGCAGCTTACATTTACCATGGGAGATAGAGAACAGCAAATTGTTAAACAAGTTAATCTTATAAAATGCAAATAGTGATAACTACTTTGAAACAAACAGATGGGTAAGTGTGATGGGGGAATGGTACTTTTAGTTTGAGTGGTCAGAGAGGCATCCTCGTGGAAGTGATGCTGAGTTTGGGCTGAAATATGACTTACACAAAAGAACCAACCCCTAAGGATCTCGAGTGTTCTAGGTAGAAAGGCAAGTACAAAGGTCCTGAGGTATAGAAGGGCATAAAGAACGTGGGGAAGAGTGGTAGGAGATGAGTCAAAGAGACAGCAGGGTTAAATCATGCAGGCTTTTGTAAGCAATAAGGAGTTTGGAGGCTCATGGAGATTTTGAATCAGAAGCATGTTATAATTTAATTTATGATATATGTTTCAAAGATAACCACAATGTAACCACCCAACAGGTTCATGTTGCCTGCTGCCTAGACAAGGCCAATTTATCAAGACAGGGGAATTGCAATAGAGAAAGAGTAATTCATGCAGGGCCAGCTGTATGGGAGACTAGAGTTTTATTATTACTCAAAATAGTCTCCCTGAGAATTCGGGGATTAGAGTTTTTAAGGATAATTTTGGGTGGGGGCAGTGAGTCAGGAGTGTTGATTGGTTGGGTCAGAGATGAAATCATAGGGAGCCAAAGCTGTTCTTTTACCCTGAGTCAGTTCCTGGGTGGGGGCAATAAGATCAGACAACTCAGTTTATCCTGTCTGCGTGGTGCCAGCCAATTCATCAAGTGCAGAGTCTGCAAAATATCTCAAGCACTGATCTTAGATTTTACAGTAGTGATGTTATCTCCTGGAGCAATTTGAGGAGAGTCAGAATCTTGTAGCCTCCAGCTGCATGTCTCCTAAACCATAATTTCTAATCTTGTGGCTAATTTGTTAGTCCTACAATGGCAGTCTAGTTCTTAGGCAAGAAGCATGTTTGTTTTGGGAAAGGGCTGTTATTATCTTTGTTTTAAACTATAAACTATAAACTAAGTTCCTCCAAAAGTTAGTTCAGCCTATGCCCAGAAATGAACTAGGATAGCTTGGAGGTTAGAAGCAAAATGGAGTCGGTTAGGTCAGATCTCTTTCACTGTCTCAGTTATAATTTTGCAATGGTAGTTCCACCAACTGCTATATGGGAAGGAATGAGTTTGGAGGCAATTTCAAAAGTCTAGTTAAGAAACTGGACAGGGGGCAACAGAAAATAGGGTCAGAAAGTTCATGAATATATTTTGGAAAACAAGTCAAAAGAACCAACTGACGAGTTGGATCTGGCAAGTTAAAGACTGAATCAAGGATGATGGAAGATGACGTCATTTGGTAAAATAGGGAAAACCAAGGAGGAATGGATTTGGGGGTGGAAATGAGCAATTGTGTTTTTGAACACATTGAACTTGATATACCTACCAGGCAGAATTTTTAGGAAGAATAAACTCAGCAGGGCGCGGTGGCTCACGCCTGTAATCCCAGCACTTTGGGAGGTCAAGGTGGGTGGATCACCTGAGGTCAGGAGTTCAAGACCAGCCTGGCCAACATGGTGAAACCCCATCTCTACTAAAAAATACAAAAATTAGCCAGGCATGGTGGTGTGCCCCTGTAACCTCAGCTACTTGGGAGGCTGAGGCACAAGAATCGCTTGAACCAGGAGGCGGAGTTTATAGTGAGCCGAGATTGCACCACTGCACTCCAGCCTGGGCCACAGAACGAGACTCTTGTCTCAAAAAAAAAAAAAAAAAAAAGAATAAATGAGATGACATTTTAAAACACCTAATACATAATCAGTACTCAAAAAAACAATTATTTTCTTTCCAAATTTGCTAAATTTCCTAAAGCCAGGTGACCTAATTTGAAAAAGGGACGATATCAATCTTACAGATTCATAGTGTGCCTTAATAGACTTAATATATGTGAATAAAGGTTATTAATAATAACTAATGCATATATAGTTCTTACCATGTTCTAAGCACTCTTTTAAGTATATTTAATTTATTAATCAGTTTAAGCCAACAACTCTATAAGTAAAACTGCCCTTATAAAATTATAACTGATGGCTGGGCACGGTGGCTCACACCTGTAATCCCAGCACTTCAGGAGGCCGAGGTGGGTGGATCACAAGGTCAGGAGATCGAAACCATCCTGGCTAACATGGTGAAACCCCATCTCTACTAAAAATACAAAAATTAGCTGGGCATGGTGGCGGGTGCCTGTAGTCCTAGCTACTCAGGAGGCTGGGGCAGGCGAATGGTGTGAACCCGGGAGGCGGAGTGCAGTTAGCCAAGACCGTGCCACTGCACTCCAGCCTGGGTGACAGAGTGAGACTCCGTTTCAAAAAAAAAAAAAAAAATTATAACTGAAAGAGTGAAAGAGATCCGACCTAACCAACTCCATCTGGCTTCTAACTTCCAAGCAATCCTTGTTCATTCCTGGGCATCCATGAAACTAATTTTGGGAGGAGCCTAGTTTATAGTTAAACTTTGAAACTTTGATCTCTGGCCGGGCGCAGTGGCTCACACCTGTAATCCCAGCACTTTGGGAGGCTGAGGCAGGCAGATCACTGGAGTCCAGGAGTTTGAGACCAGCCTGGGAAACATAGCAAAACTCTGTCTCTACAAAAATTACAAAAAATAGCCGAGCATGGTGGAGTGTGCCTGTAATCCCAGCTACTAAGGAGGCTGAGGTGGGAGGATCACTTGAGCCTGGGAGGTCTAGGTTGCAGTGAGCAGAGGTGTCACCAGTGCAATCCAGCCTGGGCAACAAAGTCTCAAAAAAAAAAAAACCAAGAAAAACCAAATAGTACCTCTTTTGTTTAATTGGATTTTCCTGATTACAAATGAGAGAACCAATTTTTTTTTGAGACAGAGTCTTGTTTGTTGCCCAGGCTGGAGTGCAGTGGCGCGATCTTGGCTCACTGCAACCTCCACCTCCCGGGTTCAAGCAATTCTCCTGTCTCAGCCCTCCGAGTAGCTGGGACTACAGACGCGTGCCACCACATCCAGCTAATTTTTGTATTTGTCATAGAAACGGGGTTTCACCATGTTGGCCAGGCTGGTCTTAAACTCCTGACCTCATGATCCGCCCACCTCAGCCTCCCCAAGTGCTGGGATTACAGGCATGAGCCACCACGCTGGGCCCAATATTTCCCTTCCCCCCTTCATAATATAGGTAAATGTGCTGATACAATGTAAAAAAAAAATGATTAAAAAAAGAAGTCCACAACTATAAATCAACCAAATATGAGCTTTGTCCTTTGTTATACGTTTACCCATTCAACCAGTACACATTGAACTGATATTTGCCAGGCCTGGTTTACAAAGATGACTAAGATATTGTGTGGAGACAAAAATGAATCCAGCTAAGTATAAGGCTGTGAGCTAACTGCTGTAATAGACATAGGTTCACAATGCATGCCTGGAAAAATAGCATTCATCCTTCAAGAGTCCTTCATATTTCTGCAAAGTAATAACAACTAGCATTGATTGCTTGTTCTGACCTATTCACTGTGCTAAATGTATCACATGAATGATCTCAACTGATCTTCATAACAACCTTAAGAGGTAGTTCTTATTATTTTCTCCATTTCATAGATGAAGGAACTGAGGCAGAGAGAAGCTAAGCAGTTTTTTTTAAGGTTGTGGCAGGACTCGGATTTGAAGACAAGCAATCTGACTTCAAAGCCTGTGATCTTAGGTACTTACGCTATTCCACCTCCTTAATCTATTCTGTTTACCTCCCCTTCCTCTTTCCATGCAAAATCAGAAGACAGTATTTTGTGGTATCATAGCATCCTAGGAATACCTCTATTGGAAATTCTACTGTTTTGAACTATTATGTTCCAGTGACTGTCTCCTTTAGAAAAGGAATGTATTATTCTTTTTTAGACTGCATAGCAAGTAGTAGGTGTTCAATAATGTCACCAAGGATAAAACTAGTGATTAAAAATGTGATTATTTCAACCACCTTGAAGGAGGACAAACTGTTCATGGCAAGCAAGCAGGCCAGGCTGTAAAAGGTGCATTTGTTCTAGTTCAAGAGGCCTCATGGAGCCCAGGATACCTAGAGAGCAGATATTCACAAAAGGGGTGAAAGGACTAGGAGAAAGAGAGGCAAGGGCTGCTGGAGTTGACAGATTTTCTTTCCCGTAGGTGATGAGATGGATTTGAAGGACAGTGATCTGTAGGAAATTCATAGACTGCTCTGCGTATTTGTTCTCACACTTAAAAATGTAACCAGCTGGGCACGGTGGCTCATGCCTGTAATCCCAGCACTTTGGGAGGCCGAGGTGGGCAGATCGCCTCAGGTTAGGATTTCGAGACTGGCCTGGCCAACATGGTGAAACCCCGTCTCTACTAAAAACACAAAAATTAACCGGGTGTGGTGGTGCGAGCCTGTAATCCCAGCTACCCGAGAGGCTGAGGCAAGAGAATCACTTGAACTCAGGAGGTGGAAGTTGCAGTGAGCCCAGGTCTTGCCACCGCACTCCAGCCTGGGCAACAGAGCGAGACTCCTGCTCAAAAAAAAAAAAAAAAAGTGTCTAACCTTAGAAGGGCTTAAGTGGTATTTTGATGCACCCAAGAGCAGAACTCTAGAGAACTCTTTCAAAAGTAACTTTTAAGGAAATGTCAGCCTTTTATAAAATATCCGCCCAAGTAACTTGGAAACCCTTTCTTTGAGAAAATGAACCACATCAAACACATACTGAGATCGTGAAGTGCACTTTAAGCTCATTTTTGCTGGAAGGGAAATCTCACTTGTACCCTTCTTCAAAACAAACATGTGTAGACTCTGGTCTAACTGTCTAAATTTTGTTGCTGTTACCTTTAATTTTTTTTCCTTTGTGAAGGGAATAGAATTTTATCTGTATTATTTGTAAGGGCTTTTTTTCCCCTGAGATAAATGTGACATATGTCAGGAACTAGAGTTAATCTGGCCTAACATGGAACAAGGAGAGCTGGGGCTCAGAGGCATAAAGGACTTTATTTGTTCCTAAGATCAGTGCTTGAGATATTTTGCAGATCCTGAACCTGATGAATCAGCTGGCACCACCCAGATCGATTAACTGGCTCATCTGATCTTGTGGCCCCCACCCAGGAACTGACTCAGTACAAGAGGACAGCTTCCATACCCTATGATTTCATCTCCTGCCTAACCAGTCACCACTCCTGACTCCCTGGCTTCCCCCCACCTACAAGTTGTCCTTAAAAACTCTGATCCCTGAATGCTCGGGGAGCCTGATCTGAGTAATAATAAAACTCCAGTCTCCTGCACAGCCTGCTCTGCATAAATTACTCTTTCTCTATTGTGATTCCCCTGTCTTGATAAACTGGCTCTGTCTAGGCAGCAGGCAAGGTGAATCCATTGGGCAGTTACAACTTTAGAATCCTCCCGAGGTGGGAGGATCATTTGAGGACAGGAGTTTGAGACCAGCCTGGGAAACATGGCAAGACCCCATCTCTATAAATAAATTAAATTAATGTGTTGGCAGGACCTTCTGGAAGCTTTAGGGGAAAATCCATTTCCTTGCCTTTTCTAGCTTCTCCAGGCCCCCTACATTCCTTGGCTAAGGCCTTCTTCCACCTTCAAAACTAGCAATGACTAGTCGAGTCTTTCTCATGCTGCATCAGTTGGCCACCGACTCTTCTTCTGCCCCTCTCTTCCACCTTTTTTGTAATTTTTAATTTTTATTTTTTTGAGACAGAGTCTCACTCTGTTGCCCAGGCTGGAGTGCAATGGCGCAATCTTGGCTCACTGCAACTTCCGCCTCCCGGGTTCAAGCGATTCTCCCACCTCAGCCTCCTGAGTAGCTGGGCTTACAGGTGTGTGCTACCACTGCTGGCTAATTTTTATATATATATATATTTTTTTTTTTTTTTGAGACGGAGTTCCACTCTTGTTGCACAGGCTGGAGTGCAATGGCGCAATCTTGGCTCACCGCAACCTCCGCCTCCCGGGTTCAAGCTATTCTCCTGCCTCAGCCTCCCAAGTAGCTGGCGTTATAGGCATGTGCCACCACGCTTGGCTGATTTTGTATTTTTAGTAGAGACGGGGTGTCTCCATGTTGGTCAGGCTGGTCTCAAACTCCCAACCTCAGGTGATCCGCCCATCTCGGCTTCCCAAAGTGCTGGGATTACAGGAGTGAGCCACCGTACCTGGCCAATTTTTATATTTTTAGTAGAGATGGGTCTTCACCACGTTGGCCAGGCTGATCTCAAACTCCTGACCTCAGGTGATCTGCCCGCCTGGGCCTCTCAAAGTGCTGGGATTACAGGTGTGACCCACTGCGCCCAGCCATAAACACATCTTTAAAAGTGTAAGAGGCCAGGTGGTCAGGAGTTTGAGACCAGCCTGACCAACATGGCGACACCCTGTCTCTACTAAAACTACAAAAATTAGCCGGGCATGGTGGTGCGTGCCTGTAGTCCCAGCTACTTAGGAGGCTGAGGTGGGAGAATTGCTTGAACCCAGGAGGCAGAGGTTCAGCAAGCCAAGATTGCACCACTGCACTCCAGCCTGGGTAACAGAGCGAGACTCTATCTCAAAAAAAAAAAAAAAAAAAAAAAAAAAAAAAAAGATGTGTTCACATTGAGCCCACCCAGATACTCCAGATTAATTTCCCTATTTCAAGGACAAATGATTAGCAACTTTAATTCCATCTGCAACCTTAATTCTCCTTTTCCATGTAACATATTCACAGGTTCCAGGGATTTAGCGTGTGCTTATCTTTGGGGCTTAATTATTCTGCCTATCGCAACTTCCAAAGTTGAACTATATTGTGCAAGATGGACATTCAAGCTACCAACAATGTTGAAAACTTAGATTTGTTCAGTACATTTATAGCCATTACACATTCTTTATGCCTGAAAGGTAAACCTTGTCCAGAAAGCATGAATAAATAAATTGGTATCCTTTTTTGTAGGATTCTTGGCTCAGGGCCAAAGGAGCTTTACAGTACTTTTTAGATTCTCACAGGTAAAAAAAAACAAAACAAAAAAACAAGCCAGGCACAGTGGCTCATGCTTGTAATGTAATGCCAACACTTTGGGAGGCCAAGGTGGGTGGATCGTTTAAGCCCAGCAGCCTGGGCAACATGGCAAAACCCTGTCTCTACAAAAAATACGAAAACTAGCCAGGCATGGTGGCACGTGCCTGTAGTCCCAGCTACTCAGAAGGGTGAGGTGGGAGAATCACTTGAGCCAGGGAGGCAGAGGTTGCAGTGAACTGAGATCGGGCCACTGCACTCCAGCCTGGGCAACAGAGCAAGGCCCTGTCTCCAAACAAAACAAAACAAAACAAAAAAACAAGAGATATATAACACTATTGACATAAATAAATGTCTCTTTTGGAGGAGAGTAACAATATCCTAAAATCATTACTTTTGTGTCAAAACAATAAATGTTTACACTGGAGACAATAGAAAAAGCTGAGCGTTCAAAGTTTTTTGTTTTTGAGACAGAGTTTTGCTCCTGTTGCCCAGTCTGGAGTGCAACGGCGCCATCTCAGCTCACTGCAACCTCTGTCTCCCTGGCTCAAGTGATCCTCCTGCCTCAGCCTCCTGAGCAGCTGAGATAACAGGCATGCGCCACCACACCCAGTGGCGCATTGGCCCAGGCTGGTCTCGAACTCCTGACCTCAGGTGATCCACCTGCCTCAGCCTCCCAAAGTGCTGGGATTACAGGCGTGAGCCACCATGCCTGGCCCCTTTTAAAGTGTTTTGTTTGTTTGTTTAGAGACAGTCTAGCTGTGTCACCCAGGCTGAAGTGCAGTGGTGAGATCATGGCTTACTGCAGCCTCGAACTCCTTAACTCAAAGTATCCTCCCACTTCAGCCTATGAAGTAGCTTGTACCACCGGCATGCACCACCATACACAGCTATTTATTTTTATTTTTGTAGAGACGGTGTCTTGCTAGGTTACCTAAGTCTCCAACTCCTAGGCTCATGTGATTCCCCTGCGTTGGCCTCCCAAAATGCTGGGATTACAGGCATGAGCCACCTTACCCAGTCTAAAGTTTTAAAAAACACTTAGTAAAGGAAATTTAAATTAAAAAAAAATTTAGTTCAAGGCCAGGTGCTGTGGCTCTTGTCTGTAGTGGATCACTTGAGCCCAGGAGTTTGAGACTAGCTTGGGCAACACTGCAAGATCCTGTCTCTACAAAAAAAAATTTTTAATTAGCCAGCTGTGATGGCATGAGCCTGTAGTCCCAGCTACTTGGGAGGCTGATGTGGGAGGATCGCTTGAGCCCTGGAGGCTGAGGCGGCAGTGAGCCGTGATGGTGCCACTGCACTCCAGCCTGGATGACAGAGTGAGACTGTCTCCAAAAAAATTGTTTTAGTTCAAGAGAATGGAAACAATGGTAGTGAGGAAAAGCAATGTTGTATCCCGAACTTTTCCTCAACAAAGAAAATAAATTGGCACAGTTACATTAGTTCACAAAGGTATTCCGAGTAGAAAAAAAATCTTTTTTTTTCATTTAATTTTATTCTTTTCTTACAGACTCGTTCAAAACAAGCCATGACTCCTCAGCAAAACAGCTCCATCAAGCGTCTCGCCAACCTCTCCCTTGGGGCTCAGTCAAGGGAATGAAAAAACGAGGCTAGACACCTGTCCCCAACGGAAAAACCAAGAACACACCTGGAGAGCAGCTCAGACAAAGGGAGCCAGGCGGGGAAAACAGTAATTGGAGAGGAGACCGTGCTTCCAGTCTGTTGCTGGTTTACAAGGTAAATCTATTCCTGGACGAAAGGGGTACAGGAACAGCACCCGAAAACCGGCGACAGGCTGTGGCAGGCCCGACGTCTTTCAAGCCCAGCTCCTAGCGTCGACGCCCCTCCTTCCAAGACGTTTCCCAGCAGGCCCTGCGCCCAGTTTGGATCAAGTGAGCCGCCTGAGATTGCCAAGCGTCCTGTGCGCATCTCATTAACGCATCTGCTTATTCATGCATTTATTCTTTTGCTGGGGAGGGGGTGGAGGGGAACGGTGTCTCACTCATTCTGTAGCTCAGGCTGGAGTGCAGGTGGGGCGATCTCGGCTCACGGCAACCTCCGCCTCCCAGGTTCAAGCGATTCTTGTGCCTCAGCCTCCCAAGTAGTTGGGATTACAGGTGCACACGACCACGCCTGGGTAATTTTTGTACTTTTGGTGGAGACGGCGTTTCACCATGTTGGCCAGCCTGGTCTCGAACCCCTGACCCCCGGTGATCTATCCACCTTGGCCTCCCAAAGTGTAAGGATTATAGGCGTGATCCACGGCACCCGGCCTTATGCATTTATTCTTATTGAGCATCTAACATGCTCTAAGCATCGGGGGCAAAAAAGTAAATGAGATATAACAGCACTTAACACACAGCATTTATTTGCACGGGTGTTGGCTTTCTAGCCCTCCAGCGACTGCTTCTAGGTAGGGGCCCTCTTTCGTTTTTGCATCCTCCGAGTCTAGCACAGTGCCTGGCACTGACTAGGTGCTTTGTTAACAAAGGAATGACTTTAAAAGGTATTTTTGATAGGGAGCTCGGTTCTCAAACCTGTAGCCCTACGTGGGGTAGGGGAGGCGGGAGAATGGGTGAACAGGCAGACACGAGGAGAATGGGAGACGTGTTTGTATTAGGAGTGCTCACAGCAATCCACAGCTTCCCTGTGTTCCTCGTTCTCAAATAAGAGGAGGGGAGTCGAGGGCAGGATGGGGCAGCCCTCCCCGCGCAGGAGGGCTGGGTTTGGGGGCCCCAGCCGGGAGTTCTCACTGCGCTCCCGAGCCCGCCTGCCCACCCGCGCCGCTCACCAGGTCAATGGCCACGACGTCCCGCAGAGCCACTACCCGCCGGATGGACTTGGGCGGGTTCTCGGTTAGGTAGACGAGCCGGTCGCTTAGCACCACATACTTGAGGATGTGGTTCTCAGAGTTGGACACCACGATGCATGGCTCGTAGGCGCGGACCGCGTCGTAGACCTCGGGCGGCAGATGCCGCCGCAGGAACACATCCAGGCGGCTGTTCCTGCGCGCGGGGAAGCCGGACGGCAAGGGGCTGGCCATGCCCGGCGCCCGCAGCGTGGCGGAGTGCTGGGACTCGAGGCCCTCAGCTCGCCCTCTCCCCGCCCCCGCGCTGGAACCCGCGCGCCACAAAGCCGCCGGCCACGCGTCGCCTCCTCTCCAGGCGCGGGGACCCGGGCCGCAACTGCAGGAATCGACGCTAGGTCGGCTTCCCTGGAGCGCCCTCCCCAGCCCTGTCCAGCCTCTCGATCTTTGTCCTAACCTCAGACGGCGATGGGCGGGGCAAGACGCTGGTCCTTCAGGCCCGAGTTGATGGGCACCTCGGGCTCATCACCGTGAAGTCCCCTGCGGCCGAAGGGCGGTGGATTTTTAGGGTCTCTCCCGCCCACCCCTAATGCCAGTCCCCACCACTGCGTACTCTGTTGCGGATCACACCATCCAATACAAACTTTATTGGTAATGGAAGCCAGCTTCAATCTGGTTTCCTGTTAGAAACTTGAAAGAGTTTAATTTACCGATTTATTTTTAACAACCCTAGAAACCTATTAAACCCAATCACACAGATTTAGCTTTTGGTTATAACATGGCCTGGCACAGCTTTCTGATATTGTCGGAGTGTAAACATAGGTCTTCTTTCTCCAACCAGTGAGAAAGGGATTTTTTTTTTCTTTTCTCTTTTTTTTTTTGAGACGCAGCTTTGCTCTTGTTGCCCAGGCTGGAGTGCAATGGCGCCATCTCGGCTCACCGCAACCTCCCCCTCCCGGGTTCAAGCGATTCTCCTACCTCAGCCTCCTGAGTAGCTGGAATTACAGGCATGCGCCACCACGCCCAGCTAATTTTGTATATTTTAGTAAAAACGGGGTTTCTCCATGTTGGTCAAGCTGATCTCCAACTCCCGACCTCAGGTAATCCGCCCGCCTCGGCCTCCCAAAGTGCTGGGATTACAGGCGTTAAGTCACCTCGCCCAGCCTTTGAGAAAGGGATTCTTCACATGAATTGATGTGAGCACACCCAAACCAACCTAAGGCATATGGTTTTGTTTCCAATGCCCAGGACAATCTATGCAGGAAGAATGAATGGGTGATGCTGGCATCTTGAAAAGTTGAAGCTGATAGACTGAAGAATGCGGATTACATACCCTGAGGCTGCAGAGGAGTAAGTATTCCTTAGTTTTTACAGGCCAAGAATAACTTACTAATTAGGTTAGAGAAATGAGAAGGGCACAACAGAAATGCTCTAAGTCAGAAGTTCCATTTTTTATTTCGAATCCTAGAAAAGTTATTCTCTTCCCCTCCCCATTGACCCAAAAACCTGATAATGAAACCATATCGTTCATTGCTGTGGCTGCCAGCAACCCTGAATCAAATTTGATATATTCTTTATATTCTCCCTTTCTACATATTTTATTATTGTATACTGTATGTTATAAGCAACTTCAAATCCCTTGTGGAAAGAAGGTATAAATATATTACAATCCATAAACAGATATTGTAGACTACACTAGTACAAAGGGAAAGAGAAATGTTTTGGTCTGGCTAAACTTTTTTTTTTTTTTTTTTTTTGAGACAGAGTCTCCCTCTGTCACCCAGGCTGGAGTGCAGTGGCATGATATCGGCTCACTGCAGCCTCTGCCTCCTGGGTTCAAGCCATTCTCCTGCCACAGCCTCCCAAGTAGCTTGGACTACAGGTGTACACCACCATGCCTGGCTAATTTTTTTTCTGTGTGTATTTTTAGTAGAGACAGGATTTCACCATCTTGGCCATGGCTTGTCTCCTGACTTCAACTGATCTGCCTGCCTTGACCTCCCAAAGTGCTGGGAATACAGGCATGAACCACCGCCATGTAAGGGTCTGGCTAGACTTAAGTCTAAGATCATGTTAAGGAACTCAAGTGAGTAAAGAGAAGTGCCACCTGCTGGCAAAATCTTAAATGACCTAGTAGTTAAAGTTTTCTTAGGATCTCATCACACATCTGAGCCTTCCTAACTTCATAAATGGATGAAAAATGAATGAACTACACCATCCGTAGCAACCTTTATTGATAAAAGATGCCGCATGGCTATTTCCTCCAAAATAAAGACTACTCATTATCTAAACCACTCTAAATAGAGTTTGTTGCTTCAAACTAACAGAAAGGCAAAGGCGCTTCACCTCTGCTGAATAGCCACACCTCACAAAAGCAGTTGAAAGATGAATGACTACAATATCAGAGGTGGAAAGTGAGGCCCACATAAGGGAAAGGCCTTATCTTAGTCTACTATTTTGTGTCTCTCAGGCTTCCTACTTCATACCTACTTCCCAGGACTAAGAGAAACAGAATGACTGGACCAGGACCAAAAAAGACAGCATACTTGATATATCTGCCAAGAAGCCCATCTTGAATAAGCTTTTGGTGACAAGTGCACTAAGCTTAGCAAACATTAAAATGAAGCACAGGCTGGGTGTGGTGGCTCATGCCTGTAATCCCAGCACTTTGGGAGGCCGAGGCGGGTAGATCAGTTGAGGTCAGGAGTTTGAGACCAACCTGGCCAACATGGTGAAACCCCATCTCTACTAAAATTACAAAAAATTAGTTGGGTGTGGTAACACATGCCTGTAATCCTGGCTACTCGGGAGGCTGAGGCAGGAGAATTGCTTGAACCCGGGAGGTGGAGGTTGCAGTGAGCTGAGATTGCCCTACTCCACTCTGGCCTGGGCAACAGAGCAAGACTCTGTATCTAAAATTAAAAAATAAATAAATAAATAAAATGAAGCACAGAAAGAAGGGAATTTGACTGGGAGATTGGTGATCAAGGTGACTTCAGTTAAACTTTTAACTTCGTGGCACACAGAGAAGGCAATACAATGGTTTCCAGGCACTGTACAGCAGTGTTGCCAAGGTAACAGCAAAATTTCTATTGCAGGAAATGGATTTAAATATATAGGAAAGATCACTAGATTTGGAGTCAGGAGAACTAGATAAGGGCACTAACTCTGTTATCTATCAGACTTTTGGAAAGTCACAACCTTTCCGAGCCTCAGTTTCATCATCTATAAAATGTGAGGATCAAATGTGATGAATTATAGACTCTATGAGCACTACAGACATATGAAGCATTCACATTCCCTTATCTTTTGGTAAGCTTTACATCAATCCATGGCCCATAGGCCACCTGCAGCCCAGGAAGGCTTTAAATGTGGCCCAACACAAATTCATAAATGTCTTAAAACATTATGAGATTTTTTTGCGATTTTTTTTTTTTTTTTTAGCTCATCAGCTATCATTAGTGTTAGTATATTTTATATGTGGCCCAAGACAATTCTTCTTCTTCCAATGTGGCCCAGGGAAGTCAAAAGCCTGGATACCCCTGTTTTACATGGTTAACCCAAATGCACCAAAGATAGGTACCCCCTCCTTATCTTGTAAGTTCATCCAAACTCAAGAAACATTTGGCAAAGGAACTCCTGCAATCAAGCACTTAATAGATGTTTCTTGACAAAATTATCAAAAGGAATGGGACATTACTTACCTGGACTAATCCTCAAATGCAGTCTCCTTGAATTTCATCAGAACAGTGGTCTTAGGTACAGGGATGGTCAATTTAAATAATTCGAAGCACAGTAGTTATGAGCATAGAACTGTAGAGCCAGATGACCTGGGTTCAAATTCCAGCTCTCCTATTCAGTAGCTGAATGACCTATGCCTCAGTTTCCCCATCTATGAAATGGAGATAATAGTACCAACCCCCAAAGGGTTATTACGAGGATTTAAAAAGTTTCAATAGTACCTAGAACAGGAACCTGGACTGGAGTAAATACTATATAAGCGTCTAAAGAACAAGTTGACTGGGCATGGTGGCTCACACCTGTAATCCCGGCACTCTGGGAGGCCCAGGTGGGTGGATCACATGAGGTCAGGAGTCCGAGACCAGCCTGGACAGCATGGTGAAACCCCATCTCTACCAAAAAATACAAAAATTAGCCAGCGTGGTGGCGGGCACCTGTAGTCCCAGCTACCTGGGAGGCTGAGGCACAAGAATCACTTGAACCCGGGAGGCAGAGGTTGCAGTGAGCCAAGATGGCACCACTGCACTCCAGCCTGGGCAACAGAGTGAGACTCTGTCTTAAAAAATAAAGAAAGAAAGAAAGAATAAGTTCAACAAGTATGTGATTTCCTGTTACATATGTGGTCGTTCTGCTCCCTATCTACAAGGTAATATTAAATTCTTCTGATTGGATACAAGTCTAACTTTCTGAGATTGACCCAAGGCAAATTTTACCTTTTTTGGGTCACATTTTTAGTGGAGAAGAGACCAGCAGGTTAGGCCATGAGAACCATGTAAGGATTCCAAACTAGAAGTACTCTTCAATGCTTCTAGGGATCCCAAGTATTCCCATTCCCCCCACTTGAAACTAAAGACAGACAGTACACACAGTAAGATATTTAGAATATGTGGCCTATAAATAGAACCTGACCTTTTTTTTTTTTTCTTGAGAAGGAGTTTCACTCTATCACCCAGGCTGGAGTGCAGTGGCGCAATCTCGGCTCACTGCAACCTCCACCTCCCGGGTTCAAGCAATTCTCCTGCCTCAGCCTCCCAAGTAGCTGGGATTACAGGCATGCACCACCATGCCCGGCTAATTTTGTATTTTTAGTAGAGACGGGGTTTCTCCATGTTGAGGCTGGTCTCGAACTCCTGACCTCAGGTGATCCGCCTGCCTTAGCCTCCCAAAGTGCTGGGATTACAGGCATGAGCCGCCACACCCAGCCCTAAACCTGACTTTTTAAAGGTGTCTCATTTAGGAATCTCTTAGTGCTTCAACTTAGTTGTTTTTTTTGTTGTTGTTGTTGTTGCTTGTTTTTTGTTGTTGTTGTTTTTGTTTTGTTTTGTTTTGTTTGAGACAGAGTTTCGCTCTTGTTGCCCAGGCTGGAGTGCAATGGTGCGATCTTGGCTCACTGCAACCTCTGGCTCACCGCAACCTCTGCCTCCCAGGTTCAAGCAATTCTCCTACCTCAGCCGCACAAGTAGCTGGGATTACAAGCATGCACCACCACACCTAGCTAATTTTTGTATTTTTAGTAGAGACAAGGTTTCTCCATGTTGGTCAGGCTGGTCTTGAACTCCCCACCTCAGGTGATCCACCTGCCTTGGCCCCCAAAGTGCTAGGATTACAGGCGTGAGCCACCGCGCCCAGCCCTATACTTATTATTAATGGATACTGATCATTTAAATATCTACTATTAGTAATCTACTATTAGTAATTAGATGACATACAAAGGAAAGATGTCATTGTTATAAAAACCAGACAAATGATTTGGATTAATGTTTTCTTTCACTGAATAATACTCCAATGCTCTATTTTGCCTCTCAGGCTTCCTGCTGCACATGTACTTCCTGTAAGAGGAACTAATGGTTGGAATAGGACCAATAAAGGCAGCATTCCTGACCTGTTTTCCAACTTCTTTCTCTGCCAAGAAGCCCATTATGCATAAGCTTTTAGTGACAATGACATTCGGCTTTAAGAACAATGAGATGAAACACACAGAGAATCTGACACAGAACTCAGCAGCTATCAGCTCGTAATTATGTTCTTTTTGGTTCAACTCAATACATTTCACAAATATTTACTGAGAAATATTTATTAGCCATAAACAGAATCAGGATAACACTTACTTTCAATCTTTAAAAATTGTCTAGTTTTGGCCGGGCATGGTGGCTCACACCTGTAATCTCAACATCTTGGAAGGCCGAGACAGGTGGACCATGAGGTCAAGAGATCGAGACCATCTTGGCCAACATGGTGAAACTCCGTCTCTATTAAAAATACAAAAATTAGCTGGGCGTGGTGGTGCACCAGCTACTCAGGAGGCCGAGGCAGGAGAACTGCTTGAACCAGAAGGCGGAGGTTGCCGTGAGCCAAGATCGCACCACCACACTCCAGCCTGGTGACAGAGCGAAACTCCATCTCAAAATAATAATAATAATAATAATTGTCTAGTTTTTTCTCAGGCAGCCAAGAAGATGGTGGATTGAGACTGAGCATGCCTACCACAAGCAGCTGACCATCATTCAAAGCAAGAAGAGGGTACTGCTAAAGGAAACTGGCAAGAAGCAGCTCCTATGGTACTTACAAGAACATCGGTCTAGGCTTCAAGAGGTCCAAAGAGACTATTGAGGGCACCTACATTGACAAGGAATGCCTGTTCACTGGTAACGTCTCCATCTGAGGGCAGATCCTGTATGGCATGGTGACCAAGATGGAGATGCAGAGGACCACTGTCATCCAGAGAAACTATCTCCACTACATCCGCAAGTACAATTGCTTCGAGAAGTACCACAAGAACTTGTCCATGCACCTGTTCCTCTGCTTCAGGATGTCCAGATCAGCGACATTGTCACGTTGGATAAGTGCCAGTCCCTGAACAAGACGGTGTACTTCAATGTGCTCAAGGTCACCAAGGTCGCAGACATCAAGAAGCAATTCCAGAAGTTCTGAGGCTGAATGTCTGCCTGCTCCCCAAAATGAAATAAAGTTATTTTCTCATTCATACACACAAAAAATGACTAATAGGTAAGATAACCACACAAACTTAATACACAACAAAAACATATTAAAACATATTAATGCAATTAGAGATTTAAAAAAAAACTAGCAAGCTGTGTCAAAGATATGATCAAGCACAAACCTGGTTGAGGACATCTGGAAAGACCTCATGAGGGAGGTAAATTCGATAAATGCTCGAAGAGTGAATGAAACAATTTCTTTTTTACCTTTTATTATAGGCAGTTTTTAAATTTTTTGGCCAATTGTAGTGGCTAACACCTGTAATCCCAACACTTTGGGAGGCCAAGGCAGGTGGATAGCTTGAGCTCAGGAGTTCAAGACCAGCCTGGGCAACATAGTGAGACCTCATCTTTACTAAAAAAAGTTAGCTGGGCATGGTGGTGCCCACCTGTAGTCCCAGCTACTCCAGAGGCTGAGGAGGGAGGATTGCTTGAGCCCAGGAGGCAGAGGTTGCAATGAGCAGAGATTGGACCACTGCACTCCAGCCTGGGTGACAAAGCAAAAAAAAAAGTTTGTTTTTCTTTTTTTAATTTTCTGATTATCAAAGTAGTACATGGTCACTGTACAGAATTTTTTTTTTTTGAGACGGAGGCTCCCTCTGTCGCTCAGACTGGAGTGCAGTGGCATGATCTCAGCTCTCTGCAACCTCCGCCTCTTGGGTTCAAGCAATTCTCTGCCTCAGCCTCCCGAGTAGCCAGGATTACAGGCACCTGCCACCACGCGCAGCTAATTTTTGTATTTTTAGTAGTGACGGGGTTTCACCATCTTGGCCAGGCTAGTCTTGAACTCCTGACCTCGTGATCCACTCGCCTCAGCCTCCCAAAGTGCTGGGATTACAGGCATGAGCCACCACACTCAGCTGAGAATTTTTAAAAATCCAAAAACTTATAGAAAAGAAATGTCTGGAAGCCCATGATCAAGGTGCTGACAGATCCAGTGTCTTGTGAGGGCCTAATTTCTGGTTTGAAGATGGCTGTCTGTCTTCTTGTATCCTCACATGGTGGAAAGAGAGCTCTCTAGCTCCTCTTACAAGGGCACTAATCCTATTCATGAGGGCTCCACTCTCATGACCTGATTATCTCTCAAAGGCCTCACCTCCAGATACCATACAGTGAGTGAGGGTTTCAACATATAAATTTTGGGAGACACACACATTTAGTCCATTGCAGACATGTTAGAGTTGAGGTGCTGGTGAGACATGCAGGCATCTGTGAATGCAAGTTGGCAGTACAGAATATTAGGACCAGAAGTACAGAACTGGAAGTCATCTTCATAGAATTGCGTGTTGAAACTGCAGAAATAGATAATTTACTAAGGGAGCAGGTGTAGGCAAAGGAAAACCAGATGGCTAAGAACAAAGGCCTGGGGAAGAAAACATGTTAAGGGAGCAAAAGGATATGGTGAGGAAGACAAAGAGGAATGGTCAAAAAAGTAAAAGGAGTTTAATAATAATATAGGGTCAGAAGTCAAAAGAGAAGAGAATTCTGAAGAGGAAGGAAATAGTCAACAGAGAAGTTGAAAGAAAAGAATAAATGAATAAAAATGGTCCCACGACTGGAAAATTTGTAGGAGTTTTAGTTGAGTGACTTGGGAGTGAAAAAACAGATTACAAAAAGTGAAGGAAAGGAAGAGTACGTACAGGAAACGAATGTGATGTACTGGAGGCAAGAAATCTTGAATCAAGAATCCAAGGTTCTAGTCTACCATTTACCAGTTATGTAACTCGGGATACATTCCTTAAAATAGATCTACCTTAGTTTCCTCATCTGTAAATTTAAAATGGTGATGATGATACCTGCTCCATCCCTACAATGTTAGAGGAACAAATTAGAAGATACATGGAGGCACGGTGAAAACCATAAGGGACCACATATACAAATGTTATCTATCATAATTCTTTCAAGTACTTCAGCAATTGAAAGAAAAGGGAGACATGGGACAGGTACAAATAAAGTTTTGTCATTATAAGAAAGGGCCTTCTGAGCATATTTATAGGAAGAACAGACTCAGTACTATAGTCCTACACTGTCATCAATCCTAATGGACCTTCATTTGAGAGATAGGTTAGTGGCACACACTCTAGAGTCAGACTATGTGTGTTTCAATCCCAGCTCTTTTTTTTATTTTTTAGTTGTATTTCAATGACTACAAATGAATCCCAGTTCAGCTACTTAACTTCTATGCACTCCAGTTTCCTTGTCTATAAAATGGGGATAATAATAGTATCTATCTCCATAGAGTTGTGAGGATCGATGTATAAACACTTTAAAACTGTGTTTGATGGCCAGGCGCAGTGGCTCATGCCTGTAATCCCAGCACTTTAGGAGGCCAAGGCTGGCAGATCACTTGAGGTCAGAAGTTCGAGATCAGCCTGACCAACACGGAGAAACCCCATCTTTACTAAAAATACAAAATTAGCCGGGTGTGGTGGCATATCCCTGTAGTCCTAGCTACTCGGGAGGTTGAGGCAGGAGAATCGCTTGAACCTGGGAGGCAGAGGTTGCGGTGAGCCGAGATCGCGCCATTGCACTCCAGCCTGGGCAACAAGAGTGAAACTCTGTCTCAAAAACAAAAACAAAAACACAAAAAACAAAAAAAACTGTTTGGCAAACATGCTCAAAAATATTGGCAATTAATACATAAAAGCATTGTCATATGCAAGCATACATGCTTTATGTTAAAATTGAAACTACCATTACAAAATTATAACCAAGACAGTGAAAGAGATCTGATCTGACCAACTGCATTTTGCTTCTAAACTCCAAGCTGTCCTTGTTCATTCCTGGGCATAGGCTGAACTAACTTTGGAAGGATCTTAGTTTAGAGTTTATAGTTAAAACAAAGACAATAACAGCCTCTTCCCAAAACACCCTTCTTACCTGGGGACTAGACTACCTTTGTAGGACTAACAAATTAGCCATAAGATTAGAAATTATTGTTTAGAAATCATGCAGCTGGAGGCTACAAGATTCTGATCCTCCCCGAATTGTTCCTGGGGATAACACCACTATTGTAAAACCTACGATCAGTGCTTGAGATATTTTGCAAACCCTGTACTTGATAGATCAGCTGGCACCACTCAGATCAAAAAACTGGGTCATCTGATCTTGTGGCCGCCACCCAGGAACTGACTCAGTGCGCAGGAGGACAGCTTCAACTCTCTCTGATTTCATCTCTGATCCAACCAATCAGCACTCTCAATTCACTGACCTTCCCTCATCCATCAAATCAGCCTTAAACACTCTGATCCCTGAATGCTCAGGGAGACTGATTTGAATAATAATAAAACTCAGTCTCCCATACAGGGAGCTCTATGTGAATTACTCTTTCTCTATTGAGATTCCCCTATCTTGATAAATTGGGTCTGTCTAGGCAGCAGGGAACCTATTGGGCAGTTACAAAAGGAGCCTTTTGGGCAGTTACAAAATGATAGTGTTATTTGTCAACATGTTGATGACTAACATTTTCATCTGAGATGAGAAACTGCCCATCCCTTCATGGACGGAGGAGGCAGAATATGGAATGGTCAAATGTAATACCTCTCTTAGGTCCTCTTCAGTTGGATTCTACCAAGTGCTTCTTTATTTGTTCTTTTTGTTGTTGTTGTTGTTGTGGTTGTTGAGATGAAGTCTCACTCTGTTGCCCAAGCTGGAGTGCAGTGGTGCGATCTCAGCTCACTGCAACTCCACCTCCCGGTTCAAGCAATTCTCCTGCCTCAGCCTCCCGAGTAGCTGGGACTACAGGCATGTGCCACCACGTCCTGCTAATTTTTGTATTTTTAGTAGAGGCAGGGTTTCACTATGTTGGCCAAGCTGGTCTTGAACTCCTGACCTCCTGAACCACCCATCTCGGCCTCCCAAGGTGCTGGGATTACAGGCATGCATCACCACACCCGGCTTTTTTTTTTTGAGATGGAGTCTCACTGTGTTGCCCAAGCTGGAGTGCAGTGGCGCAATCTCGGCTCACTGCAACCTCCCAGGTTCATGCAATTCTCCTGCCTCAGCTTCCCAAGTAACTGGGACTACAGGCATGTGCCACCATGCCCGGCTAATTTTTTTTTTGTATTTTTAGTAGAGACGTGATTTTACTGTGTTGGCCAGGCTGGTCTCGATCTCTTGACCTTGTGATCCATCTGCCTCAGCCTCCCAAAGTGCCGGGATTACAGGCATGAGCCACCGCGCCTAGCCTCTTTATTTGTTCTGAAATAATATGAGTTTACAAAGTTGAAAGAGATTTCTACAATTCTAGGTATTTCAACTACCATAAACGAAAGAGCTAATGTTAGTAGATAAACTGTAGATAAACTGAAGATAGGCTTTGTATAACATTCAACATAAGAAGTAGCCATAAAATGAATTTACAAACAAAACAGCAAGTAAAGACATCTATAATACGATAGATTGAATTGCCATATTCTTTAGGATGAGGCCTGGAATATGCTGAACATACAGATTGCAGAGGCACTCAGCCCAAGATTAGTATTGGGCCTTCATACTCCACAGTTGATCATCACAGCTAATATAAGAATTCATGCAATGATTCAGTTATTGAGTTGAAACTAGCAGGCTGGCACTGTGCTAGACTCGAAAGATATACTGAAATAGGTAGGGCAGAAATCCTAGCCTGAGATTTTTTTTCTTAGAAATAACATTCATAGCAACTTGTGAAAAAAGCCATGCCTGTGTCTCCAGCAGCAGTGAAACAAGATGGTGGATCCCCTCACCATTAACCCCCATATGGAAAGGGTATATGTAATTCAGAAGGGATGTGTATTATGTCTGTTCTCACACTGCTATAAAGGAATGCCTGGGACTGGGTAATTTATAAAGGAAAGAGATTTAATTGACTCACAGTACCTCAGGGCTGAGGAGGCCTCAGGAAACTTACAATCATGGCAGAAGGGGAAGCAAACACATCATTCTTCACATGGTGGCAGGGGAGAGAAGAATGAGTGCCCAGCAAAGGGGGAAGCCCCTTATAAAACCATCAGATCTCATGAAAACTCACTATTACGAGAACAGGGTGGGGGAAACCAACCCCATGATTCAATTATCTCCACCTGATCCCGCCCATGACATGAGGGGATTATGGGAATTACAATTCAAGATGAGATTTGGGTGGAGACACAGCCAAACCACGTCAGGATGTGTAGACAACTGAAGTACAATAACATCAAGGCTGTTTTGACGTAAGGGCAGAATTTACAGTATGTGCTCTCACACAACTTGAAATCTTAAAGGCCTTCCGGGAACAGGGTTAATCAGAAACCAACATGGCAGATTAGTACCAAAGATGGAGTTACTTTAGCTTCCAGATTCCACCCATCAATCCAGCTCTTACAGTTTCACTCGCCCTCCTATTTGGAGATGGTCCCTGAGCTTTTAGGGAGGGTGGTTTCATATGATATAGCTTTAGCAGCAGCGCCCTAGCAGTGGAAAACAGATTGGGCCCAGAGAGATTCCAAATGAGGGAGATTCACAGGCTTTGTTGAATTATCTCTAGTCTTGAGAATACCATGACTTTGGTTTTCTCAGAAGTAAAACAAGAGATACTTCTTGTTTATAATTAATTTGAATAATTAATAATTTGAATAGTAGAAACATAATGCATGCAAGGATTACAATCAAAAGAAAATTTGTATGCCAGAACAACAAAGAACCTATTTCGTTGGGAAGCCAACTGAGAGCAGCGTGAAGAAAATTAAGGCCTGACACAGGGACTCACACTCGTAATTCCAACACTTTGGGAAGCTGAGGTGGGAGGTTCATTTGAGCCTGGGAGTTAGAGATCAGCCTGGGCAACAGAGCAAGTCCCCATCTCTACAAAAACAAACAAAAATAGCCAGGTATGATGGTATGCACCCGTAGTCCCAGCTCCTTGGGCGGCTGAGGCAGGAGGATTGCTTGAGCCCAGGAGGTCAAGGCTGCAGTGAGCTATGACCACTCTACTCCAGACTGGGTAACAGAGCGAGACCCTTTCTCTAAAAACAAGAAAAAATTAAAACCCAGTTCTCCTTTAGCGACATCTTGTAGCCACTAGCCTGACATTTTAAACACATAAATTAGAAACATGATGCAAGAGTGATTCAAGGTATTTTATATAGGAAATGCCTGGTGTAGTGTCTTGGACAGCTAAATAAAGGTAGCTGTTAAAACATTAGTTTTATTCTATGCTCTTACCATTCCTCCCTCTCCAAGTTTTGTTTGTAGTCTGTGGCAGCAACCTAGTCTGTATTTAGTACACATTGAATAATCAACAATGAAATGTAAATATTGAGCACATTGTGTGTCAAACACATGTATTAACTCAAACCTCACAGAAACCCTTTGAGGTCGGTACTATTAACAATCCCCATTTTACATACGAGTAAACTGAAGCATGGATAGACTAAAGTAAAGTGCCTGAGGTCAACTAGTGAGGAGGCGGAGTGGCAGTCAAGTCGAGGCAGCCTAAGCCTACACTGCCTCTATGTTGCATTAATAAATTAATAAATCTGTGACCAAATAAATGAAGTGACATTTAGTAGCATCGAAAGATCCCGTGAGTAGGACTTCCTAAGAATGCTCTCCTTCTTTTCATGGACAAAATTTTAGTCTGTTTAAAATAAATTTTGGACCGGACACCGTGGCTCACGCCTGTAATCCCAGTACTTTGGGAGGCCGAGGCAGGTGATCACTTGAGGTCAGGAGTTCGAGATCAGCCTGTCCAACATGGTGCAACCCTGTCTCTACGAAAAATACAAAAATTAGCTGGGTATGGTGGCGCGCGCCTGTCATCCCAGCTACTCAGGAGGCTGATGCAGGAGAACTGCTTGAACCCCGGAGGCGGAGGTTGCAGTGAGCCAAGATCTCGCCATTGCACCCCATCCTGGGCGACAGAGCGAGACTCCGTCTCAAAGAATAAATAAATAAATTAATTAATTAATTTTGAAAACCTGTCAGCACTCATCAGAGCTTTACACTGCTGTACTCGGGACACTTGGGGCCGTAGACAAGCAATTAAATTGACTCACACGTGGTTAGAACCACGTCATCCTGATTCGTGAATCCGTACTCTCAACTACTAGAAGCCCTTTGTGGAATGCTCGGGGCGAACCTGACGCTTGAGCTCTGACACCACGCAGACACAGCCGGGGATTTAGGAGCTGGGTAGGGACTCCTGGGCCGGATGCCTCATCCCGGCATGCACCTCAAGCCCCGGTGACCACGCCTTCCGGCGAGCGCCAGGGAGCGCGTGTGCGCCTCGCCGCCCGGAAGCGCCGGCCGCTCCCTGCATGCTGGGAGTTGTAGGCCTCCGGCGTCAGCCCGCGGGCTGCCGCCCGCACTCTCCAAGAGACTGCTGGCGCCGGCGCCCGCCCGCGCGGCACCGACGCGGGGAGCGCGCTTCGCGCTGACTCAGCGGCGGCGGCGGCTGCGGCGGCGGCGGCGGCGTTAGCCGGCCCTCGCGCTCTTTCCCTTCCTGGGGCGCCGACCCCGCCCGCTTGCTTGCTTGCTTGCTTGCCTGCCTGCCTGCCTGCCCGGCGCCACGCAAGAGAAGGTGCCAGGGGACGCAGAGCGACTAGAGGCGCGCGGTCCCGGCCAGCACCGTCTCTGGCGTTGTAGCTGCGGCCGTGGCGGAGGACTACGGCGACAAGGACGAGGGCCGCTCTCCCAGCTCTCTGCGTGCCGCGCCGCTCCGCTCCGCTGGCTGACCATCTGGAGTGCAGGCTGGGAGGCGGGATGGAGTGATAGGGAAGGTGACTCGGGGCTCGGGGGCAGCGGGACCGGGACCAGGTTTGGTCCGCGTGAGGCTTCGAGGAAGTTGGCCGGGGCGGACCGGCCCGGGGGAGTCCCGACGCCAGGGAGGGTGCAGGCTTGGGACCCTCTATGGCGGTGCACCCCCTGGCTGGGCGGACCGGGTGGGGGTGGGTACGAGCCGGGGCCGCCGCCGAGGAGCGCGTCCCGAGTGCGTGGCCGGCGGTTGCTTGGTGTTTCATCACCCGAATTGCCACGAGGCTTCCTTTAGGGGAGGGATCGGGGGAGGGATGGGAGCAAGGCTAGCAGAGGAGGGTCGGCATCGCCTGTGGTTCCGAAGCCCGTTAGTCATCGTTGTAGCGTTATCAACTGTGGAGACCTCAAACTTGATTCTTCCCCCACCCCTGGACAAAAAGGAAAAGTGTTATTTCTGTGCAGTAATTGGCCAGCACGGACGCTCCATTTCTTCTCAAACCTTCCTCACCATCCTGCAGGACTAGAGAAGCATGAGGTTTCCCTGTAACCAGAAAAACGAGTACTTTTTGAAAGTGCTAATTAGTTGTGGCGGGCGGGGGTTGGGGGAGAGTTACGTTTTATTAAACCGACTTGTCAGCGTGGTGTTAAAAGGCTGGAAAGATTCAGTCGTAGTATTTGAAACAGTCTTCAGTAGGTGTAGAGGAATTTTTCCAAATTGTTTGATTCTTAATGGCTATCCAGGAAAAGTTAAGGCTTAATATTTTAAGTATGTTGCTTGCCTTCCCCCAAGAACCTTTGCAAGATGCATAATTGTTTACCGTATTGAAACATTTTTTGGGGTTTTGTTGTTGTTGTTTTGAGACGGAGTCTCGCTCGGTCGCCCAGGCTGCAGTGCAGTGGTGCCATCTCGGCTCACTGCAACCTCTGCCTCCCAGGTTCAAGTGATTCTGCAGCCTCAGCCTCCCGAGTAGCTCTATTACAGGTGCGCCCCGCCACACCTGGCTACTTTTTGTATTTTTCGTAGAGATGGAGTTTCACCGTGTTAGCCAGGATGGTCTCGATCTCTTGACCTCGCGATCCGCCCGCCTCAGCCTCCCAAAGTGCTGGGATTACAGGCGTGAGCCACCGCGCCCGGCCTTCCACTGCATATTGATCGTCCAAATGCCTTCTATGTGGGGGATTCTTTCTGTAGTGACAACTGTTAACTAGTTTGTTTCCTTGGGTTTATTGGCTATGTTTTCCTTAGGGCCACTTCATTTTTCTCCCGATAGCTTCAGAGTGACTTGACCAAGCTTAAGCACTTTTTCTTTTTTTTGACACAGTGTCTCACTCTGTCGCCCAGGCGGGAGTGCAATGACACGATCTCCGCTCACTGCAACCTCCCCCTCCCGGGTTCATGCGAGTCTTCTGCCTCAGCCTCCTGGGTAGCTGGGATTACAGGCGCAGGCCACCATGCCCAGCTAATTTTTGTATTTTTAGTAGAGACGGCGTTTCACCGTGTTGGTCAGGCTGGTCTCGAACTCCTGACCTCGTGATCCGCCCACCTCGGCCTCCCAAAATGCTGGGATTACAGGCGTGAGCCACCGTGCCCAGCCAGCAATTTTTTTTAGATGGAGTTTCGCTCTCGTTGACCAGGCTGGAGTGCGGTGGCGCCATCTCAGCTCACTGCAACCTCCGCCTCCCGGGTTCAAGCGATTCTCCTGCCTCAGCCTCCCGAATAGCTGGGATTGCAGGCATGTGCCACCACACCCGGCTAATTTTTGTATTTTTAGTAGAGACGGGGTTTCTCCATGTTGGTCAGGCTGGTCTCGAACTCCCGACCTCAGTTGATCTGCGCCCCCCTCCCCTCGGCCTTCCTTAGTGCTGGGATTATAGGCGTGAGCCACCCTGCCTGGCCAGCATTTTTTTAAAAAGCCATAGCAAATTCAAGGAAGCTTTTATTGGACTTCTCAATCAGGGATTCTTAGAAACTCCGAAATCGTTTTTTCTCTCTGTGGGCATTTTTCAGGGGAATGGACATCAGATTTTCTTAACATTTAGGGGGCGAAGGGAACCAGTGCCTTTCTTTGTGTTTTTCTGTCTTTTAAAAATGCTGATCTGGTATAAGAATGCCCCAAGTCGTTTCCATTCCACATGTTCCTACCTCTGACTATAAACAACGTATTGAGGGCTCACTATGTGCCAGCCATGCTCTGCATACCTTATCTCTTTGAAGCCTTTACAACTTTATGAGGCATATGGTCTTTTTCCCATGTCATAGAAAGGGTTCTCTCAGGTTTTGTAAGTTGTCCAAGTGGCCCCAATTAAAAAATGACAAGATGGGGATACAAACCCAGGTCTTTGAAATCCAAAACCTATGCTCTACTATGTCCTAGGGACATAGTGATGGATAGTCAAGACAGTCCTTGCCCTTTAAGATTGTGAGAAATGGCCGGGTGGCTCACACCTGTAATCCCAGCACTTTGGGAGGCCGAGTCTGGCAGATCACCTGAGATTAGGGGTTCGAGACCAGCCTGGGCAACATGGTGAAACCCCATCTCTACTAAAAAATACAAAAATTAGCCGGGTGTGGTGGCTCACCCCTGTAATCTCAGCTATTTGGGAGGCTGAGGCAGAAGAATCACTTGAACCCAGGAGCCAGAGGCTGCAGTGAGCCGAGATCATGTCACTGCACTCCACCCTGGGCAACAGAGTGAGACTGTCTCAAAAAAAAAAAAAAAAGATTAATGAGAGAAAACTAGTAAGCTGGCAGTGACAGCATAGCAGTGCTTAGGATGGGGCATGTAATCCAATTTGGGAGAGTTGGACAATAGAGGTCAAAGAAGTGTTCTTGAAAGAGATGGCTTCTAAGTTGAATTTCAAAGGACAGCAGGGGTTAACCTACTAACAAGAAGAAAGAGCAGTGTGCAAAGATGAAAGGTAGAATACCACTGGAGAACTGCCATATGGTTCACTAGCACTGGCCTTGCTGACCTGGTGTGCAGAATAGTGAGGAGTTATTCAAAAGTGTTTGGATCGTAATCTGAGGGCAGTAGGGAGTTACACTGCCTTGAAGTCTGCAAGTACGTTATGAACCATAAGAGAAAGGGCTGAGCTGTCTTCAAAGCTCTCAGTCCATATCCTGAGTTATTTGATTCAGGCAGGCTCAGAGGAAAACAGAAAAGCCTATTGTAGGTATCCTGTAACCTGGACCTGAGCCTGGTTTTGCTATTCCCAAAAGGCCTTTCTCCCCTACCCCTGCTATTCCCAAAAGGCTTTTCTCCCCTACCCCCAATCCAATTAGTTTTTTGGCGTCTTTGGTTAACGGTAATTGAAACAAAAAGCCCCACAGCCTTTTTTTGTTTTTTTTGAGACAGAGTCTCGTTCTGTCACCCAGGCTGGAGTGCAGTGGCGTGATCCCAGCTCACTGCAACCTCCACCTCCTGGGTTCAAGCGATTCTCCTGCCTCAGCCTCCCAAGTAGCTGGGATTACAGGTGTGTGCCACCATGCTCCACTAATTTTTTTGTATTTTTAGTAGGGGATTTTACCATGTTGGCCAGGCTGGTCTTGAACTCCTGACCTCAAGTGATCCACCTGCCTCGGCCTCCCAAAGTGCTGGGATTACAGGCATGAGCCAGCACGCCTGGCCCCCCACAGCGTTTAATGGAAGTAGTAAGACTTGGTCTCCCTACCTTATAGGTCTTGAGAGAATAATATCATTTTTCACATCATTTAGAGTTTGTTCCATGTTTGCTCAAATGAATATGCATTCTATCAAAAACTAGGATGCCTTTTGCAGCTTATTATTTGAGAATGTTGGAACCTATATTGTGAAGAAGTGGATTACCTCTCAGAGATTAAAAAAAATCCTTAAATAAGAGTAGTCAGTGTTAAGTCATTTGTGGATTTTTTTTTGTGTGTTTTGTTTTTTTTGAGATGGAATCTCACTCTGTTCTCCAGGCTGGAGTGCAGTGGCGCAATCTTGGCTCACTACAACCTCTGCCTCCTGGGTTCAAGCGATTCTTGTGCCTCAGTCACCCGAGTAGCTGGGATTACTGGCATGTGCCACCAAGCCTGGCTGATTTTTGTCTTTTTAGTAGAAACAGGGTTTCACCGTATTGGTCAGGCTGGCTTGAACTCCTGACCTTAAGTGATCTGCGCACCTCAGCCTCCCAAAGTTCTCAGATTACCGGTGTGAGCCACTGTAGCTGGCTGGTTTGTGGGTTTTTGTATCTACTATTGAAAAACTTTTTTTTTTTTGAAATTTTTAGAATTGGCTGGCAAGAGCAGAGATCTGTAAAATGCAAAACTAAGTCCATTGCTCAAAAGCTAAATGACTGGTTTTTCATTATCCTGTTCCTTTCATTAGACTTCTGTCATAGTACTTAGTAAACACTCCAAAGGATATTGAACTCTGAGGTCAGCCATTCTAATGTTTTAAAGAAGGTTTGTGATATTTGTATCTGGAAGTAGACAAATTATTATAATTACTGTAATAGTCTGCATTTGTCATTTTTATACTTAACTGCAGTTGCACAATTGCATTTTTAAGTACTAGAGATAAGTAAAACACTGCATAAATTAGGTACTTCTACTATTTAAAGTAGAAAATGATTACTTTCTATACCTTATTAAGAAGATCTTGAAGACTAAGAAAGCTTGAGGACCTTTATGGCATACTTTAAGATTTTTAGGGGCCAGGTGGGGTGGCTCATGCCTGTAATCCCAGCACTTTGGGAGGCCAAGGCGGGCGGATCACGAGGTCAGGAGATCAAGACCATCCTGGCTAACACGGTGAAACCCTGACTCTACTAAAAATACAAAAAATTAGCCCAGCGCGGTGGCGGGCGCCTGTAGTCCCAGCTACTCGGGAGGGTGAGGCAGGAGAATGGCGTGAACCTGGGACACGGAGCTTGCAGTGAGCTGATACGGTGCCACTGCACTCCAGCCTGGGCAACAGAGTGAGACTCCGTCTCAAAAAAAAAAATCAGATTTTTAGGAATTACACATTAGTGGAGTAGTTAGCAGAGCCCATTTTTCTGAGAATTAGGCTCTAACTTTTAGTTGTAATTTAGATAAGTTCCAAAATAAGTTTTTAAACATTTAAGCTTCTTTGCATGATTTTATCCATTTACGTTATTCAGGATAAGCATCTATTTGTTTATCAAGTAATGTTTTCTTTCAACTTTGTTTTTTGTGGCAGATGTTTATAAATTCTTCTGTGGGATCAGAGGGCACGCCTATTACAACCAGAAAACTACAAGTATAACAGCGAGGATGGATGAACAGGCTCTATTAGGGCTAAATCCAAATGCTGATTCAGACTTTAGACAAAGGGTAAGTTACTCTGCTGAATCATTTTTTAATCATGTCACCACAGATTGGCATTAGAGGACTTGAATAAAAATGCACCTGGCAAAAGTTTACTTTGGGTAGAAATGAACAGAAACAAAAAAATTTGAGGTATTTGAATATATTTTGAATATAGAAACAGTGAGTGTTGTGATTTATTTTCTGTTTACTTGGCCAAACAAAAGTATTAAAATCTCATATGATTCAAGGCAGATCTTTATGCAACATCAGTCATTATTTCTAATTATTTAAAAATTGTAATGCAAAGGATTCGTTTAAGAGACTTTCCATAGCAGCAGACATGTGTATTTTATTTTCTCTTTCCTTGGCTTGATCTATACAAGCTGTTTTAACACTTACCTTAATGATTTTTTTTTTATTTTAATTTTTTTCTAGAGATAGGGTTTCACCATCTTGCCCAGGCTGGTCTCGAACTCCTGAGCTCAAGCGATCTGCCCACCTCAGTCTCCTAAAATGCTAGGATTATAGGCATGAGTCACCCTGCCCGGCCACATTAGTGATATTTAACTTTCTTGTTATTTGGTCTAGGCAGACATAAATAAGCAGTTATGATAGGTTATGTCTTAAGTAAAATGGTTACATGACAAGAATCCATTATAAAGTGCTGGGATAGTTGGATAAATGTAAACAATTAAATATAATGTAGCCTACAACTATAATCATGACTATAGCTGAATGATAGAAAAATATAAAGAATGAGCCTATAATTAATTTTTTTTAAAGACGTGGGCATTTGGAACTATAGGGTAAGTGGAAAGGAAAGAGGCATTTTCTTTTTACTTTTCATAGCAAAGAATACTTTTTATAAATGAGCTAAATGAGGTTAACAATCTCACTAAAAATTATAGCAGTTTTTATTCTTATTTTAAGAAAAAAATCTTTTAAAGCAGTAAAAAACAATCCCAACTAGTTTCTAATACAGTACCATGTGCATGTCTCTGCTACTAAATAAGTAACGAGCCCTTCAGATACAGGAAAATAATAGGAATTGAGATTTAAGTATCTGGCTAATTACAAGATACCTATCAAACAAGTTAGGACATCAAAAGACATTTAAAATCCATGTCTTCTGTGTGTAAACAAATCTTTCTTGTCATAGGGTTTTATGCTACCTACCTTCAAACATAGTTGAAGTATCATAGATCTTTACCTTTAGTCTAGCTTGGTATTGCATGCTTGTAATTAAAAGCCTTTGACTGTATGTTTAGTTATTAAATGGCCTTTACTGTTATTTTTATGTGCCTCTTGAAATCTTTCATTTCTTAAGTTCCAGCATCCAATTTTTGGATGAAAGAGGCATTTTCTTTGCCTCTTAAGTTCCAGCATCCAATTTTTTTAAATGTGCCATGATTTCTTTTTCAGAAAATTAAAACCAATACATTATTAGTGGTTTTAATACAGAAGCTCTGCTTTTTGTCAGTAAAAATGGGTTCTGTCACATACGTGTTTTAAGCATCCAGGTCCAGGCATAATTCAGTATCCATTTAGCCAATCTGAATAACAATTTATTAGGATGAAAGGGAAGAAATCTTAAAGTGAATTCTGAAAGCCCTTTTGTTGCAGTTCGGGAGTAGTGGAAACTTAATTCAGTTTGGTGGTGAGAAGAATGACTGTCTGCCAACCCCAATTGCTCAGTTGTCTATCTGTAATTCTCTGTTTTTTACATGGGCAATAAAAGTTGAACTGACTCTTGTCACATAGAGTCAGTCAACCATTAGAAAAAAGGTATGGGGTAGAACTAGGTGGTGAAAGCTAGGACTTGTTTGTCAGTGTTGTAGAATTTTGTTTTTTTAATTGTTAGTAATGCATAGATTCAGAATACAAAGGCTTTGTTTAAAAACTAAAAACTTCCACGTTATCTCTCCTCTCCTTCCTCTCACCCCTGCCCCGCCCCCCGCCCTTTTTTTTTTGAGACAGAGTCTCACTCTGTTGCCCAGCCTGGAGTGGAATGGCACCATCTTGGCTCACAGCAACCTCCAACTCCCGGGTTCAAGAGATTCTCCTGCCTCAGCTGGGATTAGAGTAGCTAGGATTAGAAGCACACACCACCACGCCTAGCTAATTTCTGTATGTTTGGTGGAGACGGGGTTTCACCATGTTGGTCAGGCTGGTCTCAAACTCTTGACCTTGTGATCTCCCTGCCTCAGCCTCCCAAAGTGCTGGGATTACAGGCATGACTCACCGCGCCCAGCCTCCTCCTTTTTAAAAAATAAAACACTCGTCTTTGGCTTAAAACCTGTTATTATTTAAAGAAAATGGTATGTCATGACATTTCTAGCAGCTGAAACCACCTCTCCCCTCTTTTGTAAGTGAAATATTAGGTGGTAATGCAACATACATGATTAACTTCTACCTTGTCCTCTGGCCTCTGAGATATTCCTAAAGAATACCCTATGTTTCATGGACTGCTGTTAGAAACAACTAAGCTAGTACTATCTTTTATAGCTGCCTGTGTTCTTATAGTCTTAACTTCTAAAGAGAGACATTATTTACTCTGGGCTGTTTTCCAATACCAACAACCAACTCTCTTGATTTCTGTGGACACCAACTGGGTGTCCTACAAATCAATTCAATTCTGACACTACCAGGATTAGCATCACATCCCACAAGTTATGGGCTCGGTCTTACAAACCGCCCCCACTTAAGACACTAATTGAGTCCAGAACCTCTCATATTTCTGATGATGGAGTAGCCTACAGAACTTAGAAAAACAGTTGACTTTCTTGTGCTGATGAAGGATCCACCTCATGAGCAGCCACATGGAAGCGATGCATAGGGCAAAGTATAGGGGAAGGGGCACAGAGCTCTTGTGCCCTCTCTAGGAACACCACCCTCTCTAGGAACACCACCCTCTCAGCATCTCGATGTGTTTGCCAACCTGGAAGTTCAAGAGTTTTTATAGAGCTGAATCTTGAGTCCCTTCTCCCCTTCCCAGAGGTTGGTGGTTAGGGTAAAAGTTTCAACACTCTAATCAGTTGATCTTTCTGGTAACCAGCTGTATCCTGAGGCTGTCTAGTGTTCCCACACCAAGTTACCTCATTAACATAAACTCTGTTGACCCCGAAGTCTCTAGTGATCCTTCCACCTTAGCCTCCCAAGTAGTTGGGACTGTAGGTGCACGTCACCACTTCTGGCTAATTTTTAAATTTTTTGTAGAGACAGGGTCCCACTATGTTGCCCAGGCTAGCCTTGAACTGCTGGCCTCAAGTGATCTTCCAGCCTCAAGTGATCTTCCCACCTTGACCCCCCAGAGTGTTGGGATTATAGGTGTGAACTGCTGTGCCTGGCCCAAAGGACTCATTATAAATAACAAAAGACGGTCCTGTCGCTCAGGAAATTTTCCAAGAGTTTTAAGGGCTCTGAGCCAGCAACTGGCTGCAAAGCCCAAATGTATTTTTTCGTTATACCATATATTTAATATTATATTTGGTGATCTTCACCTAATCATCTTCATTTACCTGGTCTTCTGTCAGTGGGAGCAGCCATTGAGACCATGTATGAAAACCCATTCCCTCATTCATACAGTTACATAGTATAGGAAACTATCACCTAAATATAAATACAGTGGCTTTGATCTGTAACCCAAAGAAAAAAATAACTTTACATCTCGATGACCCAGTGTGTGTGTATATATTTATAGGTACATATGCACATAAATAACTAAAACAAGTTACAGAAAGTAATATTCTTGCTAGGGTATAGTACAGAATATCTAATATTCTCTATTTCATTTTTAAAAATTATTGTTCAGGACCCATAAACTGATTTCATCACTAGTGGGAGACACCACCGTTTTAAAAATATTTACCAATTGAAATTAGGTTTCTCTAAGGCTAATGTTTCTTTTACCTCATGTCAGCTTTTGTTTCATACATAATTGCTGTCAAATCATCTAGCAGTGCTTCCAGTTGATGTGCAATTTTCTTGTCTATTGGAGATACTTGTCACAAGATGTTCACTACTATTTGTCCATTGCCATGTGTGAAACCTGCATCTGGTGCAACATGCTGATGGGAAGAGTGCCTGAAGTAACTCCCATTTTCCCAACAGTTTGGTAGAGAGCGTATGGACTTGGTGCTGCATCCATTCTAGAGTACTCTTGCTCCTTGTTGGCACTGTTACTTGTGATTACAAGGCCCTGAATTCATAAACTTAGAGATAAAAAACTTCCTCGAGCTTTGACCTTTTCAGTTACTTAATATTTTTCAAAATTCATATCATGCACTTGTACTCCAATTTTAATCTCTTTAGGGAACTTACATGATATAATTAAAGACTTGAAATACTCTCCTGTGTAACAGTAGATCAGATAAGGTACACAGTATGTTTTATCTTTTATAATCACCGCTTTAATAGCAGATGTGCTATTAAATAGGAAAAGTGCCCTTCACGTGCCATTTTATAATTGCATATTATAAAATGATCACACCCTTAACTCATCCTCTGCAATTTCTCAGTAGTATGGCACTTGACAAAGCACTTGCTCTCATTCTTCATAATAACCCCATGAAGGCTGCGGGGCATTTTTGTGTTGTTGCTGCTGTAAGAAAACAGGTTTGATTATCTAACTGATGGAATTTATATTTATTTAACCTATTTTTAGGAATGACCCCAAGTTGCATATATTCGGAAGCCTGCATTTAATGTTTTAACTGTTTTTCTATTAAGTTTACTGATTTGTTATAGGTTTGCAACTCTCAGAATATTTTGTTTATATTAGCAGGGCATTGAGATTGTTTATTCTAAATGCATTTTTTTGTTTTGCAATCTTATAGGCCCTGGCCTATTTTGAGCAGTTAAAAATTTCCCCAGATGCCTGGCAGGTGTGTGCAGAAGCTCTAGCCCAGAGGACATACAGGTAATTAAAAACAAAATTTGCATGACAATTTAAATTTCTGTGGACATGACAGGACTGTGAAATTTACCTGTATTTGGAAAGTGTTTTCATAAAAACATTTTATGACTTTTTTTTTTTTTTGCAAAGCCATTAACATATAGTCATTCCATGTAGAAATGAGAAAAGTAGTAAACCCAGTTTGGCCATTTCAGAATTAACTTTTCAGTAAAACCATCCTTTGGTATATATTGTGTACCTGTCACCAGATCCCAGCTGGAATAAAGTGCAGTAAAAACTTCCTTATCTTATGATTGAGGGTGATAACTGCTTTCCTAAAACTTTGGTAAAGACGGTGATTGTAAATGATATATATCTTAATTTTAAAATTATTTATTTATTTTATTATTATTATTATTATTTTCTTGAGATGGAGTCTCGCTTTGTCGCCCAGGCTGAAGTGCAGTGGCGCAATCTAGGCTCACTGCAAGCTTCGCCTCCTGGGTTCTTGCCATTCTCCTGCCTCAGCCTCCTGAGTAGCTGGGACTACAGGTGCCCATCACCATGCCCGGCTAATTTTTTTGTATTTCTTTTTGGTGGAGACAGGGTTTCACTGTGTTGGCCAGGATGGTCTCGATCTCCTGACCTTGTGATCCGCCCGTCTCGGCCTTCCAAAGTGCTGGGATTACAGGCGTGAGCCACCGTACCCGGCCTATATCTTAATTTTTAATTTTAACTTAAGGTATATAATCATTCGGTGACCAATCTTTTAATATTGGACCACAGTCTTTATCTTTGTATACTAACTAGCATTCACTTTATTCGTAGGTTGGTCACACCTGTAACCCATCCTCTACAATTTCTAGCATGGGTCTCTGTACAATGAGTGACGATCCATAGATTTTTAAGATATTTGTCCCCGCCTCTCAAGTCTTCTGGTTATATAGGCCATGTCAAATATGTACAAGATTTTTTCCTTCTGCAGTGTGGCTTTCTATGAAATCTTTCTAAAGCATTCAACTAACTTTTTACGGAAATAGGAACTCTCTTATACTCACTTCATTGGCAGATTGTTGGTCTCTAGAAGATCTTTGTCAGTGTTTATAGCTGGCTAACTGCAACTCTGCCACTCCCCTAGAAAGACAGTTGGAAGTGGGTAATTGGTGTGTTGACTTTTGCCCCCATCTTGTATAAGCAAGGGTACCATATTTGTAATTTAGTGTCCTGTACGAAACTTTGAAGTTGGACTGACAGTCCATGTGGCCCTGCTTGTTTTGGATTTGGCTACAATAGAACTACTGGGGTTGAATTTTAAGCAGGACTTGGACGACCATCTTTACTTTCACTCAGACTCTGTCTGTTCTGCCATTTGTAATTTTACACCTAACCTGTTATTGTAAAATGAAGGGACTGTTCCAGGAATCTTAATATCTGGAATTTAGAGGGATGGTTTGCTGCTTACAAAGCATTGTATTCAAGGTGCATCTTAATATCTTGGTTAGTTTGCTTGTCAGATTTAATGGAAATTTTAAATATTGTGTAATATTTAGAGTTCTCATAGCTTTTTAAGTAAATGGATTTTAATGTCATAAAATGAGACCAGTAAGTATGAAACAAGCCAAAGGTCTAGTTTGAGAAACTTTTCTGCTGTATTACTCATTACTATTTTGCCTTTGATTTGTTTTCCTCAGTTCATATTCTGCTTATCTCATTTTCTTTTTTTCTTTTTCAGTGATGATCATGTGAAGTTTTTCTGCTTTCAAGTACTGGAACATCAAGTTAAATACAAGTAAGGCTTTTCTTACTGTTTTGACTCAGATTTGCGGGGAGAGGTCATTTTTTTAATTTAATGTTTTTCTTCCATAAGGAAACCATAATACAGGTTGTAAATTCACAGTGTATATGTTATATCCAGGTTATAGATACGTTTTGATGTACCCCAAAGTGTTTTAAAAGTGCTGAGTTGGCCAGGTGAGGTGGCTCTCGCCTGTAATCCGAGCACTTTGGGAGGCTGAGGCCGGTAGATCACTTGAAGTCAGGAGTTTGAGACTAACCAGCCTGGCCAACATGGTGAAACCCCGTCTCTACAAAAAATACAGAAACTAGTCAGATGTGGTGGCATGCACCTGTAATCCCAGCTACTCAGGAGACTGAGGCACGAGAATTGCTTGAACCTGGGAGGCGGAGGTTGCAGTGAGCCGGGATCACACCACTGCACTCCAGACTGGGTGACAGCGAGACTCCGTCTCAAAAATAAAAAAAGTGCTGAGTTTGTTGGTTACACATAAAAATCCAAGGCTGGGCGCAGTGGCTCATGCCTATGATCTCAGCACTTTGGGAGTCCAAGGCAAGAGGATCGTTTGAGCTCAGGAGTTTGAGACCAGCCTAGGCAACATAGTGAGACCTCATCTCTACAAAAATTTTTTTAAAAAATTAGCCAGGCATGATTGCGCGCTTCTGTATTCCCAGCTACTGGGGAAGCTGAGGCCAGGAGGTTGAGGCTCCAGTGAGCCATGATGGTGCCACTGCACTTCAGCCTGGGCAATACAGCAAGACCTTGTCTCAAAAAAAAAAAAAAAAATGAAAATCCAGATATTTCACAGAAAAATCTAGATTTCCAGCTTTTCTGGAAAAGTCAGAATATCTGGTAACACCAGGCCTGTTTTTCTACATGACAATTCTCTCTTAGAGTTAAGTAGCTGCATGGGCACTTGTGTTCAGAATCTCTGACTTACTAATTAAGCAAAATAACAAATCACTACTGAGAGGATTCCTAGTTCACCTATTGGTTTATTCTGTAGATCACAGACCACAAAACATTTTCATTCGAAAAATTGTGTAGCCATCATTTGTTTCAACATGAACAGAATCACAAATTAAAGATTGATATTGATGCCCTACCTGCCACTCTTGTCCTTATCTTTAAAGCAATGATGAGTGGCATTATCAGTTTATGTTAGGGAACTTCAGATAATTGAGAGCTATACAAATTTTCCCTTTCAAATATATGAGGCTGTTATTTTTTACAACCATAGACACCAAATATAGCCATTATTCTTTTTCTTCTCTATTTTGAACAGATACTCAGAACTAACCACTGTTCAACAACAGCTAATTAGGGAGACGCTCATATCATGGCTGCAAGCTCAGGTAAAATCATAATTTCATTCAGTACCTCAAATTATTAGATATTTAAACTTATTTTTTGCAAGAGTTTGGAACTTTACCTCAAAGATTTTCATCAGTGTTCCTCCATTTGATTTCATAGCTTTTTTAAAAGGTGCTGGTTTTAAAGATCATGGAAGTGGTAGTTTAGCAATAATTTAATATTATATCAATGACTGAAATGGTCATAGTTTCCATGACACATTGTGGAAACTTTGGTTTTAAAATGTAGTTGTTTTTAACTACTTGACAAATGCTGCTTTCTGTTTGGCTCTTAAAGGTGAGCCCTCCTGGACAGCCTCTCCACCAGAGCCCTTTATAAAGGGCCAGTTGAGTTCTTTTCAGTTAATTTTAGCTAATCTTAACACATAAAGCAGTTGTGTAGCTAGAGTTTTCATTTTCCTTAAAGAGCAAGTAGAGGAAAATTTTTTTTTCTTCTTAGAAGAAATTATAGGAACTATTAAAACTCTGCACATGAAACTTTTCTGTCAAAGTGTAAGAATGAGGAATAATCATTACAGCCTTTAATGGTTCATTTAATTGTTCTTCATCTGGTCAATCACTTAAATACTTTTGATAATTTTGATAATCATAATTATCAAAATAATTTTGAAGAGTATTTGTTGCATAGTTTATCTGGGCCATGTTGACATTTGATGAAACTTTGCCTTTTAATAAGACAACTGGTGTTTCTGGGTCTTTTCAATTTACATTTAATTTTATGGACTGTTTCTCTGTTTGTCAGATGCTGAATCCCCAACCAGAGAAGACCTTTATACGAAATAAAGCCGCCCAAGTCTTCGCCTTGCTTTTTGTTACAGAGTATCTCACTAAGTGGCCCAAGTTTTTTTTTGACATTCTCTCAGTAGTGGACCTAAATCCAAGGGGAGTAGATCTCTACCTGCGAATCCTCATGGCTATTGATTCAGAGTTGGTGGATCGTGATGTGGTGCATACATCAGAGGCAAGTAACTAACCATGAATTTTTTATATTTAATGTAAGTTTTGTAGGTGATAATGGGCACATAATAAAAAGAGCAGGGAAGTTTTCTTTCTTGAGGTAAACTTTCTTAAGTTATATAATTATAAATTTACCTGATGTTTTGGATTTTATTTTATGAAGGAACTCAAACTTGGTTATTTTTTTTCCAGAGGTATATTGAAATTAAAGTATTACATTACATTTTTTATTTTTTTACTTTTTTGAGACGGAGTCTTGCTCTGTTCCCCAGGCTGGAGTGCAGTGGCACAGTCTTGGCTCACTGCAACCTCCGCCTCCTGGGTTCAAGCGATTCTCCCACCTCAGCCTCCCTAGTAGCTGGGATTATAGGCACATGCCACCACGCCTGGCTAATTTTTGTATTTTTTGTAGAGATTGGGTTTCGCCAGGCTGTGCTCAAACTCCTGACTTCAGGTGATCCGCCCGCCTTGCCCTCCCAAAGTGTGGGGATTACAGGCATGAGCCACTGCGCCCAGCCTAAATTTTTTTTAACTAGGCAAATACTGTAGTGACATACACGAGTTGATTTTCTTTTATGAATCTGTTGAGAAAGGTAGTCTCAATTTAATACTGCTATATAGTCCCTGAGCAAGGAAGAAGCATTGCTTAGGAGTTGTCCGTGTTGCTACTTCTGTATTCTTCATCACATAGTGTAAGTACTATGTTACTATATTGAGAAATAACTTAAAATATGCTTAAGATTTCTAAGCAGTGCTTTTTATAGTTTGTATTTACTAAGAAATTAACTCTGACACTGAGGAGTAGAACAGAAAGAGGAAATACAAAGAATCACAGGATATGATCTTAGAGCTGGTAAATAGGAAATACTGGTAGGGAATGTGTTAACAAGTCTGAAAGTTTACTCTCTGCAAGTATATTCAGATATCAAACATGATTTTGTAAGGTAATCTACTTTGCATTTGGCGTTTTGTATTTTAGGAGGCTCGTAGGAATACTCTCATAAAAGATACCATGAGGGAACAGTGCATTCCAAATCTGGTGGAATCATGGTACCAAATATTACAAAATTATCAGTTTACTAATTCTGAAGTGACGTGTCAGTGCCTTGAAGTAGTTGGGGCTTATGTCTCTTGGATAGACTTATCCCTTATAGCCAATGATAGGTAAGTATGCCTATTATTTTTATAGTATAAACTTGTAAAATACAGTATCTAAAACTCATGACTTTGAAAATGTTACAATTTTATTGTCCCATTACCAGGTTTATAAATATGCTGCTAGGTCATATGTCAATAGAAGTTCTACGGGAAGAAGCATGTGACTGTTTATTTGAAGTTGTAAATAAAGGAATGGACCCTGTTGATAAAATGAAACTAGTGGAATCTTTGTGTCAAGTATTACAGTCTGCTGGGTTTTTCAGCATTGACCAGGTTGGTAAATTTATATAAAACATTGTATGTAAAGTTGTTAGAACAAACTGGGATAGGTACTAAGTTAAATATAATAATAGCTTTTTTTCTTCTAAATGTTATAAACTCCCCTTGAGATTATAATATAAACCACTGCATCTAGCCAAAATGTTCTCAGTAGCATTCTCCTTGGAGAATGGGTTATACCAGTTCTTAAACCTGAAAGCCTGTAATTGCACATTTCTCACAAACTCTTAGGAGATGCTGACACAACTTGTTCATAGTGGAATTGAGATTTTTTGTTTTGTTTTGTTTTTTGAGATGGAGTCTCACTCTGTTGCCCAGGCTGGAGTGCAGTGGCACAGTCTCGGCTCACTGCAACCTCCGTCTCCCGGGTTCAAGTGATTCTCCTGTCTCAGCCTTCCGAGTAGCTGAGATTACAGGCGCATGCCACTACACCCGGCAAATTTTTTACCTTTTTGGTAGAGACGGGGTTTCACCATGTTGGCCAGGCTTGTCTCGAACTCTTGACCTCAGGTAATCCACCCACTTCGGCCTTCCAGAGTGCTGGGATTACAGGCATAAGCCACCGTGCCCAGCCTGGAATTGTTAAATATATGACGTCATTTTAAAATTGAATCCTGTAATTAGCACTTGATTCATATTAAAGTTCAGTTTTTCCTCTTAGCTTGGGCAGGCAGTTTTAAACAGAGATGTGTCTTGATTGCTTATAGGAAGAAGATGTTGACTTCCTGGCCAGATTTTCTAAGTTGGTAAATGGAATGGGACAGTCATTGATAGTTAGTTGGAGTAAATTAATTAAGAATGGGGATATTAAGAATGCTCAAGAGGCACTACAAGCTATTGAAACAAAAGTGGCACTGATGTTGCAGCTACTAATTCATGAGGATGATGATATTTCTTCTAATATTATTGGATTTTGTTACGATTATCTTCATATTTTGAAACAGGTAAGTTTTTGTTTTATTCTTTTTGCTCAATACATAATACAAAGGAGCCATGGAGAAGTGGAAAATATGGAAAAATTAAAAATGAGAAAATACCCATAATTCTACTACCTAAAGATATTTACTGTTAAATACTAATGTATTTCCATCTTAAAAAAAAAAGAATTGGCCAGAAAATAGTTTCAGGTTCTAAATTCAGTAGACTAACCAGCTTCAGAGGTAGTTATAGGTTTAGGTTTTTTTTTTTATTTTGAACCTGTCTTTATTTGTGAATACAGTTGAAATTTTCATAAGCATGGTTTGTTATTTTAATTTACATATACATCATTCATTTCTCATAAACAATTTTTTTTTCTTTTTTGAGACGGAGTTTTGCTGTTGTTGCCCAGGCTGGAGTGCAATGGCGTGATGTCAGCTCACCACAACCTCCACCTCCCAGGTTCAAGCGATTTTCCTGCCTCAACCTCCCAAGTACCTGGGATTACAGGCATGCACCACCACATCCAGCTGATTTTGTACTTTTAGTAGACAGGGTTTCTCCATGTTGGTCAGGCTGGTCTTGAACTCCCTACCTCAGGTGATCTGCCCACCACAGCCTCCCAAAGTGCTGGGATTACAGGTGTGAGCCACCACGCCCGGCAACAATTTTTTACAATTAAAGTTTCCCCCACTTCCAGAAAGAACTTGTAGGTGGTGTTAGTCTCCATATTATAGCATTTAGCAATTAAAATAATTAGTAACTTATCAATATGATATTAGATGAAAGCCATTTCTGTATATTTACTTTGAATTAATTGAGTCAAGTCAAACTTAAAATATGTTCCCAAATGACTTTAGTTTCTGTTTTATTGTAGTAAACATAACATGTATCTTTATGTATACTTCAAGAAATTTTATGCAGTGTGGAAAGGTATGATCACTATTGGTAATTCCATTGTATATCTCTTAATGGTTTTGTAGGCTTGTTTTGCTTTGTTTAAAAACCTTTGCAGAATATGTTATAGGTGTCTTTGTCTACATGTCAAGTTACTTACTAGAAGTGGCATTACTTGATCTTAGGTTAGGTATATTTTAAATATAGGCAGCTGCTGCTAAACTGCCCTCCAAAAAAGTTGTGTGCATGTTTTCAAAGATCTTGATTGATTACAGGCCAGGCATAATGGCTGTCACCTGTAATCCCAGCACTTGGTAAGGCTGAGGCGGGAGGATTGTTTGAGGCCAGGAGTTTGAGACCAGCCTGGGCAACATAGGAAGACTCCATTTCTATAAATAATAAAAAGAAAACTAGCCAAGTGTGGTGGCACATGCCTGCGGTCCCAGCTAACTTGGGAGGGTGAGGTGGGAGGATCTCTTGAGCCAGGGAGTTGGGGGTTGCAGTGAGCCATGACTGCGCCACTGCACTCCAGCCTGGGCAACAGAGCAAGACCTTGTCTCAAAAAAAAAAAAAAAAACCAGGTCTTAATTGATTCGAAAAATGTTCTGATATGCAGGTATAACTTTAGAAAACCTAATAAGTTATTGCTTCCTTTTTAACAGCTTACAGTGCTCTCGGATCAGCAAAAAGCTAATGTAGAGGTAATTGACTTTATGCTTCTTTTAAACCAATGATAGATTTTTAGTCTGTAATTTGCCTTGAAATGTAGCTTAATTTCAAATTATATCAAATTAGAAGGAGACTGACAAAAACTCTTTTATTCTCAATTTTATTCTTAGGCAATCATGTTGGCCGTTATGAAAAAATTGACTTACGATGAAGAATATAACTTTGAAAATGAGGTAAGAATTTTTTTTTGTTGAGGAGAAAGGAGTTTTAATTTTATTATTATATCAAATTAATATTTCAAGTTCTTATTGTTTCGGGGCCCTTTAAAACATGAAGTTCTTGAAAAATTAGTCTGTTTATATTGACACCAACCTTGGGTGAAATTAATAGAAGCCTCTTAATCCTTCCTTTTTGATATTTTATCCATTAACAACCACCCCCCCTCCTTTTTTTTTGCTTTGAGACAGAGTCTCACTCTGTCACCCAGGCTGGAGTGCAGTGGTGCCATCTCAGCTCACTGCATCCTCTGCCTCCTGGGTTCAAGTGATTCTTGTGCCTCAGCCACCTTAGTAGCTGGGATTACAGGCATGTGCCACCATGCCCGGCTAATTCTTGTATTTTTAGTAGAGACGGGGTTTCGCCGTGTTGGCCAAGTTGGTCTTGAACTCCTGGCCTCAAGTGATCTGCCTGCCTCAGCCTCCCAAAGTGTTGGGATTATAGGTGTGAGCCACTGCACCTGTCCCATTAACAGCCCTTTTACAAATACTGTGTAGCACTGAACATAGTAAAATATTGATAATATTATTGGTGATCATATTTCACTTTATATTTTGTAAGAATGATGAACTCCAGTCACAAGACTGTATTGGCAGAGTGGAAATGAGGCGCTCTAGACTTGTTCCAGTTAAAGGTCTTTTTCAAGATTGTGAGTGGGTCAGCTTCCCATCAAACAAGGGCCATTGGTGCTTTCTAGGTATTCAGTCATGGTATTTGCTGCTAAGCTTTGTTCTAAAGTGTTGTATTCCCCCACCTCAGACATTCAAAAACTTAGGGTTGTAAAAGGATAATAGTGGTGCTGACCAACACACTGCGCACCTGGGATGTGCCAGGCTCCTAAGATTGAATATCTCCAGTTATACCATATTATTACCACTTTTTACAGTGGATATTGACTTACAAGAATAAATAAGGTGCAAAGAATTCAAAGCCCATTCTAGTGCTAGAGTATTGTCTTTAACCTTCTTAGACTATTTCTAGCTCTAGGCTTTTGAGGTCTACGGCTTTGTGCAGAAATACTTATTTGTGAGCTGGAGGGAAGAAGTTATTAAGCTTAATAAGTTTTTCTATATAAATAGTGACAAAAATAAAAGTACGAAATATGTAAATGCGGAAAAATACAGGAGAACTGGATATTTACATGAATTTTAAGGTCTTTTAAGTTTTTAATTTTTATTATTATACTTTAAGTTTTGGGGTACATGTGCAGAACGTGCAGGTTTGTTACATAGGTATACATGTAGCCATGGTGGTTTGCTGCGCCGATCAACCCATAAGTTTTTTGAATGAGGATTTTAACCTGTATCATAGGGTGAAGATGAAGCCATGTTTGTAGAATATAGAAAACAACTGAAGTTACTGTTGGACAGGCTTGCTCAAGTTTCACCAGAGTTACTACTGGCCTCTGTTCGCAGAGTTTTTAGTTCTACACTGCAGTAAGTTTGTCATTACTTTTGTAACAAGCCTACTTCTTTCTTTTGCTCTTTGATATGGGTCAAAATAAATGATTCATATGACTTATTAATCCATGTTACTTATTGAGATCTTATGTGTATCTCTGGAAACAATGCACTTGTCTTCTTGATTTATCTTGATCCTTTCTACCTTTGTGATGTATTGCCTGGGAAAGTTAACAGTTGCTATGACTTTTTAATAATTAAAAAGGCTTTTGTTGGTGTCTTACCCTGTGCATAATTTGCTGTATGAAAAATTTATCTTTAAATCTCACTGACATATTATACCTTGGTAGGAATTGGCAGACTACACGGTTTATGGAAGTTGAAGTAGCAATAAGATTGCTGTATATGTTGGCAGAAGCTCTTCCAGTATCTCATGGTGCTCACTTCTCAGGTGATGTTTCAAAAGCTAGTGCTTTGCAGGATATGATGCGAACTGTAAGTATACTGGAGATAATTTTGACCATAAATTTCTGTTTTCAGTATAAGCTAATGGGAGTTCCTTAATTGTTAGAGCTTAGTATATGTTAATACCGGGGCATTTTGATGTTGCAATAAATAAGAAGAGGTTTCCTAACTTTTTCCTGATCTAGCTGGTAACATCAGGAGTCAGTTCCTATCAGCATACATCTGTGACATTGGAGTTCTTCGAAACTGTTGTTAGATATGAAAAGTTTTTCACAGTTGAACCTCAGCACATTCCATGTGTACTAGTAAGTACTCTGGATTTTTGTTACTTTCCATGGGTTTCAGCTAATGACTTGATAGTGTAGTATTGTATTTTTCTGTCTATAACTTTTCTCAGAATCAAAACCTCTCAGAAGTGCTTGGCACACACTGAAAGTAACCCCTCCTCCATTTCTTTTAAATGGATAGTTTGTGCCCAATTAGTCAACTAAAACAAGTTCTCAAGGGACTGTTTGTGTGTAGTTTAGAATTACTCGTATATTCCTAGTCCCTGCCTTTTAGGAGCTAAGAAGTAAAATTTGGTGTGAACAAAAATGTAGCAGGACAATATCAACAAAACCCTTGAAAAAATGCAGAAATAGTAAAAGTGTCTCCTTCTTTAGATGGCTTTCTTAGATCACAGAGGTCTGCGGCATTCCAGTGCAAAAGTTCGGAGCAGGACGGCTTACCTGTTTTCTAGATTTGTCAAATCTCTCAAGTAAGTATAAAATTGCAGCTATTATGTTTAGTTATTTTTTAAGTTACTGGATAGATGTAAAACAATAGTAAAGACATGGAATCAACCTAGGTGCCCATCAGTGGTGGATTAGATAAAGAAAATGTAGGCCAGGTATGGTGGCTCATGCCTATAATCCCAACACTCTGGGAGGCCGATCACAAGGTCAGGAGTTGGAGACCAGCCTGGCCAACATGGTGAAACCCCATCTCTACTAAAGATACAAAAAATTAGCTAGGCATGGTGGCGGGTTCCTGTAATCCCACCTACTCAGGAGGCTGAGGCAGGAGAATCGCTTGAACCTGGGAGGTGGAGGTTGCAGTGAGCCAAGATCACACTCCAGCCTGGGTGACAGCGTGAGACTCAGTCTCAAAAAAAAAAAAAAAGAAAAAGAAAATGTAGTACACATACATCATGAAATACTAAACAGCCATAACAAAGAACAAAATCATGTCCTTTACAGCAACATGGATGCAGCTGGAGGCCTTTAATCTAAGCAAATTAACGCAGAAACAAAAAAACAAATGCCACATGTTCTCACTTATAAGTGAGAGCTAAATCTTGGGTACACACAGATATGAAGCTGGGAACAAAAGACACTTGGGACTCCAAAATGAGGGAGTGGGGCAAGTGCTGAAAAACTTCCTGTTGGGTACTGTGTTCAATATCTGGGCAATGGGATTGGATCAATAGAAGCGCAAACCTCAGCATCCCGTGATATACCCGTGTAACAAACCTCCATGTGTACCCCCTGAATTTAAAATGAAGATGGAGGCCTGGCGCGGTGGCCCACGCCTGTAATCCCAGCACTTTGGGAGGCTGAGGCGGGTGGATCACCTAAGATCAGGAGTTTGAGACTAGCCTGGCCAACATGATGAAACCCGGTCTCTACTAAAAATACAGAAAATTAGCCGGGCATGGTGGTGGGCACCTGTAATCCCAGCTAACAGAAGGCTGAGGCAGGAGAATCACTTGAACCCAGGAAGCAGAATTTGCAGTGAGCAGAGATCGTGCCATTGCACTCCAGCCTGGGTGACAAGAGTGAAACTCTGTCTCAAAAAAATAAAATGAAGATGGAAATAAAAAAAAAGTAGACATATAAATTATTTTCCAAGAGCCTATGGTAGATTTGGTTCTTCCTGTTCAAGTCAAGTCATGCTTTGTCAGGTCAGGTAGATGTACTCCCGACCTTTTTTTTTTTTTTTTTTTGAGACAGATTTTCGTTCTTGTTGCCCAGGCTGGAGTACAATGGCATGATCTTGACTCACTGCAACCCCTGCCTCCTGGGTTGAAGCGATTCTCCTGCCTCAGCCTACTGAGTAGCCAGGATTACAGGTGTCCATCGCCACACCCGGCTAATTTTTTGTATTTTTAGTAGAGATGGGGCTTCACCATGTTGGTCAGGCTGGCCTTGAACTCCTGACCTGAGATGATCCACCCTCTTCAGCCTCCCAAAGTGCTGGTATTACAGGCATGAGCCACCGCGCCCAGCCCCCTTTTTATGTTGCCACTTCCTTTCCTGCTCATCAGCCAAGTACTTAGTTCAATAGTAAAAGTTTTCATTGTTTTTTGTTGTTATTTTTTTGAGATGGGGGTCTCATGCTGTCGCCTAGGCTGGAGTATAGTGGCTGGATCCCAGTTCACTGCAACCTCAACCTCCTCAGGCTCAGGTGATCTTCCCACCTCAGCCCCCTGAGCACCTGGGACTACAGGCGTGTGACGATGGCCGGCTAATTTTTGTATTTTTTGTAGAATCAGTCTCACCACATTGCCCAGCCTGGTCTCAAATTCTTTAGCTCAGTCTTCCCACCTCGGCCTCCCAACGTGTTGGGATTACAGAAATGAGCCACTGCACTTGGCCTGTATTATTCTTTACTAGTACTATTTTTTGCGAATGAAAACTACTCCTTATTAGGTTTATAAGATTGTAAGTCATTTTGACAATCTTATCACTACAGAGCAGATAAAGGTAATTTTTAAAAATTAACCATAGCTAATCTTAATCAGAAGTGACTAGCCTACAACTGAACTTTTTTTTAGTTCTGTCTTAAAGGGGGAATTTGGTATTTTAGCACTGTTTTGAGCACTGTTATTAATTGTGATTTCCTTTTTCTGTTTTTCAGTAAGCAAATGAATCCTTTCATTGAGGATATTTTGAATAGAATACAAGATTTATTAGAGCTTTCTCCACCTGTAAGTATCTGTCTCTTTAAGATATTTTACCCAGAATTCATTGAAGCCACACGTGCCATTAGCCTTGCCTTTGTTGGCATTTAAAAAAAAAAATTGGTGGTGGAGGGAAGTGTATGTGCAAAGATTAGTTCTATTTACCAAAATTCTGTTGACATAGTAAACAAAACATAGTAATAGGAATCAAGAGTTGACAGATCAATTTGGCAGCATGGGGTATATTGTTAAAATGTTGAAGCATTTTATGAAGAAGAAAAAATTCATTAAAGATGAGCTTGCTGTTAAAATGAAAAGTATATTAAAAATTTTAAAAACCAAAAGAAAATAAAAATTTAAAAAATTCAACTTCTAAATTATTCTGTTTAATCCTATAATTGTATTAGCCATTCTTAGCAGCTGCTACTGTTAGATCGAAGGTTTTCCCTGTCATTTCAGGCTTAGGGTAAAAAAAAAAATTAAGTGCTAGTCGATCTGAATATTTTGGTGTTGGGATTGGGCCATAATCCCAAGTGTTAAAATCCTGAAATCCTAAAAACCACAATTCTAAAAGATCAAAATCTTAAAAATATAATCCTGGAAAAAGTAATTTTAAAAAATTATTTGAAAGATATTACTTTACATTTTTAAAAGGGAATGTATTTGAGAAACATGTAAAAACATGACAGCACTTCATAGGCCACTTTACACAATAAAATAGGCAATAATAACATGCTTTTGCAAGCATAAACAGTTATAAAAATGACAGTTACATGTGTAAAACAGGAGCAGACAAACTGTATTCATAAATCAGAAAGCAAAATGTGTAAGTGCATGTCACTATGGTTAGTAGTTGTGTGCCACTCTGCTTTATAACTGCGCTCATCTGAAATAACCATGACAGACAACCTAAGTCTTGAGGAAATTGATAAAAAACGGCAATGGGTCACTACAACATATGCAGTCACCCAAAGAACTGAGATCACAAGAAATTTTATGTTTCACAGATGCAGATGTACAGAAAGGACCTTTCTTGTGTACATGCAGTGTTTACACACACAGTTAATGCTGTGTGTAATGTACTTTTGCAGAGTCAAATTTCTGATGTTCAAGGCCGCAGAAGAAAAGTCTGTCCACCTTTCAGAGAGAGACCAATTTGCCTTATGTATTTGTTCTCTCAGAGCCCCTGGTCAATTGGATGGTGCCCGCCAACACTGAGGGCAGGTCTTCCCCACATAGTCTACTTGGACTGACTAATCTTTCCTGGAAACACCCTTACAGACACATGCAAAATAATGCTTTACTGTGTGTTGTTACTTAATTATTTAAAAGAAGTATAGCACTCTAGTACTTTTTTTTTTTTTTTTGAGACAGAGTCTTGGCTCTGTCACCCAGGCTGGAGTGCAGTGGCATGGTCTTGACTCACTACAACTCTACCTCTCAGGTTCAAGCAGTTCTCCTGCCTCAGCCTCCCGCGTAGCTGGGACTACAGGTGCGCCACCACACCCAGCTAATTTTTGTATTTTTAGTAGAGACAGGGTTTCACCACGTTGACCAGGCTGGTCACGAACTCCTGACCTCAAGTGATCTGCCGGCCTCGGCCTCCCAAAGTGCTAGGATTACAGGCATGAACCACCACATGCAGCCTAGCCTCATAACAATCTTATATAAATAAGATCTTTACAAAAGAAAACAAGTTAGAAAGCTAACTTTAATAATTATCTTACATGATCATTTATAGAGTCTTGTCAGGGCTGGAATTAGAACCGTGATCTGTTGACCTCTAATTTAGTTTTCTTTTCATTCTATGGTCCTGGGAGAAAATTTGTCTTTATAAGTATTTGACATATGAGTTGGTGTGATAGATTACATTTCCTGTTCCTAATGCACTTTTTCTCATTAAATGAAGGGAACTCAAAAAATAAAAGCTTTAATAAGACTGAATTTCATTCTAGGAGAATGGCCACCAGTCCTTACTGAGCAGCGATGATCAACTTTTTATTTATGAGACAGCTGGAGTGCTGATTGTTAATAGTGAATATCCGGCAGAAAGGAAACAAGCCTTAATGAGGAATCTGTTGACTCCACTAATGGAGAAGTTTAAAATTCTGTTAGAAAAGTTGATGCTGGCACAAGATGAAGAAAGGCAAGCCTCTCTAGCAGACTGTCTTAACCATGCTGTTGGATTTGCAAGGTAAGTGTGATCACAGTTAAAATTATAAAGTGCATGTATCTACACAGACAGAACCACTTGTTTGGTGGGCACACACATTTGTGTTTCCACAGTTGGATAATCCAGAGAATTGTCTAAATCTTTGTCCTCCAAATCCAGTCAGTTAGATTTGGTTGAAGAAGGGGATAGGTTACATACCATTTACATTTTTGCCTTGACAACTGTAAATCTTTAACTCCTCTGACTTCTCTGATATAAATGGGTTGTGTGTTTAAGAGGATCAGCTGAAGTGTTAATATACCAAATATATATTGGGACGGGACATCTTTGGTTAGTCTTGGTTACCTTAAAGAGAAGAGCGTGAGGTTTCTCTTCAGTTGTATTGTGTCCTGAAGATCACCCAAGCAGCTGTTTTTTCCGCCTCTAGCCATACTTTTTGTTGACAAACAACAGCATGAAAGTTGTAAAGATTGCTAATTTAGAAGTTAAATTGTTCTATAATATATTTAAGAACAAGAGCTAGATATTAGAGAGGTTGTATAAAGAATTCTGAAGATGGTTTTCTAAATTTAAATGGGTGGTTTGCAGGTTACCTAGTACAGGCCTAGTCATAATAAGTGGATTTATTTTCTCTTTTCTGTCCACTTTGTCAGTAGGATTTTTCTCTTTTTTTTCTTTTTTCTTTTTTTTGTGGGGGAGACACAGTCTTGCTTTGTCACTCAGGCTGGAGTGCAGTGTTGTGATCTCAGCTCAGTGCAACCTCCGCCTCCCAGGCTCAAGCAATTCTTGTGCCTCAGCCTCCAAGTAGCTGGGATTGCAGGCATGTGCTACCACACCCAGCTAATTTTTCTATTTTTAGTAAAGACCGGTTTTGACCATGTTGTCCAGACTGGTCTTGAACTCCTGGCCTCAAGTGATTTGCCTGCCTTAGCCTCCCAAAGTGCTGGAATTAGAAGCATGAGCCACAATACCCAGCCCAGTCAATAGGATTTTAATAAAACATTTAGGTAGACTCACATTAGAAGGATTATATTAACTACATGTCATTCATTTAAGTTAATTTGAGCTCTTTTGTTCTGGAAAGATCATTGGAAGCAGTAGTTTACAAATAGCCATATTAGCTAAAGATGGAAGTAATTGTGATGTGGAAAATAAAGGTCTGGTTATTTAGTTTTGTTAATTTTGTAATTTGTTGTGCATTGCTTTTGAATACTCCATAACACTTTTAAAGAATAAAGTTGCATCTGATTGCCTGATTTTTGCTTATATAGTCGAACCAGTAAAGCTTTCAGCAACAAACAGACTGTGAAACAATGTGGCTGTTCCGAAGTTTATCTGGACTGTTTACAGACATTCTTGCCAGCCCTCAGTTGTCCCTTACAAAAGGATATTCTCAGAAGTGGAGTCCGTACTTTCCTTCATCGAATGATTATTTGCCTGGAGGAAGAAGTTCTTCCGTTCATTCCATCTGCTTCAGAACATATGCTCAAAGATTGTGAAGCAAAAGATCTCCAGGAGTTCATTCCTCTTATCAACCAGATTACGGCCAAATTCAAGGTACCGCAAACTTTCAGAGCTCTGAAAATCTCTTGAAGATCAGATGTATTTATCTTCAGACATGTTTCGGATTTTGCCCTTGGGTTTCTTTTTTTTTGCTTTTAATGAATTACTTAAGAGCCTCATGGATCATATGTATTTTTATCATCTGTGGTGTCTGGCACACTGCCTGATACATAGGTCATGCTTAATAGATGTTTGAATATAAACAGACCCTAACCGCTTTGTGTAGCAAAAGAAAACTAGTCTGCTGTTTTAGAAGAGCATATAAAACCAGTAAACTGAGTACTAAATAAGCACCATAATTCAGGTACCCAAGCAAGAGTTAAAAGTAATTCAATGTATTAAAGTCAGTTTTCTGTAGGACATTTAAGCTGGCTAATAAAAGTGGTTAATACTTACATAGTACCTCTTTTTTCCTTTTTTCTTTTTTTTTTAAATGGAGATAGTCTCACTCTGTCACATAGGCTGGAGTGCAGTGGCGCGGTCACAACTCACTGCAACCTCCACCTCCCAGGTTCAAGCGATTCTTGTGCCTCAGCCTCCTGAGTAGCTGGAACTATAGGTGCATGCACCACACCACGCTAATATTTTGTACTTTTAGTAGAGACAGCGTTTCCCCATGTTGACCAGGCTAATCTCGAACTCCTGACCTCAAGTGATCCTCCTGCCTCGGCCTCCATAAGTGCTAGGATTACAGGCATAAACCTGGCCACTTACATAGTACTTTCTATGTTCAAAATCTGTTCTAAGCATTTTTTGTACATTTACTCATTTGATCTTCATACCTACCCTAGAAGACAGGGATTATATGTTATAGTTGAGGAAACTGAGGCATGGAGAAGTGAAGGGATTTGCCCAAGAGTTCATAAAACTCAGGAGTTCATTTGTAAGCAAGTATTGAGAACATGCTATTAAACAATGTTTTTTACCTTTGTTCAAAAACAAGAAAAACCCTAAGAGTTTAATCATATAATTCATTTTTTGAGAATTTAATTTTGAAAATATTCCATGGCAATATTGTGAAATATGTCTGACTATTATTTTAACCTAAATCTTAAGCTGTAGGAAAGGGTTTAAATTTAATGATCTTGAGTCTTTTAGTAATATTTTTTAAGGTTTTTTCCCCACCTTGAAATGGAGTCTTGCTGTGTTGCCCAGGCTGGAGTGCAGTGGTATGATCTTGACTCACTGCAACCTCCACCTCTCAGGTTCAAGCAGTTCCCCTGCGTCAGCCTCCTGAGTAGCTTGGACTGGGACTACAGGCGTGCGCCACTACACCCAGCTAATTTTTGTATTTTTAGTAGAGATGGGGTTTCACCATGTTGGGCAGACTGGCCTTGAACTCCTGACCTCAGGTGACTCACCCGCCTTAGCCTCCCAAAGTGCTGGGATTACAGGTGTGAGCCACTGCGTCTGGCCTAGTAATGTTTAGGTTATATAGATTTTATCTTAAAATTGATATTTGCTAACTGAATTATGTACGCATGCATCCTAAATAGAAAAGAAAGGCTTTATGTAAAATAGTTTTTTCTAAGTTGTATGTTAATATTGTTACTAATTTCTGAAGTAATGATTGTTTATCTTCAGATACAGGTATCCCCGTTTTTACAACAGATGTTCATGCCCCTGCTTCATGCAATTTTTGAAGTGCTGCTCCGGCCAGCAGAAGAAAATGACCAGTCTGCTGCTTTAGAGAAGCAGATGTTGCGGAGGAGTTACTTTGCTTTCCTGCAAACAGTCACAGGCAGTGGGATGAGCGAAGTTATAGCAAATCAAGGTGGGAACACATGCCATATCTAATTTGTCTGCTTAAGTCTGTGTCACTGTTGTACATCTATATGACCAAGAGCAAACTGAAGTAAATACAGAAATTTTGAAGTTTGCTATCCCATGGGAAGACAGTTTATTGTTTTCAGGGTGGGAATTGATCACTTTTATGTAAAGCACCTAAAATTAATTTGTATTCTGTTCCTTTTTCTTTCTGCAATATTTTTTTAATTTGGTTCTTTAGCAATATAAATAACATGGTTACTTACCAGAATTGACCTGACAATTGAGTCTTTATGGCAAATTTGCCATTTTGAAATATAAAATAAATGGAGCTGTACAGATTTGTGTAGAGAATTCTGTATAGGAAATTTAGGGAACAAGATACCAGGGGCAAACTGATTTTTCATTGTTTTATTTTTTAATTTGATTTGATTTGTGAGATAGGGTCTCACTCTCTTGCCCAGGCTGTAGTGCAGTGGTGTCATCACGACTCATTGCAACCTCCACCTCCTGGGCTATCCTCCCATCTCTACCTCCTGAGTAGCCAGGACCATTGGCAGTTGCCACAATGCTGGGCTTATTTTTTGTAGAGATGGGATCTCACCACGTTGCCCAGGCTGGTTAAACTCCTGGGCTCAAGCAATCTTCCTCGGCCTTACAAAGGGCTGGAATTACAGACAGGAGCCACCGCGCCCAGCTGATTTTTCAGTGTTTAATGTTTAAACTTTAGGTGCCCAGTTAATAAAAATCAAGGGATTTTGGCAATTCTGTAAATGCTTTTTTCCCCCTTCATTTTTCCCATTCCACCTGTAAATGATTTTTGACTTGTTAATGTATATGAAAAGAGAACTTCAGGTTGCTTTCCTAGTTAATTTTGGAAATTGCTTAAACTAAAGGTTTTTCTCCTCAGGTGCAGAGAATGTAGAAAGAGTGTTGGTTACTGTTATCCAAGGAGCAGTTGAATATCCAGATCCAATTGCACAGAAAACATGTTTTATCATCCTCTCAAAGTTGGTAGAACTCTGGGGTAAGATAATTTTATTTCTTAACCTTCATTTCCCAAACTCTTTCATAAAACTCTTAGACATAATGGAACATAGCCCTAACAGAGAGAGAAACTGGGAGTTGGTTTTCCCTGGTGATGAATTAATTGACTTACTTTTATATATAAGATGAAAATTTGAATTCTCTTGACAGGAGGTAAAGATGGACCAGTGGGATTTGCTGATTTTGTTTATAAGCACATTGTCCCCGCATGTTTCCTAGCACCTTTAAAACAAACCTTTGACCTGGCAGATGCACAAACAGTATTGGTAAGCACCTAGGAATCTTTGTTTACCTTGTGTAGCTCATATATTCCCAATTTCTTCTTTAATGCCAGGTTGATTATATTATGTTTCATTGATTTTTTTTTTAACTTAGTGATTTCAGATCAGGGTTCTTTTTTTAAAGATTTATGATACCTTCTGGAGTTTTTATGAATTCTTATTGAATCCCAATGCTACTGCTGAATTTTACAAATTCTACTCCTTCGACTTTAACACCTGACTTTTTCTAGGACCATGAAAGGGCATATGTCACAAACATTCTTTCAAGCTTGAGTATTAGTTTCCTACTACTACTTTAATTCTAAAACTTGTACCTAGTGGTTTTCCCTAATCATTAAGAGCATGAAATGGCAACTTGATCCTCCTTGTATGATAGTTTCCCCAAATCTAATTTTCACAATACTTAATGTCAATTTCCGCTTTCTCACTTTCCCACAACCTGGTAAAAGCTAGATTTCATAATTGTAATTTACTACGTTAAAACAACAGTTTGTATTTTTCTGTTTTTTTTCTTTTTTTACTTCAACCCACTTAGTCCATCTGCCTGTTACCTTTCCTTCCTCTATCCCTTCTCTGGAGTTAAATATTTCTCTGGAAATATTTATTTGAATTTCCCTGGCAGTGGCCAGGGTAGTAAAGAGAAGAGCTGGATCACTAAACAAGAATTGAATATATAGAAATTCTTAAACTTGTTTTTCACAGGCTTTATCTGAGTGTGCAGTGACACTGAAAACAATTCATCTCAAACGGGTAAGCCTTTTAGTCCATGCCCCTTCATTTTCATCTCACATGTGGTATTATTATCTTGTTCTTGAAAGATGTATCTTGTGTAAAATTTAACTTTTGTTTTGACTTTTTGGATGTGGGGAAAGGGGATGAATGAAAGTAGCAGTATCCATTTATTGTCCTTCATGTTTTGGGTAACATGTTTTGGTTTGACTAAGGATGTGAAAAATCTTAGCCAGAATTTCAAGATTCAGTTTTCATGATCTTGTAGGCTTCTTCACTACCAGATTTTTTATTTTATTTTTATTTTTATTTATTTTTTTGAGACTGAGTTTCACTTTTGTTGCCCAGGCTGGAGTGCAGTGGCATGATCTCGGCTCACGGCGACCCCTGCCTCCCAGATTCAAGCAATTCTCCTGCCTCAGCCTCCTGAGTAGCTGGAATTACAGGCACCCGCCACCATGCCCGGCTGATTTTTATATTGTTAGTAGAAACAGGGTTTCACCATGTTGGCCAGGGTGGTCTCGAACTCCTAACCTCAAGTGATCCGCCTGCCTTGCTTGGCCTCCCAAAGTGCTGGGATTACAGGCGTGAGCCACTGCGCCTGGCCTATTTTTTATTTATTTACAGGGTCTCACTCTGTCACTCAGGTTGGAATGCAGTGGTGCAATCTGGGGTCACTGCAGCCTCCACCTCCTGGAGTCTCAACTGATCCTCCCATCTCAATCTCCAGAGTAGCTGGGACCACACAGATGCATGCTACCACACCTGGCTAATTTTTATATTTTTTGTAGAGATGGGATTTCACCATGTTGGCCAGGCTGGTATTGAACTCCTGACCTCAAGTTGATCTGCCCACGATGGCATCCAAAAGTGCTGAGATAATAGGCGTGAGCCACTGTGCCCGGCCTTGGTTATTTTTTTAATATATATTTTACTTTATTTTTTGTGGTAGGTTCTCCCTGTGTTACCCAGGCTGGAGTGCAGTGGCATGATCTCAGCTCATTGCAGACCCCACCTCCCAGGCTCAAGTACTCTTCCCACTTCAGCCTCCTGAATAGCTGGGAGTACAGGCGCACGCCACCACACCTGGCTAATTTTTGTGGTTTTTATAGAGACCAGGTCTCACCATTGTCCCTACACTGGTCTTGAACTCCTGGGCTCAAACATTCCTCCTGCCTTGGCTTCCCAAAATGCTGGTATTACACCATGCCCAGCTGATTCTGGGTATTTGTAAATAACTGGAATTGGTTGCCAACATTTAAAAATCTCAAATACTTTTTTTTAACCAAAAATTCTTCCCTCCAGCCTCTCTCAAAGCCATAGAATGCCAGCACAGGACTGTTATTGCCACATAGCTACAGCCAGCTAAAGAGCAGTAGTTGCCCTCACCCCCTAAAAAGAACATGAGCTTTTGCTCAGTGGTCTCCATTCAGCTGTGCACTCATTTGAACTTGATTTTTTGATTCTGATAGAGACTTGAAGTGTTTTCAATTCAGCAGCATTTCTTCTATACTTGCTACCTGCTAGGGTGGGGTAGGTGTGTGTTTAGGGACAGCAGGGGAACTGTATAAAGGTAAATAAGGCATCCCCCGATACTCGAGAACTCAGAATCAAGGGAGACCAACACATAAAAAACTCCAGTGGGTTAAGTACTTTAGTGGAGATACATAAAATATTGTGGAACTAAAGCTGAATGGGCAATTTTGCCTGAGGGGCAATCTAAGCAAGCTATAGGAAAGAGGTGATATTTTTGATGGCCCTTAAATGTAGATTGATGGGAGTAATAGGGAGCTGGCATTCTGGGCAAAGTTAAGTAGGTGTACAAAGACAGATTAGATTAGATGTCACATGGTGGATTTGGTGGGAAGTTATAGACTTAATTCTGTTTAGCTAAAGTATAGAGGCAGAAGTGATAGCTAAAAAATAAGATGAGACTAGATAAAAGCCTTGTGTTACATGTGTAAAGTCAGGAAGTCAGTAGGCAGTGGGTTTGTAATTTAGGAGGGAAAGTGTTCGGAACAATGGGTCTGAAGCAGTTAGGATTAAATACTGATTTTGGAGTCCTCAGTGTAAGTCAGTCAAAGTAAAGCCATAGGAATGACTGAGACTTTCTAAGACCAGAACAGAAAGAACTTTGGCTCAAGCAAGAGTCAACAGAAAGGTAGAAGTAGAACCAGATAGTCAGGTGTGGTGGTGCACGCCTGTAATCCCAACTACTTGGCAGGCTGAGGCACAAGAATTGCTTGAACCCAGGAAGTGAGGTTGCAGTGAGCTGAGATCGTGGCACTGCACTCCAGCCTGGGCAACAGAGCGAGACTCTGTCTCAAAAAACAAAAACAAAACAAAATGAAAAAGCAGAACCAGAGGTAGGAGCATTATGAAAGATAAGAGAAGACAGTCTCAAGAGAGGAGATTGGATGGCGTTGTTTGGATGCTAAACAGTCAAGGTGGATGTGGATGAAGGATGAAAGGAAACAGTAAGGATGGTATTTCTACTTCAGAAGTATTTGTTTTATCCATAGAAGTCGTAATTTAAACATACAGAATTGAGTCAAACAATATTTTAAAGTGTTTTGCTTCAGAAAACAAAAAAAAGTTTTGCTTCATTGTTCTTTTTTCTCATCTTTTGACTGACTTGAGGTATAAGTTTACTTTCCCTGATTCAAAACAAACAAAACTACACTCTTTTAAAGTGATAACAGTGAGGTTACAAAGTGATGAACATTGCATAGGAAGCAAGTACAGACAGGGTAGACATAAGAAAAAGATGAGAAGGAAAGTAGGAGGGATCTGGGAAACAGTGAAGGGTTACTGCCTCTCAGTTACAGACAGGTTTCCTCTGATGGGTCATTAAACTGGGACTTAGATCCAAGGTGAAGGAGGAAACATAAATCCTTTGATTCAGAAGCACTAATATTAAACAGGAATTCCAGGTGGTAGTGCAAGGAAGAGTACATCGAGGAGAGATACATTGATTTTTTTTTTTTTTTTTGAGACAGAGTCTCGCTCTGTCACCCAGGCTGGAGTGCACTGGCATAATCTCGGCTCACTGCAGCCTGCGCCTGCCAGTTTCAAGTGATTCTCCTACCTCAGCCTCCCGAGTAGCTGGGATTACAGGCATGCGCCATGATGCCCAGCTAATTTTTTTGTATTTTTGGTAGAAACAGGGTTTCACCATGTTGGCCACACTGGTCTCGAACTCTTGACCTCAAGTGATCACCCATCTCCTCCTCCCAAAGTGCTGGGATTACAGGCATGAGCCACTGCACCCGGCCAAGAACCTTATTTTTCAGATGGAGAAACTGAGGCTTAGAGAGGTTAAGTAACTTGCCCAAGTGCAGCAAACCACCAGGGCACATGTATACCTATGTAACAAAACTGCATGTTCTGCACATGTAACCCAGAACTTAAAGTATAATTTTAAAGAAGGTGCCAGAGCCAGGCTTCAAACCAAGGCAGTCTGGCTCTCGGGTCTGTGTTCTTAAGCACAATACTATATTGCCTTTAAAGTGTACATGTATTGTTCCGATTCTTTTTAAGCTTATTAATGTCAAGCAAGAAAATAGTTGTAAGTATCTTTTAATCTTCAGGGCCCAGAATGTGTTCAGTATCTTCAACAAGAATACCTGCCCTCCTTGCAAGTAGCTCCAGAAATAATTCAGGTAAGAGCTATTTCTTACCATTGTGTAGGCGAGAGATCACAGTAGTAGCAGCATTGCCTGTGACATTGTCGCTAGCAGAAATCAAAAATATTTTCATATTACATAAGTTGTTGCCAGCATCTCAAAATACTGTTTATGCTTATCACCATTTTGAAATTATGAGTTACTAAGTAATATCACTACACCTTGTTACCCAACAAGTTAATAAGTCCTTACTGTTCTAGCATACTTTAGTTTGATAACCATTATTCAGTATAATTGGCTTCTATCGTAATCCCATGTATTATGTTTTATGCATTTTTTTAAAAAAACATTCTAAAGGAGCCTAATAGGCTTTTCCAGACTGCTGAAGGGGACCACAGCAGAGTTCTGAAGCTTTGTACCAGGTAGTTCATTGTGTGTACACCAAGCTTATCAATGCTTAATCTGTAAATCTGAAACTATTTTAAGGAAAGTGTCTGGAAAGTTACCTTATACTTTTAAGAAGTCATTTGTATAATATTGTTTCTTGGCATATAATTTTCCAGATTTCTTGTCCAGTAGTACATGGAGTTAATGAAGTATCAAACTTGATTAAAACTAGAATTACAATCTCTTATGTAGATTCCAAAATTTGTTTCTTCATCAATAGTGTTTTTATTTTATTGTAAGAACACTTACATGAGATATATACCATCTTAACAATTTTTACGTGCACAACACAGTATTATTAATTATAGGGACAGTGATGTGCCTATAAAATATAGGTGGATCTCCAGAACATATTCATCTTGCATAACTAAGACTTTATACCCACTGATTAGCAATTCCCATTTCCCACAGCCCCCATCTCCTAGAAACTACCATTCTACTCTCTGATTCTGTGAATTTGACTACTTTAGATACCTAATATAAGTGGAATCATGCAGTTATCTCTCTTTTTGTGACTGGCTGTTTCACACAATGTCCTTTAGGTTCATCCATGTTGTTACATATGGCAGGATTTCGCAATTTTTTAAGGCTGAATAACATGCCACTGTATGTATATATCACATTTTCTTTATGCATTAATCCACTGATAGATTCATTGGGGCTATTTTCACATTGTAAGTGCTACAGTTAACATGGGAATGCTAATATGTCTTTGAGATGCTGATTCCAATTCTTTTAGATAAATACCCAGAAGTGGGATTGCTGGATTATATGGTAGTCCTATTTTTAATTTTTTGAAGAAACATCTTACTATTTTCTATAGTGGCTATACACCATTTTGCATTTCCATCAGTTGTGTAGCAGGGTTCCAGTTTTTCCACAATGTCACCAACACTTGCTGTCTTTCATTTTTTTGTAATAGCCATTCTAACAGGTGTGAGGTGATATCTCATTGTGGTTTTGATTTGCATTTCCCTTATGATTAGTGATGTTTGTTTTTTCATACACCTGTTAACCATTTGTATTTGGAGAAGTCTATTCAAGTCTTTACCCCATTTTCTAATCAAGTTATTAAGTTTTTTGCTATTGAATTAGAGGAGTTTTTTTATATGTTAGAAATTAACCCCTTATCAGATAAATGGTTTGCAAATATTTTCTCCCATTCTTTAGCTATTCCAGAGGTTGCCTTTCTGCTCTGTTGATTGCTTACTTTATGGTGCAGAAGCTTCTTAATTCAATGTAGCCCCACTAATGTAGCTTTTCGTGATATCAATGAAATCATTTCAAAGACCAGCATCTTGAAGCTTTTCTCCTATGTTTTCTTCTAGTTTTGCAGTTTGGAGACTTACATATAAAGTCTTTAATACATTGAGTTGATTTTTGTGTAAGATAAGGGTCTCGTTTTCTTTTGCACGTAGATATCCAGTTTTACCAGCACCATTATTGGAGAGATTATTGTTCCCCATTGTGTATTCTTAGTACCCTTGTTGAAGATCAGTTGACTGTATACAGGAGTTGATTTTCAAATTCTATTTTGTTCCATTGGTTTATATGTCTGTCTTAAAAGAGAGAGGGTCTCACTCTGTTGTCCAGACTCAAGTGCAGTGGCACCATCATAGTTCACAGCAACTACAAACGCCTGGACTCAAAGAATCCTTCTGCCTCTGCCTCCCAAGTAGCTAGGATATATGTCTGTCTTTTGCTAGTACCATACTGTTTTCACACTGTAATATTAAAATATATTTTGAAATCTGGAAGTGTGGTACATCCAGCTTTGCTCTTTCTCTGGATTGTTTTGGCTATTCAGGGCCTTTTGTGATTCCATGTAAATTCTAGTTTTGTTTTTTCTATTTCTATAAAATATGCTCTTGGAACTCTTATACGGATTGCCTTGAATCTGTACGTCACTTTGTTTTTTATTTTTGGAATGATTAAGAAGCTTTTTAAAATTTTTTAAATTTATTTTTATTTTTTTTGAGATGGAGTCTCGCTTTAGTGCCCAGGCTGGAGTGCAGAGGCACGATCTTGGCTCATTGCATGCAACCTCCGCCTCCCAGGTTCAAGTGATTCTGGTGGCTCAGCTTCCTGAGTAGCTGGGATTACAGGCAGGCACCACCATGCCTAGCTAATTTTTGTTTTTGCTTTTTTTTTTAGTAGAGACCAGGCTGGTCTCAAACTCCTAACCTCAGTGATCTTCCCACCTTGGCCTCCTAAAGTCCCAGGATTACGGGCGTGAGCCACCTTGCCTGGCCATTAAGAAGCATTTTGTTGACCTGATGGAACAGGGATATTCATTTAGCAGCTCAGTTTTATATACTCTTTCCCCTGTGTCATTTTACATAATGTGTAAAGTGGGGGGGGGACCCTTTTATTGCAAAGACATTTCCAGAGTCGTCATCTTTTTCTTTCTTTTTGAGACAGTCTTGCTCTGTCACCCAGGCTGGAGTGCAATGGCACAATCTCTGCTCACTGTAACCTCCACCTCCCGGGTTCAAGCAATTCTCCGGGTTCAAGCAGTTCTCCGGCCTCAGCCTCCCAAGTAGTTAGGATTACAGGTGCCCACCACCATGCCTAATTTTTGTATTTTTAGTAGAGACGGGGTCACCACATTGGCCAGGCTGGTCTTGAACTCCTGACCTCAAGTTATCCACTGGCCTCGGCCTCCCAAAGTGCTGGGATTACAGGCGTGAGCCACCACACCTGTCCAGAACCAGGGGCTTTTCTGTGACCAAGGTAACCCCATATCAATTACCCTAGCCCATAGTGTCCTTGGACCTTACTGCTAGGCACTGGCTTTCAGTGTTGCTTTGTACTTCCCTGTCGTCTCCTAATGCCATTAGGCCTGGATAGGGCACCTGCCCTTTAACTTCACAGGTAGATTCCCATCAGAACTACTTTGAAGGCCAAAATGAGCTGGGTGAGAGAGCTGCTTTTTCTCCTGCTCTCCTTTCTTGTGTCCTCATTCTTCCCCACGATTTTTTTGATGTGTTCCATAATCTCCTTATTCATCTTGATTTCTATATCCACCAGGACCTGCTCTTCATAATATAAATAGAATTGTAGGAAGGGTAATGGTATTGTGTTCTTAAACATCATGATCTGCATCCAAGGGTTTTTTGTTTGTTTGAGATGGAGTCTTGCTCTAGTCTTGCTCTGTCACCCAGGCTAGAGTGCAGTGGCGCGATCTCGGCTCATTGCAACCTCTGCCTCCCGGGTTCAAGCGATTCTCCTGCCTCAGCCTCCCGAGTAGCTGGGATTACAGGCACCCGCCACTGCACCTAGCTAATTTTTGTATTTTTAGTAGAGACAGGGTTTCACCATCTTGGCCAGGCTAGTCTTGAACTCCTGACCTCGTGATCCACCCACCTCGGCTTCCCAAAGTGCTGGGATTACAGGCGTGAGCCACCGTGCCCGATCCAAGGGTTTTTTTTGTTTTTGGATTTGAGGTATGTTGAAAAATACAAATTTCCTGCCACTGTCACCCAGCTCCCCATGTGTGTTATAATTCACTCTTATGACCTTCACCAAGTCCCTGAACACTACTACATCACCCTGGTCTGGGTATTGCAGAAGGGTAAGGGCCCCTTCATAGGTGGTGGCAGTCAAACACCAAAGAGAGGTAAGAGAACAGCAGACATCACTTCTCGGCAGATTGCTTTGGGTAGCAAAGACATTTTAACAATATTAAGTCTTCAGTCCATGAACACAGCTTTCAATGGTGTTTTTTTGTTTTTTATTTTTATTTTGAGACAGGGTCATCCACTGTCGCCCAGGCTAGTGTGCAGTGGTGCGATCTTGGCTCACCGCAACCTCTGCCTCCCGGGTTTAAGCAATTCTTCCACCTCAACCTCCCAAGTAGCTGGGACTACAGGCGCATGCCACCACACCTGGCTAGTTTTTGTATTTTTGGCAGAGATGGGGTTCCACCATGTTGGCTAGGCTGGTCTTGAACTCCAGACCTCAAGTGATCCGGCCACTTTGACCTCCCAAAGTGCTGGGATTACAGGCATGAGCCACTGTGCCCAGCCTCAATGGTGTTTTTTTGAAGTTTTTATAATGCTGTTTTTTTCAAAAATAAAGATTTCACATGAGTTTAAAAAATGAATTTAACTCATTTTTAATGAATTTGTGATCTCTTATTTCACAGTATACCACCTTTAGAGATATTAATGACTTTCTTGGTTATCATTTGATATGTAAATAAACTCATATTTTAATGAAAATAATAAATTACTATTCTTGTGATCTTAGTGCTCATCAAAAGTAGAACTTAGACCATTCAGTTTACAGCTAATCTTCCAGATTGCTAAATGAAATAAAATTATTTTTCTATTTAGTAATTCATTATGAAAGATAAGGAACCTCAGTTTTCCCTTTTTCATATGCCTTATGTCTGACAACACATTTTGCACAATATTCTCTATTAGAATTTTCTTTTCTTTTGGTCTAGCTCTGTTTGGTTATCCCTCTTACTAGATGTGAGCAGCCGTAGCAATGTAGTTTTTGTCCCATTCACTCCTCTCAGGCATGAATCCACCTTGTCTAGGAGAGCTATGTTCTCAAAAGTGAAAGCAGCCTGTTTGACAAGTACTGACATTTGAAAATGCTATAAACCTCTTGTGGTGAGATACTGTTTGAATTAATCTTGATAAGTTAAATACCATGAATTTGAAGCAACCTTAAATTCCTTTGACAGATAAATGGATAAACAAAATATGGTATATACATACAATAGAATATTAAGCCTGATTTATAAAATAATCCTGTCATATGCTATAATGTGGATGAACCTAGAGGACATTATGCTAAATGAAATAAGGCAGTTATTAAAAGACAATGCTCTATGATTCCATTTGTTTGAGATATCTAAAGTAGACTCACCAAAGCAGAAAGTGGTGGTTGCCAGGGGCTGGAGTAGGGGAAAATGGGGAGTTCTTCAGTTAAGAGGCAAAAAGCAAGCTTGTTTTGCAAGATGCAAAAGTTCTAGAAACCTGTTGTACAACAGTGTGCATGTAGTTAATGCTTACTGTACTGTACATGTAAAAGTGGTTAAGGTGATAAGTTTTAAGTGTTTTTAACTACAGCTTTTTTAAAAAAAGAGCTGGGCACAGTGACTTATGCCTGTAATTCCAGCTTCTTGGGAGGCTGAGGTGGGAGTGTCCCTTGAGCCTAGGAGTTGGAGGCTACAGTGAGCTATGATCACACCACTGTACTCCAGCCTAGATGACAGAGCAAGACCATCTCTTAAAAAAAAAAAAAAAATTAAAAAAAAAAAACTGGATACGAATTACAATGGATTTAATACAAATACATTTGTTCTTTTTCTCCCTCTTTTCCCCACCCCCCAGGAGTTTTGTCAAGCGCTTCAGCAGCCTGATGCTAAAGTTTTTAAAAATTACTTAAAGGTAGGTATTTGTGAAGCTCACGTATCTTCATACAATTAGGTAATGTTTGAGAGCCAAGAGAGAATACATACCTGCAATTATAGATGTTTATGTGAAGTCCCTTTTAACTAAGCTCTTGAAAAAGAGTATAAGTTAGGTAAGCACACTGAATGTGTACACCTTTGAGTATATTGGTGAGAAAATGCCAGTTTTCTTTTACAGTTTCATGATGTAATTAAATAGAAACTAGAGGGATTAGGAGAATAAGAAATGTTCAAGAACAGTTGTCCAAATTAAGTTGAAAAGAAGGGGCTAAAAATATAAAAACAGAAGGATGAGATATTTGCTTATATCCTATTTTGAAACATTTGAACTGTAAAACAGACAAAAAGGAGAATCCTCAGATTTGGGCCATCAAGCCTCCTTTTACATTTACGAAATTACTGATTTTTTTTTTTAACTCTGTAAATCAACAAAAAGTGTCACGTGTTTATTTGGTATTCATAGTTATAATTGAGTTCATGAGATGAAACTGTCTTGGTCTTACCTAGGTAGTCATTCATTTCATACATAATGACTGCTTTTTATGTACCAAGTACTACAGTAATGGCTGCAAATACAACTATGAGTAATTTTCCCTCCCCATAAGGAGCTCATGATCTAGAAATAAAGTTACAGTGTGACAAGGTGAATTATTTTTTATTATCTTCACTCAAATAATTTGAAGACAAAGCACTGTATTAAATTCAGTAGCAGGTAACTTAGTGTATCACCTGGTTCTTTTAGCAAAGACATTCAGTAGAATTTGTAAGTCAGAGGGCTTTGCGCAGTAAATAATTTAAGTGTGCCATCCTTTGACTGTGGTTCTAACATCTTCCCTTGTCAGTTTTTTCTTAGTTGTAGTTTGTCAGCTTAAACATCTCAGAGTTTTTGTGGAAGAATATTGAGGGCTTGTTTTTGTTTATCATTGGGAACCCTCCCCTTCGCCATCCTCCCATAAAAAAGCAAAGTGCCTACAGGAGTAACCCCTGTTAAATAACTGATCAGTCAAACTGAATTTAAGGACTCAGTCCTCACTATCTGTTAGAGGTGTCTGTAACAGTAGATCTAGGTACCCTATAGAAGGCTTGTTCTCCAGATGTGGTTATTTATCTGCATAGCATTTATAAAAAGTCTTCCTTCTGGGCCCAACTTCTCTTCAGTGATGACATTATCTTAGTGATCATAATTCTCAGTGTTAGCATTATTATTCTAGTTGGAAAAAATGAATTTCATTCGTGTTCACTCCTCCCTTCACATCTGATTGATCCTCAGATCTTGCAGATTCTTTCCTCATCTTCTCTCTCTTCTGTCTCTGCTGCTCTGGTGTAGGCTGATGTTATCTTACTCTGATCTCTCTTCTCTTGTTCTAGCCAGGCTGATGTGTTTGAAAACTTCAAGCAGTCCTTTGATATTTATTCACCTTCCTCATAACCTTCCTGAACAAATTCATGTTTCTCAGTTTGGCACTTAATTTTTTTTTTTTTTCATATTCTGCCCTGAGACTACCTTTCTGTTTTTTCTTGCAGAAATGGTCTTTACTGTTCTTGTAGTTCTTCAAAAATCCTGCCTTACTAGCAGCCCAACTTCTGTATGAACTGTACCCATTTCTCTAGGTTTGCCTTAAGCACAGCCTCCTTGTAAGGTTTTCTTTTGCCTATATAGTGATCATTCTTTCCCCTGCACATAGTAGATTATCTATTAAATGAATCTCCTAGGTACTAGGGCACTATCAATACTGTTCTTGTCTGTATTAGTCCATTTTCACGCTGCTGATAAAGACATACCCGAGACTGGGCAATTTACAAAATAGCTTTATTGGATTTACAGTTCCACATGGCAGGGGAGGCTTCACAATCATGTCGGAAGGCAAGGAGGAGCAGGTCACATCTTACGTGGATGGCAGCAGGCAAAGAGAGAGCTTGTGCAGGGAGACTCCCATTTTTAAAACCATCAGATCTTGTGAGACCCATTTACTATCAGGAAAACAACATGGGAAAGACCTGCCCCCATGATTCAATCATCTCCCACCCGGTCCTTCCCACAACACATAGGAATTATGGGAGCTACAAGATGAGATCTGCGTGGGGACACAGGGTCAAACCATATCATTGTCCTTACTGAGAACACTGAATTATGTCTGGTGCTCACCTGACCTGCCATGGATGGCAGCATGTAGTACTAGGCCATGCCTAGCACAGCCTCTAGCCAACTCCTTTGTAGTCTCAAATTTTGACTTGGAAGTACTTTTGAATCATCAAATAAATAGTAAATTCCTTACAGAGTTAGAACTGCTATGTTTAGCTTTGACTTGTTTCCTCCTCAATATTTAATTTTTTTTTTTTTGAGACGGAGTTTCACTGTTGTTGCCCAGGCTGGAGTGCAGTGGCACGATCTCGGCTCACCACAACCTCTGCCTCCCAGGTTCAAGTGATTCTCCTGCCTCAGCCTCCCGAATAGCTGGGATTACAGGCATGCACCACCACACCCGGCTAATTTTTTCTATTTTGAGTAAAGACTGGGTTTCTCCATGTTGGTCAGGCTGATCTCAAACTCCTGGCTTCAGGCCTCGGCCTCCCAAAGTGCTGGGATTACAGGCGCCGTGCCCGTCCTCAATATTTAATTTACCAGTGTTAATTTGGAAATAGTACCAATCAGTAAAAAGGTGTCAAGAGCTTGTTTTCTTCTGACCACTTGATTTCTATAGCATAGAGATAACACCATATTTTCACTACTTCCCCAGTTGGGTGATGTCAGCATAAGTTATATCTACACTTACCAAACTCTCCAGAACAGAAAGTTCTTAGCTTGGATTACATACGGATATATAAGGCATGCGAAATGTTCTAATGTTACAGAAGAACATTGCTAGCACTCAGATACTTGGAGCCATTCTTCAGGTGAAAGTGATATCTTCTGACATTAGTATTGATTGCATTAATACTTTATTTACAGGTGTTCTTCCAGAGAGCAAAGCCCTGAGGACTGGATTTCCCTGTGCCTACTTCATGATCATGAATTCCAGTTAATTTATAAAGAGGCGATTTTTGTGTGCCATTCACACTGGTCTTTTTCACATTGTTTTGAGCTTATTGCAGTATATGTTTTGGGATTTTTCTGTAAAATGGGTGTAATTTTCCTAATACAGGTATGTAACAACAAAAGAAGTTGCCTGCATGCCGGTCCAAATTGTTCTGTATAAAGATGCTCTTAAAAGACACAAGAGTTATCCTAGAACCTTAATTCTTTTTTATTTGAAATTTTAAGTCAAGTCCTTTATAAAGACCATAGCAGTGGAAAACAGTGTACTTTTTAAAAAATTGCTGAATATAAAATCTTTGAAAATTTTCTTTATGTGTGAAGACACAAAGTATGGGGGAAGACAGCAATCAAAACTAACTTTTTGTAGATAGCCATTTCATTTCTTTAAACTGTTTCAACGCCAATATGTATTCTACAAAAGAGAATGGTTTTAGGCTCCAGTGTTATACTTTTTTTTATATATATATATAAAAATAAACTTTACGTAGTGAAATCTTCCAAGTCTTTTCTGGAATTATTATAAATACTTTAGTTTTATTTTCTCATCTTAATCTCTCCATAATTTCCCATTTAAAGGTTTACAAATATGAGTGTGTGGATGCTTTAATTCATTTAACCTCACTCCTCAAAGGTAACATGCAACTTAGTTCTGTTATATGAGAGTCTTTTTCTTTAATGTACTGGAAAAAGCCTATGTGAATCTGTTGATAGAATTTAAAATTCCAGGCCGGGCGTGGTGGCTCACGACTGTAATCCCAGAACTTTGGGAGGCCAAGGCAGGTGGATCACTTGAGGTCAGGAGTTCGAGACTAGCCTGGCCAACATGGTGAAACCCCATCTCTACTAAAAATACAACAGCCAGGTGTGATGGTGCACGCTCGTAATCCCGGCTACTCAGGAGGCTGAGGCAGGAGAATCGCTTGAACCCGGAAGGCAGAGGTTGCAGTGAGCTGAGATTGTGCCACTGCACGCCAGCCTGGGCAAGAGAGTAAGACTCTCTCTCAAAAAAAAAAAAAAAGAATTTAAAATCCCAATTTATTTTCTAACTCTTTTATTGGATGTATTTAGAACACAGTATACCTATAGTATACCTATGTGTTTATTATGTTTGTAAATGGTAACTGACATTTAATTATTAGAAGTACTTACCCCTGCCTTCCTCCATTTTTATTCATGGCTACTTGAGAAAGCAAAAGGAAAAAATAATAGTTATCAGTAGTGTCACTGGAAAGAAGAGAGGAGGGACAAAACTGAGCAGCAGAATTCGTATAGACATTTACGTTTAAATTCTAAAAGCCCAATTGAGATGTTCAGGGAGGGTTTGTTTTGCCCTTTGGCCTCATGAATGGGTTTCATGAATGGGCTTCAGTGGCTTATAAACTCTGTAAAATTCTATTCTAAATTTTGTACATTTATTTTGTTCCGGTTAATTCCAGAAGACATTTCAAACATTTTTCTTACACCATATAATAAAAATACTTAACTAAATTGACAGTTATAAAAATAAATCAGTGAAATGTACCTTATACTTTAATAAAAAATGTTTTCAGAAATAGATAAGTGAAAGCTGAGTGTTTCTTTGATAGGTTCCCCTGTACTATAGGAGTGATAATTGCAGCTATTGCAATAGTAGTAATTGTTAAATGGATACTAATGAATAGCATAGCATAGTGGGTAAGAGTTTATATAGCACAGGCTCTAGAATCAGATTAAGTAGGTTCAAATACCAGTTCTGCCAGTAACTGGTTTTAGAACCTTGGGCAAGTTAAAGAATGTCTCCCAGCCTCAGTTTCCCTATTTGTAAAATGGAAATAATGGTAGCTACCTCAAACCTCATTACGAATTCAATGAGTTAAACTTGAAAAGACTTATTACAGTAGCTGGCACATAAAGACTTGATAGTAGTTTATATGGATGCTATCTCATATTAGCATATATGGAATTAATAGTGTATCACTATACTTTTTTTTTCTTTTTTTTTTTTGAATAGAGATCAGTCTATCACCCAGGCTGGAGTGCAGTGGTGACATCATAGCTCACTGTAACTTCTCCCATACTCTACCAATCCTCCTGCCTCAGCATCCAGACTAGCTGTGATTACAGGTGTGCACCACCACACCCAGCTACATTTTTTTTTGGTAGAGACAGGGTCTCACTATGTTACCCAGTCTGGTCTCAAACTCCCGGCCTCAAGCAATCCTCCCACTGGCCTCACAATGTTGGGATTACAGGTATAAGCCACTGCACACGGCCTTACTATGCTATCAATTCCATATATGGAAAGGTGTTTTCCCTTTCAGAGCTCTTTAAAGCTCTGCAGAAGATTTACATGTGTTTATAGAGCTAAGAGAAATCAGGGCATGGAAATTGAGTGTGTAATAAAAATTAAACTCTTCATGTTATATAATCATGCATAACTTCTATCTTCATTCTCTGAAGTTGCCTAGAGCACCATCACAGCTAGGAAGCTTCCATCATGAATTACCTTATTTCCAAAAGCAAGTACTCAAATAATTGTCTCAAGAGAGGAAGGACAAAACTGTTACAAGCTGAAATATTTGGGGATTTGTTTGACTTGACTAGGGAACCACAAGTTTTCATATAATGCCTGATTTAGCCCTGTGCCTAACAGTTTAAATCTTAATGCTAATGTTAATTGCTTCCCAGTTGGTTGACCTTATAAGAAAACACTGTGTGGTATTTTAATGTGGTAAACATGTGAATGAAGGCCTGTGGCTCAGTTAATCACTCCCACAACTTTGAGCTGTGAGTTTTACTGGTGGAAGGAACTTTAACAGGTCTTCGCTCTTGTCATTAGATATCAAAGAACTGAAATTAGTTGGAATTGTAAGCAGTGAATAGATGTGTTGTTAGAATGATTCCATCACTTATACATTGTTTAAAATGCTAATAAAGTAACTTGCTTTGTAAGAATTCATTAGAGTGGACTTTTGTTATCTCCATTGTGCATTTGATAAAACTGAGGCTTAGAGAGGTAAGAGATTAGCTTTTAAGTCAGTAATTGGCAGCCGAGACAGCAACCCTAGGTCTGTTACATTCAAAAGCCTCTGAGCCACTCCGCATGACTTCCCATTCATTCGTGTTTGCTGCTGCTACTCTGGGAAACACCATCTTCCTCTTCCCCTCCACTCAGAAATTTAGCCCTAGATTAGCAGCGGTCTCTGCTCCCTCATGTTGAGAAAGGCCTGTTGTGCTGTCCGTGGGCAGAAGGGACCCCTTCAGAAAGCTATTCCTTATTGGGAATAGCGGCTTGAGATTTTGACTGCACGAATATTGCAGGACCTAATTTTAGTATTTAAGTTTTAGTTCTTAAATTCTTAAGTTTAGAGTTAGATACTCCAATACGGCCGTTTTCCAAAATACCGAGAGGGAATTAAATGAACATTTTTACATTAAGAATTTAATGTATTTCTGGGTGATGGGAAAATGAAAAAAACAATGTAAAGTCTGAATTACTGCGAGACGATAATCTGGCTCCACTGCAGCCAAAGTGGGCCCTTAAAACATAGAATCCATCCCTCCCAGCTCTGCCGGCCGTCTGTGCCTGCCCCCCACGTGTCCCACGTTCTGCACACCTGTAAATCTTGGGATGTAATCCCTTGCTCAGCGTCGGTCCGCCCTACTGTCGGCCAGCGCTCGGGGAAGGGGCGGGATTTGCAGTTGCGGGAATCCCAATTACTGTGTTCGCTGCTCAGGGCTCCTCATTCCCCTTTAGAGTAAAGGGCGAGGGCAACAGTGGACGGGGTGTCTCCAGACATCCCCCTCATTACCGTGGCCGCGGAAGCCGACTCGGCAGTTGCCGCCGCGGCTGTGGTGACTACCAGACGGGCCATAGGCGTGCGCACGCGCACCCGCACCGGCGCGCCGGCCGTCGGTCACGTGGCCTCCGGCCAGGGCTTGCGAAGCCGGAAGTGTCCTGAGTCTCGAGGAGGCCGCGGGAGCCCGCCGGCGGTGGCGCGGCGGAGACCCGGCTGGGTAAGTGAGACGGCCGCGGGCTGAGGGGCCAAGGCGGCGCGGGGCGCGGTCGGTCAGGCCTGCGCCGCCCGGCGGGGAGCGCTCCCGCCCCCTGTGGGAGGCTGGGATGCTGAGTCAGAGCGGGGGCGGGGGCGGGCGCACCGAGAAGCCCCGGACGACCCGAGGCCAAGCCATCCAGGACCCCGGCTGCGTGGACACTGCCTCTGGGGTGTGTGTCGGGTGGCCGTAGCCGGTGGAATGGTCGCGCGGGCCCTGTTACCTGCATCCCCGCTCCGCGCCGCGCGGCCGGTCCTCGACCTGCATCCCGTCCGGCGGCTTTGGGCATAAAGAGGACGACTCCGTTACCGGGCCTGGGCCCTGGCTGCCTGGGGAGGCAGGGGCACCTCTTTCCCTTAGACTCGCTGTTTTCTACCCTCTTTCCGAGCGTCGACACAACGGGCAGTTTTTAAATGTATTGATTTTTCAGAGGATTAAAAAGAGACGTTTCCTTAGAGTTTTAGTGATGTTCAGTCCGCAGAGGTTGACTCACACCGGAAATTAGAAGCATAAGATGTTTTAAATATATGCCGATGAAATACGAATTCCCAGACATTTCCTTGCTCCTCGTCTACCTGGCTTATGGGTTTAATTTGTAATCTCTATCCCAAGTATTCTTAGTAGGTGGCCTCAAAACAACTCCCAAGTAATTGCCAAATGTATAACCAAAGACTGGTCTTTTCCACTCTGAAACCCCAGTGTATGAATCACATAGGGGCAGAGTTTAGAAATCCTGGAACTTTGTCCATAGGCCATGTCGTCAAACCTGTTTTCATCCCTCAACAAATAGTAACTTTCGTTTTGGACGGTGTAAGGAAGTAGGCTGAAGACGGCATCATCAGCAACATAGTTGTTGAGTGTCTGCTTATATGCTTGTCAAAAATTTGGGAAGATTTATATGGCAAGCACGTTGTGGGTGTGCTGAGTCATGTTTTAACATGTTATTGTGGAGTTATTGGAAGATAATTTCAAAAGACATTTCCCCTGACCACTATTGTGATTACTGTTAAATAGAAACCATAGTTTTGTATTTGCATAGAGAACAGATATCTTAGCTGATAAATATTTTTCTTATTATCCTGAAGGTACATACATATAGGTACCTAATGGTACTATTTGCCATTTACAGTTACATTGATTAGGGAAGGTTTTTCGTTAGATAGTTGAGACGTTTGTTATTGTATCGTGAGTGAAATGTAATGACTGGCAAATGTGTATTCCTTATTTGTGAAAAGGGAATCTTATTTTTATTGCTTATTTCCTATAGTCGTATATAAAGTTTATCTAAATTAGATGGGTAGTAAAATTATATAAAAATATCCTACTATATCAGTGATTGGTAAAATTGAGACCCCTGACCATTCTGCATTTTCCTAACCCAGCTTGGGGATATTGGTGGTCATTAATTCATCACAGAATACCTAGTCTAGCATACTACTTTTTGCTTTAACTTACTGTGGAGGGATATTAAAATCCATGTTTTAATGACAATACAGCAGGTTTAAGGGGGCATGGTGGGACTAGTGTTTATGTTATGTTAGCATACATCAATTTTAGTCCAGTGTGGAGCTTGGATACTTTGTATACCTTGATAGATCCATAGCTTTTCAGTATTAAAGACTTGATAATACAGGCTACTTGGTACGTTTATATATTTATACTTGGAGGTTGGAGAAACTATCCTTAAATTAATTCCAGAAGAGTTCGTAACTTTTCAGGAATAATAATTTTTGCACCTTTCCTTTATGTTTGTCAGGTTCTGTGTAGATTGTGTAGATAAAATTTTAGCTTATGGGAATATTATGCAGTGACAACATTTGTCTTCATTAGTGTTTCTCTGCTCTGAAGGAAACAAAGTAATTTTTCCTATATTTGTTATATTTTACATTATTACTTTTCTTTATTTTAAAACACCTTAAATTATGTCATAAATTAATCTTTCAAAACATTTGAAGGAGGTAAGTAACAATATCACTCTCATCAACAAAGACAAAATTAGAAGAGAAATAGGTGTTGTTTTTGTTTGTTTTTGTTTCTTTTTGAGATGGAGTCTCGCTCTGTCACCCTGGCTGGAGTGCAGTGGTGCGATCTCAGCTCACTGCAACCTCTGCCTCCTGGTTTCAAGCAATTCTTCTGCCTCAGCCTCCCGAGTAGCTGGGATTACAGGCATGCGCCACCACGCCTGGCTAATTTTTTTGTATTTTTAGTAGAGGCGGGGTTTCTCCATATTGGCCAGGCTGGTCTCGAACTCCTGACCTTGTGATCCGCCCGCCTCGGCCTCCCAGAGTGCTGGGATTACAGGCATGGGCCACTGCACCCGGCTGAGAAATAGATGTTTCTTTCAGCCCTGTGTTAAGTGAATTAAATTGAATGTATGTCATTGGTTAATGTTTTTTTTTTCAAAGCTCATACAGCATTTTAGCCTTGAATATTGCTAGAAACTCAGATCTTTTTTTTTTTTTTTTTTTTTTGAGACGGAGTCTCGCTGTGTCACCCAGCCTGGAGTGCAGTGGCGCGATCTCGGCTCACTGCAAGCTCCGCCTCCCGGGTTCCCGCCATTCTCCTGCGTCAGCCTCCCGAGTAGCTGGGTCTACAGGCGCCCGCCACCATGCCCGGCTAATTTTTTTGTATTTTTAGTAGAGACGGGGTTTCACCATGTTATCCAGGATGGTCTCAATCTCCTGACCTCGTGATCCGCCCGCCTCGGCCTCCCAAAGTGCTGGGATTACAGGCGTGAGCCACCGCGCCCGGCCAATTTTTTTTTTTTCTTTTTTTTTTTTTTGCGATGGAGTCTTGCTCTGTCACCCAGGCTGGAATAGGGTGGCACGATTTCAGCTCACTGCAGCCTCTGCTTCCGGGTTGAAGTTATTCTCCTGTTGCAGCCTCCCGAGTAGCTGGGATACAGGCACCTGCCACCATACCTGGCTAATTTTTGTATTTTTTGTGGAGACGGGGTTTTGCCGTGTTAGCCAAGGTGGTCTCAAACTCCTGGCTTCAGGTGATCTGCCTGCCTCGGCCTCCAAAAGTGCTGAGATTACAGGCATGAGCCACTGCTCCCAGCTGAAACTTAGATTTTTTTTGTCATATTATTGTATTTTATTATAGTATGTATAGTGTATACTAACTTACAGGGAAAAAATGTAAACAAAATGAAGGTCATGGGGAAAATGGCATCTTGCTTTAATCTTCAACTTAAAGTTACTCTTAATAATCCATTTATACCATTATGTCAAATTTTAGTCATCCCTGCAGAATTTTAGACGAATGAAAACAGACAAGGTAACACCAAAGAGTTAAGCACAGAAAGTGATATTGATTAAAAAGTTGAAAGTAAAAATCTACATTGGCTAGAACTGAACATTCAGATCCGTCTCTCCAGAGGAAAATCTAACTTGAATCATAATGGTTCATATTTTGACTTGTTCATACCATATCAGTTAGCAACTTATGACTTGAAAATACTTTGAAACTTAAGATATTTATATTGAACTGTTTATACACTTCATGTCAGTAACAGATAATGGGTGATCTTACTTGAGACTAAAAACAGCTAACATTTGTTTCTTAGCTGTGTTACTCCCTTAAAACATAGTTGCAAATTTTTTTTTTCTCTTAGTATAACAAGAGGATTGCCTGATCCAGCCAAGATGCAGAGCACTTCTAATCATCTGTGGCTTTTATCTGATATTTTAGGCCAAGGAGCTACTGCAAATGTCTTTCGTGGAAGACATAAGGTTAGTACAGAGAAAACTTTGAAGACCTTTTATCACTGTATGTATTTTGTTCTAAGATGCATGTTGACACTAAAGTGTGTGACTTGGTGATTTTGATCCCTTTGTCTGAAGAAATTGTTTTAATGATTTTCGTGGTCATTTAAGGCATAGCTGTGTCAGGCAGTGAACATATCTACCCAGTGGTGGCACAGGTTAAGTGTTAGTGAGTGGAGGAAAACAGATTGGTTGAAAATGGACTGGGAAAGATTAGTGTTGTGCCTTTTGATGCTTTCCCCAGCCCAGCTCCCTAATGGTAGAGTGATTTCACTGACAGAAGTTCAGTGTAATGAGTTGAGGTAGCATTTGATGTGGCATTTTGGTTGGTAGGGAGGCAGATGTGTATTGGGAGGGGAACTCACAGGTGTTTCTGATAGGCTCTGGTAAGGGTAAGTGCCCCTACTAAAACAGCATCCTACAAAGTAGATTGGAGTAAAATGAGATTCTCAACAAGGAGCCCAGGTTGAAAAGACCATATTTTGGTATAAGGTAATCAGAACCTGGTAGTGGAAGTGGGAATAAAATAAAAAGATTATTCCCAGAGGCACTTCAAGAACCAAAAAGGGGCCGGGCGCGGTGGCTCACGCCTGTAATCCCAGCACTTTGGGAGGCCGAGGCAGGCGGATCACGAGGTCAGGAGATCGAGACCATCCTGGCTAACACGGTGAAACCCCGTCTCTACTAAAAATACAAAAAAAATTAGCCAGGCGTGGTGGCGGGCGCCTGTAGTCCCAGCTACTCGGGAGGCTGAGGCAGGAGAATGGTGTGAACCCAGGAGGCGGAGGCTGCAGTGAGCCAAGATAGCACCACTGCACTCCAGCCTGGGTGACAGAGCAAGACTCAATTAAAAAAAAAAAAAAAAGGATTTTGTTTAGATTCAATGTGGAGGATGAAATTTAAAATAGTTAAAATAATTTAAAATTAAGAAATTGAAGATAATTAAACTTTCTATTCTGGGAAAAAGCTGGAGAAATGGAGTCTGAGAAAGAAGCTGGAAAAATGGAGTACAAAGTTCATTTATAATACAAATAATAACTAATTTTTCAGTGCTATGAATTTGTTTCGAGCTAAATGATGTTTGGAGCTTCCTAAATCCTTATTTTCAGAAACAGGGCCCTAAACGTTTTAGTAGAGAGGAATTGCTTCCTCTTTTCCTGTATTCTTGAGACTACCAGTCAGTTCTGTCAGTGACGATGAGATAAGCGTACATGGGGGAGGGGCTGTTTCCTCTGGGGAGAGAATATTGACTATAAACACCCTTTATGGCTCATAGAGAATGAATCAGAAGTACCATACAGACAACTTTTAGCTTTCCTCCCCCTGTATCTAGAATTATCCACAAGCTCTGGATTCTTATTCAGATTACTTGCGATCAATCCTGGGTACTCCGTCCTAGAAATTGCTTTTGTTTTATGCCAAGGAGAAAATGACTAGTGCCTCAGAATTTAGCATTGAGAACACGTCTGATCATCTTATCTTCCTGTAGTCCAAATTAACAAACTTTTAATAATCACTTGGTATGTGTCAGGCACTATGGCAGACCTAGTGAATATTACTATAGCTAATGTGCGGTTAGCTATACTGCACATTAACTGGACACAGTTTCGAGTTTAGTAGCAAGATTGATTAGAAAGGAAGTAAAGTGGAAGCTGATGGGATGAGAGATAGTCAATAGTGATAGAGACTGGATGAGACATATTGAAAGGGCCTGGCACTAGAAGATACGTCACATATCCTGCTCCTCTTTCCTTACTTAGATACTCAGTGTTCTTCATGTAAGTGACTACACATAGTATGCACTCTGTAAATGTTTGCTGAATGAAAGAATAAGTGAATGAATGAGGACTGATTAGACTACCCCAAGACAACCTAAAGTTCTCCAAAGGAAACAAATATGTACTTTACCCATTATAGTGTGGAAATCTAAAATGAGAATTTCAGAAGTATAAGAATTAATTAAAAGATTGTGAAGTCGAGCATGGTGGCTCACGCCTGTAATCCCAGCACTTTCGGAGGCCAAGGCAGGTAGGTTGCTTGTGCCCAGGAGTTTTGAGACCAGCCTGGGCAACATGGCAAAACCCTGTCTCTACTAAACACACACACACACACACACACACACACACACACATACACACACGAAAAAGATTGCCAAGGCCCAGTCTAGTATTTAGTCCCCAACAGTTTTCCTAGGGATGTGCTTTGAGAAACCATATTTGTTCTTAATGATGGCAGTTGCAACTGTTTAGGACTATATCCTACAAAAAATCCTGCTTCCCTTTAACTATTTAAAGGATTTTTACCATGATATTAGCCCTTTTATATTATTTCTTAGAATGACCAAATTCTTACATTTATTACTTGTTATTCAAAGTATATTACCTACTTAATCTGTTTTTTATTAAATTGCTTTTAGTTACTAAAGTATGAGTGTGGGTGTGTGTATATGTGTGTGATTACCATGGTGAAGTTTAAGGGAAGAGACTTGAAGGATGTGTTGATCTGCACATATGGATATATACATATATATATATATATATATGGATCTCTATTATTTGTATACACTTTGACTTAGTGAATAATAGATGACTGTGTAGGTGAATAAAGGGAAAATAGTACGTTTCCACCTGGATCCCGATAATCTCACAGGCATGATGTAGTCTACACAAGTTTGGAAAATAATGACCATGAGGTCAGTGGGTATATTGCAAAATTGTATTATTTTCCCTGCTTGCTCCTCTGTTAGGATTCTCCTAGTTTTAGACTGAGTTTGAGGCCTGTCTCAGCTTAAGAAAAATCACTCTGTTGGGTGATGCATAGATTTGGCAGTGTCTTAACCCTTGCTGAACTGAGGGAAAAACAGTGAAACTGAACTGTACTTAAATTCTTCTCTTTTCATATGTGTGAAAATGGTCATTGGCTCTTTGATCTTTCATCTTCCTCTAGAAAGAATATATATCAATTTGTGTATTTTGCATGACCAGGGTGAGGGGAATCACATAGGATTATGAAGCAGTTAAATGGCCTTAAGAAAAGGATCATGCGATTCTGGAGTGAGAGAGGAGGGTGATGGCTCTAAGTGGTGAATCTGAGGAAAGTATAAAGAGGGCTCCAAAGCAGGAACAGTACAGAGGTCCTGACAGAGAGCCATGAAATGTCTTTAGCCATGAAATGTGCTTGAACCCCAAGCTCAAAGAGAAAAGGATTTTCCTGCTTGCTCTAGGGAAGTTCAACCTTGGATAAATGGGGGAAAATGTAAGGCTAAACTCAAGATCTGGACTGGCCACGAGGGAGAGGCTTGCTCATTAGAGTGATTGGAAGGAAGTGAGAGGGTCTGAAAGACAATCTTAAAGGAAGGTTAATAAGAAGAACATATAAATATGATGTTTGCCTGAAATGTAAGCATGTGTTTTGAACCTCTAAGATTCCCTCCCAACTACAGCTGTGCTTTGTAATTTTGTGTGTGATGTAGGTCATGAAAGAGTGAGAGTGGGATGCTGTGGTACATCAGTAGAGAAGAAGAAATAAATGCCTTTACTCCTCTAGAGAGGGTCTGTGAAGGAACAGCCTGCCCTGGTCATCTAGGTAGAATTGCAGAAAGTAACCCAGGGCAGCAGGGGCAGAAACCAACCAGGAAGTCTACTTTAGCCTCGCTCTGCAACTCCTGCTTTCCCCACTCCCCTCCCCCACGTTGTCCTAGCTACAAAATAATTCTGAAAAGTTAACTGTATTACTTTGATATTCTTAATAAAAATCTCATAGGTGGAATATAGTGTTCAGTCTCTCTCTCCTGCTTTGATTAGTTTAAAATTATTAGGCCTTGGAGAAGCCCTTATGAGTTTCACTTTCTATTTCGTCTTTAAAAGATGATTTTGCTTTTGATACTATTATGGCTTTTATCTTCTGATGTGTGACTATTTTTGCCCCTACTGTATCCTCATGAAAGGTTTATTTATAATATGAAAGAAAATATCCATTTCTGAATTCCAAAAGGTGTAATTTGAAAGAAATGTTGAGCAGTTAATTGATTCATTTTAACTTTTTAGAAAAGTCAAAAGTCCTCATACAGATTCCCTGTGCCTAAAAGATGCATGATGTTCTGTAAGAAAATAAGTTGCAATAGCGAGTTCTAATGCTACCTTTTAATCTCTTTTACAATATTATGAATAAATAAAACATTTCTCTCTCTTTTTTAAAGAAAACTGGTGATTTATTTGCTATCAAAGTATTTAATAACATAAGCTTCCTTCGTCCAGTGGATGTTCAAATGAGAGAATTTGAAGTGTTGAAAAAACTCAATCACAAAAATATTGTCAAATTATTTGCTATTGAAGAGGAGGTAAGTAGTAAAACTTCAATCTTATATTTATTGTAGTTACGAGTCAAGAAATAGAACCTAATATTAAAAAATGGATTTTTTAAAAAACTGTTGAAAATTAGGGTTTGTACAACCAAATACTTTATCCTAAAGGATTCTTGAATATATAGAACAATAGAAATAAAATATCATAAAAATGGAATCAGAAACAGTAGTGTAAGAAATAAAAGGGGGCGGCCGGCTGCGGCTGGGTGCAGTGGCTCACACCTATAATCCCAGCACTTTGGGAGACCGAGGCAGGTAGATCATGCGGTCAAGAGATTGAGACCAGCCTGGCCAATGTGGTGAAACCCCGTCTCTACTAAAAATACAAAAATTAGCTTGGCATGGTGGTGCGCACCTGTAGTTCCAGCTACTTGGGAGGCTGAGACAGGAGAATTGCTTGAACCCAGGAGGCAGAGGTCACAGTGAGCTGAGATCGCACCACTGCACTCCAGCCTGGCAACAGAGGGAGACTCCATCTCAAAAAAAAAAAAAAAAAAAGAAAGGATCATTTGAGCTCAGGAATTCAAGAACAGCCTGGGCAACATGGCAAAACCCTGTCTCTGTAAAAAATACAAAAATTTGCCATGCATGGAGGTGTACGCCTGTAGTTCCAGCTACTCAGGAGGCTGAAGTGGGAGGATCACCTGAGCCTGAGAGGTCAAGGCTATGGTGAACCATATTGTGCCACTGTACTCTAGCATGGGTGATGGAGTGAGACCCTGTCTCAAAAAAAAAAAGAAAGAAGGAAATAAAAGGGTATTGAATATGGTTACCAGTATTATTACTAGAAAAAGAAAGGTAACAAGTTAAATCTAATAATTATAAAGAGAAAAAATAATTATAAAAAGAAAAAATCGAACTTTAAAAAAATAAAAATTTTGTATTTCATGAATAAAAATTTCAAGAGTCCTACAGTTTAAGATATGAAGTCCAATTATAAAAGAATTGATTTTTTTAAGGGGAAATAGTGGAATTAAGAATGTCATTAGGAAAAGTAATCTAGAAATAATGGAAATAGAAATTATTTTAATCCCTTTAAACATGAGCAATCAATAAAATCTTTGGGAAAAAATGTAGTTTATACTCTTTATCCGAGTGATTTTATTTTTAGTGATTATTTCTTAGGAAGTAATCAGAAATATAATTTTATGCATGAAGATGTTAATTGGCATCCTGTTTATAATAAAGAATGGTTAAATAAGTTGAATAAATTAGAATGTGTGGCAGATAGTTACCTGGAATTAGCCAAACTCAAGATTAAGAGCATAGCCTTCCACACTGCCAAGTCTGCTCAAGACTTTTGATACCAATTGCAAAGGAGTTTGGCAAACTGCACAGAGAGAACAGTTCCCACAAGATTACCCTCACATCATCCCAGCCGGCTACAAATGTGGGGGTTGCCCATGACACTCAGGTTTGGTAATTTGCTGGAATGTAGAAATGACTCACAAAACTGAGGAGAGTGCTATACTTATAATTACAGTTTTATTGTAGCAAAAAGATAGAAATTAGAACCAGCCAGAGGAAGAGACACAAAGCGTGGAATGTGGGAGGGTTCCAATCTTGAAGCTTCTTTGTCCTGAGGGACACATTACTCTCTCAGCATTGATGTATGACAGTATGCATGAAGTATTGCCAGTCAGGGAAGCTCACCCAAGCCTTTGGTGTCCAGGGTTTTTACTGAGGCTGGATCATTTATTGCCTGTATTGCTGACCTTTAGTCCCCAGCTCCTTCCAGAAGTTTGGGGTAATTCCTTTAGTCTCCATTAAGCCCCCATCCTAAATCATGCTGTGAGACTCTCCAGTGGCCAAAGCCCCCAGAGGAACAAAGACAGAAGTCTTGTTCTTTCAGATAGGACATTTTAGGGGCCAGAGATCACTGTCCAGTAGCCAAGGGCAAAGCCTGACTTCTCTTTGGGTAAAGTTAATTTTTTACCACACAATAGTTAAGTGGTAATGAAAAGAGATATTTACCAAAATTTTAATCTTCTTGGAACACCTTATATATGATGTTATGTGAGAAGAATCAGGATTAAAAATATATATGTAGTATGATCTTAACATATACAGTGTAATATGCAAACAGCATTATGTATCTATGACATTATTTCATCCATAGAAAAAAGACTGAAAGAAAATACGCCAAAATATTAATTCATTATCTCCAGGTAATGGAATTATGTATACTTCCCAAATTTTCAACAATCAACATACATTATCATTTAAAAGCAACAGTTTTTTTTTTCTACTATGATTATTTCTCTCTCTTTTTTGAAATGACTGCCAGAGAGTAATTTAAAATATTTTATAAAAGTGTTTTGGAGATATGTAGAAAAAAATTAGAAAAGAAACAAAGGATAAAAAGTTGGAGATGAATAGTAGATTTTAAGACTCATTCAGATTTTCAGATTCTGAAATTGTCATGCATCTTATAATCATTGTGTATATATAATTTGATGGTATTTCTTTTTCCCCGTAATGCTGTTATTAAATTGATGAAGCATTATAATCAATGGTACATTAAAATTAAGGTTTAAAACAAATCAGCATCTCAGATGCAAATGAGCAGACTGGAGCTTTGCTGCAAGAGGGACCACTCAGCTGTTCTGCTACCCATTTATTTTTAAGGATAGGACTCCATTCCTTGAAGTAACAGTAGTCATCATAAGAAAAATTTCATTTTAAGAGGTTAGAAGAGCTGTTGTCCTAAATGTACTGTTATACATAAGAAATTCAGCACTGGTGTGGTGACTCACGCCTGTAATCCCAGCACTTTGGGAGGCCGAGGTGGGCGGATCACGAGGTCAGGAGATCGAGACCATCCTGGCTAACATGGTGAAACCCCGTCTCTACTAAAAATACAAAAAAATTAGCCGGGTGTGGTGGCACTCGTCTGTAGTCCCATCTATTCAGGAGGCTGAGGCAGGAGAATGGAGAGTGGCGTGAACCCTGGGAGGCAGAGCTTCCAGTGAGCCGAGATCGCGCCACTGCGCTCCAGCCTGGGTGACAAAGCGAGACTTTGTCTCAAAAAAAAAAAAAAGAAGGAAAGAAAGAAATTCAAGTGACTGGGTGTGGTAGCTCATGCTTGCAATCCCAGCACTTTGGGAGGTTGAGGCAGGCAGATTGCTTGAGCCCAGAAATTCGAGACTAGCCTGGGCAACATAGTGAGACCCCGTCTCTACAAAATAATAGAAAAATTAGCCAGGCATGGTGGAGCATGCCCGTAATCCCAGCTACTTGGGAGCTGAGGCAGGAGAATCACTTGAACCTTGGAGGTGGAGGTTGCAGTGAGCCAAGATCGTACCATTGCACTCCAGTCTGGGTGACAGAGCAAGACTCTGTCTCAAAAAAAAAAAAAAAGAAAGGAATTTAAGATGATTTTAACAAAACCATTGTAACATTGTACCAATGATTTTGTAGTTCAGATTTAGCTACTTTTTACTGTGGTTTGTCTTCAAAAACAAATCCAACTTCTTCACCTAATAGGAATTTGGAAAATGTTAGTTTTTTTTTTTTGTTTTTTTTTTTTGAGATGGAGTCTCGCTCTGTCACCAGGCTGGACTGCAGTAGTGCAATCTCGGCTCACTGCAACTTCCGCCTCCCAGGTTCAAGTGATTCTCCTGCCTCAGTCTCCTGAGTAGCTGGGACTAGAGGCATGTGCCACCACACTCAGCTAATTTTTGTATTTTTAGTAGAGACCGGGTTTCAGCATGTTGGCCAGGATAGTCTCAATCTCTTGACCTCGTGATCCGCCCACCTCAGCCTCCCAAAGTGCTGGGATTACAGGCGTGAGCCACCACACCCGGCCGGAAGATATTAATTCTTATATGTGTATGTTCAACAGATACTGAATCTCAGGTGAAGCAAAGTGCCTTCATCATTGTAGCAAATCCTACATTTAAATGAAATCAGATAAGTACTGGCATATAATCAAAATTTATTTTTTATGTTGATTCCCAATCAATGATTTTTTTTTTCAGACAACAACAAGACATAAAGTACTTATTATGGAATTTTGTCCATGTGGGAGTTTATACACTGTTTTAGAAGAACCTTCTAATGCCTATGGACTACCAGAATCTGAATTCTTAATTGTTTTGCGAGATGTGGGTATGTTTGTTTATTTATATGATATCATTTGTATATAAAATTTAATAACAGAATTTTTAAAAAATATCTTCCATTCAAAACTGAAGACCTTTATGCAATGCTTCATTAGATATGACACCAAAAGCACAAATACCAGAAATACATAAATTGGATTTCATCAGCATTAAACATTTTTGGGCCTCAGAGGACATCAGGTAAGTGAAAAGACAGCCCATAGAATGAGAAAAAAATGTTTGTAAATCATACACCTGACAAGGGATTTTTATCCAGACAACTCAACAATAAAAAGCCAAATAACCCAATTTAAAAATGGGCAAAGGATTCGCATAGACATTTCTCCAAAGAAGATACACAAGTGGCTAACAAGTACATAAAAAAAAGCTCAACATTAATTAATTAATAACCGACATCATTGGTTATTAGGGAAATGCTCATCAAAACCACAATGAAATACCACTTTATACCAATGAAAATGACTAATATCAAAAAGACAAACAGGGCCAACCATGGTGGCTCACGCCTGTAATCCCAGCACTTTAGGAAGTGGAGGCCGGCAGATTGCTTGAGTCCAGGAGTTCAAGATCAGCCTGAGCAACACAGTGAGCCCCTGTCTCTACAAAAAATAAAATAAAAAATAGCCAAGCATGGTGGCATGCACTTGTAGACAGCTACTCAGGAGGCTGTGGTGGGAGGATCACTTGAGCCCAGGAGATTGAGGCTGCTGTGAGCCTTGATTGTGCCACTGCACTTCAGCCTGGGCAACAAAGCAAGACTATCTCAAAAAAAAAAAAAAAAAAAAAACAAGTGTTGGCAAGAATATGGAGAATTGGAACCCTGATACATTGCTGGTAGGATTATAAAATGATACAGCCATTCTAGAAAACAGTCTAGAGTTCCTCAAAAAGTTAAATATAGAATTATTTAACTTTTGACCAAATGACCCAGCAGTTCCACTGCTACGTATATACCCCAAAGAATTAACATATCCATATAAAAACTTGTACTCCAGTGTACTTAGCAGCATTATTCATAATAGCAAAAAAAAAAAAAGATGAAAACAGCCCAAATGTCCATCAACTGATGAACAGATAAACAAAAATGTGGTGTGTCTATACAATGGAATATTGTTTGTTTACAAAAAGATATGAAGTAGTTATATATGCTACAACATGGATGAACTTGAAAACATTATGCTAAGTGAAAGAAGCCAGACACAAAGGCTGCAATATTATATGATTCCATTTATATGAAATGTCAAGAATAGGCAAATCCATAGAGACAGAAAACAGATTAGTGGTTTCTGGGGGATCAGGAGAAGATGGAGTTGGGTATGAGTTGTCTTTTTGGTGTGACAAAAGTATTCTGAAATCAGTGGTGATGGTTGTATAACTCTGTGACCATACTAAAAATGACTGAATTGTACACTTTAAAAAGATGAATGTTATGTTTGAATTATATCTCAGTGAACCTATTTTTTAAAAAAAATACTGCAATCAAAGGAAATAACATCTTAAGAGAAATGAATCAAATATTTGAGGAATGGGAAAAAGTCAAGTGATAAGGTAAAAGGTTGGTGGGAATTCTTGAACTTGTCACTGGAAGCAGAGTGATTATTTAGGTGAGGATACAATGAGAGAGAAACAATATTACTAGTATGCTACAGCCTGTTTAATCAAATAGAAATTATAGATATGATGTCTTCCTAAGTGTATTGGTAGTCCTGAGTTTTAATAATTATACATTGATACCCCTAAACCTTTTACATATTTTGAATTTGAACATTCATCTATCAGCCCTCAAGCAAATGTATAAAGTTATCACTCAGTGACACTGTCAGTTAGACAAAATAGCTTAATTTCAGCAAAGTAGACAACTTTGCCCTTAAGAAAAAAGAAGAAAAAATGGGCTTTTTGGAATAGTGCCAAGCATATGAGAATACATTTTTACAGAAACAAGTTTGACACTTTGCTGTTTTTCTGTTTCTTTTTTGCTGTTTTACATATTGAGTTCAGTTTACTTTTAGGGAATTTTTTTTCCCAAGATAAAGAAATGTAAAACTCTGGTGAAAGATTGATATCTTTTTTGGGAATCTTTATTATTTTTATGTTTAAACAGATCACCCACATATATATAACCAAAGTAATTCAAGAAATCATATGCTTAAGACTGTTTTGTTACATTTTCCTGGTAGTACTTAAGAGACACTGGATTTTTCCTTAGACCACATTAATTTTTATCATTCTAAAACTTCTTATAACTAAAACATAACATCTTTTATATATATATATTTATTATCTATTCTTTGAGTAAAATTACTTTGAACCAAATTATGGAAAAATTTATATTAAGTTTGGGTGACTATATCAATGAATTTGAGACATGCACACATACACGTAAATATCTACATTATGACTTCTTTTGTTTTATATTGTTGAAGTGGGTGGAATGAATCATCTACGAGAGAATGGTATAGTGCACCGTGATATCAAGCCAGGAAATATCATGCGTGTTATAGGGGAAGATGGACAGTCTGTGTACAAACTCACAGATTTTGGTGCAGCTAGAGAATTAGAAGATGATGAGCAGTTTGTTTCTCTGTATGGCACAGAAGAATATTTGGTAAGTCATGTATCACTAATATTTTCATTTAAAGAAGCTTGATATATTGTAATTATAATTGGGTAATTGGTCAGCCAATTCACTATAAAATGTCATTTTTATGACAAAAATTAAATTTTCTATTCTAATGAATATGTGCAACATGGGAATTAGGTACTCGCTTCCAAGGGTGCTGTTATTTTTCTATTAAAAATTCTTGGAAGTTTTGTAGCACCCTTAAATTCTTTAGTTTTACTGATGCTATGGATCTAAATTAAAAGGGTCTGTTTTTTGATGAGCAGTCAGCATATTACAAGCTTGTTATAATACTGTTTTTTATATATTCATTATATTTATGAAACAGATAATTCTATTTGGGGGAGTTGGTTATTGAATGACGAAAAGGACCATTGTTAGAAACACACACACACAAAATGCCCCTGAGAAGATCTAACTTGAAATTTTAGAAAGCTAGAAAAGCTCTGTAGTTGAAAAAGTTTATGTAGGTGTGTTTTTGTAAAGTCAGTAAATATTTGAAATACTTAAGAAAATATACTTAAAAGTAAATACTTTTAACATGTAATCAGGAAGTTTAATATATATAGCTCACTGATTATTCATGGCTTTGGGTTTTGTCTTAAAAGTCATAGAATCAATGACTTTTTTGCATTTGGATTGTGCTGTTGTAATTTTATAAGATGAAAGATATCTACCACACCCTGTAGCTTTATTCAGATTATTCTAAGTCTGGCATGAACTAAATGTCTTAAATTGTTATCCTAACAATTGGTAACCTCAAATTGATCTGTAGATATATGTGATGATCTTTTAGATAAGAGTACCTAAGAATGGGTCAGACACAGTGGCTCATGCCTATAATTCCAACACTTTGGGAGGCTGAGGATTGCTTGAGCCCAGGAGTTCAAGACCAGTCTGGGCACAATGACAAGACCCCATCTCTGCAAAAAATTACAAAATTAGCCAGGCATGGTGGCGCACATCTGTACACCCAGCTACTCAGGAGGCTGAGGCAGAAGGATCCCTTGAGCCCAGGAATTTGAGGCAACAGTAAGCTATGATTGCACCACTGCAATCTGGCCTGGGCTATAAAGCAAGACTCTGTCTCTTAATTTTTTAAAAAAAGGTACCTGGCCCAGGCATGGTGGCTCATGCCTGTAATCCCAGCACTTTGGGAGGCCGAGGTGGGCAGATCACAAGTTCAGGAGTTTGAGACCAGCCTGAGCAACATGGTGAAACCCCATCTCTACTAAAAATACAAAAATTAGCTGGGTGTGGTGGCGTGTGCCTGTAATCTCAGCTACTTTGGGAGGTTGAGGCAGAATTGTCTGAACCTGGGAGGTGGAGGTTTCAGTGAGCCGAGATCGTGCCACTGCACTCCAGCCTGGGTGACAGAGCGAGACTCCGTCTCAGAAAAAAAAAAAAAAAGTACCTAAAAATGGATTTTATTCATTCATTGCACAAATATTTATGAAGTGCCTACTATATACCAGATACTGTTCTAGGTGCTCAGACTTCTATGGTGAACTACATACACAGTATTCCTGCTCTTATGGAGCCCACGTTCTGGTAGGGAAAAAAGACAATTAACAAGTAAGTAAAGTAAATTCAGATCATTAAAGTTTAGCAAAGACAATAAATTAAGGTAATAAGATAAAGAGTGACTAGCAGGAGAAACATAGCCTGGGAAAGCCTCCTTTGAGGACTAAATGAACTGACACTGAAATGATAAAAAGAAGCAAGCCAGGCACAGCGTTCTGACTGCTGTTCTGTGCCGTTCCCTGGCCCTGTGAAAGCTACCTCCCCCTGCAGAAAAGAAACTCAACCACCAGTCCTCATACTCCTCGGCAGTTCCCTCCATCTCTGCTTGCTGAGAACCTACTGCATCAGTCTAGCCTACTGCATCAGTCTGAACCCTACTGCATCAGTCTAGCCTCCTCTCCCCTACAACCTGTGTTGTTGAGGGCCCAGGATGCCTATGGGGTCCTCTGGCTGTCTGAGTTGTGACGTATGAGCTGCTTTGTGATACAGTGAACTCCCTGTCATTGTGGATCTGGAGAATGTGTCATAGAACCTAGATAGCAGAGGGAAGTACAGTTGTAATGAATTCACCTTCAAGCTTCCTGAGACTCTTGGCTGGAACAGAGGCAGGACTCAGACGTTTCTGGCGAGTGGAATCAGGCTTCATATCCTGAATTCTCCACGTGAATGTAAGCTCCACAAAACCAGGGACTTTCATCTTAGCCTACCGAGAACACCAAGCAGAATTAGACAAGAAGAAATCACCCCCTTCCTGCTCCTTTCTCCGTCCTACATGACATTTGTGCTTTTGCTATTATCCTTTTGTCTCTTCCTGGGCCTCAACATGTGACTGAGTCAACACACATCTTCATTCTCATTTCTCTGTTGGTGGTCTTCTCAGTTATATTTGGCTAGACCATGCTTTCTGCTTCTAGAAGCAACACTGCTGAATTCACACCAGAGCTTTGGTACAAGGCAACTTCCTGATTCCTTCACTTTCCCCAGTTCAGACATTCCCCTTGTCTTTTCTCTTAGAGCAGTGAGCCTCCAATAAATAGCTCAAGGCCATGTTCTTCCAGACTGCCTCCTTTCCAGTAGCAAGCTCAAGCGCGTGTCCTTCAAATTCAATGATTAGATAAGATAACTTGTTCAAAAATTCAATTTCTCTCTTTCTCTTTCTCTCACCCAGTACTTTTTTTTTTTCCCCAACCCCACTTTCTGTAAGAACAGCCTATTTCTAAAAGCTAGTTCACCAGGCCCAGCTCCTTGTCTCTGGAGCCCACACCTGTCATAGCCAAAGCCACAGTAGATGAATGCTCAGGACACTACTGTTCCCAGGAGGGCACTGCTTGCCAAGGTTTACTGCTCTAAGAATGTTCTTGGGCTTCAGTCTGGTTCCATCAGGCCCAGAGAAAACAGCAGCTGTAAAGGCCTGGAGACAAGAATGACCTCAGGAGTTGGAGAAACAGAAAAGATGGCAGTTTTACTGGAATTTAGTGAGTAAAGAGGCAAGTGGAAGGACTTAGAATTAAAGAAGTGATCAGGGGGCTAGCCAGATCAGACAGGCTAGTAGTTTAAACCCTGTCAGACCAATACCCCCTTGTTATAATAAATATTTTGTAGTGTTCCCTTCAGTATCTTGAAATGAAATTCCTAGATAATATTATAAACCTGCACACCTAATTAAAATAGCATATCTTAATAATGTAAAGGAACATATTTTATAATAAAATAATAGATATTTAATATGTAAAAATTTAGAAACAGCTTCATGAGCAAACAAGTAGTGATATATGCTTGCAGCTATATGTAATACTACTTTGAATACAAGTGCAGTGATAACTCATGTTGTATTAGTGAATCACATCACAAATGGTAGTATTGTTATTGACATGATTTTCCAAAGTAGTGAACAATTTTTGGTAAAGTTTCTAACTAAAAGTAAATTTAAATATAGTTACATTCTTGGAAAAGCTGTACAAAAATACTTTGTTATATATAAAATGGAGTTCGAAATAGATTTCTCACTTGCACAAGTATCTGGCAGAATATTCCAAAGTCATTCAGGCTATATATAGGAGGATCATTTTTCAGAACTGTCACATACACTGCAGTATGTCCTTCAGTGTCTGGTCTCCGCCTTTTCCAATCATGATAATCACTGTAACAAGCAAACAGCAGTCCTGTACCAGCCTTCATGAGGTTGCTCCCCCAATACCAACTATTAATCTTTCATGTAACCTCCTGGGAACACAGTTTAGCTTTTGCCTCTAAGACTTTTAACAGGAAGAGCAAAACATTAAATAAATTAATTCCAAGTCTGTGCTGTACTCTAGGCTGAAATTTAACCCCATTCTATTTATTTCCTATTTCAGAATGGGAAATATTCAAATACAGTGCACCAGAATGAGATAAATAATAGTCTAAGGCTCAGCAGCCTAGCTATATTCTACATTTAACTGGAAACTTCCCTCGTTTTGAAGCTCCCAGGAACTACAACCCATATGTTAAATTCTCTCTCTTTTGTATGTTAAAGTCCAAAGAAAACATTCTTCTACTGTTTTTTGTTTTTGTTGTTGTTGTTATTGTGACAGAGTCTCAATCTGTTGCCCAGGCTGGAGTGCAGTGGCATAATCTCAGCTCACTCAAGCTCCACCTCCCAGGTTCAGGTGATTCTTATGTGCCAGCCTCCTAGATAGCTGGGGTTACAGGTGCACACCACCACACCTGGCTAATATTTTTGTGTCTATATATATATATGTATACTTTTGAGACAGAGTCTCACTCTGTTGCCCAGGCTGGAGTGTAGTGGTGCCATCCTAGCTCACTGCAACCTCCACCTCCTGGATTCAAGCAATTCTCCTGCCTCAGCTTCCCAAGTAGCTGGGATTACAGGTGTGTGCCACTACACCCAGCTAATTTTTGTATTTTTAGTAGAGATGAGGTTTCACCATGTTGGCCAGGCTAGTCTCAAACTCCTGACCTCAAGCGATCCACCCACCTTGGCCTCCCAAAGTGCTGGGATTACAGGATGTGAGCCACCACACCCTGTCTCTTCTACTGTTTTTAATATGATGGATATCATCTCAGTAATATAATCCTGAAAACCTTGGAGTAGCTTTATCCTTATGCTCTTCTTCCAGATGCAATAGCCCAGGCCCAGTAACACCAAGCCAGTAACACATCAGGACAGAGCCAGTGGGCACAAATGTATCAGACCAGCATGTGTCAAGCCACCCCAAGTTAATCACTCCCAGGGAATAGCTTCCAGCTGTACCAATTAGGCAGTATATTATTGCACCGTGTGAGGAGGTCCGTCTTTGTCTCCTTCTGGAATCACTGTGTCCCCTCTTCCCAGGAGGCTTTATATTCCAGAAGGCATCAGACATATCCAGGTACTTTTGGCCTCTTCATGACACCATTTACACACTAAGTACCAGCTGCTAGGTCAAAGGTTTGGCAATCACTTCTTTGGACAATAATCACTTTATGTGCTGTGCTACAGAACCAGCAAAGCCACTGAGATCCCATATATCTAGTAGGCATATGTTTGGACACTCACGTCAATACCCAGTTCTTATACTTGTCTGCATTCTGATTTCTCATTAAAATGTGTTTCTCAAAAGAGTCTTTTTCCCACCCCCATCTCCAGCACCCCCCCACCACCCCGACCCTCAGAAATCAGAGATTGTGATCCTTTGGGAGTGAGAGTCACAGATTGCATCATTTAGAAGCCCCTCCCAGCAGCATTTCCTACACTGGTTCCCAGTTCCCTGGGCCATAGCTAAATCCTACAATGTCATAAGGAATTGTTTTGGTTTGGGATCATTTAGGTGGTAACTCTACTTTGGTCCATACGTACACTTTTCAAGATTTATCTTCCAAAAATCTTCAAGTTGCAAGTGTATAACTTTCATGAAGGCAGATGGCAGGAGGCCATGCTGTGTGTGACCACTGGTTATTCTCTGCAGAACAAAATGTCCATCAGAATATCTGTTAGGTTTTGTGAGCTCCTAAACAATTTCTTAGAAGCTCCATCTGTTCTCAGTGACTATGGTATTAGTGCAGAGTGTCCAATCTTTTGGCTTCCCTGGGCTACACTGGAAGAATTGTCTTGGGCCACATATAAAATATGATAGATTATCTTGGGCCACACATAAAATAATGATAGCTGATGAGCTATTTTAAAAAAATCACAAAAAACCTCAATGTTTTAAGAAAGTTTATGAATTTGTGTTGGGCCACATTCAAAGCTGTCCTGGGCTACATGTGGCCCACAGGCTGCAGGTTGGACAAGCTTGGTGTAATATGTCCTATGTGTAAGGACGTGTGTTTAATGTCAGTAGATCCCCAGTGAACCCAGTCAAGTTAGTCCTCTGAATTGATTCTAGAGAATTTAATTTCATTAAATTAAATGCACTTACCCTGACAGATTGCATTTGAGGGATAAGGCAAAGAAATTAAGGCTGCCTGATAGGTTTCGGGTGTGAGCAGCTAGATATGTGGTGGTATTGTTTACTTAAAGTTTAGGAGGAAACAAGTTTAAGTGGGAAGACCAAGAGTCAATTTTGGATACGTTAAGTTTGAGCTGCCTTTTAGATATCGAGAGAATAGTAGGATATATGAATCTGAAGCTCAGGGCCCAAGGTAGTTTTGGAAGTTAAAGCATACATATGATATTTAATACATTAGGTCTGAATGGGAGATGAGGGAGTAAGGCAGTTATAATAAGCATGGACAGCTGTACTGAGAAGTTTTGCTGTGGTGGGAAGCAGAGAATTGGGTAATTGTTGAAAGGAGTTTTGTGGTCAATTTAGAGATCTTTTAAAATGGGAGATATTAAAGCATGTTTGTAAGCAGAAAGTAATGAATCAGAACAGAGGGAAACATTGCTGCATTAAATAAGTGGGATAATTACAAGAATTGATTTCTGGAATTGGCAAGATGATATGATAGGCTCTACAGCACAGATGGAAAAGTTGGCCATGTATAGGTGCAGTTCCATTGTGACTGGAAAGTAGGCCTGGAAAATGGACACAGATTGGCCAGGTGCAGTGGCTCATGCCTGTAATCCCAGTACTTTGAAAGGCCAAGGCTCTTAAGGTCCTCAAGGATCACTTGAGATCAGGAGTTCAAGACCAGCCTGGCCAACATGGTGAAACCCTGTCTCTACTAAAAATACAAAAATTAGCTAGGCATCATGGCAAGCACTTGTAGTCCCAGCTACTCAGGAGGCTGATGCAGGAGAATCACTCGAACCCGGGAAGCAGAGGTTGCAGTGAGCCGAGATCAAGCCACTGCACTCCACCCCATCTCAAAAAAAAGAGAAAAAAATAAAACGGACACAGATTCAGGTAGGTTGTATTTGGTAAAGGGCATAAGGGAGTGCTGGTCTGATTCCTTCCATTTCCACATTAAATTATGAAGCAGGGTCATCAAAACTGAGGATCAAAGGAGGTGGTGGAGGTTTGAGGAGGGAGGGGAAGATGTGAAATAGTCTTTTCAGATTGGGAAAGTGAAGTTATTAGGAAAACAAAATAGAATTTCTAAGCATTATTGAGTATCCATTTGTTTGTATAATGAAATGGGTCACAGGTTCATGATTTTTTTCTTTTTTTTTTAATCTTAGCACCCTGATATGTATGAGAGAGCAGTGCTAAGAAAAGATCATCAGAAGAAATATGGAGCAACAGTTGATCTTTGGAGCATTGGGGTAACATTTTACCATGCAGCTACTGGATCACTGCCATTTAGACCCTTTGAAGGGCCTCGTAGGAATAAAGAAGTGATGTAAGTGGTTTCCCGATCTAAAATCAGAGAAGCATTTAAAAAATGATTTCTGTCTTGGTTCATCTTATTGTTAGTGGTTTATGCTAATAAAAATTGATTTAACAATCATTTCTGATATTTTAAGCTACCTGGTTTTTAAAAAGAATGCAGCCTTATAAAAGTTTGCATAATTTTATGTTTAAGATATTTATGTTTAAATATCTTATATACACAGTATAAATGGTATTCAGTCTTTGGCCCATCATTAAAAATGTACTGCTTTCTAGACTTTATTTCAGCACACTGTTTATTTCACTCTGCATACTTGTCAGCACTTTCCTCCCATACAACTGAAAAAAAATACATAGTTCTGTGGAGTATTAGAATCATTACCAGATCTAAAACAAACATCAGTCTTACCCTAAAGTGAACTGATTCCTTTTACCATTTAAAAAATAACATTTTGGGCCAGGCGTGGTGGCTCACGCCTGTAATCCCAGCACTTTGGGAGGCTGAGGGAGGAGGATAGCTTGAGCCTAGGAGTTCCAAGACTAGCCTGAGCAACAGTGAGACCCTGTCTCTATAAAAAAATACAAACATTAGCCAGGGGTGGTGGTATGCTCCCATAGTCCCAGCTACTCAGGAGGCTGAGGTGGTAGGATCACCTGATCCCAGGAGATTGAGGCTGCTGTGAACTGTGATTGCGCCACGGCACTCCAGCCTGGGCGACAGAGTGAGACCCTGTCTCTAAATAAATAAATGAAAGAAAATTAAAAATAACATTTTGGCAGTAATGTAACATTAAACTTTTTTTTCCAGTGTTGCAGATTTGGACCAGACACTTGATATATTTTACTAGTATAATGTATACACATTTATGTATTGTCACAATTTTTTTTTAATTTCCATTTTTATTTTAGATTCAGAGGGTATGTGTGAAGGTTTAGTTAAAAGGGTATGTTGTGTAGTGCTGAGGTTTGGACTTTTGTTGATCCTATCACCCAGATAGTGAACGTGGTACCGAATAAGAAGTGTTCAGCCCTTGTCTCCTTCCCTCCCTACTTTTGGAGTCCTCAGTGTCTGTTGTTTCCATCTTTGTGTCCATCTTTGATGCATTAAATAAGTGGGATAATTACAAGAATTGATTTCTGGGATTGGCGAGACAATATGATGGGCTCCACAGCACAGATGGAAAAGTTGTGAACGCAAGATTTAGCTCTCATTTATAAGTGAGAACATAACAGTATTTGGTTTTTTGTTTCTGCATTAGTTCACTTAGGATAAAGGTCTCCAGCTGCATCCATGTTGCTGCAAAGGATATGATTTCATTCTTTTTTATGGCTGCATAGTATTCTACAGTGTATGTGTACCACATTTTTGTTATCCAGTCTGCCATTGATGGGAACCTAGATTGATTCTATGTGTTTGCTATCGTGAATACTGCTGGGATAAACATACAAGCGCATGTCTTTTTAGGTAGGATGATTTATTTTTCTTTGGTTATATACCCAGCAATGGGATTGCTGGGTCAAATGATAGTTCTATTTTTAGTTATTTGAGAACTCCAAGCTGCTTTTCGTAGGGGCTGAACTAATTTGCATTCCCACCAATAGTGTATAATTATTCCCTTTTCTCCACAACCTCACCAGCATCTGTTACTTTTTTTTATTTTTTTATAGCCATTCTGACTGGCGTGAGATGGTATCTCATTGCAGTTTTGATTTGCATCTCTTTGATGATTAGTGGTTTTTTCATGTTTGTTGGCAGCTTGCGTAGTCTTCTTTTTTTTTTTTTTTTTTTTTTTTTGAGATGGAGTCTCGCTCTGTTGCCCAGGCTGGAGTGCAGTGGTGCGATCTCAGCTCACTGCAAGCTCCGCCTCCCTGGTTCACGCTATTCTCCTGCCTCAGCCTCCCGAGTAGCTGAGACTACAGGCACGTGCCACCACACCCGGCTAATTTTTTGTATTTTTTAGTAGAGACGGGGTTTCACCATGTTAGCCAGGATGGTCTCGATCTCCTGACCTCGTGATCCACCCGCCTCGGCCTCCCAGAGTGCTAGGATCACAAGTGTGAGCCACCACACCCGGCGCATAGTCTTCTTTTGAGGAGAGTGTATTCATGTCCTTTGCTCACTTTTTAATGGGAATGTTTGTTTTTTTCTTGTTGATTCGTTTAAGTTCCTTATAGATTCTGGATGTTAGTCCTTTGTCAAATGCATAGTTTACAAATAATTTCTCCCATTCTATAGGTTGTCTGTTTATTCTGTTGAGAGTTCTTTTTGCTGTGCCAAAGCTCTTTAGTTTAATTAAGTCTCCTTTGTCTATTTTTTATTTTGTTGCATTTGATTTTGGGGTATTCATCCTGAATTATTTGCCTAAGACAATGTATAGAAGAGTATGTCCTATATTTTCTTCTAGAATTTTTGTAGTTTGAGGTCTTACATTTAAGTCTTTAATTCATCTTGAGTTAATTTTTGTATATGGTAAGAGGTAGGGGTCTAGTTTTATTCTGCATATGGTTAGCTAGTTTTCCCAGCACCATTTTTCGAATAGGGTATCCTTTCCCCCATTGTTTATTTTTGTCAACTTTGTCAAAGATATGTTGGTTGTAGATGTATGGCTTTATTTTAGGAGTCTCTATTCTGTTCCATCAGTCTGTGTATCTGTTTTTGTACCAGTACCATGCTGTTTTGGTTACCGTAGCTCTGCAGTATAGTTTGAAGTCAGGTAATATGATGCCTTCAGCTTTGTTCTTTTTGCTTAAGATTGCCTTGGCTATTCAGGCTCTGTTTTTGTTCCATATGAATTTAGAATAGTTTTTTCTAATTCTGTGAAAAATAACTGATAATTTGATAAGAATAGCATTGATTCTGTAGATTGCTCTGCGCAGTATGGATATTTTAATGATATTGATTCTTCCAACCCATGCGCATGGAATGCTTTTCCATTTGTTGTGTCATTTATGATTTCTTTCAGCGGTGTTAGTTCTTGTAGTCATCTTTCAACTCCTCAGTTAAGTGTATTCCTAGGTATTTTTGTGTCTGTGTGTGGCTATGGTAAATGGGATTGCGTTCTTGATAAAGTCTCAGCTTTGTCCGTGTATAGAAATGCTACTGATTGTTCTACATTTATTTTGTGTCCTGAGATTTGGCTGAAATTATTTATCAGGTCTAGGAGTCTTTTGGCAAAATCTTTAGGGTTTTCTAGGTTTAGAATCATACTGTCAGTGAAGAGAGATAATTTGACTACCTGTTTTCCTATTTGAATGCCTTTTATTTTTGTCTTACCTGATTGCTCTGGCTGAGACTTCTAGTACTATGTTGAATAGGAGTGGTGAGAGTGGGCATCCTTGTCTTGTCTCAGTTCTTAAGGGGAATTGCCCATTCAGAATGATGTTGGCTATTGGTTTGTCATAGATGGCTCTTATTATTTTGAGATATGTTCCTTCTGTGCCTAGTTTGTTGAGATGTATTGCCATAATTATTATGAAATAATTACTGTGTATAAAGTCATTTTTTGTAAGCCAAGGAAGAGATGGATTTCTAGATGTGAAATTAATTATAAAAATAATCCATAATTGACCACACTTCTTTTTATTTTAAAAGACATTAGTGAATAACCTTGTTTCATGAGAAGGCCAGACCACATACACATAAAACTATGATGTGAAGAATATTGAGTTTAGTGAATGGATAACAACCACTGACAGCCTAACCTGTCCAACCATTCTTTTAGGTCTTAACATATTTCTCAGACCTTTATATATTTGGCCCTATCTTTTGTTTTGTTTGTTTTGTTTTTTTGAGACAGTTTCACTCTGTTGCCCATGCAGGAGTGCGGTGGCCTGATCTCAGCTCACTGCAACCTGTACCTGCCAGGTTCAAGCAATTCTCCTGCCTCAGCCTCCCGAATAGCTGGGATTACAGGCACCCACCACCATGCCCGGCTAATTTTTGTATTTTTAGTAAAGATGGGTTTCACCACGTTGCCCAGGCTGGTCTTGAACTCCTGGCCTCAAGTGATCTGCCCCCCGCCTTGGTCTCCCAAAGTGCTGGCATTACAGGCATGAGCCACCGCACCCAGCCTGGCCCTATCTTTTATGAAGCAAACCTGACTTAAAGTAATAATCACAACTGTAAAAAGACAATTATCTAATCTCTTCTCAAAAAATTGAGGGAGAAGCATGTTTTTCCTTTTGTTGGTTGGAGGAAGTAAAACAAATTCAGATGGTACAATGACTTTTTCTATAACTTGGGTATTTAAGTGTTTTCCAGCAAGGACAGTGTACATATTTATGGGAAGAAGACACCTATTTAACTGTACTGATGATTTTGGCATAGCATCCTATTGAGCCTGCTTTATGTCATTGCCCTTTTAATGAAATCTCTTCATTAATAAAAACTGATAATTTGTGTTTTTCTCATTACACATAAATTGTGCCTAACAGTTAATCATACTTTTTTCATCATAGATAGTATCAGCCTTTAAAGCAATGTCAGCATTTCTTGCTGCCCTAAAAATGGTTTAAATAAAAGTGTGTGCTGCTCACTAATAAAGGAAACATGTGACTCATAAGCAGCTAGGAATACCTGATGATTTTATCTGACACCCTTGTGGGCAGATATACCATTAGAAGAATTTTATTTTATTAGCACAGAAACTCAACTTTTTATGAACATTGATGCTAAAGAATGTTCAGAGGTGATTGAAGTACTCAGTAATAATAATTGTTTTACTTTACTAATGAAAGATATATTCATCCAACATTATAGTAGTGCTGATTCCTCAGCATCTCATTTGCATGTTATGAATGTACTTATATGTGGATCTTATCAAAATTAAACTTTTTTAAAACTTGTAAGCATTCCCCTAAGACTTTTGCCATTTATTCTATTCACTTCTCTTTTGCATTAATCCCACACATGTGCACTTACTTCTTAGATAGTTGTCACATGAACACACCTTATTTTTCACGTTAATTTCCTCTTTGAAAAATCTCTTAAGGCAGAAATCCTGGCTGCCACTGCTGAGGAAGCAGCAAATGGTCTAAATCAGTTGTGGTGGTTTGTTCTATTTTTTAAAAAAATAATTAATTTGCTCAAAGCACATTTACTTTAATGTTAAACAAATGTGCTTTTTCCAAAATGTGCAAATGTGTGTTTTCCAGTGTGCAAAGAATCTGATACTGTGCTCTATATAGTATAATCTTTTTTGTTTTAAAGAATACTATTCATTCTGCAGAAACTTTAGTTGTGCCTTTGGATAATATGGGTAAGAGGGATTATATGCTTTTTTTCATGGTCTAGAGACATTCTGTGACACAACTTATTTTGTGTTTGCTCAGTTTTTTCAGATGGAAAAATTAATATATTTGTTGTGAACATCAAGATGCTGTTATAAAGCACTGTGAGATCTCAAATGAAAATTAATTATGGCATATATAAATAACCGTACAACCACTATTGTACTTCAGTCAGTCAGATTCAAAGTATTTTGATTGTTTTATGGATCCTGTGAGCATCAATCACAAAGTTTCATCTAGTAGATAATTGTAGGTGCAATTGAGGAAATACTTTTGCAAAGCCCATTAATAAGTCATGCAAAAATGAACTGCTTATTTTATTCTGCTTTTGTTCCTCCCAAGGTATAAAATAATTACAGGAAAGCCTTCTGGTGCAATATCTGGAGTACAGAAAGCAGAAAATGGACCAATTGACTGGAGTGGAGACATGCCTGTTTCTTGCAGTCTTTCTCGGTAAGTATGGTGTACCTAATTCTCATCTTTTGCACTTTGGTGTTTGAAATCTTTGTTGCCTAGAACCACAGATACTCAAATACTGAAGTGTAGTTTGATTTTATTTTAATTAGATATTGTCAAAGCATGTGCTTTGATAAATGATTTTTGTCTTCGTGGTGGTGAAAAGATTTATTCTCTGCTATATGAATAATTTCCCAAGATCTTCATTAGGACACAGGGCATACATTTTTGAGATTGGTAATCACTGGTCTTGGAATTCTTCCCAGTGTAGGGATCATGCTCAGGACCTTAGTATCTTTTGTAATGACCTCCATATTGATGGATAACAAATAGTGGATTAGATATGAGTAAATTTCTCAACTGGAGTTGTAAAAAGCAAACAATGAAGAGATTTAGTATTATCTTCATTTTAAAAAATTCAAATTATTCAAAGGGTGAGAAATAATAGTTTTTTGTACTTTTTAGCATTTCAAATGTTCATTTGGGTCTTGTTTAATGTCACAGACAGAAATCAAAAAAATTATATTGTCATTTAAGAATCCTGTTACCACAAAGAAAGAATTAAGGTAAAAGAAATTAAAAGTAGAAAGTAAATTATTTTGTATTTCACTCTGGAAACAAAGCCAAGACATGCATCGGTATTTAGTATCTGTGATTACTGAATTAGCTTCCATTTTTCTTGAGTGTGGTAGTTATATAATCCTTAATTGGACACAAGTTATGAATTAGTGGCTTATCACCTTTTTTAAGTTGTGGGTGCTTTTTGTATGACTTTAAATAAATAAATATATAAAACAAGCTAATAAAATATCACTTATCATTTTATATGTTGGGTTCTGTGAAAATTCATTTAAACCAAGAGTTCCAATGCTGAAATCATTTTCAAAAACCACTATTGTTAACAGTTTTTTGTGTGTGTTATTTTAAAAAGTTTCCAAAATGAAATCGTCATGTAACTAGATTACTAAGAGAAATTCATTGTGTTGGAGAGTAGAAATTTAATATTATAACTGTGATTTGTGTTAAATTTTTATTTAGGAAATACTCATTTTGGGGATCTCAGGCAAAACTGATAAAGTGTAAAGGGCTCAGAAAATGAACACTTGCTGGTAAATAATTATATTGCCAAAACTCAGAATCAAAAAAATCTGATGATCTGAACTGCAGCATATTTCTGGAGGGTAACAGGCATTATCTATCGAATCAGTCTTTAGCATACCAAGTTACAAATTCTTTGAGAAAAATTGCTTAGATGCCAGAAAGTATATTATATAATTTTTTTGTTTTAAATAGTAAGAACTCTAAGTACTACAAATCAGCCGTGAAAACAACTACCAGAAATGTAATGGGTCTTGGCACGGTGGCATACACCTATAATCCCACCTGCTCAGGAAGCTGAGACAGGATACTTGAGCCCCAGAGTTTGAGACTGCAATGCATAAAGCATCTGTGAATAGCTGCTGCACTTCAGCCTGGGCAACATAACAAGACCCCATTTCTAGAAGAAAAAAAGCTATAATTCCTTATTCATTGATGAGTGGCATTAAATGAAGGTTACCTAGCTTTCTGAAAAGTTGACAGATTTTAAATTTTTTAAATTAATCTAATATAGTAATAATGACAGTTCCTTTGATTTGCTGGTAAATACTATGATTTTTTAACCTAGACAGAATATGATATATTCACTCTTCAAGTAACTTTTCAATACTATTTTAGGGGTCTTCAGGTTCTACTTACCCCTGTTCTTGCAAACATCCTTGAAGCAGATCAGGAAAAGTGTTGGGGTTTTGACCAGTTTTTTGCAGAAACTAGTGATATACTTCACCGAATGGTAATTCATGTTTTTTCGCTACAACAAATGACAGCTCATAAGATTTATATTCATAGCTATAATACGTAAGTATCTCTATTTTCTTCTTGTATCAACATGTTCTGTTATATAATATTTTCCTAAGTTAGGAAAAGAAATAGAAAAGATGCCTCAGCTTCACCAAAAGTACCCATTTCCCACATGGAAAATTATATTTAAGTGCTTAGTAAATTCCTTTTCACTTATTTTTGGAGTAAAAGGATTGATAATTCTAAAATTTATAGTTAAATTAGCTTGTTTCTTAAACTGTAAGTTTTACAAAAGTACTTTCATTGCTGTGCCTTCTTTCAAGTTACATAATCACATAACCACAAATGGCATCTACCAATAAACCAGCCAGGTTTTGCTAAGTGTACTATCCTGCCATGTTAAAATATCAAAGCCTAAGTCTTCATTGTTAGCATGGTTATTTGCCTATGATAACCCTATGCAGATAATATGGTTACTATTAACCATAATAATGGTTAAAGCACCTGGCTCCGGAAAAATAATCAGTGTTTGTTTTATGTAAACAAAAACACATTACACCCATGTGATTAAAAAAAACTACCCATGTGATAAAACTGCATATAAAGTTTTGGTCAATGATGGACCATATATACAACACTGGTTCCGTAAGATTATAATATCATATTTTTACTGTACCTTTTCTATGTTTAGACATGTTCAGATATACAAATACTGTTTCTAATTATGTTACAGCTGCCTGCAGTATTAAGTACAGTAGCATGCTGTACAGGTTCGTAGCCTAGGAGCAGTAGGCTAGCTACCCTATATAGCCTAGGTGTGTAGAAGGCTATACCATGTAGTTTTCTGTAAATATACTCTGTGATGTTCACACAATGATGCAGTTTTTAGAACTATTCCCATCATTAAGCAATGCATGACTGTACACATACATATACTTGCATGTAAAACTGGGGAAATTTGAGTAAGTTGGGTGTATCAATGTTAATAGCTGGTTGTGATGCTTTGCTATATGCAGGATGCCACCATTGGGGGAAGCTGGGAGAAGAATATATGGTGTCTCTCTTCATCATTTCTTAGAACTGCATGTGAATCTACAGTGATGTCAATGTTTTGTAAAAAGCTCACCCAGTGTGATTATCGTTAATAATAACTTAATTGTACATTTTAAAATAGCTAAAAAAATATAATTTGATTTTCTGTAACACAAAAGATAAATGCTTGACTGGATGGATACCCCATTCTCCATGGTGTGATTATTATGTATTGCATGTCTGTAACAAAACATCTCATGTACCTCATAAATATATTCATTTCCTATGTACACACAAAAATTAAAAACAAAAAATTTTCAAAAGGTGACACAGTGGAGGCTTGTAGAGCCAAATTACAATATTGCTGCTGAAACATTTCTTTTGATGTCATTGATCTATTCATGGGGAAGCTGTCTTTTCCCCCGAAGCATCATTTTGAAAATACCTAGTTTTATTAATGTATTTAACAAACATATAGTCACATAACAAGTGCTGTTCTTGGTTCTTTACATATTTAAGCCATTTAATCCTCACAACAATTCTGTGAAGTGGGTACTGTTATTATTTCCATTTTACTGATGAGGAAACAGTGCAGAGGAGTTAAGTCACTTACGGTTTTATAGGAAGTTAGTGGAAGAGCTGAGATTTGAACCCATGTATCTGATTCAAGTCAGTGCTCTAAACCGCTCTGCTATGTTGGTTCTCTATTTGAAAATATTAATAATCTTGGCCAGGCACAGTGGCTCACACCTGTAATCCCAGCACTTTGGGAGGCCGAGGCAGGTGTATCACTTGAGGCCAGGAGTTCGAAACCAGCCTGGCCAGCATGGCGTAACCCTGTCTCTATTAAAAATACAAAAATCAGCTGGGTGTGGTGGTGCATGTTTGTAATCCCAGCTACTCAGGAGGCTGAGGCACGAGAATCGCTTGAATCCAGGAGGCGGAGGCTGCAGTGAGTCAAGATCGTGCCACTGCACTCCATCCTGGGCAACAGAGCGAAACTCTGTCTCACATACACACACACACACACACACACACACACACACACACACAGAGGAAAGAAAATATTAAGAATCCTGTATATTACACAGGTATCCAAACATAAAAATACTTTAGAATTGCTTACTGTATGGACAGGTTATATGGAATGGAGTTTGTAGTATCCACATTAACAAAGCAAGTTTATATGGACTGGTTATGATATTAGGGATATGAATTAGAAATGGATGTTGTTGCACTCATTTAAAATATTTTGCCTCTCACTTTATCCCCAGTTATAGTGTCCTTTTGAATTTTTCTCACACAGTGCTACTATATTTCATGAACTGGTATATAAACAAACCAAAATTATTTCTTCAAATCAAGAACTTATCTACGAAGGGCGACGCTTAGTCTTAGAACCTGGAAGGCTGGCACAACATTTCCCTAAAACTACTGAGGAAAACCCTATATTTGTAGTAAGCCGGGAACCTCTGAATACCATAGGATTAATATATGAAAAAAGTAAGTTGGGATTTTTCTTGTCGTTCTTACTAGCCATTAGAAAAATACAGCCAGCCTGGGCAACATAGTGAGACCTTGTCTCTACAAAAAAATAAAACAAAAATTAGTGGGGCATGGTGGCTTGCACCTGTAGTCCCAGCTGCATGGGAGGCTGAGGTAGGAGGATCACTTGAGCCCAAGAGGCAGAGGTTGCAGTAAGCCGAGATTGCACCACTGCACTCCAGCCTGGGAGACAGTGTGGGACCCTGTCTCAAAAACAAAAAAATCCACAAAGTCTGTCATTGTAGAAATGATTGTCATCCTTATAAAGCTGATGATAATATTAGTGTAGAGCTTTCATAAATATTAAAATTTTATAAATTACTATAGTTGAAAGAGAGTAATTGTAAAATTGAAAAAGCCTTGTAGACATGATTTGACTTCAAATATTTTGTTTCCTAAAACGATAAAATCGTTTGTCATACGTTTCACTGTAACTCTCTTTAAAAAGTGTTTTGCTAACACTCAAAATTACCTTTTATATCATAAATTTCAGCAAATATTTTTTGTGTGCAGTATGTATAGAACATTGTGCCAAGCTTTAGAGTCTAAGAAAAATTAGATCTGCATTTTTAGAATCTTTTAAATTACTCATTCTACTGGTAGAAAAAAAAATGGATCACCCAGAATTTTACAGTTCTATTTGAAGGTTGGGATTTGATGTAGATTTAAAGAGAAGCATTGGACTCATTGTGTTGGTGTATATTTAAGGAAAAAATGAAACTCCTTAGAAATATTTGAGGTAATTTGTTAGAGAATGAGCATTATTGTTTGAAGTGGTGTTTTTTTAATCACGAAAACTACATTACAGATTTTGCCACTAATGTTTAATTTAGACATTGTGTTTGCTCTATAAAGGATAAAGTGATTTTTTCAAAAAGTTTTCTTTCTCATTTTATTTTACTTCATATTTCAGTTTCCCTCCCTAAAGTACATCCACGTTATGATTTAGACGGGGATGCTAGCATGGCTAAGGTTAGTATTTAATTTAATTACTATGTAAACATCTGAATTTAATGTATCCTATCAATAGTGGAAGCAATAACATGTATTGTGTCTTCATGTATGTCTATATGACTTAGGAAATTATTCACTTAAATTGATACCCTTTCCAAGTGATTTTGTGGTCTTTCTTTTTTACTTTTTATCCTTTCTTGAATTCATTATATAAGAAAATTCTCTCCATTGAGATAGTGCATGTTTAGATAATGTTAAGGATAACATATTTATTATATTTATATCTATTTTTAACTCTTAGAAATTGGTGGTTTATTGTGTTTTTAATTAACCTGATAAAAATGTGTAAGCTTGAATAATTTTGTGTAAAAGTTTTTCTTACCCTATACCACAATTAGCACCAAATATTGACATTTTATTTCTTTATTAGGCAATAACAGGGGTTGTGTGTTATGCCTGCAGAATTGCCAGTACCTTACTGCTTTATCAGGAATTAATGCGAAAGGGGATACGATGGCTGATGTAAGTAATAGATTGAAATTTTGAAATTGATTTTCATGTAGACCTTGCCCCATCATTGATATTTTCTCTCTTCAAACTAGTTAGGTTAGGTGCTTGATTTTTATTATAATACATTTGTTTCACATTTAGTTTATAAAACATTTAGCAGCTCATTTTTCATGAGTCCTACAATGACCTTGTGAGACAGAACAAATAGTATCTGAATTTTAAAACTTACACCACGCTATAGGATGTGACGGCAAATGCATTTCTTTTCCTAGGACCTTGAGTAGTTGGTTGTCATTTAACTATGTTAGAAGTCTTTGGCTTGTTAGAATTCAGTACAATCTGTACTTTCTAGCATTTAAGTCCTCAAAGTCTTCCTTAATTTCCTACCATTTTCCCAAATGAAGTACACAGTCCTTTTTTATCACACCGTATTTTTTTTTTTTCTTTTTGAGACAGGGTCTCGCTGTCACCCAGGCTGGAGTGCAGTGGCACAATCACAGATCACTGCAGCCTGAAACTCCTGGCCTCAAGTGATCCTACCACCTCACCTTCCCAAGTACCTGGGACTATAGGCATGCCCCACCACACCCAGCTAATTTTTTTTTTTTTAGTGATGGGGGGTCTAGTTATGTTGCCCAGGCTGGTCTCAAACTCTTGGGCTCAGGCAATCAGCCCGCCTCAGCTGGGATTATAGGCATGAGCCACACCCAGCCTTCACAACATTGAGATATAATTCATATACTATATAACTCATGCATTTAAGCATACAGTTTAATGGTTTTTATTATGTTCAGAGTTGTGCAGCCATCATCACTAATTTTAGAACATTTTCATCACCCCAGAAAGTATCTCTGCATCCATTAGTATTCACTCTCCATCTCCGCCTAAACAGCCCTGCCCTAGGCAACCACTAATATACTGTTTGCCTGTTCCAGACATTTCATATAAATGAAATTATACAATATGAATATATAATCTAACAAGCAATTTAAAAGCTAATTTTTTAAAACTAGATCGCTTAATATAGTTATTCTAGTTCAGAATAACTGGTTATCTAGTTTAAGTAGTTTCTTCCTGAAAGTGACTCTAAGAAATGTAAGATGGATGTAATTTTTACCTGTTTTTTACTTTAATGATTTATAGATGTCATCTTTCCATCTGAAAAAAATGGAAAATACATTATCTCTTTTGGAAATTATGCTTGTTTCTACACATCATTCAAAGCTTTTGAATTTTGCGTACACATCATGATGGCCTTGTGGCCGACAGATGTTAAGAAGTTTGTTTTCTGCACTCATGTCGCTATGTATGTGCCCTTGGACTGTAATGCTTTTGACAGTTTATGTATGCCTACCTCATACCCACCCCGTCTTGCAAAAGTGTGTATGAAGCATTTCATCACTCTTTTTAGGCTCCTTTTTTTTTCTGTTAGCATTATATGAAACCCATAAATTTGTGTTTATCTTTTTCACTGTGTTCACATATCTTAGTTCCTAAGCCTATGCTTTTCTGTTTCCACTAAGAAGCTTCCTTGTTTTTACTGGTTTCTGGAAAAATCTCTGTGTACTAACAGTTTTTATTTTCTCTTATCTATCGTCAATTGCTGATCCATGAAGCTTTTATTCCTTTTACTTATTAGTTTATAGTCCAATAAGTCATGAGAAAATAGTTTTAATGTAAACCACTGTTGGCAAACATTTTCTTTAAAGGATCAGTCTAATATTTTAGACTTTGTGAGCTGCATATGGTCTCTTCTTTGTTTTTACAATCTTTAAAAGTGTAATGTTAGCTCATGGGCCATACAAAAAGCAGGCCTCAAGTCTTAGTTTGTTGATCCCTGATGTAGATCAAAAGCCCTTCAATTATATATTTCTTACTGTGTCATCCTTCTTCAGATGACATCACAAGTTGAGCATCCCTAATAAAAAATATTCCAAAAGTCAAATCTTTTTGCTCAAAGTTTATGCTCAAAGGAAATACTCATTGGAACATTTTGGATTCTCAGATTAGGGATGCTTAACCAGTATGTATATATGCAAATATCCCAAAATCCAAAATCTGAAAAACACTTCTGGTCCCAAGCATTTCAGATAAGAGATATTCAACCTGTAATTGGTTTAAAGTATAAATCAGACAGTAGTCTACTCTGAGTAGTAAAAATTAATTCTGGTGGTATAAACTGTAATGCTCTACAAACTATTTGTGTAATTGTAGATTAGTTTTTACTCCTTAATGTAATTTTAATACCTTAGGTTTTTAAACTGTTAACCTAAGTAGTAATGGTTTGTGAAAATATGAGTTCCCTAATACATCAGGATCACAGAAATGCTTATTATAATAATGTTTCAAAAAGTGTGAATTGATGAATATCATGAATATTGTTATAAAATGTTTTTGAACTGTAGTACTGCAGTATAATTAGTGATAGATAGAAAAAATAACTCCTTAGATAAACTAATTAGAATAATTTTCTTTTTTTAGTGAATTAATTAAAGATGATTACAATGAAACTGTTCACAAAAAGACAGAAGTTGTGATCACATTGGATTTCTGTATCAGAAACATTGAAAAAACTGTGAAAGTGTGAGTAGACTACTTCCTTACTAGTAGGGGTTAAATTATTAAATGTTCCATTTCTATTTAAATGACTTAGTTATCCTTGGCACAATATGGCATGCTATGCTAGGGTTTCTATTAAAGATCAGCGGCCTGGCACGGTGGCTCATGCCTGTAATCCCAGCACTTTGGGAAGCCAAGGCAGGTGGATCACGAGGTCAAGAAATGGAGACCATCCTAGCCAACATGGTGAAACTCCGTCTCTACTAAAAATACAAACATTAGTTGGGTGTGGTGGCGCACGCCTGTAGTCCCAGCAACTCGGGAGGCTGAGGCAGGAGAATCGCTTGAACCCAGAAGGCAGAGGTTGCAGTGAGCTGAGATCATGCCACTGCACTCCAGCCTGGTGACAGAGTGAGACTCCATCTCAAAAAACAAAATAAAATAAAGATCAGCCTTAGATTAGTGATTACTTTATCATCACAAAGGCAAAAATGCCAGTTTTCTTGGTAAGAAGTGAACACCATCTCTTAGTGGCATTTCCTCCCAGCCATTGGGCAGGAAAAGGTAGTGGGAAAAACATCTCATTTCTATCTTGTAAAACAGAAACTGTGAATAAGAAAATATGAAACTTGTAATCAACAAAGGAAATAGGAAGAGATATTCTAGAACAGCCTTTTAGTAGTATTTTTAGAATTATAGGAATTACTTTTAGTTTATTTTTACTTGTTAATCTTATTCCTGAGAACACGTTTTGAAACAGAATGATATTTTTAACTGCCCTCTTTCTAGAATATACTATTTGTACTGCAGAGGAAATACAATAAATGAAATCAGTATTCACTATTGACCTTCATTAATTCTGAAATGTATTTTTACTATTATCCTCATATAAGATTATTTGAAATTAATTTGTCTTTTCTGTTTTATCCATCCCTTAATCTGCAAATTTAAAATAGAAGCAGATAAAATTCCTTCTTCAGGAAGGCATCAGGTTTTTTTGTTTTTTTGGTTTTTTTTTTTTTGAGAGAGAGTCTCACTCTGTCATCTAGGCTGGAGTGCAGTGATGCAATCACTGCTCACTGCAACCTCCGCCTCCCAGGTTCAAGCGATTCTCCTGCCTCAGCCTCCCAAGTAACTGGGACTACAGGTGCATGCCACCACGCCCGGCTTATTTTTTTTTTTTTTGTATTTTTAGTAGAGATGGGGTTTTACCATGTTAGCCAGGATGGTCTCCATCTCCTAACTTCGTGATCTTCCCACCTTGACCTCCCAAGGTGCTGGAATTACAGGCGTGAGCCACTGCACCTGGCCGGCATCAGGTTTTTTTTTTAACAATCTGCTGGCTTATAGACTTTGAATCAATTTTTTATTTTTAAATGGTTATGATGAAAGCTGAAATTATTATTTATAAAACATCTTTTTAAAACTATGTATTGATTATACTCATTTAATTTTCTCTTTTGACTTTTCATACAGATATGAAAAGTTGATGAAGATCAACCTGGAAGCGGCAGAGTTAGGTGAAATTTCAGACATACACACCAAATTGTTGAGAGTAAGTGTTTACAAAATTACGAAATTTGTAAGCTCATAACCTATTCCTTTGCTGGCACTATTAGATTTAAACTTTCTTAGGAGCTAGGCATGGTAGTACACACCTAGAGTCGCAACTACTCAGGAGGCCGAGGCAGGAGGATCACTTGAGCTGAGGCATTAAAAGCTGCAACGAGTTATGATGGTGCCACTGCACCCTAGCCTGGGCAACTGCACGAAATCTTGTCTGTAAAATAAATAATTTAAATAAATAAACTTTCTTATAGAGATGATATTTCTCACTGCAGAGAAAGAATTTTTCCCATCTTTAGAAACTTCTTTACAATATTAAATAATCTTACTGCCTTGAAATTTTTTGTAACATATTCAAATGACTACTGTAATTTAAACCTCTCTCGCTGCCTCTCTCTCTCTCGGTGTTTAAATCCATAATGCTCTTGTGTTCTTGCTGTGGCAGTTAAAGCAAGTTCATAAATGTAATTTCACATGCAGTTGAATGTAAAGTGCTTGAGCTTGTTTAGAAATAGATTTAAATTAGGCTGGGCGCGGTGGCTCATGCCTGTAATTCCAGCACTTTGGGAAGCCAAGGCAGGTGGATCACCTGAGGTCGGGAGTTTGAGACCAGCCTGGCCAACATGGTGAAACCCCGTGTCATTAGCTGCGTGTGGTGGTGGGCACCTGTAATCCCAGCTACTTGGGAGGCTGAGGCAGGAGAATTGCTTGAACCCAGGAAGCGGAGGTTGTAGTGAGTCGAGATCACACCATTGCATTCCATCCTGGGTGACAAGAGTGAAACTCCATCTCAAAAAAAAAAAAGATTTAAATTAGAAAAATATTATCAGATTTTTTTCTAAAATAAAAAAGGAAAGAAAGATTTGAGGTCTTCAAGGCAGTAATTACTTCTATAGCTAGAAAAAGAAATTAGGACACAAGTCTCTACTCTGCTGAAAAATACAATAGAACTTCTGGGAGTCTCTGAATCTCTTATTAACATGTATTATAGAAGTGCGCAGGTTTATATATTAGTAATCAGTGAGAGCTGATTACTACTCCCAGACCTGCCCCATTTACCTGCCTACTCATGACTGGCTACTTAAGCAAGGCCTTTTAATTCTTTGCATCCTTGGTTTCTTTTTCTCTAAAATCAGCAATTTCTTACCCTGCCCGTCTTATGGGTTGTTGTACTAATTAAATGAGATAAATAAAAATACTGTACTCTTGGCTGGGTGTGGTGGCTCACACCTCTAATCCCAGCACTTTGGGAGGCTGAGTCGGATGGATCACTTGAGTCCAGGAATTCAAGACCAGCCTGGGCAACATGATGAAACCCCATCTCTACAAAAAATACAAAAAAATTAGCCAGGCATGGTGGTGCATGCCTGTGGTCCCAGCTACTTGGGAGGCTGAGACAGGAGGATCACTTGAACCGAGGAGGCGAACGTTACAGTGAGCCGAGATCGTGCCACTTGCACTCCAGCCTGGGTGACAGAGCCGAGACTGTCTCAAATAAATAAATAAATAAATATATTGTAATCTTGCAAGCTTTTAGTATTCGAAGTATTCTTTCATAAAATGGATGTTAAATTAAAAGTGAAAGGAACTTGATACGATATCCTTTTCACTTTCCAGCTTAGGCTGATGTTTGTTTCTTTTCCTCAGTTTTAGATCTCAAACAGTGGTTTTCAAAATATGAGTAATGAACAACTAGTAGGTTATGAAGTTGGGTGCCTTGTAATCAGCAATGTATTTTTCAGTGGAACAGAATAGAAAATGTCAGAATGTGTCACATATAATAAGGAAATCATTGTTTATGAAACTTTGATTCAGGTATATACACACTTTAAATGTTACTGAGTTAAAACAGTGAGTTTCTTACTATGAGTTGTGGTCAGGAAAGTTTGAAAACCATAGCTATAGAATAAGGTGATTAAAAGTCAGAAAGCACAAAATAGTCTTCCCCAGTATTTGTCTGCATTTAAATATAGGCAGCCATATTGCTGTCAGTGTTTTATATTCTTCTCTGTTTTCACCTTAGAACATGATTTACCTGCTCATAGGCCTAGTGGACATTTATTTCCAGGGCCAGCATCGTTTGAGCACTTTAAATCAAAATTAATATATTTTCTTTTGGGGATCTCAAAATGTTTCTCATTTTTATGACATTCCTGTGAGATTAAGATTTCTTTTTATTTATTCATTTATTTTTAAACAGAGTTTCCCTCTTGTTGCCCAGGCTGGAGTGCAGTGGCGCGATCTTGGCTCACTGCAGCCTCCGCCTCCTGGGTTCAAGCAATTCTCCTGCCTCAGCCTCCCGAGTAGCTGGGATTACAGGCATGTGCCACCACACCCAGCTAATTTTGTATTTTTAGTAGAGAAGTGGTTTCTCCATGTTGGTCAGGCTGGTCTGGAACTCCCAACCTCAGGTGATCCGCCCGCCTTGGCCTCCCAAAGTGCTGGGATTACAGGCATGAGCCACCTTGCCTAGCCAAGATTAAGATTTCTTATGAGAAAGCATAGATGACTAAATAGCTTGAGGTAATGGAGTCTTATGACATCAGGACTTCTCACTTCAAGCCAATTACTTTTCCGTAGATATCATTTTTTCTCTTTTTCTTTTTTTTTTGAGATGGAGTCTCACTCTTTCGCCAGGTTGGAGTGCAATGGCGTAATCTCGGCTCACTGCTACCTCCACCTCCTGGGTTCAAGTGATTCTCCTGCCTCAGCCTCCTGAGAGCTGGGACTTCAGGCGCCCGCCACCACGTCCAGCTAATTTTGTTTGTTTTTTTTTTTTTTTTTGGAGACGAAGTTGCTCTTTTGCCCAGGCTGGAGTGCAGTGGTACAGTCTCGGCTCACCACAAGCTCCGCCTCCTGGGTTCACGCCATTCTCCTGCCTCAGCCTCCCGAGTAGCTGGGACTACAGGCTTCCACCACCAGGCCCGGCTAATTTTTGCATTTTTAGTAGAGACGGGGTTTCACCGTATTAGCCAGGATGGTCTCAATCTCCTGACCTCATGATCTGCCCACGTCGGCCTCCCAAAGTGCTGGGATTACAGGCGTGAGCCACTGCGCCCGGCTTCGTAGTGGAGACCTTACAGACATTTTTCCCACCACAAAAGTAAAATTTATAAGTAGAAAAAAATACCACATATATTATGCACCCAAAAAATGATGCTTAAAAGTTTTGTCCATTGCCCTGCAGCAGTGCTTCTCAGAGTGGCTCCTGGGCCACAGGTCGCAGTGGTTCACACCTGTAATCCCAGAACTTTGGGAGGCTGAGGTAGGCGGATCACTTGAGGCCAGGAGTTCGAGACCAGCCTGGCCAATATGGTGAAACCGTGTCTCTAATAAAAATACAAAAATTAGCCGGGCGTAGTGGCAGACGCTTGTAATCCCAGCTACTGGGGAGGCTGAGGCAAGAGAATCACTTGAACCTGGGAGATGGAGGTTGCTGTGAGCCGAGATCATGCCACTGTCCTCCAGCCTGGGCGACAGAGACCCTGTCTCAAAAAATAAAAAAAAAGTAAAGAAGAGTGGCTCCTGGGCCAGCAGCTTCAGCCTCACATGGGAACTTATTAGAAATGCACATTTTGGGACCCCACCTCGGATGTGTTGAGTCAGCAACTCACTGGCAGAACCCAGCAAAGGCCCTTTTTAATAAGCCTTCCAGGTGATTCTCATGCTGCTAAAATCTGGGTAATCACTGTTTTCATTTTCTTTTATATGTATTATTAAATGACTGTTACTCTACAAACATATGGTTGTTATTTTTACTTTTTGGATACCATTATAGTGTAGGCATTTCCCAGGTTTTTTTGGTAACACCATTTTCTTAATGATATGATGTTGCAGCCAGTGGATTTATTACAGTCTTACTTATTATTGCTCTACTGTTGGTCCTTTAGTTTGCTTTTCACTCTTCTATGTAATGCTGTAAGAAATGACTTTTTCCATAAACTATTTTCCATATATTGGATGTATAATTTAACACATTCTAAACATTAATGTTAAAACAGACATAAAGCATAAAAACCGAGATATATATTTGATCATATAAAAATTTAAGCTGGGCACAGTGGCTCATACCTGTAATCCCAGCACTTTGGGAGGCCAAGGTGGGGGTAGACTGGTTGAGCTCAGGGGTTCAAGACCAGCCTGGGAACATGGTGAAACCCCAACTCTACCAAAAAAAAAAAAAGAAAAAAAAGAAAAAATTAGCAAGACGCAATAGCACGCACTTGTAATCCCATCTACTCAGGAGGCTTAAGGTGAGAGGATGGCTTGAACTCAGGAGGCAGAGGTTGCGGGAGCTGAGATTGCACCACTGCACTCCAGCCTAGGCGACAGAATGAGACTCTGTTTCAAAAATAAAATAAAAATTTAAGATCTGTACATGTTTAAAAAATGTTAGAATGCAAATAAGTTGGGAAAATGTGATAAAGGGTTTTTTATAAAAAATAACTCATACAAATTGATAAGGAAAATAGTCAATCTGCAAAAAATAGATGAGCACAGAACATTTAGAGACAATTTATAAATGAAGAAAATATATCTGGTGAAAACACTCTTGAAAAAATGCTCAAATCCAATAGTAAGAAAAAATTGCATAACAGTAAGATACTATTTTTGTCTTTCAGATTATCAAGGCTTAAAAAATTATAATGCCAGTGCTGACAAGAGTGTGGTTTAAAGGGCATCCTTATTTGTTGCTAGTGGCAATGTCAGCTACTACTGACAACATTATTTGAAAGGCAATAGTGTGTATCAGGACCTTTAAAATATATGGACATATTTATCCTTTAAGTCTAACCTTCATCCTTTCTTCATAAGTTTTACAAATACTGTATGCATTTCTGTGGTAGGTAAGTGATAAACTTACTAAGCTTAAAATGAACAGAATCTTAGATGAGGTTTCTTTTCATTTTCTGTTTTTAAGAGGAGTTGCTTTGGTTTGGCCTCTAAACAAGAAGAGCACAAATCTTGCTGCCTACACAGTTGATATTTGGAACTATTCTAGTGGTTCTATTTAATTTTCAAAACCGGGTTATGAAATGGAGAATTAACCACTTTTTACAGATAAGGAAACAAGATTAGAAGTATTTTACATGTGGTTTTAGAAGGGTGTTTACTGAATGAACTGTTTTATAAGATGTATTACTGCTGGTCTCATGTTTTATTATCATACTGTACCCCTGGTGGAAATCAACCTAAGAAACTCTTTTGTATTTAAAAATGGAAATAATTACTGTGCCTTTGAATTGAAGTAATCTACAAAAGAAATGTGGTCCAGACTTTAGACTTTGTTGGGACTGTGATGATCATTTCTGGCTTTTGGCAATCTGGATCTGAACCTTTGGTTTTATTTAGCTTTCCAGTTCTCAGGGAACAATAGAAACCAGTCTTCAGGATATCGACAGCAGATTATCTCCAGGTGGATCACTGGCAGACGCATGGGCACATCAAGAAGGCACTCATCCGAAAGACAGAAAGTAGGTTATAGCTTTATGCGTAGTTTCTGCTCTTATTAATGTCCTTTTTCACATTGACTCAGTTAATTTATTTGAGTTTTTCTTCCTTAAATAGTGTAGAAAAACTACAAGTCCTGTTAAATTGCATGACAGAGATTTACTATCAGTTCAAAAAAGACAAAGCAGAACGTAGTAAGTAAAATTTGCTATTTGTTAATTTAATAAATCCCTCTTAGTAATTAGTTATAATTCAGTTAAATTAATTTGGTATATCTGTAAGGGTAGCTTCTTAAGCTGTTTTTTTCAGAGATGTGATTCTGTCAGGAAAAAGGTTGATTGTGTTAAAAAAAAAAAAAAAAACTATCCTTAAAATCAACCTTTTGAATACTTTAAATCAGGGTCATGAACACCAGAACCTCTAAAGGCCAGGCAGGTAACAGAAAGGAATGAGATTGGCCAGTGGGGACTCATCTACAGGGGAGAGCCACTACTCATATTCACCAAAGGTATTGCCCAATCTTCCCATTTCTCAAAAAAAGCTAGAAATACAGAATTTGTTAGAAATACCTTGATTTTTAAATGTTAACTGTTAATTGTTTTTTACATTGTTATTTACAGACCAAATAAAAGCATCTGTGGGCCATAAGTAACCAATGAGCCACAAATCTATGACATCTGCTTCAGACTCTTAGCCTTTTTGAAGCAATAATCTCAAAAGAAAATACATTGTGTATAATATTATGATTCTATATTAACAACAGTAATATATTTTCCTATTTCTAGGATTAGCTTATAATGAAGAACAAATCCACAAATTTGATAAGTAAGTATCCAGATTATGTTTAATAGTTATTTTTGGTGCTATTTTGGTTATCTTTATTAATATGATTCTTCTTAAAGTTGAAATTAATTACAATTTAAAAATACATTTTAATCTTGATTTTACAGGATTGTTACAATATGTAGACATTTTTGAGGTTCACACATCTGCTCCCTAATTGGGAAGTTACCATGATGGGAGAAGGAGGGGGGAGAAAGATTACCATTTCAGTCAGTCAGCTTCTGCCTCATATGCTCTGATTACAGAAGTACAGATAATACAGCACATAGGCAAGGGCAGACTTAACTACCGTCTTAATTTTAACCGCATTCAATAGGCATTTTTTTTACATCCATTTTGAACCTTCTCTTTATCTTCTTGCTGCTATAATGTCTATCTTAGAAACGTTTACTTTCTCCTGTAAATATTCTAAAGCCACAACAATCATTATAGGAAAGATACATTTCATATATTTGAAAATTTCTAAATATTGAAAGTAGAAACAGTGACATTGGTTTAAGCCTCTGATTATTTCTAAATTACAGGCAAAAACTGTATTACCATGCCACAAAAGCTATGACGCACTTTACAGATGAATGTGTTAAAAAGTATGAGGCATTTTTGAATAAGTCAGAAGAATGGATAAGGTGAGTAAACTTCTTTTGGAGTGATTAGTGGTTGACTGCACAATATAAATGTATATTTGAAGTAAGAATGCTTCACTAGACTGCATATCAATTGATTCTTTTTGGTTTTCAGAAAGATGCTTCATCTTAGGAAACAGTTATTATCGCTGACTAATCAGTGTTTTGATATTGAAGAAGAAGTATCAAAATATCAAGAATATACTAATGAGGTAGGTACAGCTGTCAAGGAAAAATTAAAATTCTTCTCAGTTTATAACTGATAGTGATTGACAAGGGAGAAATGGGATAGAATGTGCCTACATTCAGTTCCACCCACCAATTTTTAATATGTATTTTGAGCCAAGTTTTAAGAATGTAGATGTTTTACAACTAAAAACAGCTGATAAACCATCCTTTTATCAACTGTATGAAAAGTTTCTTTCTTAAAAGGGTGTTGATTTAAGTATTGTATCATCGATAGTTTTGAAATCAAAATTTAAAGTTTTTTTAAAGGACTTATTAAAAGCTGTAACACTTGATGTCAGATCTGTAGTAAGTACTTTTGTTCTGTGATTAATGTGGGGTTTTTTTCTTTTTTTTTTTTTTTTGATGTTTCAGTTACAAGAAACTCTGCCTCAGAAAATGTTTACAGCTTCCAGTGGAATCAAACATACCATGACCCCAATTTATCCAAGTTCTAACACATTAGTAGAAATGACTCTTGGGTAAGAAACTCATCATTTGGAAACTGTAGTGTTTCCATTTGCTTTCATTGCAGTTTGTGCTTTTGCTCTTACATTTTGAAATTTTTTATGTTTGTTGTAATACAATGTTTAATAAGGTTATCTATTGACCAGTTAAAAGAAAATAAAACATAAACATCATTCTAAAACATTTGCATACTGTTTTTGAGCAAAGGTGCTTGTTTATTTTATTAGTATGAAGAAATTAAAGGAAGAGATGGAAGGGGTGGTTAAAGAACTTGCTGAAAATAACCACATTTTAGAAAGGTGAGTAATGCAAAAATAATTACTGTGATTTTCTGTGCAATTGAGTTCATTCACATCTGTACTTATATCTTCCTGTATCAATAGATTCAGCAGTGGTAAAGGGTCATAAAGTCAGAACTCATGTTTTTCTCTCTATGATTGTGTATCTGTGATGCCTTTTAATGGTTGATTAGTTCCATTTTATAGAAGCACTGGTTAATCGAATTACTTATTTGAATCAGTTTGTAAAGATCAAACTCTATTTACATTATTTTTATAACTTAATTCATTGGAATCATAATTTTCAATTTGGTGAATCAGAGTTGCTTTTTAAGATACCAGCACTTTGGTGCTGAGTAGCTTACGGGGTCCTCTGCACACCTCCTTGCAGGTGAAAGCCACAGGTAAATGCAGTACTTTGAGGAGTTAGGTGTCTGCTTATTATCTGCAAAATCCTAATAGATAAGGCCAAAGAGATTTGAAAGCCTGCAGAGGCAATAAAGCAATTTTTGGATGGCAGTTTTCCTTATCCTGATTCCTCAGAGAAATTAAGTCATATTTGGCTCTGTAATAGAACCTTTTCTTTTTCAAGCCCTTAGGTTCTCCTCTATAGGTTCTCAAACGCTTGTAATGCTAATAAAAATATTTCACATTTGGCCAGGCACGGTGGCTCACACCTGTAATCCTAGCACTTTGGGAAGCCAAGGCAGGCAGATTGCCTGAGCTCTGGAGTTCAAGACCAGCCTAGGCAACATGGCAAAACCCTGTCTCTACCAAAAATACAAAAATTAGCTGGGCATGGTGGTGCACACCTGTAATCCCAGCTACTGGGGAGGCTGAGGCACGAGAATCACCTGAATCTGGGAGATGGAGGTTGCAGTCAGCCGAGATCACACCACTGCACTCCAGCCTGGGTGACAGAGTGAGACCCTGTTTCAAAAAAAAAAAAATGGATATGGAATTTTTGGGTCAGAGAGTATGTCAATTTCAATTTTTGTTGGGTTTTACTAATTTTATTCTTTTTTTTTTTTTTTTTTTTTCCCCCGAGACGGAGTTTCGCTGTTGCCCAGGCTGGAGTCCAATGGCGTGATCTCAGCTCACTGTAACCTCTGCCTCCCGGGTTCAAGTGATTCTCCTGCCTCAGCCTCCTGAGTAGCTGGGATTACAGGCGCCCACCACCACACCCAGCTAGTTTTTTGTATTTTTAGTAGAGCTGGGGTTTCACCATGTTGGCCATGCTGGTCTTGAACTCCTGACCTCAGGTGATCCACTTGCCTCAGCCTCCCAAAGTGCTGGGATTACAGGCATGAGCCACCGCACCCGGCCAATTTTGTTCTTTAAAAGGGTGCATGTTATAGTCCTAAGCAGATAAAACCTATGCATTTGGCAACATTGAATGTATAACATCTTTTAAACATTCGCCAATTTGTTTAGTAAAAACCGAGATCTTATTTTAATTTATATTTCTGTGGTTTATAGTGATGTCAAACATCGTTTAATATGTTTGTTCAATTTTCATTTTTGGGGAGAGTTACTCGTTAACTTTAAAAAATATTTTCCTTGTTTATAGTAATTATCTAACTTTTATAGTATCCAGTTTACAGTTTCTTCAGAACTTTAGCTAAATCCTTTTAGGCTTAAAGATCACCAAGTAGAAGAGACTATAAAGATGTGCTTTTTTTTTTTTTTTTTTTTTTTGAGATGGAGTCTCGCTTTGTCGCCAGGCGGGAGTGCAGTGGCGCGATCTTGGCTCACTGCAACCTCCACCTCCCGAGTTCAAGCGTTTCTCCTGCCTCAGCCTCCCGAGTAACTGGGACTACAGGCACACGCCACCATGCCCAGCTAATTTTTGTATTTTTAGTGGAGACAAGGTTTCACCATGTTGGCCAGGATGGTCTCAATCTCTTGACCTCGTGATCCACCTGCCTCGGCCTCCCTGAGTGCTGAGACTACAGGCGTGAGCCACCGTGCCCAGCCAAAGATGTGCTTTTAACTTTTATATTTAACTACTTATGCCTTGTGGAATAAAATCCCAACTTCCTAAACCACATTTAGTAAGTCAGTTCCTCCTGTGTTTTATTTGCAGGTTTCTTGACAATATATAGGTGATATAACATGGCATAATCTTAACGTAAATGTTAAGTGACAAAACTAGTAATGGAAGCCAGATTTTGTTCAGAGTATTATACTACTCTGTCTCCATGTGGATAACCCACTATCACTTCAAATTTTTTTTTGAATCTAAAATCATCTGTCCCAACTCAGTTTTCTCTCTGCTCCTTATCCTGTTCAAAGGTACCACCTTTCTCCTACTCCCTTAAACATAAATTATTTTAGACACTTAATCTTCTTTATACCCTCTCAACAAGTTTGGCTCCCATATTTCCCCTCGTCACCCTCATTCAGATCTCCTTTCCCTTTCATATGTGATATATGGTAATAACCTATTTTTTTTCTTAACCCCAAGCTCTTCCCATCTGTCATGGGTATTACAGCCAAAATCATCTTTCAGAATACTGATGTAATCGTATGACTTCTTTGGCTCAAAAGTTTCTAAACTCCTGTTACCTAAAAAGTCAAGTCTAAATTTATACTTCAATTCAAAGAGTGTAATAGCCTGGTTCCAGCCTGTTCACCCAACTTTACTTCCCACTGCTCCCCAAAATAACATTGTGTTCTAGCAAGGTCTCATTTCTCAACTTCCTTTGGGTATGTCACACTCCCAACTCGGTATCTTTTTTTTTTTTTTTTTTTTTTTGAGACAAAGTCTCACTCTGTCACCCAGGCTAGAGTGCGGTGGCATGATCTCGGCTCACTGCAACCTCTGCCTCCCGGGTTCAAGCAATTCTCCTGCCTCAGCCTCCCGAGTAGCTGGGACTATAGGCACACGCTACCACACCCAGCTAATTTTTGTATTTTTAGTAGAGAAGGAGTTTTGCCATATTGGCCAGGCCGGTCTCAAACTTGTGACCTCAAGTGATCTGCCTGCCTCGGCCTCCCAAAGTGCTGGGATTACAGGCGTGAGCCACTGCGCCGGCCCCAATTCTATCTTAGCTTATAAATCCCACCCCACCAGAAAGAAATTATCCAGTTCTTACTGACAGTTTCTTAATTACATCATTACATCGGTTTTTCATGTATTTATGATAATACCATGCTGTTCCAGTAAGAAATAGAACAAATCATAGTTACTTAAACTCTTTAAAAATAAATAGCTATTTATTCCTCTGAAAAGTATTTTAAGGTTGGGGGCCTTTATACATAAATGCAACTTTTGAGATTACCTTTTTTTCTTTGTGTGTGTGTTTTAGGTTTGGCTCTTTAACCATGGATGGTGGCCTTCGCAACGTTGACTGTCTTTAGCTTTCTAATAGAAGTTTAAGAAAAGTTTCCGTTTGCACAAGAAAATAACGCTTGGGCATTAAATGAATGCCTTTATAGATAGTCACTTGTTTCTACAATTCAGTATTTGATGTGGTCGTGTAAATATGTACAATATTGTAAATACATAAAAAATATACAAATTTTTGGCTGCTGTGAAGATGTAATTTTATCTTTTAACATTTATAATTATATGAGGAAATTTGACCTCAGTGATCACGAGAAGAAAGCCATGACCGACCAATATGTTGACATACTGATCCTCTACTCTGAGTGGGGCTAAATAAGTTATTTTCTCTGACCGCCTACTGGAAATATTTTTAAGTGGAACCAAAATAGGCATCCTTACAAATCAGGAAGACTGACTTGACACGTTTGTAAATGGTAGAACGGTGGCTACTGTGAGTGGGGAGCAGAACCGCACCACTGTTATACTGGGATAACAATTTTTTTGAGAAGGATAAAGTGGCATTATTTTATTTTACAAGGTGCCCAGATCCCAGTTATCCTTGTATCCATGTAATTTCAGATGAATTATTAAGCAAACATTTTAAAGTGAATTCATTATTAAAAACTATTCATTTTTTTCCTTTGGCCATAAATGTGTAATTGTCATTAAAATTCTAAGGTCATTTCAACTGTTTTAAGCTGTATATTTCTTTAATTCTGCTTACTATTTCATGGAAAAAAATAAATTTCTCAATTTTAATGTAAAGAGTTCATGTGTTTCTTTGTATCCAGTTTGTGAAACAAAAGTTATCTTTTGAAAGTAACAATATAGATGATAATCATAAACTACTCAGAATATTGGATCTAGGGACAATTTTCTGTCTCTTCTAAACCCACTAATTCTAAATTTAGTATGAAGTTCTTTCATATACTTAGGCTATTATACAAATTGAAAAGGAACATTTCCTTTTTTTTTTTTTTTTGAGACAAGAGTCTCGCTCTGTTGCTCAGGCTGGAGTACAGTGGTGTGATCTCTGCTCACTGCAACCTCGGCCTCCGAGGTTCAAGCAATTCTCCTGCCTCAGCCTCCCAAGTAGCTGGGATTACAGGTGTGCACCACCATGCCTGGCTAATTTTTGTATTTTTAGTAGTGATGAGGTTTCACCATGTTGGTCAGGCTGGTCTCAAATTCCTGGCCTCAAGTGATCCGCCCGCCTCAGCTTCCCAAAGTGCTGGGATTAGAGGGTTGAGTCACCACGCCCAGCCGAAAAGGAACATTTTCTCTGAAAAATATACTCAGAGTTCTAGACTAAGGGATTGTGCTCAGCAAGAAATTATTTCATCCAACAGGACTTTTCTTTCTTTTGGTTTTGGTTTGTGGCTTTTCAGACTGGTGAAGTGTGATTACATAAAACCCGCGTATCATAAAAATAACATATCCTAAAGAGAAATAAATTTGTCTACCAAGAACATCAGTAACTTCATCAGTTTTAAGAAATGATTAGGATCTTAAGTGAGATTATGATGCATTATTGTAGTGGAGAATTTTAAGCGTCATATGTACACGTAACAAATAAATGCAAGGGTGAATGCCTTTATTTAAATAATACAGTTATCCACTGTCAGTTACCTGTTTAGTTTGAGAGTGTGTGGGGCAAGGAAGTATTTAATCCCTCTTTATTTTAATTTTCCATTTGACCGTCTAATATGGGTATCTTGTATAGTTTAAAAGCTTATATCACTGAATATTAGGTAAAATTTTACTCAAATTATGTGATTATTTGATATATTTGCCAATTTAGTTTTTATTTCAGCACCTCTAGCAAACAACACCAATAAATAGAACCTTTATGTGGCGATTGTATTTTTATTAATAGTATTGATAGGAATATATCTATTCCACAGTAGTATTTTTTGAGATTTACTCTTTTATTTCCCCCTTACAGTGACATGGAAGAGAAGCATTCTTGCTTTCAGTATTTTACCCTCAAAAATGCATCCTCATTCAAAACATTTATTTTTCAAAACATTTTAAATAAATAAATGCATGATACCAGTCTGCTAATGTTCAGTGACTATTTAAATGAAATTAGCTTTAAAATAAGTTGTATCTTCACTTTAGTAGCTTTTTAAAAATATTATAATGTTTTGAAAAGATAGCAATTAATGGTATAAAAATAGTATATATAACAAATAGAAGATGGGTGTGATGGCTCATGTCTGTAATCTCAGCGCTTTGGGAGGCTGAGGCAGGGATATCACTTGAGATCAGGAATTCTAGACCAGCCTGGGCAACATAGCAAGAGCCCTGTCTCTACAAAAAAAAAAAAAAAATTTTTTTTTAATTGGCCAGGCATGGTGGCATGTGCCACAGTCCCAGCTACTCAGAGGCTGAGCTGCGAAGACTGCTTCAGTCCAGGAGTTAAAGGTTACAGTGAGCTATGATTGCCAGCCTGGGTGGCAGAGAGAGACCCTGTCTCAAAAAATTAAAAAAAAAAATAGAAGCGTTAGTAGATGTAACTCTTAGCATAAAACAAGTTATAGTACTGACAGCAGAAAAAATAAAAGTGAAATATGTGAATATAAAGTATATCAAAAGAGAGCTTTGGCCGGGCGCGGTGGCTCACGCCTGTAATCCCAGCACTTTGGGAGGCCAAGGCGGGCGGATCACCTGAGGTCAGGAGTTCAAGACCAGCCTGGCCAACATGGTGAAACCCTGTCTCTACTGAAAATACAAAAATTAGCTGAGCATGGTGGCAGGCGCCTGTAATCCCAGCTACTCGGGAGGCTGAGGCAAGAGAAAAGCTTGGACCTGGGAGGCGGAGGTTGCAGTGAGCCAAGGTTGTGCCACTGCACTCCAGCCTGGGCAACAAGAGTGAGACTTTGTCTCAAAAATAAAAAATAAAAAAATAAGGGATAGCTTCAAGTAAATAAACAGGAATGTAAGGTTAGGAAAGAAATGGGAAAAATAATCCCATTAAGTAAGTCTCCTAAAATTCGAGCTGCCGGCGGGGCACGGTGGCTCATGCCTGTAATCCTAGCACTTTGGGAGGCTGAGGCGGGCCGATCACCTGAGATCAGGAGTTCGAGACCAGCCTGGCCAACATGGTGAAACCCCGTCTCTACTAAAAATAAAAAATTAGGCTGAGCGCAGTGGCTCACGCCTGTAATCCCAGCACTTTGGGAGGCTGAGGCAGGTGGATCACGAGGTCAACAGATCAAGACCATCCTGACCAACATGGTGAAACCCCTTCTCTACTAAAAATACAAAAATTAGCCGGGCGTGGTGGTATGCACCTGTAGTCCCAGCTACTTGGGAGGCTGAGGCAGGAGAATTGCTTGAACCTGGGAGGCAGAGTTGCAGTGAGGTGAGATTATGCCAACCGCACTCCAGCCTGTCAACACAGCAAGACTCCATCTCAAAAAAAAAATAATAATAAAAATAAATAAATAATTAGCTGGGTGTAGTGGCATGCACCTGTAGTCCCAGCTACTTGGGAGGCTGAGGCAGGAGAATCACTTGAACCCAGGAGGCGGAGGTTGCAGTGAGCTGAGATCGCGCCTGGGCAACGGAGTGAGACTCCATCTCAAAAAAAAAAAAAAATCCAGCTGCCATTATTTTGGAGGTTACCAAATTATTGGCTTATAGACCTGATTATACCATGTCAAAAGAAATGCTTCTTAGATATTAAAAAAAATCAACATTTCTTTACAAATGTAGTGTCTTTATCCATAAATTATCCAGAAAAAAATTACAATAATCCTGAACTTTTTATGATTGTTTTGGTTTAGATTGTTTTTCTTTGGTTTTTGTTTTTTGCAATAGTGTTTACCTTTTGTGGTGGTCTGTGTTAAAAGTAAGAGATACATTGTTTAGAATTAAGAAAGGGACTATCAGTAGGAATAAGGACTCTCAACTGAAATGTCAACAATTTATTCCCCTTTCAGAACAGCCACCACCAGGGCTAGTCTTTTTTTTTTTTTTTTTTTTTTTTTTTTTGAGATGGAGTTTCACTCTTGTTGCCCAGGCTGGAGTGCAGTGGCGCAGTCTCAGCTCACTGCAACCTCCACCTCCCAGGTTCAAGTGATTCTCCTGCCTCAGCCTCCCAAGTAACTGAAATTACAGATGCCCACCAGCATGCCCGGCTAATTTTTGTATTTTTATTAGAGACGGGGTTTCACCATGTTGGTCAGGCTGGTCTCAAACTCCTGACCTCAGGTTATCCGCCTGCCTCAGCCTCCCAAAGTGCTGGGATTACAGGCATGAGCCACCGCACCCGGCCAAGAGCTAGTCTTTTGTTTCTAATTTCACCTCACTCCGATGTGTTTTATATGTTGTGCTTTGTCTTTGAGGAAGTGCTGCAGAAAATTTATAATTACTCAAACAAATTTTTGAAACTGAGAAGTGCTGGGGCAGACACACATAGTTGAAGGGAAAAACATTGAAAGAAATCTTTACTATTTTAGCTGGATTCTCCACCCCACATCCCACTTTTAAGAAGACCTGAAAAACTCTTACACTGTTGTTTTAGTTAGACTTGCTCCCCACTTGTCACTTGTAAGAAGAATCAAAGTCCAAATTCCTAAGAAATACTGAAAATGGAATAGGAAACAAAAACATCTGATCTGGAAATAAAAACTGGCAATATAATAATATCCGTTGTTTCTCTTTAGAGAGTAAATCAGCTCCAAAAATTTGCTGTGGCATATAAAAAGCAAGCCCAAATATTACATCAGGCTGTTTAATCGACTTAGCTCCTAAATGAATATATGAATAAGTTTATTTCTTTTGACATAAACAGAATGCACAAGGACCAACTGTTAGACATAGTCTTAGGAGTGATGATGGGGAACCTCAGTACAAGCTGCGTGGTAGACAACTAGGCATTGATGTCTGCTGAAATGCTGAAATGGATTCAGTAATGTTACAATGTTAGAAGTTCTAGAGAATTGTTCAATAAATGGTTAAAGATCAAAATAGGACCCTGGGGGAAAATGGTCTTTTGCATCTTTTTTTTTTTTTTGAAGAGTCTTGCTCTGTCACCCAGGCTGGAGTGCAGTAGTGCTATCATAGCTCACTGCAGCTTCCATCTTCTGGATTCTAGCAGTCCTCCCACCTCAGCCTCCTGAGTAGCTGGGACTATAGGTACGTGCCACCATGCCCAGCTTTTTTTTTCCTTTTTCTAGAGACAGCATTTCGCTTTGTTGGCTCGGCTGGTCTTGAACTCCTGGGCTCAAGCAATCCTCCCACCTCAGCCTCCCAAAGTGCTGGGATTACAGGTGTGAGCCCCTGTGCCTGGCCCTTTTACACATTTTTTGACTCATAAGAACTAATTTTTTTTTTTCTGGGATAAATTCCTGCTAAAGTTTCAAATAGGTTTCATTTTTCCAGTAAAAATGCACAAAACAAATGGGATCAAGGCTATGGCTTTAGGAGATTGCTTGTCCATCACCACTAAGTCCTGCAAATTACCACTGACAATTCTGTTGGAAGTTGAGTTAGTGGATCCTGTTTTTTTTCACTCCTCTATGAAAAAATTGTGTTTTTATGAACGAGGTCAGGAGGTCCATGCTTGAAAATTACCAAGTGTTGCATTAGGTTAGAGCTTCTCTTAAGAAAGCTTAAAACTCTTTCTTTAGAAAGAACATCTATTAATACAGTTTCTAGTTATGAGGGCCAAGGTCTAAAGGACAAGCCAAAAGAATGACAGAGGAAGGGGATTTAGGGCTAACAGGTGGTCCCCAGACATATTGGCTGAAAGGCAGTTCACAGCTAAAGTGTCATATGTGGGTGTTACTGTGCTCCTCATCCATGCTCTCTGTAGCGAGTCATTCTGGAACACTCCTGGTTCTCGCTATGGCCATAAGAAGTGACTTTCATGAGACCTTCAGAAGAATAGCCCGGCTCTTTTACTGGTTCCCCAAATCACTGACCTGCTCAAAGAATCGGAAATCCAAGCTGCTCTGGAGCCAAGGTGGGGGTAAGTTACCTCAGGCTAATGCCTTATTTCAAATCCGTTTTTTTGTGTGTGTGTGTTACATTTTAAAATGGAGCCTCCCTCGCATGGGCAGGGAGGAGTGGGAAAGAAAAGTCTTGAAGCCTTTAAAAGGTATTCCACTTGGTCATCTGGAGGGAAAATTGAGAGAAAATAAAATTAAGCATTTTGAGGCTGATGTATTAGAAGCCATGAACATTGTTACAATCCAATTGTATGCTTTTTAGGCATTTTGATTCCGAAAAGTTGACTAAAGAGAGATGGAGAATGTTTAGTATTTAAAAACAACAAAAACAGCTCTTATTCTCAGGGACTCTTAACTTGTCTTAGTACTAAAACATCTTAGAATAAACAGAACACAAAAAATAAGTCACAGTGAGTTCCCCTCCTTTCCATAGAAAACTAAAAAGGTCAGTGGGCCTTAAATCTCTTTTATTTGGGTCAGTTTATGCATCATATTTTAGGTATTTATTGATGTGAGAATTTAAAGCACCTTATATTTGCTACCATATAAAGCCCTGCCTTTTCTGTCCAGTCCTGCCTGACTGGAATATGCAAGGGTCAGAGGAGAGGGGGTTAAAGGGAGTAGATGACCCCTCCAAGTCTGGTATCTGAAGTTCCTGCAGGAGCCCAGCTTTCACCTTCATACTCTGCAGCACTGGTTGTACTACTCACACTACTGTAAGCCAATTCTCTCACTTCATAATGTTTCATCTTGCAACTGAATCAAAATTCTCATTATGTTTCTTTCACACCCATGTAGCTCAGAATTTTATGTAAGTGCTTAACAATTACTTAAGATGTATTATGTGTTTGATACATTATCAAACATAATCTGATGATGTGCTAGATTATCCAGTGCCAGATCCTCCTTTAAAAACAAGTGACGACTGGGCACCGTGGCTCACACCTGTAATCTCAGCACTTTGGGAGGCCGAGGCAGATGCATTACCTGAGGTGAGGAGTTCGAGACCAGCCTGGCCAACATGGTGAAAACCTGTCTGTACTAAAAATACAAAAAAATTAGCCGGGCATGGTGGCTGGTGCCTGTAATCCCAGCTACTCAGGAGACTGAGGCAAGAGAATCACTTGAACCTGGGAGGCGAAGGTTGCAGTGAGCCAAGATCATGCCACCGTACTCCAGCCTGGGCAACAAGAGCTAAACTTCGTCTCAAAAAAAAAACAAAAAACAGAAGTGACTATGATCTATAATCACCAAGGCAGGTATATGATTAAGACATTTATTTAAAAGCATGCAGACCGGGCGCGGCGGCTCATGCCTGTAATCCCAGCACTTTGGGAGGCCGAGGCGGGCAGATCACCTGAGGTCGGGAGTTCAAGACCAGCCTGACCAACATGGAGAAACCCTGTCTCTACTAAAAATACAAAATTAGCTGGGTGTGGTAGCACATGCCTGTAATCCCAGCTACTCGGGAGGCAGAAGCAGGAGAATTGCTCGAAAACCCAGGAGGTGGAGGTTGCGGTGAGCCGAGATTGTGCGATTGCACTCCAGCCTAGGCAACAAGAGTGAAACTCCGTCTCAAAAAACAAAAACAAAAACAAAAACAAAACCATGCAATTCATTTAAAAAAAAAAGAAATTTATAAAATATAAGGCCTAGGACATTTCAATCTTCCATTTTTTCTTTAATTTTTTTTCATTCTCACTGTCAAAATAGGGAGAATTTAACTTAATCGTTTAAGTCTCTGTTTATATGTACCATTCTTCAGATATGGATTAACATAATTTGGGAAGTTAGAGCCCCAAAAGAACTTAAGAAAAATCATCTTCACCAATTGCTTCATTTTAAAGATAAGCAAAAAGGCCAGGGGCGGTGGCTCATGCTTGTAATCCCAGCACTTTGGGAGGCCAAGGTGGGTGGATCACTTGAGGTCAGGAGTTTGAGACCAGCCTGGCCAACATGGCGAATCCCTGTCTCTACTAAAAATACAAAAATTAGCCGGGTGTGGTGGTGGGTGCCTATAATCCCAGCTACTTGGGAGGCTGAGCCAGAAGAATCGCTTGAGCCCAGGAGGTGGAGGTTGCAGTGAGCTAAGATGGAACCACTGCACCCCAGCCTGGGCGACAGAGCAAGACTCAGCCTCAAAAAATAAAAATAAGATGAGCAAACTGCCTCCAGAAGGTTAGATACCTTAACCTCCCAAAACTATTACATAGGCAGAACCAGAGCTTTATCCCAGATTATCTAATTCTTGGTCTGCTGCTCTTTTTATCACACCACAGAGCAATGGTGAGTAAGTAACAGAATGTGAACATACGAGCCCTCACTGAATATTTTACTTATAGCCTTCATCAGTAGATAATCTATACCTAGAAAGTTTGATTATCTGTTTTTCCAAAGTAAAGCTTATTAGTTTTCTCATTAGTTTGGAGATTGATAGCCTGATTCCAACAATCTTTTTACTTATACACAATATTATGAAAGAAAGATTTTTGTTGAGGCCAAGCTCAGTGGCTCATGCTATGATCCCAGAACTTTGCGAGGCCAAGGCGGGCGGATCGCTTGAGGTCAGGAGTTCAAGACCAGCCTGGCCACCGCGGTGAAACCCCATCTCTACTAAAAATGCAAAAATTAGCCAGGCATGATGGCAACCACCTGTAATCGCAGCTACTCAGGAGACTGAGGCAGGAGAATTGCTTGAAACTGGGAGGCAGAGGTTGCAGTGAGCTGAGATCGCACCACTACACTGCATGCAGCCTGGGCGACAGAGTGAAACTCCATCTCAAAAAAAAAAAAAAAAATTTCTGTTGAAATATTACTCTATCATAATGGGATTATTTAAATATATGCTTTATAGGATTATATCCCCTCCAGAGCAAGAACTATCTTTTCTTCTATCTCCAGTGTTTAACATAGTGTTTTGTATGTGGGCAGTCAATAACTATTTGCTTTACTGAATTGACTTATGAAGACAGCCCTATGGAATTTTGAGTTAAAAAAGAATGAATGTATTCTTAGAAATCTGCTAATGCCTGGGGATCCTTGCTCCACCCTTCTGTGTAGATTAATGGATTGTGGCAACTATCAACATCAGATTGTCTCTTTAGGATTAAACTCTCTGTCACTCATCAATATCCTAGAGTCATCTAAAGGTTGGCAGAAATATGTCAAAGTTTCCCTAAGTACCTTCATCCCGATCAACCCACTTGAAAACATAAATGGCCTCAGGGCAAAACCAGTGCATGATATTTTAATATTAATTAAGGCTCCCAAATGGCTTTACTCCCTGTAACAGCACAATTTAGCTGACTCTCCTGCAGCTCTCCTCTATCTCCCCCTAGAAGACAATAAGTTACATCAAGGCATGATTTAGGAAGAAATATAGAAGGAAAGTCGTAAATCTGAATTCAGTACATATTTTACACTATGGTCTTGAAGGAGAATGGGGAGGGGTGTATGAGAAAAGCCCACATTCCATGGCCTGGAGCCATTTCTAATCTAGTTGAGGAACCCAAGCTATATATAAAAAACAGAGCTCAAGAGCATTGTAGGCTGCTGGGAAGATCAAGGGACTTCAGAGTCAAACCTGGCTACTGAGAGCTGTGCTACTTTGAGAGCTTGTGGGACTTCAGAGTCAGACCTGGCTTGTGCTACTGAGAGCTGTGTGACTTTGAGCAAGTCACTTAGATCTCTCTGATGTGAGCTTTCTTGTCTGTAAAATGTGGAGATTGAACTTGATCTTAAAGTTTCCTTCCAGTTTCATAAATGCCGTGAAACTAAGATACAATAATAAAAGTGGCAGCAGAGTTGCTGAAGAGCGGCATGGAGGAAAGTTTCTTGATGTCAGATAGTATGTCACCATGTCCTTCATCTGCAGAAACAGGACTGGCATTGTTAATTGTCATAATATCTGAGACCTTATGTAAAACCCTGTTTAAGGAGTTTATATACCAAATGCATACATGCTCTTTTTTAGAAACAAATATGAGATCTGGTGAAACCCCGTCTCTACTAAAAATATAAAAATTAAGCAGACGTGGTGGTGTGCACCTGTAATCCCAGCTACCCTGGAGGCTGAGGCAGGAGAATTGCTGGAACCCGGGAGGTGGAGGCTGCAGTGAGCCGAGACCACACCACTGCACTCCAGCCTGGGCAATAGAGCAAGACTCTGTCTCAAAAACAAAACAAAACAAAGCAAATTTGAGATCTAGACTCTCCACATATAGGATGAGCCCTAAGTTTTAGGCTCCTGCTTATGGAAACTGGCCTCCTTTTCTGTGTAACCTGCTCCAGGGCACTTTGGGGTTCCCAGCAGTCATCCTGGTCATTTAATTTCTGTGGTAAGGACATCACTTTCACAGCCTACCTCTTCATTTCTTTTCCAAATCATTACTAATGCCCAATCAAATATTGTTTCCAGGACACCCCCTTGAAGATAAAAGCCTATCGTATTAATTTATTTTTAAAAATATTTTTTCAGCTCCTTTTCATCATGACTTATAAGATAACCAAACTCTCAGGATGGTCAAAAAATCAGAGCTAGAAGACCTAGCTGTTTTCAGACAGTCTCTTTACACTAACAATCTTCTCTGGTTCTCCCTTTCACCCCTTCCTGCCCCATGTTTTATCAGTTAATGAGATCTGATGACTGAATGAAAGTCTATTGCTTCTTGTAAGGAGGCAGATGTAAGCACATCTGGACAACACAGAAACCCACCTCTCACCACAGGGAAGAAGAGAAAGGAGGGGGGCTGCTTATTAGACAGCACCCCACTTGTCTCCAGCATTGTATGGCTTTCTCAAGGACACCTATGTAGATCAGAAGCCCTGAGAGAGAGAACCATCATGGAAGAACTGGCAGAGGAACACTCTAGCATGGATGCTCTGGTGTCTTGTCTATTGGAGGGTAGGGTGTAACCTCCTAGTAGAATGTACTCTCTGTGCATCAGTGGGGCAATAGGCTGATGGACAAGATGACATCACAAAATCTGTTCTATATTTAGTGACCTATAAAAGCAAATAAATGATCAGCCGGGCACAGTGGCGCATGCCTTTAGTCCTAACTACCCAGGAGGCAGAAGGGTCACTTGAGGCCAGAAGTTCAAGTCCAGCCTGAGCAACATGGTGAGGGCCCCATCTCTGAAAAAAAAAGGCAGATTTTCTCTGTCTCTGAGAGGGAGACAGCTTGAAACAAATAAGAAACTATCACTGTAAAAGGCTACTTATTTTTCCTCTGCAAGGAGAGAGGAGAAAGTTTAGATGCAGAAAAAATATTTTCATGCACAGAGTTCTTACTAATGGTTTAACGATAACTCAGATCCTTGACAATATTATCAAGCCATTGTAATACAAAAAAAATCAATAGTTATTAGTCCCTGAAATACACAAGCAAAGGATGGAGAGGGGTCTCCTACATTAAATAACATTCTCTCTGCTTAAGGCAGACAGTCTAGCCCCTTTTATTCTGAGGCACTGCTCTAATGAGCAATCTTACTCATATCAATGTTCCTCAAAGTGGTCACTACAACTTTAAATCATCCTCAATAAAGTTATATCAGAAAGTAGCATAAGTTTATTGGAAGACAATGACAATCCCATGAGAAATTGGCTGATGGTTAGTCAAAACTAAAGACATTGCTTCTAAGGGTTCCTGCCCTCATCCATAAAGTGAAGCTGTCCCAACTGCTGACCCAAGAATCAGCAGTCTCCCAGAAGGTGAAATGTATAAACAGAAGCTCTCCCGAAGCAAATTATTCAAGCATAGACAGGGCTGAGAAATGTTCTCAGAGACTAACAACATATAACACATTGGACAAGCAGCTAAAAGACAGGAGAGATGTTAAAAGCCAGATTTCAGGCTGGGTGCAGTGGCTCACACCTGTAATCTCAGCACTTTGGGAGACTGAGGCAGGTGGATCACCTGAGGTCAGGAGTTCGAGACCAGCCTGGCTAACATGGCAAAACCCGTCTCTACTAAAAATACAAACACAAAAAGTAGCCAGTCATGGTGGTGGGCACCTGTAATCCCAGCTACTCAGGAGGCTGACGCAGAAGAATTGCTTGAACCCAGGAGGTGAAAGTTGCAGTGAGCTGAGATCATGCCACTGCACTCCAGCCTGGGCGACAAGAGCAGAACTCCATCTCAGAAAAAAAAAAAAAAAAGCCAGATTTCACCAGAAGATACCAAAGTCCGATTAGAACTCCCAAATCTCAGGAGATATATAATAACCTAACACCAAAGGGCCAAAGGAGATTGTGATCAGCATCCAGATTCAATGTAAATCCTATGCAGCTGGAGACAGAGAGGCCTTGGGCAGGTGAGACATAAGGGGTCTCAGATATGCACATTATTACTGAGGCAAGGTTCCCCTCCCAGTTGCAGCAGCAAGGCTCAAATCTCAAGAACCTCCAAATTGTTCTAGTCCAGTCAGCCTAAGCCCTCTGGAGACAAACCTGTAGACCATGCAACCATGGAGAGACCTCACACCAGAGGAACCGTGCAGTATCTCATCAAAGGAAATTACAGAGCTATTCTAGGATTTGGAAGAAGGGTGGAATTTAAGGTTTTGTTTGTTTGTTTGTTTGTTTTTTGAGACAGAGTCTCGCTCTGTCACCCAGGCTGGAGTGCAATGGCAGGAACTCGGCTCACTGCAACCTCTGCCTCCTGGGTTCAAGCAATTCTCCTGCCTCATCCTCCTGAGTAGCTGGGATTTCAGGAGCACGCCACCACACCCAGCTACTTTTTGCTTTTTTTTTTTTTTTAGTAGAGACGGGGTTTCACCATGTTGGTCAGGCTGGTCTCGAACTCCTGACCTCGTGATCCACCTGCCTCAGCCTCCCAAAGTGCTGGGATTACAGGCATGAGCCACAGCGCTCAGCCTCTTTTTTTTTTTTTTTTTTTTTTTGAGATGGAGTCTCGCTCTGTAGCCCAGGCTGGAGTGCAGTGGCATGATCTCGGCTCACTCCACCTCCCAGGTTCAAGCGATTCTCCTGCCTTAGCCTCCCGAGTAGCTGGGACTACAGGCACGTGCCACTACGCCGAGCTAATTTATGTATTTTTAGTAGAGGCAGGGTTTCACCATGTTGGCCAGGATGGTCCCGATCTCTTGACCTCGTGATCTGTCCACCTCAGCTTCCCAAAGTGCTGAGATTACAGGCGTGAGCCACCGTGCCCGGCCAGAATTTAGGTTAAATTTAAATGAAGTAGTGTTTCGATAGGTGCAAAGCAGGGCTGTGTGGGAAGAGATTAACATCAGGTCTGGACTGCAGAGGGGGACCCAGGCTCCTATTTCCTTAGAAATCACACAAAATTCGTATCTGAAGTTCTGCACCTGGGTTGTAAATCAAGGCTGCCTTTTTTTGTGTCAGAGTGACTTAGATCTTCCAGGCAAGAGTGGGATGTTTCATTCCTGCTGATGTTTATTTCAATTAGCAAAGTTTCTCATAGTGCATGGCTTTAGGGATTTCTTAGGGAATCATTATGACACTTTATAGCTGCCCTGTGTCCCTGAGAGAAAGAAACATTAGCATTATCTGTCTCTATCTTCCCGATCTGATGAACAGTAGGAAAGAGTTGAACTTTCTCTGTCCAAACTAATTTGTACTACCTTGTTAGTTATTGTATTTTTTTTAAATTTTTGTTTTCTTTATCTCTAATTCTTTCCATGTTTTCCAATAGCTTCCCAATACAATTTTTCATATAATAAAACATTTTATTTATTTTATTTATTTATTTATCATTTATTTATTTTTATTTATTTTTTTCTTTGAGACAAAGTCTTTCTGTTTCACCCAGGATGGAGTGCAATGCTGCAATCTCTGCTCACTGCAACCTCCGCCTCCCGTGTTCAAGCGATTCTCCTGCCTCAGCCTCCCGAGTAGCTGGGATTATAGGCGTCCACCACCACACCCAGCTAATTTTTGTATTTTTGGTAGAGTCAGGATTTCACCATGTTGGCCAGGCTGATCTCGAACTCCTGACCTCAGGTGATCCATCTGCCTCTGCCTCCCAAAGGCATGATTACAGGCATGAGCCACCACGCCTGGCCTAATTAAACATTTTAGATAGCTGAGCACTTTTACACCCCCACCTCCACCCCAGATCCCTTTTTTTTCCTTGATTCCCTCCTTTCTCTTGTTCCAATGTGGACAGTTTGTTTTCCAGGCCTGGTTGAGCCTTTATCCTGAGAATTCCCTTTACCTCTTTCTTGAGTTGGATCATTTACTTCTTGAGTCCTACTTCTTCTTCATTCTTTGTTTAATCCTTCACTGTAGTGGGGAACATCTAGCAGCTTTCTGTAAAATGGATATGTGAAAGGCATTTCGTGTCTAATATTCAGAAATTTCCCTATAAAGTGCTTTGGAGTGGGCTTTTAAAATTATTTATTTGTTTGTTTGTTTAAGGATGGGGGACTCGTTATGTTGCCCAGCCAGGTCACGAACTCCTGGGCTTAAGCAATCCTCCCACTTTAGCCCCCTGAGTAGCTGGGATTACAAGCAAGAGCCACCACACATGGGTTAAAAAGTACTTATTTAACTAGACACTCACTAGGGCCTTTCAAGCTAGAAACACATGTCTTTCAGTTATGGGAAATTTTCTTGCATTATTAATTACCTTCAATGTTCATTTCAGTAGTGCATATATGGTTCAGTATTAAGAAGCTATTAATGTAATTCACCATATCAATGGATTTAAAAACTGGAAAATATTTTATGATATTTTCAATATATGTTGTATGGTATTTTCAATATATGTTGTAAAGGCATATAATAAAATTCACCATATATTTCTGAGTATTTTTTAATCTTAGTAAATAGAAATGAATGGAAATAGATTTTCTTGACATGATTTTTATACATCCTACAAACTAAAACCCAACATCAATGTCTGATATATTGCCATTAAAGTCAGGAATAAGCAAGAATTTCCACTATTACCACTAATAGGTAATATTGTTCTAAATATACCATAAGATGCAAAAACCCAGTGGGATATAATGTGACTGAAAATTTTTGGAAAGGAAAAGATACCGGCCGGGCGCGGTGGCTCACGCCTGTAATCCCAGCACTTTGGGAGGCCGAGGCGGGCGGATCACGAGGTCAGGAGATCGAGACCATCCCGACTAGAACGGTGAAACCCCGTCTCTACTAAAAATACAAAAAATTAGCCGGGCGTAGTGGCGGGCGCCTGTAGTCCCAGCTACTTGGGAGGCTGAGGCAGGAGAATGGCGTGAACCCGGGAGGCGGAGCTTGCAGTGAGCCGAGATCCCGCCACTGCACTCCAGCCTGGGCGACAGAGCGAGACTCCGTCTCAAAAAAAAAAAAAAAGATACCACTGGCATTATTTACTCCCAACATGATTATATATCAGGAAAACTAAAAAAAATTAATTAACTGAAAATAAGAAATCCTGGCCGGGTGCAGTGGCTCACACCTGCAATCCTAGCACTTTGGGAGGCCGAGGCGGGTGGATCATCTGAGGTCAGGAGTGAGAGACCAGCCTGACCAACATGGTGAAACCCCATCTCTACTTAAAAGACAAAATTAGCAGGGCGTGGTGGCGCATGCCTGTAATCCCAGCTACTCCGCAGGCGGAGGCAGGAGAATCAATTGAACCTGGGAGGCAGAGGTTGCAGTGAGTCTAAATCGCACCATTGCACTCCAGCCTGGGTGAGAAAGTGAAAATCTGTCTCAAAAAAAAAAAAAAAAAAAAAAAGAAAGAGAAAGAAAAGAAGGAATCCTATAAGGTATCTATTTGTAAAACTAGTATACCATAACTAATAGTTTTTCTTTATAAAAATAATAACCAAGAATAACAAAAAAACAAACTTGTAATATCAGTGAAGTAACAAAATACTTAAAAAATAAACCTAACAAGACATGTATAAGGCCTATCAGAGAAATACTTAAAAATTCATCTTAGGAACATAAAATATGATTTACATAGAAAGGTATCCTTTGTTCTTAATGAAAGGATTCAATATTGTATTGATATTAATTCCTCCCCCCCCCCACTAAGCTATAATCTTGATGTGGTCACAATTAAAATTCAAAAAATATTTTGGGGGAAACAAAATAAAATGTTCTAAATTTCATCTGGAAGAATAAACATGGAAGAATATGAAAGAAGATATTAACCCTACCAGATATCAAAATATATTACAAAGCTGCTAAAAAGAATGAAATAGACCTGGAGTTACTAATGTATGGCTATGGAAGGATAAGAGAGAGAACAGGTTGCAGGGCAAGATGTAAGTATGATGCCACTTCCACACAGAAAAGTAGGTATACTGTACATACATATATACACACACACTTTTTTTTTTTTTTTGACACAGGGTCTTGTTCTGTCACCCGGGCTGGGGTACAGTAGCACAATCATGGCCCACTGCAGCCTCAACCTCCTGGGCTCAAGCGATCCTCCCACCTCAGCCTCCCTAGTAGCTAGGACTACAGGCACACACCAGCATGCCCAGCTAATTTTTGTACTTTTTGTAGAGATGGGGTCTCACTATGTTGCCCAGGCTGGTCTTGAACTCCTGGGCTCAAGTGATCCTCCTACTTTGGCCCCCAAAGTGCTGGGATTACAGGCATGAGCCACCGCATCCAGCTGCACACTCACTTTATATAGCTATAAAGTTTACATCAGACTTCTAGACATTGGTTACTCTGGGAAGTGGGGTTGAAGTTGGGACAGGGAAAAATGGGGAAACTTCCTTTTACTCTCTGTTATTTTTATGACTATACTTAAAAGACTATCTAGGCAATCGTAACTCAATAAAGAAGTGTTTTTAAAATAAAAAATAATTAAAAAGATAAAAAATTAATCATTCATAGTTAATGAGAACAAAAAACAAAGAAGCAAAATCTTTTGCAGGATGAATTTCAATTCATCACATTCTATGGTTGGCAGAACGCTCACTGCTCTTTCATATACTCCATCTGTTAGTCCATTTTTTGCATTGCTATAAAGAAAATACCTGAGGCTGGGTGATTTTTAAAGAAAAAAGAGCTATATTGGCCCATGGTTCTGCAGACTGTATAGGAAGCATGGTGCTGACATCTGCTCCTGTGAAGGCCAGGAAGCTTCCAGTCATGGTGGAAGGCAAAGAAGAAGACAGTGTATCACACGGCAAGAGGGAGCAAGAAAGACAGAAGGAAGTTCCAAACTCTTTTAAACAACCAGATCTCACATGAAGAGTGAGAACTCACTTATTACCGCAAGGATGGCACCAAGCCATGCATGAGGGATCCATCCCCACATTGGGGATTACATTTCAATGTGAGATTTGAAGGGGACAAACATGCAAGCCATATTACCATCATAAAGGATCTTGCGGCCAGATGAGTCTGAGAAGCATTGTATACTTGATTTCCTCCTCGGAGACACCCAACATAAATTAGCACACTTATTTTGTTCTGCAGTTACAAAAAAATGTTTAACTTTGTTGAACCATTGTTTCCAGACTTATTCGAATGTAATTTTGGCCTCAGCATATCTACCTGCTCTTGTTATCTCTGTCTCATTTGCATACCTCCTAAATTCAAAGAGAGATATTCAAAGAGAGATATGGTCCAAAGGGAGAGGACCCTGAAAGATAACAGACACAACAGTGTGATGGGGATACCTTTATTACCAAACATATAATCAACAGGGAACACATTTTGGGAAATACTGGCAGGTTCATTACTTTTATTCTATGACTAGAGCTCAAAACCCCAAGAAGTCACATGATTGATCATGCATGGGTATATGATTTGAAGTCCTTTCTCCCACCTCCCTCGTATTATTGTCAAACATATATTAGCTCTGGACTGGTGTGGTGGCTCATACCTCTAATCCTAGCACTTTGGGAGGCTGAGGCGGGAGGATAGCTTGAGTCCAGTAGTTCAAGACCAGCCTGGGCTACGTGGAGAGACCCCATCTCTACTAAAAATAGAAAAGTTAGCTGGGCACGGTGGTGCACACCTGTGGTCCCAGCTACTTGCTACTTGGGAGACTGAGGCACAAGAATCTCTTGAGCACGGTGAGTGGTGGTTGCAGTGAGCCAAGATCGTGCCACTGCACTCCAGCCTGGGTGACAGAGCAAGGCCGTCTCAAATACGTATATATATATATACACTTTTAGGATGATAGAAATCAGATCAGAGGTTGCCTGGACAGAGGAGAGGAGGACAGACTGGGAAGGGCCATCATGAGGGTCGATATGTCGTTACTTTACATTTTATTGGGATGTGATTTACCTGTGCATCAAAATTGACCCAACTGGAAATCTGTGCATTTTATTGTATGTAAACTCTACCTTAAGGAAATGAATCTAAGTGAATATATATATATACATACATTCACTTGTCCCAACCTGAAGTTGGGACAGGGAAAAATGGGGAAACTTCCTTCTACTCCCTATTTTTTTTATGACTATGCTTAAAAGATTAATTACCTAAGCAATCATATCTCAATAAAGTGTTTATGTATATAAACACGTATATATGTGTTTATAAGCGCATATATGTGTGTGCGTGTATATATGTGTATGTATTTATATATATAAGCTCTGAAGAGATTTAAGAGGCAGAGTAGCATTGTGGCTAAAAGTATAGGCTCTAGAACAAAACTCCCTAGGTCCATAATCCCAGTCCCTCCCCCTGCCTTCTGTGTACGTGACTTTGATCAAGTTCCTCACCCTGTCTGTCAAATGGGGATAATAATAGTACTACTGTTGCAGGCTTCCTCCATGAAGATTAAGTGGGTTGATAGAGATCATGCATTTATATTGAAACCTGGCACACAATAAGTACTCAGTAGATGGTAGCCTCTAAATCTAGCCATAATGATGCATTCAAGACATCTGCTCATTTCTGACTTTTTTTTTTTTTTTTTGAGATGGAGTCTCGCTCTGTTGCCCAGGCTGGAGTGCAGTGGTGCAATCTCAGCTCACTCCAACTTTCACCTCTTGGGTTCAAGCGATTCTTCTGCCTCCCAAGTAGCTGGGACTACAGGCACATGCCGCCATGCCCGGCTAATTTTTGTATTTTTAGTAGAGATGGGGTTTTATTATGTTGGCCAGGCTGGTCTCAAACTCCTGACCTCATGATCCGCCCGCCTCGGCCTCCCAAAGTGCTGGGATTACAGGCGTGAGCCACCGCGCCGGCTAATTTCTGATTCTTTAAAGCAAATATATACATATTTGTGTGTGTGAGTGTGCGTGCATATGTGTGTGTATACACACACAGATACACACATACACACATATATATATATATATATATATATATATATATATATATATGCACATATATGTTGTAGGTTCCCAGACTGGAAACCTAGAAATATGTATTAAATATGAATTTAGTGTTTCAGTTCTTTGGATTTCTGTTACTATTCTTGCTAGCTAAAAAAAAGTATTGCGGTCATAATGGAAAGAAGGACATTGGAAAAAAAAGAGAAGGACCAAAAAACCAAGATGACCGATTGAAATTAGAGGTGTTGGTACAGCCCCTGGGGAGTCTACATTAAAGTCTTAAAATAGATGGACTTTAAACATCTAGGACCCCAAAGGAGCTAGAGATGACCTTTCTTTAGAGTAACTGAAAGTGATGTCAAGTGGCTAAACAGCATCCCGAAGGGCTCCAGATGTAGCCTTCTGATGAAAGAGATCTACAGAGAGAGAAGGTGAATGGACTAAGCCACATTTACGGCACTGAGCTGGAAATGGTTGTCGGGTCATCTGTAGAAGGATGTGGAGACTGGGGTACCTCAACTAGTGCACAAGCTCCCTGTTGTGGTCTGAAAGGGTGCAGAGACTTGTGACCCCACCTCACCCAGACCTGGGCCCAGTGCCGCTCCCCCAGCTGACCCACCCAAGCAATGCCTCTGATGTTTGGGACTACCCTCCTCAGCCCTTCCCTGTAGTGATGTCCAGTTGTGCCCCTGTAGCAGGTGTGCTCCTAAAGTGGACAGGTAGGTGATATCCCTTGATGGAGAAATCCATCCCCACTCCTTGGGCAGTGGCAGGAGAAAGAGGCCCAAAGTTCCTCTTGTGAGGCTGAGATTAAGATCCCAATGTCAGAGTTTCTGTTCTTTCATCCCCTCCTGCTCTGGACCACATCCTTTCATGAGTATGTCCTTGGTGTCAAAGACACCAAGAAGACATCAACTCTAAAAGTAGGTAAATCTCCCTGGGCCAAAACTAAAGTCAGAGAAGTCTGTCTTTTAATTTCGAAAGTCCTCACTGGATAATCTGACGCTGAAAATGACACGTGGATTGTATCACCTATGCACAAGGAAGAAAGAATCATTTCCACAGGTATCAGGATTGTTGGTAATGTTGCCCTTCTTCCATGCGTCTATGTCGCTGTTTTCCAAAGCTCCATCATGCCCGTCAGTGCCATTTATTGGATGGCTGCTCTATGTCTGTATTCTACACTGAAACATTGTATTATTACTCCCCACCCCTCTTTATTTTGACCAAAGGAGAGGTTTCAGGAGCTCAAAGAGGGTAAATAATTTGCCCAGGTCACACAGCTTTAAAGAGGCATAGGCAGAAGAAGTAAATTTTAGTTTCAGCAATGCCTGAGTCTGAGCTCTCCTCCCACCTTCAGAACCCTCTGGGGTCCCTTCTCCCAAATGCTGGGAACACAGCCCTTCTGCTGGCTTGGTTGATTCATCTCAATTGGAGAAGGGAGTCTGTGAAATTATACAACGCTCATCTTGTGAAGCTTCAAATTTTGAGTTTCACACTTGAAGTTCTTTAGGCACGGTAAACTTTTTTGGAACACCATGAAGCATGAAAGCAGATGCTTTTGGAAATGAACTGTTTTCTATGACATGGTTTTCCAGACAGATCTGGGAAGCTCAGTCAAAGAAGAATGAACATCTTTGAAAATATCAAAAAGTCTATGTTACAGGGTGGATATTCTCCGGGCTCAAAACTATTCATTGCTTTCTTTTTTTTTGAGGGCATATAAAATAAAAAACAGAAATTGCAACAGAACTTCTGTTCTCCAGCTGTCAAATCTATTATTTTCCTCCCAGCTCCTGCTGGGGGGATGTGGGGAGAAATCAGCAGGGACCCCTTTTCACTGTCCTTTAGCATGTTAGGGCATGCCCAATGCTGATGATGAAATATGTGGTTAAAAACGTTTAACCCTTTGTCCTATCCTCCCTCCTCCTCCCACTCAGCCCAGCACGTTCACAAAAGACCACGAATGTTACCCACACATAAACACTAGCACCTACCAAGTCTCTTGTCAAAAGCCATTTTAGGATTGCAGCTACCAGATTGTCTGAATGATCTGCCGCCTTAGATTTTTTTACTAAGAGGATTGAGAGTTGATTCATATAAGGACTATGAAACTTGTGTGCCAGGAGTCTCAACGCAAGAAATAAAAAAAACTGGAAGTTTCACCCACCTAAATTATCCTTTTGGCTATTGTCATAGCCATTCAGCTACTTGGTTTCAGCTAAAGAGGCTGGGAGGACAGAAATTTCTCTGTCCCAGTAGGAGTTTAAGATGCAACAAAACAAATGTAGAACTAATAGGCTCCTGGGGGAAAGGTGGGGAAAAGTGTATCTTCATTTCCATTCCTCTCCCACTCCTCCGGGCTGCTGGGACCCTTTGGAAATCCAGAAAAAGAGTGTTGCTTTTCCACCAACTACATCCCCCAAGCCCAAGTCATCAGGCACAGGGCCGGAGGGGTGGGGAAGAGTGCTGACTCATGCCAGCGCAAAAGAAGATGCCCATATTTTTTAAAACTGCTGCCCTGTTCTTTTTCTGGAATGCTTTCTCTGTTGATTTGCTCAAAAAAATAAGCTTCTGGCCAGGCACGGTGGCTCAAGCCTGTAATCCCAGCACTTTGGGAGACTGAGGCAGGCAGATCACCTGAGGTCAGGAGTTCAAGACCAGCCTGGCCAACATGGCGAAACCCCATCTCTATGAAAAATACAAAAAATAGCCGGGCATGGTGTTGGGCACCTGTAATCCCACCTACTTGGGAGGCTGAGACAGGAGAATCTCTTGAACCCGGGAGGTAGAGGTTGCAGTGAGCCAAGATCACGCCACTGCACTCCAGCCTGGGCGACAGAGTAAGACTCTGTCTCAAAAAGATAAAATAAAATAAAAAAGAAAAAATAAGCTTCTTTGTACAGACATTGCTTTGTGGATAAAGATGTCACCTGAGGTTCCAAAAAGCTCCCTCCTGACCCCCTCAGGTCAAGCAGCCTTCAGTGGGAGCTCTCTGTGAAGACCAGCTCCCGAATTTGCATATGATCCAGAGTTGTTTGCAGACTAAGACCAGAAACCAGGACTCTTTAAACCCTTTGTCCTACCCTTCCTCCTCCTGTAACTGGAGGAAAAGGGCAAAAAAATGCAAGAGGAACAAATGTTTTCAATTTAATTTTTTTTTTTTTGAGACAGAGTCTTGCTATGTTGCCCAGGCTGGGGTGCAGTGGCTATTCACAGGTGTGATCACAGTGCCTTGCGGCCTCACATTTCTGGGCTCAAGCAATCCTCCCACCTCAGCTTCCCGAGTAGCTGGGATTACAAGAACATGCCACTGCACCCGCCAAGGGACAAATGTTTTCAATAAAGAGGACTTCATCACCTCAGTTTGATCTCCTGCCCCACAGCCCAGTTCCTGAGCTCATCGGGGTGACTAATTCAGAGAGGAATGGGGAAGCTGGTGGTAGAGAGAAGGCTCCCAAATCCCACCCAGACTGCCATCACCACTTGCTAGCTGTACTTGCTCTTTTTTTTTTTTTTTTTGAGAAAGAGTCTTGCTCTGTTGCCCAGGCTGGAGTGCAGTGGCACAATCTCGGCTCACTGCAGCCTCCTCTTCCTGGGTTCAAGTGATTCTTTTGCCTCAGCCTCCCAAGTAGCTGGGACTACAGGGGTGTGCCACCATGCCCGGCAATTTTATTTATTTATTTATTTATTTATTTATTTATTTATTTATTTATTTTTGTAGAATCAGGATTTCACCATGTTGGCCAGGCTGATCTCGAACTCCTGACCTCAAGTGATCCACCCGTCTTGGCCTCCCAAAGTGCTACGATTATAGGCATGAGCCACCGCGCCCAGCCTGTACTTGCTCTTAATCATCCCTCTTCCCTCTGTCCTCCAAGCTTCCCCAGAGTGGTGTTTCTAAAGTTCAAGTGTGCTCACGTCATTCCCAAGTCACACTGTTTTGTGGCTCCCTACTGCCTACAGCTTTGACTCTCAGCTGTTGTTCTACCTCCACAACATTCTCACGTACAACACACCCCCAGAAGAAGACCTCTTATTATACTCAGTGATGTCAAGGTGCCCAGATCTAAAAAAAGGGGGCCCACCTTCCAGTTGAGAACCACTGACTTTTAATGTGCAAACTCCTTTGCATAGATTCAAGGCCCATGCCAGTCTGGCCCACATGGCCAGTCTCATCACATCCTCTGCAGCAACTGCATTATTAGCATTATTATATCATGCTTGGAACCAAGGACTGCAAACTCTTATGCTTGTCCTTATGAATAAAAGGAGTTGAGTAAAAGAAAAATCAGAAATGGTGAGAACTATGGCAAGCTGAAGAGTTCATGTTCCAGCTTCATCCTCTTTATTCAGTTGTTAGGCATCAGGTCTTAGAGTTGTGAAAATATTTTCTTTCATTTGCTCATCAAACTTGCTCTACAGCTCTTTGAAAATATTTGTAGTGGCCGGACACAGTGGCTCACACCTGTACTCCCAGCACTTTGGGAGGCCGAGGCAGGTGGATCACCCGAGGTCAGGAGTTTGAGACCAGCATAGCCAACATGGTGAAACCCCATCTCTACTACAAATACAAAAATTAGCCAGGCGTGGTGGCGTGTGCCTGTCACCCCAGCTACTCGGGAGGCTGAGGCAGGAGAATCACTTGAACCTGGAAAGCCGCGGTTGCAGTGAGCCAAGATTGCACCATTGTACTCCATCTGGGCGATAGAGTGAGACTCCGTGTCAAGAAAAATAAAAAAAGAAAATATTTGAACTACTTTTGTGATGCTCATTGCCATTTTCTACTCTGAATTGCAGATATTTGTGTATGTCTTAAAATCTGGTTTCAAGATTGTGGGTCTGAGGGGGACTATAACTAGAAGACTGCTTCCTTCTTTTTAGATGCTATGAAAGCATCCTCACTTATTTTTCCTTTTGTTTTCCCCCCATCTCCTTTTAGCAGGCCTGACTGGCAAAGCCATGCCTGGGTCAGGCAGCTCTTCTCCTCATTGTCTCATATGAACAGTCATACGCATTCTCCCACTTCATTTTCAGCCTTTTTCAGTTCCATCTCATTGGCCTACTTAAGATCATAATGAGCCTTGGCTGCGGAATGGGAAAATGGGCTGGCAGGTGGCAGTGGTGAGCGTGGGCGAAATTCCTGCAGACCCAGAATTTGTTTGCTTCAACATTTCATTTTCAAAGTCTACTTTTTTTTTTGCTCTCTGCTTTGGAGTTTCTTATATTACTGTAGTGTGATCAGAAGCATATAGATCTACTGTCAGAATAGACGAGAATAAAGGCCATTTGATTCCTCGCTGCTACTGTGATGCGTGTGAAAGACAGTATTGAAAGAGGCACATCATCAGCACGTTACCTCCGTCCCAAAGGCTGCAAAGAGTCTCAAGTGGGAGTGACAAGCCAGGTGAACAGGGAGAGATGTCTGTAGTGAGCTCATCTCCCAAATAGAACTCATTATTCTAACGATTCCTAGAATTGCCTTCATTTCTCACTATGAGACTGCAGGTCCACCCACCTCAGAACTATCTGGGGTGATTATTCATACTGCTTTCCCACACTCGGACAATGTAAGGGCCAGGATTTCTGGAGAAGGGACTATGTATCTACATTTTTATTTACTTCTTATTTTTAATTGACAGATAAAACTTATATACATATGTATTTATGGTATACAGCATGATGTTTTGAAATATGTACTTATTGCGGAATGGTTAAATCAACCTCATTAATATATGCATTGTCTCATATACTTATTTTTTTGTGGTGAGAACACTTAAAATCTACTTGGCAATTTTCAAGTATAGGATACATTGTTACTAACTATAGTCACTATGTTGTACAATAGAGCTCTCAAACTTATTCCTTCTGTCTAGGTGAAATTTTGTGTCCTTTGACCAATATCTCCCCTAACCCCTCCCAACCCCCAGCCTTTGGTAACCACTATTCTACTTTCTACCTCTGTGAGTACAAAACTTTTTAAAAAATGAGTTGTTTTTTTTTTAAATTTTTTAAAGACAGGGTCTTGCTTTGTCGCCCAAGCTGTAGTGTAGTGGTGTGATCATAGCTCACTGCAGCCTCAAACTCCTGGGCTCAAGCAATTCTCCCACCTCAGCCTACTGAGTAACTGGGACTATAGGCACATGCCACGTTGCTTGGATAACTTTTTAAAACTTTTCGTAGAGACAGAGTCTCACTATGTTGCACAGGCTGGTCTTGAACTCCTGGCCTCAAGTGATCCTCTTGCCTTAGCCTCCCAAAGTGCTAGGATTACAGGCGTGAGCCACTGCACCTGGCCCTGAGTTCAACTTTGTTAAATTCCACATAGAAGTGAGAACATGTGGTAATTGTCTTTCTGTGCCTGGCTTATTGCACTGAACTTCTCCACATTTATCTACACAATCACAAATGGCAGAATCCTTTTTTTAAAAGGCTGAATAGTGTTCCACCATGTACATATACCACATGTTCTTGATTAATTCATCTGTCCATGGACAGCTAAGTTGATTATCTTGGCTACTGTGAATGGTGGTGCAATGAACGTGGGGATTCAGTGAACCTGCAGTTTAACAAGTTACCCAGCTGAAGCTCATGCTGTCCTCCTCTGAGAACTGCTGAATTGCAGAATCCTATCATTGAGTCCCAGTGAGTCCTTCACAATCAATCAAGGTCTCCAGCAGAGAACCGGACTAAGAACAGGGCTTGAGGTTAGAACCTGGTCCTGCCATGTGTTGGCAGATGACTGTAAGAAAGCAGCTTAACCCTTCAGTACCCCAGTGTCCTCTTCCATAAAAAACAGAAGATAACGACAGTACCTATTCCTTGGGGATGTTTTAAGAATTAAATAAATTAATGCATATAAAGTACACTAATATGGCACACAGTAAGTGCACAATAAATGATAGCTCTCATTTCCTGCCCAATCCAGTGTTTCCCAAATGTCATTCACAGGCTATCTTCACAATTTTTGCCATACATGCATAACTCCCTACTAGTATTTTTACTAAGTACCTTACCCCCTTTTTTAGCATCATCCTAAAAAGTGATGCCTGGGGAATTATTTGATATACGATTACATTTTTAAAACATTAAAATTGATACCAGCAACTGGGTGTGGTGGCTCATGCCTGTAATCCCAGCATTTTGGGAGGCCAAGGTGGGCAGATCACTTGAAGCCAGGAGTTTGAGACCAGCCTGGCCAACATGGTGAAATCCCATCTATGCTAAAAATACAAATATTAGCTGAGCATGGTGGCACATGGCTGTAATCCCAGCTACTTGGGAGGCTGAGGCACAAGTATTGCTTGAACCTGGGAGGCAGAGGTTACAATGAGCTGAGATCAAGCCACTGCACTCCAGCCTGGGTGACAAAGCGACACTCTGTCTCAAAAAATAAATAAATAAATTTAAATTTTAAAAAATTGATACAGGCCAGGTGTGGTGGCTCACGCCTGTAATCCCAGCAAATTGGGAGGCCAAGGCAGGAGAACCACTCGCATCCAGGAGTTTGAGACCACTCTAGGCAGCATAGTGAGATCTTGTCTCTAAACACACACACACAAAATGTTAAAAAAAATTAGTGGGGCATGGTGGTGCACACCTGTAGTCCCAGCTACTTGGGAAGCTGAAGTGAGAGGATCACTTGAGCCCAGGAGGTGGAGACTGCAGTGAGCCATGATCCCACCACTGCATACCAGCCTGGGAGACAGAACACAAGACCCTGTCTCAAAAAAGAATTTTAAAAAAGAAATCGATACATAACTACTAAAATTTCAAAATGTTGATTTTAGGTACCACCAGAGTATGTCAACCACTGTCAGGAAACATTGATCTCATCCAACTTCAGTTCCGGCAACTGACGCTTAGAGTGGTTAAGTGGATTTTCAAAGGTCATGCAGGGAGTTGCTGGAAAAGCCAGAAATACAGGAATTCAGATTTCTTTCTAACTAGGCCAGGGCTCTTTATTCCACATCAACCTGCTGGTTTTACAGCGGTCTTCAAAGGCACATTGGAAAGTACTGAAAAAGGAACATCCTTTTGTTAGCCTGACATTAGGAAACTGAAAGAAACCTTATGTATTAAATAGGCTACAAAGGAAACCTCCCTTTAGCATTAAGCAGAAGAGGACGTTGAAAGCATAGGTTCACCTCATTTCACCCCTTCCAGCCCCAGGGTGGGTGCTGGATAACGGTGCACAGGGCAGGTGACGCTGAAGAGGCCCAGCCCTAGCACTGCCACATGCCAGGCCCCCCGCAGCTGTGACTCGCAGTGACTGATGATGCTGGAGACAGGAGTCTGCCAAGGATGACAGCAGCTGGGAGCACAAGCTTTAGCGTCAGATGGGCCTGGGTTCTAACCCTCCTCACCACTCGCAAACTTGACCTTGGGCAGGTTACTCAGCCTTTCGGAACCTCAGTTCCCTCATCTGTAACATCCTCACAGGTTGCTGAAAAAATTAAGTACTAACTAGAGAAAATGCTTAATACAACAGAGGTAGCTTTTATTTTTACTTCATGGTGCACTTCCCTAGATTGAATGATCATATGCCATGAAATGCAAGTAGCTTTTAACCACAGCTTCAATGTATTAGGAGATATGAAACTTGTTAAACAGAATACTTAGACCTTAAATGTCTTTTCTAATCATGTGAGTCCACAATTCTAAGTATCTTTAATATAAATGCAATTACTTTCCAAAAGTCAAGTCTTCAGGAAGTAAAACTGAGCACCACATTAAGCTAATTATTACTGTTTTTTAAGGGTTTAATATTGAAGATGTAGTAGATATCTGATTTTCCTTGGAGAGACATTTATGCCTTACTTGCAGCTGATCCATGAGTGGACACATACCCAAGCCTGACCAATCAGCATTTTCTAACACCTAGACATAGACATTTGCTGTAAGTCCATTCAATCAGAGCCAATCCTGGACTCTTAGGAAAGTAAGCACTCTGTCTTCTAGCTGTGGGCCTAGAGCTGCTGAGAGCCATCCTGCAACCATGAGAGAAGACTTTCCTGGCAATGGTGCCGTCAAGAGGAAAGGAGAGCAGAAAGATGTAAATAGATCAAGAATCGATGAACTTGTTTGAGTTCCTGGACCCAGCCATACCTGAATGTAGTCTATCACTATACTTATCAGTATGTGAGCCAATAAATTCCCTTATTGGCCTATCTATTGAGATAGATTTCTTATTACTTACAATCAAAATACTCTCATCAATAAAATAGGCAATATGATTTGGAAAATATTTTTGGAAAAATACAGAGAAACTTAACCAACATGTTGTTCACCCAAAGTATTACTATGACAAACAGAAGAGAGAGGTTTCAGAGGACTCAGTCATCATATTTTGTGACAATCGAGCTTGGTGAGAGATTTTCTTGCTAGTACTATGCTTTTATTCTGCTAACTGAGACCCTGCAAACTTTTCTACCAACCTACTCCCATCTCAGAAGAGCTTGACTTTGTAACCCCGGAAGTCATCACATGAAGATAATGAACAAATCCATCACTCCAAAAGTGTCCCCAGGTCCCTTTGTAATCCTTCTTGTTCACTCCTCCATCCCTCTCACCTCTAAGTAACCTCTGATCTGCTTTCTGTCATTATAGATTAGTTTGCATCTTTTGGGGCATTATATAAATGGAATGATATAATATATATTCTTTTTTGTCTGGCTTCTTTCACTCAGTATAATTATCCATATTGCATGTGCATCAATAATTCATTTTTAATTGCTGAATAGTATTCCAGTGCACAACAATTTTTTTTTTTTTCCATAGAGACATGGTCTCACCATGCTGCCTAGGCTGGTCTTGAACTCCTGGGCTCAAGCAATCCACCCGCCTCAGCCTCCCAAAGTGCTGGGATTACATATGTGAGCCACCGTGCCTGGCCCATTGCACAACAATTTATCTATTTTCCTGTTGATGGACATTTGAGTTGTTTCCACTTTTAGGTTATTGAAAATAAAGCTACTATAAATATTTGTGTACAAGTCTTTGTATGGGCATATGCTTTCCATTCTCTTGGTTAAATATGTAGGAGTAGAATGGCTGTGTCATATGGTAGATGTATATTTAACTTTTTAACAAACCGTTTTTCCAAAGTAGTTGTATCACTTTACATTCTCACCCGCAGCCTGTAAGAAAAAGTTCCAGTTGCTCCACATCCTCACCAAAATGTGGTATTGTCACATCTTCATTTCAGCCATTCCAATAGGTGTGTGGTAGCATCTCACTGTGGTTTGAATTTGCATTTCTCTAGTGACTAATAATATTGAGCATCTTTTCATGTACTTGTTTGCCATCTGTATGTCTTTTTTTGTGAAGTCTGTTTATGTATTTTGCCCATTTGTTAAGTAGGTTACTTGGTTTCTAATTAAGTTTTTAGATTCTTTATATATTCCTATATCAGACATGTGATTTGCAAATATTTACTTTCAGTCTCTCGTCTTTTCCTTCTCTTAATTGTATCTTTTGACGAGTAGTTCCTAATTTTGATGAAGTCAAGCTTATCAATTTTTTCTTCTATGAATTGTGCTTTTGTCATCTTACCTGGAAAATCTTTCCCTAACCCAAAGTCACAATGATTCCCTCCTATGTTTTCTTCTAGAAATTGTATAGCTTTAGGTTTTACATTTAGCCTTACGATCTACTTTGAATTAATTCTTATGTATGGTGCAAGGTATGGATCAAAGTTGATTAAATAATATGCAAAAAAGATATGAATATCTAATTGTCCCAGCACCATTTTTCAGGGGATTGTCCTTTTTCCACTGAAGTACCTTTTTACCTTTATTGAAAATCAGTTGACCAAGTATGTGTGAGTTTATTTCTGAACTCTCTAGTCTACCTGAACATTGCTTTTTAATTTTTTTATTATGGCAAAAATATATATAACATAAAATTTGCCATGTTAGCCACTCTTAATTTTACAATTCAGTGGCATTAATGTTAATCACAGTGTTGTGCAACCATCACCACTATTTTTTCCAAAATGAACATTTTTTTAACCTCACTTTTTTCTTTAAAAATCTTGGGAACTTTGAATTGTATTCCATAATAACTCCCAGTTTTGTTTTAATATAAAAAATAATGTTGCCTTTCTAGAAAGATGAGCTATGTTTAGCCTGTAGCTTTGTGTGATTCCACGGCCTCCCTCCTTCCCTCGGGTGTGTAAACACCCATTTCAGAACCTCAAAAGAAAGCAGAGAATTTACAGGGACCTTAGAGGTCTTCTAGGAACGCCCCTTTGTTTTAGAGATGTGAAAAGTGAGAACCCAGATCACAGGGCTGGTAAGTGACAGAGCCAGCTGAGAAATAAGAAATGCTATTTTGGGGCTGCTGAAGGGTTTGCACCCAATCCTGATGGCCTCCCCTCTACGTGATCTGGCTTTGGTGAAATCAACTCTCCTCTGCCTCAGGACACCAGAAAAGTAAAGTAATGCAATCTTCCTTAGAGGGTTTCACCAAGGGGTAAAAATGCCTCATAGTCAACAGAAGTGGGAGATCAGGGAGAGAAAAGGACAGCTACCCGCAGATTTCTAACCATTAAAAAGGCAGCCATTTGGGAGAGAGCGCTTCGAAAGAGCTTGAGCACAAGTCAACGGCAACACTGAGCAGCTCTGCCCCCTCTCAGGATGGATTGCCGACTGCGAGTTCAAATAGAAAACAGCCCTATTTACAGGCCTGGTTGAAGAATGCTGCTGAGCAGCCTCTCCTCTCCTCTTAATTCTTGACTATTATTATAGTGGGCCTTTCCCTCCAAACACTGGGAATTGTGATCTAACCTATCATGTGAAGTGGAGTTTCCTAGTATTCTTGGAAATATTTAGAAAGCAGTACCCTAATCAATCAGCAGTCCTGCTCATAAATGCAAATTTTCTGAACAAGAAACATCGAGAGATTCTTTCAATGGCTCACCCTTTCAGAGCACTTACTATGGTGCTGAGTAACATTCTAAGCACTTTTCATACTTATCGCAACTCAGTGAGGGCTAGATGTGGTGGCTTATGTCTGTAATTCCAGCACTATGGGAGGCCGAGGTGGGAGGACTGCTTAAGTCCAGGGGTTCAAGACCAGCCTGGGCAACATAGGGAGACCCGATTTCTACCAAAAAAAAAAAAATTTTTTTTTTAAATTAGGCAGGCGTGGCGACACTTGCCTATGTTCCCAGCTACTTGGGAGGCTGAGGTAGGAGGAGTGCTTTAGCTAGGAGATCAAGATTGCAGTGAGCCGAGTCATGCCACTCTACTCCAGCCTGGGCAACAGAGGGAGACCCTATCTCAAAAACAACAGCATCAGCAAACTCAGTGAGATGGGAACTATTATTTTCCTCATTTTAGAGAAGAAATGGAAGCACAGAGAGGTTAAATACATTGCCAAAGGTCACACAGCTCACCTAAAGTGTCTGGGTCCAGAGGCCTTAACCACCTCCACAGGCACCTCCAATCAACACTGCCGTCTCAGAGACGCTCCCTCAGCCTCTTCTAATTTGACTTACAGACACAGGTGTGAACACTTGACGGTCCCTGTGAGCAGAGCTGCTGAGCATGCTGGTGACCACTTGGAAAAATACATGAAGCCAGGGAGTGAAGAGAGGCCGAGGGCCTGCTCCCTGGTGGGCTCTGAGTCACGCAGGTCAGCCAGGCCTGGCCGGCTCAGCCTGTTACCATCAGCTGTCTCTCTGTACTCTGCTGCACAGCAGGGCCGGGCTCGAAGATGGGAACTGCGATTTATAAGCTCTCGGGCAAAATCAACTTTCAGGTGAAGAAAACTCACATACCTGGTAGGTTACCCTTGCTTCGGATGGTCTGAGGCCACCAGGGCTGCTGGACAGAATAAGTCCCCATGTCGGTTCAATTGTTTGTGCCTTTGATGTTACAGAAAGACCCCGCTGGCTTTCAGGGCTAGGGATGAATCCTTCAGCCAGGCCCGCTGTTTTGGTTTCTTGTCATCTGAGTTCATTAATAAGCCATTTCACAACTTAAGTTTTATTTCTTGTAGGCAAACGTGCTTTCAAATGTTGCATGAGTTAAACAAAAGATGAAGACAACAGGGTTCTGCAGCTTCTTTCTATTACCGGACAGCTCAGGAGGTTTCATTTTCTGTAACAGATGTAACATTAACTCCAGCGTTATTTTGACCAGTTATAAATATAAAGGACAAGTGTTTTGCAGTTCAGATTCTTCCTAAAAAGACTCAAGAACTTTCAGGCTAAAGCCATGGCTCCCAGGTCTTTCTCAGGAAGCAACAGAAAATGCATGCAGGCTTGCAGTCCTGGAAGGAGAATTGTGGGAGGTGCCCAGGTAACAGCAGTGCACCTATAAAATGCTTGGTAGAGCTTGGGGCTTCCTGCGGCTTCGGGAAATGGGTAGATCTTTATTATTAACAAAATCTAAGTAAAGCTTTAACAGAAATTAAATATCAAGGCGGGACAATGTGGCTCATGCCTGTAATCCTAGCACTTTGGGAGGCCAAGGTAGGAGGATTGCTTGAGCCCAGGAGTTTGAGACCAGCCTGGGGAACATAGCAAGACCCCATCTCTAAAAAAATTTTGTTTTAATTAGCTGGGTGTGGTGGTGGGCACCTGTAGTCTCAGCCACTTGGAAGACTGAGGCAGGAAGATTGCTTGAGCCCAGGAGTTCAAGACTGTGGTGAGCTATCATTGCACCACTGCACAACCAGCCTGGGCAACAGAGCAAAACTCTGTCTCTAAAAATATAAAAGAAAAGACAGCCTGGGCAACATAGGGAGACCCCATTTCTACAACAACGACACTAACAACAATAACAAAAAACTAGCCAGTCATGGTGGTGTGTGCTTAAGGTCCCAGCTACTCGGGAGGCTGAGGTGAGAAGATCGCTTGAGCCCAGGAATTTGAGGCTGCAGTGAGCTATGATCGTGCCACTGCACTCTAGCCTGGGTAACAGAGTGAGATACTGTCTCAAAAATAAAATAGAATAATAAAATAAATCAAATATTAAGTAAAAGAGGGGATTTCCCACTTTACTCTCACCAGTGGCTGATAAATGAGCAACCCCAAGGCTAGTAAGGACCTCTGCAAGGCTGGTAGTAGGAAGGAGGAAGCTCACAAGGAGCAGGTATATGTGTGTGTATGAGAGAGAAAGAGAGAATAGAGAGACAGAGAGAGACAATGGTATTTTTAGGGTGGGAAGGGGTGGAATGGACTTGGAGAGGAATTCTACCTGATCTTAAGCCATGACCTGCTTGTTTGTGGATAGCGAGATGCCTGTCTTCATGCTAAGCTATGGAAAATGTTGCCAGGCTGTGTGTTTGCCACGTGACCATCTTACTACCATTATCTAGAGGCTCTTACAACACCAGTAAGTAGTTGTATTTCTAGAATAGCTTGCCTTGTAGTAAGGCATAGCATTACCATATTTCCTCATCTCTAAGGCACCATCTATTGTGACGTACACCGTCATTTTATGTACCACTAAGGAAAATGCTGTCAATTTCAGCATGCTGTGTCATTGATGATAAAATGTATGTTCATTTCAGAGACGTTTATATGAAAAAAAAAAGGAAAGTACCTTTTAATATAGATGAAATTCAATAGATGGCAGTCCAAAGTTCCTTTGAGTCTTATGAGTCAGTGCTAATCCTGCAAATCGGTGGTCCATATAAGAGCATTCCATTCTATTAAAATTACATTTATGGCCAAGCACTGTGGCTCATGCCAGGAGTTCAGGGCTGCAATCATGCCACTGCACTCCAGCTTAGTTGATGGAGTGAGACTCTGTCTCTAAAAAAAAAAACAAAATAAACAACATTTACAATAAGGGATAAATAGCTCCCCTTTTTTCTTTTTTGGAGACACAGTCTTGCTGTGTTGCCCAGGCTGGAGTGCAGTGGTGCAATCATGGCACACTGCAGCCTCAACTTCCCAGGCTCAAGTGATCCTCCCACCTCAGCCTCCTGAGTAGCTGAAACTACAGGCACACGCCACCACATCAGCTAATTTTTTGTATTTTTTTGTAGAGACAGGGTCCCTCCATGTTGCCCAAGCTGGTCTCGAACTCCTGGGCTCAAGCAATCCTCTCACCTTGACCTCCCAAAGTGCTGGGATTACAGGCATGAGGAGCCACTGTGTCTGGACATGCATAGGTTTTGTTTTCACTTTTTTTTTTTTTTTTAGACGGAGTTTTGCTCTTATTGCCCAGGCTGGAGTGCAATGGCATGATCTTGGGTCACTGCAACCTTTGCCTTCCGGGTTCCAGTGATTCTCCTGCCCCAGCCTCCCGAGTAGCTGGGATTACAGGCATGCACCACCACACCCACCTAATTTTGTATTTTTAGTAGAGACAGGGTTTCTCCATGTTGGTCAAGCTGGTCTCAAACTCCCAGCTTCAGGTGATCCGCCCACCCTGGCCTCCTAAAGTGCTGGGATTACAGGTGTGAACCACCGCACCCAGCCTGTTTTCACTTTTTTTTTTTTTTTTTTTTTGAGACGGAGTCTTGCTCTGTTGCCCAGGCTGGAGTGCAGTGGCACAATCTCAGCTCACTGCAAGCTCCGCCTCCTGGGTTCACGCCATTCCCCTGCCTCAGCTACCCGAGTAGCTGGGACTATAGGCACCCACCACCATGCCCAGCTAGTTTTTTTGTATTTTTAGTAGAGATGGGGTTTCACCTTAGTAGTGACTTGTTAGCCAGGATGGTCTCGATCTCCTGACCTCGTGATCTGCCCGCCTCGGCCTCCCAAAGTGCTGGGATTACAGGCATGAACCACCGTGCCCAGCCTGTTTTCACTTTTTTAAAGTAGGTTTTTAATGGAAGAAAATAGTGGGTCTGCTGTAGGCTGATATTGTAGAGATAAAAGTTAAAAATAATTATGATGGAGAAACAAAAATGCATCAAAAGAATAAATGTTTCCTGTGTTGTTAGTGAATTCCCTCTTAGAATACTGTTGACCAGCACACAGCTCTCTAATTCAATTTGTCTGTGTTGGTTTTATTATCACATAGACACACATAAATAATAACATAATAACTTTATTCTATTTCTCAAATAAGAAAGGAGAGCCTTGGGACTTAAAAAAAATGGTGCATAGTCTTCAAAGGAGAAGCACATGGAATAAGGAATTGAAATGAATCATATATCCCATTCTATTTTGAATTTAAATAAGGAATTATATAGGATTTCAGTTCTAGTTCCATTTTGGGTAGAAAACAGAAGATGAGCAGGCAGGTGAGGGATTCAGTGCCCTTTTCCCTTCAATATCATGTCTATGTTTTACTGAATAATAAAATACATAGCTGGTGGTCACATCTCTGTTCTTTGCAGGCAAGATCCAGTCCTATTACTCCATCCACTGCCTGGCAGAACAGAGTTAAACTTCTTGAAGAAATGGCCTACGCCTAAAACCCACTCCCTTACCTCTCATTTACTTCAAGGCGAGGTCTCTTTGCCCCTAGACTTCCTGACGGCCACATCTCCTGTGCTGGATTCCGTGCTCATCTTCTTGACTTCTCTACGGCACATCACATTGCTGACCAATTGTTTTCTTGAAGCCTTCTTGGATTTTGACTTCCTTACCCCACACTCTTGCCTATTTCTCCCCCTATCTCTCTGACTTTTCCTTCTCAGTCTCCCTCAATGCTCACCTTCCTCTGAGCACCTCTTCAGAAGCAGTATTCTCTCCTTGCCCTAGTTCTTACTAAAATAGAAATAGCTGCCACTTTGTGTAAACTCCAACTCTGGAACATTCTAGAACTTAACGTGGTACATCATTTAAAGCTCCTAAGACCCCGTGAGGCCCCTGCTATCCCCTCTGTCTCACAAACAGTAAGTTGAGGTTCTGAGTAGGATAGTAATGGGTGCAAAGTCTCACAGCTAAAAAGAGGTAGAGATAGAATTCAAAGCCAGTGTGTCTGACACACAAACTGTGCTCTTTCCAAAAATAGGTCACCCTCTCTCAGACTGCTCTCAGTCACACCCTTGACTTCCCATACAACTTAATAAGCTAAACAACTCCCAATCTCCCAACCCCATCTCAGCTCTCCCTCCTGAAGACTCACACGTCCAACTTCTTACTCAACATCTCTGCTCAGTTCCATTGGCATCTGAAGCTTAAACTGCCCAGAACTCAATCTTTACCCAGAACTCAATCAGTGTCTTTACCTTGAGAAAGGTGACCTGGAAGTCATTTTAGAGTCCTCTCTTCCCATATCAAAATCCTGACAATACTAGCTGTCTTTGTTTTCTAAGGCTGCCATAACAAAATACCACAGACTGAGTTGTTTAAACAACAGAAAATCATCTTCTCCTAGTTCTGGAGTCTGGAAATCCAAAATCAACATGTCTGCAGGTTTGGTGTCTTCTGAGACCTTTCCTCTTGGCTTACAGATGGCCACCTTCTTGCTGCATCCTCACATGGCCTCCTCTTCGTCTTGGCCTGTGTGTCGTCTATGTCCTACTCGCCTCCTCTTTTTTTTTTTTTGAGACAAGATCACTCCGTCACCCAGGCTGGAGTACAGTGGCATAATCACAGCTCACAGCAGCCTCAATCTCCCAGGCTCAAGCAATCCTCCCACCTCAGCCTCCCAAGTAGCTGGGACTACAGGTGCGTGACCTCATGCTAAGCTAATATTTTTCTATTTTTTGTAGAGATGGGATCCCTCCCTATGTTGCCCAGGCTGGTCTCAAACTCCTGGCCTCAAGTCATTCTCCCATGTCAGCTTCCCACAGGGTTGAGATTGCAGGCATGAGCCGCTGTGCCTGGCCTTAGTTTCCTCTTCCTGTAAGAGCACTAGTCATATTGGATTAGGGCCCATCCACATGACCTCATTACATCTTAACTACCTCTTTAAATGCCCTGTCTCCAAATACAGTCACATGTTGATGTACGAGTGGTTAGGACTTCAACATCTGAAATTTGGAGGCACACGACTCAGCCCATAACACTAGTTTTTAGGCATCTTTCAAATTTGACTTTCCATCTTCAGCTCTAATTGCCACCCTTTTAGTTGAGAACTGTGCCATTTCTTACAATTATAATATTCTCATCATCATGACTATTATGCTTTATAAATAATATTGTTCTGATTATAAAATAATTACATGAGCTCTGTAGAAAACACACAAAAAAAAACACAAATAAAACATAAAATCTCTGTAATCTCAACAACCAAACAGAATTGATCATTGGCATATATCCTTATCTTTTTTCTATGTATATATTTTTAAAAATTGGGGCCGGGTGCCATGGCTCATGCCTGTAATCCTAGCACTTTGGGAGGCTGAGACGGGAGGATCACTTGAAGTCAGGAGTTTGAGACCAGCCTGGGCCAACGGTGAAACTCCATCTCTACTAAAAAATACCAAAAAATTAGCCAGGCCTGGTGGTGCATGCCTATAATCCCTGCTACTCAAGAGGCTGAGTCAGGAGAATCACTTGAACCTGGGAGGTGGAGGTTGCAGTGAGCCGACATCATGCCACTGCACTCCAGCCTGGGTGACAGAATGAGACTCCATCTCAATAAAAATAAAAATTGGAATTGTCTTAGTATGTTTTGCATTGCTATAACAGAATACCACAGAAAGAGTAATTTAAAAATAAAAGGAATTTATTTCTTACAGTTCTTCAAGCTGGTAAGTTCTAGGTCAAGGGGCATCTGGTGAAGCCCTTCTTGCTGCATCATAACATGGCAGAGGGCATCACATGGCAAGGGGGCAGGAGCATGTGTGTGAGCTCAGGTGTCTCTTACTCTTCTTATAAAGCCACCGGTCTCATCATGGGGGCCCTACCCTGATGGCCTCATCTAATCCTAATTAATTCCCAAAGGCCTTACCTTCAAATACTATCAACGCATGAATTTGGGAATTAAGTTTCCAACACATGAAATTTGGGGGACACATTCAAACCATAGCAGAATCATAACATATCTTCTCTTTTGTAATTTGATTGTTCTCATGAACAATTTCTTGCCTGGGTGCGGTGGCTTATATCTGTAGTCCCAGCACCTTGGGAGGCCAAGGGGGCGGATCACTTGAGCCCAGGAGTTCAAGACCAGCCTAGGCAACATGGTGAAACCCCATCTCTACAAAAAATACAAAAATTAGGCAAGCATGGTAGTATATGCCTGTAGTCACAGCTACTTCAGAGGCTGAGGTGGGAGGACTGCTTAAACCCAGATGGTTGAGGCTGCAGCAAGCTGTGATTGCCCACTGCACTCCACCCTGGGCAATAGAGTGAGACCTTGTCTCAAAAGAAAAAAAAAATTTCTCATACCATTAAATATTATTATTCTCCAACATTATTTACTGATCACAATATTCCATCATACAGATAGACCAATAATAAACTTATTATTAAATCAGTTAATATACTTTATTATTAAATCTGTTAATATAGTCTATCTGTATGATAGAATATTGTGGACATGTGGGTTTCAGGCAGTCCCATCACTCATAGCCCATAGAATGGTCTTTTTATCTCGATGGCTTACATACGTATCTTCAGAGAACTGAGTTCAGATTCATTCATTGCCATTGCTTCTCTCCTTACTGCCTGTTTTATCTGAAGCTTAACCCTGTGTTATAATTTTAGAAACAATGAGATAGTTGGCAGGCTAATGGCTTCATTTTAAGTAGTATCTGATGTGAAGTTTACAACTGAAGCCAATTGGAGTTCTTTCTTAAGACGGCTCCTTAAAAATTTCATTATGTTAGACCTGTCTTCAGTGGGTTACATTACCAGACTCTTGATGAGAGAAATCTATTTGCTGGTGAATAAAATTGTGGCAGCTCTTATTTATGTGTCTTAATGTGGCTAAGGTAAATGTTTTAAAAATACTTACTTTGGAAACAGTTTGATAGTTCCTCAAAAAGTTAAACTTAGAATTACTATATGACCCAGCAATCCTACTCCAAGGTATATATCCAAGAAAATGGAAAACATTATGTACACAGGAAAACTTGTCCATGAATGTTTGGCTATTATTTATAACAGCCAAAGAGGGGAAACAGCCTAAATGGCCATCAACAGATAAAAGAATAAACAAAATGTGTTACATTCATATAAAGGAATATTATTCAGCTGTAAAAAGAAATGAAGAACTGATATATGCTACAACATGTATGAATTTTGAATATTTGATAGGTGAGGCTGTGCTGGTGTTTTATGCCTGTAATCTCAACACTTTGGGAGGCCAAGTCAGGAGGATCGCTTGAGCCTAGGAGGTCAAGACTGCAGTAAGCTATGATTGCATCACTGCGTTTGGTGACAGGGTCTCAGTCTGTTGCCCAGGCTGGAGTGCAGTGGTTGAACAAAGCTCACTGCAGCCTCGACCTTCTGGGCTCAAGCAATCCTCTCAACTCAACCTCCCAAGTAGCTGGGACTACAGGTGTGTGCCACCACACCTGGCAAATTTTTGTATTTTTTTTGTAGAGATAGGGTCTTGCCATGTTGCCCAGGCTGGAATTTTTTTTTTTTCTAAGTAAGGCCAGTGTGGTGGCTCATGCCTGTAATCCTAGCACTTTGGGATTACACTTGGGAACCTCCACCTCCCAGGTTCAAGGGATTCTCCTGCCTCAGCCTCCCAAGTAGCTGGGACTATAGGCACCCACCACCACATCTGGCTGATTTTTGTATTTTTAACAGAGATGGGGTTTCGCCATGTTGCCCAGGCTGGTATTGAACTCCTGGGCTCAATAGATCCGCCCGCCTTGCCCTCCCAAAGTGCTGGGATTACAGGCATGAGCCACAGCGCCCGGCCAATGTTGTCTTAATTTAAACCTTGCAAAAAGAAAAAAAATGTATCGTAGCCTAATCTCCTGTCTTTGTGAAAGATATTCAGTGATAGTGTGATTGAATTTCAGAGGAGGCCAAGATAGTCTAGGTTAAATGGCTCTGCCTTGTGAACAGATGGGCCCCACACAAACTCATTTTTATTATTCCAGGTTGAATGCTGGCTTTTTGAGCAGGGGAGGGGGTTCAATTTCCCTTGGCCTGTTGGATGAACAGAGAACGACACAGACCTAACTGGGAACCTAACGTGCTTTCTCTTTCAGAGGGTAAATATATATGTCATGCTCACTGCCGAGACCTGGTACATCTGGATTATCCACAAAATGGGAACGTATCAAGCTGCATGCCGACTTCTGAAGTAAGATATTCAATCAAAAAGAACAGTCAGGTAGGCACTATTGGTGCTTGTGGACATCGTGCGTTTCGGTCACTCCCATCACTCATACCCCATAGAATGGTCTTTTTATCTCCATGGCTTACGTATGTATCTTCAGAGGATCGAGCTCAGGTTCATTCATTGCCATTGCTTCTCTCCTTGCCGCCTGTTGCATCTGAAGCTTAATCTTGGGTTATAATTTTAGAAACAATAAGATAGAGTATATCAGTAGTTTTATCCAACAGATTTGTCATAAGATATGAGGCTTTCATCTGCTTGATTACTTGCCACATTCAGGATGCAATCTTGTTAACAGACATACTTCCTGCTGCGGAAAATAGGACATGAACTGTAAATGTGTGTTGACTTTTTTTTTAATCCGATGAAGAGCCTCAGCGTGAGTCTGAGACCAACCTGGGCAACATGGTGAGACCCGCATCTCTACAAAAAATAAAAATAAAAATAAAAATAAATTAGCTGGGTGTGGTGGCATGTGCCTGTGGTTCCAGCTACTCACCCAGCCACTCAAGAGGCTGAGGCAGGAGGATCACATAAGCCCCAGAGGTGGAGGTTGCATTAAGCTGAGATTCTGCCACTGTACTCCATCCAGCCTAAGTGACAGAGTAAGATCCCACCTCAAAAAAACAAAACAAAAGAACCTGAGCATGAACACTGTGCTGGGGAAATCTGTCAGGTTTTACTGGTTAAAGCAAAGATCTTCAACTGGTAGAACTAGTAGATCCTCAACCTGGTTTCAGCCAGCACATCCATTCTCACTCTATTCTCCTGGTTTGCTGAGAGACCAGAAGGGAAGGGGTACAGCTGGCAGTGATGCCTGCTCCTCTGCAGACTCAACTATAGCATCCCCTCTCCTGACACATCAAGGTTCTTCTTAAAAGATAGGCTATTTTTTCGGCCAAGCACAGTGACTCATGCCTGTAATCCCAACACTTTGGGAGGCCGAGGTGGGTGGATTGCTTAAGGCCAGGAATTCAAGACCAGCCTGAGCAACATGGCAAAACCTCATCTCTACAAAAACTACAAAAATTAATAGGGCATGGTGGTGAGAGGTGACAGCATGCTGGCAGCCCTCGCTCGCTCTTGGCGCCTCCTCGGCCTCGGTGCCCACTCTGGCCCCACTTGAAGAGCCCTTCAGCCCGCCGCTGCACTGTGGGAGCCCCTTCCTGGGATGGCCGAGGCCGGAGGCGGCTCCCTCAGTCTGCAGGGAGGTGTGGAGGGAGAGGCACGGGCGGGAACCGGGGCTGCGCGCCAGCTAGATAGAGTTCCGGGTGGGCGTGGGCTTGGCGGGGCCCCGCACTTGGAGTGGCGGGCCCCGCACTTGGAGTGGCGGGCCCCGCACTTGGAGTGGCGGGCCCCGCACTTGGAGTGGCGGGCCCCGCACTTGGAGTGGCGGGCCCCGCACTTGGAGTGGCGGGCCCCGCACTTGGAGTGGCGGGCCCCGCACTTGGAGTGGCGGGCCCCGCACTTGGAGTGGCGGGCCCCGCACTTGGAGTGGCGGGCCCCGCACTTGGAGTGGCCGGCCGGCGCCGCCCGCCCAGGCAGTGAGGGGCTTAGCACCCGGGCTAGCAGCTGCGGAGGGTGCTTTGGGTCCCACAGCAGTGCCGGCCCACCAGCGCTGCGCTCGATTTCTCGCCGGGCCTTAGCTGCCTCCCCACGGGGCAGGGCTCGGGACCTGCAGCCAGCCATGCCTGAGTTTCCCGCCCCCCGGCTCCCCGCCCGCCCCCCCCGTGCCCGCCCGCCCCCCGCTCCCCACCCGCCTGCCCACCCCCCACTCCCCCACTCCCCCACACCCTCCCCCCGCCGCCCCCCGCTCTCCCCCGCCCCCCGCCGTGGGCTCCTGCACGGCCCGAGCCTCCCCGACAAGCCCCACCCCCTGTTCCATGGCACCCGGTCCCATCCACTGCCCAAGGGCTGAGGAGTGCGGGCGCACGGCGCGGGACTGGCAGGTGGCTCCGCCTGCGCCCCTAGTGCGCGATCCACTGGGTGAAGCCTGCTGGGCTCCTGAGTCTAGTGAGGACTTGGAGAACCTTTATGTCTAGCTAAGGGATTGTGAATACACTAATTGGCTCTCAGTATCTAGCTCAAGGTTTGTAAATGCACCAATCAGCACTCTGGGTCTAGCTCAGGCTTTGTAAATACACCAATCAGCACTCTGTACCTAGCTAATCTAGTGGGGACATGGAGAACTTTTGTGTCTATCTCAGGGATTGTAAACGCACCAATCAGCAGCCTCTCAAAACGGACCAATCAGCTCTCTGTAAAACAGACCAATTGGCTCTCTGTAAAATGGACCAATCAGCAGGATGTGGGTGGGGCCAGATAAGAGAATAAAGCAGGCTGCCAGAGCACGCCTTGGCACCTCGGTGGGGGTCCCGTTCCGCACAGTTCTTTAGGTGTTTGCAATAAATCCTGGTACTGCTCACTCTTTGGGTCACACTGCGTTTATGAGCTGTAACGCCCACCGTGAAACGCTCATCGCGAAGGTCTGCAGCTTCACTCGTGAAGCCATCGAGACCACGAACCCACCGGGAGGAATGAACAACTCCAGACGCACTGCCTTAAGAGCTCTCACACTCACTTCGAAGGTCTGCAGCTTCAGTACTGTGCTAGCGAGACCACGAACCAACCAGAAGGAACAAACTTCTAACACATCAGAAGGAACAAACTCCAGACATGCTGCTTTCAAGAACTGTAATACTCACCGGGAGGGTCCGCGGGTTCATTCTTGAAGTCCCTGAGACCAAGAACCCACCAATTCCAGACACAGTGGTGCACGCCTGTGGTCCCAACTACCTGGGAGGCTGAGGTGGGAGGATCACTTGAGCTGGCAAGGTTAAGGCTGCAGTGAGCTGGGACCCGCACCACTGCCCTTAAGCCTGGGCAACAGAGTGAGACCCTGTCTCAAAAAAAAAAAAGGCTATTTTTTCAACGGTTTGGGGGCACTTGCATTAAATTATCTGAGTGTCTTGTCAGTTTCTGGGAGCTCACAGGCATGTCTGGATAGAATTACTGAAACTAGGCAGCAATATTTATCCTTCCTGCATATGGTAATGAAACTAATTTTCAGTTTAGGCCAAGAGGCTGATTCTTCACTGCCCTCTGACCAATGCTGAGTACAAAAGACCAAATACATGAGTTTGCCACTTGTTTTTCCCTAACAAAGTTAACTCTTGATCAGAACAGTAATAGCTGTTTAGAAGAGTGTGTTCAGCGTGTGTGGTTTACATATGCTAAATTCCCATTCAACTCAATTACACTTGGCAGGGACACAGAAAGCTAATGGGGAATCTGTAAAGGGCATGAACAATAGCTTTTCTGGCAGATTGATGGCTTCGTTTTATGTAGTATCTGATGTGAAGTTTACAACTGGAGCCGATTGGAGTTTGTGCAAAGTTGTACTAGCCTTTAAATTAAGAAAATGCCTTCATGTCAGGAAAAAAAGCTTGGATTGGGGATGCAGCTTGTAATTTAATAGGATGACTTGGGAGACAGCAGCGAGGATAATAGAGGTATTATGAGCAGCTCTAGGGAGAATGAATATATGCTTGTTTGGCTTGGAAAAAAATGTGGAGTTCAAGTGTAAGGTTTAAACAAATGCTTTGCAAAGTTTCTCAAAAGGTACCTGAACTACTGATACTTGAGTAACTCGCATTGTTTTCTTATATTGATTTTGAAAAAGTAATACTGAGCTCTCTGATGTGGCTCTAAAAATTTTAGAAAATGATGAAGTATTTTGATATTTAATTTATTTTAGTTCAATTCTTATAAAATTACAGAATTTAAGATTCAGAAATTGATGTCTTAGAGAGTGCCAGATTTGATTTGATAGACGGGTTTATAAAGATCACGTGAAAGGCGGCTTCCCAATGGGTTGAGCATAAAATTATTCTAGATTAGGGTGAGAATCCCCTCATTTAAGAAAGCTCCTCTTGGCGGGCCGCAATGGCTCATGCCTGTAATCCCAGCACTTCGGGAGGCCAAGCCAGGAAGATCACTGGAGCCCAGGAGTTCGAGACCAGCCTCGCAATGTAGTGAGACCTCATCTCTACAAAAAAATTTAAAATGAGGCAGGAAGATCGCTTGAGCCCTGCAGGTTGAGGCTGCAGTGAGCCATGATCACACCACTACATTCCTGCCTGGGTGACAGAGTGAGACCCTGCCTCGAAGAAAAAAGAGAGAGACCATCCTGGCTAACACAGTGAAACCCCGTCTCTACTAAAAATACAAAGAAATTAGCGGGACGTGGCAGCAGGCGCTTGTAGTCCCAGCTACTCTGGAGGCTGAGGCAGGAGAATGGCGTGAACCAGGGAGGCGAAGCTTGCAGTGAGCTGAGATTACGCCAATGCGCTCCAGCCTCCGCGACAGAGCAAGACTCCGTCTCAAAAAAAAAAAAAAAAAAAAAAAAAGAATGCCAAAAATGCCACTCCAGCACATAATTTTCTGTATATACACGCAGGTGATAATGATACGTACTTCATAAGGCATCATAAGTATTAGATTATTTCCCAAATACTTTTGCATACCCGAAGTGTGGTGCTGTAATACATTGTTTTATTTATTTATTTATTTATTTTGAGACGGAGTCTCGCTCTGTTGCCCAGGCTGAAGTGCAGTGGCGCGATCTTGGCTCACTGCAAGCTCCGCCTCCCGGGTTCATGCCATTCTCCTGCCTCAGTCTCCCAAGTAACTGGGACTACAGGCGCCTGCCACCACGCCCAGCTAGTTTTTTGTATTTTTAGTAGAGACGGGGTTTCACCATGTTAGCCAGGATGGTCTCGATCTCCTGACCTCGTGATACACCCGCCTAGGCCCCCCAAAGTGCTGGGATAAAAGGCGTGAGCCACTGCACCTGGCCAATACATTGTTTTAATAGTCTATCAAATCAGTCTACTCTTGTGAATTGATTTGATACTGCACTTAACTTTTTTTCTTATTGGCTTTAAAGGTGATGAATGATAAATGCAATGGTTCTCAAGTCATTAACAGAATTCTAAATCTTGTCAATATCTCAAGACCCAGGATTTTAGCCTTTTGGATATGTGTGTCAGCTGATTATGTAGGAGATCTCTCAACCCAATTATAATCCCCAGTGTTGTTGGCTTCAAGCACTGATAGAGCGATAAACTTCAGAAAGGTTTCAATTTGGTCCTTGAAAAGAACTATTTAAGCAGAAACTCCTAGAAGCTATAGAATTTGGCCAAGAACCACAAAAACCATTCCCTCATTCTTATTTTGCTCCCACTTTTTGATATGGAGAGGACATTGAAAGATTGTTGGGGCCAGGCATGGTGGCTCACACCTGTAATCCCAACATTTGGGAAGCCGAGGCATGTGGATTGCTTGAGCCTGGGAATTCAAGATCAGCCTGGCCAACATGGTGAACCCCGTCTCTACTAAATATTAAAAAATGAGCCAAGTGTGGTGGCACACACCTGTAATCCCTGCTACTCAGGAGACTGAGGCACGAGAATTGCTTGAACCCAGGAGGTGGAAGTTGCAGTGAGCCGAGATCACACCAGTGTACTCCAGTCTGTGTGACAGAGAGAGACTTGATCTAAAAAAAAAAAAAAAAGCCAGGCACGGTGACTCACGCCTGTAATCCCAGCACTTTGGGAGGCTGAGGCAGGCGGATCACAAGGTCAAGAGATTGAGACCATCCTGGCCAACATAATGAAACCCCCATCTCTACTAAAAATACAAAAATTAACTGGGCGTGGTGGGACACACCTGTAGTCCCAGATACTCAGGAGGCTGAGGCAGGAGAATCGCTTGAACGCAGGAGGCGGAGGTTGCAGTGAGCGGAGATCATGTCACTGCATTCCAGCCTGGCAACAGAGTGAGACTCCGTCTCAAAAAAAAGAGAAAGAAAAAAGAAGGGAAGGAAGGACGGAAGGAAGGAAGGAAGGAACTTTTCAACTATAAAATATTTTAAAACATATTTAGTTATTTGTCAGCTTTAGAGTTTGATGAAAGCTGGTATTCAGTTTCTAAATTCAATACCATGAAGAAGATGAAACTCAACTTTGATCGATTTTTCAAATCAAATTCTTCCCCCCCACAACCTTGATTCAGGATCAAATTCCTGTTGTATTGCATATATTTTTGTGATTATAAAAACAATGCATGATTATTAAAGAAACTGTGGAAAATGTAAAAAGGTTAAGAAAAACGTTAAAATTGCCTATAATCCCACCACCCAGAGAGATATAATTGCCCTTAGTATTTTAGTGTCCTTCATTCCTCTCTTTTTTCAGTGTCCATTGTCTATATGTATTTCTTCGTAAAACTGGAAATCAGTATTTGGATAGATACAGACATAGATATGTTTTCACCCTTCCTTACAATGTGACCATGTTTCCTGCCGCTCTATATTCTCTGAAAAAGTGAGCTCTAAGGTGTAATATTTATGAATCTTTCATATTGATTTAACAATTCTACTTCATATCTTTTTAAATTTTTTATTGTATTTTATTTATTTATTTTGAGACAGGGTCTCACTCTGTCGCCCAGGCTGGAGTGCAGTGGCGCAATCACAGCTCACTGCAGTCTTGATCTCCTGGGCTCAAGGGATCCTCAGCCTCCCAAGTAGCTGGGACCATGGGCAGGCACCATCATGCCCAGCTAGTTTTTTTTATTTTTATTTATTTATTTTTTTTGTAGAGAAGAGGTCTCACCATCTTGGTCAGGCTGGTCTCGAACTCCTGGGCTCAAGCTATCCTCCTGCCTTGGCCTCCCAAAGTGCCAGGATTATAGGCATGAGCCACAGCACCTGGCCAACAATTTTACTTCTTTTGGTGCATTTCTTACTGTTGAACATGAAGCTGCAACAATATCTTTGTATGAAAATCTTTTCCTACATTTCTTCTTGTTTCCTTAATACAGATTCTGAAGGAGGATTTATCGGTCAAGAGTTTTAATAGCCCTTAATACATACTGCCAACTTCTTTAATAGGAACTTCATACCAGTTTATACCCTTTCCAGCAGTTCACAAACAAACTTAGCTCACTATAAATTCATCCATAGTCTCCTGAGTAATGTATTCCACCTAAAATCTTTAAATTTTAAATCCATTTTAAAATTCAATTTTAAAGGGCTTAGTGCTTTAAGATTTGGTGGGCAGGGTGAGGGAATGATCCAGTGGTTTGATCTGTTCCAATTTTCAAATTGTCATTAGTGAAGTTAAGACTCAGAGGTTAGTAATTTTTGTAAGCCCTTGATCTGGTCTTTCTCAGAGGATGTGGACTTCACAATCAATTGTCTTCAAGGCCCTGAGAGTGGATCCTTTCCCAAGTGGGAAAGGAAAGGGAAGGTCTGAGTGAACTCCCAGAAAAGTGGGGTACGATAGCCCAACAACACTTGAATTTCTAATTGGGGTAAGGTGGGGACATAAGGGTGAAGGTGTTAGAAGAGATACTGGAAATAAGGAAAACAGTCCTAGTTATTAAAATCCCTGAGGGGTTTGACTAAATGTGGAGAGACAGACTGTTCTTCTGCCAGTTGTAGATCCTACAGAAGACCGGGTGCAGTGGTTCTGGCCTATAATCCCAACACTTTGGGGGGATCACTTGAGCCCAGAAATTTGAGAACTGCCTGGACAACATAGTGAGACCCTATCTCTAAAAAGAATTTTTAAATGTTGAAAGCTAATCAGAGGCCACAAAGTCATTCTTAAAGTCATTGTGCACTTTGCTTCCTTTGTTGTATGTTTGTTTCCTTTGTAACTGATTTACTACTTTACACACTCAGATTTTTAATTATAGCAGCAATTACTAGATTCAATGACATAAAGTTACCATTTCTGTCAGTAAAGATTCAATACCAGCTAATTTCACACAGTTCAATTTCACACCTGGGGAATTAATTATTCTTAATCATTAGGAGTCAATGGTAAAACTTTCTGATGAAAGCACCTGTAGCAAGGCCTCTACCAAGCTCCCCTCCTGTGGGGGGTGTTGACATGGCGGCCAGCAGCCAGCACAGCCTCTCTCTCCTGAGCCCCATAAGCGGAGGTAGGGATACAGTAGTTGGTGTGTTTGTGACAGCAAAGCCACCAGAGGGAGCTCTAGCATTGACTCCTATATGTTTGTCTGTGTGCCACGGATTCAAAGAAAAACAATAAATATCTAATGATTGCTTGTGTTTTTGAGCACTCCTTGCACAGTCCTAAGGTTTAGACACAATCATATCAATATCATTTCATTGTTAACATGAATTAAGCTTCTTTGTGTCTGTCAGATATTCTTTCATGCTTACCACAAGTCTATCAAGATATTATTATTCTCACTTTGATTGATGAGGGAGGTGATTAAGTTTTACAGAAATTAAGTGATTTTACAAAAGAAGAAATAACACAGAGATTTTATCTATAGTCTCAGCGCCCCCCACCCCCTTCCCACCTCCATTAAAGTTCTCCTTCCTGCCCTCTCTTTTCTCTTTTCCTACTGGGAATCTAAAGGAGATAAATCTTGCTTTAAAACTAAGGAAACAAAGAAGAATGCGTTTTATTTTGTGTAAATTATTCTTCAATATATTTAACATGTAAGGGGAAAACAAGAAAGGGAAAGGAAACGAGAAGGGGAAAGAAAGGGAGAAGAGAGAAGAGGGGAGAGGAGGAGAGGAGAGGAGAAAGAAAAGGAGAAGAGAAGAGAAAGAAAAGAAAAGAGAAATAGCCAGGCACAGTGCCCCATGCCTGTAATCCTAGCACTTTGGGAGGCCGAGGTGGGTGGATCACCTGAGGTCAGGAGTTCAAGACCAGCCTGGCCAACGTGGCGAAACCCTATCTCTACTAAAAATACAAAAATTAGCCAGGTGTGGTGGTGCACACCTGTAATCCCAGAGGCTGACGTAGGAGATTCGCTTGAACCCGGGAGGCAAGGTTGCAGTGAGCCAAGATTGTGGCACAGCACTCCAGCTTGGACAACAGAGCAAGACTCCGTCTCCAAAAAACGAAAAGAAAAAGGAGGCCAGGAGTGGTGGTGGGTGCCTGTAACCCCAGCTACTTGGAAGGCTGAAGTGGGAGAATTGCGTGAGCCCAGGAGGAGGTTGCAGTGAGCCAGGATCTAGCCACTGCAGTCCAGCCTGAGAGAGGGAGAGAGACTCCATCTCAAAAAAAAAAAAAGAAAGAAAGAAAGGAAAAAAAAAAGAGAGAAAGAGCTGATGCTCATGTCCATAAAGCCCGAAAATGTTCCAATCCTGCCGGCTCACTGCTAAGGGAATACTTCAACCCACAGCACCCCACCTCCACCCACACATTCCTTAGGCTACTGTTTCTATGACTCCTTTTCCCTCCTCAAGCTTGCCCGAGATGGCTGTTTGATCTTGGTTTCACCCTTATTCAAATTCAGAAGTAGGGGCAGAGACCAGAGGAAGATGTTAGGAATATCCATAACCCCCAAAGATGGCCACTAGACTTACTTCTACAGCACTTTACAGTACCAGACATGTACAAAGTACCTATGCACAGATTAAGAGCAAGGACGGTCAAGGTATACAGCCGCATATTTGCTGAATGGACTTAGTTAAGTCACTTAATCTCATCCATAAAATGTATGTAATAGGCGGGCACTATAACATGCAAAATGTATTTAATAGGCTCACTCCTGTAATCCCAGCACTTTGGGAGGCTGAGGCGAGTGGATCACTTGAGCCCAGGAGTTTGAGACCAGGCTGGGCAACATGGCAAAACCCTGGCTCTACAAAAAATGCCAAAAATTAGCCGGGCATGGTGGTGCGCGCCTGTAGTCCCAGCTACTTAGGAGGCTGAGGTGGGACGATCACTTGAACCTGGGAGGTTGAGGCTGCAGTGAGCCATGATCATGCCACTGCACTCCAATCTGGGAGACAGAGTAAGACCCTGTCTCAAAAATAATATGCATGTAGTAAATGTAATCATGTCTACTACTTAGCATTGCTGTGGAGATTTAATTAGGCAATGCATAGAAAAGTACTTAGCCTGGTGTTTGGTGGGAAACTTCAATTAATGTTAACTAATATTATTGTTTTCTTTAATACTCACAACAATCGTATTTGTCCATTTAGCCTAGAACTTGGCATAGACACATGGTTTGTAAGCGTGTTTGTGGTTAACAGCAGTCTTCAGTTAAAGAGAGGCGAACCAACTTGCCAAAGGTCCACAGCTAGTTTTACAACTACGAAATGTTTTCCAAAATATTTTCAGTTTTTCTGTGAGACTGAGAGATATTATCTTCAAATAGATTACGAGATGTGCACAGCAACGTCCACCCGCCTTACACAAGAGCAAACAGCTTTCCAAAAGCCATCAGAAAACCCCTGGGGTTTGTTGGTCCAAGAACAGAAACAATGCAGTCACACCCAGACCCTAAATTTAGGGGGGCCTTAGAGTTAGTTTTATTTAAATATTGTAATGTGACTCTGAGCAAGCAACATTTTCTCTGTGCTTTGTTTTTTAAAGGACATGGGAAAATTTACTTTGGGGAGCCAGGGCGCTTGGCTAGAAAGGGAAGGAGGAAAGAGAGAAAGGAAAGGGTAGAGGGAAAGCTGAGACCTGAGACCCAGGAGAACTCGGGCAAGAGATTTGAACCCTGGGTTCCACTGCCCTTATTTTCTTTTTTTAATTTTATTTTTAGTTCTGGGGTACATGTGCAGGATGTGCAGGTACATGTGCAGGATAAATTTAATTTTTATTTTTAGTTCTGGGGTACATGTGCAGGATGTGCAGATTTGTTACATAGGCAGATGTGTGCCATGGCAGTTTGCTGCACCTATCAACCCATCACCTAGGTATTAAGCCCAACATCCACTAACTATTTTTCCTAAGGCTCTCCCTCCCGCTACCCCACCTCCTGACAGGCCCCAGTGTGTGTTGTTCCCCTCCCTGTGTCCATGTGTTCTCATTGTTCAGCTCCCACTTATAAGTGAGAACATGTGGTGTTTGGTTTTCTGTTCCCGAGTTAGTTTGCTGAGAAAAATGACTTCCAGCTCCATCCATGTCCCTGCAAAGGACATGATCTCGTTCCTTTATATGGCTGCATAGTATTCCATAGTGTATATGTACCACATTTCCTTTATCCAGTCTATCATTGGTGGGCATTTGGGTTGATTCTATCCTTATTTTCTTTTTCTTTCTTTCTTTTTTTTGAGATGGAGTTTCGCTCTTGTCACCCAGGCTGGAGTGCAATGGCGCAATCTCTGCTCACCGGCCTCCGTCCTTATTTTCAAAAATAGCAACTTGGGGCCGGGCTCGGTGGCTCACACCTATAATCCCAGTACTTTGGGAGGCCAAGGCGGGTGGATCACGAGGTCAGGAGATCGAGACCAGCCTGGCCGACATGGCAAAACCCCATCTCCACTAAAAATACAAAAATTAGCCGGGTGTGGTGCCACACACCAAAGGCCTGTGAGTCTATAAACGTTTTCTGTCTGCCCTCATCCTGCAGCACTTTCCACACAATCTCTTTTTGATATCACATGATATTTTATATGCTCAGTACCAACTTTAGAGGTCTGCAAGTTGTTAGCTTTTCCTTTTCGGTAACTTTGTTAATATCATTATTAGAAGTCCAGTTCAATAATTACACTAGGTTCAGTTTAAATAGGAAGCAAACAGCTATATGTCTAAGTGCAGAACTGCTGACAAGTGAGGGTGGACCGGGGGGTTAAATATTCCTGACATTGGGCCAGGGAGAGTTGAAAGTTTGCCAATTGTGGTACTGGTAAACTACTGCAAAGAAATTTGGAAGAGTTATTAAGAATTACAAGAAGATAGATGCTTCAGGATAATATGTCATTTGCAAAGAGAAGTATGCCATTTGGGGTCAAAAAACATCTGATGCACTGTCCAGGTCACAGAAATCACCAAATCTCAGAAGGAGACGAGACCTTGGATGTCAGGCAACCTGACTTCCTTTCCAATCAGGCTTATAATCCAACAGGTGACCATCCAGCCTCTACGTAAGCATTTCTCCAGAAGGGAAGTTTCTTAATTTAAGAAGTTGTCTGGACTGAGTGCAGTGGCTCACACCTGTAATCCCAGCACTTTGGGAGGTGGAGGTGGGTGAATCACTTGAGCCCAGGAGTTCAAGACCAACCTGGCCAACATGGCAAAAACCTGTCTCTACAAGAAATACAAAAATTAGCCAGGCATGGTGGCATGTACTTGTAATCTTAGCAACTCGAGAGGCTGAGGTGGGAGGATTCCCTGAGCCTGGGAGGCCAAGGCTGAAGTGAGCTGTGATTACGCTACTGCATTCCAGCCTGGGTGACAGAGTGAGATCCTGTCTCAAAAAAAAAAAAAAAAAGAAAGAAAAAAAAAAGTTGTCTGGGGCATGGTTAGGACTATGCACTTTTGGATTAAGAATGCATTTGTCTCCCTGTAGTTTTAGCCCATTGGCCCAGTTTCTGATTTGAAGAACACAACAGAACACATTCTTCTCTTTTCAGACCTATGACTATCTTTCTCTTCTCTGGGTCACTGTCCCTCATAAAATGTGACGAAAGCAAAGGTTCAGGGTCAATGCTGTCAAAATTCAGATGAGCACTGGGCTTAGCAAATGGAGGGATTAATCCTGACAAGAGCAAATTCAGTAGATTGAAATGTGTGTGTGGTTTTTTCATTTGTTTGTTTTTGAGATGGAGTTTCACTCTTGTCGCCCAGGCTGGAGTGCAGTGGCGCGATCTTGGCTCACTGCAACCTTTGCCTCCTAGGTTCAAGAGATTCTCCTGCCTCAGCTTCCTGAGTAGCTGGGATCATAAGCACGCACCACCACGCCTGGCTAATTTTTGTATTTTTAGTAGAGACAGGGTTTCGCCATGTTGGCCAGGCTGGTCTCGAACTCCTGAACTCAGGTGATCCACCCACCTTGGCTTCCTAAACTGCTGGGATTACAGGCATGAGCCACGGTGCCTGGCCCAAAATGTGTTTTAAATAGAAAGGGGAAAAGGATCAGAGACTGAGAGTACAGACAATTCTTTCAAGGAATTTTGCTCCCAAGGGGAACTAGAAATGGGATGACAGTGAACCCAACTCCCATGACAATTACAACATGTTTGAAATTACTTTTGTGTATTTTTTACTTGTTTATTGTCTATCTTCTCCCACTAGAATATAAGCTCTGGCAGCAGGACTTTGCCGCCTTCACCATTGTATTCTCAGTCCCTGGCACATAGTGGAGGCTCAATTAATATTTGTTGGATAAATGAATAATGCATTTTGAAAACTGGAAGATTCTGGATCTTACAGTTTTATTGTTTGAAAAAAAATTTTTTAGGCCACTTATGGTGGCTCATGCCTGTAATCCCAGCACTTTGGGAGGCCAAGGTGGGCGGATCACCTGAGGTCAGGAGTCCAAGACCAGCCTGGCCAACATGGTGAAACCCCGTCTTTACTAAAAATACAAAAACCAGCTGGGTGTGGTGGTGCACATCTGTAATCCCAGCTACTCGGGAGGCTGAGGTGGGGGAATCGCTTGAACCCGGGAGATGGAGGTTACAGTGAGCCAAGATCGCACCACTGCACTCCAGTGGGTGACAGAGTCAGACTCTGTCAAAAAAAAAAAAATTTGATTCTAGAAATGTAGTCTTGCTATGTTGTCCAGGCTGGACTTGAACTCCTGGGCTTAAGGGATCCTCTCACCCCAGCCTTCTGAGTAGTTATGACTATGGGTATACACCACTGTGCCCAGCTAGAATCTTAATGTCTTAAACAAGAAATGTATACCTCTTAAGAAACTCTGATGGAACAGTATTTTTGTTTTACCATAGAAAGCCTCTACCGGCCGGGCACGGTGGCTCACGCCTGTAATCCCAGGACTTTGGGAGGCCGAGGCAGGCGGATCATGAGGTCAGGAGATTGAGACCATCCTGGCTAACATGGTGAAACCCTGTCTCTACTAAAAATGCAAAAAATTAGCAAGGTATGGTGGCGGGCGCTTATAGTCCCAGCTACTCGGGAGGCTGAGGCAGGAGAATGGTGTAAAGCCAGGAGGCGGAGCTTGCAGTGAGCTGAGATCGCACCACTGCACTCCAGCCTGGGCAACAGAGCAAGACTCTATCTCAAAAAAAAAAAAAGCCTCTACCTTGGCCAGGTGTCACGGCTCATGCCTGTAATCCTAGAACTTTGGGAGGCCAAGGTAGGAGGATCACTTGAAGCAGGAGTTTGAGACCAGCCTGGGCAACATAAAGAGATCTATTAAAAAAAAGAAAAAAGAAAAAGTCTCCCCCTTAAAATAGATTAATGAGGCTTCAGGATACACCTCTGCATAGGTTGGGTCATCAAAGAAGCAGAAGCCAAGATGGGATTGCACATGAGAGAGATTTACCGTGGGAATGTCTGTGATGGATAAAGGGGAGGGAGCCAGAGAAAGAGAAAAGCCTTCCCACAGCAACACAGAGCTGACACCTGTGAAGAGAGAGGGGAAGGTGAGAGATTGGGTGGGAAGAGTCTGAGGGTGCAGCACAGTTCTAAAAAGACCTTGAGTGGGGAGTGGAAAGGATCTCACTCTGTCACCCAGGCTGGAGTGCAGTGGCCGTGATCATGGCTCACTGCAGCCTCAGCCTCTGGTGCTCAGGTCCCACCTCAGCCTCTTCAGTACCTGGGACTGCAGGCATGCACACCACACCCAGCTAATTTTTTGGTATTTTTTTTGTAGAGATGGGGTCTTGCCATGTTGCCCAGGCTGGTCTCGAATTCCTGGGCTCAAGAGATCCTCCCACCTTGGCCTCTCAAAGTGCTGGGATTACAGGGGTGTAATCCTGCATCTGGCCAAGTGGGGAGTTCTTCTATAAAAGAGCCTGCCCCTGCCTGTTAAAGGAGTCCTTCCTTTTGCAGGAATCGGCCTACATGAGTACCTTCTCCTTGCTCCGTCAGGCTGGGGGCAGCCTGTAGGAAGTGTGGTCTTCAAGAAAATGGGTCCAGGGGTCTGCAGCCGGGGCCATCAGTCAGTTATGCTCGCCACAGCAGAAGAGCTGAGCAGTGGGGACTCACAGCTGCCACAGTTCACCCCTGTATCCCAGATCTACTTTTCCGTGCAGACTGGGGAGCAGCTCCTCTTCTCTTCCCGAGGGGAAAGCCCTATAGCTGCAGTTGGTCTCAGGGGCACAATTGGTATTCATTTCTTCCTTCCATCCCTGCCCCCTACCCCTTTTTTTTTTTTTTTTTTTTTGAGACAAGTCTTGCTCCGTCGCCCAGGCTGAAGTGCAGTGGTGCCATCTCAGCTCACTGCAACCTCTGCTTCCCGGGTTCAAGCGATTCTCCTGCCTCAGCCTCCCAAGTAGCTGGGATTACAGGCGTGCGCCACCATGCCTGGCTAATTTTTGTATTTTTAGTACAGACGGGGTTTCCCCATGTTGGCCAGGCTGATCTCGACCTCCTGACCTCAGGTGATCCGCCCACCTCGGCCTCCCAAAGTGCTAGGATTACAGGTATGAGCCACCGTGCCCAGCTTTCCCTGCCCATCTTAAATTCCCTTAACCTTAGGCTCTCACCTTGGCAGTTCTCAGTGCTTACCTTGTTATGTGACCCAAACTGTCACTCCTAAGAGCCTGAGTTCCTGGCAATCATGCTGTTTTGAGACTGGGGGTTGCTCTGTATGTCCATACACAGTTACAGTGGGGCAAGGAAGTACCGGGAAGTGCCCAACTGGGTCACATGGGTTCCACATAAATTCTTCCCTGACCCCATGTATAAGCACAGCCCTACCTCTTCCTGCTGGTAATTGACTAGAGTCAATTACTCCTGCCACAATGGTGACTCTTCTCACCTGCTGGTCTCACAGGAGTTCATAGTACCCTGGCAATAACTGCAGCTTGCAATTCAGTGTTCCCTGGCAAAAGTGTACCCCCTTTGGACCTCCAATTCTGCAGAGCCTAGAGTTGTAGGGATGGGAAGCACGGAGTCTCCCAGTGGGTCACTGGGAGTGATGGTAGGTAAGGCTGCTCCTGCTTCCATCCCTTGGTTCCCAGATCCATTTATTCTTTCTACGGGGAACACAGCACCACAGAGACATCTCTGATTTAATGCATATTCCTCATCCTGAAGATGGCACTCGATATTTGCATGGTGTTGCCTCTGAGCTGGTACTTTAGTTATCTTTAGAAGCCATGCTATTGCATCCAGCTGCTTCTGGATGGTATAATGCACGATATGACCAGTGGATCCCATGGTCATGGGTCCACTCCTGCACCTCCTGTATTATAATTGGGTCCCCTGGTCAGATGCTACGTCATAAGTGATTTCATACCTATGGATCAGGCATTGTATAAGACCCCAGACAGTCATGCTGGCTGAGGCTTTTTGGGCAGAAAACCAAACACATACTCAGAATATATATCTATCCCTTTAAGGATCAACCACTGGCCCTCCAGGATGGAGGGTGCCCAATATAGTAGGCTTGCCAAAAAGTGACCAGTTCTCTTGCTCAAGGAATAGTGCCATACTGAGGGCCTGTTGTCTGTTTTGCTGACAGTTGGACATTCAAAGTCAGCAGTAGCTAAATCAGCCTTGATATGTGAGAGTTCACGCATTGGGATGATGCCTGGGCTCCATTTACGCCACCATAGCTGCTCCATTCATGTGCCCATGGTGCCTGTTGTGGAGTGGCTGATGATGAAGATTAGCTAATGTCACCTGGATAAGTCATTTTGCCTACTTGGTTGATCGGTACCTTTTCCATGGGAGATGCTTTCTGGTGGTTGTTAATATGTGACACAAAAATTTTCATACTCCATGGCCATTCCTATATGTCCAGCCACATGCCTCTATTCCTACTTTATGACTTGGTGGATCTGACAGAAGCCAGTTCATAGTGGGCAGTTCTGGGGGTGTGGTTACTTACAACCATAGTCAAGCATTCTCTTTATCAGAGCCCGGTAAAATGTGAGAAAAGGGCTGGCGTAACTCAAGGAATCAAGTCAATTTAAACCCTATGTCCAATAATCCTTGAAATGACTGAGGATTCCCCTTTCTCTATTTTATAATCACCTGAGTAAATGGCCAGAGGTCTTTCTGAGGAGTGGCTGTAAGGATTATTACAGTAGATATTTGCTGTGGTATGGCAGGCTCCTTCTCCCTAGGGACCCGGCCACCCCTTCAGTCAATGGGTTGCAGATCTGAAAACTGGATCAAGTGTGGGAACGTTGAAGGGATGTGGCTTCTGACTGGAGTGATCTCCCTCAGCCTCCTGCCCCTCCTTTCCTGCCTTTTTCTAGTGTCAACATGACGCTGCACCCTCTTGGCTCCCCATCACTTTTACCCCTAGGGACACCGTGCTCTACTGTCTCACAGCTCCCTTCAGGTCCAGCCCTCTGGCTGCAGCCTGACCTTGCTAGTCATACTGGTGATTGTGGCTGCCTGGCTCCTGACACTCTGGAGCCTCATATTCCCATGGATATTAATGAGTCCAGCTCTGCTACTGTCACTTCTGCCATCGGCGCTGACCTGCGGAGGAGGGCCACCACTGCTTAGTGATACTGGTGCCCCTCTCAAGTCCTGAAGGCACTGGTGAACGGCGTGTCCTCTGGGTCCTGTGGGTCCATTTTCTTTTCTTCTTTTTTTCTTTTTTTTTTTTTTTGAGGCGGAGTCTCACACTGTCGTCCAGGCTGGAGTGCAGTGGCGCGATCTCGGTTCACTGCAACCTCCACCTCCCGGGTTCATGCCATTCTCCTGCCTCAGCCTCCCAAGTAGCTGGGACTACAGGCGCCTGCCACCAAACCTGGCTAATTGTTGTTTTTGTTGTTGTTGTTGTTGTTGTTGTATTTTTAGTAGAGATGGGGTTTCACCGTGTTAGCCAGGATGGTCTCGATCTCCTGACCTCGTGATCTGCCCACCTCGGCCTCCCAAAGTGCTGGGATTACAGGTGTGAGCCACCGCGCCTGGCCCCTTGTGGGTCCATTTTCCTTAGCTTCTTTATTCTTTTCTCTGCCACCTGCCAGGGCAACTCAAGCATTTCCACTTTTCTCAGCATGGCCTAATATTGCAGCAGGCTTCTAAGAGCCACTTTAGCAGTGAGTTTCACTCATCCTCTGGGGTCCTTATCAGGGGCCTGTGTCCCCCCCAAAATTGTCCTCTAGTCAAGGAAGTCTTGCTTTTCTAGTCTTACTTTCTAGTCTCCTTGAACAAGTACTCCCAAATCTGATTCCAAAGTTTTCCACTGGTTCCTGCTCGCTAATTCTTATAGGTCCTTTGATATATAATCTCTTTTTTCCCTATCAGGCCCAGCCCTTCCCTGTCTTGATTATACTGCATTTGTTTATTGGCTTGGGAGACAGTAGAGGAATTGGGGGCAGCTCCTGAGAGGGCAACCTGTTGCCTTGCTGGAGAGGGATGCATTTTCATGGCCACAACCTCCCACCAGGTCTCCTGAAGCCAGCCTTTGAAAGTGGTAGTTCTTACTATGAAATGATGGGCCAGCCCGGCAGACCTGGAGGGTTCAGAGGGCTCTGCCAAGTCAACATCCTGAGAGGCATGCATTCAGATGCCCCCATCCCATGTTTCAGAGTCCCAGATTCCTCCAAACAGGGCCCTGACCTTAGCTTAACTGACTTGCTTTAGCTGAGCATTTAGGCATCTCTAGAGCTCTAGGACTATCAGAGCCTCAGTCTGTGGCTCAGCTGTGGCAGTTCTTCCACTGCAGGAGAGGAGGACCCTTTTTTAAGCTACCAAACAGGTTCTCTAGCTCTCACAGTCTCTATTGCTTGTTATCACTTGGTGGGATGTCAATACAACTTAGCAGTAATCAGTCAACTCTGCTCTCCCTGTAGCTATCATTCCCCCACAACCATAGCTCTCCAATGCCTGGATCTCTGCACCTGCACTGCATTCTCCTCCACCAGGACATCTTCCTGAATCACCACTGATGAAATCTTTAGCAGTTGCACCACCACATTGTGCGAGGAACTATCCACGCCCCGTATATCATTCAGGGTAGCATCCTCTTAGCCTACTGGGCAATGAGGGAGCCAGTCTCCAAACCCCATCTTACTCTTGTTTTCTCAGACCACTGCTGACATTACTCGGGTTAGTCTGAGTTCTTTGAGAAGCAGAAGCTAAGATGGGATTGGATGTGCAGGAAACTCCTTAGGGAATACTTGTGCGGGATAAAGGAGAGGAGCCGAAATAGGCAAGAAGAGCCTTCAGACGCAAAGCAGGTCTGACCTCTGTGAGAGACGGGGAAGGAAGGAGGATCTGATAGGAGACTCTCAGGCTGCAGTCACAAAAGCTGCTCAGCCTGGTTGATGGGGCATCCTTGAGCCAAAGTCCGTCATTAAAAGAGTCTGTATTAGTAAAGAATGAGTCTGTATTAGTAAAGAATGAGTCTGTATTAGTACAGAATGAGTCTGTATTAGTTGTGCCCTGCTTGCTCAGTCATTGGCTAGCAGCAGCTTGTAGAAAGGGCGTTCTGTAAATGAGATGGGGGTGGGTCCAGAGGTCTGCAGCTGTGGCCATTAGTCAATTATGCTCCCTGCAGCCGGAGAGCTGAGGGATGCATTTTCATGGCCACAGCCTCCCACCAGGTCCCTTGAAGGCTACTTATATCACTATTGTTTGTGTATCTTGTGAGTCATAGTATAAGGAAGCCAGATCTAACCTCAGAGATGATTTCACGTGATGTCTTCATTTTAATGATGAAAGAAGAGAAACTTTAAAATTTAAAATAAACTTTCCCAAGGCACATGCATTTCAGATTGGACCATTTTATTTTGTGTGAAGATATTCCACGCATTGCCGCACATTTGGCATTTCTGGCCCCAGGGACTAGATGCCAGTATTCTCCCTGACCTCCTGCATCATGACAAACAAAATTGCTCCCCCACCACCTCATTTCTAAAAGCTCCCTGGAGGCAATAAAGTCCCAAGTAGTACCACTGAACAGCTCATTGATCTCAGAGTCAAAATGAATATCCAAACAAGACCCCTGTATAATGCACTTCCATAACATCAAGAGAGCCACTAAAACAAAAAATGCCTCAGGGAGTCACAACCATTCCTGCTTCAGAGAGTACTCTGCACCTCTTTAGCATTTATCTTTTTTTTTTTTTTTTTGAGATGGAGTCTCACTATGTCATGATCTCAGCTCACCGCAACCTCCACCTCCTGGGTTCAAATGATTCTTGTGTCTCAGCCTCCCGAGTAGCTGGGATTACAGGCGAGCCCAACCACGCCTGGCTAATTTTTGTATTTGTATACAAATATAATGTTGGCCAGGTTGGTCTCAAAGTCTTGACCTCGAGTGATCCACCCACCTCAGCCTCCCAAATTGCTGGGATTACGGCATGAGCCACTGTGCATGGCCCATAGTATTTATTTATTTATTTATTTATTTATTTATTTATTTTTGTTTGTTTTGAGACAGAGTCTTGCTCTGTTGCCCAGGCTGGAATGCAGTGGTTGCCCAGGCTGGAATGCAGTGGTGCGATCTTGACTCACTGCAACCTCTGCCTCCCTGGTTCAAGAGATTCTTCTGCCTCAGCCTCCTGGGTAGCTGGGACTACAGGCGTGCGCCACCGCACCCAGCTAATTTTAGTATTTTTGGTAGAGACAGAGTTTCGCCATGTTGGCCAGCCTGGTCTCAAGCTCCTGACCTCAAGTTATCCGCCCGCCTCGGCCTCCCAAAGTGCTGGGATTACAGGTGTGAGGCACTGCACCTGAGTACCCACCGCATTTATCTTGCATATATAAGCTCCTTAGACATCCTGGTTAGGAGACCCATGGTAGGCAATTTGGTCATAGTTCAAATTGCCTTCCTAGTATCTTCATATGAGTGAATGAAATGCACTTCAGCATCAAACCATTGCTTTTCCATCCTTTCCGAAACTGCTCTTCCATGTCTCTACCCCCATCTTTCTCTTCTAAATAAATGATGCTCCTCTGCAGCTAGTTGTTCAAGCTAAAAACTGGGGAAACTTCCTCTATTCTCCTGGGTGTTTAAATTTTATTTATTTTATTTTTGAGGCAGGGTCTTTCTCTGTTGCTCAGGCTGGAGTGCAATGGCTTGATCACGGCTCACTGCAGCCTCGACCTCCTGGGCTCAAGTCATCCCCCCACATCAGCCTCCCAAGTAGCTAGGACTACAGGTGTATGCCACCACACCTGGCTAATGTTTTTTAAAAATATATTTTGTAGAGACAGGGTCTCACTTTGTTCCCCATGCTGGTCTTGAACTCCTGGGTTCAAGTGATCCTCCTACCCTTGCCTCACAAAGTGCTGGGATTATAGGCATGAGCCACTGTGCCCAACCCAATTCTTCTCTTTTTCTTACACCCCAAATCCAATCCATGAGCAAATTCAATTGTCTCTGTCTCCAAAATCTAACCAATGTCCGTCTACTTCTCTCTATGCCCACAGCTACTGCATGTCAAAGCCACCATCATCTCACTCATACCAATATAACAGCCTCCTATCTTTGTTCTCTGCTTCCTTTACAATATAGCAGCCACATAATATTTTTTTCTTTTTTTCTGTCTTTTATTTATTTTTATTTTTATTTTTTTTTTGAGATGGAGCTTCATTCTTGTTGCCCAGGCTGGAGGACAATTGCGTGATCTCGGCTTACTACAACCTCCGCCTCCCAGGTTCAAGCGATTATCCTGCCTCAGCCTCCCAAGTAGCTGGGATTACAGGCACCTGCCACCAGGCCCGGCTAAATTTTTTTGTATTTTTAGTAGAGATGGGGTTTCACCATGATGGCCAGGCTGGTCTCGATCTCCTGACCTCAGGTGATCCTCCCACCTCAGCTTCCCAAAGTGCTGGGATTACAGGCATGAGCCACCACACCTGGCCAGAATATTTTCTTAAATGTAAATCAGATTACATCTGATGTTAAAATCCCTACTTCCCTAAAGTAAAATCCACATGCTTTACCAAGCCTTAGAAGGCCCTCAAGATCTAGCCCCTGCCTACCTTGCTGATCTTGGCTCATGCCCCTGCCCTGCTCAATCACTATACACCGCCAGCTCTGCTGACTCTTGCTCTGTCCATTAAATACACCAAGCTCAGTCCTGAGGTCCATTGCGTTCATTCTGCCTGGAATATTCTCCCACATCCTCTCTCAACTGGCTCCTTGATTCAGGTCTCAGTTCAAATGTCATCTCTCAATGAGGCCTTCCTTGACCACCCAAACTAAAGCAGCCTCCACACTACCACATCCTCTAACATATTACATACTCTGTTAGTTTCTTCATATGACTTACCACTATGCAACATCATTTTATTTATTTCTTCTCTCCCCCATCTAGAATGTAAGTTTCATCAGCGAAGGGGCTCTGTCTGTTTTGCTCATAGCTGCATCCCTAGCACCCACCCCAGCTGGGCATGGAGTGGGTTCTCAACAACGTGTGTGTTACATGAATGAATAGTACCTTTGATGTACATGGTCCCCTTATAGCTAATGTCATTGCGGATTTTGATCATTGACATAAATCTTTTGGCTTTCAATATACAGTATCCCAAATGTTGGGGTTTGTTGTTCTATACACTGTCAGTTGTAAGTATTGACTTCAACTGTCAACTGACAGACAATATTTGCTGTTTGACAATGGAGTCTGCATAATTTCTAAAGAGAATCTTTATAAACAAGAAGCCAAGGGGCCCTTGCCCTCTGAAAACTACTGTACTAACTTTATTGGATTGGGGACTGATTCTTTGTTAGCCCCCTAAATTCAGTAAAGGCCTCCTCTCCCTAACACATTTCTTTTCTTTCTTTTTTTTTTTGAAATAGAGTTTCACTCTTGTTGTCCAGGCTGGAGTGCAATGGCATGATCTCAGCTCACCACAACCTCCGCCTCCCAGGTTCAAGCTATTCTCCTGCCTCAGCCTTCCAAGTAGCTGGGATTACAGGTATGCGCCACCATGCCCGGCTAATTTTGTATTTTTAGTAGAGATGGGGTTTCTCCATGTTGGTCAGGCTGGTCTCAAACTTCCGACCTCAGGTGATCTGCCTGCCTTGGCCTCCCAAAGCACTGGGATTACAGGCGTGAGCCACTGCGCCCAGCCCTCCCTAACACATTTCTACAAGCTGCCATCTCCAACAGAGAAATGCGTTATTGAAGAAAACAATGTAGTTATAGCTCAACACTTTTTAGGTGTTTTTTGTTTTTTGTTTTTTTTTTTGAGAGGGAGTCTCGCTCTGTTGCCCAGGCTGGAGTGCAATGGTGCAATCTCGGCTCACTGCAACCTCCAGCTCCTGGGTTCAAGTGATTCTCCTGCCTTAGCCTCCCAAGTAGCTGGGACAACAGGCATGCATCACCATGCCCAGCTATTGTTTGTATTTTTAGTAGAGACAGGGTTTTACCATGTTGGCCAGGATGGTCTCGAACTCCTGACCTCAGGTGATCCACCTGCCTCAGCCTCCCAAAATGCTAAGATTACAGGTGTGAGCCACCACACCTGGCCTACTTTTTGGGTATATTTTTAACAACCTCAAACTAAACTGGCACACTTAAGTAGTAGAAGGTAAACTACAAATATCTTGAGAATCAGAAAAAAAAAAAAAAGCCTGGTCCATGAATAGAGAAAAATTTCTGTCCAACTTGGAGACTGTTAGGAGGGCACTGAGGGGAGGGTGTCTTTTTGCACCAATTACTGATACCTAAAGGATAAAAGAGCTGGCCAGGCGTGGTGGCTCATGCCTGTAATCCCAGCACTTTGGGAGGCTGAGGCGGGTGTATCACCTGAGATCAGGAGTTCAAGACCAGGCTTGCCAACAGGGCAAAAACTCATCTCTACTAAAAATACAAAAATTAGGCCAGGTGCGGTGGCTCATGCCTGTAATCCCAGCACTTTGGGAGACCGAGGGAGGTGGATCACCTGAGGTCAGGAGTTTGAGACTAGCCCGGCCAACATGGCGAAACCCCGTCTCTACTAAAAATAAAAAAATTAGACGGCTGCAGTGGCGTGCGCCTGTAATCCCAGCTACTAGGGGTTTCTGAGGCAGAAAAATTGCTGAACCTGGGAGGCGGAGGTTGCAGTGAGCCAAGATCACGCCATTGCACTCCAGCCTGGGGGACAAGAGCAAGACTCCATCTCAAAAAAACAAACAAAAACAATTAGCTGGATGTGGTGGCATGAGCCTATAATCCCAGCTACTAGGGGGTGCTGAGGCAGGAGAACTGCTTTTACCTGGAGGCGGAGGTTGCACTGAAGCGAGATCTCGCCACTGCCCTCCAGCCTGGGCAACCGAGCGAGACTTCGTCTCAGAAAAAAAAAAAAAAAAAGGATAGAAGAGTCTTGCAGCCGGGCGTGGTGGCTCACGCCTATAATCACAGCACTTTGGGAAGCCAAGGTGGGTGGATCACCTGAGTTTGGGAGTTCGAGACCAGCCTGGCCAACATGGTGAAACACCATCTCTACTAAAAATACAAAAATGAGCTGGGTGTGGTGGCAGGCACCTATAGTCCCAGCTACTCAGGAGGCTGAGGCAGGAGAATCGTTTGGACCCGGGAGGCAGAGGTTGCAGTGAGCCGAGATTGTGCCACTGCACTCCAGCCTGGGAGACAGAGTGAGACTCTGTCTCAAAAAAAAGTCTTGCTGACAGAACTCTATTTAGAATAAGAGAGGAGAGAAGGTTTTCTAAGAATGCTTGCCATCCTAGACATTTCTGCTTTTATTCACCAAGGAATGCAAACCATCTTGTTTTACATTTTTTAATTTTACCATTGAATCCATTTGCATGGCACTGTTACAAAGCATTTGAAAAACACATTCCAAAGCAGAACTCATTGGAAGCAAGGTCACTGGCCTCAAAATTTAGTGTCCAGTCGGGCCTTGCACCTGGTGGGAACTCGGCAAGTATATCAAACAGACCTGGATGCCTGAAAAGGTCCTGAAAGGAGAGACAGAGCCTCAGTTCTGCTCAGTCATGAGGCTCATTGTCAAAATTACCAAGAGTAGAGGTGAAAAAGTAGAGGATAGAGACGGTAATGAATAAATCCTAAAATGGCAACACTGAGAAGTCTAAAATGAATATGAACTGAGGGCTCCACACAGAGATGCTCGGGAATTTTCATAGCTAGAGACGAAGCAACCACAGGCTATCACTGTGAGAAGCCCACAGTGAGACTCAGCCTTAAAGATGGTGAGCATTTACTTTCCTCACCATTCTACACAAATGGAAGTTATTATGCATGCCTGTCCCTGTCTCCCCTGAGGGGTAGGGTTTCTAGATTCCTAAAACTCTGAGGTGGTGTTTTTGTTGTTGCCAGGTGGGGACCGAGGGCAAAAAGCAATTGCTGAAGCGATTAGGTCCAGATTAAGTGTAGCTTTGTGGGCAAGGCTGAGACCTTGAATCCTATCCTTTGGCAGATCAGCAAACGCGGTGGTTCACTGAGGGCAGGGATAATTGATTCTCTTGCTACTGGTGGAGGAAGTAAAGGAGCAGCTGGGGTTTGCAACTGTTGGGGCAGATCAATTTCAAAAGAGGCCTGGTTAGAGGAAACCTGTTGCAGGAGCCAGGCTGGGAGACAAAGGCGTGGGTGACCACACCAATGCCCCGTGGGAGGCCCTGGGTGACATTTTGCCTGAACATAAGAGGATGATAGTTACACCCTGGTTCCTGGCCCTGCCTTTATCAGTCACAGTCACAGCAGCAACTCTCTTACCTGAACAAGTGCAGATACAAAGGAATGGAAGGAATCTCCTACCTGGGGGTCACAAACAAATACCATACCCATCATCTCCTCTGGTTCCTGGGCACACAGCTACATTCTCTTCCCCAGCCTCCCTTGTGTTAAGTGTGGCCAGTAACTGTGTTCCAGCCAATGAAATGTGAGTGGAAATGCTGCTGGCCACTCTCAGCCCTGGCCCCTCAAACCTCTCCTGCACAATCGTTATTCTCTCTCCTCTCCACTGACCGAACAGAGACATCTTTGGGAAACTAACAGTGACACAGCCATGAGGTGGAAGGAGCCTGGCCCTGAGTGACGGCTCAGCCACAGTGGGCTACAGCATGAAGACTAGGATTTTGGGATTCCCTACGACAGTTGACATGCCCTGAATAATACACTTTGGAACTGCAACTGCTAACGTCCTGTTCCCTGATAAGAGTCTCACAAGTCGCACTGATGGAGCTACTGGCCTGGGAGATGTGGCTCCACACACCAGAGCTGCCTCTGCAGAGCGTGCACTGCTGGGCTGTGGGGTGTCCACATCTGTCCCTGCTGCCCAGGCAGGCGTAATGGGAGACACAGCCTTTCCATCGGGCAGGGTGAAGCTACTGCTGTTGCTCTAACTCGAGTTGGAGGCTGGATAGAAGAGAGTGTTTACATAGACCCCCACATCTTTCTCCTCACATCCTGAGGCATGCATGTGTCCGTGGTGTCTGTGTTTGCTTGTTTGGTTTTTATTTGTTTGTTTTTTGTTTTTTTGAGATGGAGTCTCGCTCTGTTGCCCAGGCTGGAGTGCAGTGGCGCGATCTTGGCTCACTGCAACCTCTGCCTCCTGGCTTCAAGTGATTTTCCTGCCTCAGCCTCCTGAGAAGCTGGGATTACAGGCGTGGGCCACCATACCCAGCTAATTTTTGTATTTTTAGTAGAGACAGGGGTTTCACCATGTTGGCCAGGCTAGTCTTGAACTCCTGACCTCAGATGATCCACCTGCCTTGGCCTCCCAAAGAGCTGGGATTACAGGCGTGAGCCATCATGCCTGGCCGCTTGTTTGGTTTTTTAAACTTGTGAGAGTGTGTGGTAAAACATATATATATCAGAAAATTGTTTATTTGAACCATTTGTTTGCCTTTCTTCTATTACAACAGAGGCCTTGATAAGGATCATTCATCCTCATTCAAGTTGGGTGGGGCCATTTCCTGCAGCTCCCTTTCCTCACGGCCCCAACACACCATGTGGCGGCAATTCCTTCTTCCCCTTCCTCTGTCTCCGAACAGTTTCTGGATTCCACCACAGCAGGAGCTGCAGTCAGGCACTCCCCAGTCTGTTTGGTGGGGTTCGGTTCTACTGAAAATTTCCAGAGGTATCTTCTTCTCATTCACCCACCAACCCCAGCCCTAAGGTGTAATAAGCCTTTTCTGAGTTCACTTTTTTTTTTTTGAGACAGAGTCTCACTCTGTCACCCAGGCTGGAGTGCAGTGGCATGATCTTGGCTCACTGCAACCTCCGCCTCCCTGGTTCAAGCAATTCTCCTGCCTCAGCCTCCCAAGTAACAGAGATTACAGGCACAAGCCATCATGCCCAGCTAATTTTTGTATTATTTTAGTAGAGACAGGGTTTCACCATGTTAGCCAGGCTGGTCTCGAACTCCTGACCTTGTGATCCACCTGCCTCGGCCTCCCAAAGTGTTGGGATTACAGGCGTGAGCCACTGTGCCCAGCCATGAGTTCACTTTTAATTGCCATCCTCTCACTGAAGTAGCCAGGTCAACTAGGGAGTCTCAAAGTAGTATGAGAAAATTTGGAGAGGACTAAGCTTGGCTGCAAGAAGAGGTTTTGGCTGGGCCAAGTGTAAACCCACTCAAGTGCTCAGTGACCCAGACATACAAATGTGTGTGTAAATGGCAGCTTCTCTCTTGCCTCTCCCGGACTGATACTCTCTTCTAGAAAAGCCATGCTTTGCTGTAACTATTGGAACCTCTAGAGCTTATCTGGGCCAGAGCTCTTTGCACAAGTTAGAAAAAGGCCCCTGCTCCAGCTGACACAGCCCTACGCTGCAGCCTCAGCTTGGCTGGTAGAGGGCAGGCTGGATTTCAGCCTCTTCTTGGCCTCCAGCCAGCTGCTTTGTGCAGTGCACAAACTCCACACCTGTGGTGTTGGCCCCTTCCCACCTGGCTGCTAAAATCTCTCCCGAACGTTGCCATGAGTTACAACCAGTTCCTCCCAGCTCCATCTCCCTTGGGGATGTTAGGGTGACCAGAGGTGATTTTTAGTTACACTGTCCCTAATGGAATTCTGTGGGCTGATCCAAGAATACGAGTATCTTAAAGTCATTGTTCTTATGAGGAAATGTATTCCTAGGTCTTTTCAAGTAAGCAACTTAAAAATACATCTTTAAGCTGGGCGCAGTGGCTCACGCCTGTAATCCCAGCACTTTGGGAGGCCGGGGCGGGCAGATCACTTGAGATTGGGAGTTCAAGATCAGCCTGACCAACATGAAGAAACCTTGTTTCTACTAAAAATACAAAATTAGCCAGGCATGGTGGCGCATGCCTGTAATCCCAGCTACTTGGGAGGCTGAGGCAGGAGAACTGCTTGAACCGGGGAGGCGGAGATTGCAGTGAGCCGAGGCCGTGCCACTGCACTCCAGCCTGGGCAGCAAGAGTGAAACTCTGTCTCAAAACAACAACAACAACAAAAACATCTTTAGGGGACAAACAGCCCACTAAAAATATCGGGTCTGCCTATAATGTATTTGACTTTCTTCTCCTCACCCCTTAAGCTTGTGAACAACTGTGGCTCACTCTACCTTCCGCCTTGGCTGTTTCAGATTTGACCTTGGCTCACTCAGACTTTGGCCTATAAAGTTCACAAGCTTTAGAGCATAGATTTCTGGATGTACTATTTTCTTTTGAAACCTGAACCCCAAACCAAGGGTGTGTCTTTGTAAATGACTGATTTAATTAAAAAATGGGCCGATGCTGATTATACAGATTTCTTCTCTTGGAATGCTTATTTTGGTGCTGTCCTAAAACTGATGTTTTGCAGCTGATGGATTAGGAGGACAGATGTTTTCGCTTGGCCTTCTCTCCTTTATATTTCTCATCTGGGCATCATAATAATAATATCAAGGGACAAACAGAGCTGAACTCAACACCAACACTTGACCTCATTTCTGATTTATGAATTCTCCCTGTGACCACGCAATTTGAGGAGAAGGCTGCCTCTGAAATGTGTTTTGCATTTTAATATTTTTTCATACTAGCCTCCTTCTTTGTCAAGCCACTGTGTGTGCAGCTGGCTTAACTTGCTGACTAGAAAATTGAAATATACTTCTATCCAGCAGCCAAAAACAAAGGGAAAAATTGTCTTTCTAAGAGCTGTTTAGCTGCCTGCGTTTCCCCCACCCCATCCCTCCTATCGTATATGAACAATACCCAAAAGAATCGAAGCTGCTTTTGGATTAATGTCAGTTGCAGCATTTCTCACGAGCTTTTTGGGTAGCACTGAAAACATGAGGGTTCTGTCATCTCAGCGTGGCTCCGTGAAGTGTCCTACCCTGCTCCAGAGGACGAACTGGAGACACTTCTTAACCTTGGGGGACTCAAGTCATCTGGCAAGCCAGATTTTTGGATAAAAAGTGTCTAAAGGCCAGACGCAGTGGCTCATGCCTGTAATCCTAGAACTTTGGGAGGCCGAGATGGGTGGACCACCTGAGGTCAGGAGTTCAAGACTAGCCTGGCCAACATGGTGAAACCCCATCTCTACTAAAAATACAAAAATCAGCCGGGTGTGGTCGCGGGCGCCTGTAATCCAGCTACTTGGGAGGCTGAGGCAGGAGAATTGCTTGGGAGGTGGAGGTTACAGAGAGCCGAGATCGCGCCATTACACTCCAACCTGGGCAACAAGAGCAAAACTCCATCTCAAAAAAATAAAAATAAAAATAAAAACAAAAATAAAAGAATGATAGTTTGTCTCCAAGCTTGCCCAGGTTGGTGCATTATAATGACACACTGCAGATGCCAGGCCCTGCGATCCTTAGACAAAGAAGAGGGGCTGTCGCTTTTTCAGGACATGGACTTCAGAGAATCATGAGGCTACCTGGCCACAGGAAACGAGAACATGATCCTCAAACCCACACCAGTGAGCACAATCAGGAAGCCTTGTTATGACCTGGCAGCAAAGGAGAAAGTGGGTTCAGTGACATCTGTCTGGAGATGTGCTGGGCTGGGCTGAGGCTTCAGCACACATAAGCTTCCTGATCATTCAGCATTCTCCTTTGTACTTTTTTTTCTTTAAGACACCTGTGTTTTTTGGCTGCCATGGGGGTGGGAGGAAGCCAAGCTTGGCAGCCTCTTCTGATCTGGTGTTAACAGCACCATACAGTAATTTCCAGCAATTATCTCCCTATCGTAAAAGTTCTGCAGAGAGATTCGTGACACTTTTTTTTTGTGCTGTTCCAATGCATACATTTAAATGGGGAACAAATTCTGTCCATATGGTGTCTCCTCTCTCTTCCCAGGTTCCCAAGTGCTTGGCCATGCCCAGCTATGAGTTGCTGCATACACAAAGTAAGGCTTGCTGGTATAGACAGTGGGGACAAGCAGTGATTTTGGGATTCTGCTGGTGCCAGAATCACTTACTTTATTCTCTTCTTTCTGATAGCTGGAGGACAAAGGGCCTTCCACCAATCCTAGAATTCATAGGTTATGACGTTCATAAGCTACTCCTTACCTGGGATTAGACCTAGTTACCTGGTTAATTCCTCCCATGGCTTCATGAACTTTGCCTTCATGGCACTGATCACAGTTTGTAATTGTAGACTTGTGTGTGTGTGTGTGTGTGATTATTTATGTCTTCTTATTAGACTATGCTATGAGCTGAATCGTGTTCCCCCAAAATTTATATGTTGAAACCCTAACACCTAATGTAGATAATTCGGGAGAGAAATCTTTGGGAGACAATTCGATTTAGATGAGCCCATGAGGCTGGGGACCTTCATGATAGGATTAGTGCCCTTGTAAGATGAGACACCAGAGAGCTTGCTGTCACTGGCATGCTCTGTCTCCCTCTTTGTCTGCCATATAAAGACACAGTGAGAAGGTAGCCTTCTGCAAGCCAGGAGGAAAGCCCTCACCAGAACTTGACCATGCTGGTACCCTGATCTTGGACTTTCAGCCTACAGAGCTGGGAGGCAATAACTTTCTGTTGTTTAAGCCATCAGTGTATGGTATTTTGTTATGGCAGCCTGAGCAGATGAATACAGACAGTAAATTTTATGAGAACACAAGCCACATCTGTTCTGCACATCACTGAACCCCAGCACCAAGCACAGAGCTCGGCATATGATAGGGCCCAATAAATATTTACTAAATTAATGAAAGAGTGAATAAATGTACGAACGAAGCTTGAAGAAATCACAGAAAGTAAGTCTAGTGTCTTTACTTAATAGATGAAGAAACAGAGGTTACATTTCCAACTTGTCCAAGTCTATGAAGCTTGTTTTTTTGTTTCACATATATAAAGACAGATTGAATGTGTCAATTCCAAACCATTAATTGAACATCTATTTTTGTTATGTTAGAGAATTCAAAGGTCGATAAAATGCAATTTCTTTTTAAAATTTTTTCAAGGGACAGTGTTTCCTTCTGTCACCTAGGCTGGTCTCAAACTCCTGACCTCAAGTGATCCTCTTGCCTCGGCCTCCCAAAGCACTGGGATTATAAGCATGAACCACTGTACCCAGCCCAAAATGCAATTCCTATTTTTAAAAAGCTTTCTTCTTGCCAGGTATGGTGGCTCGTGCCTGTAATTTTACCACTTTGGAAGGATGAGGTGGGAGGATCACTTGAGACCAGTTTGAGCAACTTAGTGAGACCCAGTTGCTGGGCATGGTGTCATGCCTCTGTAGTCCTAGTTGAGGCTGAGGTGGGAGGATCACTAGAGCCTGGGAGGTCAAGGCTGCAGTGAGCTGTTATCACACCACTGCACTCCAGCCTGGGTGACAGAGTGAGAACCTGTCTTAAAAACAAACAAACAAAAACACTTTTCATCTAAACAGCAGTTTAGGCAGTTAAGATAAACAGTAGTGATTATTCATTAAGTGCTTACTAATACATTATTTTATTTCATGTTTACAACAATCCAATGGAATAGATCATATTATCCCCATTTAACAAATATGAAAAGGCAAACTCAGAGGTAGTGTTGCTAAATTGTATTAAGCTTTTACTAGGTGCCACAATTGTTCTACATGTTTTACCTCCATTTATAAATTCATTTAATGCCCCAGGCTTGACTAGGGAAGGATCCACTTCCAAACTCAGTCATGTGTATTTATTGGTCTCAGGTCCCATTGGCTGTTGGACAGAGACAGTTCCTTGCTATTTGGGCCTCTCCAAAGCAGCCTTCACAACATGGCAGCTTGCTTTCCCTGGAGGAAGGGCTGAGAAAGATTGAAGTTTAAATCTTTGTAACCTAACCTCAGCAATGACTTTTCATATCACCATGGCCATTTTCTATTCATTAGAAGCAAGTCACTAGATCCAGCCCCCACTCAAAAGTAAGGATTAGACAGGGTGTCAACAGCAGGAGTCAGGGATCACAGATCACCCCACAGGCTGCCCACCACAGCAAGGTTACTTTAATAATTCAAAATCAATCTATGTAATGTGTCATATTAATAGTACAAAGGAGAAAAATATGATCACCTCAATAGATTAAAAAAATATTTGGGCCAGGCACAGTGGCTTACTCCTGTAATCCTAGCAGTTTGGGAGGCCGAGGTGGGCGGATCACTTGAGGTCAGGAGTTCAAGACCAACCTGGCCAACATGGTGAAAGCCTGCCTCTACTAAAAAAAAAAAAATACAAAAATTAGCCGGGTGTGATGGCTGGGGCTTGTAGTCCCAGCTACTCAGGAGCCTGAGGCAGGAGAATGGCTTGAACCTGGGAGACGGAGGTTGCAGTGAGCCAAGATCATGCTGTTGCACTCCAGCCTGGGCGACAGAGCGAGACTCTGTCTTAAAAAAAAAAAAAAAGAAATATTTGATAAAATTTAATATCCACTGATGATAAAAATCCTTAGCAAACTAGAAATGGGAGCAATTGTTCTTATTCTGGAAATAAGATATAAAATAACATATAGTAGATTGCACTTCTTTGCCCCTCCTGTTTCACACCTTTTGCTATATAATTTTGCAATGCCCTCAATCATGGGCAAAGTTACCCTTGACTCTGGACTCAGGCATATGACTTGCTTTGGCCAGTGGGATATTGGCATATGTGATGCAAGTAAAAATTTGAAATGAGCTTGCCTACTGGGGTTTGCTTTTTTGTTCTTCTACTCTTTACCATGAAAAGAACCTGCCTAAGCTGCTCCTTCTGGTTCCAGGAAGAAGATATGAAATGCGTAGAACATGAGTTCTCCAGCTAAGGTACTCAGTCAAGCCTAGCTGAGAACAGAGCTCCTAGCTGAGCTGCAGATGCATGCATGAGCTCAGCCAAGACCAGCAGAGTGATCTAGCTAAGCATAGCCCAGATCACCTGATTGCCACATATGTGTAAGACATAAGTATCTATTGTTATATATCACTGGCTTTGTGGTTCTTTTGTTATCCAACAAAAGCTAATTGATACAGGTTATCTACAAAAATACCTCAGCAAGTATCAACTTAATGATGAAATGCTAAAAGCTTTCCTCTGAAACTGGAAACTTGCTAAGTTTGCCTGCTACCACTTCTATTTGACCTTGAATGGATACCTTAGCCAATGCAATAAGGCAAGAAAAAGAAATAACAGAAATAAGGATAAAAAAAGAAAGAAAGCTGTCATTTATGTACATAGCAAATCCTAAAGAACCTTCAGATCAAGTTTTGGAATTTTATCTAGGTCACTGAATTCAAATCAACACACATAAACCAATTGTATGTTCTATATACCAGTAACAAAAATAATTGTAAACTGAAATGTTTAAATATAACATCTGGCTGGGCGTGGTGGCTCATGCCTATAATCCCAGCGCTTTGGGAGGCCAAGGCGGGCAGATCATGAGGTCAGGAGATCGAAACCATCCTGGCTAACACAGTCAAACCCCGTCTCTACTAAAAATACAAAAAATTAGCCAGGCGTGGTGGTGGACACCTGTAGTCCCAGCTACTCGGGAGGCTGAGGTAGGAGGATCACTTAACGCCAGGAGTTCAAGGCTGTAATGCAGTATAAGCGTGCCTGAGGATGGCCACTGCACTCCAGCCCGGGCAACCTCACCTCTGTTTGTTTTTTCAATCAAATATCTAGGAATAAAACAAATGAAAGATTTTCAACATCTCCATATAGAAGACTATTATGAAAAACTAAAGATTTTTTTAAAAGAGAGAGAAAGCCAAATGATGCTTATTTGACTCTGGTGCACTTCAGTGTAAGGATGATTTATAATCTGTCACTCATGATTGAAGGCCTTGGAAAAAGAAAAAAAAAACAGGAGTTACATCATATTCATGATTGGAAGACTCCATATGTCAATATTCGATTGTGAATTGTAAATATGTCAATTGTCCCCAAATTTATCTCCTTGGTACATTCTGAAAATTCTCGACAGATTTTTTTTTTTTTTTTTTCTTTTTGAGACGGAGTTTTGCTCTTGTTGCCCAGGCTAGAGTGCAATAGCGCGATCTCGGCTCACCACAACCTCCCCCTCCCAGGTTCAAGCAATTCTCCTACCTCAGCCTCCCAAGTAGCTGGGATTACAGGCATGCACCACCATGCCCGGCTAATTTTATATTTTTAGTAGAGACAGGGTTTCTCCATGTTAAAGCAAGAATAGTTAAAGCAATCTTGGAGAAGACAAAAATGGGAGGATTTTTTTCACAGAAAAATTAAACCAATATAATTAAGACTGTGATTTTGGCTCAAAAATAAACAAACCAAAGGAACAGAACTGAGGGCCTAGAAACAGACTGACACATTTATGGATGCTTAATTTATGACAAACGTGGTGCCCTTGAATGGTCTTTTTAATAAATCCTTCTGGAACGGTTGAATATCTATGGAAGGAAGGAAGAATCTTGACCCTTATCTTACTGTATACATAAAAAATCAACTCCAATTGAATTATATGTAAATCTAAATGTGAAAACTAAAACAATAAAGATTCTAGAGGATATCACAAGAGAATATCTCTAAGATCTTGGGGGTAGGAAAAGATTTATTAAACAGGACACAAAAACCACTAATTACAAAGGAAGTAACTGATACATAGACCAGGGATTGGCAAACTACAGCCCTCAGGTCAAATCTGGCCACCTGTTTTTGTTATCCCAGCACTTTGGGCAGCTGAGGAGGGCAGGTCAGTTGAGCCCAGGAGTTTGAGACCAGCCTGGGCAATGTGGAGAACTCTTGCCCTTCAAAAAATACAAAAATTATCAGGGTATGGTGGCACATGCCTGTAGGCCCAGCTACCCAGGAGGCTGAGGTGGGATGGGAGCCTCAGCCTGGGAGGTTGAGGCTGTAGTGAGCCATGACTGGGCCACTGCACTCCAGCCTGGGCAATGGAGTGAGACCCTGTCTCAAAAAAAAAAAAAAAAAAAACTTGATGATGAAGTATGGGAACATGGAAGAGTATGATATTATACAAAGTAAAGGAAGCAGTGGCATGCATGCTATAATAACAACTATGGAAAATATGAGTGCATCAGGCCAAGGACCAAAGGGTGTTTTGCAAAAAATAAAAAATAGTTGTCTAGGGTAGCAAGTTTTCTCAAAATGATTCCCAAAATTGTTGCATAGTCTTTCTATGAATGATAAACTAAGAAAGAAGGGAATGACTTTCTTTTCTTTGAGAAATCCTATTTTTTCCAAAAATGTATTACAGGTTGTTAAACGCTACTCGGCTGAGTTTCTTAAAAGATTAGCCTGCCCCATAAGGGTTGTGATGGCAGGAATTCTGGCTTCTATTTCTAGCCCTGTTGACAGACTGATGATGAAACTCATGCATGCCCTTTAAGCTTTCCCCATCTTTGAGGCTGGGAGAAATTCCACTTGCTGCTGCCATTTAGCGCTACAATGTTTTAAAAATTAATGAGGTGCATTTACAGCCCAGGATGTTCAGGTGATTGGCTTTCCTTGAGAAATCGGTGTTGTCTGTGAAGAAGATAAACAGTAGGAGTGGTTGGGTTTGGTGGCTCATGCCTATAATTCCAGCACTTTGGTAGTCCAAGGCAGGTGGATCACCTGGGGTCAGGAGTTGGAGACCAGCCTGGCCAACATGGGGGAATCCCCGTCTCTACTAGAAATACAAAAATTAGCTGGGTGTAGTGGCAGGCTCCTCTAGTCTCAACTACTGAGGAGGCTGAGGCACAAGAATCTCTTGAACCCAGGAGGCAGGGGTGGCAGCGAGCCAAGATCACGGCACTGCACTTCAGCCTGGGTAACAGAGCAAGACTCTGTCTCAAAACAAAATCAAAAACAAAAACAAAAAACAGTAGGAGTGCTGTTATGTTGTCAGACATTGAATTCCTGCAACCAACATTTGTTATTGGGCACCTGTTGTGGACAAGAGACTTTTTCAGAGTTATGATTATATGCGAAGATGTCTCAATCATGGTTTCTGCCTTCAAGGAACTTACAGTAGGGTAATGATAAAAATACCTAAAATTGCCAGGTGTGATGGCTCATGCCTGTAATCCCAGCACTTTGGGAGGCCGAGGTGGGCAGATTACTTGAGGTCAGGAGTTTGAGACCAGCCTGGCCAACTTGGTGAAACCCCATCTCTACTAAAAATACAAAAATTAGCTGGGCATGGTGACGGATGCCTGTAATCTGTCCCAGCTACTCGGGAGGCTGAGGCAGGAGAATAACTTGAACCTGGGAGGCGAAGGTTGCAGTGAGCCAAGATCACACCACTGCACTCCAGCCTGGGCAACAGAGTGAGACTCCGTCACAAAGAAGAAAAAAACAAAAACCTAAAATTTACTGAGGGTTTACAATGTGACAGGAACTATGCTAAATGCTTTATGTACGTTAATTTATTTAATTCCAACGACATCCCCAGGGAGGCAGAGGTTATTGTTATCATTTTAAGAGATAATTAGGCCAGGTGTGGTGGCTCCTGCCTGTAATCCTAGTGCTTTGGAAGGCCAAGGCGGGAGGACTGCTTGAGGCCAGGAGTTCAAGACCAGCCTAGGCAATATAGCAAGACCCTGTCTCTACAAAAAATGAAAAAATTAATTTAGTCAGGCATGATAGGGCAAGCCTGGAGTCCCTGCTCCTCTGGACACTGAGGTGGGAGGATTGCTTGAGGCCAAGAGTTTGAGACCAGCCCAGGCAACATAGTGAGATCCCTGTCTTTACAAAAAAAGAAAAAAAGAGAGCAATAGATAATTAAATTGATGGCAAGAGAGGCTAAATAAATACCCAAGGTCGTGAAACTAAATCCACCTGACCCTGAAGGGCTGCCTGGCAGGAAAGCCAATGCTCTTGACTACTCGCCTACACTGCTGCCCAGGCATCAGCCACACTGGGAAGCAACTGCCTCCGTCAGCCAGCTTGCAATTCATAAACTCTATAAAATCATGCCTTTTTGGCTGGGCATGGTGGCTCATGCCTGTAATCCCAGCACTTTAGGAAGCCGAGGTGGGTGGATCACCTGAGGTCAGGAGTTCCAGCCTGGCCTGACCAACAAGGTGAAACAAAAAAATTAGCTGGGTGTGGTGGCGCATGCCTGTAATCCCAGCTACTTGGGAGGCTGAGGCAGGAGAATCGCTTGAACCCAGGATGCAGAGGTTGCAGTGAGCCGAGATTGAGCCGTTGCACTCCAGCCTGGGCAACAAGAGCAAAACTCTGTCTCAAAAAAAAAAAAAATGCCTTTTTGATGGGGTACCAGCTGAACCTACTAATGACACAACCGTGTTAGAAAGTCTGCACCTTTTTTCAGCTTCAAAAGAGTTTCTAATAGAGTGGGAATTGTCAAGTAATCAAGGCATGGAAATAATCATATTTAAGTTATAATTAAGTGTTTTAATATCTATTATTTGGGGGAAGGGAATTATTAGCAATAGCCAAGTTCTTTTTTTTTTTTTTTTTTTGAGACGGAGTCTCTCTCTGTCTGTCGCCCAGGCTGGAGTGCCGTGGCGCGATCTCAGCTCACTGCCACCTCCGCCTCCTGGTTCAAGCAATTCTCCTGCCTCAGCTTCTCCAGTAGTTGGGGCTACAGGTGCCTGCCAACACGCCTGGCTATTTTTTTTGTATTTTTAGTAGAGACTGGGTTTCACCATATTAGCCAGGATGGTCTCAATCTCCTGACCTTGTGATCCGCCTGCCTTGGCCTTCCAAAGTGCTGGGATTACAGGCGTGAGCCACCGCGCCCGGCCAGCAATAGCCAAATTCTTTAATAAACAACTTTTTATTAATGCTATTGCTTTGTGTTGTCTAATATTAAAATATTTCTGTCTTTTTCCAGAAACTATAAGAGATTATAGGGTGAAGATGGACTATGCTGAGTAGGGTACAAAACTAGGTGTTTTTTTGGGTTTTTTTTTTTTTTTTTAAAGACAGAGTATCGCTCTGTTGCCCAGGCTGGAGTGGAATGCAGTGGCGCAATCTTGGCTCACTGCAACCTCTGCCTTCTGGGTTCAAGAGATTCTCCTGCCTCAGCCTCCCTAGTAGCTGGGATTACAGGCATGCGCCACCATGCCTGGCTAATTTTTGTTTTTTCAGTAGAGATGGGGTTTCACCACGTTGGCCAGGCTGGTCTTGAACTCCTGACTTCAAGTGATCTGCCCACCTTGGCCTCCTGAAGTGCTGGGATTATAGGCATGAGCCACTGCGCGCAGCCTTTTTTGTGTTTTGATTCTTCTGATCTGTGCCCCACTTAGGTCCCATAGAATCACAAACTCTCAAGTTTGGAAAGAACTTTCAAGGGTATTTCTGGTATATTATTCACACTTTGGATTACAACCCATTAGTAGATTATGAAACCAGTGAACTGAGTTATAAGAAGCTTAAAAAAAGAATAAAATAAAATTGCACATGGTAAAGGTAAAGGTAGCAGTTAGCAAAACTTTCATTTTAATTATTATATTCATTTTCTAGAACTGCCATAACAAAGTTCCACAAACTCGGTGGCTTAAATCAACAGAGCCGGCACAGTGGTTCACACCTGTAGTCCCAGATTCCTGGGAGGCTGGGGTGGGAAGATGCTTTGAGTCCAGGAGATCGAGGCTGCAGTGAGCTATGATCATGACACTGCACTCCATCCTGGGGGATAGAATGAGACCTTGTCTCTTTTTTAGGAAAACACACACACACACACACACACACACACACACACACACATCCACACAGATAAATTTATTCTGTCATGATTCTGGAGTCTAGAAGCCCAAATCAAGGTGTCAATAAGGCCGTGCAACTCTGGGTAGAATCCTTCCTTGACTCTTCACCTGCAATCCTTGGCATCCCTGGCTTGCAGCTGTATCATTCCAATCTCTGCCTTTGTCACATGGTATTCTCTTGTCTGTGTGTGTCTGTGTCCAAACTTCCCTCTTCCTATAAGGATATCAATTGTACTAGATTAGAGTCCATCCTACTGACCTCATCTTAACTTGTTTATATCTGCAAAGATCCTATTTCCAAATAAGTCACAACCACACGTACCAGGGGTTAAGACTTCATATCTTTTGGGGGTAGGGATTCAACTCATTCAACCTGTAACATATATATATATTTACATGTATCTACTTACACATTTATACATCATATATATTTACATATATATGTAAAACCTATGTATTGAATCACAATGCAAAAATGTGTTTAACATTACTGTGGTAAAAAAAAAAAAGAGAGAGAGAGAGCTTATAAACACTGATTTAAGCTAAGCACTCATCCAGTTCTTCATTTCTTTTGGTAATAACTTGACGATAGTAGTTCTGCCTACACTGAGCCCACTGACAGGTGACTATCTCTGTAGATTCCCCAGGGTTTGGACAATTCTGACTGTTGGCAGGGCTATCAGAGAAGAATTTATTAGAACTCTACACGTAGCTTATAAGGGACCTAGCTGAGCAACTTAAAACATCAGGTTAGTTTGTAGCAGCAGTGGTTACAGGTAAAGTGCTCTTTTGAAACAAAATATAATACAACTTGAAAGTAGTCATGCTTTTCAAGCCTGTAAGCCCAGCCCTTTGGGAGGCCAAGGCAGGCAGCTCACTTGAGCCAGGAGTTTGAGACCAGATTGGGCAACATGGTGAAACCCCGTCTCTACAGAAAAAATAAAAATAAATAAAAATTAGCCAGGTATGGTGGTGTATGCCTGCGGTTCCAGCTACTAGGGAGGATGAGGTGGGAGGATTGCTTGAGCCTGGGGAAAAAGTAGTGATGAAAATTAGAATGTTTTTAAAGTTATAGGCAAATTTGAGGGGTTACATATAATGAAGACCTCATTGCCAAAGCCCAAAGAAGGATGTTTCTTCTTTTTAAATCTGAAAACCTTTCAAAAGAGATTGACCTTTTTTTTTTGTTTTTCTTTTTTGTTTCTTCTTTTTAAATCTGAAAACCTTTCAAAAGAGATTGACCTTTTTTTTTTGTTTTTCTTTTTGTTTTTTGAGACAAGATCTCACTCTGGTGTTCAGGCTGGAGTGCAGTGGCACGATCTTGGCTCCCTTCAGCCTTGACCTTCCAGGCTCAAACAGATCCTTCCACCTCAGTCTCCTGAGTAGCTGGGACTACAGGCATGCCCCACCACACTCGGCCAATTTTTTAGAGAGATGCGGTTGCCCAGGTGGGGGTCTCAAATTCCTGGGCACAAGTGATCCTCTCACCTCGGCCTCCCAAAGTGCTGGGATTACAGGAGAGATCCACTGTGCCCAGCTGACGATGACATTTTTTATTGTAGGAGACAGAAAAATGAACTAGGTCAAAGATCCCCTAACCAAAAGATTAGGGTCTATTGTAAAATCATAACGCTTTCCCTTGTAGATCTTTCAGCCCGTTGCCACCACCCTGCCCAGCTCTCTGAAATGTGCCAAGTTTTCCTTGTCTACTCAGAAACTTTGCTGACAGCACCAGCCTGCTCAGCTAGTGAAAATGCCTCCTGCCAAAAAGATTAACTACACTCATTTTTCTTTAGGTAATTTCATAAATCATTGTGCCTATTTTACTTTGAAAAGCTTTACTATTTTCTTCATAGATGATAATTTAGAGCCTGAAGGACACTTTAGGTAACTGAATCTTTTTCTGTCTTCAAGACATTCAGATTGGAAACAAAGTCTCGTCAGTTACAATCCATTTTGGCACAGAGATTCCTGGATATGGGACTTTGAGGGGTAGGTGAGGAGTGCACCTCAGAATGAAGGAAAGAAGTTGTGGAGTTAGAAAAAGATTCATTCTGAAGCCGTCTCCCTCTCAACACCCACCCTCGAGCTGGCTTAGGAACAAGTACCCTGCGGTGTGCTTCTTAGAGGGAAGAATCAGACCTGGAGTCTTTCATAGCTTCTAACTGTTTGGGGCTTTCTACTTCAAGAAAGACACTGAAGGTTGAGCTAGCCTTCTGATTTGGCACTACTATTGATTTTCCCACACTTTTGGCCAGCGTGTATGTCCATTTATTTTCTCATTTCTCACATGAGCAGGCTGGAAGTGTAGAAAGATCTTCGAGACACTACTTACTCATTTTGAAGTACTTGATCAATCTTTGTGCATAGCAGCATAAACCCTGGACCTGGAAGTGCATATTTCAAAGAGAGCCCTGTACCTTTTGTTCTCTTGCAAGACAAGCAGTTCTCTCCCCTGGAGAGATCTCCTCTACCCCACCTCCGCCCCACTTTCTACTCAAGGCAATGGGAGGTACCTGAGGACCCTTCACATGACACAAAGTATTGAGTCTGTGTTCCAGAATAGGAACAAAATGATCTCTACCCTCTGAGGCAGTTAATGCAGCTGCTTTGTTTAGGCTGTTTCTGAAATTAAAAAGAATCTCCCTTTTTACTCACTGTTAATGGGGTGAAAAGCTCAAGTGTTCCATGTCACACAGGGGAAATCAGATTTGTGTTTCATACAAAAGCAAAGTCAGTGGCTCACGCCTGTAATCCCAGCACTTTGGGAGGCCAATGGGGGTGGATCACCTGAAATCAGGAGTTGGAGACCAGCCTGGCCAACATGGTAAAACTTCATCTCTACTAAAAATACAAAAATTAGCCAGGCATGGTAGCGTGCGCCTGTAGTTCCAGCTACTTGGGAGGCTAAGGCAGGAGAATTGCTTGAACCCGGGAGGCAGAGGTTATAGTGAGCCAAGATTGCGCCATTGCACTCCAGCCTGGATGACAGAGTGAGACTCCGTCTCAAAAACAAAACAAAACAAAACACCAGCGTTTCAGTCATCCACATGATTTTTGCTGGCACCAGGCACACATTGCAACCTCTCTGCCTCGGTTTCCATCCAACTCCTCCACCCTAACAATCCTTACTGTATTCAACTAAAAGAAACCAAGGATCTTGGTGGTGGAATTTGCTTGACTTCTTGTCCTCCAATCACGTCCACTTCCTGTTTTCTTTTAAAGTTCACTGACAAGATCTTATTTTATGTGACAAATATGTTCGGTTTATCTGTGCTATCAATTTCTGATAAACGTACATTTTAATCTGTCAGCCAGTGTTCCAGGCACTAATGCTGCTTAAATGTAGCTGCACAGCTCTTACCCAGAAATGGTGCCGTCCAGCTAAAATCATACATTCAGGCAGCTGATTACAGACACTGACCTTGAGCTCCATTCCTGTGCGGTAATCCAAACCATCTGCACTCAACAACAATTAAAACCTTCAGATCTCTCAGGCGTTTCCTTCCTCTGATTATAACTTATGAGCTGCAGCAAAACTCAGAAAGAAACAGAATTAAAAAGACCAGGCTTTGATGCCAGCTTGATTTCTGCAGGGCAGTTCTCAACAGAGAAATCTCCACTTTATGGAACAGCTCCTTCCTCAGCTGAAATGCAGGCACCTAACATCTAACAAACCTTGAACATTTAATTATGCTGATTCTTTCTTTTGCCCAGAGGGGAAGAGGGACCTTTCATTTCTGGAGCCAGAGTCAGGCAAAACAATGAGGTAGTTTGTCCTGGAGATCTCCTATCACCCTTGTTTTCCATACCTCCCTCTTTGTCTCTCTCATCCACTTTTTATACCCTTAAAGGTCTTGCTGCCTTCTACAAAAGAGGTCCAGGCTAAGAAAAAAAAAAAAAAAAAAAAGCTAAAGAAAGTCAGTGCTCTATTTCTGAACTACTCTATTTCTGATCTCCTTTCTCTCCCTTCAGATATCCTACATCTTCATGACTGTGTCCTTTCCTATGAATTCCAAAGGAAATGCACGCAAACAAATACATTCAGCCAAAGTGTCTAAGAAAGACATAACGGTCACCCTTGGGAGGTGGAGGTGAGGAGTGGTTAGGGAGAGGCCTCACAGAGAATAGATTTCTGATGGGAAGCATCCAACCCTTAGCAAATTTCGGGGGAGAGGGAGGTTTGGTTGGCTGAAGTGCAGCAACTCACATTATACCTGTTCAATGTTGTTCTCAGGATCACCCTGGAAAAGCACAGAAGGATTCTTTTTTTTTTTTTTTTTTTTTTTGAGACAGAGTTTTTTGCTCTGTCACCAAGCTGGAGTGCCGTGGCATGATCTTGGCTCACTGCAACATCCACCTCCCAGGTTCAAGCGATTCTCCTGCCTCAGCCTCCTGAGTAGCTGGGACTACAGGCGCATGCCACCATGCCCAGCTAATATTTGTATTTTTAGTAGAGACAGGGTTTCACCATGTTGGCCAGGATGGTCTCAATCTCTTGACCTCATGATCTGCCTGCCTCGGCCTCCCAGAGTGCTGGGATTACAGGCATGAGCCACCGCACCCGGCCAGAATATTTTCTTAAATGTGAACCAGATTACATCTGATGTTAAAATCCCTACTTCCCTAAAATAAAATCCACATGCTTTACCAAGCCTTAGAAGGCCCTCATGATCTAGCCACCACGCCTGGCCCAGAAGGATTCTTGGAACTGAGACTCTCCAGCAGGAGGGAGGCTGACGACCTAGGGTCACCAAAGGGGATTTCTTGGGCAATCATTGAAAAATCCAAGACCATAAAGATTTCTCTCCCTGACTGGGCACCAGGCTAGGGAGAGAACTTTGGGAATATAGTACATTGTTTTCAGCACTATGATTTGACACAATAGCTCCTAACTCAGATGCCAATGAGTGAAGAGGGGGGAAAATGAGAAGTTTCTTTCCCCACTGGTTCATCTACACTGTTACTGCATTTTGCTAGGCAAGTCCTTTTTTTTTTTTTTTTTTTTTGAGACAGGGTCTTGTTCTGTCACCCAGGCTGCAGTGCAGTGGCATAATCACGGCTCATTCCAGCCTTGATCTCCCAGGCTCACACAATCCTCCTACCTCAGCTTCCCAAGTTGCTGGGACTATAGGCATGTGCCAGCAAGCCTGGTTAATTGTTTAATTTTTTTGTAGAGACAAGGTCTCACCACGTTGTCCAGGCTGGTGTCAAACTCCTGGGCTCAAGCGATCCTCCTGCCTCAGCCTCCCAAAGTACTGGGATTATAGGCATGAGCCGGTGCACCTGGCCAAGTCTTTAACAATTGTTATAGTAGAGAGTCTCTACAAAAACATTTACATTCATAGTGTCCCTTGGTTCTCTTTAGAATCTCCTGAACTAAGCATTTTCATTCTCTTAAAAAACTAGAAAGGAGACCATGCGAGGTGGGCCAGGCACGGTGGCTCACGCCTGTAATCCCAGCACTTTGGGAGGGGGAGGTGGGTGGATCACCTGAAGTCAGGAGTTTGAGACCAGCCTGGCCAACATGGCGAAACCCTGTCTCACTAAAAATACAAAAATTAGCTGGGCATGGTGGCGGGCGCCTGTAATCCCAGCTACTTGAGAGGCTGAGGCAGGAGAATTGCTTGAACCCAGGAGGCGGAGGCGGCAGTGAGCCGAGATTGCACCTCTGCACTCCAGCCTGGGCGACAGTGTGAGACTCTGTGTCAAAAAAAAAAAAAAAAATTAGCTGGGCATGGTGGTATGCACCCGTAGTCCCACCTACTCAGGAGGTTGACACACGAGAATCACTTAAACCTGGGAGGCAGAGGTTGCAGTGAACTGAGATTGTGCCACTGCACTCCAGCCCAAGCAACAGAGCAAGACTCCTTCTCAGAAAAAAAAAAAAAAAAAAAAAAAAGACTAAAAAGTAAAAATCCCCCATAAATTCATTCTCCAGAGATAGTCACTGATTTATATTACAAGTATTATTATTATTATCCTCATTTTGCAGATGAGAAAAGTAAGATCAAGAAAAGTAAAATAGGCCAGGCATTATGGCTCACGCCTGTAATCCCAGCACTTTGGGAGGCCGAGGCAGGCAGATCACTTGAGGTCAGGAGTACAAGACCAGCCTGGCCAACATGGTGAAACCCCTTCCCTACTAAAAATACAAAATTTAGCTGGATGTGGTGGCATGTGCCTGTAATCTCAGCTACTTGGGAGGCTGAGGCAGGAGAATCGCTTGAACACGGGAGGTGGAGGTTGCAGTAAGCGGAGATCATGGCACTGCACTCCAGCTTGGGCAACAGAGCAAAACTCCATCTCAAAAAAAAGAAAAAAGAAAAGTAAAATAATTTACCCCAAACTACTCAGCTCATAAGTCAAATGCTCTATCTCCAAGTTGATATGTTCTTTAAAATCTATTTTCCATATTCCTCGTATTCCTCGCCTCACTTTTTTTTTTTTTTTTTTTGAGACGGAGTTTCGCTCTTGTTGCCCAGGCTGGAGTGCAATGGTGCGATCTTGGCTCACTGCAACCTCCGCCTCCTAGGGTTCAAGCGATTCTCCTGTCTCAGCCTCCCGAGTAGCTGGGATTACAGGCATGCACCACCATGCCCGGCTAATTTTTGTATTTTTGAAATAGAGACAGAGTTTCTCCATGTTGGTCAGGCTGGTCTTGAACTCCCAACCTCAGGCAATCCACCTGCCTCAGCCTCCCAAAGTGCTGGGATTACAGGCGTGAGCCACTGTGCCCGGCCTCCTCTCCTCACTTTTTAATTTGTGAAGTGGTAGTAGTTGCATGTGTATGTGGTTCTTAAATTTTTCTTTTCCCTAAGAAAAAAAGCTAAGAGTTTGAGAACAACCTAATTTGGCTGTTTCATCTACAAGACTGTTATGCTGCCTGGCCAGAGTATTTCCAAGTGGAATGTAAAATACATCATTTAATTTAAAAGACCTTGGTTTTAAGAGTGGGTCACGATTCACAGGATTAATGAGTCTGAAGCCTGGAGGTGTCGCCGTCTTCCTCTCTTTTTCACTTGCGAGGTCAGGGACATATGCATCCAATGCAGAGGGTGGTGGTTTGTGGGCATTTGCCTGGCTGTTAAGCTTCCACAGTTGTGGCTTCTATACTAGGATGCAAGGTCCTGGTTGTTTTTTATGATTCCCACCACTTCCAGCGAGTAACTGTTTGAAGAAAATAGAAACTGTAGGACTTCTATTTTTGTCCTAGTTTAAAATACTGCAACACAGACAATGATATCTCAACCCACGATTTTTTCCAAGATTATACCATTTGGTAGTTCCATGGTATTAACTAAATGAACACCACCCCCAGCTGCATCTTTAAGTTTCTATATTTACCAAAGTACATTTATGTGCTAAATTAGTTTATCAGGAAAGAGCGAGTTATTCCAAGTTTCGCTCAAATGGTTACTGAGAATAAGAAGGAATAATATCATAGGGAATCATTCTTTACATCCCCCCACAACCTTTTTTTTTGAGACATGGTCTCTGTCACCCAGGCTGGAGTGCAGTGGCACCATCTCAGCTCATTGCAATCTCCACCTACTTGGCTTAAGCGATCCTCCCACCTCAGCCTCCTGAGTAATACATTTTGCCTTTTGCTCTGGGGATGAATGAAAGATTAGAAAAGTGAATTCTTGAATTGTCTAGTCAACTGTACATTTTGTAGGCCATTTCTGCATGATACAGAATTGCTGAGGGCTATACAAAAACACTATTAATAATATTCATTATTACAGATTAAAAACTGGCATAGAAGCCTTTAAAATACCTTTTTTTCTGCTGGGCGTGGTGGCTCACGCCTGTAATCCCAGCATTTACAGAGGCAGAAGCAGGAGGATAGCTTAAGCCAGACCCACCTGGGGAATATAGCAAGACTTTGTTCTGCACAAAAAGGAAAAAAAAAGATATCTTTTTTCTTATGATAAATGTATATAATAAATAAAATATATCTATTATTAAAAATTCATTAAATGTAGGAAAGCATTTTTTAAATGTTTAAACAACACATACTCCCACTAGGCTAAAATTATATTCATAAACAATATGGTATATTTCCATCTGGCCTTTTCTCTTTGCATTAGTTATCTTTAAATAAAATTGGAATCACTCTGTATATTTAGTTTTATATTCTACTTTCTGACTTAATATTAAATAATGAGCATTTCTCCGTGGTTTTAAGTAAGATGACTTTTTCCATCCACTTGAGTGGGAATTTTTTTTAAAGATGACTTTAATGTCTATATAATAGAAACACATAAAGACCCTCTTTATGTAACTTTTAATGTGATTGAATCTTTTTAACGGAGTCAAAATGCATATCTTCTAATTCCTATAATTTTTCACGTGACTTCTTTTTGTTTCTGATTCGCAAAAGCTGTCATGACCCAAATTATAAGAAAACCTGAAGGAAACACTGCCTTTTGAAAAATAAAACAAAGTATTCAAATAACACCAAATATGCTACATAAATCAAAGAACAAGAGCCACCTGGGAATTTAATGTGGCAGCCAACTCTCTTTTTCACATTAAAAATGTCAGCATAGGCCAGGCGCAGTGGCTCACGCCTATAATCCCAGCACTTTGGGAGGCTGAGGCGGGTAGATTATTTGAGGTCAGGAGTTCGAGACCAGCCTGGCCAACATGGTGAAACCCCATCTCTACTAAAAATATAAAAATTAGCCGGGTGTGGTGGCACATGCCTGTAATCCCAGCTACTGGGGAGGCTGAGGCAGGAGAACTGCTTGAAATTCAGAGGCGGAGGCTGCAGTGAGCCAAGATTGTGCCACTGCACTCCAGCCTGGGCAACAGAGTGAGACCCTGTCTCAAAAAATAAAATAAGATAAAAATGTCAGCATAATCAAATAGTTAAAGATGACAGTCCACAATTAAAGACTAAAGATAGCCCTCCACATGCCAGTATTGCTTCCACAAGCTTGAGCATAATTTTAAAGCACTTAGCTGTGCTGTTTAAAATCAACAACTTTTTTTTTTTCCATAAAGAAAAGGTGTTTGGCCAAGTGCAGTGGCTCATACCTGTAATCCCAGTACCTTTGAGGCCAAGGCAGGAAGATCACTTGAGCTTGAGTTTGAGACCTGGCTGGGTGTGGTAGCTCATGCCTGTAATCCTAGCACTTTGGGAGGCCAAGATGAGTGGATCACTTGAGGTCAGGAGTTTGAGACCAGCCTGGCCAACATGGTGAAACCCCATCTCTACTAAAATACTAAAATTAGCTGGGCATGGTGGCACGTGCCTGTAACCCCAGCTACTGGGGATGCTGAGGCAGGAGAATGGCTTGAACCCAGAAGATGGAGGTTGCAGTGAGCCAAGATCATGCCCCTGTACTCCAGCCTGGGTGACAGAGCAAGACTCGGTCTCAGGAAAAAAAAAAAAAAAAAAGAGTCTGAGACCAGCATGAGCAAAGTGGCAGAACTCTTATCTCAAAAAAAAAAAAAAAAATTAAATTAGCCAGGTATGATGGTGTGCACCTGTAGTCTCAGCTATTCTGGAGGTTCAGGTAGGAGGATCACTTGAGCCTGGGAGGTCAAGGCTGTAATGAGCTGAGATGGAGCCACTGCACTCTGGCCTGGGTGACAAAAGACCCTGTCAAAAAAAAAAAAAATGGTGTTCAAGACTTAGGCTTGCCCTGTAACAATGTGTTCTGTAACTATTAAATGAACATTAACTTATAAGCTCAATCCTTCTCTATAGGAAGGAATGAGGCCAAGACAGTAAACAGTAAAAACATTCAATAACCACTGTGTTCTACCATGTTTACTTTGTAGACATGAGCCCATGAACCTGACTTTCAAATAAAGGGGAAGAGACACCCTTCATTTTATTGTAGTGTTGACAAGGGAGAGAGATGAACACATATACACACAACACACATATGTGCACGCAAACATTTTTAAGTAGTTTTAGACTATTTATTACATGTGAAATTTAGGGTTTAAAGGTGATCTCTCTAATATGTCTACTATTTAACCAGAGTGCTGGAGTAAAAGCTAAAATATGAATTCTAATCTCATCTCTTGATGTTAACTTCCTCTGTGGTCTGTATATGATAGTTGGTAGCTGACTACCAACTATCCACTAGTACCTGATAGCCAGTTGGCTGATAGGAAACCCTGGTCTCAGTAGTAGGTCAGCTGTGAGCATGGACCCATCACTTAACTTCACCAAGACTCAGTTTCTCATCTGTGAAGTGGCAGTAATTACAGACCCTTTAGGTAACAGTGGGATAACTAGGTGAGAAAGTGCTGTGAGCATTTAAAAGAGCATCAACCAAGACACAGCAAACTATTATTATTGTACTCCGGTTATCTAATTTCTCCATGTAGAAATACAGCTATTAACTGAAATACCTCTCAATGACACAGCGAAACCTTATCTTTGAGAGTTTTTGTAGAGCTTTGAAGATGAAAGGATGCTAAGAGGTTTCTTCACATTAATTCTGGTCCCACCTGATTTTGTGTTAAATGACATGAGGGATGGTGATTGTGTTCTGGTGGAGTTATTAAAAGTGGGCAGCTGCTTCTTTTAAAACCTCTTATTATAGAAGTCAACCTGGCCGGGCGCAGTGGCTCACACCTGTAATCCCAGCACTTTGGGAGGCCGAGGCAGGCGGATCACGAGGTCAGGAGTTTGAGACCAGTCTGGCCAACATAGTGAAACGCCATCTCTACTAAAAATACAAAAAATTAGCCAGATGTGGTGGTGTGCACCAGTAATCCCAGCTACTCAGGAGGCTGAGGCAGGAGAATTGCATGAACCTGGGAGGCGGAGGTTGCAGTGAGCCGAGATCCCGCCACTGCACTCCAGGCCCGGGCCACAGCATGAGACTCCATCTAAAAAAAAAAAGTCAACCTGAGAGAGAATGATATAACAAACCAATCATGTGCATTTAGCAGTTGTCAAGATTTTGCCACACTTGTTTTGTCCATTCTTTTTTTCTTCCTTTTACTCAAGCAAACCCCAGACATCATGTCATTTCATCAATACATATTTCAAGATATATTTCCTTTTTTATTTTTGAGCAATTTTTGTGTGCGTGCCTCTAAATATTCAGTAGGTTCATTTATTTTGTTTTCAATTTAGGAGTTGCTTTTTCCCACTTTTGGTTAAACTTAGATTTTTAGTTATGTAAACATTCATAGAATTTCAAAATCAGAACTATAAACCTAGATATAGTCACATCAGTTGTGCTTCCATTATGTGTTCTCATCTGTTTCCCTCTATCCCCCTACAAATAACTAATTTTTATTATTCCTTCGGTTGCTGTTTTTTTTTTTTTGAGACAGGGTTTTACTGTGTCCCCTAGGCTAGAGTGCAGTGGCACGATCTTGGCTCATTGCAACCTCTGCTTCCCAGACCCACGAGATCCTCCCACCTCAGCCTCCTGAGTAGCTGGGACTACAGGCGTATGCCACATGCCTGGCTAATTTTTGTAATTTTTGTAAAGAGGAGGTTTCACCATGTTGCCCAGGCTGGTCTTGAACTCCTGGGCTCAAGTGATTTGCCCACCTTAGTTTCCCAAAGTGCTGGGATTACAGGCATGAGCCACCACATCAGCTATTCTGTTGCTTCTTTTAAAAAAATATTTTCTAAATAGCCAGCATACTATGAACACTGTTCTGCACTATTCTTTTTAAATGATTTATCCTGGAGGTTATTCCATATCAGTGTACTGAGAGAGTCCTGATTTCTTTTTAATAGCTACATAATATTCCATTAGCCAATTTGCCTAATTGATGGATATTTAGGTTGTTTCCTTTTTTTGTTACTATAAATAATGGTACAGTCTTAACTTTGACCATGAGGCATTTATATTTTTTTTCAGTGTGTCTTTGATATTGTTTCCTACAAGAGGAAATGCATATGTAATTTTGCTGGATACTATGGGATTAGCCTGTCTTGCAATTGTACCATTTTGCATTCCAAACAACCGTATGTGAGAATGCCTGTTTTTCTGCAACCTCAGTAAGGAAGTTGTCTAACTTTTGTATTTTTACCAAGTTTTTTCTGTTTTGAGATAGGGTCTTGCTCTGTTGCCCAGGCTGATGTACAGTGGTACAATCATAGCTCACTGCAGCCTTGAACTCCTGGGCTCAAGGGATTCTCCTGCCTTAGCCTTTCAAATAACTAGGACTACAGGTGCATGCCAAGATGCCTGGCTAATTTTTATTTTATTTTATTTTATTTTTATTTTTTTGTAGAGACAAGGTCTTGCCAGTCTTGAACTCCTGGCTTCAAGTGATCCTCCTTCCTCCTCCCAAAGTAGTGAGATTACAGGCATGAGCCACTGTGCATGACTGGCGTTTGCTCTTCTCGATGTTTGGGAATGTTCTACAGATTATAGATATTTGCTGTTTATGAAAAAATTTGCAAGTACCTTTTCCTCATTTGTTAATTAGAATTACCTCATTAAAAAAATCAAGGTAGAAGTATAATTTACAAACACATTACATTCACACATTTTAGAGCACAGTGCAAGAAGTATATGTATATAATTGTGTAACCCACCATGACCACAATCAAGATTAGTTCCTGTCATTTGCCTTTGGACTCTGCTTATTGCATTCTATTTTGCCATGAAGTTGTGCTTTGTTTTGGAGACAGAGTCTCACACTCTGTTACCCAGACTGGAGTGCAGTAGAGCTATCTCAGCTCACTGCAACCTCCGCTTCTGGGGTTCAAGCAATTCTCCTGCCTCAGCCTCCCAAGTAGCTGGGACTATAGATACATAACACCATGCCTGGCTAATTTTTGTATTTTTAGTAGAGACAGGGTTTTGCCATGTTGCCCAGCTGGTCTTGAACTCCTGGCCTGAAATTATCTGCCCACCTCAGCCTCCCAAAGTGCTGGGATTACAGGCATGAGCTGTGCCTGGCTGAAGTTGTGTTTTTTTAGCTGCTACATCCATGACTTAATGTAAACAGGTTCTTTCAACAAATATCTCATAATTCTCTTCTGTGTTTTAAACAAACAGATTATATAGGCCTAATGTATATTCTAGCTGGGGATATGAGGACACATTATTATAACTAGTATAAATTAACTTCTTTCTGTTAAAGGAACCTCTAAGGTAAAATTTTGAAATCCTGTAGCAAAGCTGAATAGGATTGCTCCTTTTTATTTGAAGGGTCATGGGGCAAGCAGGCGGATCACCTGAGGTCAGGAGTTCAAGACCAGCCTGGCCAACATGGTGAAAGCCCATCTCTACTAAAAATACAAAAATTAGTCAGGTGTGGTGTCAGGTGCCTGTAATCCCAGCTACTCAGGAGGCTGAGGCAGGAGAATCACTTGAACCCAGGAGACAGAAGTTGCAGTGAGCCTAGATCACACTACAGCACTCCAGCCTGGGCGACAGGGTGAGACTCTGTCTCAAAAAAAAAAAAAAAAAAAAAAAAGCAGGGGAGGGCCATGGCTGGGCGTGGTAGCTCACACCTGTGATCATAACACTTTGGGAGGCCAAGGTGGGAGGATTGTTCAAGCCCAGGAGTTCAAAACCAGCCTGGGCAACGTAGTGAGACCCCATCTCTACAAAAAATTTTAAAAATTAGCCAGGCATGGTGGAATGCACCTGTAGTCCCAGCTACTCAGGAAGCTGAGGTGGAAGGATTGCTTGAGCCCAGGAGGTCAAGGCTGCAGTGAGCTATGATTGCACCCCTGCACTCCAGCCTGGGTGACAGAGCAAGATTCTGTCTCAGAAAAAAAAGGGGTGGGGTGTGGGGCATGTAGTAGCCTAGTACTTTCAAACCTTTTTAGCAGAACCCTTTCCTCTCCTCCCACCAATAAAGTTTTTAATCTTGTGTGGAATCTCACTGAATAAACAAAAACAATGTTTTATTACTATAAATTTATTTTTATAAATTTGAATGTATAACCTTTACTTAAAAGGTAATGAAAGCAATTAGGTAATTTTGAGGTAGCCTCAAAAGACTTTTGATACTCTTGCTATTTCCAACATGCTGCTATAAGGAAATCAAAATATACCACTCCAAAATATGCCACTTTGGTATAGCGATTATTTTGCGCTGAAGGCAATAGAGAAACAGCAGACTCAGGGAAAACTCTAAAAACACAGCATACCCTTCCCTTTTGCAAAGAAAATTTACATTTGTAAAGGAAATTTCTTTCTTTTTTTGAGCTGGGGGTGGTACGGTGGTGGGTTTTGCTATGTTACCCAAGCTGGTCTTCTGGTCTTGAACTCTTGGGCTCAAACGATCATCCCACCTTAGCCTCCCAATTAGCTGGGACTATAGGCAGGTACCACCGTGTTTGGCAGAAATTTCTGTTTGTGAAGATGTCCTCTTCTCTACCAGAAAGAGGAGAATGACTCCAAAGACACAGACACACACACAGACACACACACACATGCACACTACATACACACAAACACAACTCTTACCATCTGAGATGACTTTTCATATGAAATCTTTTTTTTTTTTTTTTTTTTTTTGAGACAGTCTTGCTCTGTCGCCCAGGCTGGGGTGCAGTGGTGCAGTCTTGGCTCACAGCTACCTCCGCCTCCCCAGTTCAAGTGATTCTCCTGCCTCAGCCTCCTGAGTAGCTAGGACTATAGTTGTGTGCCACCACGCCAGGCTAATTTTTGTATTTTTAGTAGAGAAGGGGTTTCACCATGTTGGCCAGGCTGGTCTCGAAGTCCTGACCTCAAGTGATCAGCCCGCCTCGGCCTCCCAAAGTGCTGGGATTACAGGCATGAGTCACTGCACCCAGCTTCTTCATAACAAATCTTACAAAACAACTCTTATACACCACACATTTCCTAGTCATCTTCCCCAAACCTACTTCCCCCTGCACCTGGAAGTCCAAAACCACCTTCTCCAGGACTTATTAAATGATATATAAACCCTGGGGAATATTTGCATCTTTGTGCTTTCATTCCTTTTTCTGTGAAGTTCCCATATGCGTATGTAATACATCTTTTTCTCCTGTTAATTTGTTTTTTGTCAATCTAATTTGTAGGCCTCCATGTACAGAACCTAAGAGGATGCAGGGAAAAGTTTCTTCTTCTACACTACCCACATCACAGGAACCTTGCAAGCTTAGTGGAAGACTGAAATGTGTTTGATTGTTTTTGAACTATTAGGGCTCATAAAACAATACCCCAAAATGAGGGTTTCAGAAGCAGCCTAAGAAGCAAAAGTTTTTCTCTGACCTTTTCCTGTCCTCCTTTCTCTCAATCCCATTCTCCCTCAAGTCTAGTCATCGAAACTAGAATCTCTCTTCCCCAAGGCAGGTCATAGAAACCAGAACCCCTTTTCTCCAAAGCCAGCCATAAAACCTAAAAATATTACCCAGACTTTCCCTCCCCCTTTCTTTGTAAAAGCTATCCATAAAGAAATCACCTGACCTAACTTGTTTGACTGTAGGTCAACAAGGGTCCTGCCCCAAACCCAGAAGGAAGGAATGCATGCTCAGAGAGGCCAGGAAGAATCTAGGCAGACAGGCCTTGCTGGGTTTCCCCACTCAGTCTACTAGCATTTGATCAGACCCTTTTTGTCCAATTATATTTTTACATGGCTCTCTGTGCTTTGTTGAACCCAAGCATAAAATGGACATTTTCCCCTGTACTTTTGAGTCTTCATTCTGAAGGCTCTCGTGTATACACGTTAAATAAATTTGTTTGCCTTTTCTTCAGTTAATCTACCTTATGCTAGTTGATTTTTTGGCAAACCTTCAGAGGGACAAGGGGAAAGCTCTCCCTTGGCTCCTGTGTTAGTCTGTTTTGTGTTGCTATAAAGGAAACCCGAAATTGCAAAATTTGTGAAGAAAAGAGGTTTATTTGGCTCACAGTTCTGCAGGCTGTACAAGCATGGCACCAGTGATGTTCAAGGATTTGGAGTTAAATTTCCCAGTGCCCAACAAGTGCTCATCCTGTGCACTGCATGTGTCCCTCGCTAAATGACAGGAAGTTTCACAAACTATGGTCAGAGCTTGTTTGTCTGATCCTTCCCAGTTGGTGTTACAACACAGCCCTCCACCCTCACCCCATGCCCCAACACTCTTTTCTTCATGTCATGCCCTGACTCCACTAGTTCCCAAATTCCCTGCAGATAAAATCTTAACTCTTCAGTATATATATATATATTTTTTTGAGACGGAGTTTTGCTCTTGTTGCCCAGGCTGGAGTGCAATGGCGTGATCTCAGCTCACCGCAACCTCCACCTCCCAGGCTCAAGTGATTCTCCTGCTTCAGCCTCCCAAGTAGCTGGGATTACAGGCATGTGCCACCACACCCGGTTAATTTTGTATTTTTAGTAGAGATCGGGTTTCTCCATGTTGGTCAGGCTGATCTCGAACTCTCAACCTCAGGTGATCCACCCAGGCTGATCTCGAACTCTCAACCTCAGGTGATCCACCCACTTCGGCCTCCTACAATGCTAGGATTACAGGCGTGAGCCACCGCACCCAGCCTCAGTGTATTTTTTTTTAACACGTTGGCCTTCACATATCTGGTCAATTTTTCTCCATTTTATTTTATTTTTTAATTTTTTTCCTGAGATGGAGCCTTGCTCTGTTGCCCAGACTGGAGTGCAGTGGCTCGATCTTCGCTCACTGCAACCTCCACCTCCTGGGTTCAAGCAGTTCTCCTTCCTCAGCCCCTCGAGTAGCTGGGATTGCAGGCATGCACCACCGTACCCAGCTAATTTTTGTATTTTTAGTAGAGACAGAGTTTCACCATGTTGGCCAGGCTGGTCTCAATTTCCTGACCTCGTGATCCACCTGCCTCACCCTCCCAAAATGTTGGGATTACAGGCATGAGCCATGGCACCCGGCCTATTTTATTTTTTATTTTATTTATTTTATTTTTATTTTTATTTTGAGACAGAGTCTCGCTCTATTGCCCAGGCTGGAGTGCAGTGTCACAATCTCAGCTCACTGCAACCTTTCCCTCCCAGGTTCAAGTGATTCTCCTGCCTCAGCCTTCCTAGTGGCTGGGATTTACAGTCGTGCACCACCACGCCTGGCTAATTTTTGTATTTTTAGTAGAGATGGGGTTTCACCATGTTGCCCAGGCTGGTCTCGAACTCCTGACCTCAGGTGATCCACCCACCTTAGCCTCCCAAAGTGCCGGGATTACAGGCATGCGCCAACCACACCTAGCCTATTTTAAGTGTTTGATTTAGCAGGCAAATAGATTGTGCTTAAGTTTTTGCTAGTGACCTGTCTTCTCCCTGAACTTCCTATTCTATTCCTCTTACGTATCCTTCTCCTTTAAGAATCAAACTAAATCCCACCTCCTTTGAAGGCTTCCTGACCAAATCTTTTATTTATTTTGTTTTGAGACAGAGTCTCACTCTGTCACCCAGGCTGGAGTGCAGTGGTGCAATCTCAGTTTACTGCAACCTCTGCCTCCCGGGTTCAAGCAATTCTCCTTCCACACCTCCCGAGTAGCTGGGATTACAGGCACAAGCCACCATGCCCAGCTAATTTTTTTGTATTTTTAGTAGAGATGGGGTTTCACCATGTTGGCCAAGCTGACCTAGAACTCCTGACCTCAAGTGACTTGCCCACTTTGGCCTCTCAAAGTGCTGGGATTACAGGCGTGAGCCACCTTGCCCGGCCCTTGACCAAATCTTATCACATTCTTCTGACTTTGGCTTATATTTTGACACATTCTTCACAGGTTTATTGATTGGGTAATCACAGTCTGTTATCATTACATAATTGTTCTATGGGGAATATTTTTTTCGTTAACTAGTTTATAAGGTTTTGAAGGCCAGAAATCTATCTAACTCTTCTTTTATGTCTTACCCAGTTTCCATGGTGCTATGCATATAATAAGATCTCAGTACTTAAGGTAGTGAAAGAGTGGATGTAGCTATAGCTATGGCATGGATATAGCACAGCAGGGAACAAGGGAGAACAATTGCTGAATTATATCCATCAGCAATTTTCCTTTGATATGGACAATTTATGCAGCCCAGCTTAGGCTACCACTAAGGCCTCCACAGAAATTCTGAGGGCACTGTTAGGTCTCTTACTTGTATTTATTAAGAAGGCTCAATTTCTCCCTGGAATGCCTTTCTTGAACAAAAAAGCATTTCTATTTTCCTAAAGCTGTTGTCATGAGACACAGATTTCTTTTTTTTTTTTAAATTATACTTTAAGTTCTAGGGTACATGTGCACAACGTGCAGGTTTGTTACATATGTATACGTGTACCACGTTGGTGTGCTGCAACCATTAACTCGTCATTTACATTAGGTATATCTCCTAATGCTATCCCTCCCCCCTCCCCCCACCCCACATCAGGCCCTGGTGTGTGATGTTCCTCTTCCTGGAGACACAGATTTCAAAGTCAGATATGGTCACCAGATCTCTGCCTTGTGTTTGTGATAAACAGTCCTTATTTAGCCACATTTTATTTATTTCTGTTCCCCTCTCTATCTCTTGACGCGCTGAGGTTAAATCTCAAGCAAAAATGTCAGAAATGTCTGTTTATTCTTCCCAGTTTACAAAATGCACGTGGCTGCAGAGATGACATGACTTGACAAGTAGTGGTGACTCTTCACTTTGAGGACAGCATTAATCTCCCAGCCTCAGCTCTGCTTCTAGAAGCCCCTGTAAGACATAATATCACTATGGATGGGTCATAATCATGGTCAATGCCTCATGGCAAAAAAAGTTCAGGATCTCCCTACCTGTATTCAAACTAAGGGATAGATGGCTAAAAGCCCTTAGCAGAAGCGTGGGGGTAGGGAGCACAAATTAATTGCAAGGACTGATCAAAATCAATGTTGGAAAGTTCAATGTCCCAGACAATTGAATAAAAATAATCTTTTCTCTCATTTAAAAACCTCGAATACAATCTCTGTCACACAAAGACACTCTCTAATAACATATTTCAAATCAATTCACTGCAAATCATTTGTGGCTGGAAACCCTTGTGGTTTCCTCTGAAGTTGTCTGACACTCCTCTCACCCTAGGTTGGCTGAGCCCGAAGGCTGTGTAGTGTAGTGATCAGGAGGGTGAACGTGGGAGCTCGGGCTGCCTTGCCGCTTGCCGTTGTAAAGTCTATGCCACGCTTCCAGGGGAAGATGAGAAGTGTTAGGAGGATTAAATGAGTTTAGGAGCGCTCAAAATACTGCCTGATAAGCCGGGCGCGGTGGCTCACGCCTGTAATCCCAGCACTTTGGGAGGCTGAGGCGGGTGAATCACGAGGTCAGGAGATCGAGACCATCCTGGCTAACACGGTGAAACCCCGTCTCTACTAAAAATACAAAAAATTAGCCGGGCGTGGTGGCGGGCGCCTGTAGTCCCAGCTCCTCGGGAGGCTGAGGAAGGAGAATGGCGTGAACCCAGGAGGCGGAGCTTGCGGTGAGCCAAGATCGCGCCACTGCACCCCAGCCTGGGCGAGAGAGAGAGAGACTCCATCTCAAAAAAAAAAAAAAAAAAAAAAGAATAGTGCCTGATACACAGTAAGAGGTCAAAAAATGTTCAATGAATTAATCTTTTTTCCTTATCTGAGGGGTCTTTTCTAGAAAAAATATCTCAGAAGTTAAAAAAACAAACAAACAACTAGCCAGGCACAGTGGCATGCATCTGTAATCCCAGCACCTTTGGAGGTAGAGGCAGGATTGCTTACATCCAGGAGTTCCAGACCAGGCTGGGCAGCATGGGAAATCCATCTCAAAACACACACAAACACACACAGACATACGCACACACATCACCACCAACTGCTCTTCAGGTTTTTGTCCCCCCTGTGGGCTTTCTTTCATTGGACATGAATAAACTAGTACTTTAATGAGCAAACTCATTAAACATACTGAGCAAACAGTATGTGTGTTTACTCGGTAAATTTCCCAACTATTTGAGGAACAACCTGCCTAATTAATTTTTAGTTTCAAATGCCCTTTGGGAGTCCTATATCTTTGCCAAAAAGATCCAAATGTTGAAGTTTGGATTTTGTTTTTTTTCTTTCTCATTTGAGGGAAGCTAGAATTCTCCACTGCTTCCATTCACCATATATGCATCATCTTTGTAGCGTGACTGAAAGAATTAACAAAAATTTTTAACTGTGACCTATATGTACGTAATAATAGTAAGTGGAAATTACCAACAGACATCTTAGACCCCAGTGGTTTTGTGTGGTTTTAGAATTTTTTATTTATGAAGCTATAACTTAGAGTTTTAAAACATTGTTACTATATTTGGTTTCTCAGGCTTAAATTGATTTCTGTCTTTTTCTGATTCGATTACTATGGGAAATCAGTTTTTAGATATAGAGGTGCTATATTGCTTTCTCCTTTCTTCAGTCTTCTCTTAATGTCATTGTAACCTTCCATAGTGCCCAAAACAGGGTCATATTCTATTTTTATCCATCTAGGCCTTATTTAAACTATTTTAGGCTGGGTGCAGTGGCTCATGTCTGTACTCCGAACACTTTGGGAGGCCACAGTAGGAGGACTGCTGGAGCTCAGTAGCTTGAGACCAGCCTGGGCAACACAGGCAGACCATGCCTCAATAAATAAATAAATAAATCAGCTGGGCATGGTGACACACGCCTGTAGTCCCAGCTACTCGGGAGGCTGAAGCAGAAGGATCAATTGAACCTGGGAGGTTGAAGCTATAGTGAGCCATGATCCTGCCACTGCACTCAGCCTAGGTGACAGAGTGAGACCTTGTCTTAAAAATATGTAATAAAAAATTTAAAAAATAGAAACCATTCTAGTAGTTATTGCTATTTCAAAACAAAATATTTTCTACAAAATTGTTCGTGAGAGTCTGCTTTACTACCATGACTTAAGTTTTCAGAAGCTTTAGGTCTGAGGCCCTGCTCTAACGCCATCATCTATGGATGAAGATCCTCATAGTATTAAAATGTAGTTGTTTAAAAAATTTCAATTACCATCTGCCTTTCAGTTTATTTTACTATAAAATTAAGAATATGACTGGGCTTGGCCTGTAACCCCAGCACTATGGGAGGCTGAGGTGGGTGGATTGCTAGAGCCCAGGAATTTGAGACCAGCCTGGGCAACATGGAGGGACCCCGTCTCTACAAAAAATTAGCTGGCGTGATGGTGCGTGCCTGTAGTCCCAGCTACTCAGGAGGCCGAGGTGGGAAGGTCCCTTGACCCTGGGAGGGGGAGGCTTCAGTGAGCTGTGATCAGGCCATTGCACTCCAGCCTGGGCAAGAGAGCAAGACTCTGTCTCTTAAAAATAATTAAGAAATATAAGGCCGGGTGCAGTGGATCATGCCTGTAATCCCCGCACTTTGGGAGGCCGAGGCGGGCAGATCACGAGGTCAGGAGATCAAGACCATCCTGGCTAACAAGGTGAAACCCCGTCTCTACTAAAAATACAAAAAATTAGCCGGGCGTGGTGGCGGGCGCCTGTGGTCCCAACTACTCGGGAGGCTGAGGCGGGAGAATGGGGTGAACCTGGGAGTCAGAGCTTGCAGTGAGCTGAGATCATGTCACTGCACTCCAGCCTGGGTGACAGAGCGACTTCGTCTCAGAAAAAAAAAAAAAAAAATTAAGAAATATTCCATGCATAGGCCAGGTGTGGTGGCTCACGTCTACAATCCTGGCATTTTGGGAGGTTGAGGTGGGAGGATTGGTTGAGCTCAGGAGTTTGAGACTAGCCTGGGAAACATAGTGAGACCTCATCTCTATTTTTTTTTTTTAAATATTATAACAGGGCCAGGCATGGTGGCTCACGCCTGTAATCCCAGCACTTTGGGAGGCTGAGGCGGGTGAATCATGAGGTCAGGAGATCGAGACCATCCTGGCCAACATGGTGAAACCCCATCTCTACTAAAATACAAAAAAAATTAGCTGGGCATGGTGGTGCACACCTGTAGTCCCAGCTACTCTGGAGGCTGAGACAGGGGAATTGCTTGAACCCGGGAGGCGGAGGTTGCAGTGAGCTAAGATCACGCCACTACACTCCAGCCTGGTGCCAGAGCGAGACTCCATCTCAAAAAAAAAAGAAAAAAGAAAAAAAAATGAAAAAAAGTCAGCTCGGAGCAGTGGCACACACAATCTGTAGTCCCAGCTATACACCACGCTGAGCCCAGGAGTTCGAGGCCAGCCTGGGCAACATAGTGAGATCCAATCTCTAAAAATGAAAAAAAGAAAGAAAGAAAGAGAAAACAGAAAGCCTCACAACTAAAGAAGGATTTCTCCCTATACTCTTTACTCTCCCAAACTCAGGGTGTAGGCCAGGCGTGGTGGCTCACGCCTGTAATCCCAGCACTTGGGAGGCCAAGGTGGGTGGATCACAAGGTCAGGAGTTTGAGACCAGCCTCGCCAACATGGTGAAACCACATCTCTACTAAAAATACAAAAATTAGCTGGGCGTGGTGGCAGGCACCTGTAATCCCAGCTACTTGGGAAGCTGAGGCAGGAGAATCGCTTGAACCTGGGAGGCGGAGGTTGCAGTGGACTGAGATCGTACTGCTGCACTTCAGTCTGGGTGACAGAGCAAAACTCTGTCTCAAAAAAAAAGAAAAAAAAAGAGTTGGGAGTGTAGCTCTTCAATTTATCTGTTTGGTTTCTTTAACTTTTTTTTTTGTTGTTGTTGTTGTTTGTTTCTTTATCTTTCAAAGGAGAAAGGTAATTATGACTTGGTCAGAGTAAGCATTAATGTCAAGGGCTTTGAGGGTCTGAGATACAAGGTAACATGATTATGATGATCAAGGATTTTTTCATCAGGTATATGCTTTCCCTTGGCCAGTTCTTATCACAGTAATGAGGAAATGCAGAAGCCTATGATGAAATTCACTTGGACACAGATACCGAACTATGGGGTTTATCTTGCAGTCCTCGTACCAGGTAGTGCCCTTTGCACAAAATATTTCAGCTCATTAGGTCCTAGATATGTTGGATGGACAAATCTAGTGATGGAAAAGCCATTTGCTTTTCTCCCCCACCTTGTCCTATAAACCGGGGTTACCTCCAGGCTCACAGGTAACACATCCTTTCCTTGATTATTGAGGATGTGCCCAAACATGGAAATACTATCCTTATACGTAATCATATTAGCTAACATCATGAGCTTTTATTATGTGCCAGGCACAATGTTTTGCATGTCTTAGTTTACTTAATCCCTTTAAGAATCCTATAAGGTAAGATTTTATTACCCTCCCTTTCCAGATGTAGAACTGAGGTTTAACCAGTTTAGATAATATGCTGTGGGTCACACCATCTGAGCCCACATTTGAACACAGGCAGTCTGATTTCCTTTTTTTTTTCTTTTTCTTTTTTGAGATGGAGTCTTGCTCTGTCGCCAGGCTGGAGTGCAGTGGCACGATCTTGGCTCACTGCAATGTCTGCCTCCTGGGTTCAAGCGATTCTCCTGCCTCAGCCTCCTGAGTAGCTGGGACTATAGGCATACGCCACCACGCCCAGCTCATTTTTGTATTTTTAGTAGAGATGGGGTTTCACCATGTGGGCCAGGATGGTCTCGATCTCCTGACCTCATGATCTGCCCACCTCAGCCTCCCAAAGTGCTCGGATTACAGGTTTTCTTTTTTTTTTTTTTTAGACAGGGTTTGACTCCGTTGCCCAGGCTGGAGTGCAGTGGCCTGATCATGGCTCACTGTAGCCTTGACCTCCCAGGCTCAAGCAATCCTCCCACCTCAGCCTCTTGAGTAGCTGGGACTACAGGCATACACCACCATGCCCGGCTAATTTTTGTATCTTTTGTAGAGACAGGGTTTCGTGATGTTGTCCAGGCTGGTCTCCAACTCCTGCGTTCAAGCTATCTGCCTGCCTCAGCCTCTCCAAATGGTAGGATTACAGGTGTGAGCCACTGTGCCCAGCCCAGGCTGATTTCTCACCCCACATACTTAACAACCAAACACATTGCCTTTCAGTTATTATACCATTTATTCCTGTCATTGCCATGAACAAAATGGAAGCAACCAGGGTGATAGTTGCAGCCAATAGGCACTGACCAAAGAGAACAGCCGCTGATTGTATCGGTTCAACTATTAAGAGCCTGTCCTCCAGCTACCAGGCTGATGTAACCAACTCTTTTTTTTTTTTTCTTTTGAGATGGAGTCTTGCTGTGTCGCCCAGGCTGGAGTGCAGTGGCGCGATCTCGGCTCACTGCAAGCTCCGCCTCCCGGGTTCACGTCATTCTCCTGCCTCAGCCTCCCGAGTAGCTGGGACTACAGGCGCCCGCCACCGTGCCCAGCTAATTTTTTGTATTTTTAGTACAGACGGGGTTTCACCGTGGTCTCGATCTCCTGACCTTGTGATCCGCCCGCCTCGGCCTCCCAAAGTGCCGGGATTACAGGCGTGAGCCACCGTGCCCGGCCATGTAACCAACTCCTATCATCTTTGAGTTTGTCATATATTTTTTTTTTAATTTATTTTATTTTATTTTTATTTTTTTTTTAGGCAGAGCCTTGCTCTGTTGCCCAGGCTGTAGTACAGTGGTGCCATCTCGGCTCACTGCAACCTCCACCTCCCTGGTTCAAGTGATTCTTCTGCCTCAGCCTCCTGAGTAGCTGGGATTGCAGGCACCCACCACATTCAGCTAATTTTTGTATTTTTTTTAGTAGAGATGGGGTATCACCATGTTGGCCGGGCTGGTCTTGAACTCCTGACCTCAGGTGATCTGCCTGCCTCAGCCTCCCAAAGTGCTGGGATTACAGGTGTGAGCCACCACACCCAGCCTGTCAGAATTTTTGAGAGAAATTTTAGAACATATTTTTTTTCCTTTTTAAAGCCAATTTAAATACCTCTGCTATGGGTTGCTTTTTTTTTTAAGGTAAGAAAATGAACTTTCTAAATTATCTTCAGGGGAACAACTTAGCAATCATTTAAAAACTCTTACTTCTTTTTCTATCTGTCTCTACTGATTCTACCAATGTCAATGGAGGAGAACAGAACGTGGCAGAAATATTATGAGAGATATGACTATTCCAGCAGGAACAAAATGATGGGAATATAGGATGATAACAGGTCAACTCAACTGGCTTAAACAAGGCAGTATCTAGGCCGGGCGTGGTGGCTCACGCCTGTAATTCCAGCACTTTGGGAGGCTGAGGCAGGTGGATCAACTGAGGTTGGGAGTTCAAGACCAGCCTGACCAAGATGGAGAAACCCCATCTCTACTAAAAATACAAAATTAGCCAGGGTAGTGGCGCATGCCTGTAATCCTAGCTACTCGGGAGGCTGAGGCAGGAGAATCGCTTGAACCCGGGAGGTGGAGGTTGCGGTGAGCCGAGATTGCACCATTGCACTCCAGCCTGGTAAAAAGAGCGAAACTCCGTCTCAAAAAAAAAAAAAAAAAAAAAGCAGCGAGATAATATCTTATGTCACATAACAAGAAGTCCTAATTAGGGTGGTGTCAAACCTGGTTAATCAAAGAGCTATGAAGTCTTTGTATTGTTCTGCTTTGCCATGGTGTCTATTTTGTCCACAATATGGCTACAGAATTCCTAGGTACCATATGCAAGCATGCAAGATCCAGAGGAAGAAGACATAGTCTTTTTTTGTAGGTTTCTTTTAAAAGTGAGGAACATCTTCCTAAAAGGCACCAAGCCAGGTTTCCTTCTGGTCTCAGTGGTCAGGTCTGTGAGACCTGTCCATGCCTAAAGCAATCCCTGGCAAGGGGAATGGGACCACTACGACTGACTCTGCACGTCAGGCCTTACCCCTGTGAGCTGAGATTGGACTTCTTTTCCCGAGGGGATTCTTGAATTAAAGTCCTTGTTTAGTTAACAAGAAAGAAGTGAGTGATGAATGTTAAGTATGCAATAAGGTCTAATATTTGGGGCAAGAAAGATGAATATTTGCTTGATCCTATTCTATGCCAAGGACTTTGCCTGGATTCTTTCACTTAATCCTTACAGTAAACCAAAGAAAATAAAATGAAGACATTGTCATCCCCATTTTGCTGCTGATGAACCTGAGGCATAGAGAAGTTAATTAAATTGTTAAAGGTCACATAAGAGTCAGTGATAGCCAAGGCAGGCAGATCACCTGAGGTCAGGAGTTTGAGACCAGCCTGGCCAACATGGTGAAACCCTGTCTCTACTAAAAATACAAAAATTGGCCGGGTGAGGCGGTGCGTGCCTGTAATCCTAGCTACTCGGGAGGCTGAGGCGGGAGGATCGCTTGAACCCGGGAGGCAGAGGTTGCAGTGAGCTGAGATCATAGCACTGCACTCCAGCCTGGGTGACAGAGTGAGACTGCGTCTCAAAAAAACAAAACAAAACTTGAACTTGGTTGCATACATTTAATTTTATTTATTCCACCCCCTTCCCTGAATTTGAAATGTTAAAAGTGTCTAGTTGCTTAACATGACATTTTGAATTTTTACAGATACAATTTTCATGAGCTAAATTTTAAATTCACAATATTTTAATTAAAAATGCTACCAGGCTAGGCATGGTGGCTCACACCTGTAATCCCAGCCTTTTTGGAGGCCGAGGTGGGAGGATCACTTGAGCCTAAGAGTTCATCAAGACCAGCCTGGGCAACATAGTGAGATCTTGTCTCTACAAAAAAAATATAAAAATTAGCCAGGCCTGGTGGCATATGCCTGTAGTCCCAGCTACTCGGGAGGCTGAGGTGGGAGGATTGCTTGAGCTTGGGAAGTCGAGGCTGCAGTGAGCCAACATGGCACCACTGCACTCCAGCAACAAAGTGAGGCCCTGTCTCAAAAAAAAAAAAAGCTACCAGAAAAATATGCAAATATCATTATGCTGCTTTTAGGAAACAAAATCACAATTCTTCCTTCCTTTATTTATTTATTTATTTATTTATTTTCTGAGGCAGAGTCTCCCTGTGTCGCCCAGGATAGAGTGCAGTGGCGTGATCTTGGCTCACTGCAACCTCTGCCTCCAGGGCTCAGGTGACTCTCCTGCCTCAGCCTCCCGAATAGCTGGGACAACAGGCATGTGCCATCATGCCCAGCTAATTTTTTTATATATTTTCAGTAGAGATGGGGGTTTCACCATGTTGGTCAGGCTGGTCTTGAACTCCTGACCTCAAGTGATCTGCCGGCCTCAGCCTCCCAAAATGCTGGCATTACAGGCGTGAGCCACCTCACTCGGCCCTTTCCTTTATTTATGTTTTTTTTGTTGCTTAAAAGCAGTGCTTCCATTTCATTATTTGATCATGGCTTTTAAAATTATTTTATTTATTTATTTTTTTAAGAGACAGACTCTTACTCTGTTACCCAGGCTAGAGTGCAGTGGTAAGATCATAGTTCATTACAGCCTCAAACTTCTGGGCTCAAGTGATCCTTCCACCTAGCCTCCTGAGTAGCTGGGACCACTAGCATGTGACACCACATTGGCTAATTTTTTTTTGTTTTTTGTTTTTGTTTTTGTAGAGACAGGGTCTCATTTTGTTGCCCAGGCTGGTCTTGAACTCCTGGCTTCAAGCAATCCTCCCACCTCGGCCTTCCAAAGTGCTGGGATTACAGGCGTAAACCACCATGCCTGGCCTAATCATGCCTTTATAAAAAAATCATTTTTTTTTAGAGAAAAGGTCTCACTATGTTGGTCAGGCTGGATAGGAACTCCTGAGTTCAAGTGATCCTCCACCTCAGCTTCCCCCTGTGCCCCACTCAATCATGCCTTTTTATTATAACTGATTCTGATGGTATGCTGACAGATATACAAATTAATCCAGTCCTTTGGAGCTTAAAAATAATACAATGAAAAAAATCATTTTTATGGTGTGGTGCATCATAAAGTTTATTTATTTATTTATTGAGACGAAGTTTTGCTCTTGTCGCCCAGACTGGAGTGCAATGGCGCCACCTCGGGTCACTGCAACCTAGGCCACTCCGGGTTCAAGCGATTCTCCTGCCTCAGCCTCCCGAGTAGCTGGCGCACGCTACCACGCCCAACTAATTTTTGTAGTTTTAGTAGAGGCGGGGTTTCACCACGTTGGCCAGGCTGGTTTCCAACTCCTGACCTCAAGTGATCCACCCGCCTCTGCCTCCTCAGGCGTGAGCCATCGCGCCCGGCCAATAAAGCATTTTAATGCATTTTTCCTCAAAGTATTCATAAACTTCAACTTGTTCTAGGTAAAATTATTTTCCCCTTTCTACCCACAATAAAATGAGTAATTTAAGCCCTTAACCTACACATTATTCTTACCTTGGAATATTTAATAAGAGCTGCGCTAATATTATATCTGAATAATGAAATAAGAGAAACCAAATAAGAAAAATTTGTCATAAAGCCCTATTCTCCTACATTAGATTATGTGCATGGCACACACACGGATCAGCTTAAGCTGGGTGAAACTATATGGAGTTAGAATTCCTGGCTTCCTATCATTCAGTAGCTGTGTGGCCGAGAAGAAGACTTTAATGTTGTAGGACCTTTAAAATGGGCTGTAACTCAAAGGCCCTCCTTCTGGAGTTGTTGTGAATCACGTGGGGTAATATATACTAGTTTACAAGATGGATGTGTAAGCCCGAAGGTGGAGCAGGTTTGCAAGCCTTCTTTCAGCCTAGGGACAGTAGGATGACTCATGAGTCAATTCTTCTCTCCTTCCCGTCATTTCGGGTCCAACTCTTCCTCCTGTAGTCCACAAAAGAGCACGGCTGACCGATACCAAGCAGAGAACCCAGTAGGGTATGTGACCACGTTCAGATCAACAGAACGCAAAGCAGAACGGTCCGAGTACTGCCTCCTACAGCCACTTTCCTTTCTTTAAGCCTCAGCTGCTGCTCTAGGTGTAAAACCGGCATAAAATAGCACTACGTACCTTGCAGAGTTGCTCGGAGGATTGAAGGAGATAATGTAAGAGAGTTTGGCTAGTTTGGCTATGATGGATGGACATTTTCTCTTTTCTAACGTCTCTCTTCCCCTCCTAATGAAACCTCTTCTGAAGCTCGCTAACTATAGCAGGGCTTGCAGCTTCAAAAAAACCTTTCAGTCAAGATCTTGAAATTAGTATTATTTAAATCAGTGCAGTAACACCAAGGTGTAAAAGACTGTTACCCACTGGTGGCTTTAAGAGGATTAGCTGACTGAAGAGTTTTAGAAAACATGGAAACTTTTTTTGTACGTGGATGGATGGAATTCCCTGATCTCCTTATCCCCACCACTTAAACCATGCCTTGTGGGTGACCGTGGAAGGCTGATTGTGGCGGGGACATTTACAAAGCACATTTAATTGATAAGCACTCGATTGTTCTGTAACTATAGAACTAGTTCACCTTTCAGTTGCACTGAGTGCGCCTAAGATAACGATCTTATTTGGAAGTGAGCCCTCGCTAGAAAGAAGGGGAAAAGGGTAAGACCGAAGCTCAAATGAATGACCAGAAAGGATGTTTTCATTCGAATAAACTCAACCCAGTTTTTGACCTCCCCACCCATCTCTGCCAACTTGAAATCCTCCTGGAGGGGCGAGCTGCTGGGGTTCAGGACTGGGCGTTGCGGCTGCAGGAAGCCGTGGGACCTGGGGGGTCCCTCGGCCGGGCAACCCCCACCCACCCCTACAGGACCCTGGTGCGGGGGCGAGCAGGGAGTGGACGCAGAGAAAGTTCCCCGCTCTGCTCCCGCCCTCTCCGAAACTCGAGCCAGCGAGGCTGGGGGCGGGCGGACGGCTCGCAGAGGAATTTGCAGTTTCCGGGAGGTTGAGGAAGCGACCCGAGCACAGCCCCAGCAGACGCAGCCCTAGCGCCCGGCTTTCCGGGTTCCGCGACGCTGTCGGGAGAAACCCGCGCGCCTGGAAGGGGCGGGCCGGGCTCCCCCCACCTGCGGGCGGGCGGGGAGGGTCGCGGCCGCGCGGGGTGGGGCTCGGCCGGTCGCCCGTCCGGGGCGGGGCCCAGGGAGGCGGGGTCGCGGGCGCACCGGGGCCGAGCCGCGCCTGGAGCCTGGCGGGGAGGCGGCAGGAGGGGCCGGGAGAGCCTGATTGAGCGGCGGCCGCAGCTGCATAAGGACTGCCCGGGGCTGCGCGCCGGGAACCTCGCGGGGCTGGCGGGCGCCGCACCCCCTCCCTGGCCGCCTGCGCCCCGGGGAGGCCGCCCGCGCGCGACGGGACCGGCAGCATGAGCAGCGGCTACAGCAGCCTGGAGGAGGACGCCGAGGACTTCTTCTTCACCGCCAGGACCTCCTTCTTCAGGAGAGCGCCCCAGGGCAAGCCCCGCTCCGGCCAACAAGTGAGTGGCGCGCGGCGGGCGCTGCAGCCCGCGCCCCAGAGTTCCGGGGAACCCGCCAGCCCGCGCCCCCTGCCTCCACGTGTCTCTGCGGGGCGCTCGGGGGATGCTCGCCGGGAAGGAGGAGCGGGCCGAGAAGTGGCTTCTGCCTTTTCGGGTCCCGGGAACGTGCCTGGAGCTTGTGCGTGTAGGCGAGGGAAGGCGGAGGAAGGGCGGGGAGGCTGAGGGCCGGCTTCTGCCTTCCGCGCCAGATGGCCTCTGCAGCTCCGCCTCGGGCTGCCGCCTGCGGGGAGCAGCCCCGGAGCCAGCAGGCGTCCCCGGGCCACTCCCCCAGGTTTCCCCTTCGCGTCCCCGCTGGGTCGACGGTCGGGTTCGCGCGCCTGTCCTTCCTGTTAGTCAGCTTACTCATCTGTGGCCCCCAGAGTGGCTTGGGTCAACGTGTAATAGCTAGGGGTGGCCGGGTGACCTGACCTCCCCTCTTCCTGGCCCGGGCGACCTGGTGGAGTGGGGGTCCAAGGGCACCGTGGGCCTCGCCACCATAGGCTCTCACTAAATCTCCGTTGCGGGACTCAGGGTTGTGCGTTTTCTGTAAAGCTAGGTTTTTTGGTGCCCAGATGTTTTGCAAACAAGCTCCTATGCTAAATACTAGCCAGCGACAGCTAACCTTTTCGCCGGTTTCTTCCTTTTTTGGAGGCAGCATGCCGTGGGAAGCACGAGTTGGGAAAAGATGGGAAGGGAACTTGTGCCAGTTTCGCCAGCTGTAGCCGTGTTTTTTGGGAGGCCTTCCCGAAACGGGGCACGTCGGCTGGACTGAGGAGCCCGGTGCTAGAGCCCGCGGCCTCCTGGCACTAGGAGCCGCACCAGGGGAGCCGGGCCAACCCGGCCACGCTCACATCAGATTACAGAAGATTGTAATGGCACAAATTTGTTGCTTTTAGAAAACAGGCGTTCGCCAAACATTTCTATTAATACCGGACTGAGACCTAGAGACTAGAAGCAAGAAGAATCGTTCAGGGGCCGGATGATAACTTCTTTTGGTGGATGTGGGAGGGTGCAATCTGTCAGGGTGGTCTTGCCAGACCTCTTAAGTTTAGCCACTTTCTGAAGTAAAATTCTTTCTAAAATTCGGAAGTTCTAGTCTTTTCAGGCTCTTAAGTCCCAAACCAGGAGGAGGAGAGGAGACGGTGAAGGGTAAGCTGAAGTCAAGTGCCCTTATTCAGTAACCGCAGTTAATCTCAAGTCCCGGTGCCATAGTTGTCCGTCTTGTATTGTTTCTAAGGCTTAAGGCCCCACTATTTACGAGTCACTTTGAGTGGGATCTCTTACTTTCAGCAGAGTGTGTTCTGAGAGCATGAGATTGCTGTGAAGTTTGGAAGTTGGAAACGCCCTCTCCTCCCCCATGCCCACCCTCCCTGGGTTGTAGAAAAATTGCATTTGCTTATGCTTTTTCCATTTTTGCTTTCTCTTTCTTGGCCTCTCTCTTCCCCTTCTCCGTTTTGCATTTTCTCCTTTCATTTATGTTGCTTTCACCACTTGACATGAAAAGGAACTCATGGTAGTTTGAAGTTTATTCCAGAGGTGTCTGCTAATCTCCTGAAAACTGGCTGGTTCTTGGATTCTCCAGGGGTGAGATGCCACAAGGGCCAAACTATTCAGGTTTGAATTGTATGAGAATCCTTTAGTGCTTTAAAGAGTAAAGACATCAGTTTTTTTCTAGGTTTATATGCATTTAGCGTTTCTTTTTTTTTTTTTTTTTTTGAGATGGAGTCTCACTGTGTTACCCAGGCTGGAGTGCAGTCGTGTGATCTCACTGCAACCTCAGCTTCCCTGGTTCAAGCGATTCCCTTGCCTCAGCTTCCCGAGTAGCTGAGATTACAGGCATGCACCACCACATCTGGCTCATTTTTGTATTTTTAGTAGAGATGGGATTTAACCATGTTGGCCAGGCTGGTCTCGAACTCCTGGCCTCAGGTAATCTGCCCGCCTTGGCCTCCCAAAGTGCAGGGATTACAGATGTGAGCCACCGCCCCCGGCACATTTATTGTTTCTATGTTGTATGCAATCATTTATGTATCATCTAGCATATATATTATACTCAGGGTAGTATTATTTAGCATTTAGAATTAGTCTAACATTAATATGTATTTTGAAATATCGTGTTGGAAATCAGGACAGGAAGACATAGTTCGTGGTTGAAGAGCTTCATATGTGTATTTGAAGCTTTATTGCCTGCATATTTTTCCCTTCTAACATAACACATGTAAGGTGCTGAGTTGTAGAAGTTATTTGCCAGGCAGAGAAAGTGTTCTAAACTACGAATTTTAGTGAGCATTGTGGTTTATTTAAAGAAGTGATATGAATGTTTTAAATTCCTGGTAAGATTGGTGAATTAGGGAAGTAAAACATCATAAATATAAAGCAAAACACTCTTAATGTAGAATGTTCCTTTTATCTAACGTTAGATAAGCCTTTTTCTTCATTTTCATGCTGATGATTATAAGAATAAGATAAGCACTTCTGACATACATCATAGTAGTGAAATTTATCCTTTCTCTAGAGAGATGGAAAGAGAGGTATTGCTAGAAGGATCTATTAGAGATACAGTGATTTTTTTTTTTTTTGGATGCTGTACCACCTGGTGGAAAAGTGAGAAAAATGAGGTTTCTAGATTTCTTGAAAATATCCGGAGAAAACAAGATGTTTGTGGTAAATGCAGAATGGGGAGAAAGGGGTGAGGGAGCGGGTGGACTGGAAATTTCTTTCTTCTCTTGCCAGGCAAGGGAACATAGTGCAACTTCTTTCTATCCCCAACAGTAACAAAAACCTTATAAAGAAAATGTTTTCATTTTTTTTCTTACTTTAAACCCCATTCTTAACAACAAGAACAACAACAAAAATGGAAAAGGGTTAAAAAACCTGTCTAGGCCACGTGTGGTAGCTCATGCCTGTAATTCCAGCACTTTGGGAGGCTGAGATGGGAGGATTGCTTGAGCCCAGGAGTTTGAGACCAGCCTGGACAACATGGTGAAACCCTGTCTCTACAAAAAAAATGCAAAAATTAGTCAGGCATGGTGGTGCTCGCCTGTAGTCCCAGCTACTCGGGAGACTGAGGTGGGAGCATTGCTTAAGGCCGGGAGGCAGAGGTTGCAGTGAGCTGTGATCGCACCACTGCACTCCAGCCTGGGCAACAGAGCGAGACCCTGTCTCAAAAACAAAACTGTCTAAAAGATATAAAGGGAACGAACATATGACGTTTTGTGGCAGTTTGAATGTCATGTTTATTGTATCCGCAGGGTCTCGATCAGTACCTGATATACAGTAGTTGCTCAGTGAATGCAAGCTGAATGAATGAATGTTTTCCTGATTTGATAGTAACTGGGTCTTTACCATTTCTTTTTTTTTTTTTTTTTGAGATGGAGTTTCACTCTTGTTGCCCAGGCTGGAGTGCAATGGCGTGATCTCGGCTCACTGCAACCTCCGTCTCCCGCGTGCAAACGATTCTCCTGCCTCAGCCTCCCGAGTAGCTGGGATCACAGGCACCTGCCACCATATCCAGCTAAATTTTGTAGTAGAGACGGGGTCTCACCATGTTGGCCAGGCTGGTCTTGAATTCCTGACCTCAGGTGATCTGCCCGCCTCGGCCTCCCAAAGTGCTGGGATTACAGGCGTGAGCCACCGCACCTGGCCCCTGATCTTTACCATTTTCAAATGTACTGTATCTTATGGTGCTCCCAAAAACTGTATGAAACATTAACTTAATGAAAGGGGGAGGTATTATTTAGTGATTGTATAAGGCCCACACCTAGATAGCAAGAAGGCTGGAACTCAGGTTTTCAGACTCAAATTACACTCTCTATTTTGTTACTTTTTAGCTATAAAAATAATTTTATGGCTCCATATTCCCTTTGCAAATAAGGACACCTAAAATTTAAGAGTTTCTTAAAATTTCTTTTCTTTTCTTTTTTTTTTTTTTTTGAGATAGATTCTTACTGTGTCACCCAGACTGGAGTGCAGTGGCAGGATCTTGGCTCACTGCAACCTCCATCTCCCAGGATCAATTGATTCTCATACCTCAGCCTCCTGAGTAGTTGGGATTACAGGCACCCGCTGCCAGGCCTGGCTTTTTTTTTTGTATTTTAGTCTAGATGGGGTTTTGCCATGTTGGCCAGGCTGGTCTTGAACTTCTGACCTTAAGTGATCTGCCCTCCTTGGCCTCCCAAAGTGCTGGGATTATAGGCATGAGCCACCGCGCCTGGCTGTTTCTTAAAATTTCAACTCCCTGACCTGCATATAGTCATGACAGTGTTTATAATTTGTATTTGTGGATTCACGTATTTGTGGATTCGCTGTGTTTCAAAGGATCCACCTAATCATTGTTTTCAGCAAAACCAAAAATGTGGACAGTTGTGTAATTTATTATTTGCCTTCTTGATTTCCCACCAAAATCAAACTACCTGTAAATACAGGACACATTCAGATTTCCAAAGAATAGAAATGGTCTAAAGTTATAATCTGTCAGAGTGTGTCTTACCTCTTAGCTAAGCTACCTCTCCTCCTGAGCCTTTGGTAGTTCATGGGAATAAGGAAATGAGACAGTATTTTTGCTTTAGAAGTAGGGTAGTCAAGAAGTCTTGAGAAACGTGAAATTGTCTTCTGAACAACCCACACTTTAAAAAAAATTGCGCTGAAGAATTTTACTTCAGTAAGTAAGTCTATTAGACTCCCCATAGCAGGCCTCAACTTCACCCTTTCGGTTTTCTCTTTCTTATTCAAATATTTTTGTGCCTCAATTATTTGGTTGTGTCTTATTGCTAGAATCAACAGTAATGAGCTGCACTCTTTTATTAGTGTTTCCATTAGAAGTTTAGAGCTAGATCACTGGGGTAAAAGAATAGTGGTTTATGACATAATAGGTATTTTGACTCTACTAGCCTTTTTCTTTTTTTTTTTTTGAGACGGAGTTTCGCTTTTGTCACCCAGGCTGGAGTGCAGTGGTGTGATCTCGGCTCTGCAACATCTGCCTCCTGGGTTCAAATGATTCTCCTGCCTCAGCCTCCCGAGTAGCTGGGATTACAGGCTCCCGCCACAGTGCCTGGCTAATTTTTTGTATTTTTAGTAGAGACGGGCTTTCACCATGTTGGGCAAACTGGTCTCAAACTCCTGACCTCAGGTGATCCACCCACCTCGGCCTCCCACAGTGCTAGGATTACAGGTGTGAGCCACCACTCCTGGCCTATACTAGCTTTTTAAATGCTGATTTTTAATTCCCGTATTATGGGGCATAAACATTTTCACCAGACATTTTGCCTAGGGCAAGGTGATTTACACATCTTTTCTGCATGTCTGATATGTTCTGTTCTTACACGATATTAATCCATTGGAATTTTGTGTTTGTGTGAGCAAGATTCACAAAGGCATATTCCTTTAAATGAATTTCAGAAGAAAAAGTTTCCAGTCCTATAAAGCCTCATATTTGAGTAGTATACTCCTTATCCCATTTCTTCTTCTGGCCAACTCACAAGATTTGGAATTATTTGGAAAGCAGTGACACAAAACATTTTTGAAAAGAAAGGCTAAAAATATCCAATAATGTGGTTATTCTTTTTAGACTTCCTTTGGCAGTCAGTGCATGTCATACGGTTAACATTCTTTTTCTGGGAGAAAAAAAAACTGAGTCTGACCAAATACTTTCTAGTGTGGCCTGATCACCAACTCTTAGCCCTGGGCATTAGCCCTCGCATTTTCCACCCCCAAGTCTCCAAGCATAAGTAGCTGTCTTTCAATAAAGGCCCCAGTTTGAAACGTGTATTTCACTCCTAATTTGGCCAAAGGCCATTGGCTAGCAGTCCCTCTTCAGAGGGGATGGTGAAAAGACAGTAGGATATATGATAAATGCATGCAAAGGAGCTTCTCTTCTATATGACAAGTCTTGGCTAACTTAGCCTCTTTGCATCTTCCTCTGTTTGAAGAGCTACACACATTTGCCTTGTAGGAAGTTTTTATTCTCATGGCAAGCAGGCATTACCTCTATTACAAGGCCCCGCTTATTGTTCACCCTGTGATGTAAGAGCTTTTAGGACTCCAACAATATTAGCCTTCTCTTTAATTCCTTTCAGGCCCCATCGCCATCTCAGAACCATGGCCTGGAGTTGCCGCCCTCCATTCTCCTTAACATGTCGACTCAGAAAAGTCTTAAAGCCCGCTGTTCTTTCCCTTCATAGCAAAAATTATAATTTATCATTATATTTTGTTTAATGAGGACAGAGACTAGCATTTTTTACCTACTACATAATATAAATGCTTGGCACTTAAGGTGCTTGAACAAATGAAAGCCTGCTCATTTTGGATGGATGTCCCAGTATTTGGTACTGTTAGTTTTCCTTTATACACAAATGTACACAATGTCTCCCCCTTTCCAAACTAGACCATAAGCCTTCACAGTATCTTACAGGTAGTAGTGATTTAAAATGGGATGATATTGGTAATATCTGTGATTACTGGTTAAGCATAACTCACTTTATATACTTTCCCCTTGTTTTAAGAAAACTCATCATTTATTCATTAATATATTTAGTTGACAATTTATTGTGTGCCTCCTATGTGCCAGATACTGTTCTAACCTCTGGGGTTAGGGTGGTGAACAATACACAGTCCCTGGCCTCTTTTGGCAATGTTTTTAAAAAGCTTACCCAATAGGCAAATGAAAATATCTCTCTAATTTTTCCCTAAAGAGCTTGCTCCTTTAGTGTATTTGAGGAAACTTTGAAATGTAGTTTTTCAGGAACACACCTATTTTGTAGTGTGGTAAAGCTATACATTGATTGATTGATTGGTTGAGACGGAGTCTTGCTCTGTCACCCAGGCTGGAGTACAATGATGCGATCTCCACTCACCGCAACCTCTGCCTCCTGGGTTCAAGCAATTCCCCTGCCTCAGCCTCCCCAGTAGCTGGGATTACAGGTGCGTGCCACCACATGGGGCTAATTTTTTATATTTTTAGTAGGGATGGGGTTTCACCATATTGGCCAGGCTGGTCTTGAACTCCTGACCTTGTGATCTGCCCGCCTCGGCCTCCCAAAGTGCTGGGATTACAGGAATGAGCTACCGTGCCCGGCCCTATACATCTGTTTAGATGGGAATGTTGACGTGGAAGTGTATCACTTCCTGTTTTACGTCCCTGTGTAAAACAATCACATTTCCTTATTGATGACTGTCTTCCAACAGAAACGTAATCATCTTCAAGGTTAGAAAATGTTTTTTAAATAACTTCAACCAGCGTTAACCAAACTGGTTAATTCACCAAAATGTTAACCAAAATTAACCAAATCAAATTTGGTTTATTTTCCAGGTCTCTTTTTTCTTTTCTTTTTTCATTTTTAAAGAGATGGGATCTTGCTATGTTGCCCAAGCTAAAATGCAATTGTTATTCACAGGCATGATAATAGTGCCCTATAGCCTCGAACTCCTGGGCCCACATGATCCTCCTGCCTTAGCCTCCTGAGTATTCCAGGTTTTTCTTAATAGTTTAAACAGGTAGTTCTGGTTTGGCTATCAGTAGTGTTGTCAAATAGCTTTTGTTTGCTTAATTTTATTTTTATTTTTTTTGAGACAAGTCTTGATCTGTTGCCCAGGCTGGAGTGCAGTGGCGTGATCTCGGCTCACTGCAACCTCCACCTCCTGGGTTCAAGCAATTCTCCTGCCTCAGCCTCCCAAGTAGCTGGGATTACAGGGGCATGCCACCATCCCCGGCTAATTTTTGTATTTTTAAAGTAGAGACGGGGTTATACCATGTTGGCCAGACTGGTCTCAAACTCCTGACCTCATGATCTGCCCTCCTTGGCCTCCCAAAGTGCTGGGATTACAGGCGTGAGCCACCACGCCCGGCCTTTTGTTTTTGTTTTTGTTTTTTTTAAATGGAGAGGGCCAGATAATGCTCTAGGAAGGATGTCAGAACCCATAAAAAATGATGAGTATTTGAAATATATGTAAAAACTTAAGTAACAAATCAGAAAATATATTCTGAGATAGAAGTGACCATTCTAAAACTGTGCTGTACAATACAGTAGTCACTAGCTACATGTAGTTTTTAAGCAATCGAAACGTGGCTAGTCTGATTGAGATTGCTGTGAAAAATACACACTGGATTTTGAAGATTAGAAATGTACCCTAAAACTTAAAGTATAATAATAAAAAAAAAGAAAGAATGTAAAATATGATAATTAAAAAATTGCAATTACATGTTGAAATGATAATATTCGATAATATTTGAGTTAAGTAAATTTAATGTTACTTATTTTTTAGCATGGCTATGGAAAACTTAAAATTATGCATGTGGCTCGCATGATATTTTTGTTGAACAATGCTGTTTGCTGAAGCAGGGCTGGCAGCCCTTGCCAGAGGTTTGAATCTCCATTGTCTTGGTGGCTGCAGATGGATGGATGTGGGGGTACCAGCCTGGTGTGTTGGGAAGATTTTTCTTTGTGAAGGGGAACTTGCCCTTTACTGTTGGGGATAGTTTCTTCTCAGCCTATCCAGGGACACACATACCAGCATTTTGGGGTTGTGAAACTTTTGTGTGGGGAACTTCCCTTTTTTTTTTCCACATGAGCCAATAAGATAAAACTGACCTAATGGCATTCTCGGTGCAACTCTGCCTTCAGTTTAAGGACAGAAGAGGGCTCATGTTTCATAGAGTATTAAAGGAGCAAGCTTAATATTTTGCATTTTGTGGACTGTAATTGCTAACTGCTGCTACATGATTCAGTCAGCTAAGAATAATTTACTAATTATATATTGCCTCACTTGGTTCTTTTTCCAGATGCTAAACAAGGTGAGATAATTAGAGGAGGAAAAAGGGTGAGTTTGGGAATTGGAGACCAGAAGGATGGATTTAGAAGATCTTGGAGTTAACGGACTTAGAATATAGTCAGCAAAGAGTTCACTTAAAATTAGTGCAGGTTGCCAGGCGTGGTGGCTCACGCCTGTAATCCCAGCACATTGGGAGGCCAAGGCGGGCGGATCACGAGGTCGGGAGTTCAAGACTAACCTGGCCAATATAGTGAAACCCCGTCTCTACTAAAAATACAAAAATTAGGCAGGCATGGTGGTGCATGCCTGTACTCCCAGCTACTCGGTAGGCTGAGACAGGAGAATCGCTTGAACCTGGGAGGTGGAGGTTGTGGTGAGCCGAGATTGCGCCACTGCACTCCAGCTTGGGCAACAGAGTGAGACTTTATATCAAAAAAAAAAAAAAAAGAAATTAGTGCAGGTTGACTGTGTGTGTGTGTGTGTGTGTGTAGTTTTCTGAATTCATTTTTCAAGTATTGAATATTCACAATGATGCTAGACTAAGTGCTAGAGATTTGGTGGTGAACGAAACAGATTGAAACCTGCCTTCATGGGGGGCGTATATAGGTTCGTCTGACTAGTCTAGATAAGTGAATTTGTGTAGTAATTGTTTTTTTGTAACTGGCTTAGTTTACTTAGCTTGATGTCATCAAGATTTATTCATGTTGGAGTATGTGTCAGAATTTCCTTCCTTTTAAAGGCTGAATAATATATCCATTGTATGTATATATCACTTTTTGTTTATCCATTGATTCTTCCATAGACATTAGGATTGCTTCCACCTTTTGGCTCATGTGAATAATGATGCTGTGAACAGGGGTGTACAAATATCTCTTAAAGACCCCTCTTAAAACTTTTTGCGATATATACCCATAAGTAACAGTTGCTATAGAATCATATGGTAATTCTGTTTTTAATTTTTTGAGGAATACTATACTGACAAATTTGAATCCTTATTTAAACCCAGGATTATGGAATACTGCTGCTTGATTTCAGCTGTCATTTTGTTGTCTACATTGTATTTTATTGAATTGGCGTTATTCCCAAATATTGGAAAATGTGGAGGTTTCTAATTTTTGCTACTGTAAATAGCACTAATAAATACCTTGAGCATGAAACCTTTTCCATTATGGATTAATTTTATAGGATAGTTGTACAAAAATGGAATTTTACTAATTATGAGGGTGTGACTTTTTATGATTCTAGTTATATATTGCCAATTTATGTCTATTTTTAAGTTTCATTACACCCTTACTTCCATTGGATATAGTCATTAAAATAGAGAAAAAAAACTTCAATAACTAAAGGCACCTTATTGCTATTTAATTTACATTCCTTTATTATTATTTTTTAAATTATTATTTTTTGAGGTGGAGTTTTACTCGTCACCCAGGCTGGAGTGTAATGGCGCGATCTTGGCTTACTGCAACCTCCGCCTCCCAGGTTCAAGAGATTCTCCTGCCTCAGCCTCCCAAGTAGCTGGGATTACAGGCGCCTGCCACTACGCCCTGCTAATTTTTGTATTTTTAGTAGAGATGGGGTTTCACCATGTTGGCCAGGCTGGTCTCAAACTCCTGACCTCAGGTGGTCCACCCACCTCGGCCTCCCAAAGTGCTGAGATTACAGACGTGAGGCACTGCGCCTGGCACATTCCTTTAATTAACTGTGAATTTAATACTTTTTAAATACTTCTGAGTAAATCTCCCTTGTGTGAGAATTGTCCATGCATGACCTTTGCCCATTTGTCTATTAGGTAGGCAAAATCTTGAGAGAGCACTGCTTGAGTCTGTGCATTTTTAGCTTGGTAGATGGTTCTGCTTTTTTGAGGTCAGCTGAACTTCAGGGTTTTTTTTGACTTACACTGTTTGTACCAAAAGGATATTACATATTCAGGCTTTCATTTTTTTAAGATGGAGTTTCGGTCATGTTGCCCAGGCTGGAGAGCAATGGTGCGAACTTGGCTCACTGCAACCTCCGCCTCCCAGGTTCAAGTGATTCTCCTGCTTCATCCTCCCAAGTAGCTGGGATTATGGGCATGCGCCACTATGCGCGGCTAATTTTTGTATTTTTAGTAGAGACAGGATTGATCAGGCTGGATGGTCTCGAACTCCTGATCTCCGGTAATCTACCCGCCTGGGCCTCCCAAAGTGCTGGGATTATAGGCGTGAGCCACCGTGCCCGGCCCAGGCATTTTGAAATACTTCAGAATGTGTTTCAGGCTGACATCACTGAAACTCAGAAAAATACTTATTACTCCTGTAGTTACAACATGGGAAAGGCATTGCTAAGAAAGCATCACCATAAATAAACCCGTGGGATTCAGAAGGTGGGGAGTTGGGTGATGTGTTTTCTACTAACCATGTGTTTTAAAAAAAAGGGTGACTAGAAGTTCCTGTTTATCTTTGAATTTCAATAAATTTAGGGCTTGTTTTCCAACCACTCTGGTAGAATTTAGAAGAACCTAACTTATTTATTTTTATCTTTTTGACAGTCTTGCTCTGTCACCAGGCTGGAGTGCAGTGGCGCGATCTTGGCTCACTGCAATCTCTGCCTCCCAGATTCAAGCTATTTTCCTGCCTCAGCCTCCTGAGTAGTTGGGATTACAGGCATGCACCACCATGTCCAGCTATTTTTTTTTTTTTTTTTGTATTTTTAGTAGAGTCAGGGTTTCACCATGTTGGTCAGGCTGGTGTCAAACTCCTGAGCTCGTTATCCGCCTGCCTTGGCCTCCCAAAGTGTTGGGATTACAGGTGTGAGCCACCGTGCCTGGCCAGTCCTAACTTATTTTGTAAGTATACTAGGTATTGAAAAAAGGATGGTAGGACAAACTGCTGGAAACCTTACCCACCAAAGATAATTTATACTGTTTACTTATAGGCTTACTGTCTTTTGTTGAAAAATTGCGATGAGAAAGGAATCGGCATTGGCATCTATTAGGTTGGTGCAAAAGTAATTGCGGTTTTTGCCATTACTTTCAGTAGCAAAAATCTCAATTACTTTTGCACCAACTTAATACTTTCAGGCTTGTTGAAGCCTAAGTAGAAAATTGTTGCTTAATCTCTTTTATTCTGATTAACTCCTACTTTAAATTTTTTCTTTCAGAATCTTTTTATCAAGTGAATCTTTTAAAAAGATGTGAAGAGTTACTTCTGACTTTATGATTGATAGATTATGAGCCCTCCTTAATCCCCAATTTCTTAATTCAAACAAGCTTACTGTGAAAATTTTCTTTTTTCTTTCTTTTTTTTTTTGAGATGGAGTCTTGCTCTGTTGCCCAGGCTGTAGTACAGTGGCACGATCTTGGCTCACTGCAACCTCCATCTCCTGAGTTCAAGTGATTCTTCAGTCTCAGCCTCCCCAGTAGCTGGGAATACAGGCGCATACCACCATGCCCAGCTAATTTTTGTATTTTTAGTAGAGACGGGGTTTCACCATGTTGGTCAGGCTGGTCTCGAACCCCTGACCTCAGGTGATCCGCCTGCCTCGGCCTCCCTGAGTGCTGAGATTATAAGCATGAGCCACCGCGCCCGGCCACCGTGAAAATTTTCTACAAATGCTTGTTTCGAGGAATCTTTTTTGATATTTTGCCAGCAAAGTCATAGGAGCAAAATTTTTTTAAATGAAAATAGAAAACAACATAGTTAAATATATCACGTAGGAGGAAAAGTACCAGTACCAAAATTAACTTTAGCATTTCTTAGTGTTTTACAGTTAACAGGGCATTCCAAGGGAATTAAAATTCAGTTGATTTTATTGGACTTTAATTTCAGAGGAACTCTGAGATGAGAAATTTAACTAGCACGTTTATCCGTTTAGGCCTTAAGCAGATGCAGGTTTCATGACATGCCAGAGGTAAATTTAGGGGTACTTGACTGTAGTGAGTAATTTCCCAGCTATGGGAAAATGTAAATATTATGTAGATGGTATAAAGAAACAATATTACGTTTGTCCATTTAAGGTCTGTTTCTGTTTGTTCAGACAGGCTTGTGGATTGCTTTTCTTGCCAGTGTTCCTTTAGGTGGAAGGTACAGCCCTTTCAGATATTTCAGAATTTTATTTTCTTTTATTTTTTTGAGATGGAGTCTCACTCTGTCACCCAGGCTGGAGTGCAGTGGCACGATCTCGGCTCACTGCAGCTTCTGCTTCCCAGGTTCAAGAAATTCTCATGCCTCAGCTTCCCGAGTAGCTGGGATTGCCAGCACCCGCCACCATGCCTGGCTAATTTTTATTTTTATTTTTTTAGTAGAGAGAGAGTTTCACCGTGTTGGCCAGACTGGCCTCAAACTTCTGGCCTCAACCGATCTGCCCGCCTCTGCCTCCCAAAGTGTTGGGATTACAGGGGTGAGCCACCATGTCCGGCCATATTTCTGTTTTAGAATTGCTTTCTTGCTTTTCCTCTGACCAGATTTGGTCACGTGAAACTGTCAATTAGCATGAATGAGGTGCTGCTGCCATGCAGGGGTTTGATCCTTGGCTGTCATGTTGATGGTCTCTGTATCCAAATTAGTATTTGTGAAATTTGGGGGAAGAGAATTTGGGCTTATTGTGTAGCGGAACGAGTACGTTTCATAAAGGCAAACCTAGCACCGATATCAACAAATCCACTTACAATCCATTCCTAAAGGAGGAAGCTCTGTTACAGTTTTAAAATTAACATTACAATGCATCTTGCTTGTTTGAGGTGAGGGCTTAAAACTCAGTAATGAAAAAGAGGGAGAACTATAGGCTAAAAGGGTGTGTGTTCTTAATTGATTAATTGCAAGCAGCTATGTAGGGCACCCTGTGTTTAAATCAGTGCTAGCTGTATTATCTTGAGCAAGTCATTGTACCTCTTTGTTTTTTTAATTTATTTTTATTTTTTACATTTTTAAGAGACAGGGTCTCACTATGTTGCTCAGTTTGGTCTTGAACTCCTGGGCTCAAGTGATCCTCCTGCCTTGGCCTCCCAAAGCGCTGGTATTACAGGTATGGGCCATCACGCCTGGCAAATCGTTGTACCTCTTTGAGCCTCAGTTTCCTCATTTGTAAACTAGTAGGATGCCTGGAAGTTCATAAGCATTAATAAATGTTAGCAATAGTTATTATTTCTTGAGACGGAGTCTTGCTCTGTTGCCCAGGCTGGAGTGCAGTGGCGCGATCTAGGCTCACTGCAAGCTCTGCCTCCTGGGTTATGCCATTCTCCTGCCTCAGCATCCCGAGTAGCTGGAACTACAGGCGCCTACCACCACCCCCGGGTAATTTTTTTTTTTTTTTGTATTTTTAGTAGAGATGGGGTTTGACTGTGTTAGCCAGGATGGTCTCGATCTCCTGACTTCGCGATCTGCCCGCCTCGGCCTCCCAAAGTGCTGGGATTACAGGCGTGAGCCACCGCGCCTGGCCAGCAATAGTTATTTTTAAAAGATCCTCCTACATGTGATTATATGCCCCTTTTCATTTGAGGGTAGTAGACCATATGGAGAACTGACAGTGGTTGAGAGATTTGAAGGGAACTAATAGTCCAGCCAAAGAGCGAAAAATGGCAGGAAATTGGAAATTAGGTCTGTCTCATTGGCTTTATTAACCAAAATGAATTGGGAATCTCAATGTAATTGATCAGGAAGGAGCTCCAGTCATTCCTGGAGGATTAATTTATTATTATTATTATTATTTTTTAGCTGCATACCATATCACTGTGGTGCCTTTGTTTTTGGAATGGAGCTGTTGCCTGCTGACCACGCCTGGGGGCACCTAATCACAAGTCTTTCCCAACTTCTTTTTCCTTTAAAGCAAGCCACTCCAGTTGAAAGAGAATGATTAGACATATGAAAGTGTGGTTTTGTTTGCCCAAGAGTTTATGTATAAGTTAACACATTGTACACTTTTTTTTTTTTTTAAACTTCCTCTTTCTCTCTTATCTGCCTCTGATCACGGGATCCTGGTTAGTTTTGCTCAGGGCAGCTCGCTTGACCTGGTGACAAATTCCGCTTCTTCCTGGGGCTTTCCTTTTTCCTCCAGAAAGTCTTGTGCTCATGGTTTAGGAACTTAGTCACTGTCGTCTTTCTGGTTTTCATGAGATCAAATCAAATAAGGTAATACGTGCAAACTGTATAACGTGCTGCAAAGGCAGACTCTGCTGCTGTCCTTAGAGTCCAGTTCCCTGGCCGTGGCTGGGTTCCCAGCCCTCTGTTCTCTCTCCACAGAGTGACTGTCTCGGCTCTGAGGGTTTCAGCGATACTGGATGCTTCCACATTTAGGAAATAGGCCTGCTTATGCTCCAGTGCAGGCATTAAAGCTCAATGAGTCATGTGATCTGCTTGGCCGACTCTTCAGAGTTCGTTTGTACTCAGTAAAATTAGTATGAGTCTTGGAACCCGGTGGGAAACCTCTTCCTAGTCCTACAGGCCGGATGCGCCTTCTGAGTTTTCATATTATCTCTCCACCCCCAACCTCCCCCTCCTTTGGTTGTATGTTTCTCACAATGAATTGGTTGTTGGAAACTGGCTTTGTAATAATTCCAAATGCCACTGTGAAGATTTTTAATAGCCTTTAAAATTTTTAATTGGCTGAGCTGTAGTGTTATTGATATATTTTTGTATAAATGTTATTATTAACAAGTTAATTCATATAAAGGGCTTGGAACTATACCTGGCATATAAGTACATGTTTAATAAAGATTAACTTATTTCTGCCGGGTGTGGTGGCTCACGCCTGTAATCCCAACACTTTGGGAGGCCGAGGTGGGCAGATCACTTGAGGTCAGGAGTTTGAGACCAACCTGGGCCAACATGGTGAAACCCTGTCTTTACTAAAAATACAAAAATTAGCCTGATGTGCTTGCTTGAACTTAGGAGGCGGAGGTTGCAGTGAGCCGACATCATGCCACTGCACTCCAGCCTGGGCAACAGAGTGAGACTCTTGTCTCAAAAAAAAAAAAAAAAAGAAAAAAAAAGAAAAAGATTAACAGTATTTCTAATGGTATTAGAATTGTTTTATTTTATTTTTTGTTTTTGAGACAGGGTCTCGCTGTGTCACCCAGGCTGGAGTGCAGTGGTGGGATCATGCCTCACTGTAGCTAGCCTTGAACTCCTGGACTCAAGTGATCCTCCCACCTCAACCTCCTGAGTAGCTGGGACTAGAGGTGCATTCTACCATGCCTGGCTAATTTTAAAAAATGTTTTTGTAGAAATGGGGTCTTGCTGTGTTGCCCAGGCTGGTCTGGAACTCCTGGGCTCAAGTGATCCTCCTGCCTTGGCCTCCCAAAGTGTTAGGATTACAGGTGTATGCCACCATGCTCATCCAGCATTCTTAATTAAAATAATTTGGTAGGAGATTTTATGAAGGCAGTATGTTCAGTAGAAAGGTTTGGGGATCCAGAATTGGGAGACTATTTTAATTTTGGATCTGTTATTTACTAGCTCTGGGAGCTTGAGCAGGTTCCTTACTTAAGTTCCTTGAGTAACAGTTTCTTGATCTTTAAAACATTATAGAGGGGTTAAATCAGATAATGTATGTGGAATGTATTCCTAGATTATAGATTATTACATAATTGTAAGTGTGGTAGCAATCACAGGTGTGTTTAGAGACTACTAAAAAATGGTTTTCTCTTTTAATCTTGTCTGATGTAAATTAATGACACATTCTCAGTCGACTGTAGTATTGACACTTGATAAACAGTTTTTGAAAATGAATTTATTCTCCATCTCTTCTATGTCTGCTTTTATCTGCAAAGTCGTGATTTGTGTTTGGGGACTTGAACAATTGATAGCTAAGCATCAACTTTAAATTGCTTTATGAATTGATGATTGTGTTTATGAAGCACTGGTGATTTGGGGGAAGATGACATTTTAGCTTACTGTTGGATGCATCAGGGAACTTGAGTTAATTTAGCTTTAAGCCTTCCAGATTATCCTGCCTATGAGCTTCACAAGGGCAGACCACATCTCTAGTTTTCACCATGATATTTTCAGTGCTATCTTGGTGCCTGGCACAGAGGACAGAGGGAGTCCCAATTATATTTGTTAATTGACCACCTGGTTTTCATCTGATCAGACTTGTGTCAGAATTATAATCAAGGAAAAGTTGGGCAAAGGCACTAAAATGAGTTTCTTTTGGTTTCAGAGGGAGTAATAATAAAACAACAGTAATAGCTTATGTATTCATGTGGAAATAGGACATTTAGGTGAAAAGTACGTTGGGCCAGGGGTATGGAGATCTAGCTCCTAGGACTGGTCCTTTATTAAATAGCAGAGATAACTTTGGGAGAGTTACTTAACCATTTTTGGCTTCAGTTTCTTCCTCAAAGGCCCTGTCCAGCTGTGTGGCAAATGGTTAGTTTATTCTGGAGCAGAATTACTGATTGGAGGGAAAGTAACAGCAATAGGATTTGAGAGGGCTTCACAAATGTTTTGAGATGCCAAATGAATTAGTTTAGAAACAGCTATATTAGGTCATATCTGCTTGGATAGGGAGAACCCAAGTGAGTTGAGTCATGGGTGTTTGAGAAATGAATAGAATATGTAGAATTATTTCTTTTCCAAAAGAGGGAATGTCTTGGGAAAGAAATCAAAGGGAACCTGGGTGATATCTTTGATTCATCCCCTATCTAGTGCCAACAAGAACAAGTTTCTTTCTTTCTTTTCCTTTTTCTAAGAATGGATTTCATGTAAGCCAAAAGAACACTTGATTGTTCTGAACTTGTATATATTGCAGGAGTTATAAATATAATATCAAGAACTATTTAATAAGAGCCCACCAGCAGTTCCACGTTCCTCAAAACCAGGACAGGATGAATGTATGAGAATCATCTTCTTACTGAGAATGGTAGGACAGAAGGGATAGTTTAGCCACTATACTTCCTGGAAGAATCAGTACTTGAGGGTTGCTGCAGCTTTTTGGGATTGAAGGAGTATGTTCATTTCCTTTGGAAGATTAATTTTTTCCTTTTTTTTGACATGGAGTCTCTCTCTGTCGCCCAGGCTGGAGTGCAGTGGCACGATCTTGGCTCACTGCAACCCCACCTCCCAGGTTCAAGCAATTCTGCCTGCCTCAGCCTCCCGAGTAGCTGGGATTACAGGCATGCACCACCACACTTGCCTAATTTTTGTATTATTAGTAAAGATGGGGTTCTGCCATGTTGGCCATGCTGGTCTTGAACTCGTGACCTAAGGTGATCTGCCTGCCTTGGCCTCCCAAAGTGCTGGGATTACAGGTGTGAGCCACTACACCCGGCCTGATTAATTTCTTTTACTTGCTTCAAGTGTCTCCTTTATTCCAGCCTACACATAGAGGTAAATATTCCTAGGAAACTTTCAGCAAGTTAAATCCTATTATAAAATGCCAGAGTCAGTTGTCTAATTTTTATTTTATTTTATTATTATTATTTTTTTGAGACAGGGTCTTGCTTTGTCACCCAGGCTGGAGTGCAGTGGCGTGAACACAGCTCACCACAGCCTTCACCTCCCAGGCTCAAGTGATCGTTCCAGTTCAGCCTCCTTAGTAGCTGGGATCACAGGTGCAGACCACCACACCCGACTAATTTTCTTTTTTTTTTTTTTAAGACAAGGTCTCACTCTGTCGTCCAGGCTGGAGTACAGTGGCGTGACTTTGGCTCACTGCAACCTCTGCCTATGGGTTCAAGCAATCCTCCCACCTCAGCCTCCCGAGTAGCTAGGACTACAGGTACGTGCCACCACACCCAGCTAATTTTTCGTATTTTTTTTTTTGTAGAGATGGGGTTTCACAGCATTGCCCAGGCTGGTCTCAAACACCTGGGCTCAAGCCGTCTGTCTGCCTTGACCTCCCAAAGTGCTGGGATTATAGGCATGAGCCACTGCGCCCGTCCCACTGCTATTCTTCCAGCTAGAAGGACTATACTTAAATGCATAATTATACAACCTTTTGATATGTTATGAAAATCATAAAAAATTATTTTTCTAGCAACTCCTGCCCTTTTCATTAAACAGATCCTAGTAGTCCTGAAATTCTGTGGTGGATTTTTATATGTAATGTGATAATATGAAGAAATAGCTGATTTTGGTAGCTGCTCACATATTATGTTTGTTTTAATTGGAAAAGTTGGCCTATGAAAATGAGTGTTGTATAAAAATGGTTTATGTGGACCAGGCGCGGTGGCTCATGCCTGTAATCCCAGCACTTTGGGAGGCCGAGGTGGGTGGATCACCTGAGGTCAGGAGTTTGAGACCAGCCTGGCCAACGTGATGAAACCCCATCTCTACTAAAAATACAAAAATTAGCTGGGCATGGTGTGTGCGCCTGTAATCCCAGCTACTCGGGAGGCTGAGGCAGGAGAATCACTTGAACCTGGGAGGTGGAGGTTGCAGTGAGCTGAGATTGTGCCACTACTCCAGCCTGGGTGACAGAGCAAGACTCCATCTCAAAAAAAAAAAAAAAAGAAAAAGAAAAAAAGAACAAGAAAGAAAAATGGTTTATGTGAACTAAAAGGTTGTTTGCATTTTGTGGCAAATAACAGCACCAAATTCCCAGATCCTAAATGTTTCAGTTATGAAATATTTGAAGTACCTCTGAATTTACACATAGGCATTCCACTCATGTAAGCACTCATTGATTTTAAGATTTTTCATTCATCAAAAGGGAAAATGTGGGCTGCCATATGTATAATTTTTGTCATCCAAAAAAGAGATATAAAGTTAAAAATTAGCAAGGCCATGGTGGGTCATGCCTGTAATCCCAGCACTTTGGGAGGCTGAGGCAGGAGGATTGTTTAAGCCCAGGAGTTTGAGACCAGACTGGGCAACAGAGCGAGACATTGTCTTTACTGAAAAAAGAGAAATTATCCAAATATGGTGGTTTGTGCCTGTAGTCCCAGCTATTTGGGAGGCTGAGGCAAGAGGTTTGCTTGAGCTTAGCAGTTTGAGGCTGCAGTGAGCTATGGTCACACCACTGCACTGTAGCCTGAATGACAGAGACAGACCCTATCTCAAAAACAAAACGAAATTTAAAAAAAGGGTGCTTAGAAATCCTGAACTGTTCTTTTTACTCCCAGGACATGTGATCATATGCCTACTCAGGAATGAGTTATAGCTAGTTCTCAGTAGATGTTTAGTTATTAAAATGGAATGAAGGCATGAATGTGGGGATGAAGTAGAGGAGGGGCTGGGTTGGAGATACTGGTTAATTGGGAGGCATTAGTAACACTGAATGTGGGCAGAGAGGTGGTGAGAAAGAGGAGTCAAGGAAGAGTTGTAGGTTTCTGGTTTGGGAGCCTTGGAAGATGGTGCTAGCAAGCAGCCACTCACCAAGAAATCAAGTAAGAAGAAAGATCAGGTTTAGGAGGGAAGACACATTCAGGCAATCAATATATGGCATACACCAGGCAGTCAATAAATTTTGAGTGAGTAAATCTGGGCATGTGTGTTTTGAGATGTCTGTGGGCTATCAAAGTTTCTGGAGTTTCTTATCAAGAAGGTAGACCTGGTCTGCAGAGAGAGCTTCAGGATTCGTTGAAGTCATGGGCTTAGATGAACTATGTGTGTAAAGCAAAAAAGGTGTCTTTAGACAGAAGCATGGAGGATACCACAGAAGCATGGGGGCACCAGCAGGTAAGAAGTGGGCAGAGAAGGGCATGTCCATGGAGGAACCAAGGAGTGGTCAGAGAAGCTGGAGAAAAAGAAAAGGGTGGTTGTCCTGGGATCGGAGGTTGGGACCACCTCAAGAACAAGGGCTTGGCCATGGGACAAGTGCTTCAGAAAAGCCAAGAAGGCCTGGGGTGGAACTGTGTGGCAGTCTCTGGAGACCTTGAGGAGAGCCACTCCAGTGAACTGGAGGCGTACAGTCACACTGCAGTGGGTGGTGAGTGAATAGTGCAGAGGAAGCAGGAGAGTGAGTAGAGGTGCTCTTCCGTGAGGCTTGTCTGGCAAGGAGAGGATGGTGTAGTAAAATGAGGAGCCTACAAGGGCGAGGGAAGTGGTAAGGGTGTTGTCATCGTATGTAATGTATGTATGTATGTATGTATGTATGTATGTATGTATGTATGTATGTATGTTGAGACATAGTCTTGCTCTGTCGCCCAGGCTGGAGTGCAGTGGTGCAATCTCTGCTCACTGCAACCTCTGTCTCCCGGGTTCAAGATTCTCCTGCCTCAGCCTCCCAAGTAGCTGGGATTACAGGCACCTGCTACCACACCCAGTTAATTTTTGTATTTTTAGTAGAGATGGAGTTTTGCCATGTTGGCCAGGCTGGTCTCGTCTCAACCTCCTGACCTCAGGTTATCCGCCCACCTCGGCCTCCCAAAGTGCTGGGATTACAGGGGAGAGCCACCATACCCGGCCTGTTTTTTATTTATTTTTAGATGAGAGGACTTCAATGGAAAGAAGACTGAGTGTCAGGGGAGTGAGGATCATTGAAAGAGATGCCTCCCTTCGCACTGGAAGGGATGATATTTGGATTCTAAGTAGAAGGCTGCTTAGAAAGAAGACGTCTCTCCCATCGTTGAGTGGAGGAGAAGTTCAATCTAGAAATGTGTATATAATACAAGAGGGGGTGACTAGGCCTTTCAGTTGGTGGCAGGTGGATATTGATGGAGGAGGTGGGTATGCACATGTGGGAGTGGTGCATGAAGAGAAGCCCACACAGGCAGGCACCGGGCCAGAAGAGGGGAGTGCTGGGGTATTTGGGACCAAGTGGTGGTATGGCTGCAGCAAAGGTTGCCACGCCAAAGGTGTGGTGAAAAACTACGCTGGAAAGGAGGGAGGGTTGGCAGGCTCTGAAAGGCCGTGCTTGCCAGCCTGAGGATTGAATATTTTGTGAGTAAGGAGGAGCCACTTAGGGAGAAATAAAGTGGTCAGACCTATGATTTTAAAACTGACAGCAGAGTTTAGAGGGCAAGAGGGGTAGGGATATTGTTTGGAAGGTGATTGCGGTAACCTGGGTGAAGGTAATTAGGGCTAGAAATAGGATAGTTGCAGTGGGAGAGAGAAGGACTCCAGAAATTGAGTTGTCACATTGGCACCTGATCGACCAGGGTGAGGGGAGGCAAGGAAGGAGACGAGAGAAAAGAAGGAGGTATGGAAGGTGGCTGGGTGGGAGGATGGCCATGCCACTGTGGAATGGGGAGCACGGGAGGAAGAGGAACAGGTTTAGTGAGGTAGGGGAACAACTCGGTTTTAGGGCCTATACGCAACATTTGTGTAGCATCCAGCTGCAGCCAGAATTAAGGGTCTGAAGCTCAGGACAGACCTCAGATCTCATGGAAGCATGAGATCATCATCCTTGAATTGGAAGTGGTTGAGATTTATTTGAAATAACAAGAGAAAAATAAATCTTGATGTGGATATGGACTGGAAGAGTAAACTTCACAGACCATTTGAGTGTATTTTTAACTTTCTTAGAAAAAAAGTCTTTGAAGACCAGAATGTGGTGGTGCTCCACAAATAGCTCAAAATTAGCACATCTAGAATAAGCTAGAAAATAAATCTAAGCAGTTTCAATAGAAATGCTGTTATCTTGATCTGGCTCTATTTGTTTTTTTTCCTATCAGGTTAAAATCTGTTTCTTCAATCATTTTGTTTATTCCTTTTGATAAGAGACTTCAGAGGACTGACAGGGACTAGCTGGTTATGTTTTTGAAAAGTCTTTGAAGATGAAACATATGTTTTGAGTGTGGTGACACTGCATTAATTATTCTCTGGTTTTGACACCAGTGGATACTGATACGGTTTGGATGTGTGTTGCCTTCAAATCTTATGTTGAAACGTGATCCACAATGTTGGAGTTGGGGCCTAGTGGGAGGTATTGGATTATGGGGATGGATCCCTCATGAATGGCTTAGTACCACCTCCTTGGTGATATGTGAGTTCTTACTCTGTTCACGTGAGAGCTGGTTGTTTAAAAAGAGCCTGGCACCTCCTCCTCTCTCTCTTGTTCCCTCTCCTGCCATGTGACCACCTGCTTCCCCTTTTCCTTTCACCTCCTGAGGTCCTCCTGAGGTCCTCACCAGGAGCAGATGTTGGTGCCATGTTTCCTGTGCAGCCAACAGAACTGTGAGCCAAAATAAACCTCTTTTCTTTATAAATTACCTAGCCTCAGATACTCTTTTATAGCAATGAAGAAAAGACAAACACAGAAAATTGGTACCAGGAGAGGGGCATCGCAATAAAGATACCTGAAAATGTGGAACTGGCTTTGGCACTGGGTAATAGGCAGAGATTAGAAGAGTTTGGAGGGGTCAGAAGAAGACAGGAAGACAAGGGAAAGTTTTGGAACTTCTTAGAGACTGATTAAATTTGACCAAAATGCTGATAGAAATATGGACCAAGTGGGGTGGCTCACGCCTATAGTCAGCACTTTGGGAGGCTGAGGTGGGAGGATTGCTTGAGCTCAGGAGTTTGAGACCACCCTGGACAAAGTGGCAAAACTGTATCTCTACAAAAAATACAAAAATTAGCTGGGCATGGTGACATGTCCCTGTAGTCCCAGCTACTGGGGAGGCTGAGGTGGGAAGATGGCTTGAGCCTGGGAGGCAGAGTTTGCAGTGAGCCAGTATGAGTCACTGCACTCCAGCCTGGGTGACAGCCAGACCCTGTATCAAGCAAACAAACAAGAATTGTGTGAGCTGAACTAGTTGAGATGTCTATGGTGTTGGCTGTTGTTTCTGCTGTTAATCATTAGTTCTCTTAAACTAGGAGATGAACAAGGTTAACCTTTTTCTTGCAAATTGACACAGAGGGTCTGCTGCTGTGAGCTTTATCTTCAACATCATCTTGTCCTTTTTTTTTTTTTCCTACTTTGAAAAAAAAATTCATTTTTTCATAGAAATGAGTTCTTACTATGTTATCCAGGCTGGTCTTGAACTCCTGAGCTCAAGTGATCCTCCTCAGCCTCCCAACTGGGATTACATGTGTGAGCCACTGCACCCGGCACTTCTTGAAGGGTTATCCACTTGAAAACTGCTGATTTTTGGGGGGCATTGTCCCCACAAACTTTTCAAAAAGCAACAGTGATTTCACCATTCTGCCCAAGCTTCACCATAAATTTGATGTTTGTTTTTGCTTCAATTTTAGCAGAATTCTAGCCCTGCGTGGTGACAGGCACCTGTATTCTCGGCTACTCCGGAGGCTGAAGCATGAGAATCGCTTGAATTTGGCAGGCAAAGTTTACAGTGAGCCGAGATGGCACCATTGCACTCCAGCCTGCACGACACAGCGAGACACCATCTCATAAAAAAAAAAAAAAAAAAAAAAAAAAAATTAGCAGAATTTATGTTGCTCTGATAGGGGCTCTTTTCAAACTGATGTTTATCCTTCTTAGTGCCTCAAACTAGGTTTTGCTCAGACATGTTATGACAAGTTAGTACAAGTTTATTTTGGTGCAAAAAATTTTTCAAATCCATGCATAGTTTCTTCTTTTTCTTTTCTTTTCTTTTCTTTTTTTTTTTTTTTTGAGACAAGATCTATCTCTGTCATCCAGGCTGAAATACAGTGGTGCAGTCTTGGCTCACTGCAACCTCTGTCACCCTTTTCCCACCTCAGCCTCCTGAGTAGCTAGGACTACAGGTACATACCACTACACCTGGCTAATTTTTGTATTTTTTGGAGAGATAGGGTTTTGACATGTTTCCAAGGCTGGTCTCAAGCTCCTGAGTTCAAGCAATCCATCTGCTTCAGCCTCCCAAAATGCTGGGATTACAGGCATGAGCCACCATGCCTGGCCGTAGTTTTTTCATAATATTCATTTTCCTTGAAATTTTTGATGACCCCTCGTATCTGTATTCCTGTTTTATAGTATCACACATTTATTACGTGCCTGTCTAATACCCATTGCTGTGGTTTTCTCTGGGAATTCAAAGAGGAGTAAGCTAGTAGCTCTGCCTTCTAGCACATGGGCTAGTGGAAAGTCATAAAGAGCCATTTAATGACCACTGTCAATGTCTGTGTAAGGGCAGTGAAGAGCACGCTGCTGTTGATAAGGATGGCTCACATTTATGGTACACTTGCAATACCTTTTACCCATACTGATTCATCTCATTCTCACACCAACTCTGTGATGTGGTACAGTTATTAGAAGAGGCACAGAGAGGTTAAATAGTAGCTGGTAATTAGATTAACCAACGTTAGAAACTGGGTGGTCTGGTGTGAGAGCACAGGCTTTTAAAAAGCGGTAAGAAGAGGGGAAGCTGCAGCCTAGTTAGGGTGACTGTTGTGTTATTGAAGATGAGGGGATGAGGACTTTGTGCATGTGTGTGGAGCCTGGGCTGTGAGGGTCAAGGGACAATGGGAAGGGACATTAAAAGGTTATGGTTAAAGTAAGCCTAGACGGACTAGTTTGAAGTCAAATAGTAGAAGGTGAGGATAGAGAGGGGGATGGGAACCAGATTATGAAAATAGGCAGTATCTCTTTTTTATGTCAAGTGTTACCCTGAAATTCCGAAACTATATTTCTTATGAACATACTGATTACATTCATTGTTATTTAAAAATATGCATGTACAATATGGGTGGAAATGATAATGATTGTAATGAGAGTGGCTCACAATTCCAAAGAAGTTGGGGGTTTCTGTGGGTTTATTATAACTTACGGTTTTTTTTTTTTCTGATATGGAGTCTCACTCTGTTGCCCAGGTTAGAGTGCAGTGGTGCGATCTCTGCTTACTTCAACCCCCGCTTGCCAGGTTCAAGCAATCCTCCCCGCTCAGCCTCCCAAGGCTCCCATTGCAAGCATGCACCACCACGCCTGGCTAATTTTTATATTTTTATTAGAGACAGGGTTTTGCCATGTTGCCAGGCTGGTCTTGGATTCCCGACCTCAGGCTATCTGTCCACCTTGGCCTCCCAAATTGCTGGGATTACAGGCATGAGCCACTGCACCTGGCCAGTTTATTATAATTTAAAAAGCAGTCTGTTATTAGTAGGCTTCGGAAATTTGTTTCAGGGAGTGGTAAGGAAGGAGTTCTAGAAAGTGGTTGTATATTGCTGCATGCTTGTTTTCCTCTCAGATCACAAAGAAAATGTAAAGGACCTGGGTGAGTTCCAAAAATTAAAGTAGCCGGGCGCGGTGGCTCACGCCTGTAATCCCAGCACTTTGGGAGGCCGAGGTGGGTGGATCACCTGAGGTCAGGGGTTCGAAACCATCCTGGCCAACATGGCGAAACCCCTGTCTCTACTAAAAATACAAAATTAGCCGGGCATGGTGGTGCATGCCTGTAATCCCAGCCACTTGGGAGGGTGAGGCAGGAGAATCATTTGAACCTGGGAGGTGGAGGTTGCAGTGAGCGAAATCGCGCCATTGCACTCCAGCCTGGGCAACAAGAGCAAAACTCCGTCTCAAAAAAAAAAAAAAAAAAAGTAAGTTACACACACCCTTACTGGCACACTGGGATTCCTTAAATGCTTGCAGTATTATTGAGTATGGACAATGCACAGAACTTTGTACTAGATACAGTTAGGTTATTCCATGAGAGTCTTGCTTCCTCCCTACATATATTCCCAAGTTTATATGGGGAGACCAATATAATATGATGCAATTTGCAAACAGTAACAGCTGTGTAAATGAGTATAAAGCAATCCAGAGGAGGTTAAAATAAATACATTTAAGGAAGCCCACAGTGATACCTTGATTTATTCTTTTGTGCAACTGTTGTTGAGCAGCAGGCGCCTTGGGGGCTGAATAGAAAAGGGCATACCTCCTGAAGGTAGGAGAAGCTTGGATTTGGGTTTTGAAAGGATAGAAGTTCAAACTGACTGAGTGGGTGTCTTTTATTTTTCTGTAGAAAAAGCATTGGTGTGTGTTTGAAAAGTTTAGATTGTCTCAAAAGCATAATGAGTTTTATAGACTTCTAGGGATTGTCTCCAGAGATAGGTGGGTAGTATGAGTAGTTTCTTTCTTTTTTTTTTTTTTTTTTGAGACAGATTCTTGCTCTGTTGCCCAGGCCCAGGCTGGAGTGCAGTGGCGTGATCTCGGCTCACTGCAACCTCTGACTGCTGGGTTCCAGCAATTCTCATGCCTCAGCCTCCCGAGTAGCTGGGATGGCAGGCGTGTGCCACCATGCCTGGCTAGTTTTTATATTTTTAGTAGAGACAGGGTTTCACCATGTTGGCCAGGCTGGTCTTGAGCTGCTGGCCTCAAGCGATCCACCCACCTCAGCCTCCCAAAGTGCTGGGATTACAGACATGAGCCACCATGCCCAGCCCCTTGAGTAGTTCCTTTCTAGAAACACTCCAAAGTGTGTGTATGTGACTGGGCTGGTTCTAAAATTAGGATGTTGCTTTGTGCCCTTTTTCTATAGTTATCAGATTTTTTTTTTTTTTTTAAAGACAGAGTCTTGCTCTGTCGCCAGGCTGGAGTGCAGTGGCACAATCTTGGCTGACTGCAACCTCCGCCTCCTGGGTTCAAGTGATTCTCCTGCCTCAGCCTCCGGAGTAGCTGGGATTACAGGCATGTGCCACCACGCCCAGCTAATTTTTGTATTTTTAGTAGAGATGGGGTTTCACCATGTTGGCCAGGATGGTCTCCATCTCTTGACCTCGTGATCTGCCCACCTCAGCTGCCCAAAGTGTTGGGATTATAGGCATGAGCCTACGCCCCCGGCCTAGTTATCATATATCTCTACTGAAGAATGCAAGATTATAATAGAAAGGAATTATTTTTGAACTATTATGTTGTAAATATTAATTTATTGAAGTAGGTCAAATGCTAGGAAAGGATTCTTTTTACTATTAAAGTAATTCAGGCATACGGTAATTCTATAAAAGTAGTATGGGCCGGGCGCCGTGGCTCATGCCTGTAATCCCAGCACTTCGGGAGGCCGAGGCGGGCGGATCACAAGGTCAGGAGATCGAGACCATCCTGGCTAATACGGTGAAACCCTGTCTCTACTAAAAATACAAACAATTAGCTGGGCGTGGTGGCGGGCGCCTGTAGTCCCAGCTACTCGGGAGGCTGAGGCAGGAGAATGGCGTGAACCCAGGAGGCGGAGCTTGCGGTGAGCCGAGATCGCGCCACTGCACTGCAGCCTGGGCGACAGAGTGAGACTCCGTCTCAAAAAAAAAAAAAAAAAGTAATATGAATACCTTTTAGTCACCATCCAGTTTAAAAGAAAACATTGCATCATAGTTGAAGCCCTTGGGTCTCAATTGCTGGCCCCATTTGTTCTTCTCCCTGTCGTTTCCCCCAGTTCATTTTGATCATTGCCATCCATCTACTTTATACTTTTATTAAGGATGTGTGGTGTCATATTGTGTGTTTTCTTCTATAGGTTGTTTCTGTTGTTGAACCTTGATTTTGAGATTGACTTTTGTTCTAGTTCCTTCTTCTGAGCTGCTGAACACGCCATAGTGTGCCCATTTTACTGTTGATGGACATTTAATTGTTCTTTCCTCCCATTTTTCTCTATTATGAATGATACTGCAATAAACATCTTTATGGATCTCCTTTTGCATGTGTGAGAGACATTGTGTAGTTATAATCCAAGGCCTGGAACTGCTTAGTCATAGGGAAGGGGCTGTGTCTTCATGTTCATAGGCTACTGCCATACGCAGATTCTTCAGTTCTCTCTTTGAAATGGGAAGCTCTGAGGATTAAGAAATTATTTTTTTAAACCTGTATGCTGATTTTTTTTGAAGCTGTAATGGCGCTTTGCATACTTGTGGTTTAGGGGGTAAATGGAATATACACAATAAGAAATATTTACTGTGTTAATGGTTCATAACTTGTGACTTATGTAAAGTTCCATCTAATTTAAATAATAAATAATAATACTGGCTGCATAGTAATACCTAGGACCACAATGAGAGACTCCGTAAAAAAGAAATTCCTAAACTGTATTTTTTTTTTTTGTATATCTGTGCCCACCTGTAATTTGACTTACAGTGAATGTGGCTTATTTGGGCAGGGGAGACTTTTGAACAGGTGATAACATTTTTGCGTGGCCTTAAAATTTCTATAATTTATTTGAAACTCTTTTTAAACCATCATGTCTCAAAGTGATCAAGTAGAAAGGATCAGGTGCCTTAATTACGAAGAATGGCATAAATCATGACAAGGTCTTTTTGAAGTCACCTGGAATGCTCCCTTTGGGTGAAAGAAGGTTCTGTTCTCTTATCATATTCTTCCTGCTCAAGTTGCCCAGGTGTAGTTTGTGGTTTCCAAGATACCTGTTGGACTGGCTTTAGGCTGATAATATTGGTTCCTTCATATTTTTTTCACATTGTTTTTAGAAATTTTATGTAACTGCATTCTTCAATAAGGCTCTAAAACAATTTTCCTATTATGGTATAGTTGCTTCTCCAAACACTTAACTACCTACTGGGAGGAATCAATAAGAGAGCCACTTCTGGTGGATCTTGGCCACAAGGTCTGTGATGTGTCGTTATATTGCAGAGATCTTTTGAGGAAATGCAACGTGAAAGATCTCCTTGACATTCTATGATGAAGAAATTAAAGGTAAACTGCATTTATGCAGATTTAATGTAGGTAGATAACTGACCTGTTTAATTCATGTGAGGCCTCAGAGGGTCTTTTATATTCTCTGCTTTCCAGCTAGTTTGACCTAAGTCAAACCTTTTCTCCCCAGTGGACCATGTTACTTTTATTTTAATCAGTTGATTTTTTTAAGGCTTTATTGAGTATAATTGATATACCAGAAACCTGTACATATTTAATATATACAGTTTGATGAGTTTGGACATATGTACACACCAGTGATACCACCACACTCAAGGTCATAAACATCTGTTGCCTCCAAATTTTCCTGTGTCACTTTTTTTTGTGGTAAGAACACTTAACATGAGATTGACCCTCTCAACACAAAAGTGTACAGTACCGTATCATTAACTATAGGCATTATGTTGTACACAGATCTCGAGGGCTTATTCATCTTGTGTAACTATAACTTTATTCCCATTGAACAACTTCTCATTTCCCTCTCTACCTATACCCTGGCAACTACCTTTCTATTTTCAGCTTTTATAAGTTGGATTATTTTAGATAAACCACATAAAAGTGGAATTATGCAGTATTTGTCCTTCTGTGACTGATTTTATTTCACTTAGAATATTGTCCTCAAGGTTCATCCATGTTGTTGCAAATGGTAGGATTTCCTTTTCATTTTATTTTATTTTTTGAGACAGGGTCTCACTCTGTTACCCATGCTGGAGTGCAGTGGTGCAGTCATGGCTCACTGCAGCCTCAACCTCCCGGGCCCAAGTGATCCTCCCACCTCAGCCTCCTGAATAGCTGGGACTAGAGGCATGTGCCACTATTCCCAGCTAATTATTATTATTTGTAGAGACAGGGTCCTCACTATGTTGCTCAGGCTGGTCTCGAACTCCTGGGTTCAAGCAGTCCTCCCTCCTCGACCTCCCAAAGTGCTGGGAGGTCTCACTCCCAGCCTAGGATGAGCCTCACTCCCTCACTCAGCCTAGGATTTTCTTTTTAAAGGTGAAATAATATTCTAATGTATATATACATTGCATTTTTAATAGTCTTATTTCATGACATTAAATAAGATATACTTATTTAACGTCAATCATCGTTTGGATCGTTTCCATGTGACTTAGAGCTTTAAAACAGGTGATGTTAAAGTTGAAAATAAAGGCCTGTAATCCCAGCACTTTGGGAGGCTGAGGGAGGCAGATCCCTTGAGCTCAGGAGTTGGAGACCAGCCTGGGCAACATGATGAAACCCTGTCTCCACTAAATATACAAAAACTAGCTGGGCGTGGTGGTGTGTGCCTGTAATCCCAGCAACTCAGGAGGCTGAGGTGGGAGGATCTCTTGAGCCCAAGAGGTGGAGGTTGCAGTGAGCCGAGACCGTACCACTGCCTTCCAGCCTGGGTGACAGAGTGAGACCCTGTCTCACAGGCGCACACACACACACGCGCGCGCGCGCGTTGAAAACAAATGAGAAACCCTATGGACGTGGGGGACTAGACCTGTACAGTTGTCAAGCCTGGTTTTGAGAAAGTAACTGACTCCAGCTGGGGGTGGTGGCTCATGCCTGTAATCCCAGCACTTTGGGAGGCCAAGGCCAGGAGGATTACTTGAGCTCAGGAGTTTGAGACCAGCCAGGCAATATGGTGAGACCCCATCTCTCTCTCTCTTTTTTTTTTTTTTTTTAAGTTACTGACTCCTAGGGGGCATTTAAGCGGTTGAATATCAGCATTTCTTTAGCTATTTAGCACCTCCCTTGTGACTTTAAAGTACCTAGTGATTTTTTTTTTTTGGATGGAGTTTCGCCCTTGTTGCCCAGGCTAGAGTGCAGTAGTGTGATCTCGGCTCACTGCAACCTCTGCCTCCCGGGTTCAAGCGATTCTTCTGCCTCAGCCTCCCGAGTAGCTGGGATAACAGGCATGTGCCACCACGCCCGGCTAATTTTGTATCTTTAGTAGAGACGGGGTTTCTCCATGTTGGTCAGGCTGGTCTCGAACTCCCGACCTCAGGTGATCCGCCTATCTTGGCCTCCCAAAGTGCTGAGATTACAGGCGTGAGCCACCGTGCTCGGCCTGTGATTCTGATTTCTATATATGGAGCCATCTAATTATAATTATTTGTTGCAAATTATCTTTTCTACTGCATTAAGTTTCCTTATGGGCTGATTAAAATGTTCTGGTTGACAGCTCACCTGGTTATTTAAATTGTTTGCTTTATCTTCTGGCTTAGCAATTGTACTTCTAAAAAACTATCTTAAGGAAAAAAGTCAAGGATATATGAAAATATTTCTTATGAGAAGGTTCATCAAGGGCCGGGCCCGGTTTCTCATGCCTGTAATCCCAGCACTTTGGGAGGCCGAGGCAGGCAGATCACCTAAGGTCAGGAGTTCAAGACAAGCCTGGCCAAAATGGTGAAACCCTGTCTCTACTAAAAATACAAAAATTAGCTGGGCATGGTGGCGGGTGCCTGTAGTCTCAGCTACTCAGGAGGCTGAGGCAGGAGAATCGCTTGAATCCTGGAAGCAGAGGTTGCAGTAAGCCAAGATCATGCCACTGCACTCCAGCCTGGGCGACAGAACGAGACTCCATCTCAAAAAAAAAAAAAAAAAAAAAAAAAAAAAGATTCATCAAAACTTTGTAATTAATACAAAGTTTTGTAATTAATTAATACAAAGTTAATTAATACAAATTAATACAAAGTTTTGTAATTAATACAAAGTTTTGTAATACAAAACTTTGTAATAGTGAGAAGTTTGGAAACAGTAGATATTCAATTATTTAAAATTATTTGTAGAGTGCAGTGGTTTAAAAGTATAGCTTCTGGATTCAGACTAAGTGAATTCTGATAGTTGTGCTGCCACTTAGAACTTTATGACTTTGGGCAAGTTTCTTTCTTTCTTTTTTTTTTTTTTTCTTGAGATGGAGTCTCACTCTGTTGCCCAAGCTGGAATGCAGTGGTACGATCTCAGCTCACTGCAACCTCCGCCTCTGGGGTTCAAGTGATTCTCGTGCCTCAGCCTCAGCTGGGACTACAGGCACATGGCACCACACCTGGCTAATGTATTTTAGTAGAGACAGGGCTTCACCATGTTGCCCAGGGTGGTCTTGAACTCCTGAGCTCAGGTGATTCCGCCCCTCCCCACCCGCCTCACCCTCCCAAAGTGCTGGGATCACCGGTGTGAGCCATCACGCCTGGCCCGGGCAAGTTTCTTAATGCAATTGTTAATTGTAGCTTAACAGCTGTCCTTGGATTATTTGAGTATGAAAGAAGTTATTAATACCTTGTAAAATGCTTAGAACATGTCTGGTCCATAGTAAAGCTCCATAAAGATTTAGCTATTGTTACTGTTAAAGTGTTAGATGCACAGATACTCACAACATTTTTCAAATGGAAAAGAATTTTAAAACAGCATGTATAGAAGCCGGTGAGGTGGCAAGCACCTGTAGTCCAGCTGCATGGGAGACTAAGGCAGAACGACCGCTTGAGCCGAGGAAGGAGTTTGGGGCTGTAGTATGGGATGATTGTTCTTGTGAATAGCCACTGCATTCCAGCCTGGGCAACCTAGTGAGACCCCGTCTCTTAAAAAAAAAATAAAACCCCAAAACAAAAATAAACCAAAAACCCCAACAAAACAGCATGTATAATGTATCATTAAATATAAGAATAGGAAAAAAAAACCGGAATGATCTACTCTGGGTGATAGGACAATCTCTTTTGGCTTCTGTGTTTTTTCTGTCCTACAACTCTTCTGTTTTATAACTGAAAAAAATGTTTTGCATGTGAATTTTAGACTGGGGTCTTTGGGTAAAAGCACCTAGAGATTACTGGCAGGTTAATTCTAAAAAGGGCAATTTGTTTTTTCACTTTATCTCAGAGTTTCATTTGTTTCCCAGTGATTGACTAATTATTTTAACAAAGTAAAGCTTCATTGTTGTGTGTATGCAATTGAATCGAAAATATACTTTTCATACAAAGACAACTTCCTAAAGGTAAGTGTAAACTTGTATGTAGTTTGTTAATCTTATTGTGGTATTTTGTTTTTCTTAAACACAGTTTCCTGTTCTTTTGCTTTTGCATGTCAACATTGCTGAAAATAAATATTTTGCTCTGCAGGGATAGTAAGCCAGATGGAGTGGTATTTATAATTTGAGGAAATAGCTTAAACTTTGTCATCAGTTTAAATTGCATTAAAAAACCTGAAGCACATTGATTAGAGTTGTTTAAGGTAGAGAACCAGAAATATTCTAAATATCCTATGCCTAACCTGTCAAAACTGTTCCTGAAATATATAGAGAGGGAAAGAGTACCTGAGGAGCTCAGGAAGAGTGATGGCCTAGAGCGTAGCTTGAATTGAGCAGCAGAGGTTTCTCTGGAGTGTCCTGTATTATCTTAGGCAAATTTGTAGTCTTCTTAATAGTATCTGTTTACATATCAATATGTTTTCTGTCCAGGCAAGGTGGCTCATGTCTATAATCCCAGAACTTTAGGAGGCCGAGATGGGCAGATCACTTAAGCCCAGGAGTTGGAGACCAGCCTGGGCAACATGGAGAAACCCCATCTCCGCAAAAAAATACAAAAATTAGCTGGGCGTGGTTGCACATGCCTGTAGTTCCAGCTACCCGGGAGGCTAAGGTGGGAAGATCACCTGAGCCCAGGAGGTTGAGGCTGCAGTGAGCTGTGTTTGCATCACTACACTCCAGCCTGGGCAGCAGAGACCCTGTCTCCAACCAAAAACAAACAAACAAACAAAAATATATATAATGTATATGTATATGTGTGGTTTTCCTGTCAATTTTTAAGTAGAATGTCCTCAGATACATATGCCATGTTTATCCTGTTACTTCCAGGATACCTGGGAATACCCAGAGGTTTGTGTCTATGTTAGTGTGAGAAGCCCTAACACATTTTTGTGTAGAGACAGCAAAACCTGTCTCTACAAAATAAAAAATAAAAAAATTAGCTTAGCATGGTGCCGTGTGCCAGTAGTCCCAGCTACTGTGGAGAATCACTTGAGCCTGGGAGGTTGAGGCTGCAGTGAGCCATGATCACGCCACTGCACTCCAGCCTTGGTGACAGCCTGAGGACTTTCTTATGGATTAAGGTGGGAATTATTTATGGTTTGCATGCTGAGAGAGATTTTCTGAATTTTTTCAACAAATATTGAACACCTGCCAGGTTGTGAATTTTTGTGGAGTGGATCAAAAGGACTGAAGGAAATGAACAAATAATTTTGGCAAACCATTATTAAGTAATGAATATGTATTGTATTCATTAATTAATGTATTAAGTGATGAATATGTATTGAATATGTGTATCATCACAGTAACTCTATGAGGGAGGTTCTATTATCACCCTCATTTATAGGATAAAGTACATGAGAGATGAATTTATCCTTAAGAAATATTTTCACTTTGGTGAGGCATGGCAGCTCATATTTTCACTTTGGCGAGGCATGACACTTTGGGAGGCTGAGGTGGGAGGATGGTTTGAAGCCATGAGTTTGAGACCAGCCTGGGCAACATAGTGAGACCCTGTCTCTATCTTTTTAAATTATAAAATTTTAAAAATAAAGAAATTTTTTTTTATTTTGAGAAGTTTGTGTGCTTTAGGTGTGTATTCTGTTTCATTAAGCCAAAGTTTGTATTACTAGCCTTCTATCCTGTCTTCCCATCCTTACCAAAAAAAGAGAAAAAGAAAAATAGTTTTACTCCTGAGGTTAAGAATGGGGCATGTTGTATCAATGTTTATTTGTGTAGATATTCTTTTGAATTTTTAAAAATTGGGGTATCACTTATATACAATAAAATGCACAAATCTTAATTGTACAATCTAATGAGTCTCTATGTTTAACTACCACCCAGATGTAGAAATGCAGTACATTTCTGTTACCCAGGAAGGTTCCTATGTGACTGTTCACAATCAGTAATCTCCCCAGCCCTTGGCTAGAACCACTAGTCTGACTTTTATCACCCTGAGTTAATGTTGCCGCATCTTGAACTTCATATAAGTAAAATCATGCAGTATGCACTCTTGCAGCTGACATCTTTTGCCCAAGTCAGTGCCACACATTGAGATTCATCCATGTTATTGCATATATCAGTAATTCTTCATTGTTGTAAAATATTACATTGTTTGAATATATCATTATTTATCCATTCTCTTGATGAACATTTGGATTGTCAATCAGCTGCTTTGATCATTCTTGTAGAACGTGTCCTTTGGTGGACATAACCCTTCATTTTTCTTGGCTATATATATACCTAAGAGTGGAATTACTGCATTGTAGAGTAGGTGTATCATTGGCTTTAGTAGATATTACCAGTTTTCTAACTGTGTTAGACTGACGTACATGCCCACTAGCAATGGATGAGAGTTCTGTTTTCTCCACATCCTTGCTAACAGTCTCTTTAGTTGTTCCATTTTTAATTGTGTCTTCAAGTAGGAAGCACCCTCACTTACAGGAGAAAGGAACTCCCAAGGAAGTTTCTGATTAGTGCAAGTTGGGTGGGATGAAGATGAATAACCAATACATAGCCTAAAGCTTTGCTCAGCATCTTATTCAGATGTAGTATTTATTTCAATGACAACCAAAAATAATTTCTGAATGGACCCTCCCTACCCATCTACTGTAAGTTAACATTGTCCAAATTCTAGTCTAATTATGCTTATGTTCTTCTTCTCCCCTCTTATATTCATGCTGAAATATTAAAAAATCACTGCAAATTCCTATGGAAAACCTCATACTTCAAAAGGGATCAGTGTTTGGTTTCTCTCTCCATTTTTTTTTTTTTTCTGTTGAAATAGAGTGAAAGACCCAGGAATAATATGCCTGTGTGTACATTTTGCAGATCTGGTAATAATAACAACTGTAGCGGTTACTGAGGGCCTCCTCTGGGTCAGGCTCTGTGAGAAGTGATTTGTATTCCTTAGTTCATTTACTTTCTATCATGACCCAATAAAGTATATGTATCTTTGCTATCCCCATTTTATAGATGAAGAAGCTAAAGCTTTGAGAGGTTAAGTAATTTGCCCAAGTTTATCTAGCTAGTAAGTGCAGAAGCTAGAATTTTAATCTAGGTCTGTCTAACTACAAAGGATGGAATTAGGCCCCTTTCTTATGATTATTAATAAAAATGATCTCTATGTAGTTAGGATTTACTAACCCAATTTCTTTTATCTTTTAAACTGAGAATCCCTCCACCTCCTGGCACCCCAGTTCTGGTAAAAGATAAATGAAACCCATAGTTGTTTTTCTCAGCAAGGGTTTTATTTATTTATTTATTTATTTTATTTTTTTTAAGACAGAGCCTCACTCTGTCACCAAGACTGGAGTGCCGTGGCACGATCATGGCTCACTGCAGGCTCAGCCTCCCAGGCTCAAGTGATCTTCCTGAGCAGCTGGGATTGCAGGCACACACCACCATGCTCGGCTAATTTTTTTTTCTTTTTTTTTTTTTGGTGAGACGGGGTCTTGCACTGTTGCCCAGGCTGGAGTGCAATGGCATGATCTTGGCTCACTGCAACCTCCGCCTCCCGATTTCAAGTGATTCTCCTGTCTCAGTCTCCAGAGTAGCTGGGATTACAGGCATCCACCACCACGCCCGGCTAATTTTTTGTATTTTTTAGTAGAGACGGGGTTTCACCATGTTGGCCAGGCTGGTCTCGAATTCCTGACCTCATGATTTGCCCACCTCGGCCTCCCAAAGTGCTGGGATTACAGGCATGAACCACCGCGCCCGGCCCCGGCCTTGTATTTTTTTTTATAGAGACAGGGTTTTGCCCTGTTGCCCAGGATGGTCTCCAACTCCTGGGCTCAAGCAGTCCTCCCATCTCAGCCTCCCAAAGTGCTGGGGTTACAGGCATGAGCCACTGTCCCCAGCCTCCCAAGGTTGTTTTTAGGCCCTTTGAGGCTTATAAAATAGAATAAATGAGAAATAGGTCCAACCTTCAAGAGCACTGTGTATAGCACCCAAGATTAGAAATGCATATGTTCAGCCATGACATCTATGGAAAGTACAGAGGACAGGTCCTGAGGAAGTGCTGGGGCTGTTGGTGGTACCAGCCTTTGTGTAGCAGAAGATGTTTGAGCTGTGCTTTGCAAAGTGGCTGGATCATAGACATGTGAACACTAGGAGTTGGGCCAGTGGGTGGAGATAGAATTTGTGCCTCAAATTGCAGATACTTCTGTTTGGTGGGTACATGTGTGACAGGCATAAACTTAGTGAGTAGGTGGCCCCAGATTTGGACCAGGTCAGGGAGACTCTTGAATGTCAGGCCTTGTGGCCTTTTGAGGCATTTCCCGCTGGACGATTAGTTGGGCAGTGGTGTGGCAGCATGTGGAGGTGGAGAGGCTGATGGAGAACTTGCAGTAGGATGTCCATCATGTGGGACTGAAGGCTAGCTGGGAGGTATATCTGGGCTGGAGAAAATGGACATGGGACTCACAAAACTGGTTGTAGGAGCTATGGGAATAGACAGAGGCTCCCGGCTAGAGCTCTAGGGCATAGTGGGTTAACCAGCGGTGGGTGTGGTGTCAGAATCACTCATAAAGCTTTTTTTTTTTTTGAGATGGAGCACGTTCCTGGCTCACTGCAACCTCCACCTCCTGGATTCAAGCGATTATCCTGCCTCAGCCTCCCAAGTAGCTGGGACTACAGGCATGCGCCACAACACCCAGCTAATTTTTGTATTTTTAGTAGAGACGGGGTTTCATCATGTTAGCCAGGATGGTCTCGATCTCTTGACCTTGTGATCCGCCTGCCTCGACCTCCCAAAGTGCTGGGATTACAAGGATGAGCCACCAAGCCCGGCCAAGCTTCTTGTTTTTACATTGATTTTTTTTTTTTTTTTTTTTAGAGATAGGGGCTCGATCTGTTACCCAGGCTGGAGTGCAGTAGTACAGTGTTGGCTTACTGTAACCTCCAACTTCTGGACTCAGGTGATCCTCACCCCTCAGCCTACCGAGTAGCTAGGACTATAGGTGTGTGCCACCATGCCCGGCTAATGATTTAAAAAATGTTTTGTAGAGACAGGGTCTCATTATGTTGCCCAGCTGGTCTCAAACTCATGGCCTCAAGCGATCCTCCTGCCTTGGCCTCTCAGGGTGCTGGGATTAAAGTAAAGGAATGAGTCCAGCTACTCATACAGCTCTTGAAAACCCTCTGGCTTGGTCTGACCCTGGAGCTTCTAATTGGTGTTCTTGGGGTCTCAGCAGCCATCTGGGTTTTTTTTTTTCTTTTTTTGGGATGGAGTCTCGCTCTGTCGCCCAGGCTGGAGTGCAGTGGCGCGATCTCGGCTCACTGCAAGCTCCGCCTCCCGGGTTCACTCCATTCTCCTGCCTCAGCCTCTGGAGTAGCTGGGACTACAGGCACCCGCCACCACACCCGGCTAATTTTTCGTATTTTTAGTAGAGACAGGGTTTCACCGTGTTAGCCAGGATGGTCTCAATCTCCTGACCTTGTGATCCGTCTGCCTTGGCCTCCGAAAGTGTTGGGATTACAGGCATGAGCCACTGCGCCTGGCCAGCCATCTGGATTTTTAAAAGCACCTTGGCTTCTAGTGCATATTCTCTGCCCACTCTGCAGGTAAGAAGCAGTGAGGAAAATGGTCCTAGGGTACCCGGTTAGGACATAGTCATATCTCTGAGTTCTCAGGGAACTCAGGAAAAATCATGCCGTCTCGATAGCCAAGTTATCAGTGTCAAATGTCTCGAAAAGATCTTGTTTCCAAAGTCGTCATGCTTAACACTTCCAAAACAAAGAGTGTGCCAACTTCTTTGGGCAAGCCATTTGTGGGCAATTTTGAGGATCAGAAAAGCTCTTTGGTGAAATAAACTAAACGGTCTCCCTGAATAGCTTTCACAGTGTGGGCCTTGCAGGGAGCACAAGGCCAGCCCACCCTATACATGATATTCTTTACGATTATAAAGACACTTTTTACTGTTTCTCCCAGTTTTCCTTTTTCCCACACTAACATCCCCAGTATGCTCTTGTGTAGTTTTCAGAGCCTTTGTTATGATTCCCTCTGAACTGTTGCTCTTTGCCAGTATTGCTTTTCAAATAAGGCAACCCCAAATTTACGCACCAGCATTGTTTAGTGGGACCATTTATTTGTCTCTTGTCATGTAGATGATACACGCATGTATTTGCAGGGGCAGGGACAGGGGATCCCCAGTATAAACTTTAAATGTGCCTTTAATTCTATCTTGGATTCACCCTGTTTGAGCCTGTGATCTGGCTTACCCTCCCAGATGTCATTGGCCAATTTGATAAACAAATTCGATTATCTCCATGCCAAAGAGGAAGCAGTGCCTCAAGGCAAGCCTGAAGCAGCGCTGCCATGACAGGACCTTGACAGGTCCTTGATAGGACCTTTGTGCTGTGCTCAGTGATGACCTCAGTGATAGTTGTCCTCAGCCAGGAGGTGTTTCTTTTTTTTTCCTTTTTTTTTTTTTTTTTTTTTTTTGAGACAGAGTCTTGCACTGTTACCTGGGCTGGAGTGCAATGGTGCAAGTCTGGGTTCACTGCAACCTCTGCCTCCCAGGTTCACGGGATTCTTCTGCCTCAGCCTTCTAAGTAGCTGGGATTACAGGTGCGCGCCACCACACCCAGCTAATTTTTTGTATTTTTAGTAGAGACGGGGTTTCACTATGTTGGCCAGACTGGTCTCGAACTCCTGACCTTGTGATCTGCCCGCCTTGGACTTCCAAAGTGCTGGGATTACAGGCGTGAGCCACCGCGCCTGGCCGAGTTGTTTATTTCTAAAGGATTTTTAGGAGTCTTAAAAAAAGTCTTTTCCTGTACCTTAAACAATGGTTTCACTAAAGGGAATTGCTGTCTTAGATGTTTCGTGTTGAATCTTACACATTTTTGCCTAAGCTGTATCATCCTCATTGGAAAACCCTTGCACCGAGTATTTACTTTTAGTCACACTTTGCTATAAACTTTATGACTTGTGCATGCGCGATTGTATGGCTGGCTCTTTGCCTTTTGCCTCTACTGTGACCAACACTGATTTCTTACAGGCTTGTAAAGTGGTTTCCAAGATCTGTTTGCTGTGTGTGCTTGGCTGCATTTGATATAAATAGATTTGAGATTAGTGTTTGAAAGTGCCATATGACCATATACAGAGCTGACTTACTAAGGATATGTTACTGCATTTCAGACACATCTAGTAATAGAAAAATCAGTGTCTTAATGGGCTGTGCCTCTCTCGTGTCCCCTCTTTTAAAAAAAAATTTAGTTACAACTAAATGTCAGGAAATTTTGTAGCTTACCTAGTTTAAGTCCCAAGATATGTGGAGAGACAATAAAAATGATAATGACAATGGTGCCTGGAGATGCGTATGTTAACATATGTTAAGAAGTTATTTTTAAGGTTGCCCACTTAATGTTTTTGTTTTTATTTTTGAGATGAAGTCTCACTCTGTTGCCCAGACTGGAGTGCAGTGGCTTGATACTGGCTCACTGCAACCTCCAACCTCCCGGGTTCAAGTGATTCTCTTGCCTCAGCCTCCCATGTAGCTGGGATTACAGGCGCCTGCCACCACACCCGGGTGATTTTTGAATTTTTAGTAGAGGCAGTGTTTCACCATGTTGGCCAGGCTGGTCTTGAACTCCTGACCTCAAGTGATTCACCCTCCTCGGCCTCCCAGAGTGCTGGGATTACAGGCATAAGCCACCATGCCTGGCTGGTTGTTGTTGTTTTTGTTTGTTGAGACATGGTCTCACTGTTACCCAGGATGGAGTGCAGGGGTGCAGTCACAGCTCACTGCAACCTCGACTTCCCAGGCTCAGGTGATCCTTCACCCTCAATCTCCTGAGTAGCTGGGACCACATGTGCACGCCACCACACCTGGCTAATTCTTGCATTTTTCTGTAGACATGGGGTTTCACCATGTTGCCCAGGCTGTTCTCAGACTGGGCTCAAGCAATCCTCCTGCCTTGGCCTCCCAAAGTGCTGGGATAACAGACATGAGCCACCTCGCCCAGCTCCATTTAATGTTTAATTGTAGGCTTGGTGACTCTTATGTATTAATTACTAGATATTCTTATTTGGAATTATTAGACGTGCTAAGGCAATAATTTTGAAATTTACAACAGACTAGTTGGTGTTAAGGTGTTATAATAGATTACCATATTTTGCAATATATTGGTTATTTCCTTGTTGAATAGAGATGAGGAAGGATGGTATTTTGGCTCTAAATTAGAGGGCTGAGGTTCTAATGGCAAAATTAACATTGTAGTTTTACATTGCTTGAATAATGTAATCTTCTTAATAGATATTATACTTAATTTTGCTTTAAAGACAATGTTCATTGATAAACTTTCTGTATCTTTCAGTGTGTTCTGTAGCACAGTGCTTTCTTCATGGCCATCGCAGGTGTTTGGGCTTTTTTTTTAAACACGTCTGAGGACTGCAAAGGTGTTTTTTTCTCCCCCTCCCCCTCCCCCCCTCCTCTTTCTTACTTAGACTGTTGTTGTCCAGGCTGACCTCAAACTCCAGAGAGCCTCATGCCTCAGCCTCCTGAGTAGCTTGGACCAGGCTTGGCTCGAGGACTGTGATTTTATAGACATTGTTTCCATCCTGTAGAGGAAACAGATGGGTTAATTTAATTGTTCAGCTGGTGCTTGAGCACACTCTGGGAGTGTCCAATCCAGAGATGAATGAGGATTCTTGCTCTTAATTCAGTGTTGTTTTTTGCTTCATCTTGCTTCTAAGAGAGTTCCTTGAATATATGATGGAATTATGTAGTGGTTACTGCAGTAATCACACTCTTATTATTTTCTAATTATGTGGAACTTGGGAAATGTTGATTTTGTTTCAGTATATGATTTGCAGTATAATTCTATTTACATGTAAAATCTTGTCTGTGTTAGTTTGCCTTGACAAAGCACCACAAACAAGGCAGCTTAAACAACAGAAATGTGTTGTCTCACAGCTCTGGGGGCTATAAGTTCTGGATTAAGATGTTGGCAGGGTGGCTTCCTTCTGAGGGTTAGGAGGGAAGGATCTGTCCCAGGCCTCTCTCATTGGTTTATACATGATTGTCTTCACCCAGTATCTTTACGTCATCTTCTCTCTGTACATGTCTGTGTCCGAATTTCCCCTTCTCTTTTGAGATAGGGTCTCACTGTGTCACCCAGGTTGGAGTACAGTGGTGTGATCATGAATCGTTGCAGCCTTGATCTTCCAGGCTCAACTGATCTTCCTGCCTCAGCCTCCTGAGGTAGCTGGGACTATAGGCATGTGCCACCAGGCCTTGCTAATTTTTTTATGTTTTAAAATTTTTGTGGAGATGGGGATCTCACTGTATTGCCCTGGCTGGTCTCAAATTCCTGACCTCAAGTAATCCTCCCACTTCAGCCTCCCAAAATGCTGGGATTACAGGCATGACTGACCCATCACACCTGGCCTAATATCCCCTTTTCTTAGGGACATCAGTTATATTGCATTAGGAACCATGCTGATAGCCTTAACATTTTAACTTGATGACCTCTATAAAGACCCTGTCTCCAGAGAAGATCACATTCTGAGTTATTGGGAGTTAGGACTTCAACATATGATTTTTGGGAGGACACAAATCAATATTCAGCAGTATCTTTTTTTTTTTTTGAGACTGAGTCTTGCCTTGTTACCCAGGCTGGAGTGCATTGGCGCAAACATGGCTCATTGGAGCAGCCTTCACCTCCTGGGCCCAAGTGATCCTCCTGCCTCAGCTTCCCTAGTAGCTGGCACTCCCATGTCAATTAAAATTTTCTGTAGAGATGGAATCTTACCGTGTTGCTTAGGCTGGTCTTGAATTCTTGGGCCTTAGCAATTCTCCTGCCTTGGCCTCCCAAAGTGCTGGGATTACAGCGTGGGCCACTGCGCTCAGCCCTTAACGGTGTCTTTAACAGCTCTCCAGTAGTGTATCTAGAGAGCACTGCCTGCGGGATGGTGGCCATGGGACCCAGCTTGGAGGCTGGCCCTCAAGAATCACCGGGTTGGTGGTGGGCTGTTAGTGGATCCCCTTCTCCATGGGGCACAGGCAAGTCTGGTTTGGAAAAGGATGATGTTGCTTCAGTGTCAGTTTGCCAGTTTTTCCTCTGTTCTCCCCACTCTGATTCTGACTAGAATTAATTTGGTAGCACTGAGAAGAGTCATTTCTACTTTGGCACAGTAATCTTGCCCATAATCTGACTAATTTTTATTTTTATTTTTTTGAGACAGAGTCTTGCTCTGTCACCCAGGCTGGAATGCAGTGGTGCAATCTCGGCTCACTGCAACCTCTGTCTCCTAGGTTCAAGAGATTCTTCTGCCTCAGCCTCCTGAGTAGCTGGGATTACAGGCATGCACCACCACGCCCAGCTAATTTTTTTTTTCTTTTGCTATTTTTAGTACAGATGGGGTTTTGCCATGTTGTCCAGGCTGGTCTCGAACTCCTGACCTCAAGTGATCCGCCCGCCTTGGCCTCCCAAAGTGCTAGGTTTAAAGGCATGAACCACTGCCCCGGCCCCATAATCTGCCAAATTTTAGTTAAAACTCTGTATTCCACTTAGAACTAATTCACCGTGGCTGGGCACGGTGGCTTCTGCCTGCAATCTCAGCATTTTGGGAGGCTGAGGTGGGTGGATCGCTTGAACCCAGGGGTTTGAGACCAGCTTGGGCAATATAGTGAGACCGTGTTTCTTTGCGGGGGGGGGGGGGTGGGGGGAAGCCAGCCTGGCCAACATGGTGAAACCTCATCTCTACTAAAAATACAAAAATTAGCCACGTGTGGTGGCACACACCTGTAATCCCAGCTACTCAGGAGGCCTTGGCATGAGGATCCCTTGAACCTGGGAGGCGGAAGTTGCAGTGAGCCGAGATCATGCCACTGCACTCCAGCCTGGGTTGACGGAACGAGACTCTGTCAAAATAAAATAAATAAAATAAAATACAATGTAAAATAAAATAAAATAGAATGAATTCACTGATAAAGTTGACTTCTCTCATCTCCAAGTAAATGATTTCATTTTCTCCTTTGTTCCTTGCATGTATGCTGTGATTTACTGACTATCAAGAACTCATTACACCAGTACGTATCCCAAGACAAATCAGCTCCAAAGTGGAGTGAGTGCAAGGGGAGAGCTTTAATTCAAAACTGCTTTATGGAGGAAGTACAGGTTTTCCTCTAAGCTGCACTGTTATAGATCTGTAGAAGTTTTAAATCCATGTAATGCTCATCAGTTTTTAGTTTAGTATTTAGCTGTCTGTGATGATAAGTAAATAATTTACCTTTTTGAAGGCCTGTGATATACTGTGTCTTCATTGCTTCATTTAAGAGGATGCAACATCAGGATTTTCAAAAATACACATAACGAAGTGTTGTGTAATCGTCTGTACATGGTTTCTTTGATAAGAGAGAGGCAGGAATCTGCGTAAAGCAGGTGTACAGACATAGTTTGCCCATGAGACAGCAAGAAGAGCCCTGATGTCCTAAAGGAGAGCCCTCTCCTGAAATGCATAACATACATATATATTTTTTTTTCCTTTTTTTCAAAAAATAGAGACAGGGTCTCAGTATGTTGCCCAGGCTGTCTCAAACTCCTGGCCTTAAGTGATCCTCCTGCCTCGGCCTCCCAAATTATTGGGATTACAGGTGTGAACCACCATGCCTGGTCTTGAAATGCATATCTTAGTCACTGTTACTTCTTTTAAATTGTTTTAATTGTATAAGATAAAAACCAAAACAAACAAAAAAAATGCTACCATTTCAGGAGCATACATCTAGTCTTAAAAATATCATAAATTTGGGCCGGGTGCAGTAGCTCACGCCTGTAATTCCAGCACTTTGGGAGGCCGAGGCGGGCGGATCACGTGAGGTCAGGAGTTCGAGACCAGCCTGGCTAACATGGTGAAACCCTGTCTCTACTAAAAATATGAAAATTAGCCGGGCGTGATTGTGGGTGCCTGTAATCCTGGCTACTTGGGAGGCTAAGGCAGGAAAATTGCTTAAACCCAGGAGATGGAGGTTGCAGTGAGCTGACACAGTGCCACTGTACTCCAGCTTGGGCAACAGAGTGAGACTTTGTCTCAGAAAAAAAAAAAAAAAAAATTATAAATCCTTTTTATTCCCCTAACTTGGATCTCAGGTTAATTGGGATATGCCTAATAACAAAATTTCTGAACATGAGGTTTACTAGAAAGAATTATTTTTTAGATTATTTGTGATATATGTATATATGCATTTGATAGTAGTGGATGTGTTTATTGGACTCTTAAGTACTTGCTATGTACTGTGGGACATGTAGGAGTATATGAATATTTGTCAGCTAGATTATAAAGCTTAAAAACATATTATTGGGCAGGAGTGGGCTATGGGGCTGTGACTACTAGTGGGCCTGGGGTTTCTTTGTGGGTTGATGAAAATAGAGATGGTTGTGCAACTTTGTGAATATAGTAAAACCATTTAATTGTATACTTATGGGTGAATTTTATGTTATGTGAGTTATATCTCAGTGATGCTTAAAAAATGCTGTTAATGAATTTGCAGTGCTGAAAAGATTCCAAAGTTGTGATTCTCTACCTTTTTCTGTTCTCCAGATCTCCCAAAGCAGTTGCAGTGAAAGATAAAGAACATCAAACACTCTTATCTTCTGGTGGTGGGGAAATGCTGAGTGGCCCTGACTTTGTGCAGTGAAAGTTGTTTACACAAGCCTGAGTCTATAAACTCAGAGATAAAAAAAATCACACCAGGCTGAAGCCCCATCAGGCAAAAACCTACCAGAGAAATGGGCCTGCCCGTCTGATGGAATATCTGGGATTTCCTGATGTTGGTCCCTTAATTTGTGGACCATTTTAGGCTGTCATTAAAGTAGCAGTCTAAAGTAAGAGAAAAATTCTGACATGGAATAATGTGGATGAATCTTGAGGACATTACATGAAATAAGCCAGTCACTAAAAGGACAAATACTGTATGATTACAATTGCATGAAGTGCCTAGAGTAGCCACATTCATAGAGACAAAGTAGAATGGTAGTCACAGGGAAATAGGGAGTCAGTGTTTAATAGTATAGTTTCTTTTTTTTTTTTTTTTCAGACAGAGTCTTACTCTGTCGCCCAGGCTGGAGTGCAATGGTGCTATCTTGGCTCACTACAGCCTCCATCAACCAGGTTCAAGCGATTTTCTCCTGCCTCAACCTCCCTTGTAGCTGGGACTACAGGCCCACGCCACCACGTCTGGCTAATTTTTGTATTTTTAGTAGAGTTGGGGTTTCGCCACGTGGGCCAGGATGGTCTCGAACTCCTGACCTCAAGTGATCTGCCCACCCGCAAAGTGCTGGGATTACAGGGGTGAGCCACCACGCTGGGCGATACAGAGTTTCAGCTGGGGAAGGTGAAAAAGTTCTGGAGATGGATGGTAGTGATGGTTCCACAATATTGTGAATGAACTCAGTGTCAAATAACTATATACTGAAAAATGATTCAAATGGTAAATTTTATGTTGTGTTTAATCACAATAAAGTAAATTTTTAAAAAGTAAGAGTAGTAAAATCACTTTGATGAAAAGAAAGGGTGGGACCAGGGTATTTGGATTGTCTACCAGGCCAGGCACCCTTTTCAGTGGTCTTGCCTCTGTGCCTGCCTTCTGAGTGTGAGGAGGATGATGAGGATGCCCAGGGCAGGTCTCTGCCTGCTCCCTTCGTTCTGGTCCTTCCACCAGTCACCCATGGAGCATCTCTTGTGTTTCAGAAATGCCAGTGCCTTGGCACAGGAGCAGGATAAAACTGTGCCCCCAAGGCACTTTTAATCCAGAGGAAGGTTGGCAAAGATACATTTGCTTGAAAAATATTGTCAGGGCCAGGTGTGTTGGTTCACACCTATAATCCTAGCACTTCCCAGTACTTTGGGAGGCTGAGGCAGGAGGATCACTTGAGCTCAAGGAGTTCAAGACCAGCCTGGGCGAGACCTCATCTCTACAAAACTTCAAAAAAAATTAGCCAGACATGGTGGTGCAGGCTGAGGTGGGAGGATCATTTTAGCCCAGGAAGTTGAGGCTGCAGTGAGCGTTGATTGTGCCACTGCACTCCAGCCTGGGTGACAGAGCGAGACCCTGTCTCTAAAAAATAAATAAATTGTCAGGTTGCGTTATGCTCCCCTGTGGTAGAAGTGTGGGTGGTGTTATTTAGGTAGTACTTGGAGAGTGCCCGTCAGATGTCTGGAAACCTAATTTAAAGTAGTAAAATCAACACGTGGGTGAGACTTGATACCCACAGACATATTTTTTTTTAAAGCTAGAGTGTCTCTAAAAGAATGAGACTTGTTTATAGCCTAAAAATTCTCCATGGAATGAAGATCCTCCTGGTGCCAAAGGAACTGTGTGCTTTTGGTGAGGAGCCCATCAGCATGAGGTTTTCCACTGACTACGGTTTCCCAAGGCAACTTAAGAGACATAGTCAAGGCCTTAAGGAATTGATGGGCCAGCCATGGAGGAGACTCAAATACAAACACAATGTTTTTGCGCTTTGTAAGCATGGTTATGGAGCACTGTCTAAACTAGTGAAAGTAAATTTAATAAGAAGGAATTACGGCAGGCACAGTGGCTCATGCCTGTAACCCCAGCACTTTGGAAGGCTGAGGCGGGCGGATCGCTTGAGGCTGAGAGTTCAAGACCAGCCTGGACAACATAGTGAAACCCTGTCTCTACTAAAAATACAAAATTATCCAAGTATGGTGGCATACACCTGTAGCCCTAGCCACTTGGGAGGCTGAGGCATGAGAATTGCTTGAACCCAGGAAGTGGAGGTTGCAGTGAACTGAAAGTGAAACTCTATCTCAAAAAGAAGAATGAATTATGCTGGGCATGATGGCTCACGCCTGTAATCCCAACACTTTGGGAGGCTGAGGCAGGAGGATCACTTGAGCTCAAGGAATTTAAGACCAGCTTGGGCAACATAGCGAGACCCCTGTCTCTACAGAAAATAAAAAATTAGCCAGGTGTGGTGATGTACACCTGTAGTCCCAGCTACTCAGGAAGCAGAGGCAGGAGGATATCTTGAGCCCAAGAGTTTATTAAGGCTGCAGTGAACCATGATTGTGCCACTGCACTCCAGCCTGAGCAACAGAAAAAAGAACAAATTGTGGAAGAGACATGTTAAAGTCCAGTGGGTCAGTGACCAAGAGCCCAGAGACTCTAGTTTCAAACATACACATTCCATGGTCCTGCCTGTGTTTTTAGACAGATCATTCTCAGAGGCAGCCTTCATCTGTTAAATAAATTCTTTACTTGGTGGGAGGAGGTGAGAGAGAGGTGGAGTCAGAGGTGAAGTGTGGGGATAAGGATGTGATATTTTTAGCACAGTTTGAGATATAAAGTAATTTCCTGATAAGATTATTCTTCTCCTAAATGGAACCTGTACTGTCCTCATTCTCTTACTAATGACAAGGTCAGAGCAAACCGACAAACATGGAAGAACAGGGTTCCTAGCCCTGGTGGTGAATTCCGAGGCGGTCTGAGCATACTCCAAAAAGTTGGCTTTAGGATACAGAGGGGTCCATTTTTGTGGACTGCTTTATTTTGGTTCAAGGGTTGTCTGTGAATTTTACAATAAATCAGAGTCTTTGTTTTCCTATTGCTGAGGGAGGGGAGGGAGAGGTTTGCAACAGTCTATTAATAGAATATAGCATAATTTGAAAGGAAATGTAGAAAAATCAAATGCTAATAATAATAATATTGCTGGGCATGGTGGCTCATGCCTGTAATCCCAGCACTTTGGGAGGCTGAGGTGGGCAGATCTCTTGAGATCAGGAGTTTGAGACCATCCTGGCCAACATGGTGAAACCCCATCTCTACTAATAATACAAAAATTAGCTGGATGTGGTGGTGCATGCCTGTAATCCCAGCTAGTCGGGAGGCTGAGGCAGGAGAATCACTCGAACCTGGGAAGCGGAGGTTGCAGTGAGCTGAGATGGCGCCACTACACTCCAGCCTGGGTGACAAAGCGAGACTTCATCTAATACGTGTGTGTGTGTGTGTGTGTGTGTGTGTGTGTATGTATGTGTATATGTGTGCGTGTATATATATGTGTGTGTGTGTATGTGTATATATATGTGTGTGTATGTATATATATATGTGTGTGTGTATGTATATATATATACACATACACGCACACATATGGCACGCACTATGTTGCCCAGGCTGATCTCAAACTCATGGGCTCAAGTGATCCGCCCGCCTCTGCCTCAAAAAGTGCTAGGATTACAAGTGTGAGCTACTGTGCCCATCCTGAAATGCTAATAATTATTAACCTAATGTTGCTGGAAACAAATTCTTTGTTTTTTCAAGAAGAGAAAAAGTAGATAATAATGGTACTGAAAGTGGTATTTCTTTTTACTTTCTCACAATTCCATCATCATTAACCATTTACATTCAGGAGCCACTATACTAGGCACTCTAAAGGCACCTTTAAAGAGCTGTCTCATTGTATGTAAGGGTGTGTACACTGAGAAGTCTGTATTGCCCAGTATTTATGAGAAAGCTGCTGCTTGCACCTGGCTTGGTGCTATGAGGGACAAATACAACTTTGTGTTTCATAAGGAAGATTAATACTTTGACATAATTCTAATTTCTTGGCCTTTAAGGAGAAGGTCACAAAATCTTTCTTTAAAAAAAGGTAGTGACTATCATTTGCTTTTTCTCTGTAAAAGCAGGGACATTTCTTTTTAACGTATTTTTTCCCAGTGGCTAAAATAATGTATACTCAATGCAGAAGACTTGGAAATTGGAAAAAATGGAGGAGCTTTTGAAAAAAAATTTCTTTCAGGATGACTGTTGGTTTTGCTTTGAGTCAGAAGCAAGCTTTGTTCTGCTGACTTGTCTCGTGCTTAGTAGTCCTTTCCTGCCTCCTCTTGTGATCCCTTGAATTTGGAGGATTTGGCGGGGAGTCACATGGCCCTCTCTCCCCATCAACTTCCCATCTTCCCACTGGAGCACACGAGCTTTCCTCCGAATCTGTGAGACTTGAGCTCAGTGGTTCATGTTAATATAATAGAACACCCCTTTCTTGTGAACGTGTGCTCTCAGGGTTTGTTTCCAAGTTGAGGCTTGACATGTCAGAAGGTGTTTTGTGGAAGGAAAGAGCCCTAGTGCTGGAGGCATTGGGTTCAGATCCTGGCCTCACTCAAATGGTAGCCGTAGCCGTGAGTAAGTTAAACTCGGCTTGCTCGTATGTAAGTGGTAATAACAATGCTTAGATACAATGATCTGATTTACCTGGTACATAGCAGGTTCTTGGGCTGGGCATGGTGGCTGATGCCTGTAATCCCAGCACTTTGGGAGGCCAAGGCGGGAGGATCACTTGAGCCCAAAAGTTTGAGACCAGGCTGTCTCTACAAAAAATTAAAAAACTAGCTGGGCACAGTGTGGCGCCTGTAGTCCTAGCTATTCAGGAGGCTGAGATGGGAGGATCACTTGAGCCCAGGAATTTGAGGCAGCTGTAAGCTGTGATTGCCACTGCACTCCAGCTTGGGCGACAAAGTGAGACCCTGTCTCTAAAAAAAAGGGGCGCAGGGGGTTCTTTCCATGAATGTGATGCTCACACAACCCTGTTTGTTCCTTTCATTCAAAAATGTATATTGAAGTCCTAGCTAGCTGCTTGGGAGGCTGAGATGGGAGGATCATTTGAACCCAGGTGTTTAAGTGCAGCCTGGGTAACATAACAAGACCCCATCTCTCTTTTTCTTTTTCTTTTTTTTTTTTTTTTTTTTTTTGAGACAGGGTCTCATGTGTTGCTCAGGCTGGAGTGCAGTGGCTTGATCTTGGCCTACTGCAGCCTCCACCTCCTGGGTTCAAACAATTTTCCTGCCTCAGCCTCCTGAGTTGCTGGGATTACAGGTGCCACCACCACGCCTGGCTAATTTTTATATTTTTAGTAGAGATAGGGCTTCACCCTGTTGGCCAGGCGGTTCTCGAACTCTTGACTTAAGGTGATCTGCCCACCTCGGCCTCCCAAAGTACTGGAATTACAGGCATGAGCCACTATGCCCAGCCCCCATCTCTTAAAAAAAAAAAAAAAGTGTATTAAGCACCAGCTGTGTGCCAAGCCTTGCTCTAGATGCTGGAGACAAAAATGGAGAGAGAGAGAAAAAAAAATCCCTGCCTTTGTGGAGCTCAGATTCTTGTTGGGGAAGTAGGTAATAAGATAAATGCTGGGTGTGGTGGCTAACACCTGTAATCCTGGCACTTTGGGAGGCAGAGGCAGGTGGATTTCTTGAGTCTAGGAATTTGAGACCAGCCTGGTCAACATGGTGAAACCCCGTATCTACAAAAAAAAAAAAAAAATTAGCCAGGCCTGGTGGCGCTTGCCTGTAGTCCCAGCTACTCAGGAGGCTAAGGTGGGAGGATCATTTGAGCCTAAGAGGTTGAGGCTGCTGTGAGCTGTGATTGTACCACTGCACTCCAGCCTGGGTGACAGATTGAGACCCTGTCTCAAACAAAGAAACAAAAACAAGATAAATGCCTAGATATCTGTTAGATTAGTGGTCAGTTGCAAGAAGTAAATAAAAGAGGTTGAGGCTGCTGTGAGCTGTGATTGTACCACTGCACTCCAGCCTGGGTGACAGATTGAGACCCTGTCTCAAACAAAGAAACAAAAACAAGATAAATGCCTAGATATATGTTAGATTAGTGGTCAGTTGCAAGAAGTAAATAAAGCTTCCATGGTCTCTGCGTGTGTATATGTGTGTTGAGAAGGAATATTGGGAATAATGAGTGATTGTAGCTGCATCTTGTTTCCGTGTGAAATGTGTCTTTAAGCTCCTGCTGGGGTCCAGACCCCATCCCGTGTTGAAATGGGACTCCCTGGTTGTTTCTGGGGCATGGTGTCTGTGGAAGAAGGTGGATTCTGGATCTTGCCTGGCTGGGAATGAGGGCTCCAGCAGCAAGGCTTAGGGTTTGAAGGGGAAATAGTGTGTGTGTTTTAAGGGGCTCAGGGGGAGATGTCTTTGGATATACATGAAGAGTGCTTAGAATAGTGCTAAGCACTCAATAAATTTTAGCTATTAACATATATAATGTACTGTGCCTTTTGTTATAAAACGCAGACCTTTAAATAGAAACTAGAAGGGCCACGTTCTTGGAAAAAATGTTCAGTGTTAGAAGCAGTAATTATGTATTAATAATTATGTAAGTGCCAAATTTGGAGCATGCACATAATGTTGATCTCTCTCTACCCCTCACCCTTTCATTCCCTTAGGCCATTTTGGAGGAATACATTTTAAGGCGGGAACCTCGGATGTGTTACGTAACAAAGGCCTTCTTGTGTTACTGTCTAGTGGATCAGTAGGCAAAAGGAAGAAACACATTCTCAAAGCATGGTCAGATTCCTTAAAATGTACTTAGATAAGGGGGAAAAGGGTAAGAAATCTAGTAAAGGTGTGGTGCATGCTAATTGATGGGGAAGACAAAAAAAGAATATAATGATTTCCGAAACTCTGACCATATCTAGGTTAGTGACAAAATTTGAGTTTGGGAAAAATATACATATCAGGGATGCAAGCTTATTCTATGCAGTTTACACCTGCAATTGTTATTGTTATTTTTTTTTTTTTGAGATGAAGTCTTGCTCTGTCACCCAGGCTGGAGTGCAGTGGTGTAATCTCCGCTTCCCAGGTTCCAGTGATCCTCCCACCTCAACCTCCCGAGTAGCTGGGACTACAGGCACATGCCACCATGCCCGGCTAATTTTTGTATTTTTACTAGAGATGGGGTTTCACCATGTTAGCCAGGCTGGCCTTGAACTCCTGACCTCAGGTGATCTGCCCACCTCGGCCTCTCAAAGTGCTGGGATTACAGGTGTGAGCCACCACCCCCGGCCATCCTGCAATTTCTTTACCACGTTTTAGCCTTGCCTTTTTTTTTTTTTTTTTTTTTTGCCTCAACAGAGAATTCTTTATTATGTCCAAAAGAGCACAACAAAAACATCCCAACAATACATAAACCTATATATAAAATATAGAATATCTCCAAATTTTTACTTTCTATGGCAGCACGCCAATATATACAAGAGAACATATTGATGGGGCAAAGGGAAAACTGATTTGGGCAATGACTTAATTAGTCAGGCATTAACATTCAGAGACCTGGTAAACAGCAACTTTAGTCAGAAAAGCAATATGAGAAGAGTTCCTGTGAAGCTGGGATTTACATACTTCATTCTCCGTTCCTGGTCATTTCATCCACAACTTGACTGTTGTCAATCATGGTTCTTTGCCTTTGGAGTGGTACTATGAAGGTACAGAGAATAGAGAATGCCCATCTCAGTACCAAAATTTCACCATGAAAAATCATAATAGAAATAACAAAGCTTAAAAAAATGCTGCATTTCAGAAGTATTTACCCTAATAATTTTTAAGAAAGCTTACCATAAATACTTCTAGGTTAGTGACAAAATTTGAGTTTGGGAAAAATATACATATCAGGGATGCAAGCTTATTCTGTGCAGTTTACACCTGCATAGGCCACCCATCTCGGCCTCCCTAAGTGCTGGGATTACAGGCGTGAGCCACCACGCCTGGCCCTGGTATATGTTTTAAGTCAACCAGTTCTCCTTAAGTACTTGTTTCAACATCATGTTATTGTGTACTACAGAAGCAATCTCTCAGTTATGAAAAATAAAATCAGTTTCAGGGCTCACAAAGTAAAAAGGGAAATTCTTTCCCAATCTCCCCTTCCCCCACCACCTGGCTTTTTTTGTTTAAAAAATTAAATTCAAATGTATAAGACCAAGCACCGGCACTTTCCAAAAAACAAAAATGAAGCCAAATCACAAAATTACTCAATAGTTATAGAAGACAGCTCTGATTTTGGGGGGTCATCTCTGGTTGCCTCAGTACAAGCATTGATCTTTGGCTGCTAGCCTTGCTTTTTAGTTTAAGGAATATGGATCCTATTATTGGTATTAAAAATTATACTTCTAAAACTATTGAAGGCTATTACTAATTATTTCAGTTCTCTATATAGTATTCGTACCTCAGTTTAATAGTGCTTACTAAGTCATTTAAATAATAGGTCTCTGTTGAAAAATATTAGAATTGTACCCTTCCACCTCTAAAAAGTCAGAGTTCAGGATGAAAAGGTATGAAGTCCTCTGTTGGTCATAGTATTTTGTGGGCTAAATCATTGTCTAAAATCAGAAAGACAGCGCAGTGGAAGGTTCTAGGAGTTGCATGGATCTGGGTTAGAATCTCAGTGCCTCTCGCAACCAATTGTTTAAAATGTGGGCAGATTAGTCCCTCCATTTCCATTTTCTCTTTTGTGAAATAATTATTATTTTGCAAGGCTCATGTGACAAAGTGGATTAGTATGTGTGTCTAGCATAATGTAGATGCTAAAATTAAATGATTGACTTGGCACCAGTCAGAGTTTATTCACTTTTAATATTGATTTTGAAAGTCTCCAGTCAGATTGCTTAATTGATACACATTAATTTTTACTGTTAGATTTTTAACTTATTATTAAACACCAAGTTTGATAATAAATACTATTAGTGAGGTAGGAGGTGGAACTTGACTCCAGACCAGATTGAAGACTGGCTGAAACAGGGAAGAGGTGAAAGCACCTCTCCATAAGACACGCCCACCAGTGCCATGTCAGTTTACCATTGCCATGGTAACACCTGGAAATTACCACCCCTTTCCATGGCAACAACCTGGAAGTTACCACCCTTTTTCTAGAGGTTTCTGATTAACCTGCCCTCTTAATTTGCATGTAATTAAAAATGGGCATAAATATGACTGCAGAACTGCCCTTGAGCTGCTGTTATGGAGCAGTCACAGAGCTTAACACTGCCACGTCAGTAAAGCAGTTTCCTTCTACCGCAGGGTCGCTCTTCAGCTCTTTCCTAAGTGCAGTTGAGAATCTTCCTGGGCTGAGCCCCAGTTTGGGAGCTTGCCTGCCCTTCATCAATAGCAGTAGTAATAGTAATGATGATGGTAGCCAGCCAGATATAGTGAAGTGTTCTATGTGTTCTCAGTTACTCTGAACAAGGGCCCTCAAAGGGCAGGTATTTTTATGTTCTTTTTGCTGACAAGAAACTGAGGCTTAGTGAGACTGAGATTTAGAAAGTAATGAAAGGAAAAAGTTATGTTAAATGATCACTTTTTTATGGAGCCATGCTTTTTTGTGCTTAATTTATTGCCTATTGCTCATATGTGTTTTACATTGTTCAGTGTTTTCTCAAGATAAGCAATGAGAAGTAACAGCTGTAGTCAACTTTCTTCCCCAAGTACTAAGTAAATAAGGTGGTTAGGTGTAGAATGGAATTAGCTATGGAATGCTGATTGTTTATTTTCTATGTAGGATGAAAGAAATTAGGCATGAAGAAGGAAGATAATTTTCTACTTGCTATAGATTTGAAATAGTTTTCTTTCTTTTGCTTTTTTTTTGTTTGACCTACTGAGGAGTTCAGAGTGGTTAACTGAAACAGACTCTAAAAATACCCTTTGGTAGCGTGCTCACTGAAGTATTTTCTGTTTGTCTAAAATTAGCAGATTTGAGCAGATTTGAGCAGTGTACTCTGGTTTTCCAAAGCCTTCCATTAGGTGACTTCTTATTCTGGTGTACTTTGTTATCTTTCTGGATAACACGTTTGATGGGTGTTAAAAGGTAAAGCCAGGAATGGCTTTACTTTCTAACAGAATACTTTACAAAGCAGTTTCCAGCTTAGATACTTCCTCCTACAGGGAACCTTCCCAAGGTGTTTCCTTGGCAGTGCTCCCTTCCTTATCCCGCCACTGTCCCACATGTCCCACCTAGGCCTTGAAGGGCAGAACCTGTGCTCTGTTCACTGTTGTATTCCAGTGCCTGACACAACTATTTGCACAGTATTTAGGTGCTGAACAAATATTTATTGAATGCCAAAATTGGTTCATTTACTAAGCAGAAAGAAAGGAAAATATTTTTTGTTGGCAGTGTCTGCAAAGAGATTTGTCTTTTCCCATGAAAATTGAGAAGTGGGGACAGAAAAGCAAGAAAGTGGGAGCAAAAGTAATTGAGATCCACAGTGGCTCAGGAGTGTTGACCGGTGCAGGGTGTGGTAGAAGCCCGTTAATGGGTAGGGGAGCCAGATACGGAGGCTCAGCTGGGCTGGGGGCAGGTCTGCAAGAAATGGGGGGGTGTGGAGAAGGTTACCAGCCGTTACCAGAGTTTTCCTCTGCATTGGGAATTTCTAAGGTGTGTTTTTGTTTTTAAAACAATATCTGTACTTTCAAAAATATGGTTTCTTTGCTGCAAGGGGAACACATTTATTTTGTGAAAGTAAGTGTACCTAGTTAACAGTTTCCATTTATTAATTTCTGGAATAGTGTTTTGGTTACTTGGAATGTGTGTGTGTATTTTCTTTCTTTCTTTCTTTTTGAGACAGAGTCTCGCTCTGTCACCCAGGCTGGAGTGCAGTGGCGCCATCTCGGCTTACTGTAGCCTCTGCCTCCCAGGTTCAAGCGATTCTCCCGCCTCAGCCTCCCAAAGTACTGGGATTACAGGTGTGAGCCACTGCGCCCGGCCTATTTTCTTTCTATTACAAGTCCCTTGCGGGAAAGATGGTCGTAGCTCCTATTCTAAATGAACAGAAGTTCTGTCTTAGAAATTTTCCCATTTTACAAGTGTTCAAAGAGGACCAAATTTCATCCTCTTTCCCTGCCTGTGTCCTGGAATCAGCTGAGAAGAAAGACAGGAGTAAGGTGGTCTTCAATTCAGCCAGTCTTCAATTGTTGGAGACCAAAATTTACCTTTATGCTGATCAGGGTTAGAGCTGCTATGCAGAACATGGCTTATCTCTGCGGGCAAGTGGCCTTCCTGAGGCTCATCTCCAGAGCTGTGCAGCAGAATGTTGCCCTCAAAAGAGGACAGAGGGCAGGACTGGCTATGCATGCATGCTCACTCCCTTCTTCCAGATTCACTGAGCCTGTTTTCCTTCTGAATTAAGAGGTAAGAAAGTAACACCTGGAAAGATGTACTTTCCCAAGGTCACGCAGATAGCTGGCAACAGGTTTTTCTCCTGGGCTCTAGAGGCCTTTGGTCTGAGTAGAAAGGGCATGGTTATGGGGTTGGCCAGGCCTTGTGTTCACCACATTCTGCTTCTGTGCTCTTAGCTTTCATTTCTGCATCTATACCATGGGGTTAAAATTTCTACCCTCGGGATTCCTGGGAGGGTTACCTAAGGTGTAACTGTTGAATGACCTGAACCAGTGCTTTGCACTCAGAATCAGCAATGTAAATATCACTCAGCCAGCCTGGGGCACTTTCCTCTATCAAACCTTACCAATCCTTTTCTTCTTCTTCTTCTTTTTTTTTTTTTCTCTTCAATTGAAACAGGGTCTCACTGTCTTGCCCAGGCTGAGGTGGAATGTGGCACAATCTCCGTTCACTGTAGCTTCCACTTCACAGGCTCAATCAATTCTCCAGCCTTAGCCTCCAAGTAGCTATAGGCACGTGCCATCACACCTGGCTAGTTTTTGTATTTTTTGTAGAGATGGGTTTTCACCATGTTGCCTAGGCTGGTCTCAAACTCCTGAGCTCAAAGCGATCTGCCTGACTTAGGCTTCGAAAATGCTGGGATTACAGGTGTGAGCCACCATGTCCAGCCTCGTTGTTCTTTCTTTTAATCACCCTGGCTTGGCACCTCAGAAAACATGGTGATTGGAGTTTAGCTTTCAGCAGGGTGGGACTTGGATGTTGACTGTTTTAATTTTGATTTTTTTTTTTTTTTTTTTGAAACGGAGTCTCACTCTGTCGCCCAGGCTGGAGTGCAGTGGCGCGATCTCGGCTCACTGCAAGCTCTGCCTTCCGGGTTCACGCCATTCTCCTGCCTCAGCGTTGTGAGTAGCTGGGACTACAGGCGCCTGCCACCGCACCCAGCTAATTTTTTGTATTTTTAGTAGAGATGGGGTTTCACCGTGGTCTCGATCTCCTGACCTCGTGATCTGCCCGCCTCGGCCTCCCAAAGTGCTGGGATTACAGGTGTGAGCTACCGCACCCAGCCCAATTTTGATTTTTTAGGAGGAAAAAAAATTGTTCCTAAGGAAGTCAAGTCCTAAATTGAAAGACTTTCATATATTACACAAACCCTAGAAAAACTTGGGTTACACCTGGGATTGATTTTGAAGTAGGGCGTTGAACTATGTGTCCTGTTTAACCTCGAGGAGCAAATGGCTTTCCATTCTAAACATTCTCATTTCTTCTCTGGGACATTCTTTAGGTGCTTGTTTGAGTTTCTGTTTTGTTAGGCACATTAGAGGACTCTATATGAACAAGTTCCTAGGGGAGGAAATTGGTGACTTAGATGAAAGGGTGAAAAAGGTGAAACCTTCACATTATTGTGTAAGGGATTGTCCCAGAATGTGTGAAATTTGATGTAGTCCTTCTTGGCTTCGTTTTTTCCTCAGATGTTCTGGATGAAACAGTTCCCCCTGTCACACGTGGAGATAAGGATGTGGCTCTAGGCAGGGCATATCCTGTGTTTAAGACTGTGTTGACTCTTCTTTTACAGTGTCTGCCACTTGTTTCCTGCCTAGGTCTTTAGTTTTGAGTGAAGTACAGCTGTGAAGTCCTAGACTTGTAATGCTAAGGCGTTCATTATGTTAAATTCAGTTTCTCTTTTTCTTTTCTCTGCTTCACATCAGCCTTGTACTTTAGCACGTTTCCAGTCCAGCCTTGGTAGCTGGGCTGCTGTTCTCCTTGACCCGTCCCTTTGCAAGCAGCAGACCACGGCCAGGGTTGGGAGTCCGGCTGGGCCACTGACCGCAGTGCTGAGGAAAGGTGGAGCGGGAGGCCCTTTCCTCCCAGCCTCGGGCTTCCTGTGCAAGCCACTGAGGAGGAAAAGGAGCTGGAGGGTGTGTGAACCCTCAGGTTATACAAGCAGCACTTCTATGCAACAAAGAAAATGTAAATTGCTGTAAATTACCAAAAAAAAAAAAAAAAAAAAAATTGCTGGCAATCTGCTTTCCAGGGCAGATGGAGGGTAGCTTTTATTTATACATTGGTCAGCTGATTGAGTAATGTTTAAAAACCACCTTTACTTCTGGCACTTCTTGGCAGTATCAGTTTTTTTTTTTTAATGGATAGAGAAGCTTTTTTATTTTACAGATAATAACTGCATATCTTTACCTGAGGGAGCTCAGGTTCGCTCTATCTAGCAGCTTCCACGTGTCATCTCTGTATGTGCAGTTGGTGCCTGCATTAAGGAGGACGGACAGCCTTGTGGCGTTGGTGCCTCTGTTTTGTGTCTAAAGCTATTTATTTGGGGGTGGCTGCCCCAGGAGCAGCACATCAAAGTGGTGTTCAGTTATGCTGGCCAAGTGCTGAATTGCATTGTGTTTATTTTTATTTCCAAGGTTATTTTATTTTTTACACATGAAAGCCTTTTTCCCTCCTAGATTTTACTGTTTTTTTTTTTTTCCTGATTAACAAAGATGTACAGACTGAGGAGAAGTTTTTGAAAATTTTGTAAAAATGTTGAAATTTTTATGCAGAAAGAGAAACAAAGTGGGGGCCCATCCCAAATCTCACCAATCAGGCAGAAACTATTTGTCATACTGGATACGGTTTCTCTCTCTCTCTTTTTTTTTTTTTTTTTGTGGGGGGGATCTTTTCATTAAAAAACTCTTCTGTAGGTATCTTAACAGCACTTGCATGGTCCTTAGGAGATGAAGGTGTTTCGCCATTTCTGGAGTGCTGCACATGTAGTTTTCTTCTTTTTAAATTGTCAGTGGCCCTGGCCAGATTACTAATTCCCTACTAAGTTGCCAGTTGTGCTAGTACCCCACCCTCCAAAATCCATATTGACCTTCTGTATCAAAATGGCTAAGTCGTCAGAAACCAGCAGTGGGCAAACGTTAGGGTCTCAGCTTTCCTCCTTTCTTTCACTTGCTTGGCTTCATTGGCTTTGAATCGGATAGACCCGGGTAGGAACCTCACCTAGCCCCTCCACTAACTTTGTGTCCTCCGGCAAAATAAATCTCCCTAAGCCTCTATTTCCTATATGCAAAATAGGGATGATAGTATTACCCAATTCCAGGGTTATTGTAAGAATTCAGAGGCAAGTTGTGAAGGGTGTGGCATGGTGTCTGGAATGGGTGATGATACAGTTCCCTAAGGGGAGCTGCTGCCACCTCTGTGCTGGGGACTCTCCCTTTGCCCCATCCCAAGAATTTGGGTTGGCTAATCCTGCCCTGTCTGGTTTTGGATGAGGGACCAGGAAAGAAAGGGAGGCAGGATAGGGGAGGTGTTTTTGAGAAAAACCTTCTTTTTCCCTCTGCAAGTATTTGTTTCAGGCAGTACGTGAACCCTCGAAGACTGATCGGGGCTGGTCCTGGGTCACCCCAGCAGGGTTCAGTGAAGTGGGCCAGGGGCACTGGACCCTCGGCTTTCTCCCTGCAGGGGGATCTGCCTCCCTGGCCTCGCCTCTTGTGATCTTCTATGCATGTTCACTCCTTACTCACTCTGAGCCTTCTGACTCTGACCAGCCTGTGTTCCTGGCATTCTTTTGATGATGTAAGTGTTTCACACCCTATCTGCAACCAAGCAGGAGGACGGAGAGGACTTCTGCAGCAAAGAGTACCTCTAGAAATTGCTTTTGTGAGGTTCTTTGAGGTGCTAATCACCTAACTTTTATTTGAATTGCTCTGACTTATCATTTAATAACTCCGGAGGACTTTTTACTTCCTTGGCAGGAGGAGGAAGGTGATTCCTCAGATAAAACCAAAACCTAGAGCTGCACTTCTGAAGGAAATTGCTGCTCAGGTAGGGCTGGATGTGTAGGTGTTCTCCATGGGCCCATGCCGTGCCTGTACCAGCGTCCTGAATTGACGGCAGCAGAGGGGTATCTTTCTTCATTCTTCATTATTTATTGCCTGAGGCAGAATGAATACTTGTACACTTGGGATTTCAGCCATGCCTTTTAAGGGCTGTGAACAGACTTATCAAAGAGCCATCTTGAGTGGCCTGTAGGGCGGAAGGGAGAATACAGGACAAGAAAGTGGATGGAATTAATGGGAACAAGAGTGACATAAAATAGTTTAACCCCCTGTGGCCCTCTTCAGACTTTTACATTTGTCTATTTTTATTTATTTAAAATTTTTTAACTTTTGTGGGTACGTAGGTGTATATATTTATGGGGTACATAAGATTTTTTGATACAGGCATATAATAATCATATCAGAGTAATATCACCCCAAGCATTTATCATTTGTATTACAAACAATCCATATATATTCTTTTAGTTATTTTATTTTGTTATCTTATTTATTTATTTATTTTGAGACGGAGTCTTGCTCTGTCACCCGGGCTGGAGTGCAGTGGCACAATCTCAGCTCACTGGAACCCCCGCCTCCTGAGTTCAAGCGATTCTCCTGCCTCAGCCTCCTGTGTAGCTGGGATTACAGGCCGGTGCCACCATGCCCAGCTAATTATTGTATTTTTAGTAGAAATGGGGTTTCACCATGTTGGCCAGGCTGATCTTGAACTCCTAACCTCAGATGTTCCACCCACCTCGGCCTCCCAAAGTGCTGGGATTACAGGTGTGAGCTATCGCACCCAGCCTATTATTTATTTTTGAGAGATAGGATCTTGCTCTGTTGCCCAGGCTGAGTCATGCTCACTGTATACTCTACCTTCTGGGCTCAGGCAATCCTCCCACCTCAGCTTCCCAAGTAGCTGGAACCACAGGTGCACAGCCGCCACTCCTGGCTAATATTTTTATTTTTTGTTCAGACGGTGGGGAGGCTCTTGCTGTGTTGCCCAAGCTGATCCTGAACTCCTGGGCTCAAGCGATCCTCCTCCCTCCGCCTTCCAAAGTGCTGAGATTACAGGTATGAACCACTATGGCTAGCCTGGTCTACAGAAATGTCTAATTTTCTTCAGACTTTGTTCTCCCTTCAAATTAGGTTTCATCTGGCAGAGTGGCTACTCCATTTGTTTGCAAGCCTCTGCCCTTGATGTTCAGATTCCTGCTGCTGGTGGAGCCGGCTGAGTTTCCCAGATGGGCTCCACCTGCCTCCTCCTCGGTTGCTGCAGCATTCATTGCTTCGTGCTTCCTGTCTGGCTCGCCTCCAAATGAGCCTGTTCATTTCCTTTCTCCGGAAACTGTCCTTATCACTGAGGTTCAAAAGTTCCATAAAGGATATGGCAGTCTTGAGACTTGACCTCCAAACTTTGACCTTAATAAAAACTGGTTTTTTAAACCCAGCCAACCTGAATGAGTGGACTATGGCTTTTGATTGCTGTTAGCTGAAGGAGATGTATGGCTGCTGGGTGACGCCTTGAACAGTGAGATGTTATATATAATCTTGAATTTGGGGTGGTGCTTGTGTCACCACTCGGAATTATGTTGTCAGTCTCACTTCCCTCCTGGCTTCTTGGCAATCGTCTTTATTAATGTTTTCAATTTTCTTACTATCCAGTGAACTTACTTTGTATTTATTGTTTGGGGTAGTGTTGTAGATGGTATTACTATTTGAAAACTTACTGTTGAAAGGGACCGTAGTCCAGTGGCCTCTTTTAATAATCAGGGAAAACTGAGTCCATGAAGACACGCCTGCCTTTGAAAACCTAAGAATCCACTGCTTTTTCTGTTGAGACAGACCCCACAGAGATCTCCGAGAGGACGGCTGCAGCAAGAGTGCTGACTCCCATGCAGCCGCATTCCTTTTCTAATTGTCAAAGCTGATTAGTGGATTTGGATGTGCGTGGCTCGGAGTCCTCTAATAATCTTTCCTTTCTTACATAGCTCACCTAGAATTTGAGGAAAATTAAACCAGTTGTGAAATATATCACGTTTCAGAAATGAACGGCATCTTAATTGATTCCCTTTGAGAACACATCAGACTGGGATTTCTGAGTGTAATCTGGTATGCCTTGAGGTGGGGACCTCATGCTGGGGCACTCAGAGGAGACTGGTCCACCTCCAAGTTTGTTTTCTGGCTCCAAACAAATGAGTGGCTGTTTGACTGTTGGCACACTACCCAGTTTTAAAAGTACAACCATATAGGGTATGGAGGGCTGGTAACCAGGGGGTTTAAAAAGTGAGGTCATGGAAGGCCCAGATGAAGCTCTTTTAATGTGTATCACAACTGCAATTAATCTTATTAACATGCTGGGCCTGTTCCTGCTTTCGCTGCCCCAGGTGTGTGAGAGTATTTAGGGGGCATGCTTTGAAGGATTCTTGTTCTTTGATGATGCACATGGATAACAGAAGTACATCAAACTTTGTATCTGGCATTAAAAGGGCTTTTGTTTGCCTCTGTAGATTCATTCAGTTTTGAGAAGAGAGCAAAAAGCTTCATGCCAATTGATAAGATGTACAAAAGAGGGTGGATTGCAAATGCAGTCTTGCAGCAGTGAGCTCTATGACCAGATCAGAATCAGCTGAACAGGAATGGAGCCCTCTTCTATATCCAACACTAAGGTAGTTCCAGCACAGTATTCTGGGAGTGAAAGATGTAAAAAAGCAGCCAGGCACAGTGGCTTATGCCTGTAATCCCAACACTTTGGGAGGCCGAGGTAGGAGGATCGCTTGAGCCTGGGAGGCGGAGGTTGCAGTGAGCCGATGTGGCCCCACTGCACCTCAGCCTGGGCGACAGAGTGAGACCCTGTCTCAAACAAACAAAAGTGTAAAAGCACTGTTGTGTATTTGGGAAGCAAAAGTATGCACAGGAAACAACAAGGCATAGAAGGTGTTGTGGATCCTAAACCTGAATTGATGAGGGTAGCATGGGGGTTCTGAGGGCAGGGAGGTAACTGAGGGCTGTTGTGGTTAGGACGGCTTCCTGGGTGGGGTGGGCCTTGAACGCAGGTGAGGAGCAGGATGGGGTGCAAGTGGTGCTCTTAGCTTGTGCTGACTGGGTAGGGCAGTACGTAGTGAGAGGTAAAGTTGGGGGAGTATAGTAGCAGCGGGTGGTACACTTCGGTTTTCTGTGTGCACTCTTTCTCTCTTGCTCTCTTGTTTTTCTTTCTTACAAGTATGTTTAAGGAAGGCTAGTATAGTACTCCAGCCTTGTAAGGTTGCCGCTTCATTTTATTTTTTAGACTATGTGTTAGAAGTTGTCTAAAATACCCACCTAGCCCCCCCCCCCCCCGCCACCCCGGCTTCTTGCTTAACAAGTAACCTCAAGGACCAAGAAAGAGGTTAAAGTTTCAAGTTCAACAGATGGGGATTGCGTGTGCTAATAATCCTCTAATGAATAGAATCTGCTCACTTCAATGAAAAATAAGAAAAAAGAAATATTTGTTCCTTTATAATGTACTCATTTGCTCATAGTTAATGAATATCACATAAGATTAAAAGTCGCTTAAGGTTTTCTTGCTATGTCCTTTAACTGGTTTATTTTTTAATTTTTTAAATTTTAAATAGAGATGGGGTTTCGCAATGTTGCCCAGGTTGGTCTCGAACTCCTGGGCTCAAGTGATCCTCCCATCTCGGCCTCCCAAAGTGCTAGGATTACAGGCATGAGCCACTGTGCCCGGCCTGGTTTCTTAACTGCAGGATTTCTTAGAGTCTTTAACTTTCTAAGGAACACTGGGAATCTCTAAGAGGAGTGAAGGAGGAGGAAGAACAGGAGGGCCTTTTCTGTCCACAGCACATTTTGGAGGATTGGTGTTCCATGGAACACTCTTTGGAAAGCATGGCCCCCCGCTGTTCTGCAAAGCTGTGTGCCTTGCCCTTGTTCATTCCAGTTGCCCTCTGTTTTTCCACTTACTTTTCCTACCCTGAGATAACAGTGATGCATCTATTGCTACAAGGAGGATTAGGGGATGGGGAGAGGCTGTTAAGTCCCTCTCTAACCTTTTCCTGCTGTTCAAAGCATGAACAAAGTGAACATCTTATATGGCTGCACTAAAAAAGTTGCCCGCTTACAAGCTGAACTCAGGCAAAATGAACTCCTGAATCCTCACATAAACGGAAATAGAGCCCCACCCTGTATCCTGCCATTTAAAAAAAAAAAAATCCTCTCATCTGGCAGGGGGAAAAAAATCCCAGCCCTAGAGTGGCCAGGATGAATCAGCATGCCAGGGCCATACACCAAGATAAGCATTGAGTCTCTAGATGTGGCACCATGGCAGATTATCAACACTGGTGCCGTGAGAACACTGCAGCAAGCAGCACACTGTACTTTTAAGGACAAGAACAGCAGCACCAAACACCCCAGAAACAACTGTTCTGATTCTTTCCTTCAGGAGTAGAATTTTTTTTTTTTTTTTTTTTTTTGAGACGGAGTTTCGCTCTTGTTGCCCAGGCTGGAGTGCAGTGGTGTAACCTCCACCTCCAGGGTTCAAGCGATTCTCCTGCCTCAGCCTCCTGAGTAGCTTACAGGTCTGAGGGACTACAGGCATGTGCCACCACACTGGGCTAATTTTTTGTATTTTTAGTAGAAACAGGGTTTCTCCATGTTGGTCAGGCTGGTCTTGAACTCTTGACCTCAGGTGATCCACCTGCCTTGGCCTCCCAAAGTGCTGAGATTACAGGTGTGAGCCACTGTGCCCAGCTTTTTTTTTTTTTTTTTTTTTTTTGATGGAATCTTGCTCTGTCGCCCAGGCTTGAGTGCAGTGGCACAATTTTGGCTCACTGCAACCTCTGCCTCCTGGGTTCAAGTGATTCTCCTGCCTCAGACTCACAAGTAGCTAGGATTACAGGCTCACGTCACCACACCTGGCTAATTTTGTATTTTCAATAGAGATGGGGTTTCACCATGTTGGCCACGCTGGTCTCAAACTCCTGACTGCAGGTGATCTATCCACCTTGGGCTCCCAAAATGCTGGGATTACAGGCGTGAGCCATTGCACCTGGCCACTTTTTTTTTTTTTTTAGACAGTGTCTTGCTGTGTTGCCCAGGCTGGAGTGCAGTGGCACGATCTTGGCTCACTGTAACCTCCATCTCCTGGGCTCAAGTGATCCTCCTGCCTCAGCCTCCCAAGTAGCTGTGACTACAAGCGCACACCACGATGCCCAGCTAATTTTCTATTTTTAGTAGAGACGAGGTCTCCCTGTGTTGCCCAGGCTGGTATTGAACTCCTGGGCTCGAAGGATCCACCTGCCTTGGCCTCCTAAAGTGCTGGGATTACAGGAATGAGCCACTGTGCCTGGCCTGGAGTATTGCTCTAGAACATCCTGTTTCACATCGTTTTATGTGGGGTTTTTCCTTCCTCATTCTTCATTTACACCTCTGTCTATTATAGTCTGTATTTGCAATGTTTACTACAGTAATTAGATGGAGCTTAAAATTCAGTTCTCATTTCCAGGGCTCAGAAGCCACATGTTGCTCCTGGCTGCTCTGATGGACAGCACGGTCACAGGACATTTCCTCCACTGCAGAAAATACTGCTGGATAGCCCTGATGTATATCAACAATGCTGATCATTATTTGAGAAAACGTTCTGGGCTCCCTCAATACCTCTGCCTACTTTATTATTTTAAAACAATTTTTTGTAGGTGCATACCATCATACCCAGCTATTTCTATTTTTTTGTTTGTTTTTTTAGAGACAGGGTGTGCTGTGTTGCCCAGGCTGGCCTTGAACTCCTGGGCTCAGGTGACCCTTCCGCCTCAGCTTCCCAAAGTGCTGGGATTATAGGCGTGAGACACCATGCTTGGTGACTCTGCTTACTTTAATATCTTAGAAGTTTTGGTACTGAAAGTGAAGAACATTGGACAGACATCAAACGTAAATACAAAACTGTCCCAGGTGGCTCTTCTCATACATTTCACTAGGGTTGAGCAGGACATGCTCCCCACCTGGAAGACCCTCCTAGGGCTTTGTAGGTTTAGCTCTGTGTGACAGTTCTCTTTGTATTCATCACAGGGCGGTCTCCACTTTGTATACCTAAAAGACTTCTGAGAACAGTATTTTTCCCTATTAGTCATACTTTAAAATCTAGTTTAGGAGCATCTAACTTCACATGCTGAAATTTTCTTTTGAAATTTCCTTTGAAACCCCCACACTGCTTGCTCTGTAGCTCATGGAAATCACTTACTTCATACCATGCTTCATTGCAAACCTGCTTTGGTTTGCTTATAAGTCCCTCCATGAATTCAGTGGAAATGTCTCTCCCAGAGAATGTTTTTCTCTTAAGGTCTGGTCCATGGTACTTTATTTGATGTCCTTATTAGAAGACATCTAGAGGAGTCAAGACCTAGACTCAGTTCAGTTTGAGCTAGGCTTGAATTCCATTTGCAACATGGGATGGGCCCACTGCTCCAATAAATGTGATGTTTTACATGTGAAAGGTGCTTGATGTTTTGCTCTATGCAATTCCTAGGCTAGAACCTGTTCTGTCTGTTATTGCACTGGGTATTGCAGTCTGTTGGTCATCAGCAGGTGACTGCCTATTGCCAAAAGAGACGATGAGATGAAAAGTAGGAATTCATGATTTCAGAATCTAGCCTCACTTGGAGAAAGCACCTGTTGGCCTGGGAAGTTCACCCTTCTCTGCTGACACAGGCTGGACCCCACACCTGACCAGGTGTCAGAGCACCTGTGAGAGCTCTGGGACCTCCTAGTGGCAGTGTGATGGTACCACTTACTGAGTGTCATGCCACTGGCATCAGGCACTGTGCATATATTGTCCCCCACTCAATCAGAGCATCTGTGCTATTAATATTTGCTCTTTTTTGTTTGTTTGTTTGTTTTTGGTAAAAGGTCTTTATTTTTTAAAGAGATCCGTAATACCAAAAAAAAAAAAAAAAACCAAACAAAAACCCAAAAACCTCTTGTGGGGCTGGGGTGGGGAGTAAGGTAAACTAGGCTGTCAGCCAAGCAAAGGCAGAAAGGTGGGGTCCACAACTGTCTCTCACAGCTTTAAGTGCTTGGCACCAATAGGCACTCAATAAATAGTTGTTGAATAATGGCTTATATTATATCTTCATAACAGTTGTGTAGATATTCTTTTGCACATTTTACAGTAATGAGAAAACTGAGGCCCAGAGAGGTTAAGTAACTTGCCTCTGGTCACGCAGCTAGAATGTGGCAGAGCTGTGTGATTTTAGACCTAAGTATGTCTAAATCATAGTCCACAGGCCGTCACTAAGCTAAAGTAGAGGAAATGATAGGGCCACATTCACCTTCTCTCTTTTGAACAGTCACTCGTTTTTTGAAGCGGGGGTGGGGACAGAGTTGCTGTGTTGTCCAGACTGGAGTGCAATGGCACGATCTCAGCTCACTGCAACCTCTGCCTCCCAGGTTCAAGTGATTCTCCTGCCTCAGCCTGCTGAGTAGCTAGGATTACAGGTGTGCCACCACACCCAGCTAATTTTTGTATTTTTTGTAGAGATGGGGTTTCACCATGTTGGCCAGGTTGGTCTCGAACTCCTGACCTCGTGATCCACCCACCTTGGCCTCCCAAAGTGTTGGGATTACGGGCGTGAGCCACCGCTCCCAGCCTGAACAGTCACTCTTAATTGCACTATGTTTATTTGGGCATTTTGTTATGTTTTTATGTTTTTAATTTTGATATAATTTCACAGTTATAGAAAAATTAACCAAAAGAGTATAAACAATTCTCAGACCCTTTACTGAGATTTGTTGGGACATATTCTTAGAAAGTCTGAGTTGTGAGCCTGTGGGATTGGGCCGCACTTCTTGAGTAGAGCCTGGGTCATGCTACCCGAGAACTCCTGGGTGCCTGTGAGGTTGGGTGTGTCCCATCTGAGAAAGTTCGCTACTGAAAAACAGTGACGTAACCCCACCCAGGAACTGAAGTGAGCCTGAGAGCAGCTCTCCAGGGCTTGCTGGCTGGAAACAATGAGGGAAGAGTCTAGGATTTATGAAATATTTTTTTGTGGAAGAACTCTTCCTCTGAGAAACTGCTGGAGGGTTTGGGGAATACAAAACAAAACTGACTTATGAAAAGATGACTTGTAACTCACCAAGCAGACGCTCTCAGGCGTGGCATGATGCCCTCACTGGCTGCCAAGAACAATAACTGACACATTATCCACAGACGGCTGCGCCCCATGCCATTTCCTCTCCTGCCATCACAATGAAAGACCAGGGTTGACACTTGGTATTGTATCTATTCCACGTCCGCTGCACCATTTTCTTTTAACCCTTCTTTCTTGCTCTCACCCCTTTACCTGTTGGAGCTACTATGCCCCTCCTGGGTTTCGTTTTCTTCTCTTCCTTTTTCCTGGGCATACAGCTGCGTTCCTAGAAATTGTGGTTCTGATTCATAATCATTGTATGTGGAGGAAGGGGCAGGATTCTACTCTGTGAGGGGACGGGAGGGTCTTTTTTAAAGGGGTAAACAATTGGAAAGTTTTTAGAGTTAAGGGTCTTTCTCTGATGCTAAATGAAACCACTGTCCTCTGTTCCAAGGCCTGAGCTTATATCTTCTTTGCTATGAGACCCAGAGAAACAGTGCTTGGGGGCCATTTTGGAAGCAGCTTGTCCTTTGACCTTCCCCACTCCACTTGTGCAGACACCACGCCCCGTGAGGACGGGCGTGGTGTCTGCTGCTGAGCCTGACTGCCCCACACTTAGGCAGGTACCTGGCACATGGCAGAAGCTCAGCAAATATTTGCTGAATGATGAGGCCTTGGTGTATGATTGCTACATTTTTGGCTTAAAAAGTACAGCATCAGGGCCCTTGGGGTTTTACCTGCTTTTCTGGGATATACTTTCCAGCTGATCTTTGTTTTTTTTTGTTTTTGTTTTTGAGACAGAGTCTCGCTCTGTCGCCCAGGCTGGAGTGCAATGGCGTGATCTCGGCTTACTGCGATCTCCGCCTCCCGGTTTCAAGCGATTCTCCTACCTCAGCCTCCCAAGTAGCTGGGACTACAGGTGCTTGCCGCCATGCCCAGCTAATTTTTGTATTTTTAATAGAGACAAGGCCACCATGTTGGCCAGGCTGGTCTCAAACTCCTGATCTCAGGTGATCCGCCCGCCTCGGCCTCCCAAAGTGCTGGGATTACAGGTGTGAGCCACCGCGCCCAGCCAGTTTCCTTAGTTTTTAATCTCTGAGAAGGAAAGATAATTGTTACGTAAGGATGTCTCAGTTATCTATGTGTGGATGATCCAGGGAAAATTTCTCTTTCCAGACTGGCTTACTCTTTGGATTTTCCTCAAGCTTCTCGGTCTGCCTGTGCGAAGGGGCCTAAGGCTGGGTGTTAAGTCCCATAGCATGAGCAAAACCTGTAATTTAGGGTTAACCAGCTTTACTTAACTCCCATTACCCCTTTTCCTTCTCCTCATTCTTAGAATTCTCACGTGAGTGGTAGTAAGCCCCTAGGATGTATGTATGCTGCTGTGTATGTGCTTAGCCATTTCCTGTGTATTTAATGGTGAACCTTTGGTGATTCCTCACATGGAACCCTTTTGCCCTTGGTCACACTTGTGAAAGCACCTCCACATCTTTGCAATCAGATCAGCCTAGGCCAGGAAGCACCTTAGAGGAGGTGATTGACTCTAGTTCCTTGTTTGGTAGAGAATGAGGGAACAGGCTCAGAAAGGTTAAGCCCAAGGCACAGGGTTAGTTGGTGACAGACCCAGGACTGGGGCCCAAGTCTTGCAGGTGTGGTGCACTTTCTGCAACACCCCTTTGCCCTGCCAACTTCCCATCCCACATCCATGAGATTTTAAGTCCCTTATTGTACACTTTTTAGTATATGCTTTGAAGAGTCTTTGGACAGTTAAAACTGAATGTACAAGCCAAGACTACCTCATTTTCTTCTTCAGCTATGACTGGTACCCAGCTAATTGTGGATTGGTAAGAGCAAGACAATCAGAGATATGATACATGTTTAAAACTTCATTGGGGCTCAGTGCAGTGGCTCATACCTGTAATCTCAGCACTTTAGGAGACTAAGGTGGGAGGACTGCTTGAGCCCAGGAGTTCGAGAGCAGCCTGGGCAACATAGCCAGACGTCATCTGTACAAAAAATTAGCTAGGCGCAGTGGTGCTTGTCTGTAGTCCCAGCTATTCAGGAGACTGAGGTGGGAGGAATGTTTGAACTCAGGAAGTCAAGGCTGCAGTGAGCCGTGATCACGCCCCTAAACACTAGCCTGGGTGATAAAGTGAGACCCTGTCTCAGACAAAACAAAACACTTTCTTGGAAGTAGTCTCTGGAGCTTTTGAAAGTTTATTTTAATCCACAGCTTTTCCCCCACCAAACACTAATACCAAAAATAAGATTACTTTGGGGTTTTACCTTGGCAAATAGGATGCTCCCAAGGGACTTTGAAGCCTACCCCTGAAGCTAGGGAATGAACACATTATCTTGTGCTGGTATTTATCCAGTATTACCCAATATACTGACCCATTAGACTTCACCAGGATGGTGCTGACATTGAAAAGTCACGGAGATAGGCCGGGCGCCACGAGATAGGTGGCTCACGCCTGTAATCCCAGCACTTTGGGAGGCCGAGGCGGGCGGATCACAAGGTCAGGAGATCGAGACCATCCTGGCTAATACGGTGAAACCCCGTCTCTACTAAAAATACAATTAGCCGGGCGTGGTGGCGGGCGCCTGTAGTCCCAGCTACTCGGGAGGCTGAGGCAGGAGAATGGCGTGAACCCAGGAGGCGGAGGTTGCAGTGAGCCCAGATCCGGCCACTGCACTCCAGCCTGGGTGACAGAGCAAGACTCCGTCTCAAAAAAAAAAAAAAAAGAAAAGTCACCGAGATAATTTGTAGTCAGCACACCCCTCTTAGGGTCTAAAGTCAAAGATCTTGAGGCTTCAATGGATCAAGAGCCTTTTCTTACTCTACGTGGTATTGACGCAAGTTCTGTAGTAGCCCCTCCTGCTGTATTTACGACACTAGCTTCCAGTGGGCAGATGGAAACCAGTGCCTGCCTGGAGACTATCCAGCTGTGAGAATGATGTGATGTGTCTGGCAGAAAGAGGCGTGTTTACAAAGGCTTTATTTTGCAGGAGTAAATCATTGGATTTTAACTGTTCTTCCTCTCTTTGTGTTGAATCTGATTATGCAGCTTTTCTGTAAGTTTTTAAATGTTTACCCACACCAGACCTTTGGGGACTGATTGGATTTAGTGGGAGCACCCTAGAAGACCTGGATTAAAGTGGAACTTGGTCTCTCAACTAGTTGGGTTGTCCTTGGACAAACTGCTTGACCTCTGTAAATCTTCTGTCCTTATCTGTAACGTAGGGGTGCTAATTAGCATTAATTAGCTCATTGTTGGGAGGATTAAATGAGAACACCCCTGTGGAATTACTTAGAGCTCCCAGTAAAGGTTGGAGTTAGGGAGGATTAGCAGGCTTTCATTTGCTTCCACATTTTTTTTCAGCAGTTTAATTTACTGAAACTGGCATAATAATGCCTCCTTGATTAGGTTGTTGGGAGAAGTAAAGGCAATACAAGTTTGGTGCCTGGTATACTTCATCAGGGTGACAAAATGCTGTCATTTGGTCATTTGTGATCATGTCTGCTACTGCATAATGTCATGCACTGGTGGGACTCTTTAGACAGCTAATTATTGGTAAATTCTTCACAGTGAGAAGAGGATTTAACCGATATTTCTCCCTCTAGAGTGTGGGGAGGTAGAGAAGTGGGTGAGACTGGAAGGGTGGGAAGGAGAAGTCTGGCTACTTGTATCTTGGCCTGGGGATTTGTTTGGAAGATGAATTATCCTCTGGTAGTTGTGTACAGTTTACAGGTCAGTGATTAGTATGAGTCCGTGAATAGTGCCAGTTAATACTGATTAACTGCTGTACTTTTTGCCAATAAATATTGTAAAGCTATAAAGACAACAGAGTTAATACAAGTTGCTAAAGAGAAACTTGTGGTAAATGTCTTTAAATGTTGTTTAAAATAGAAATGGCCAATCTAGCAGGCATGCTGAGGAAATGATGTTTTTGCAGAAGGGAAATTTAGCAATGACAGTTTTGCAGAATATATTGGTAATGAAGTGTTACTTGTAGCTGCTGACAAATTAGTTTTCTTAAAAAATATATCCCCTAGGAAGACTGTAGTATGAAAGAATGAGAACCGTAATTGGTGGATGAGCCTGGAGAGTTTGAAGGTAAGAGAGAAAGAGAAGCAGCGAGGGAGAGAAGGAGAGAGAGAGAGAGAGAGAGTGAGTGTGTGTGTGTGTGTGTGTGTGTTTCAAGGTAACATGCAAGAACAATAAGGTTCTTCTTGTGTGGTTGTAATTTTTTTTTTTTTTTTTTTGAGACAGGGTCGCACTCTGTCACCCAGGCTAGAGCATAGTGGCATAATTATGGCTCACTACAGCCTCGACCTCTGGGCTGAGGTGATGCTCCCACCTCAGCCTCCTAACTAGCTGCGACTACAGGTGTGCACCACTGTGCCCAGCTAATTTTTGTATTTTTTGTAGAGATAGAGTTTCCTCATGTTGCCCAGCCTGGTCACAATCTCCAGGGCTTAAGCTCTGCCGTCCTTGGCCTCTCAAAGTCCTGGGATTGCAGGCTTCCACCACCGTGCCCGGCCCTTGTGTGGAATTTTTAAAAAATCCTGACTTATCTGTTTGTTTGTTTGTTTGTTTTTTTTTTTTGAGACAGAGTTTTGCTCTTGTTGCCCAGGCTGGAGTGCAATGGCGTGATCTCAGCTTACCACAACCTCTGCCTCTCACGTTCAAAGTGATTCTCCTGCCTCAGCCTCCCAAGTAGCTGGGTTTACAAGCGTGCGCCACCATGCCCAGCTAATTTCGTAATTTTAGTAGAGACAGGGTTTCTCCATTTTGGTCAGGGTGGTATTGAACTCCCAACCTCAGGTGATCCGCCCACCTCAGCCTCCCAAAGTGCTGGGATTACAGGCGTGAGCCACTGCGCCCGGCCTATCCGCACTTTTTTTTATGATTGCTCACATGTGACATGTCTTGTTTTTCTTCTAGGATGTTGAGAAAGAGAAGGAAACCCACAGTTACCTCAGCAAAGAGGAGATCAAAGAGAAAGTTCATAAATACAACTTAGCAGTCACAGACAAGTTGAAGATGACCTTGGTAAGCACTCAAAATACTATTTAGGTTGACACCTGTCAAAAGACAAATATAAATTGTTGGTACTACAATCTATAGTTCTAAATATCTGAATAGCATTTGTAGAAGTGTAGTAGTCAAGGTATACAGAACAGGAAAGTGGAATATTTCTGTGGCTTTCCATTTAAATCTGTATTGTGAAGTAGCTTTGTCTCAAAAATCAGTTGCTGGGTTAACCTTAAAAAAGTGAAACACTTATAATTTTATTTTAAAAGATTTTGTGACCCACCCCTCCCTCCTCAAAGGATTTTTAGCATCATTGCCTAACATACAGAAATGGTGACTCAGATTCTAAGAAGACCTCAGGTAAGGTTTTTTGTTTTGTTTTGTTTTGAAACAAGGTTTTGCTCTGTCACCTGGGCTGGAGAGCAGTGGCACGATCACCGCTCACTGCAGCCTCGACCTCCGGGCTCAAGTAATCCTCCCACCTCAGCCTCCCGAGTAGCTGGGACCACAGGTGCTTGCCACCATGCCCAGCTAATTTTTGTATTTTTTGTAGAGACGGGGTTTTGCCATATCACCCAGGCTCATCTCAAATTCCTTGGCTCAAGGGATCTGCCCAGCTTGGCCTCCCAAAGTGCTGGGATTACAGGTATCAGAAGCCCCTAAGTTTTTGTCTTGTACAAAATAAATATGGAAGTGTCAGGGAAAGGATTTTGAGCCCATGGATTGGAATATAGAGGTATATAATAGGATAGTTTTCTCTGCCGGTCGTTAGTGTAAGACAAGGTACTTAATACTCAGTTTCTTCCACGTCGCTGTCGCAGGCTTCCACAGCATTGTGCCACACTGAAGCATGCAGGGAGTCGGCGTACAGGAGGGAGAAGCCTCAGGGCCTGGGGATAGGGAAACGAGCTGACAGCGGAGCTAGAGTATTCATGTTCCTCTAAACTTAGCTGGCATCTAGGTCTCGCCTACCCATTGGGTGGCCCGCCTTCTTCATGGCACTTGTCAGCCCTTGGCGCCAGTTTCCAGGGCACTTGGATCCCCGTCTCTCAGTCTGTTTACTGTGAACTGACAGAGTTTGGTAAAGGACAAGGTGATTGGTTTAAAACAGGCCCTACCGAATCGGTGATTCTTGGGGAGGAGCTTTCAGATAGAAACCCTTGTGGTAAAGGACCCCTCCCTGGTAGAACTCCTCCAAAAAGAGGGGAGAGGAGCAGAGAATCCCAAGATAACTCTTCATCATTCCAGCAGCAAGATTTCTTTTTCAAACACATTTTTTCATCAAAGGAGAAATCCACTTGCTATGTTTTTTTTTTTTCCTTTCCTGATAGAGACTAAAACAGATACAAATTATCCATGTCATTTTAAAGATAAAAATTTTAGGCTGGGCACAGTGGCTCACACCTGTAATCTCAGCATTTTGGGAGGCTGAGGCGGGTGGATCACTTGAAGTCAAGAGTTCGACGGTGGCTCACGCCTGTAATCCAGCACTTTGGGAGGCCGAGGTGGGCAGATCACGAGGTCAGGAGATCGAGACCATCCTGGCTAACACAGTGAAACCCTGTCTCTACTAAAAATACAAAAATTAGCCAGGCGTGGTGGCGGGCGCCTGTAGTCCCAGCTACGCGGGAGGCTGAGGCAGAAGAATGGCGTGAACCCAGGAGGCAGAGCTTGCAGTGAGGCAAGATCGTGCCACTGCACTCCAGCCTAGGCGACAGAGCAAGACTCCATCTCAAAAAAAAGAGTTCAAGGCCAGCCTAGTCAACATGGCAAAACCCCATCTCTCCTAAAAATAGAAAAATTAGCCAGGCATGGTGGCGGGTGCCTGCAGTCCCAGCTACTCAGGAGGCTGAGGCAGGAGGATCACTTGAACTCAGGAAGTTGAGGCTGCAGTGAGCTGTGTTCGTGCCACTGCACTCCAGCCTGGGTGAGAGAGTGAGACCCTGTCTCAAAAAAGAACAAACTAGAGAATTAGGATTGAAAATTGATCTTGTGGGAAGGAAGAAAAATAACACACCATAAAGATAGTTTTAAATGTTCTACTTTAACTGTGGCATTTATATGTAACACTTGACAGTTTAATAAAACAGTACAATAAATCTTTTCTAAATATACTGTTTTTGTTTGTTTTTGAGATGCAGTCTCTGTCGCCCAGGCTGAAGTGTAATGGCGTAATCTCGTAATCTCGGCTCACTGCAACCTCCACCTCTGGGTTCAAGAGATTCTCCTGCCTCAGCCTCCCGAGTAGCTGGGATTATAGGCACCTGCCACCACACCCAGCTAATTTTTTTTTATTTTTATTTTTAGTAGAGACGGGATTTCACCCTGTTGGCCAGGCTGGTCTCGAACTCCTGACCTCCAGTGGTCTGCTCGCCTCGGCCTCCCAAAGTGCTGAGATTACAGACATGAGCCACTGCGCCTGGCCCCAAATATACTGAATACAAAAATAAAAATAAAAAGTGAAGACCAAACTGTTATTACTGTTTTTGGCAACTAAGAAATAGTAATTCTACCATCAGTGAAGGTAGTTGTTTTTAAGATCTGTACTGTGAAGTATAGTGGTTTGAATTTGTTTTTTTTTGTTTTGTTTTGTTTTTGTTTTTTGTTTTTTTTTTTGAGACAGAATCTTGCTCTGTCGCCCAGGCTGGAGTGCAATGGCGTGATCTTGGCTCATTGCAACCTCCACCTTCTGGTTTCAAGCGATTGAATTTTTTTTTAAAATGCTGCTTAAGAGACCCGAAATGCATTCTATGCTGTATGGCATATATGCTGCATTAAAAAGTTTAAGCAGAGTTAGTAATTCAGTGCATATGAATATAGCCACTAGGAATGAAAATAGCCTGTTTTCTTACTGTCCCCTTGTTGTTGACTTCAGTATTTCAGAGCCCTAATTGTGACCTTCCTTTTGTGTATAATAGTCACCAGTTGAGGATGTTGTTTCCTTTGAGCCTGTAGCCTAGACATATCCCCCAAGCTTTAATAAGTTTTGTGGTTTGGCTAGCATCTGCTCCGTTGGATTGTAACCTCGCAAATGGACCCTGACCTTTTGCCAGTAGCTTCAGAGGCATGAGTCTGGGGCCGGCAGTCAGCCACAGCATCAGGAGGCTTCTTCAGTGTCCACATCTGCCCTGCAGACCTTGCCTCTGGAAGCACTTTGCCTGGTGTGTTAACCGCCCTCTGAGGTCATTCCTTTGGGGGCAATCTTTAGTGAAGTTCTGCCACAAACCTCAAGAGAAGAGAACAAAGGAGTGTTTCACCTTCCCGTTTTGTTTTGATATGCTTCTTCCCTAAAGTGCCACCATCCACCCAGCTAAGTGTGTGCTTCTCTCCCTGCTTCAGAATTCAAATGGGATTTACACTGGCTTCATTAAAGTACAGATGGAACTCTGCAAACCTCCACAGACTTCTCCAAATTCTGGAAAACTCTCTCCCAGTAGCAATGGCTGTATGAATACACTTCATATCAGCAGCACAAACACTGTCGGGGAAGTGATCGAGGCCCTGCTCAAAAAGTTTCTCGTGACTGAGAGCCCTGCCAAGTTTGCACTTTATAAGCGTTGTCACAGGGAAGACCAAGGTACGCTGCCAGCTTAAAAGGAAAATGGTCTGTGCTTCTACTTGCATCTGCTGTTCTCATTAGCAGAGGGAAGACTGGTGGGTCTCATCCATGTCAGTTGTGTCAGAGCCTGGAGTCCGATGCTGGAAGCCATGGTGATCTTAGCATGCACTTAGTGCTTCCTGGCTGTCCATATTTTTGAGTTGGACAGTTGAGGGTCTGAGGAGCTTGGAAGCATCCATATGTGATTGGCAGTTACGAGTATTTTGTGGTGTTGGTGGGGGGATGGGGCGGGGGCTGTTTTTGGTGGTTGTTAGGAGTGGCTTTGATTTTAGTTTTCTTTAGGACACAAAAGAGTGCCTCTGTGTTTGAAGTTTTCAATAGCACATTCCACATTTGATGTGCATCAGTACGTGGAGTGGTTTGGTGGATGTGTGCTGAGATCTTGCGACTGGGGAGGCACATGTGCATCACAGCACATTTCAGCGTACTGATGGAAACGGCCCAGCCCTGGGCTCTCCTGTTGCCTTAGCTTGTCTCACTTGGTGTTACGCCGGGACATTTTGGTACTCTGTCCCCCAGAGGCTCATCAAATGAGTGAATAACATTTTGATCTAGGGTCTGACTAAAACTTCATATCCACATTCAGGGGATAGAAAGAGAACATTAAATATTAAATTACTGCGTGAAACAGAATGAGATATTCCAGGTCAGGCAGTGACCAGAAATTGATAACATTGGTGGACAGTAGTGATTCAGTGACTCACTACATGCGATTTGAAATCGGGGTGTGTGTGTGTGTGTGTGTGTGTGTACAATAAACTATTTAAGCTTTCTTTGGTTTTTCTCGGTAAAGCCTAATGTAGCTATAGAAGAAAATATATTAACCTTGACATGATAGTAATGTTCTTCAGTTACACAGGATGAAACCCAGCTCATTGCTGAGTATGCATACATCTTTTTAAAAACAAACCATGGGGCTAGACCCTGTGGAATACAAAGATGAACAGGCCAGGGTTCCTACCTTCAGAGGTCACAAGCTTAGTATTGTGGGGGCTTATATCTATAGGGAAATTGGCACCTGCGATGCAGTGCATCTGGAAGTGCCACAATAATGTAGAGAAGCTCGATGGCATTTTTATCTGCCAGTTTCTTTGCCTGCTCACCTGGACTTTAGCTGTACAATCTGAAAGTAATCGTGACTTGTTGAAATATTACCCCCATGGCTGGCAAATCCTTTAACATGATTGGCAATGTCACTGTATGTGTGTGTCTAGCATGAGACATATATAGCTGTGCTTGAAGCTACCGGAGCTTATATTCTGATTGCTTGGTTTGTAGCTGCTAATTCGCTAATTCTTTTTTTTTTTTTGAGACGGAGTCTCGTTCTGTCACCCAGGCTGGAGGTGCAGTGGCGCAATCTTGGCTCACTGCAAGCTCCACCTCCCGGGTTCACGCCATTCTCCTGCCTCAGCCTCCCGAGTAGCTGGGACTTACAGGCGCCCGCCACCACGTCTGGCTAATTTTTTTGTGTTTTTAGTAGAGACGGGATTTCACTGTGTTAGCTAGGATGGTCTCGATCTCCTGACCTTGTGATCCGCCCGCCTCAGCCTCCCAAAGTGCTGGGATTGCAGGTGTGAGCCACCGCGCCTGGCCTCGCTAATTCTTAATTAATCTGTAGAGAGATTTGCTTTTAGAACTCTTGTTTTTATGTTCTTTGGATGGTATATACATTTTTTTTTAAATTTGTTTTTTGTTTGTTTGTTTGAGACGGAGTCTTGCTCTGTTGCCCAGGCTGGTGTGCAGTGGCACAATCTCGGCTCACTGCAACCTCCGCCTCCTGGGTTCCAGTGATTCTCCTGCCTCAGCCTCCCAAGTAGCTACAATTACAAGTGCCCACCACCATGCCCAGCTAACTTTTGTATTTTTAGTAGAGACAGAGTTTCACCATGTTGGTGGCCAGGCTGGTCTCAAACTCCTGACCCCAGGCAATCTGCCTGTCTCGGCCTCCCAAAGTGCTGGGATTACAGGTATGAGCCACCACGCCTGGCCTTGGTTTTTGAGACAGCGTCTTACTCTGTCACCTAGGCTGGAGTACCATGGCATGATCATAGCTCATTGTAACCTTGAACTCCTGGGCTCAAGTGATGCTCTTGCCTCAGCCTCCTAAGTAGCTAGGACTATAGGCGGGCCCCATTATGCCTGGCTAGTTAGAAAAAAAAATTTTTTTTTTTTGGAGACCAGGGTCCTGCTATGTTGCCCTGGCTGGTCTCGAACTCCAGGCCTCAAGTGATCCTCCTGCCTCAGCCTTTAAGTGTTGGGATTACAGGTGCGAGCCACTATGCCTGGCCTATTTTTATTGTTTTTAAAGGAGTAGTGGACCCTTTTTTAGGTTTCTTATCTTGCCTTTTTTTTTTCATTTAAAAAAAATTTTATTTATTTTTTGAGACAGAGTTTCACTCTTGTTGCCCAGGCAGGAGCGCAATGGCACGATCTCGGCTCACTCCAACCTCCACCTCCCAGGTTTGAGTGATTCTCCTGCCTCGGCCTCCCAAGTAGCTGGGATTACAGGTGCCCGCCACCACGCCCGGCTGATTTTTTGTATTTTTAGTAGAGACAGGGTTTTGCCATGTTGGCCAGGCTGGTCTCAAACTGCTGGCCTCAGGTGACCCGCCCACCTCGGCCTCCCAAAGTATTGGGATTACAGGCATGAGCCACCATGCCTGGCTCTTACCTTGTTTTCTAAAAGGAAGAGCAGAGCTAACTATAAGCATATTTTGGGACTAATATCTATTAAAATTTATTCTTGAAAATAATTTCCTTCTTAATCAAGGCACAGTTTATATTTGAACAGAAACAGAATAGATTTTATTCCACTGTGGGCTACTGGTATTAAATAATAAGATGAGCCGACTGGCGACTTAGAGGCTGGGGTAACTTGGATGGTTACCTTGATCTGGAGGAGGGGATCACAATGGGGAAGTGGTCTCAGGAATGGCTGAATACTCTGTAACATGCTGCTTGTTTCTTTACCCAGTCTACGCCTGCAAGCTCTCAGACCGGGAACATCCACTCTACCTGCGTTTGGTAGCAGGGCCCAGAACAGACACACTTAGTTTTGTTCTTCGTGAACATGAAATTGGAGAGGTAAGTTATTGTTCACTATTGCTTTAAACTATACAGAACAGCTGGCCCTATTTTATTGCAGTAGCCTAGTGACTTGGCTATTGATGGGGGATGGGAAGAGAAGAGAGTTGGAGGGCAGGGGGATGGGAAGAGAAGAGAGTTGGAGGGCAGGGAGAGGGAGAGGGATTTTGAATTGTCAGAAATGAACCCAAAGTTAGCCTATGATGTCATTCTCTCACAACCTTATATTATTAGTCTGTCATTTTCAGAGGTGGGAGAAAATAAAGTTTTTTTACTTGATCTCCATCCAGAGAGTCATTTTCACCCCTTCCCACCTCCAAAATACTCCAGTCCAGCTGAACTTTGAAAGTTGACACTCACCATGTGTTTGCTACTAACAAAAGTCTCCAGGCTAATTCCCTTCTAAAGGGATATAAAAGGAAATTCGATCTCTTTACCATGGAAGGCATTTAGCTTTCTAGCATCTTTTTTTTCCCCCTTGCCCAGTCAACTGATTAAGAAATTATGTTTCCATGTGCATCATTTGCCATGTTGTCTCCAGGGAGGATTGTATTTAGCCAGTTCAGTAGAAGAAAAAAAGCACTTGAGCCTGCCCTCTAGATCAAGTGTCAGCTTTAAATGACACTTGAGCAAATCCCAAGCTCCTGTCCCAGTCTTCTGTCTGGAACAGGAAATGGTGTGAAATGTCCTACATGGTGCAATTGAGAATAGGGTTTCTAGGTTAAAAGTTAGGAAACGGCTCTGTTTCCTACTGTTTGTTAGATTAGTAGCATGACCTTGGATAAGTCTTCTAATCTTTTAGCCCTCAGTTTTAAAATCTGTTAAGTGGGACTAAACACTTTACAAGGTGGGCTTTGAGTCACAATTAGAAATGTATACATGTAAGTGAAGGGAGTTTTAGGAAGACAGTGGTTTTACATGTTTTTGAAGTTTCTTTTGATTCTGGTGTTTTGAAGCTTTTCAAGACATTCAGACTCATTTTGGGGAGAAGGCAGGGTGCAGAAATCTGACTTGGCTTTGCAGATGGTGACCATTCCCTCTGCCAGCTTAAGCCAGACACATTAGCATAGTCTACTCAGTGTTTTATTTTTCTTGTACTTAGTGTTTTAAGTAGCAACTAGAACTACATTGGGCAAGAATTTTATTAACTTGGTTATTTTATTGTATTTTAATTATAATTAGAGATAGGGTCTCACTACGTTGCCCAAGCTGGTCTCAAACTCCTGGGCTCAAGCAATCCTCCCACCTCAGCCTCCCAAAGTGCTGGGATTACAGGCATGAGCCACTGCACCTGGCCTTAACTTAGTTTTGAAATTGACTTGACATTGGGTTTTATTGTTCCAGACTGCTGTACTGGACCTCTGTATGGTGTTCTTATTTCTCAGTTATTTAAGGAAAACTGAACTGAGGAAGAAATTTCCATAGCTGTTAGGGGGTGGGAGGGATATTTATATGATGTCTTTATTTTGGAGACTTCAACATAGGTGAAAGATAATCTGTTAAAATTTTAAAAATTAACAGAATATTCTAACGTAGAAGTTTTGCTCTCCTACTCCATGTTGCTCTTTTTTTTTTTTTTTTTTTTAAATAACCAGCCTAAACTGTTCTCCAGGAATTCTTCTACCACTGAGCCCATTTGGTGGATTTACTTATTTTTCACTCTTTGTTTGTATTTGGTTATCTTGAATCTTTTCTCTACACCATCAGACAGCAGTTCTCCACCAGGATCCAGGGCCCCCTTTGGGAGAGGAGGATGTGTTTGGAAAAAACCTCGTAGATGATGCTAGATACCCTCCTTGACATTCACTGCTTCTATTTTTTAAAATCTGTTTTAATTTTTTTTTTTTTCTTTTTAAAGAGACTAGGTCTTGCACTGTCACCCAGGCTGGAGTACAGTGGCGCAATCATGGCTCACTGCAGCCTCAATCTCCCGGGCTCAAGCAATCCTCCTACCTCAGCCTCCCAAGTAACTGGGACTACAGGAATGTACTGCCACAGCCAGATAATTTTTAAATTTTTTGTAGCGACCTGGTGTCACTATTTTGCCCAGGCTGGTCTCGAACTTCTGGTCTTGAACTTCTGGGCTCAAATGATCCTCCTGCCTAAGCATTCCAAAGTGCTAGGATTATAGGCATGAGCCACAATGCCCAGCCTAAAAACTTATTTTGTGCCTGCTAAATAAGTACTAGGAGCTGTTAGGGAAACAAGGCTCAGAGCCTCAAGGCAAGAGATAAACTCCAAATAGCGAGAAGTACGGCAGCTGTGGTGTAGGTAAGGTGCAGGTGAGATAGATATTAAGCAAATAATTGTAATTTAAAAATCTTGGTTGTGATCAGGGGCTCTGTGAAGGCTTTTGATACACTTAGCCTTGGGTGGGAAGAGAGGAGAGGAAGTTGTGGAAAGCTGCTTAGAGAAAGTGGCATTTAAGCTGAGATGGGGAGGATGAGTAGTTCATAGCCAGGCAAAGTGGAGGAGGGGAGAATGCGTGCCACTTGGGCAGAGAGTGAAGCTCGGTGAGAGAGAGATGGGGCCGGAGAGTTTAGAGTCTTTCAGACAGCATCAGCAACTAAGGGAAGCCATTGGATGGTTCTAAGCAGGGGAGAGTCTTGGCCAGATGAGCATTTTACAAAGGATGTTCTGTTTGGGGAACAGATGGGGGAGCATAAGAGCCGAGTGAGGAGGCCAGGTAGGAAGCTGTTCCAGCGATGCAGGAATAGATGATAGTAGCTAGCACCAAGGGGCCGTACCGAGGGAGAAAAGGCTGAATGGAGAACTGTTTGGGGGTGATAAGACTGATTATGCGAGGTAAGAAAGTCAGTTACAATGAGGACTCGAGGTTAAGATGAAAGGACTGTCGAATTGTTTTTAATGCTGTTGGGGGTCAAATCAGGTAAGGAATGAAAGTGTCCAATAGACTTAGGGATATGGAGGTCTCTGGCTTTTAGGGAGATCGTCTTGAACAGTGGGAGGAGAGGGTAGGAAGGTGATTGGTGTGAGCTGAGGTGGGAGTGGGAGTGGAGGGAGCCCTTAGGCTGGCAACACCCCAGCTCTTGCAGACCACACCTTCTGCGGCATGGGGCTGGGAGGGGAGGGCAGCCGCACCTCTGGGAGCTCCTGGTCAGCATTCCTAAGTCTAACTGAGTATTAAACATCTGGCATTTTTCTTTCTGTGTTTCCTGACAGTGGGAAGCCTTCAGCCTTCCAGAACTACAGAATTTCTTGCGCATCTTGGACAAGGAAGAAGATGAACAGCTGCAGAACCTGAAGAGGCGCTACACAGCCTACAGGCAGAAGCTGGAAGAAGCCCTCCGTGAGGTGTGGAAGCCTGATTAAAGCGGGGCTCCCTGCCCGTGAGGCCCGGTGCAGGACCGATGTACAAAACAGCAGCAAGTGCCTCTCTTCTCAGAGGGCTGCTGTCTTGCCCCACTATGCTAGGGTCTTCGCCTTTCTATCTGTAGATTTTGTTCCCCAAACCTGGTCACACAGCATCCTGCACCTTAGCGTCCCATGTAAGGGACTCTGCAAGCTTGTTGTTCAGCACCGCAGTGTTACCTCTTGGCAAGCTGTGAACCTGTCGCCTCATCAGGAGCATTCGAGGGTGCTTGGAAGCATGAACTCTGGGGGTGTTTTTTTTTTTGGTTATTTTAATTATGTGATGATGCTGTTAAGCTTACAGATATGCAGTTGATTTTTTAAAAAGCTTAACTAGGAATCTTTCTGAATACTTGTCCTATTTTGAAACTACCTGTCTGGTTTTTTGTTTGGTTTTGTTTTCTTTTTTTAATGTCAGAGGAATCTATCCATGTGAATCGAAAGGCACAGGAATCTAGGAACTCTGAGGAATTTATTGTGAAGGATTTTGTTAGGGGGTTGACAGAGAAAGCAAAGTGTAAGTTTGGAAGAAGGCATGTGCGGTGGTGGCGAGTGCTGCGGGCTATGGAAGGTGACTTGGCTTTTCAGTTAGGGGTAGTGGAGAAAGGGGTAGTTGCTTGTAAACGAGTTAAAAGCATTCAGTGTGGAGGTGTTAAACCCATTTTAGGATCGCTTGGTTTCCTGGTGGGTAGAATATGGGAACAGAGCCAGAGGCAGGAGCTAAACCAAAAGGAGGGACCCATGAACTCTGCAGCTGACCAATCAGAGAATCAGGCAGGTGTAGCCTACTGACCTGGGCAGAGGTGGGCCTCACGCAGCTGGATCCGACCCTTTAATTCTGCCCTTTTGGAGTGGAAGGTCTGATTGGTGTAGCTGCTCTGCATAGGCAGGACAGTGACAGTTCACTAACTCTTGTTAAGTTACATAGTGTATAGCTTTCCCCCCACAGGTGGTTTTCAAAGTTGAGACGGAATTTGGGTAGGGGCAGCTGTTTTTCCCTTGATTGTTAGCTAGGATATTTGTCAAGTAAACTTTGGTGACAATCACTCTCTTCCCTTTTATTCCTCCTTTCCTTTTCCTTTCTTCCCTTTTTTCTTTCCTTCCCTGCTGTCTCCCACCCTACCTTGTTCTTTTCCTCCCTCCCTCCCTCCCTCCCTCCCTCCCTCCCTCCTTCCCTCCCTCTCTCTCCCTCTCCCTTTCTTTTCTACATTGAAATCTGTTCTTACATAATAGAGAACAGGGCTATTGAATAAAGACCCAATCCTACCAGATCTTTAGTTCTAAAGGGCAACTTGACTGTGAGTAGGAGGGCCCCCAAGAAAGGGAGGAAAGTCCACACCCAGCTAACCACACAACAGGGCTTCATTATGGAAATATTTTAACAAAAGTACATGTTATTACCAACCAAAGAGATGCATGTGCAATAGAAGCCTTCCTTAAAAACAGGCTAAATAACCTCATTTTATGCAGCAGTTTAATCTGAGAACAGAGGGAAAGGTGTGCAGTGGTTCCAGAGGGGCCTTATATTCTATTTTTAGTCTAGATATTTTTTGTTTATAAATTCCCAAGGAATTGTTAACACTTTGGTGACACCTAATGGATTCTTTTTGAAATTCCAAGGTGCTTCAGTTCTTTGCCCAAGTGAACTGTGCCTTTTATTGCATTTCTGTTCGTCTCTTGGTGGCTCTTCTGACTTTTTGGAGAATACCCATCTTGTTGGAGGCAGACTTAAGTTGTTATGCTGTGCCACACAATTTACTGAGACAATCATATCTTCCTAAGCATTTAAGGAAAGTTGAAAAAAATAGAATTAGCTATAAAATATGTATGGCACATCTTGTTTAATTTTGCATGTAACTTCTCTTTTGTACATTGATGAGGTTTTAGTGACATTGTCATCCAACACTTTACCTTTATTGTTCAGGGAATGCCTTCGTGATTTTTTGTACTGGTTTTATTATTCAGACTATGGCCTGGATTTGAGTATATTGTTATTACCACCTGGTTTTTTAATTATTCATCCCAGTAAACTTATATTTTGTGAAGCATTTGTTTCTCAGATTAAGACACTGTTAGAACCTAAAGTAGTAGCTGATGGGTATCTGTGAATTTTTTTTTTTTTTTTTTTTTTACTTGAAGTAGATTGTCTGAATAGGCATCCTCATCTATATTTACCCAAAACCTCGCTTACTGTCATGTGCACTACAAATTGCAATTTGGAAACCTACTGTATTGAAATTCTGTCAGTTTATGGTTCTTGAAGACTGATGTCCTTTCCCAAACACTGGTTACTGCAGCAGCATTTTTAATGTGTAAGTGAAGAAAAAAGGCCACTAAGGCCAAAGATTTTTTAAGAATCATTGTACAAATCATTATGTTAAACTATCTAAGCTTTGCTGTAATACTGTTTTCTCTTCAATATGTGATGGTACAGGAAGGATGTTAAATGAAGGGGTGGTATTGCAGGAGAGCATTTTAAATGGCAGAAGTAAAAAGTTATAATATTTATAATTTTGATGGGTTTAAGTTTATTTTTGTAGGGAAGATTTTTCTCCCCTAAAATAGTTTCTAGAATGGCAAAATTGTTTCCATTATTAAAAATTGAAGTTATTAGTTGTTTATGTGTGTTTATTTATGATAATATGCTAGATTTAAAAAGGTCACAGGAGTGCGCTGAGCTGCTTTTGCACATATACACAGGGACACATGCTGGAATGCAACAACTTTACTAGGTTCGCGTGGGTCATATTTGTTCTCCCAGATATCATTTTCTCTTTGCCTTATCCTCTGAGGAAAAATAACCCTAAGCTCACACAGCATATTCCAATGTATTTAAAACAATTGTTTTAATTTTTGAAATATACACATTTAAAAGTATATAAAGCATGCAAAAGAGGAGGGAGGCCGAGAGTGAAAAAATAAAAATAAAAAAGCATGCGAACAGTTTAAAGGATTATTATATAAAATGGACACCCCCTGACCATTACTAAAATAGAACCTTGTCAGTTCTTTAGAAATCTCTCCCTCCACCCCTGTTCTTGCCCTGAGGTCTCCTACCCCTGAAACATACCACTTCAACATAAAGTGAGTATTTGTATTTTTTTGGTCACCATGACTGCCTTACACAGATGGGATGGATAGTGTCTGGGGAACCACAGGGACGATGGAGTGCCACCCTCTGCGCACCTGCACCTCGGCTTTGTGCCATGGTTTCAGCTTCCATGCCTGCTGTTGGGAGTGTTTTTACTACTACACTGCCCCCTGGAGGGGCTGATGAAAGGAGCAAGGCTGGCACCAGGTGGTAGAGGCCTTTCACGTACCATAGCTGCTCCCTAAATAAAAATACTGTGATAGAAAATTATGGCTCTGTATAATTTTGCTTTTCTACTGAAATATTCAGAGGAATCAGGTTTGGGGGTTCTACTTGGGTTACTACCCAAGGTGCGTGGAGAATGTTTGGGAATTTTTATATTTTTATCCTTTATTTTTTTTGGAGATGGAGTCTCAATGTGCCACCCAGGCTAGAGTGCAGTGGCATGATCTTGGCTCACTGTAACCTCCACCTCCCAGGTTCAAGCGATTCTCCTGCCTCAGCCTCCCTAGTAGCTGGGATTACAGGTGCCTGCCACCATACCCGACTAATTTTTTTTTTTGTATTTTTAGTAGCGACGGGGTTTCTCCACGTTGGCTAGGCTGGTCTCAAACTCCTGACCTCAAGTGACCAACACACCTCAGCCTCCCAAAGTGCTGGGATTACAGGTAGGACTTTTTTTTTTAAGTCAATTTTTATTACTAAAAAAAAACCTTTTTTTTTGAGATAGAGTTTCACTCTGTCTCCCAGGCTGGAGTGCAGTGGCACGATCTGGGCTCACTGCAACCTCTACCTCCTAGGTTCAAGCAATTGTCCTGCCTCAGCCTCTGGAGTAGATGGGATTACAGGCGTGTGCCACCACACCTGGCTAATTTTTGTATTTTTAGTAAAGACGGGGTTTCACCCTGTTGGCCAAGGTGGTCTCAAACTCCTGACCTCAGGTAATCTGCCGGCCTTGGCCTCCCAGAGTGCTGGGATTACAGGTGTGAGCCACCGTGCCTGGCTCACATGAATATTTATTGAAACAACAGTTATCAGTTGGTGACAAATTCGGAGACACTGTCAGATAACGCTAATTAGGTATTTTGTTTTATTGAAAGAAGGGGGCTGGGCGCGGTGGCTCATGCCTGTAATCCCAGCATTTTGGGAGGCCGAGGTGGGCAGATCATGAGGTCAGGAGTTTGAGACCAGCCTGACCAAACATGGTGAAACCCCGTTTCTACTAAAAATACAAAAATTAGCTGGGCGTGGTGGCGCACACCTGTAATCCCAGCTACTCAGGAGGCTGAGGCAGGAGAATTGCTTGAGCCAGGGAGGCGGAGGTTGCAGTGAGCCGAGATCGCCCCATTGCACTTAGCCTGGGCGACAAAGTGAAACTCCGTCTCAAAAAAAAAAAAAAAGAAAAGGGGCCAGGCACAGTGGCTCATGCCTGTAATCCCAGCACTCTGGGAGGCCAAGGCGGGCTGATCTCTTGAGGCCAGGAGTTCAAGACCAGGTTGGCCAACATGGCAAAACCTCTTCTCTGCTAAAAATATAAAAATTAGCCAGGCGTGGTGGCACACGACTGCTGTCTCAGCTACTCAAGAGGCTGAGGCAGGAGAATTGCTTGAACCCGGGAGGCGGGGTTCAAGCCCCGTGATTGCGCCACTGTACTCCAGTGAGCCGTGAGTACTGCAGTGAGCCATGATTGCGCCACTGTACTCCAGCCTGGGCAACAGAGCAAGACTCTATCTCAAAAAAAAAAAAAAAAAAAAAAAGGGTGGTGGTGAAGGTCTACACTATAGTAGCCAATGCCAACAAAGTGCTTACCATGTGCTAGGCATTCTTCTGAAATGCTTAATATGTATCAACTCATTGACTCTCCTGTGACGTTATCACACTATTTCGTCATATCCCTTTTTTCACAAATGTGGAAATGGACATGTTGAGGTTTAGCAGCTTGCTCAAGGCCACTGTGTGAGTGAGTGGCAGAGCCGGACACTGCCCCGTTTCTCTACCATCTTTTCCTGTAAGTGCTCTCTAGTTTCTCAGTTAAATTGCCTATTGAGTAAAGGAGCAAAAGTCTGTTAAATTGCCGTAATGGACAGTTTGCCCAGAAGCGTAACTGTTTTGGTGCCATTGGGGTTTGTTGATATCAGTGTGTTCTCATCCATTTTGGTTCATTTATCATTTCATTCAGGTGATTATACTAAGTCACATAGAATGAAATGCTGACCTGTGCTTTCTTTTTATTTTTTCGGATGGGGTTTCACCTTGTCATCCAGGCTGGAATGTAGTGGCGTGATTACGGCTCACTGCAGCCTTAACCTCCTGGGCTTAAGAGATCCTCCCATCTCAGCCTCTCAAGTAGCTGGGACAACAGGTGCCTGCCACCACATCCAGCTAATTTTTTTTCATTTTTGTAAAGATGGAGTCAGGCTATATTACCCACGCTGGTCTCAAACTCCTGGGCTTAAGTGATCCTCCTGCTTTGGCCTCCTAAAGGGCTGGGATTACAACCACCATGCCCAGCCCAGACCTGTATTTTCATTTAGAGGTTCTGTTGCATGGGGGAAATAACACGGCAGGTAACCAAACTTAGTGGTCTCACTGTAGTTGGTAAGACAATTCTCCTGGAACCACCAGAAGAACAGCTTCAGTACTACAGAGTGCTATAGGAGCCACAAAACTTGTGCAAAGGTTTGACTCATGGAACCATTCCCCCAAACAAGGCTCATCCTCTGCAGAGAGAAACTAGGAGGTAAGTATTCAAAGTCTAAAGCATATGCTTGTGTGGTGTGAATCACTACTTGCTTAATTGAATGTTCAAGAAAGAAGTTTTATATAAGGATAAAGGTGGGGGGGCAGGTGTGGTGAAGGCTGGAATAGGAGGGAGTGGGGACTAGCTGGGTTATATACCAACAACTCTGAAGCTAAATCATTTATTCCATCTTCAGGCTTGGATCTGGGTTTGGGTTTTTGTTTTTTGTCTTTTGGGGTTTTTTTGCCTGTTGGTTTTGGTTTCATTTTGTTTTGTTTTTTGACAAGTCTTTCCCTATTCCAGGAGATGAGAATAGCAGGGTACAGGATAGACCCCTTTGATCTTAAATAGTGTTTCCAAAGGATGATTGTGGTTCTCACGTGTCTGGCTGAGGCTGCATTTGGCATCAAGTGAACTCTGAAAGCTCCTCTCTTCTTCTTGTTTCTGAGAAATGTGAGCACCTTTAAGTATTATTTACGCACAAACAACAAAACATCAGGGCTCTTTGTAAACCTCAAAAGAAATTGGGATTTGACTTTGTTTTGGGGAGGGAGTTATTTCAATCAGGAGAGTTCATTTTTTTCTCTTTCTAAACGAGGAGTTCCGATTACAATGGGCCTGGGTCATTAAGGGCATCTATCTGGTTTGTGTTTGCTGGCATATGTACTGCCGGCTGTTGAGCCACGCTTTGTGGACACGTGGGATTCATTAAGCCCTCTGTGGTTCCTGTCTCTGAAGTGGCTTTCTAGGGAGGCTCTGCTCTACAGGGTTTTTCCATTTACAGGTGCAATAAAATTTGTTTAAATTCTAAAAATTCTGAAGCAGCAAACTTTAGTGCCTTGCCAAAACTTAGAATTCTTGAATTACTGCTGTTGCAGGCAGGGAGGCAACAGCTTAAATTCAAACCTTTTACTCAGAACTATAAATGGTGTCTTCAGATTCTTTTAAAGATGGTGAACATTTCAAACATTTTTCTTGCATATGTGATCTTTGCAAGGAAAACATTCATAGTCAATTTTGTTTAGGTCAGATTGAGTATTTCGAGGCCTTATTAATAAAAGATGCTTGACTGAGCAGGTAAGGCCAACCATAGAAACTGAGGAACAAAAAGACCAGCTTTCAGAAAACTTCCAGTTCTTTTTTTTTTTTTTTCTGAGACAGAGTCTCACTCTTGCGCCCAGGCTGGAGTGCAGTGGCTCGGTCTTGGCTCACTGCAGCCTGCGCCTCCCAAGTTCAAGCGATTCTCCTGACTCAACCTCCCAAGTAGCTGGGATTACAGGCACCCACCACCACGCCCAGCTAATTTTTGTATTTTTAGTAGAGACAGGGTTTCACCATGTTGGCCAGGCTGGTCTTGAACTGCTAACTTCAGGTGATCCACCCGCCTCGGCCTCCCAAAGTGCTGCGATTACAGAGGTGAGCCACTGTGCCCAGCCATCAGAAAACTTCCAGTTCTATCGCCTTTATCTAGATACAGTTTGTATAGGAGTTTGTGTGTGCTGGGGAAGGAAGTGGGCTTTAAGGGTGTAGTGGTGTTGGGGAGGCCAGAAATAATGTCCCCTTTATCATGGAAAGTTATTTGTTATGAAGGTGGTAGTTAGGAAAAGGCAACGTTTAGGATCTTTCGGAAGATATTTCAAGACAAAATGAGGTTACCACACTATTTCTTCACAGACTGCCTTCGGAACTGTGGAAGGTGCTGAATTTTGTTTTTTCGAGGTAGGTCTTGCTCTGTTACACAGTAGCATGATCATAGCTCACTGAAGCCTCTAGTTTCTAGGCTCAAGCAATCATCCCACCTCAGCCTCCCAAGTAGCTGGGACTAGAGGGGCATGCCACCATGCCCAGCAAATTTTTTAATTTTTTTGTAGAGATGAGGTCTGGCTATGTTGCCCAGGCTGGTCTCGAAATCCTGGCCTCATGATCTTTCTGTCTTGACCTCTCAAGACACTAGGATTATAGGTGTAAGCCACTGCCCAGGCTGATTTTTTAAAGGCAGATTTTTCTGTTCATTGACTCTGAAGCTACTTAATCTGAATCTCTGGTACTGGCCCCTGAGAATCTGCCATTTTAATAAGTGCCCCCTATTTTTTCAAATGCTGACTGCAAATCCTAGAGCTCTACAGAGGGTTTCTGGGGCTGAAGGGATACATCATTGTGCACAGAGTATTTCCCTCATACCCCTTGTTTTGAAATTTTAAATAAATTACTTCCAAATTGAGAGTAATGACTAGCCTGCAAAGAGGCTTTCTGACCTGCCTCACTTAGCCCTGGAAAGGACAATTCTATATACCCTGTTCCCCTGGACCATGGCTAATTGGATCTTAGACCTCTGTTGAAAGGCCATTGATCAACTAGATTTTCTCAAAATTTTATTTATTTATTTATTTATTTATTTATTTATTTATTTAGAGACAGAGTCTCGCTCTGTTGCCCAGGCTGGTGTGCAGTGGCATGATCTTGGCTCACTGCAGCCTCCACCTCCCGGGTTCAAGTGATTCTTGGGCCTTACCCTCCCAATTAGCTGAGATTACAGGTGCCCACCACCACACCTGGCAGATTTTTTTTTTTTTTTTAGTAGGGATGGCGTTTCGCCATGTTGGCCAGCCTGGTCTCAAACTCCTGGCCTCAGGTGATCTGCTCGCCTCGGCCTCCCAAAGTGCTGGGATTACATGCATGAGCCACCGTGCCGGCCATAGCGAAACTTGTGGCCAGCTACTTGGGAGACTGAGACAGGAGAATCTCTTGAACCTAGGAGGCAGAGGTTGCAGTGAGCCGAGATTTTGTCACTGTACTCCAGCCTGGGTGACAGAGTGGGACTCCCTCTCAAAAAAAAAAAAAAAAAAAAAATTACTCTTGTTACTCTTATTCTGTTCTCTCTCTCTACATATATATATATATGTATGTATACATACATATATATATGTATGTATACATACATATATATATGTATGTATACATACATATATATATGTATGTATATAGTGACCTCTATTATCTATTGGCTAGCTTCAAAGAAGCTTGCCAAATGACAAGTGCTGATATTGCTGCTGCAACCAACTTCATAGGTCTTTCAGGAATTTACTGTTTACAAGTGTCTGCAGTATGAAGCTTTAATGCATATGATCTATAATATTCTAACCTAACATTTAAGCTTCCACATTATTGGAAACACAGTCGGGTCTACATGTGGTCTCTTCTTTCCCTCTTTCCCTCCCTCCTTTCTATCTTATTTAATGTCCTTGTATCCTGTGATATCTGTACTCTTTTTTTTTTTTTTTTTTGAGATGGAGTCTTGCTCTGTCGCCCAGGCTGGAGTGCAGTGACACAATCTTGGCTCACTGCAAGCTCTGCCTCCTGGGTTTATGCCATTCTCCTGCCTCAGCCTCCTGAGTAGCTGGGACTACAGGCGCCCGCCACCACGCCCAGCTAATTTTTTTGTATTTTTTTAGTAGAGACAGGGTTTCACTATGTTAGCTAGGATGGTCTCGATCTCCTGACCTTGTGATCTGCCCGCCTCGGCCTCCCAAAATGCTGGGATTACAGGTGTGAGGCACCATCCCGGCCTATTTATTTTTTAATTGAGATGGAGTTTCGCTCTTTTTGCCCAGGCTGGAGTGCAATGGCACCATCTCGGCTCACTGCAACCTCCGCCTCCTGCTTTCAAGTGATTCTCCTGTCTCAGCCTCCCAAGTAGCTGGGATTACAGGCATACATCACCACGCCTGGCTAATTTTGTATTTTTAGTAGAGACGGGGGTTTCTCCATGTTGGTCAGGCTGATCTCGAACTCCCGACCTCAGGTGATCTGCCCACCTCGGCCTCCCAAAGTACTGGGATTACAGGCATGAGCCACCACACCTGGCCTGTTTTTATTTTTTATTTTTCAAGTCCGCACTGCCTGGTCCCATGACCCACCCCCTAGAACTGGGTAGATTATGATGAGTGAGAACATCATGAACTCTGTTATGAAAATCAGAGTCCATGTGTAGTGTAAACTGTTAAGTGTCATAGAGATAAAATTCAGTGTACTATGAGTGTATAACAGGAGGACAGAGAAGGCGTCCTTGAGAAAGTGATTTAGAGCTGAGATCTTGAGGAGGAGGAGGAGGGGTTACCTAGAAGAATAACTTACATGAACATGTTCTGCATGGTGGGGACTGGTGTCTGAGGTCTTTCTTTTTGACAGTGTGTTTTATCGGGATTACTCTTGCCGGTTCGCCGCCTCCCCATGGCAAAAACCTCAATTACTTTTGTACCAACCTATAATATTATAAGCAAAGAACTTTAGGCCTAAATAATTCTCCTCATGTTAAGAGTTCATCTTTGGCAAGGGTGGAGTTAAAATTAACAATGGCAGGCCAGGCGCGGTGGCTCCCGCCTGTAATCCCAGCACTTTGGGAGGCTGAGGCGGGAGGATCACCTGAGGTCAGGAGTTCTAGACCAGCCTGGCCAACATGCACCTAGCTGGGCATGGTGGCGCCCAACTCTCAGCTACTTGGGAGACTGAGGCAGGAGAATTGCTTGAACCAGGGAGATGGAGGTTGCTGTGAGCTGAGATCGCATCACTGCACTCCAGCCTGGGCGACAGAGTAGGACTCTGTCCCCGCCGCCCTCCCCCCAGAAAAATTTACAGTGGCAATTGCTCTGGCTCAAACATATTTTTTCCCCTTGTAAAATGGAGAGGATATCACTTGTTTGCCTACCTCACAGGGCTGCTGTGAGGACCAAATTGGGAATGTGCAAGTATCTTGTGCATTGTAATTCCTGGTATAGCGTGAGATGGTATTATTTTCCAACTATTTGTTCCTACAATAATGTGGCTGTTTCAATTCTGGGCCAATGATAGATGCTTATCTCTCATTCTAGAGGCATCCTAGGTGCCAATTTCCAAGATGGACATTTTTCCAAGCAGAAAGGGTTTTGTTTTCTTTTAAAAATTCATGGCCGGGCGTGGTGGCTCACACCTGTAATCCCAGCACTTTGGGAGGCCAAGGTGGGTGGATCGCCTGAGGTCAGGAGTTTGAGACCAGCCTGGCCAACATAGTGAAACCCCATCTCTACTAAAAAAAATACAAAAATTAGCTGGGCGTGGTGGTGAGCACCTGTAATCCCAGCTACTCGGGAAGCTGAGGCAGGAGAATCGCTTGAACCTGGAAGGCGGAGGTTGCAGTGAGCCAAGATTGCGCCATTGGACTCCAGCCTGGGCAACAAGAGCGAAACTCCATCTCAAAAAATAAAATAAGATAAAATAAAAATTCATGCTAAGGGAAGGAAATAGAGTTAAAAGCAAAACATTCAAGATTCTTAGGGTGATTGGTAGGCCAGATTGTTTAGTGCCTTGCCTTGTGCTCCCTAAAAATACAGTCACAAAGTGTTCTTTCTTCCTTGACAAGATAGAGTCCAAATGCTCAGAGCAGCTGAGACTGGGGATGCCCAGGTTTTCATATCAACATAAGGCACAGAGTGGTGTTGCATGATCCAAACCAGACGGCTGTGTGTCGGTGCAGTCGGGGGCCTTGACCTTTGTTTCTAGTCCATGTTTTTATGCATGTAAATTCTCCCCTAGATAGTAATCTCCTTGGAGACTGGACCATATCTTCAGTTCACTTTGCATCTCTCCTAGCTGCAGGGCACAGCATTTGTGGGACTAAACATTTCATAGACATGTCTGGAAACAGCTAGTTGGGCAGCTTTGAGACAGGAAGGTAGCCCTCTACAGAGAGACCCGGAGCTGCAGCTTCCTGCTGCTCCTCATCCAGCCAGTGTTCACCTTTGGCTGAACTCTTAAACAGGACCTTCGTTGGCATTACAGGAAGAAGGAGAGGGGCCAGGATGATTGCAGGCCAGAGTGTTGTTATCCCCTGCTGTGCAGAGGACCAGACGTGGCATCATGGGCTTCATCCTCTGTGGGAGCATTGATGGGCATTGAGCTTTAGGCTGAAGCCTGCCCTGATAGATGACAAAGTGAATAGTCACTTGCACCAGACTGCTGGAAAGAACCCGAGTTGTCATGTTGATCTCAGGCCTAATTAGTGTGCTGCTCACTTAATCTGGGAGACGCTGGGTAAAAGGGACTGGGAGAAAATGTACACGAAGCAGCCCCTTTCTTAGGGACTTAAGTGGGAACAGAATCAATTGTGCATCTGAGCTACTTTCCCATCGTTGGGAGGAGGAAGGGAGAAGTGACTGATGGTCTTGATTTGGACAACAGGTGCCTCGGAAACCCAGCCAGAATCTTGGCGTGCTGCAGCTGCTGAGGGGCCACTCTCCCAAGCTGCAACTCTCCCTCGCACCAGCTTTTGGAAGTTACAGAGACCCACTAGAGAGAAGACTTTGGACTCATGACTGGAGCCTTCCAGCCAAGAGTCCATTAAAATATTTTCCAACATGTGCTGAGAACATTTTAGCAACCATTCCAACAAAGAAGCTTCCATTTGGTTTTAGTAACAATAGCTAGGAACCAGTGCTTATTTCTATTATTTCAGTATGTAATGTACATATTTTCCCCCACTTTGGAGACAATCTGAGCCTCTACCGCTGGACAGCTCTGCTCTACCCTGTAGTAAAAAGGGCTCACTGCTCGATGCACCGGAAGCTGATACCACGACACTGGGTTTTTTGTTGTTTTTGAGAAAAGCTTTATATTATATATAAGTCGACTCACAAGGAGATAGGAGTGTCAAGCTCAAATATTTCTCCCTGTGCTGTCTTTAAGGCAGGCAGTAATTTTATTAGAAAAGATTAGACAGGCATGCTGGAGCATGCCTGTAGCATGCCTGTAGTCCCAGCTGCTTGGGAGGCTGAGGCAAGAGGATCATTTGAGCACAGGTGCCATTGCACTCCAGCCTAGGTGACAGACTGAAACCCTGTCTCCAAAAAAAAGAAAAAAAAAGATTTAGGCCAGGCACCATGGCTCATGCCTGTAATCCCAGCACTTTGGGAGACTGAGGTGGGAGGATCACTTGAGGCCAGGAGTTCAAGAACAGCATGGGAAACATAGTGAGATCCCATTCCATTTCTACAAAGAATTAGCTGGGTGTGGTGCCATGTGCCTGTGTCCCAGCTACTCGGGAGGCTAAGGCAGGAGGATTGCTTGAGGCTGGGTGGTTGAGGCTGCGGTGAGCCATGATCACAACACTGTACTCCAGTCTAGGCAACATAGCAAGCCCATGTCTCAAACTGCCCCTGCAAAACCCCCAAAACATAGAGCCCCATCTCTACAAAAAAATAAAGGAGTTTGGGGGTGGATACTGGGATTAGCAGGTGCTTGGTGGAAGGAAAAGGGAAGTCTGGAAAGTCCTTGGGTGCATGTAGTTATTTCTTTATGCAAACTCATGGGTCAAAGGTGCAAATTTGGGGAGTTCATGTGAAATATGCAGTGGAAATTCAGGCTGTGACGTCAGCAGACTCGTTCTATGCAAAATCTAGTTAGCTAGTTTTCTTTTAAAATCTGCTATCCTGTAAATTCAAGAATTTTTGTTACTGTTTTTTAATCCTTTGAGGGCACAATTTTAATTTTAGCTTTTTATTTTTATTTATTTATTTTTTTGAGATGGAGTTTCACTCTTGTTGCCCAGGCTGGAGTGCAGTGGTGCGATCTTGGCTCACTACAACCTCCACCTCCTGGGTTCAAGTGATTCTCTTGCCTCAGCCTCCTGAGTAGCTGGGATTACAGGTACCTGCCACCACGCCCAGCTAATTTTTGTATTTTTAGTAGAGACGGGGGTTTCACCATGTTGCCCAGGCTGGTCTCGAACTCCTGACCTCAGGTGATCCACCTGCCTTGGCCTCCCAAAGTGCTGGTATTACAGGCATGAGCCACCATGCCCAGCCAGTTTTAGTTTTTTAGCAAGTTCTTTTCTTATCTGCTATCCTGTAAGTCCAAGAATTTAGTCATTTTTCTTTAACTTTTTGGGGCACGGTTTCACTACAGGTACCTACAGTTGGGTGCAGTGGGTGCAAAAGTAATCGCGGTTTTTTGTCATTGGCAAAACTTTTGCACCCGCCTAATAGATTTGGCAAAAGGCTGGCCCAGTTTCTCTCAGTAAACCAGCTTCGGTCATTATATTAGTTATATATTGCTGCATATCAAGTTACCCCCAAACCAGCAGCTTACAACAGCATTAAACATTTTTTAGGCTGGGCGCAGTGGCTCACGCCTGTAATCCCAGGACTTTGGGAGGCCGAGGAGGGCAGATCACCTGATGTCAGGAGTTCAAGACCAGCCTCGACATGGAGAAACCCCGTATCTACTAAAAATACAAAATTAGCCAGGCGTGGTGGTGCATGCCTGTAATCCCAGCTACTCAGGAGGCTGAGGCAGGAGGATTGCTTGAACCTGGGAGGCAGAGGTTGTCCTGAGCCGAGATCGTGCCATTGCACTCCGGCCTGGCCAACAAGAGCGAAACTCCATCTCAAAAAAAAACAACAAAAAACAAAAACCATTTTTTAGATCATGTTGTTATATTCTGTGGGTCAGGAGTCTAGTAGCAGCTTAGCTTGATGGTCCTTGCTTGGTCTCTCACGAGGCTGCAGTTAAGATGATGGCTAGGGCTGCAGTCATCTGAAGTCTTGACTGGGGCTTGGAGGATCTGCTTCCAAGGTGGCTCTCTCACATGCCTGGCAAGTTGGGGCTGGTTGTTTTCAAGAAGCCTCAGATCCTCACCATGTGGACCTTACCAAAGATCTACTTTGGTGTCATTGATATGGCAATAGTTTTCTCCGAGAGTTATCCAAGAGAGAGCAAGGCAGAAGTGGCCATGTCTTTTAGGACCTAGTTGTGGAAGTCACACAGCATCACAGGTGCCCTATTCTACTGGTCACATGGACCAACCCTGATGCATTGTGGGAGGAAACTGCACAAGGATAATTAGGCGCCATCTTGGAGGCTGGCTACCACAGCCATGCTGGAAACAGTTAAATGAGGCATACAGAGAGGAGCCCTCTTTTTACTTGTTTTCTGACAGCAAGGCTATAGTGCAGGACAAGAAGACACTTGAATGGCAGTGGCACCTTCTCCTCTTAGTCTGAAACCATAGTTTCCCTGTAAGTACAGGTATGAGAGACGAGTTCTCTTTTCAGTCTACATAGTAATGTCCTGGAGGAATAGAATAATTCCCTTTTGTAACTAAGCTCACCACCAGGCAGAGTAGGCACTCACATATATAATGAGGTGGGGACACAGCCTCACAGATCATGGTGACAGCAGAGTTAATGGAAAGATGGCTTTAAAACCACATCTTTGAAATTCTGACTCTTCTTTGACGAATTAGCTTTGTGAGTTTCGATAAATTAAGCTGAGGGAAATAAATCTATCTTATGGAGCTGTTTTATCCTCCTAAAATGATAATTACAAGCATCTTTATATCTCTCTATCCTTTGAGAACCTATCATCATCAGTTAGAGGTGCAGGTTATGATGACATATATGGATATCAGTCTCACCAGCAGGTGATCATGAAATCTTCCTCTCAAAGACTAAGATTTAGAATTGTTAAGGCTGGGCGCGGTGGCTCACGCCTGTAATCCCAGCACTTTGGGAGGCCGAGGCAGGCAGATCACGAGGTCAAGAGTCGGAGACCATCCTGGCCAACATGGTGAAACCCCGTCTCTACTAAAAATACAAAAATTAGCCTGGTGTGGTGGCAGGCGCCTGTAATCTCAGCTATTCGGGAGGCTGAGGCAGGAGAATCGCTTGAACCCGGGAGGCGGAGGTTGCAGTGAGCCGAGATTGCGCCATTGCAATCCAGCCTGGGCGACAGAGCAAGACTCCATCTCAAAAAAAAAAAAAAAAAAAAAAAAAAGATTTAGAACTGTCATCTACTCTACCATACTCCAGGAGCTAGCTCCCATGTCCCACATCTAAATCTTGTCTTATTCAGTGATTCTAGGCCATCAATAGAGATCTCAGCACGATGCTTTTAGCTTGTATCCTTTGGGTTCTCTGGTTGTCAGCTCTTGCCTCAACAGACTTTCGTGTATACATATTACCAGCCCTTTATATCCACTGGTGGTGGCTGGGTGCAGTGGTTCATGCCCATTATCCCAGCACTTTGGGAGGCCAAGGCAGATGGCTCTCTTGAGCCCAGGCGTTCAAGACCAGCCTGGGCAACATGGCAAAACCCCGTCTCTATTAGAAATACAAAAATTAGCTGGGCATGGTGGTGTGTGCCTTTAGTCTCAGCTACTTGGGAGGCTGAGATGGGAGGATCAGTTGAGCCTGGGAGACAGAGGTTGTGGTGTGCCAACATAGGGCCACTGCATCGAGCCTGGGCAACAGAGCGAGACCCTGTCTCAAAAAATAAAAATAAATCCACTGGTGGTAGAGGAAGATGAAACAAACACTACTTCTGTAGGGAATTTGGTTCTACAGGGCAGGCACCAGTTTCAGTGGGAATAGCTGGGATAAGTTAAAAAAAAAAAGGATCTAATGGAGTCTGTATTTATCTTCATTCCGAGTCTATGCAAGTGAAGATTCTCTTCCTCCTTGTTGATGGCTTGACTGTGATGTAATCAAATTTCCAATGTTTAGGATGGTAATTTAGTGACTTTACGGGTGCTCTGTACCATCTTGCGTTTCTATTAGTATTTGGTCAGTGATCACAGGGGCTCTTCTTTCTCTGCCACCTTTCTCTAGTATTTAGACAAAGGCCAGACCAGGTAGCTCTCAACACTAAATCTGACCCGATGCTTAATCTTGTTATCCTTTCCCTTTTCATCACTTTAAGTTCTTGATGTCTTGTCTTGAAATATGGAAGGCCAGCACCCACTTCTCTTTCCCATGTTTCTTTTGGCCTTAGGTCCCAGGTAAAAAAAAAAAATCTCACTTAAGCATTTAGGTCTACAATTGCTATTCTTGGCCTGATCTAGCATTCTAGCCCTTCTGGAGGGGGAAGAAACATCCAGCCAGGTGATCCCCTGCTACTGAACAGTTGACAGCTGTTGGGAGAGGCAATCCACTATGAACCCCAAGCATCCTTGCACCTCCTTGCTGGATATGCCAAGAACACAAGGTCCTGACCGTTTTTTTGAGATAGAGTTCCACTCTTGTAACCCAGGCTGAAGTGCAGTGGTGCAATCTTGGCTCACTGCAACCTCCGCCTCCCGGGTTCAAGAAATTCTCCTGTCTCAGCCTCTCAGGTAGCTGGGATTATAGGTGCCTATCACTGCGCCCGGCTAATTTTTGTATTTTTAGTAGAGACGAGATTTCACCATGTTGGCCAGGCTGACCACTTTTTATGCTGGCCATTCCTCAGGGTTGTCTGTAGTGAGCAGTTTGAGGGATAAGTTAATGTCTCCTTCTGGAACAAAGAGCAGCCTCGCTCAGTGCTTGCTATAAAACAAACAAACAGCAGGCTCAGCTGGGTGTGGTGGCTCACACCTGTAATCCCAGCACTTTAGGAGGCCGAGGCAGGTGGATCACCTGAGGTCAGGAGTTTGAGATCAGCCTGGCCAACATGGCAAAACCCCGTCTTTACTAAAATACAAAAATTAGCCAGGTGTGGTGGTGTGTGCCTGTAATCCCAGCTACTCAGGAGGCTGAAGCACAAGAATTGCTTGAACTCAGGAGGCGGAGGTTGCAGTGAGCCAAGACTGCGCCACTGCACTCCAGCCTGGATGAAGCCTCCCCAAGCCTAATGTTCTTTTCCTGTAACAAAACCCACTGCATGTGCAGGCATCCCTCTGGGCCCTTTGCATCATACCTGTAGGACTTGGGTGTTAAGTGTGAACTGACAGGCTCTTACTGCTTGCTGTGCTGTACTACAGTCCTTTGTCTTTATCCCAGGAGTCTCATGAAATAACAGACCTACTTAATTAGCTTGCAAGAAGGGTACAAATCCCAGACCCTAATAAATGACCTTAAAATTGTGATATATCCAAATCCCCTATTATTTTTCAGTTTTACAATTTAAATATTTTTTATAGTGACAGAATGTCGCTATGTTGCCCAGGCTGGTCTTCCAACTCCAGAGCTCGAGTGATCCTCCTGCTGGGGTCTCAAAATGCCGAGATTAAAGGCGTGAACCATTGCCCCTGGCCCAAATCACCTGTTTTTCTGATAGTAATCTGGCAATTTTATGAGTGTCTAGCATTGTTTTCTATGTGGTCTTCAGAATTGCTAAGATATGAGGCAACCTATAAGCTCTGGGGTTGGCAAATTATGACCTACTTGTTTTTGAAAATAAAATTGTATTGGAACACAGCCACACACTTATCCATTTTCTATGGCTACTTTTGTGTTATAACAGCAGAGGTAAATAGCTGTGACAGTGAACACATGGCCTGGCAGCCTAAAATACTGGCCGTCTATCCCTATAAGAAGTTTGTTGACCCCGTAAGAAGTCATTCCTCATCTAGAGCAATGGATCACATGGCAAAGCACCTTTGAAGGCGAGCCTAGTCTGTTTGAAAGCCAGCCAAGATAAGACTTTTTCTCCAAAGCTGTAAATACATACAGATTTATCAGGAAATATTTTCTACATGGTGCTTCATTCAGGGGTTATCAGTAGGGGCCATGTATGTAAGAGCTATACAGGTAGAGACTATAGGATCTGACTAGAAAGCCCATTTCCAGTACTAGGTGAGTGATTAAAACAAACTGCATCAGAAGAAAGCATCTTGTCAAAATTACTACTTGTGAACTAAAACAAAGGACACATTCCCACTAGAACAGAAATAAATTTTAATTCATTGAAAAGTGCAGCAGTGAACAGGGTCCTTTTGAAGGGCACTTTCTAAGTCAAATGACTGAGATGACACAGAGCAAGGGCAGAATAGGAACAGAGGATGCAAACACAGGAAGTTACAAAATTCAGTGGGAACTAAGTGGTGGTAAAACTCAAGAACCCAACTCTACCCATCTAATTCCATTGGTGGATCAGTTGAATTAACTTTTGCTTTCTTTAGGATGAATCCTGGGACAACTTTCCTTTAAAAAAGCACTAAACCTTAGTTTAGACACTTAATAAGTTTAAGAACACTTCTCACAGAATAAGGTAAAACTTCCATGGCTATCATTACTATTTTGTACAACAGCCCTAGTGTTGTCAATTAAAATGTGTTTGCAGGCCGGGCACGGTGGCTCACACCCGTAATCCCAGCACTTTGGGAGGCCGAGAAAGGTGGATCACCTGAGGTCAGGAGTTAATCAGCCTGGCCAACATGGTGAAACCCCGTCTCTACTAAAATTACAAAAATCAGCCAGGTGGGGTGGCAGGCGCCTGTAATCTCAGCTACTTGGGAGGCTGAGGCAGGAGAACTGCTGGAACCCAGGAGGTGGAAGTTGCAGTGAGCCGAGATCACGCCACTGCACTCCAGCCCGGGTGACAACCGCGAGACTTCATCTCAAAAAAAAAGTGTTTGCAACAGCACCATTTGTCAAATTCAAAGATGCTCAAAAGGTGTTCCCTACTTTGCATGAGAGGGAGAGCTTTGTAACAGGAAATTGTATAAGGCAAACTCTCTATTCATTCCTAAGGCCTCTGTTCATTCCTAATGTTTACATGGTTCTCTACTCTGAAGGGCACCAACATGGACCTCACCTTCTTAACATGGAAAATCAAAATCTAAATGAATACAATTAAAAGGAGGCAGCAAGCTTCTTGCAGTGGGTCCCTTAAACATTATGAAAACATCAGTGCATTGTGTAGTCTGTTACGCTATAAACTGAGGTCTCTTTATGAAAGATTATTTTAGCACAAATTCAGAATGAAGCCAGTCCAAGAAAAAAAGAATTGGAAGCTATTTGAAGGTTAGATAGGAAATATACCAAAAATAGAAGAGCGTAGAGAGGGCTGCACCACATCCTACCACGCAAGCACACCCACTGAACTGAGTAAGAGTGGCGTGGCTGAGGTGCCGTCAGCAGCTGACTATGTCACTCTTATGAGTTCTGCTCAGGAACAAGCATAAAACTGAATAATATGACATCACAGTCCAAGACCTGGTAAGAGTTGGTTTCTTTTTATTTGGAAATAACTATGGTCAACTTTCATTAATGTGGAAGTTGACTGATAATGTTAAGAGTCAAAGTGAAAAAGAAAGCCGATACCCATATTCAACAGTGCTTTCAGTTACAACATTTTTTGAATTTCCTTCTCTAAAACATTCACAGCAGAGGTGTCCATTTCACTTGCCTGTTTCACCTCTAGATACCACCACAGTTGCTGGGGTCATGTGAGGTAAAGGAATATATCCAATTGACTGTTAGCCCAACATGACTATCTGCAATTCTGATAGAAAAGCTACTTTCAGCCATGTCTTACAAAGTGCTTAAAGCTGGACAGAAGACTTTAAATAAAGCTAAAATCGCTTATTGCCTGAGTTGAACAAGTTACAAACCACAGCTCTTCCTCCTCCCCTGCTGTCTCACCACCAATTAGCCTTCTTGTGAGGACAACATTAGAAATGGAACTGGTTTTTGAGCCAAGAAACATAAAAATTTAGGTGTTCTTAGCCAAGCGTGGTGGCTCATGCCTGTAATCCCAGCACTCTGGGAGGCCGAGGTGGGTGGATCACAAGGTCAGGAGTTCAAGACCAGCCTGGCCAACATGGTGAAACTCTGTCTCTACTAAAAATACAAAAAATTAGCTGGGCGTGGTGGTGCGTGCCTATAATCCCAGCTACTCAGGAGGCGGAGGCAGGAGAATCGCTTGAACCCAGGAGGCGAAGGTTGCAGTGAGCTGAGATCATGCCATTGCACTCCAGCCTGGGTGACATAGTGAGACTCTGTCCCCACTTCTCAAAAATAAAAACATTTAGGTGTTCTCAACAGTGAAGAAACCTGAATAGATTTGATTTTGACAGGGGAATACTGATAATCATACAAGACTCCAAAACTCAGGAAGAACCCATCTAAAAGGGGAGAAGGTAGGGTAAAGTAGTTGATACTTTGCATCAACTGTAAGAAAATTTTCCACCTTAAAACAAATGAAGAGAATGACAGAAAAATGCAGATAGAGCCAATGACTTCATACATGGAACTTAAATTCAAGCTCCCTGCTGGACAGGCACTTCTTTCCTTTATCCCTGGTACAGCCCTTCCACTTGTCTGTTCAAGAGCCCTGTCTTCAGAAGGCCCTCGGAAGAGACAACCTTCACCAACTCTTGGCAGTTCTTCACTGCTGATGTTCCTAAGCCACTTCATTTTTCAGATCTCAGAGGGGAGTCTCAAGAGAAGGGACCTTGCCTTAATCCTTCCAGTGTTAACTGGCACTCCCTGTGGTTGGCAGCCACTGGAAAGTAGATGGCTATCACCTTCAAGAGCTACCTGGAATTGGCCTTTATCACAAGCTTACTGCTCTATTTCAGTGCAGCACCAGCCTAGAATTCACAAAAACATGAACAGAGCTTGGGTGACATGTTTTGAATTTGCAACCTTACCACACTGTGATGAACATCATAAAAAATGTATCTCTACTTATCAATCAACAATGGTACTTGTTCTTACTTGGATGATTCAGCTCTGATGGTTACTCTTCAAGCCATGTGATGTTAGTATTTTTGATAGTGAAGTGCTCAATCTGAAATGCTACACAGGTCCTTTGACTTTAGGTCAAGCTTACATATCAAAAGGTGTGTCTGTGTGTTTGTGTGTGTCCTAAAGTACTGCCATTTATCTGAATGGGTTTACAAATTCAGTCTTTAACCACAAGAGGAATAATCAAGAACTGTGGCCCCAGGATAAAAAGAATACAGTGAGAACAAAGACCTCAGGAGTGTCCTTGTCAGCTAAAGGAAGAGACCAGAGACAGCCACTCCTGACACATGGGCAGAGTTCACAGTTTAACACATTGCACGAGGAAGTCAGCTGACTGGGTTGCTTTTTCAAACAGGACTTAAAGCCAGCCCAGAAACTCTTCCAGGTGTGGTCTTGAAGACTAGCTACAGACACCTACTACAATCACTTCATCAGAAAGAGGCGTGCAGGGATCCATCTGCAGAGGCTGTGTGAGGTCGCTACAGAAGATGTTTGGAAAATCTTCGAGTCCTGACACTGCCGCGATTGCTGAACATGAGACGGGGGTCAAACCTGTATCTGGGGAGGAAAAACCAAATGTAACATTAGCTCTCACTAGCTTCTCACTCAGAATATTATTCAGTGGAAAGGATAGCAGGAAGGGGTGTAAAAGAAACAAATCACCAGAAGGGACTCTAGTGAGAAAGTCTATGGTACAAAACATGAGCCCTCGACAGTTCCGAACATTTCTATCACCAGTCAGCACACACAAAGTCACACAGTGCAAGTCAAGAGGAGAAAAACAAGTAGGTTAGTCTTGAAAGGTGTCAGAAGGCAGCAAGATTTGAGATTTTTTTCTTTTGAGGGAGTAGGGGTGGATCAACTGTTACATTATTACAGTGCTTGTGTTCAAGTCACCCTGATTTTATTTAACAATGGCTCCAAACCACAAGAGTAGTGGTGCTGCCAATTCAGAAATGCCAAAGAGAAGCCATAAAGTGCTTCCTTTAAGTGAAAAAGTGAACGCTCTTGACTTAATAAGGAAAGAAAAAAATCATACAGCAAGACTGCTAAGACCTACAAGAGCCTCACCATAAACATGAGTCATTTTTGGTGGGGGCGCTGGCAGGGGGACAGAGTCAGTCTGTCGCCCAGGCTGGAGTGCAGTGGCACAATTTCAGCTCACTGCAACCTCCACCTCTCCGGCTCAAGTGATTCTCCTGTCTTAAGCCTCCAGAGTAGCTGGGAACACTGGCGTGCGCCACCACACCTGGCTAATTTTTTTTTTTTTTTTTTTTTTTTGTAGAGACAAGAGTTTCACCATGTTGCCCAGGCTGGTCTAGAACTCCTGGGCTCATGTGATCTGCCCGCCTTGGTCTCCCGAAGTGCTGGGATTACAAATGTGAGCCACCGCGCCCAGCCAGGAATGAATCTTCTATCTGTGAAATCATGAAGAAGGAAAAACGAATTCTAGTTTTGCTGCCACACCTTAAACTGCAAAAGTTAGGGCCACAGTGCATGACAAAAGCTTAGTTAAGATGGAAAAGGCATAAAATTTGTGGGTAGAAGACATGAACAGAAACATCTTCCAACTGATGGCAACTGGGCCTGGCACTATCCTTGGGGCTTCACGCATCCACTGTGGGTTCTGGAATAGATCCTCTGTGGATAAGGGGGGACTACTGCATTTTAGAACTGCAATTGACCAAGATTTTTTGTAAAGGGCCAGATAATAAATATTTTAGGGTATGGGAGCCATACAGTCTCTGTCCCAACCATTCTCCTTTGCTGCTGAAGCACACAAGCAGCCAAAACCAGGTAAACGAATGTGTGAGGCTGTGTTCCCGCAGGTGGGGCTAGATTGGGCTCACAGGATCTGGTCTGATGACCCCATTTTGGAGGACTCAACAGGCCCAAATGTTTGATAGGAAAGGAATAATCAGGGCTAAGGAATTTAAAACAGAAAATCAGGTTAAGTTTAAGTAGTTCAGGCTAACAGGCCCAAATGTTTGATAGGAAAGGAATAATCAGGGCTAAGGAATTTAAAACAGAAAATCAGGTTAAGTTTAAGTAGTTCATGCTAACATCAGCAAAGCCAGCATCTAGCACTTTAGTTATAAGCTTCTAAAATGTGAGGAAGACAATTTGTTGCAGTTAAAAACCAAACAAAACTTGCTTAGGAAATAACGTATTCACTTCCTTATAGGGTGACCCTTGGGCAAATCACAACTGCAAGCTCAGTTTCCTCATTTGAAATTTACCTGTTTGGGCTCTAAGGGCTGTGTGGAAATTCTATGAATTCTAACACTTAGAGCCAGATGTTCAGAAGAAACAGACAGCTGGCTCCATCTACCTTGCATTGGCCAACCAGATGCCAGCCTGGCAGGTCCATGTCCTAGCAGTGGCATGGTCAGGGACTGTTTGGCCACACATCATAATCCAAGAGGTCCAGTCCCTTGACCCTCCATTTAAGATTTAATCAGATGCTGGCTTTAAGTTCCCAGAGTCAGCCAGGGAGTACATGGTTAAAAAACATTAACTGCTATCGACATCTAACTTAATTTGGTTTAAAAGAACATTCTGAGCTAAGTAACTGTTGGAAATTGCAAAGTCAGCACATGTAAACTGGAAGTCTTGTGCTTTTATTTTAGGGACTGGACTTCCTATTTCAGGTAACTGGTACCAAGCTAGGATCTATTTCACTAACTTGGAGGAAAGACCAAAGGAAAGACCAATGGTCAAAATTCTTGACCATTCTTATTGTACTAATGGGATTATCCATATAAAAACAGTTATTTCATTTAAGTGATATAAAATAATAAATATTATCTTTTTATATTGTTACCTGGCTTTAGTTTACTGGTGTCCATGCCACTTTGGCACTATATACATTATTTAAAAGCAAACAATGAACAGTCTATCATCGAGTTTTTCTACTCATTCACATTCATTTGTCTCTAATTTGGACTAAAGATAAAATTTAATACAAAGACGGCTAAAAAATTAAGTGATAACTTTCCATCAACTTAGGACATCATTCTTCCCTCTCTTACAGTCTGAAGGTAGGAACTAAAATATTCCTTTCCCAGTGAAAGTTTGATTTTTAAACTTCATGATCTTCAAGCAAAAGATAAATGACAAGGTTCCTGCCACCAGCAGCTCAAATGCATGGTGTACTGACACCCAGTGTTACTGCTGAAAAGTTACTAAGAAGGACCGTGTGGGGAACAAATCTGACATAGCAGGTGACAGCTAAACATCCTTTATACCTCCATATCGTGCAATGGGCTTATATATTTCAACATCTGAGTTTACACCTTCTATTTTCATTGTGTGTTTAATATATTAAATTCACCAGCAAACATTCAAGTTTCTGTAGTAGGGGTTTCTGAGAAATGAAATGAAGGCATATACTCTTGCAAGCTCTAGGGAACAGGTGAACAGGGCAGCAGTGGGTCGCAGCTTACTTAAAGAAGCCCCAAGTGTCACCAATGCAAACAAGTGGTACCATGACAATAATCACAGCACGAAAATAACAAGAGCCCCATGTTTGGTGGGGAGCAGGGCTGTACCTCTGGCTAAAGTAACAACTGGCAGTGGAGAACAAAAGTTTCAAAAGCTTGATTTTCCCAGCACAACGGGCTGATGCAATTAGAACACAGTATTCCCTCTAAAGCAGAAGAATCATCATCTCACAGCAAAAAGGGCTCCCTTTGCCTTCAAGAACAGCATGTCTACTAGAAAAAACTTGGCCAAGTAAATGAAGAGAAAGGAAACTTACCCGGGGTCAAAAACCCCTGGAGTGCGACAGGTTGGCCCAGAACAGGACTGTAACATCATTAACCGATAGTTCATCTTTCCTAAAAGCTCTGGGTCTATGGTTTTAGCAATGTTAGTGATCTGGTCTGGGTCTGCAGTCAGATTATAGACTTCTACAAACACCTAGAGGACATGAAAGAATGGAGGAAAGAAAAGAGCAAAGGTTAGCCGTGAAGAAATACTCTTAACGTGACTTATTTCTAAAGGGGAAGGGAGGAGGTAGATTAAAAAAAAAAAAAATCAAGGCCCTGGAGACTCTCAATCTGTTTTCAAGATCCTCAAAGAGCTCACTGCTTCCTTGAGATGAGGGAGCATCTGTTCTGGGGGTTCAGTTGCTTCGGGTCTCTAGCCACATGCTAAAAAGGGGCCCCTGCACACCCTGTGCCTTCAGGCAGAGGCAAGAGAGGGTATGGGGAAGAAATGCATTATCTTCTGTAATTAGAACAGAAAGCAGGAGCCTCCAATGGCAAGGTCTCAGAAACAAGACTTGGCAATAAAGTTACTAAAGTGAGAGCGAATATTTAAAGGTGATTTTTGCCCTAGAATTGTGAAGTTCAAATGAGAATGATATGAAAGTACTCTTGCCTGTGTTATACAAATGTTAAGTTTTCCTATTTTAAAAAGTAATTGTGGATATATTGGGGAAGGACACAATACTAATTATTATTTCTAAAATAAGACAGGTCTAACGCAGTACTTTTCCCTCTATAATCTGTATGCTGTTCTCCAAATTGGAGTCAAATGTGAGGCTAGAAAGATGGTAGGTAATTTTGCCTATAATGGCTTCAGGTAGCTGCCCTCACTCACACAATCACTTATAAAGTAGTTATCAAACTGATAAACATTATGGGGGAGCAGGGAACAGGAACTGAGTTTGAGGAAAGCTCTCTTGCTTGTTGTCCAAAGTGCTTATCAGCTGCAAATGGAGTGGAGAATGAGTCCATTTCTGAGAAACACAGATGGGCATCTGTTCCAGATGGTCAGATGAGGGTTGCCAGATGGGGCAGGTGAGCATATGCTGATAAACAGTAAGAAACCACAAGGGACTAGAGTCCATGGGATCCTTCAGATAATCCATACCAACCTGTGTTGGCCAAAAACCACCTTCTTCCATGGATGGACTCCTGGGCCTCTGACCCCCACTCTAATCTATTACAGCAGCATTGGATTATGCTGTGGTGGGAACAGGAGTTTCCGAATACACCAGGTGCTGGTAAGCTTTCTAGAAAATGCTCCAACCAATCTACCAGGGAAGCTAACAGACAAAGCATTTATCATTCTGAAAACGTGAATTGTGCATTTAAAGTGTATATTTGGGTGGTGGTGGGAGTGGAGAGAACTCAATTCAGAAAGATTACAATTAGAGAAGTGAGACATGGCCTTACAACTGAAGGAAACCTAAAGTGAAGCACAGATAAGAAACACAACCTCTTCCCTAGGGAGCAGCCTTGGAATTGCTCTTATGCCACCAAGTCCAGCCAACAAAGCACCAGCAAGAAAGGAGCGGGGGAAGTGCAGGCAGAAGTCCCTCTTACCTCCTGGTCATCAAACTCGCAATACTGCAAATTCCACAATGCTGACATTGTCCTCACACAGGCATAGGTATTGTTATAAGCATCTTCACATACACAGTCTGGGAAGCATTGCTGTAGGGATATTTCAAAAGTTAAATGAAGACAGTTCTTCCATAGTAACAAATACCTAGTTGCCTAGAAGGGCAATCGGCTTGGCTCATGCCGGACATGCAATTTGACAGCAATTAGAAAACCTTCCATGGGGAAGCCAGTAACTCAAAAACAGATGTGAGGTTTTGTTCCTTTGGCTAACTTGATCAAGGTATATGGGTTGTTCCATTTGTAGACTGTTGCCATCCTTGTCTGCTAAACTCCTGACAATAATTACTTAAAATGGGCACCTGTAAAATGTATGGGTTGGCAAGGAGAAGAAATCAACTCAAATGACTCCTTTCTTTTTTTTTTTTTGCGATGGAGTTTTGCTCTTGTCGTGCAGGCTAGAGTGCAGTCGTGCGATCTCAGCTCACTGCAACCTCCACCTCCCGGGTTCACACGATTATCCTTCCTCAGCCTCCTGAGTAGCACAGGCATGCACCACCACGCCCGGCTAATTTTTGTATTTGTAGTAGAGATGGGGTTTCGGCATGTTGGCTAGGCTGGTCTCGAACTCCTGACTTCAGGTGATCCACCCGCCTTGGCCTCCCAAAGTGCTAGGATTACAGGTGTGAGCCACAGTACCCAGCCCAAATGACTCATTTCTAAGAGCTACTAGGAAATGTCACCCTAAGAAGTTGGAGGAGAAGGCTAAAATGAGTTTTGTGGAGTCATGTGCAAGTAAGTTATTTATGAGTGTTCTTATCACCAGGTACGACTTAAATCTAATTTGTCTACCATATGATCTGTTATTGCACTTTTGGTTGGTTCATTATACTGTAACACTTTGGTGTTAGAAGAATCAATCAACTCCAAGTGGAAGCCTATTTTCCCTTCTCCAAAGTGAGGCCAACATGGCTGTTTCCCTCTTTGTGACCTGCCTGGCTGCCGCCAATGCGAGGCACTCATAATGGCATGGTTACAGGCAGGAACCACATCTCTCTACTGCATGCCTCAGTAACATTATCCCTAATTAAAAAAAAATGGTACTGTTATTGGGAGGGGTAGAAAAACAGGGAAGAGGAATTGATAAGAACACGGGTGGATACATGCACTTGCTACATAAATTGGAAGATTAACAGTGCACATTCTGATGACAGGTCAGCAGCATCATTTCCAAGATCACTGGATTTACCTTTGTCCATCTACTAACCACTCACAGTCAGTGACAAAGGAACAGGACTCAGATGAAAGGTTTCAATATTTGACACATGGCAACCAGCACCTTGCCATGTTGTCAGTGAGAAAGCTGTCTAAGTTGATTCAAGCTATTACTCACAGATACGCCAGGACTCAGGGAAGGGCATGTTGGGTCAGTGACGTTACGGCCTTCTCCTTGGTATTCCACCAGGACATCTGATCGCCAGGTCAAGTTACTGGCACCTCTCTAGAAAGAAGAGCAAGTGGAATTTCTGTGATGCACATAGACTATGATAAAGATCACAAAGTAATTGACTGCTAAAGGGGACCTGGGAGTCAAAAGTAATTGGACTGTTCATTCAGTAACTAAAGGGAATGACTAAAACAGGTACATATGAAAGCTACTGAGCAGTATGTTTGGTAGTTAAGGGCCTTTACAAACGATGGTGAAATGCTTTGAAAATTTAATAGTTCCTTCCCAAGGCTACTTCTGTGAATCAGGTCAGGAATGGAACCTGACAAGGTAGCTAAGCAAGAATCAAAGTCACAGTGCAAGTTGCTGAAAGTCCAGACTAGAATAAATAATACTGTCATATGCTCTATGTAAGAACTGTTTTAAGCTCAGACTAAGAAACTTATAACCTAATAGACACAAGGACAATAAAGAAATATTCCACAGACTTGTGTGCTAAAGACTGTAACAGGTTCAAAGCACCTCTTGATGGTCAGAATGAAGGTATAGTACATTAATTCACTCACTTTTCAATGTACATTCATGGTGTGGAAGGAAAGAAGTGGCAGCATTTGAAAGCAGCAAGTTTAAGACACAAATGGTGAAAGGAGAAAGAATCTAGGAACGGGAGCAAGTTTTAGATTCAAAGAGCATGAATATAGGTTGAACGCAGACCACTTAGATGTGTGGCTTCCTGAAACACAGCTTTCAGACAAGGAAGCAGTGCACAGTGAGGGTGGAGAGGCAGGCTGGTACCACACAGGAAAAGGCCCTGAACATCATGCTGCCCAGGCTTGTCCTATAAAGAACAGCAGGTGATGGGAAATCATAGGAGGTTTTTGAGCAGGGAGGTAACACAATCAAGGCAGTGATTTAGAAAAGTCAGCTTAGTGGCAGAATCTAGAGACAGAAACTGCAGTATTCATAACAGTCAAAAAGTGGAAAGACAGGAAGACCAGGTTAGAAGCTGCTCTTAAAATGGTCAAAGTCTGGTTGGGAGCTTGGAGATGCAGAATCTCAGGTCCTACTCTAGCTCTAATAAGCCAAAGCCTGCATTTAGTAAGAACTCTTGGTGATTTCCACGCATAGTAAAAATCTGAGCAGCACTGCTCTAAAAAAGTGGTTCTTAAAATGTGGTTCCCAGGACAAGCAGCATCACCTGGAAACTTGTCACAAATGCAAATTCTTAGTTCCTAACGTAGGTAGACAGCAACCTGGGTTTTAGCAAGTCCCACAGGCAATTCTGGGGAATGCCTGTTTGAGAATCACTGCTCTAAAGAATGCTAAATGTGGGTGAGTACAGTGGGGAATGGGTAACGGCTTGTGCAAGGCCTTGAATGCCGCAGCCACCTGAAAAGGAGGAGTTAGAGATAGGAATTATTTCCTAACTTGTTGTTCTACAATGAAACTTGAACAATCCTGTGCGGCTCAGGATCTCAGAAATCATGAGTCACTGGAGACTTAAAAAGCTCATGCTGGCTGGGCACGGTGGCTCACGCCTGTAATCCCAGCACTTCGTGAGGCCGAGGTGGGTGGATCACCTGAGGTCAGGAGTTCGAGACTAGCCCGACCAACATGGTGAAACCCCGTCTCTACTAAAAAATACCAAAAAACTAGCTGGGCATGGTGGCACACACCTGTGGTCCCAGCTACTTGGGAGGCTGAGGCAGGATAATTGCTTGAACCCGGACGGCAGAGGTTGTGGTGAGCCGAGATTGCACCACTGCACCCCAGCCTAGGTGACAGAGCGAGACTCTGTCTCGGAAAAAACAAACAAACAAACCTCATGATGCTGCCAAACCTGAGCCATGGAAGCCAGAAGGTGGAATTGAGTGAACTGTCAGAATTGAGTGAACTTCAAAATCCCACCCTTGAATGTCAAAGTGTCCAGAGGAGAAAAGAGCACCTGAGAAGTCTAGATCAGTGGTTCCTGAACTTTGCTGCATATTAAAATCACCAGGGAAACTTGAAAAATCCCAAGGGATTCTATCTCATGCCAATTAAATCAGAATCTCTAGGGGTGAGGCCCAGGCATTAGTATTTTAGTTTCCGAGTGATTCTGATGTCTGACCAAATTTGAGACTCATGGTCTGTAGGAGTTGTTAAACTTTTTTTGTAAAAGGCCACAGAGTAAATACTTAGGCTCCTGGCTATACAATCTCTGTCACATCTACTCAGGTAGCAGGGAAGCAGCCATCAACAATACATAAATGAATGAGTGTGGCTGTATTCTGATATAACTTTATTTACAGAAACGGGGGTGCGCTAGATTTGGCCCACAGGTTGTAGTCTGCCAACTGCTAGTCCAGCAGAACTTTCTGGCTGAAACATTCTCGATCTTTGCTGTTCAATATGATGGCTACTGAGCACATGATGTGCAGCTAGTGCAACCGAAGAACTGAATTTCATTTTTAATTCAAATAGCCACACATGGCTAATTAACTGTTCTAATACATCAGTATTTCATCGGAATAGCCTCCAAAAACAAAACATGAACAAGGAAAAGAACCACATCTTAGGTGGCACTTAGAGAACTGTGCAGAGAAATTATACACAACATAATGATTTTTACCCCTAGAGTGAATCAGTTTTTTTTCTAATTAGAAATAAACTTAATGCCGGGTGCAGTGGCTCATGCCTGTAATCCCAGCACTTTAGGAGGCCAAGGAGGGGGGATCACGAGGTCGGGAGATCGAGACCATCCTGGCTAACACGGTGAAACCCTGACTCTACTAAAAGTACAAAAAATTAGCCGGGCCTGGTGGCAGGTGCCTGTAGTCCCAGCTACTCGGGAGGCTGAGCCAGGAGAATGGCGTGAACCAGGGAGGCGGAGCTTGCAGTGAGCTGAGATCATGCCACTGCACTCCAACCTGGGCGACAGAGCTAGACTCTGTCTCAAAAAAAAAAAAAAAAAAAAAAAAAAGAAATAAACATAATAAGGTACAAAGTATAAGACTTGTATGAAAAGTTAAAAGACGTAAAATTTCCTCTAACTGATCTATAGGTTAAATGCAATTCCAACCAAAAGCCAACATTTTTCAGATAATCTGAAAAGCTGATTCTAAAGTTTATGTATGTGGAAGACACGGGCTAGGATCCCCATGAGGACAATAAGCAGAGAGGTATGCCTATGCAAATTGAGATTTAGTTACACAGCTTTATAAGACAAAATCATATTGGCACAGGGATGGACAGATTCGTGGAGCAAAAAAAGACAACTGAGTATCTATAGAGAAAAAAAAAAAGAAACTGAATCCCTGACTCCTATCTTACAAGAAAATAAATTTTAGATACATCAAGGACTTGGATGTAAGAGGCAGAGCTATAAAACTTTTAGGAGAAAATATAGGAGAATAGCTTTCTGGCTTCAAAGTTTAGAAGCATCTTTATAAATACACAAAGGACACTAAACATTAAAAGAAACAATATATACCTTCAATTCTTGGAGTGCAGTGGTGTGATCTCTGCTCACTACAACCTCCACCTGCTTGGCTCAAGCGATCCTGCTACCTCAGCCTTCCAAGTAGTTGGGACTACAGATGCACACCATCATGCCTGGCTAATTTTCTGTATTTTTTGTAGAGACTGGGTCTTGCCATGTTGCCCAGGCTGGTCTTGAACTCCTGGACTCAAGAGATCAGCCTGCCTTAGCCTCCCAAATTGCTGGGATTACAGGTGTGAGCCACTGCACCTGGCTCCCATATCTTAATACATGGAAAAGACAAGTCATAATAAGGAGACTATGATACGCAAAAATGCAGAGGCATTTCTCAAGGGAAGAAACACAAAAAGGCATAAATGAAAAGTGATTCCCTGATCAATAACACAATAAAAAAAAAAAACTGGGCAAAGGATTGGAATATGAACACATCTCCAAAGAAGCTATACAAATGGCTGACAAACACATGATGAAATGCTAACCACCAATAGTCAGCAGGGAAATACAAATCAAAACCACAATGAGATACTACTTCACACCTACTACAATATAATAATCACAAAGACAGATAATAGCAAGTATTGGCTCCCACCCGTAATCTCAGCACTTTGGGAGGCTGAGGGGGGAGGATATTTTTTTTTTTCTTAAAATCTTGGAAAACAAGGGAGGTTCTCTTGAGCCCAGGAGTTCGAGATCACCCTGAGCAATGTAGGGAGACCTCATTTCTACTATTAAAAAAAAAAAAAAAATTAGCCAGACGTGGTAGCCAGCAACTGCAGTCCTAGCTACTGGGGAGGCTGAGGTGGGAGGATCCTCTGAGCGTAGGAGACTGAGGCTGCAGTGAGCTGTGATTGGCAACACTGCACTCCAGCCTGGGTGACAGCACAAGACCCCATCTCAAAAACAAACAAAACCATTACAACTGCATTATTCATAATAGCCAAAAAGTGGAAACAGCCCAAATATCTGATGAATGGATAAATAAAATGTGATATATTCACACACAGAATGTTATTCGGCAGTAAAACAGAAGAAGGTACTGACACGTTACAATGATATGATCCTTGAAAACACTATGCTCAGTGAAAAAACCAGTTACAAGGGGCCACATATTATGTAATTTCATTTATATGAAAAGTTCAGAACAAACAAATCTATACAGACGTAAAGAAGATTCATGGTGGGAATGGGAGCAACAGATCTAATCAATTCCCTGCACCACAATTTAATCAATTCTCTACTAGATATCTGGATTTTCAGTTTTCTCCTATTAGAGTGACTAATGTGCCTGGGAGTTTAGGGTGATGAAAATGCTCTTAGATTATGATGATGGTTGTACCACTCTGAATACACCAACAACTATTGAATTGGACACTTAAAAAAAAATGATTTATTTATTTATTTTGAGATGGAGTTTCACTCGTTGCCCAGGCTGGAGTGCAATGGCGCAATTTCGGCTCACTGCAATCTCCACCTCCCAGGTTCGAGTGATTCTTCTGCCTCAGCCTCCCGAGTAGCTGGGATTACAGGTGCCCGCCACCATGCCCAGCTTGTTTTTTGTATTTTTAGTAGAGACAGAGGTTCACCATGTTGGCCAGGATGGTCTCGAACCCCTGACTTCAGGTGATCCACCCACCTTTGGCCTCCCAAAGTGCTGGGATTACAGGCGTAAGCCACCGCGCCTGGCCGACACTTTAAATGAGTGAATTGTATGGTATGGGAATTAAGCTGTTAAAAAATAATTCACCTCATTATTAAACAAACAGATGCACAGTAAGACCAAATGCCACTTTTCACTCACCAGACAGGCAAAAGTTAACTTGTCTGACTGTTTTTGACATGTGTTCTCTGAAGTGGTATGTCTTGTTAAACTAAACTCTTGGTAAGTTATACTGATTACACTTGTATGAAAAGTATATGAAGCAGTTTCCAAATTCTCAGACTTCTGAAATCTTGGGTATTTTAAAAATCTTTGCCAGTTCACAGAGAGAGGTCTCCTTCAGTTAAAGCATTTCTGTGATTAGCACTGAAGTAATCTTTTTGCGTTTGTTTTAGCCATTTTTAATTCTTCTGCAAATTGATTAGCCACTTTTTTTGCCCATTTTCCCACTGGGATATTAATCTTTGCTAAGAACTCATGTATTTGGACTAATGACTCTTTTTTATGTATGTTGCAAGTGTGTTCCCAACCTCTCTTTATTTATGGTGGGTGTTCTTAAAGGAGAGCAAAAGAGGGGAGGAAACAACTCTCGATTTCACATGTGGTCTAATTTTTTATTTTAGAAAACTCCTTCCCATCACAAGATTTTCTGCCCCCAAATTTAATAGTATTATTTAATATTTAAATGCTTAAGTCTTTACACAACCCAGAATTTATTGCGGTCTTGGCTCAGGCCTGATTGAGGGCGCTATACTTACCAAAATGGGCAATAAGGACATCCCATCCATCTGTGTCTTATTTAGGTCGTAGCCAGCAATGTCCAAAATAGTAGGACCCAAGTCAATGTTGGCAACCAGCATCTATGAGAATGAGGGAAAAACAATCTAGAACACAGCTGGTCTCATTTTCCTTTTCTACCTATACTAAAGTTCTCTTCCCCCCACCCCGCCCATGAGACAACAGCACTATTACCTTTTATACAGCCCATACTTTGGTCTGTTTCATAGATCCAAATATAACTATAATAACTTCAAACAAAATATAAAGGCTTATAAGGCTTGTATAATAGTATATCCCCCTGGCAAGTTACATATTTATTCTACCCATTCTGTTATTGATCAAAATGTTTTTTGAAAACTCCTTTGGGACTGCTTTGAGTTTGTTGCGAATCATGAGAAAAATGTTGGTCTAATTATTTTATACAAAGTGTCTTACAACTTGATTATTCAGATTAACTAAGTTTGATTTCAAATGAACTCCAGACATTTTGGAAGGCCTCAAAAAAGGAATGCTTCCCATCAGTGAGAATTATTAGCTCTTTTTATAGCTTCTCAAAGGGACAACACTGCCAAAATATGTTTGCAACAGGCTGTGAAGGCTGCAGAAAATTTATTCCAAAAATGTAGCAATAAAAGTTTTTTTAAGAGCAAAAGACTTAGATGTTTTTAAACATTCTAGAAACTAAAGGCATTGTCCTGTATTTATACTTTGACTTATTTCCTTGGTTATTAGACTATTTTCCTTCTGTAAGACAATGCCTCTACAGGGCCTAATCCAGAGTAGCCTAATGGAAATATAAAGGGGACCCCATATGTAATTAAAAATTGTCCAATAACCACATTAATAAAAACAGGTAAAACTGTATATATTTTAACCTCCTATAAAAATATCTGAATATTAATATTTCAACATGTAAACAATATTTTTTAAAAAATCAATGAGATTTAACTTTTTGTGAACCAAGCCTTTGAAATCTGGTATTTCACAATAATAATACATCTCCATTTGGACTATCCACATTTCAAGTGCTCGACAGCCACAAGTGGATAATGCAGGCCTAGAGAGAATGTAAGCATAGAAGTCACTTGGTCACAGGCTAGAAAAATCTTCAAGCACTGAAACAATCCATTGAGCGAAACAAAGAGGAAGTGAGAAAAACTGGGAACTAAAGTTTACTGTGCCAGGCATTTGACATTTATTCTCATTTATTCCTCATCACAGTCCTTGGACACAGTGTTTATAGGTGAAGAAATGAAACACAAATCACTGAAGCAAAGTTATCAGCTTATAACTGGAAAAGCCATTACTTACTGACAGGAAGTAACAGTCTTCAAAACTGTTGAGAACATTTAGATCATCTTAGGAGAGGCCAAACAGGGAGATAAAACAAAACAAAAACACCCCAGCCCTGCCACTTTTAATTTAAAAACAAAACCAAAAGTACAGATATGAAAGGCAAAAAAAAAAAAAAAAAAAAAAAGCTTCAGAATATTATCAGGGGCCAGGTTTCCTGATGGCCAGGACAGCTCTTAGAGGGCAGAATGATAAATATCCTGGCCCTGAATCAATTAGTCTAACTCTGCAGCTGTCAGGTATTACTGCCCAAAGGCAGGCACTTCAGGAGAAAGGCAATCCATATGTTACTCAGTGGGGGAAAAACCTCACACACAAAAAACGATGTCTCCAGGGATGATACAAGACCCACTGTTACAGATAATTTTCCTGGTTCGAAGACCCCCAGGCAAACTGAGCAGCTTGGAAAACAGTCATCAAGTGTGAATGTCAATATGGAAGAGGTCACAGCAGGAAAGGAGGGTCAGAGAGAGATACCATCTCCAGAATGAGATCAAGACAACAAGCCATCTACAGACCCTGAAGTGTGACTAACAGATCTTCAGTGATATCTGTAAAATGAATGAGGTGAAGCCAGTTCCTCAGATACTACTATGATGTCCAAGGCAGTTTTAAAAGAAAAGAGGAAACATAAAAAAACCCAGAGATATAAAATGGTGACTGTCATCTCACCAAAAATTGCAAGAGCCACCACCTGTATAATGGGAGGCTTGTTCCTTTTTTGGTGAGGTGGGGGGAAGCTCTTTTTTGTTTTGTTGTTTTTTGAGACAGGGTCTCATTTTGTCACCCGAGCTGGAGTGCAGTGGCACAATCACAGCTCACTGTGGCCTTGACCTCCCAGACTCAACTGATCCTCCTGCCTCAGCATCCAGAGCAACTGGGACTACAGGTACACACCATGATGCCCAGCTAAATTTTGTATTTTTTTATTTTTCGTAGCAATGCCATGTTGCCTGGGCTGGTCTCAAACTTCTGAATTCAAGTGATCCGCCTGCCCTGGCCTCCCAAAGTGCTGGGATTACAGGCGTGAGCCACTGCACCCAGCCGAGGCTCTTTCTAATGGCATTTTGCTCTCTGGAGATAAAGGGGTAAGTTCCAGTATAAATCCAAAGTCACTAAGATTCAGCACAAGTACCGTAAGCACAAGTCATTCCAGGACTCCTTCTCCCTAGAAATCTATAATGATCACACTCCCCTAAATATAATGGATAAAATGTCTCCTCTTCTAGAATTTTATTTGAATAAGCGGACAGTCTCAAAATTAGCATACTATATCAGGAGATGGGAGACTTCTAGCAAATACCAAGTATGAATGAAGAGTTAAAAAGAATTATACCTACCTCTGGTTTTTATATAACCAAGAATTTGGATGGATTCACCCATCAATGTGATGACTTTGAGAAACACTAGTTTCACAGTATTGCTTTTGTCTAGTATAAACTTAAAAATTCATTTAAGGGCTGGGCACAGTGGCTCTCGCTGGTAATCCCAGCACTTTGGGAGGCCAAGGCAGGAGGATCACTTGAGCTCAGGAGGCCAAGGCTGCAGTGAGCCATGTTTGAGCCACCACATTCCAACCTGGTGAGAGAGCACCTATCTCAAACAAACAAAAAAATCATTTACGGATTGGAACAGAAAAAGCTTTGACAAGACCAAAAATATATCTATTTTTTGAGACAGATTTTTTGCTCTGTTGCCCAGGCTGGAGTGCAATGGTGCGATCTCGGCTCACTGCAATCTCCACCTCCTGGGTTCAAGCAATACTCTTGCTTCAGCCTCCCAAGTAGTTGGGATTACAGGCACCTGCCACCACACCTGGCTAATTTTTTTTTTTTGTTGTTTTTTTTTTTTTTTTGAGACGGAGTCTCACTCTGTCACCCAGGCTGGAGTACAGTAGCACGATCTCAGCTCACTGCAAGCTCTGCCTCCCGGTTTGATGCCATTCTCCTGCCTCAGCCTCCCAAGTAGCTGGGACTACAGGCGCCTGCCACCACGCCCAGCTACTTTTTTTGTATTTTCAGTAGAGACGGGGTTTCACCGTTTTAGCCAGGATGGCCTCGATCTCCTGACCTCGTGATCCGCCTGACTCAGCCTCCCAAAGTGCTGGGATTACAGGTGTGAACCACCGCGCCCAGCCTCTTTTTTTTTGAGATGGAGTCTCACTCTGTTGCCCAGGCTGGAGTGCAGTGGTGTGATCTTGGCTCACTGCAAGCTCCGCCTCCTGGGTTCACACCATTCTCCTGCCTCAGTCTCCCGAGTAACTGGGACTATAGGCGCCCGCCACCACACCTGGCTAATTTTTTGTATTTTTTAGTAGAGACGGGGTTTCACTGTGTTAGCCAGGATGGTCTCGATCTCCTGACCTCCTGATCCGCCTGCCTCGGCCTCCCAAAGTGCTGGCATTACAGGCGTGAGCCACCGCGCCTGGCCTAATTTTTGTATTTTTAGTAGAGACAAGGTTTCACCATGTTGGCCAGGCTGGTTTCAAATTCTTGACCTCAGGTGATCCACACCTGCCTTGGCCTCCCAAAGTGCTAGGATTACAGGCGTGAGCCACCATGCCCAGACAAAAAAATAAATTATTTGATAAATCACTTTCTCAGGTTGAGAATGTTCTTAGGATTTAAGTATATAAATATCCTAATCAAATGAAAGTCCTTAGAAAACCCTGGGGTAGACTGGCTGTGGTGGCTCATGCCTGTAATGAGGGGAGGAGGGCTGATTGCTTGAGCCCAGGTGTTCCAGACCAGCCTGGGCAACATAATGAAACCCCGTCTCTACAAAAACAAACAAACAAACAAAAAACAAAAAACAAAAATTAGCTGGGCATGGTGGTGTGCACCTATAGTCCCAGCTACTCAGGAGGCTGAGGTAGGAGAATCACCTGAGCCTGGGAGGTGGAGGATGCAGTGAGCCAAGATTGTGCCACCACACTCCAGCCTAAGTTACAGAGCAAGACCCTGTCTCAAAAAAAAAAAAAAAAAAAAAAAAAAAAAAATTCCTGGGGCTTAAATCAAAGGGTATCATGCATTGAACCTGCTTATTCTTGCTCTGAAAGAATGACACTTGCATAATTACTGAAAAGAACAAGATGGCAACGGGCTCTCAGAACACATCAGGTTTCCAGACACCCAAACCCTGATGTTGAATTTCTGTAGAGTTATCAAAGAAAAGGCTCCAAACATACCAGAAAGCACCCCAAATCCATTTAGTGAAAAGCACTGTAACTACATGAGAAAGTGCAGAATCCCATATCTTGGTTGCTTCAGCTGGACTTGCCCCTCAGTTCCAGCTTTCCTGACAAGGAAGAAGCTGGGGCATCACCTGGTTCCACCTGATAATGGAGGCTTAACATCCTCTTACTTTTACAAAAGTAGGGGAACCAAGGCTGATTTTGTCCAAAGCCAACAGGTCGTCTTCCTGACTCCCAGTTCAGTTCTATTTCCCTGGGACGGTGCTGTGTCATTCTAGTTTTCCTACTAACCTTTTCCTTTTTAGAATTCCTTTTGCAGAACTTCTACCACCAAATCTAAAGCTAAACTAGTCAGAGGAGAAAACGTCAATAGTCAATCTTTGACATCTACACATATGACCTTGTCCCATTTCTCCCACACAGCTTAAGTCCACCAGTCAGTTAAATGTGCACTGATCTGGCTGTCAAGGCTGCTGACAGCTCAGCTCATTATGCCCAACTCACAAGCCTGTGCCACTCACACAGAACAGCTGGCACTGAGACAACTATGCTGCCAACACATGATGCATCACCCATCGTCTCCGACATTCTTTGTGCCAGGGGAAAGCTGGGGCATTTCATGCTTCTCAAATTACACCTGTCAATGCAGCAATGTAAATTCTGAGAATGCACAGACTTAATTTTCAGTCCCTGATCTGCCACTTACTTTGCGACCTTGGCAAAATCCATTCAACCAATGTGGATGTTCCCCAGTGTATGTTAGGGGCTGGATATTTTAAGTTTAGATAGTTCCTCTTTTCTAGGACATCCTAGACTGAAAAAGACAAACTTAATAGGGTGTGACAAGTGTGAGGCCAGCTGGGAACATATAGGAAGGGGCATCTACCCCATGTGGGAGCAGGATTATGAAGCGACTTCCCAGAGGGAGCGGTAAACCAAAGCCCTAAAGGACAATTAACTTGACTAGCTGAAGAAGGCGCGAGATGGGCATTCCAGAAGGAAGGAGTAGTCACTTGTACAAAAGCCAGGAGGTGACAGAGAAGGTCCGCTTAGGAAGTACAAGGAGTTCAGTACAACTGCTACCTTCTGTCTCTTGAACAAGCCTAGCTTATCCCTACATCTGGGCCTTCGCATTTACCGTCCTGCTCAGGACACTCTTCCCACAGATCTCTGCACAGCTAAATCCTTCTCAACATCCACATCTGCTCAAATGCCAAATGCCTAAGAGGCTTTCACTGACCACTGCAGCTTAAATATCTGGTGCTCCCTGACACAAGGATTTAAGAACTGATCTTGTGACCAGGCATGGTGGCTCGCGCCTGTAATCCCAGCACTTTGGGAGGCCGAGGCAGGCAGATCATGAGGTCAGGAGATCTAGACCATCCTGGCTAACACGGTGAAACCCCATCTCTACTAAAACAAAAACAAAAACAAAAAATTAGCTGGGCATGGTGGCAGGTACCTATAGTCCTAGCTACTAGGGAGGCTGGGCAGGACAATAGCGTGAACCCAGGAGGCGGAGCTTGCAGTGAGCTGAGATCGCACCACTGCACTCCAGCCTGGGTGACAGAGCAAGACTCCATCTCAAAAAAAATGAAAAAACAAAACAAAACTCATCTTGTTTGATTGCTCCTTGCCGTATGCAAGGCTCCTTGGTGTACCGTGCTGGCAAGGAAGATAATAAATACTTGTTGACTGAACTATAATGTAATGGTTAAGTATACAGACTTTGGAGCCAGACTGCCCCAGTTCAAATGCAGGGCTCTGCTACTTTTTGGCTACGTGATCTTCAGCAAACAACTTCTCTGCTTCAGTTTTCCTCATCTGCAAAATAGGGATAACAGTACCTCTATCTCATCAACTGTGAGGATTGAATGAGTTAAATCAGGTAATAAACTTAGAATAGCACCTGTCCCATACTAAACACTCAATAAATGTTAGCTATATTATTGAAATGGCTTCTCAGGAACCAGACTTCATTTAGATTGCTTAGAGAAGGTGAAGTTTCTGATTTTTAACATTTAGATGGCAATGTTAACTTAAAGAAAAAAAGGAACAGTTTTTTCCACAGGCAGCTGGCTGACACATTTCACTATGATCTCATTCAGCCTCCTTCCCATGTGGGCTGAGGTAGCCCTGCTCCTAAAAACAGAACATGGCTGCTGACATGGTCTCCTCAATCAGTTCCAAACACCAACCTCAAGAAAACACTTTTAAGATTTAATGGTCTTCTAAACTTGCTTATCTCCTTTGAAAGAGGAAGCCTGTTTAGAAGGCACTGAAATTTGTAGGGAAAAGTGACTAGCTTTAGGAATGTGGGTCTTCAGAGAAAAACACAAAACGTAATTATGAAGGCCATTTTACCCTTCCAAGAGAATTTTAACAGAATTCCATCAAGAGTGTTTTAAAAGGAAATAAGTGAAAAATAGACATTTAAACAAGTAAACATCAAGCTCCAAAATTAAACTAAAGTACCCAATATACCCAGAAAGTCTGGCCCATTTAAAAACCCACTTTGCAATTTTAGCTTAAAGTGTGTATTTGTTCATCTTCCTTGGTCTCACAGAACTGGGACTGAAACTGAAATTGTGATATCAGGAAGGAGAGAAGACATAGCTGGTGGAGGCTGTCAATTCTTTTCTCCTGAGTGTTGGAGGACAGTATTTTGGATGAAGGTCCTCATGACTGCTAGGAACAAAGTGCCTCAGCATTAGGTACCACGTTTAGAAAAAGACACTGAAACCAAATGGGAAAGACAACAGAACAATGTGGCATATTATGGCAGTTCTAGGAGAGAGAACCAGGAAAGCAACAAAGCATTCATAAGGAAGAGCCCAGCACAGGGAAAGACTAATTCCTAGAAGACATGTTTTTGATAGCCTTATACTCAAAGCAAGGTCAGGCCAGCAGCAGACATCACCCGGGAGCTGATCAGAAATGGAGAAGCAGAATCTGCATTTTAACCAGATCCCAGGGGATTCACACACAGAAAAGCCTGAGGGGCTCTGCTCTACAAGGCAGTGGGCCCCAAACCAGGCTGCCTCTCAGAATCACCTGCAAACTTCAAAAGGAAAAAAGGCAGATGTTGGGTCCCTATTCCAGACCAAGTGAGTCAATCATACTCTTTCTGGATATTGCCCAAGCACGTACCATTTTTCTTCTTCAGTTTCGGAGGGCAATTTTGATGCACATCCTCTGTTGAGAGTCACTGCTCCAGAACAAAGTAAAGATCTAGTCTCAAAAGACAAAGAAAAGCTATGCATTCTAATGAGACATGTATATGTGGGGTGAAAATACAGATACAGAGAGCAGTGGGAAGTTAAGGAAAAAAAAAAGCAATCATTGTTTCCACTTAAAAACTCTTCTGCTGCTCAGCCCTAGTGGGAAGAGGAACCTAACCAATCTTATCTCAGGAGGAAACACCTTATTTTCTCAGGCAAGTGCCTACCTGTCCACAGCACCAGCTTGTCAGGCACCTACCTTGCTTGTCTGATTTGGTTTGATCCCAGGTCCTCGAACCAACAGTGGAACTTTGATATCAAACTCATACAGCTGTCTCTTGTCTATTGGCAAGGAAAACTGTCCTGAAAACAAAACACACAATGTAAAGATGGAGCCAAGACAGGAGCCTTGCTCATGTTATGTTTCACTCATTTAATCCACAGCCAAAACTAAAACAACTTTGTTCTACTGATTCTGGTGTTTTAATAGAAAGCTGAAATTTGCCTGGGTCTCTTGTTACTACAAGGCAGGAAAACAACAAATTCATCTTCTCTAAACAAATGACTAGAAGGGACTCCCTGGCTTATGATAGAACAAAATAAGCAAAAATAATGACAGGAAAGTATTGAAACACAAATACATAAAAAATTATGCATGCTACTCAGCCTCATCACAACTGAATGAAGTTTACTCCAAAAACTGTCAAATGAACAAAAACACCTATCCTGTGTTTCCTGAATAAACTGCATCTCAAAATAACCAAATAACTGATAAGGGGAAGTTCTTCTCTGAGGAATTTCAGCTAATAAATACAAAAGAAAGGACAGGATTACAAAATCAATATTTTGCAGTTTCTGAGGGAATAATGAATTTAGGCAGCAATCATCAATGGAACAACAGAAAAGCTCATAGGAAGAGCTAAGGCTGAAACCACCTGACTCATCAATCAACACCAGCACTCCAAAAACAGTGCAGCCAGATGCCACGGGCCTCATGACATGATGCAACAGGAAGTACACAGCAGCAGGTGAGGATGCACTGTCACCTGAAAATGCAAACTTCTATCAAGTCCCTAATCTAACTACCAATCTATAGGAAATGCTAACTAGAGATGAACAAGTTAAGGCACTATAAGACAGCAGTTAGCCAAATTCAAAATGTGAGACATTCTGATGGACAAAGACCCACTTCTCCCTGTAAATTCGTGGCAAATGACAGAGTTAGGAGATACAAGAACTAAAGGTAGTATGTGGACTTTGCCTGCATCTTTTTTTTTTTTTTTGAGATGGAGTCTCGCTCTGTCACCCACACTGGAGTGCAGTGGCACGATCTTGGCTTACTGCAACCTCTGCCTCCTGGGTTCAAGAGATTCTCCTGCCTCAGCCTCCCGAGTAGCTGAGACTACAGGCATGTGCCACCACACCTGGCTAATTTTTGTATTTTTAGTAGAGAAAGAGTTATGCCATGTTGGCCAGGCTGATCTGGAACTCCTGGCCTCAGGTGATCCACCTGCCTTGGCCTCCCAAAGTGCTGGGATTATAGGTGTGAGCCACTGAGGCTGGTGGTCTGCATCTTGATACATAATAACCAGAGTCAGATGCATAATCCGGTGTTGAATCCTGGAGTCATGTGTATGGGAGTTGCTTCAAAACCTTCTAGTAACAAAAGAAAAACACAGGGAGAGTAGGAAGAATTCAAAAGACTGGCCTCATGCAGCTGAAAATCTAAGCTGGATAATGGAGGTTATTTTACTATTCTCTACTTTGAGTGTTTAAAAATATTCACAGGCCAGGCGTGTGGCTCACGTCTGTACTCCTAGCACTTAGGGAGGCTGAGGTAGGCAGATTACCTGAGGTCAGGAGTTCAAGACCAGTCTGGCCAACATGGCAAAAACCCATCTCTACTAAAAATACAAAAATTGGCCAGGCGTGGTGGCGTGTGCCTGTAGTCCCAGCTACTCGAGAGGTTGAGGCAGGAGAATTGCTTGAATCTGGGAGGCAGAGATTGCTGTGAGCCGAGATCACGCTACTGTACTCCAGCCTGGGTGACAGAGCGAGATTCTGTCCCCCCACCAGCCCCCCAAAAAAATCACAATAATGCATTAAATGCCTAAGCGATCTCCTCCTATGCAAGCAAGTCTCAAGTGAATCCCATTCAAGTGGACATTTATATATGTGGAAAGAAGAAAACATTTGCTTTTAACAACAGAAGGTCCAAGCAGAAAGCATGAAAGTCAAGGACACAGAGCTGACTCATCCTGCAGCTTTTGAAAAAAACAAAAACACCCAAAAAACAAATTCCATGAATGGCAAGAAAGTTTTCCCAAGACAACCTCCTTTTGGTCTTCCTATCTCAAATGCCTTCCATACGGCCTGCCTCCAACCCATCAAGCTCATGCTCTGCTCCCACTCCTAGAACACCATGTCATCTTGCATGTGAAACAGCAAATAATGAAACCTGGTTTCTCCACGTGGGTATGATGTGGTGCTCCAACTGGAGGGGTCCTGAGGGCAAGATCCTCCCTCTGGCATGTCCACAGTTATAAAAAGACTAGAACTCCCTCCCAGGGCTCATTGGGTGAAAAAGGAAAGACATATTCTCAAAGATCACAGCAGTACCTACTCCTGCCTCTGACCTGTGTGATAGCCATTGTCTGAGGTATAGAAGATGTAAGTGTTGTTGAGCTCCCCAGTGAACTCCAGCCTCTTGACCAGTTTCTCCACAAGGTCATCAACTGAGAGGAGAGTTTGCCACCTGGATGTGAACAGAAGGTAGAAATGGGACTTCAGGGGCAATGGCTGAGGTATCACTATCTTGCCAAAAAAAAAAAAAACCAAAAACAAAAACAAAGACACCCCCGTTTAAAAAAAAAAATCCAAAACAACCCCCGTTTAAAAAAAAAAAATTGCAAAACACTCTCCCCCAAAACTCAAATCCCCAATCTCCATTCCCTAGACCTTCCCATTGTAAAAAACAGATTAGAAAATTCCAGAACATAATTAATTCATTCCAAAGTTAATTGTTTCCAAAGAAATAAACTCGTTTTTAAATAACCAGTTAGCTTTACTTTTTATTGGCAATAGTGATGAGAGTAGAGACAATCGGAAGGAAGAGTTGTCCATTCTCAGTACTGTGTATTACAGATTAATTCAGATAGGACTGTGCTACAAAAAAGCTTAAGATGTTTGAACTAGGAGCTGGCAAGCTATGACTCATGGGCCAAAGCTTGCCCACTGTCTGTTTTTATAAAGTTTTATTGGACCACAACCATGCTCATTCATTTACATGTTACCCAGGGCTGCTTTTGTGCTACAACAGCAGAGCTGAGTAGTTGTGACAGAATGTATGACCTGCAAGCCTATTAATATTTACTATCTGCCCCTTTACAGAAAAAGTTTGCTTATCCCTGGTCTACACTAAACACTTCCTAAGAGAAAGTAATGGATTTTTAAAAATTGACTTAAGAGAATTTCTTGAAAATTCCAAATGGCAAAGGCAGATATTTTGATCTTGTCTAAGCTTTTGGGTCATTTGTCACATATGACAATGGGCTCTCTCAACCAAGTCACCTTTTCTTTAAAGCAGGAGAAAAAATTCTACCACATGGTTCAAGTTTGCAAGACTTTTGCCAAGTCCTAAAAATGGGCAGTCTAATTAGTACTGGGGTCCAAATGCCACCTCATTCATTTGAGTGTAAAGGAATCTCTCTGCTTCTGGTGCCCCATCGAAGCCTCTCTCCCACTGACTTGCTTCCCTCTGTTTTTGTTTCAGAGACAACAATGTGGTGTGGTCTCCTCTTCATGAGCTGATTTGCAGGGTCTTTAAAACCACTCAGATTGTTATGTAGCAGCAGCTCTTACCTTTTCCTAAATGCATTATCTAAAAACTGTATTGAAGAATTAGTCATTGGAGTCTTGGCTTGCCTAATTAACCAGTGCTTGTTCTAAAATTTAGAAGAAAAAAAATGTTAACACCAAGTCACCACAGTCAAACAAACTACTGGATTACTACAGTAGATAATAAATAGAACCGTTTCACTCATACTTCAGCAAGAAGGAACTAACTGGAACTTGTTTAAGCAATTTCAGAACTTCTCTCCCTTCCTGTGTTCCTAAAATAGAAATTTCTGTAGATTAACTCAATCTCTCATTCTTCAGCTTCCCAGCACCTCCCAAACCATAAAAGGTCTTGGCTTCTCTGTTGGCAGTATTAAGAGATTTTAGAGGATGTCACTGGGAAACTACTAGCTAAAGCGAGATTACATTTACAACTCTGATCTTATGCCTTTGGTCTACTACAATTAGAAAATGGGCAAATAGGGCGTAGTGGCGGGCGCCTGTAGTCCCAGCTACTTGGGAGGCTGAGGCAGGAGAATGGCGTGAACCCGGGAGGCGGAGCTTGCAGTGAGCCGAGATCCCGCCACTGCACTCCAGCCTGGGCGACAGAGCGAGACTCCGTCTCAAAAAAAAAAAAAAAAAAGAAAATGGGCAAATAACTTTACCTTCCTCTAAGTTGCTTTTTTTGAGACAGAGGCGGAGGTTGCATTGAGCCGAGATCGCACTACTACACTCCAGCCCAAGCCCAAGCTGGAGTACAGTGGCACGATCTCGGCTCACTGCAACCTGTGCCTCCCGGGTTCATGCGATTTTCATGCCTCAGCCACCTGAGTAGCTGGGATTACAGGCGTGCACCAACATGCCTGTCTAATTTTTGTATTTTCAGTAGAGATGGGGTTTCATCATGTTCGCCAGGCTGGTCTTGAACTCCTGGCCTCAGGTGATCCTCTTGCCTTAGCCTCCCAAAGTGCTGGGATTACAAGCATAAGCCACCATACCTGGTCTACCTTCCTCTAAGTTTTGCCTAGCCAAGATATCGGTCACCCTAGATCCTAAGGAAAAATCTTATTACAGCAATTTCCTAAAACTTCAAGTCTAAATCTGGAGGGCCCTCCCATTTAAACAAAGACATCCCTATATACTATTCTCTCTTCTCTATTCGTAAAACCCTAAGCCACCAGATCTCAAACTATGCTCCTCAAAGTGTTATTAAGTTTGAGAAATGCTGTATAGCATATTCTCCTGCTAGAAATTCACATTCGATCATGAATAACTCTGAGAAGTCCTGTAGCAGAGTGACTTATTTAACTCAAACTTTCCAAACTTACTTGACCATGGGAACTTTTTATTAACTTCTTTTGGAACACAGATTGAGAATCGTCCTATTTTACTATTTTTTAATTTATTTTATTTTATTTTATCTTATCTTGTCTCATCTCATCTTATTTTATTTTATTTTGATGGAATCTTGCACTGTTTCCCAGGCTGGAGTGCAGTGGTGCGATCTCGGCTCACGGCAAGCTCCGCCTCCCGGGTTCACGCCATTCTCCTGCCTCAGCCTCCCGAGTAGCTGGGAGTACAGGTGTCCACCACCACGCCCGGCTAATTTTTTGTACTTTTAGTAGAGATGGGGTTTCACTGTGTTAGCCAGGATGGTCTCAATCTCCTGACCTCGTGATTCGCCCGCCTTGGCCTCCCAAAGTGCTGGGATTACAGGCATGAGCCACTGCGCCCGGCCAGTACTCTAATTTAAAACACAGTTCACTCAGCTTTGAAACTGTATTTAACAAGCACATGCCTATAATGTGCCAGACAATATGCTAATTGTTTCTATGTACTTGAATTCATACAGTAGTTCCATGAGGGATCAAGAACTCCCACTTCACATGAAAAAATGAAGTTAAGCATCGTGCTCATAGTCTGTACTGAGCTAGAAAGTGGTAGTACTGAGTTTGACTTTATGACTCATTCTTTCTATAACCTTACAAGCAATTACAATTTCTGGATAACAAACCTGAGGCAATGCAGGCCTTCTGTCTTTGAACCAGGGAACTGTCTATACACCAAGCCAAGGGAAGTATAAGTAATTGGCACGTGAGGCAAATACATGGGTTGTTGTGGTTCTTAATCATGTCACCTCGTTCATTTTTCCATTCAACTTCCCTTTCCAACCATATTGCTCTGTGCCACCCCTTCTTCCCATGCCTCAAAGGCTAGTGAGGGCCACCAGGAGGCTGGTGCAGTCCCGGCTATGCCAGGAGGGAGGAGAGTCAGCACAGAGGTTACCAGGAGAGCCTGAGTGATATTCCTGTAAATTGGGAAAGATGGCATTCTTTACCATTCCCTGTCAACTCTCCAGCTGCTCACTGGATGTGTAGCAGGAACTTTATCTGTACTTGCAATGCAAGTTTATACTATTGGTTGTACTAGGGACAGATGCAATTACCTTTAAAATATTGTGAAGAAAAACCCACTACATGGCTCAAAGGCTTCCTGACAAGTATACCATATAGTTAATGATACTTAGTATGGCTGAATACAAGTGGTGGGGGAAGCTACCGTTCCATGGATGTTGAAGTTCTTGTTTCTTGGTGCAAAGACATTCTGGAAAGCCTTCTGGTACTGAGGTGCAGCTGTCCAAGGCGAATGAGGCGCTGGAGTGGCGATCATCATGAAGAAGGGCTCAAAGTTGGACTTGTAGTCCAGAAAGTCCAAGGAGACATTAGCCTGACACATAAAAAGATTTGTCATCTCCTACCTTACCCAACAGATGAGTATTTAATAGATAAATGTCTTCTGGTGAGCAGACAGTACAGGGTCTTACTAGCTTTTAAGCAATCTTAGCACATGATCTTATGTCATAGCCATTTGCAAGCATATTGTTGGAACAAATATATTTGTTTTTTAGGCAATACTTTAAAAACTGAGAAGCATACCAACATAAGAAGGCAATTAAGATCTTGATGACTTTTTATGACCTAGAAATCATGTCTCCCACAAAGAAGGAAACAGTAACTTGGATATTTTACTATTAACTTACACTAATGGAGATTATGGTATCTACATGTGATGCCTTAAAGAATGTAAAAAGACAGTCAACTTAAAACAGTGGGAAAGGTAGATTAAGTTACCTTAACCTTATGAAAATATGTAGAAAGTAGATGTCATAAATTATGCACTGAAGTAGCTAAGTGAATAATATTAGATTCAAATACATTCCACTAGGGTTTTAATACATGGACTTAAGTTTTGCCTTTGCTTATCAGGAGATACTTTATGAAAATGAAAGCATGCTACATACATGTTGTTTTTCATTGTTCTGAAGTAGTTTCATGTATTCCCAACACTAACTCAACAGATACTGACTGTATCTATCTCCTATAATCCCTCCATCCACCTTTCACTCCAGTCCTGTCAGCTTCCTTGTGGTTTCTCAAATATGCCAGGTATACTCCTGCCTCAGGGCCCTCCTACTTACTATTCCCTGACTCTGTAGCACTCTTCCCCCTGATCTGCACAGCTCATTCTCACCTACTTCAGGTTTCTGCTTAAATGTTATCTAAGTAACCTCATACCCTAACTTATTTCTCGAACTGATCACCAGCTAATGATGCAACACGTAAGACTGTGTGTGTTTGTGTGTGTAAATAAAATTAACTTCCACAGAATCAGGGACTTTGCTTCATTTACTGTTGAACACTGGCTACACTAGGTGCTCAACTATTGAGTGAATATATAATACTATTGAAGACTGTCATTAGAAACGCCTCAGAATAGGAAAGTCCCAATTTCACCTGCTTTCAGTAATTTTTATATGTAAATACCCAATGCCCAAATAAATCCAGTATCCCTATCTCTCCATCCTCATAATGGGGCCTGTGAAGCTGACATCTTGTAGCTTGTGAGTAAAACCGGGGTCAAGAGTAGGTACACTTACAAAGTAAAACCTCTACAAAGTAATCTCTGTAGTCGAAGAGATTAACCTTTGGAAAAGGGATTTGTTGCTGGAATTTCAAGAGCATTAGATCTGAGCCTGGCTTATACACAAAGAAAACACCCTGAGGAGTTTGTAATCAGCTGGAAATACTCTTGGGCAGTTAGACCAAGTTACTGTGCATTTATATTACCCAACACAAACGAATAAGATTATAGGTTTTCTAGGCAGAGTCTTCAATCAAATGTGAGCCAACCCTGTAAGGACAGAGCTACAAAGCTTCTGCAACTCACCAAAACATCTGTCAGGTAGTCCACACTATAGTTTTCACCATGCTTCCGTGCCTTCCCATTGATAGACAGGGTGTAATTATAATACTTAGAATTCTTTTCCTATTAAAAAGAGGAAAGTCAAATTTGTTATGAGGTCAGTGCACAAAGTGGAAGTCTGAATCCGTGCTGGGCTAAACTCTACTCTGAGCAGTGATAAGACATTAAAAAGATAATTACTCAAGTCAATACTGAATTGGATTTTTTGACTAGGGTTTTATTAAAGACAAGCATAGTTTCAATTATGCATTCTAGTTTAAAAGCCAGAAGTAGATCAGGTAGAAAAGCAAACTACTTTGCTAAACCTTGTACAATGCAGGAAAAACATCCCAGAAAGGAGTGACTCACAAGTCAATAGACTTTTTTTTTTTTTTTTTTTTTTTTTTTTTTAAAGAGACAGAGTCTCTCTTTGTTGCCCAGACTGGAATGCAGTGGCACAATCACAGCTCACTGCAGCCTCAAATTCCTGGGCTCAAGTGATCTTCTTACCTCAGCCTCCCGAGTAGCTGGGACTACAGGCACACGCCACCACACCCAGCTAATTTTAAAATTTTTTGTTGAAATGGGGTCTCGCCATTTTGCCCAGGCTGGTCTCGAACTCCTGAACTCAAGAGATCCTCCTGTCTCTGCCTCCCAAAGTGTTGGGATTCTAGGCGTGAGCCACTACACCTGGCCACAAGTCAATAAATTTTAAGGTTTTTAAAATGACTAATTGTAAAAGCAAATAAAGTTATGTCAATATCAGAGCTAAATTAAACATATTCTGCATCTGTAGGGCTGCATAAAATTGTCACAGACTTCAATAATCACTCACCAAGGCATACCAGTAACTCCAACCCAGAGGAACGTGTTCTAGTCCACCTGCATCTGGGGCTCCGTACTGAAAAGCAAAACAAGTAGGGACAATTACAAGTCCTTAGATATGACCAGACCAGAAAGAAACAGGAAATTTTACAATCTTTTTAGACCAGTGCCTGAAACATAGTAGGTACCTAATTTCCCCAAATAGACACTAGTCAAAAATAAACGCTAATAATCCTAGGAACTTCTAAAGCAGGAGTTGGCAAACTACAGCCAGTGAGCCAAATCTGGCCTGATGACTTTTGTATGAACAGCAAGCTAAGAATTTAACAATTTTAAAATATAAAAGTTAATCAAAATAAGAATATTTTGTGAAATGTGACAATTACATAAAATTCAAATTTTAACAGCGATAAAGAGTTTTATTGGAACACAGCCACATTCATTTACATAGTGCAGTGTCTGTGGCTGCTTTCACGCTACAGTGGCAGAGCTGAATAGTAGCAACAGAGACATATGGCCTGCAAGGCCTGAAATGTTTACTATCTGACCCACTACAGAAAAAGTCCACACAGCCTACCCCACACAGCCTATTCATGGGGTGAATGCTGAGCTGCTGATACCATAGACTGAATAGTCCAACTGACCCTAAGCAGTTCAAATAATCAGACTATAAGCTATTGACTTATTATAAGTTGAACATCCCAAATCTGAAAATCCAAAACTTTTTGAGTGCCAACACGACACTCAAAGGAAATGTTCACTGGAGCACTTCAGATTTTCAGATTTGGACTGTTCAACCAGTAAGTATCATGCAAATATTTCAAAATCCAAAAAATCTGAAACGCAAAATACTTCTGCTCCCAAGCATTTTGGATAAGGGATAATCTGTATTTCAGTTGCCCTGCAGATGAAACCCACTTTTAGAGCTCGATTTATCTGATGAGATGAATAAAATAAAGAAACCACAGAATTATCCCACTTTATCCTTACAAGGTTTAATGCCATCCACTTAAGGCAGAATTTAATCCCTGAAAACAAAATCTTTATACTTTAACGATCTCTCTTAATTTTATATACACATCAGATGACCTTCAAATATGCAAAGTAGTGTAAGCTCTCTTTATGACCCATAGCCCCAACCAAATGATCCAGTATCCACAGTTCCTATTTCTCATGATCCTTTTCAAACTGACTCATCTTCCTGTAAACTCACAAGGTTGCAGATTTCCCCAATTATTGGGGGGAGGGGAGAATTAACAGAAAATCCAGATCAGATATTAAGATCTCTAGCAACTACAGATAAAGAGCATAAGTACATTTTCTCTGTCTTGAACCCCCACTTTAACTGTAAGAGCTAACCCCAAACATTCTCGAACATACTATTTCCTTTAAGCTTGGACTTTGGGTAAAAGCTAAGGCCAATGTGTGAATGTGGGCACATGGAATCCAGCCTTGACAGGTCACCACGAGGTATCCCTCCATCCAGGTCTACAAGGCTGGTGTACCAGCTGCTGGCCATACACTTTAATGACCTGCACGACCCTGACTCTGGGTAACTAATCTCTGCACATTTTGTTGCCATGTTTCACATCAGAAAATGAATTAAGCATTAAGTTGTTATAATTCAGAAAAGATTCTAAGAAATCTGAGGAAAGATTCTAAGACGAAAAATATCTTCAGTTAGATACTGATAACAAGGAATGGAAACAAAGATACCATGACAGCCACATGACAAACAGAATTCCTGAGGAAAAAGGGAAGACGCATCAGACAGCAGCACTCTTAGGACAATTTTTAAATACATGCTCCTGGGACTACTGAAAGGAAGAACAAGTGCCCATATCATATAAATACACAAGTTCTTACCCAAATCATGTAAATATGTACATGTGTACTTATATGAACATATTTACATGATATGGGTACTTGTTTAATGGGCAGATTCACAGAAAACAACGTATACCAAGAAATCCTTTAACATTAATTGAAATAATAAAATTAACATGAATTATATTCACATTTTAAAAGCCATTATAAAAAAAGAAACAGATCATTCAACATACCTCATTTAAATATTTCCCTGCAAAAAAGGTCTGATAACCACACATTGATCTGAGAATTGCTGGGAAAGTATTTGGTTCTTGGATCTTCTGCCAGGACTTACTACTGCAGTTCCCCTCCAGAGTGTTGTTCACAACGTGATGATTATGTGGGTACTTTCCTGTCAGGATACTGGCTCTGCTGGGGCAGCAGAGAGCACTTGGCACATACTACAAAGGAAAGGAAGCAAAAACGACAAAGTCACACAAGAAAGATGGACTTCTCATCATTGTTAAAGAGAGTAAAGAAAAGCTCCTTAATACTCTAACTTCAAATATGTAGTTTCTCATGGAATATATATATTTTTTTCTACACATGACATGCTTCAGGGCTGCTTTAAATCATAGTGGAGACATTAAAGCAGACAGAACAAACTGAGAACGGATTTCTTTCTCAAGTGGCTTCTTTCTGCAGGATAACAGTAATTCTAGTCTCATCTGCCGCAGAGATAGTTGTTTTTTTTTTTCTTTTGAGGCGAGCTCTCACTCTGTCACCCAGACTGGAGTGCACTGGCACAAGCACAGCTCACTGCAGCCTCGACCTCCTGGCGCAAGTGATCCTCCCACCTCAGCCTCCCTAACAGCTTGGAGTACAGGTGTGTGCCACCATCCTGGCTTTTTTTTTTTTCATTTTTTTATTTGTAGAGATAACGTTCTTCCTGTGTTGTCCAGACTTGCCTCAAATTCCTGGATTCAAGTGATCCTTCCACCTTGGCCTCCCAAAGTGCTGGGATTACAGGTGTGAGCCACTGCACCCAGCCAGAAATAATATTTATACACAGGGGGCACAGCATGGTGAGAGACGGGTCTTAACCAAAGACAAAGAATACTACTTGGATCTAATTGAGACACAGTGGTTCATTTGCAGGCTGATCTGCAGCTTTACACATTTCCTATATCATTTTATACACTGGACACAGACTTTTTTTCCCTACTGTAATTATATTTCCATTAGCTACTGTCAGCAACAGATTTTCCCCATTCTACCCAATCATATTGGTACACATCACCAAGCCACTTCACAGAAAGGTAATACTAGCTTATACTTGGACCAGCAGGGAAGGAATACTAGCTTATACTTGGACCAGCAGGGAAGGAATGGGCATTTGAGCACACACTCATGCAAAAATTGGGTATTATCCTTTCAATATTAGCAAGTTTTTTTGCCTTTCAAATTTGATTTGGCATTTTTATTTTTATTTATTTTTTTGAGATGGAGTCTCGCTGTGTCACGCAGGCTGGAGTGCAGTGGCGCGATCTTGGCTCACTGCAAGCTCCGCCTCCCGGGTTCACACCATTCTCTTGCCTCAGCCTCCCAAGTAGCTGGGACTACAGGCACCCGCCACCATGCCTGGCTAATTTTTTGTATTTTTAGTAGAGATGGGGTTTCACCGTGTTAGCCAGAATGGTCTCGATCTCCTGACCTCATGATCCACCTGCCTCGGCCTCCCAAAGTGCTGGGATTACAGGCGTGAGCCACTGTGCCCGGCCTTGATTTGGCTTTTTTTTTTTTTTTTTTTTTTGAGACACATTCTCGCTCTATTGCCCAGGCTGGAGTGCAGTGGCGCGATCTCAGCTCACTGCAAGCTCCGCCTCCTGGGTTCACGCCATTCTCCTGCCTCAGCCTCCCAAGTAGCTGGGACTACAGGTGCCCGCCACCACGCCCGGCTAATTTTTTGTAGTTTTAGTAGAGATGGGGTTTCACAGTGTTAGCCAGGATGGTCTCGATCTCTTGACCTCGTGATCCACCCGCCTTGGCCTCCCAAAGTGCTGGGATTATAGGCGTGAGCCACCGTGTCTAGCCGATTTGACATTTTTAAAAAATGGTGAGGAGGAACATTCTCCACATGTACTAACTGACTGTGTTTATGTGAACGGTTTGTTCATATGCTTTGCTCATTTTTTTCCCCCAGGGCTGTCGGCCTCTTGTTACATAAGATTTAAGTTAAGGAAGAATTCAGTCATGTTACAAATACTTCCCATTTTTACTTTTGCCTTTTATTAGATGTTTGACTTCTTAAGTTTAAATTGGCAACTCTTAACTCTTTCTCTTTTTGTTTTCTGATCAATTTTATGGCCAGTACACAGTTTATCTTAATATTACATTTTAGCATCTGGTAGAGCAATTTTTTTTTTTTTTTTTTTTGAGACAGGGTCTTACTCTGTCACCGAGGATGGAGTACAGTGGTGCGATCTCAGCTCACTGCAACCTCCGCAACCTCAGGGTTAAGCAATCCTCCCACCCCAACTTCCCAAAGTAGATGGGACCACAGACGTGCACCACCATGCCTCTGTTTTTGTTGCTGTTGTTGGTTTGAGATGGAGTTTCGCTCTTGTCACCCAGGCTGGAGTGCAGTGGCACAGTCTTGGCTCACTGCAACCTCTACCTCCTGGGTTCAAGCAATTCTAATGCCTCAGCCTCCCAAGTAGCTGGGCTCATAGGCGCTCGCCACCACGCCCGGCTAATTTTTTGTATTTTTGGTAGAGATGGGGTTTCACCATGTTGGGTAGGCTGGTCTCGAACTCCTGACCTCAGGTGATCTGTCCACCTCAGCCTCCCAAAGTGCTGAGATTACAGGTGTGAGCCACCATGCCTGGCCCAATGCCCAGGTATTTTTAAGTATTTTTAGTAGATATAGGCTCTTGCCATATTGCCCAGGCTGGTCTCAAACTCCTGAGCTCAAGCAATCCACCTGCCTCAGCCTCCTAACATGCTGGGATTACAGCATGAGCCACTGTAATTTTTTAAAAAAATTACTTTGATTATTCTCATCTATTTATTATTCCAGATAACTTTTGGAATCACTTGAGTCTCAAATAATCTTGTTAGGATTACAACTAGAATAAACATTTTATTACATAATATTGTGTCTTAGCTGAGCACAGTGGCTCACACCTGTAATCCCAGCTATTTGGGAAGCTAAAGCAGAGGATCACTTGAGGCCAGGAGTTTGAGACCAGCCTGAGCAACAGAGTGAGACCCTGTCACTAAAAAAAAGTGGAAAAAAATTGGCCAAGTGTGGTGATGCATGCCTGTAGTCCGAGTTACTTGGGAAGCTGAGGCGGGAGGATCATCTGAGCCCAGGAGTTTGAGTTCAAGTCTTCAGTGAGCTACGTCACTGCACTCCAACATGGGCGGTAGAGTGAGACCCTGTCTCAAAAAAGAAAAAAAAGAAAGAAATGTATATAAAATGATGTGCATATCTACGTATCAAATATTTTTTATCTTACCACTCGCATCATTTTGTAAAATACATAGGTCATAGCCATTTCTGGCCCCAACCAGTTACTCTTAGAGAGTTTATAAATTATGAATGAGGCTGGGCATGGTGGCTCACACCTGTAATCCTAGCACTTTGGGAGACTGAGATGGAAGGATCACTTGAGCTCAGGAGTTCCAGACCAGCCCGGGCTACATAGTGAGTGAGACCTTTTCTCTGTCTTTATATAGAATAAAAAGAAATAATTATGAATGAGATATTTTGTCTCCCGCCTTCTATTTTTCTAACTGATTACATGGAAGAAAGTTATTAATTTTTATTTTTTCATTTTTATCTTGCTGAATTCTAGTGATTTTAAAGGGTTTTCAATAATTCTCCTGTGTTTCTTAGATAGAAAATCCAAACAAGCAGAAATAATTTTTCCAATATTTTTACCTCTTATTTCCATAAGACTTATGGCTATGACTAGACAGTCGGAACAACATTAAATGGAGCACTGTTTCATCCCTAACAGCAATGCCCTGAGTCTTTTACCTTATGTATTTGAAATAGGCATCATAGTCAGGATGTATTCTTATGATAGCTTATTACCAGGAAAGAATGCTAAAATTTCAGAGTACTTTCTCGTATCTATTGGGAAGAACATTCAATTTTCCTTCTTTCACTTACTTGTATCATGTTGGTAGACATATAATAACCAACATCATGTAGTATTTACTATAAGAAGTCAGGCATTGGCTGGGTGCGGTAGTTCATGCCTGTAATCCCAGCACTTTGGGAGGCCGAGGCGGGCAGATCACTTGAGGTCAGGAGTTCAAGACCAGCCTGGCTAACATGGTGAAACCCCATCTCTACTGAAAATACAAAAAATTAGCAGGGCATGGTGGTGGGTGCCTGTAATCTCAGCTACCCAGAAGGCTGAGGCAGGAGAACTGCTTGATCCCCAGAGGCCGAGGTTGCAGTGAGTCGAGATTGCGCCACTCAAAAAAAAAAAAAAAAAAAGAAGAAAGAAAAGAAAAAATAAGTCAGGCACTGATAGAAGTGCTCTACACCTATTAACTCAACCTCACAACAACTCTGAAGAAGATTTTGGTACTCCCTTTTATAAATGGGGAGGAAGAGGGCCAGAGAGGTTAAATAGTTTGTCCAAGGTCACACTGCTAGAAAAGAGGCAGAGAGGGTGTTCCAGACTAGGCAGTCTGGCTCCAGAGTCTGAGCACTTAAACATAACACTATGCTACTGTTCAAGGGATTCCCTGATAGTAGGCTACCCTTACATTCCTAGACTACCATTCACTTGGTTATGTACATGGTTCTTGAAAATGAATTGCTAATACTTTATTTTGAATTTCTGCATCTATATTTATGGGGTGTGTGTGTTGCTATTTGTCAGTTTTGGCTATTAGGGTTAATTGGGTTTTTACCAAGGAAAAGTTTACACAGCATACATATTCCTTGATTTTTTATAATCCATTTTCAAACCTCAAATGGTAAGGTTTAAAATAAAATTCTCTAGTTCTGAGACTGGCTTAGAAATATCTGCAATTAATCTTCAATTGATAAGAGGTAATATTTCAATTAAAATTCACATTAAATAAATCCTTCCTTCAGATCAGGCATTTAACAAGGAAAAAACCACATAGATCATACCAGATTCCCGAGAAGAGAGTATCTTCTTAGAATACAAACACAGTTAAATTAACAAAATTGAATTAACTTTCAAACTTACAGCACTGGAAAAAGTCATCCCCATCTCTCCGATGAGAGCTTTGGTTTTCTTTAGCGGTGTCTGTAAAAGTAAGTAATTATCCATTAAACAATTTCTTCCAATAAATTGAGACACACAGCCCAGAATTCCTGTTTTGTTACATCTTACTCAATCTTTTATTCCCAAATGGTCAGCTCTAAGCAACAGCCAAAGAGAGTCTTGTATGATTCTAGAGACAAGTTTGGTTCCGGCCAGCTCCATCCTGTATAAAAGTGCAGGAAGTCAAAATGCTTGCAGGAAGGGAAAGTTCAGTTGATGGCAATAACATCTTTGTGCCCTTATTAGTCATCAGCGCCCAGATAAGGCAGATAGGGCAGACCTATCTCCATGAATTAATCTTTAGAAGTAGGATGTGGGAAATGATATAAAGGGAGCCTTCCGCCCTATAGAACAGAAGTAAGACAACAGTTGGATTCTGAAAGCCAGACAAGGCCCCAGGACTCCGAGACTGATTCAAACCTCACACACTCAGTGGTGGAGGCCAGACACACACTGTTCAACTACCAACTACTGTTGTCTGCATAGACCCACAAGCACCTCAGGATAAGGACTTGAACCAGGTGGCAAGCAGGTGTACACAGAACACTGTCAGGCAAAAGGCTACTCAGAAACTATTTTATGTCCTGCTTTTCATCTTTTGTTCAAAATCTAAGATCCTTACAAGTACAGAGAACAATTAACTTCCTTCTAGAATGAGGACAAAAGTATGAAGACAGTCATTTAAATACGAATAAAAGGAACACTAATATTCTTCAGATTCCAGACAGCAAAAAGCACCATTGAAGAGGTCATTTTAGTTGTAATATGGGTCAGTTCACGATGATTCTGAGATACCTTTGAAACCTAAGACCATATTGAATGCAGTTTTAAGTATATTTTGTTGTGCAATAATTCCTTAAAGATTGCTAATCTAAATACATAAGTAGGTTAACAGGAGCCTCATTTTCAATAATGTATAAATGACTTTTCCCCATTGTTTTATATAAATACAAAACCTACGGAATCCATAAACTCAAAAGGATGAGGATTCTAACTTATCCAAAAAAAGCTCTGATAATTTCATGAGTAGATCCAGAAGAGGCTGCCAAGAGACGCTAGAGAAGCAGAAGATCTTCGCCAGCCTTCCGAAGCAAGGTCGTCAGCCATACTCTCCTCAAAGCATCACTGGGTACCATCCTCAGGAAAAGAATACTGGGCTTCATGAGACATTGGTTTGATAAAACACCTGAGTTACTGTGAGGACATTTGAAGGTGAAATGAGGATTCAAAGAGTAAGTGGAGAAAAGGACCAGAGTTGACTGTATGGGACTTAATTGTCAAACTGTCTGATAAATATGTAAAATTATGAAAGAATATCTGATTTACAGTAAGACTGTGTAATAACATTTATTAAACACAACACGTGCCAGGCATTAATCTAGGCAGTGGTGGACAGAGGATAGATGGTCCTCGCCCTCATGATCTCTGCACTCTTGGGGACTTAAAACAACTAACAGGTAAACAATCAGTCATTTCAGGTGGTGGTAAGTGCTATGAAGAGAATAAACCAGGATGATGTGATTACAGCTGGTGGGAAGAAAGGGGAACTACTTTAGATGGGTGGTCAGAAAAGGCCTCTCAGGAGGTAACTTCAGTACGGAGAGCCATGCGATGAGGAGTCAGTCATGCAAAAATTCAGAAGATGTTTCAGGCTGGGTATATAGCAAGTACAAGGGCTGCCAGAGGAAGGAGAGAGGCACCTGGGAGGAAACAGAGAAGCCAGTGTGGTGATGGAAGCAGCTTAGGGAGGAAAAGGGAGAGTGAGGTAAGATGAGGTCAGAGAGGCAGGCAGGAGTCAGTGATGCAGGGCCACATAGGAATTTAGACTTTAGGCCCGGTGCAGTGGCTCACACCTGTTATCCCAGCACTTTAGAAGGCAGAGGCAGGAGGACTGCTTGAGGCCAGGAGTTTGAGACCAGTCTGGGCAACACAGCAAGACCCTGGCTCTACAAAAAATATAAAAATTAGCTGGGCATGGTAGTGCATGCCCGTAGTCCCAGCTACTTAAGAGGCTGAGGTGGGAGGATTGTTTGTGCCCAGAAGTTCGAGGCTGCAGTGAGCTATGACTGCACCACTGCAATCTAGCCTAGGCAAGAAGAGTGAGAACTTGTCTCCAAAAAAAAAAAAAAGAAGTTTTTATTAACTGCCATCTTTATACTGCTAACTATAGTACAAAAGACAACCATAATCCGTGCTTAATTGAAAAAGTCCCAAACAAGAAACCACACTACTCAAAATGTGTCATGTGTCTCTATGCTAATTAGAATGTAAAATGAATCCTTAAGATCGAAGCAAAGACAGTGGCTGGTCAAGTTAAGGCCATGCAACAGTCTTTAAGCAGCAGCCAACTTCATGCCTTCATGTGGGCAAACATGTTACTCTACTCACCCCAAGCAGAACCCTTTTCATTAAAACCCTAAAGAATCATTTACTTTCCTGGTTCCATGCACAGTTGCTCTGAAACGACAATTCTGATAATTCTGTGGCTAACAATGGAAATTGTTTTGCTTTCAGTGAAGCAATGACATATTTATTCTCACACCTGTAATCCCACCCCTTTGGGAGGCTGAAGTGGGCGGATCACTTGAGGTCAAGAGTTCAAGATCAGCCTGGCCAACATGGTGAAATCCCGTCTCTACTAGAAATACAAAAATTAGCCGGGCGTGGTGGTGGGTGCCTGTAAACCCAGCTACTTGGGAGGCTGAGACAGGGGAATCTCTTGAACTCAGGAGAAGGAGGTTGCAGTGGGCCGAGATCGCGCCACTGCACTCCAGCCTGGGTGACAGAGCAAGACTCCAACTCAAAAAAAAAAAAAAAATTATTCTTCCCCTACCTTTCATCATAGTTTCTTCTTTCACTTGCCTGTGGTTTTGGCCAAATGTCACTTTTCTTAGAGTAAATGATTTTTTTTTTTTTTTTTTGAGATGGAGTCTTGCTCTGTCACCCAGGCTAGAGTGCGGTGGCACAATCTCAGCTCACTGCAACCTCCACCTCCTGGGTTCAAGTGATTCTCCCACCTCAGCCTCCCGAGTAGCTGGGACTACAGGCACGCACCACCATGCCCGGCCAATTTTTGTATTTTAGGGTTTCGCCATGCTGGCCAGGCTGGTCCTGAACTCCTGACCTCGTGATCTGTCCACCTCGGCCTCCCAAAGTGCTAGGATTACAGGCGTGAGCCACCGCGCCCGGCCATGAATTATTTTTAAAAGAGCAGCTTATGCTTCTGTGAAGAACAGTGTGTCCACCACACTATAATGATGTTTAAATAAAATCAAGAAAGTGATAAGAACAGTGTCCTGGCAAAATAAAAAATAAAAACAGAGTCCCACAGATACCTGGAACAAATACAATGAAATGTTAAAGACGATGCTACTATATAAAAGAGCATTTCAAAGATGCCTGAAAAATTCCACTATAAATCTAAATCATGTTGTAAATGCTATATACAATCCTTTGACCTGAGTGAGATTGGTGGGGGTTAACCACTATTTATTTTGCCAACTATGGCAGCAATCTGTAATCTTTTTTAGGTTAGAGCTCTTTCCACAAAAATGAAGATATTATACACAAAGTTTTACATGTAAATTAAGGAGTTCCATGATGTCACTGGCATCCCCGAATGTCACCTGCAGACTCTCTGACCTATGGTGTGATTATGCTGGTGTGGGTATGTGGAATGAAATCTGATTATTATCACAGTATTCTAGAATAGGAGAAAAAGCATGGTGATCTGAGGTCATAAGATACCCAGGCTTTGTCCAATATTAGCTATATGAACTTAGTCATGTCACTTAACCACCTTCCAGTTTTAGTTTCCTTTTAAGATAAGGATACTATGTACAGCAGAGGACTCCTGTGATGACTGAAGCACAAGTATAAAAATCCTCATACTCTGCTCGGCTCCAAGTAAGTTCTCAAATGCTCTTGTCCTAGCTCTTCCCCTTGGAGTCCTGTTTGACAATTAGTGGTAGAATATTCTGAAAAAGCCTAGAAGAGAAGCCAGAATTCTTGAGTTTGGAACATTAAGTTTGACTTATGCCCTCCACTCAATTTTGGTACCTCTCTCCAGTAGAAACACTTATTAAAAAAAAGAATCTGGGCCGAGACAGTGGCTCATGCCTGTAATCCCAGCACTTTGGGAGGCTGAGGTCCAGGAGTTCAAGAGTTCAGGAGTTCAAGAGTTACTTGAGTCCAGGAGTTCAAGACCGACTTGGGCAACATGGAGAAATCCTGTCTTTACAAAATATTTAAAAATTAGCTGGACGTAGTGACATGTGCCTGTAGTTCCAGCTACTAGGGAGACTGAGGCAGGAGGACTGCTTGAGACTAGGAGTTCAAGGCTGCAATGAGCCTTGATTGTACCACTGCACTCCAGCCTGGATGACAGAGCAAGACCCTGACTCAAAAAATCTGCTACTGGCTTAACGAAGCAAATTGGATTAACATACTAAAGAGACCTCAAATACACACAGACTACAGCTGTGGTTTATAAGAATTGAAGAAACAACTCTGAATACCTTATATTTAAGTAATCAATTTTGTTTTCAACACCTAAAAAAGCCTGACCTTTTAACTGAGTACTTAAGTCACTGCTAGAGAAGGCTTGCTTTTTCTGGACAAAACACTCTTCAAGGACACATTTTCTTTTTTTTAATAAAAAAGGAATTTTGTGAGCAGACAAGTAAGTGCAGTAGTTGGAAGAGTAGTGAACCTAAAGTGTAGGAGGAAAATTAAATTAAGACCAATGTCAACATGGCTTGGTAGAAACTAACAGACAATGAAGCATATATGGCAGGAAGAAATGTGTAGTCAAAATGCAAGCCTCTTAAAACATCAGCTATAAAAGACTCTCAAGCTCTTGAGCATCAACCTAAGAAATATATTTTACAACTCGGGAAGAAAGAGAGATAGATAATGATTACCTTTATCAAGTGTAACACACACACTCACACACATGGACCTTTTCTATTCTATTCTATTCCAGAGGAAATAAAAAATGTTGGTAGTTACTCACTAAACTGATTTCATAACTCACTCAAGGGTTGGGACCAGAGGTTTGAAGGACACTGAGCTAGGGTGTGTAACTACACAAGAAAAGTTAGGAACGTCTTGCCTGGAGTATTTCATAGTCTCAGCATTCAGCTGAAAGCAAAAAGAGAACTGAAACGAAGAAAGCAATAAAGCATTTGGTTTTAAAGCGAAGAGAGGAATGCTGAACCCAGGGTCAGAGGACTCTGCCTCAACTACTCATGTCTTGGGCAAGTTGCTTTCTGGGCCTCCATGGGGAAGGGGTTGGAGTGGATGTTTCCAAAGGTCACACATTCCATAATTCTGCAATACACAAGCAAAATTTACTCTGGAAAAAAAATGAAGTCTTGTGACAACACCCATTAGATAGAAAATGAAACACTGACAGTCTCTAATGCAACAGTCAGGTGTTCAATCACACTAATTGAATTTTCTTGATTCTTGTGAGGCAACACACACCCTCAATAGTTCGACGGTCGGCCTACCAGATTAGTTCACTTCAGGCCTTTTTTTTTTTTTTTTTTTTTTTTTTTTTTTGGAGACGGAGTCTCGCTCTGTCGCCAGGCTGGAATGCAGTGGCGCGATCTCGGCTCACTGCAACTGCTGCCTCCCGGGTTCAAGCGATTCTCCTTCCTCAGCCTCCCAAGTAGCTGGGACTACAGCTGCGCGCCACCACGCCCAGCTAGAATTATTGTATTTCTAGTAGAGACGGGGTTTCACCATGTTGGCCAGGATGGTCTCGATCTCTTGACCTTCTGATCCGCCCGCCTCGGCCTCCCAAAGTGCTGGGATTACATGAGTGACACACCGCGCCCGGCCCAGGCTTATTTTTATTGACATCAGATACAGACATTGTATACAGGCACAAACGTGGAGGTGGTCTAGGTCCCTCATAAAGGGGACTGGACTTGTCTGTGATCCTCTAATCCAAAAGAAAAACAATCAGGCCTTGAGTGCTCTTAGACAGCACCTGATCCTCATTGGTTCAACCCATCCTCCACTGGTCTCCACATGTTTATCTTGAGATATTAACGTAAACTCCACAGCAGTACGGTCCAGACTAGAAGCTCTGTGTGCTGTACGCATGTGCCTCAATCCAGAAAGGAAAAGAGTATTGCAGTCCCTTACACCGGCATAAAGGGCCTCAGGTGGGAAAACCAAACCTACCCAAGGATAAGACAGCCAGTTCGGGGAGGAGGGTGGTGGGGACCGGGAAAGAGAGCAACAAACCGGGTAGTCAGCCCAAGAGATAGAGGGGCGGGGCAGAAACAGAAGAGTTACCATGCCGCCGAGCACTTCGTCCTGGTCGTCCGTGAGGAGCAGCACCACGTTGGGCCTCCGGGTTCCCGCAGCCACCCCGAAGACCCCCAGGCAGCCGCCCAGCACCAGCAGTAGCAGCGCTGGGCTGCAGGAGGGCAGGTGGCGGGGGCTGCCCCGCCGGAGCCGACCTGGGGCTAGAGGCAGGAGCCGCATAGCGGACAGGCTCCGGGGTGACCCCGGGACGGGACGGGACGGAGGGACGCACAGGTAGCTGAAGGGCGAGAGGCCGACCAGCCGAAGGAATAAAAAGCCGTGCCTTGAAGGCCGGTGGCTGGAGTCAGACGTTTTCTCCCTAGGCGCGATCACGTGAGCCAGGGACAGGGGGCGGAGCACGCTGCGCGGTCACGTGACGGCCGGCGTGGGCGGGGCTGCGGACTGGCGCAGCCTGGAGGGAGGCATCAGGCAGTGGCGGAAAAGGGGCGGAGAACCGGAGAAAAGGGCGGAGAACCGGAGAAAAGGGCGGAGAACCGGAGAAAAGGGCGGAGAACCGGGAAAAGGGCGGAGAACCGGGAAAAGGTCAAGACCTGTACGTACCTCTCGCGCAGGCTCGGGTTGCGTTCTGGTAGGACGTACGTGTTTCTGAGCGCTTGGTGGAAAGATTTAAATGGGGGGAAGAGAAGATGAAAAGCAGGAAAGAGTTGGCAAATACTAACCAACCGATAAAGGAAGAGAAAGGAGGACTGTACATAACAGAAATTATCATCAGCTGGTGAGGAAAGTGGACTCTACCATATTTAATCCCCAAGTCGACGGGCACTTATTCAAGGCCCGGATGTTTAATCGTTTTTAATTTTCTCTACAACTTGTGAGATAAATCTTAACATTCTCATTTGGCTCAGACATTAAATTCGGAACTGGTTAGCTCTCTTAACTCCAAAGCCTAATTATGTTCTTCTTTCCTCAGCAGACATCGTAGTTTCAAACAATTTAGGGATGTCCTGACAGCTTTATCCTAATGGTTATCCTAATGGTCCTTGGTGACTTTTTAAACACCCTCTTGGAACATGTTGGAGGATGTGCAGATCGAACAAAAATCTTGAAACGTGGTCATCCAACTGCATTATTAAGTAATCTTTAGCGGGGAATAGCCCTTGAAACTAGCTCCAGATATTTCTGTGGTCGCTCTGGAATAATTAGACTTTGCCCCTCTCCTCTCACCGCCCACCGTGGGCGCGGTGGCTCACGCTTGTAATCCCAGCACTTTGGGAGGCGGGTGGATCACCTGAGGTCAGGAGTTTTAGACCAGCCTGGCCAACGTGGGGAAACCCCGTCTCTACTAAAATACAAAAATTAGCTGGGCGTGGTGGCAGGCGCCTGTAATCCCAGCTACTCGGGAGGCTGAGGCATGAGAATCGCTTGAACCCGGGAGGCGGAGCTTGCAGTGAGCCACTGCACTCTGGCCTCAGGGACAGAGCGAGACTCTTGTCTCAAAACAAACAAACAAACAAAAAATCACAGAGATATTCCTGGCAAGGTGAACTGTCAAGTCACATCCCCAGACCGATATAACAAGGTATACCTCCTTGCTGGTAAAAGTATTTTCTCTGAGTTGAACTGTTTGCCAAGAAGAGTCTCTTAAAACTCGTGAAAACTATTCCAGAACTTAAAGTATTAAAAAAAAAAACTCGTGAAAACACTATACTATAAGGTAAAAATAATGATGGAAACACGTTGAAACCTGATGTGTACAAGGATAGGGCTTATGCAAAAAAAAAAAAATTACCTTTATTACTTTGTTTTTTTCACACAGAGGGGTAATGCGCGGAGTCCTAACAAGGTTTGAGGTAGGGGTGGTAACTCACACAATAGCATGAAAACCCAATCATCAGGCTTATGAACCACAAAAGGATCTTAATACTTTTTTTTTTTAAGTAAGCCTACAGAAGGCAAAAGAAGCTTTAAAAAAACTGAAGTAGTTTTTCTGCAAGAAACAATTATGCCGGAAGTGTGGTCAGAGCAGTTCCTAGACAACCAGAATACTTGGTTACAGCCTTGGCCTAGGCCAATTTTTCAAGCTGGTTAGAATAACTAATCCTTCTGTATTCAGGTTTCAAGACTTCCAGGAAGACTTTCTTGCACAAAAAAATAACCTATTTCATCTGTATCGAAGCCCCAAATTGTAAAATTGTTTCTTTTCTATTTTTTTCAAGGTTAGATTATAAACTATTTGAGGCCAGAAATTGTGTAATTAGTTGCCCACTTTGTTCAGGATGCTGCTGTCAGAGGCGATTGAACCAGAGCAACTCCATCTTGAAAAGGGGCTGAGTAAAATAAGCCTGAGGCCTGCTATGCTGCATTCCCAGATGGTTATGCATTCTAAGTCACAGGATGAGATAGGAGGTCATAAAGATACAAGATACAAGATGCATGTCATAAAGACCTTACTGATGAAACAGGTAGCAGTAAAGAAGCCGACTAAAACCCACCAAAACCAAGATGGTGATGAAAGTGACCTCTGGTCGTCCTCACTGCTAAATTCCCACCCAGCGCCATGACAGTTTACAAACGCCATGGGAATGTCAGGAAGGTACCCTCTCTGGTCTAAAAAGGGGAGGCATGAATAATCCATCCCTTGTTTAGCATATCATCAAGAAATAACCATAAAAATGGGCAACGAGTAGCCCTCGGGCTGCTCTGCCTATGGAGTAGCCATTCTTTTATTCCTCTACTTTCTTAATAAACTTTCTTTCACTTTACTCTATGGTCTTGTCCTGAATTCTTCCTTGCTCGAGATCCAAGAACCCTTTCTTGATGTCTGGATCAGGACCCCTTTCCGGTAACACTGCTACACTAGTGCTGAAGAGACATTGTCCCTCGTTCATGGAATTTGCAGTCTAATGGCAGAGAGATGGACAATCTAATCTTGTATCTTGTATATGATTACAAATAGACATGCTATGAAGGAAAAGTAAAGGGTGCAATGAGCATTTAAGGTGGTGGGAGGCTGATTTAGTCTAAGGTGCCCTGAGGAAGTGATCTTTGAGTGAAATCTGAAGTTTGAGTAGGAGATAATTTGTTAATGGAGTATTGGGGTGGTGGAATGTCTCCTAAGCACAGAGTACAGCATATGCAAAGGTTCTGAGCTGGTGCATTGCAATAACTAAAAGAAGCCAGTGTGGTTAGAGCAGAGGGAGAGAGGTGGTGAGGACCCAGATCCTATTTTAAGGACTTGGGTTTTTATAGTAAGGCTAATTGGAAATTACTGAAAGAATGTAAGATAAATATAATCATACATGAACTTTTAGAAGATCCTTTAGACTGTGGCATGAAGAACAGATTGGAAGAGGACAAGCATGGGTGAGGGTAGACCAATTAGGTAGAGAGAAAAGTGGATAACAGGGACAGATTCAAATTTTGTGGGGCCTGAAGTTTATGTGCATTTGGCGAGTGGAGGCTCCTTAAGAAAAAGAATAACAATTTTAGATACAAAAGTAGGTACACAACTGAATATGTATTTAGACTAAAACAAAATATAACGTTATAAATTTTTAAAAGTTGAAAAATATTACAAATAATGCAAAAATTTAACGTAACATATTTTTATTAAGTAACTGCCAGGCATACTTCTTCATACTTTTTTCCCCTTACATTATATGGCTATGTGCTCTTTAATCATCTCTTCATATGATGTTAGTTTATAATATTTTCTAAAGAAAATAGAAAGATAATTTAGTTTTTTCTCTAGTGTGTTTGATCAGTATTTGCCTTTTATTGGTGATAATTCAGAAAAATTATTTTTCACCTCAGTTCATTATTGGTTTTATATATATGTTTAGTATTTTTGTCAAATTTCAGAAAACTCTATCAAATATCCTCTTAACATAGGCATTTCGTGACATTCTGCATTTTATTTTGTATTATTTTATTTTTTGAGATGGAGTCTTGATCTGTCTGCGCTCTTGGCTCACTGCAACCTCCACGTCCCAGGTTCAAGCAATTCTCCTGCCTCAGCCTCCTGAGTAGCTGGGATTACAGGCATGCGTCACTATGCCCGGCTAATTTTTGTATTTTTAGTAGAGATGGGGTTTCGCCATGTTGGCCAGGCTGGTCTCGAACTCCTGACTTCAGGTGATCTACCCGCCTCAGCCTCCCAAAGTGCTGGGATTATAGGCGTGAGTTTTATGTTATCTTCCTCAATGCTAGTGTGAGATCAAATCGAAAGAAATTTGAATATTTTTCAATGAGTTTATATAATTCACAAGTTGTCAATTTAATAGCCTATTTATTACTTTCATTTGCAGTTTATCTCTTCCTCTTTCCAGCTTTATTGAGATATAATTGACAACAAAATTATGTGTATTTAAGGTGTACAACATGATGTTTTCATATACGTATAGAGTGTGAAATGATTATTCTCTTCCTCTTAATGAATTACTGTTTTTCTTATGATTTAAACTTTTTTTGGTTACTCTTTACTTCTTAATGTCAGGATAATTTCTCTTTACTTTCTCATTCATCTTTATCACTTTGGTTTTGTATCCTATTAATTTTTTTTTTTTTTTTTGAGACAGAGTCTTGCTCTGTCACCAGGCTAGAGTGCAGTGGCATGATCTCGGCTCACTACAACCTCCACCTCTCAGGTTCAAGCGATTCTCCTGCCTCAGCCTCCCAAGTAGCTGGGATTACAGGTGTACACCACCACATCCAGCTAATTTTTGTATTTTTAGTAGAGACAGTGTTTCACCATATTGGTCTGGTCTCGAACTCCTGACCTCAGGCTGGTCTTGAACTCCTGACCTCAGGTGATCCACCCACCTTGGCCTCCCAAGGTGCTGGGATTACAGGCGTGAGCCACCATGCCCAGCCTAGCCAAGCTGTTTTTTAAAGAGCATGCAGCCCTTTTTCCTAATCATTATAATAGCTGTGTTAACAGATGACTGATTATAAATGCTGTTTAACCACAGGTTAAAATAACAATCTTGTTTTACTTTGTTGAATAATGTCTCAGATGTTTTCAGTTGGCTAAAAATATTTAAAAATTGCTCATAGGTTTTCCTGTTAGAAAGTAGTGCCCAATAATTGCCAACTCATCAGTGGTTGTCATATCCAGAATAGAATACATAATAGTATTTGGTGTTTGGTTATGTGTTTGACTTACCACTTTTTAAACATTTTTTTCATTATTTCAATTTTTTCCATAAATTGTTTTAGTAAAATAAGTTGTGTTTTCATTTTGACATGTTTTTCCAAGAGCTTAAGCAAAAATGCATCCAATTCAGCTATTAGTTGAAAAATTCCTGTGGAATTTTCATTATAGGAACAATAGTACTTTTCATCATGACCTCTGAAGTGTAACTTTCACTTAACGTTTAATAACCTCAAAACTTCCATCTCTGGCCACGATGGAGTAACAGTGCCAGACTAATTCTCTTGCTAAAAACAACTAGAAAACAGGGCAATATAGATGCCTTTATACAAGTGACAATAGTGAAGGACTGTGATCCACATGTAAAGAGAAACAAACAATTGCTCCAACTTTTTGCCTGGTGGAGGGACATTCTGAACCAGAGAGCAGGAAATAGGATCTCATGCTTGACAAAGTTGACTTGCTAACTTTGGGTGGACAGAGATCAAAGTTGAGGGAGATTGAGGCAGCTGGAAGTTTGCAGGGAAGAATTCCAAAGAGAAGGGTGCTGTATAGATTTAAAAGCTCCATAAGTTTGTACAGATGTCTTTCTGAAACTTTGCTGAACACTGAGATGTGCATTCACAGGGTGAAACACCACCAGAAGGCAAGGCAAAGAATGACCAAGGTAATGTAAAACAAATAATTCTCAGAGGGGTTGGGATGTTTGAGATCCAGCCAGCCATAGGGGAAAGTCCTCCTTGATCATCAGGAGCACTCCTTAGGAACCTGGAAAGGTCGTGCCCTAATAGTGGAGCTAAACTATCATGAGTAAAAAGTACTGTGCACCCACAGAAACAAAGCTTGGGTACAGCCCTCAAAAGATCAAACTAATCTGCAAGGAAAGTAACTTGCTTTCCAGAATAAGGCTCAACACTCTTTCAGGGAAGACTACGAAACCTAGATATTCAACAATATGAAATTCACAATGTCCTGCGTTGAATAAGAAAATTACTACACAGGGCCGGGCATCGTGGCTCACGCCTGTAATCCCAGCACTTTGGGAGGCCGAGGCGGATCATGAGGTCAGGAGATCAAGACCATCCTGGCTAACACAGTGAAACCCCATCTCTACTAAAAAATACAAAAAATTAGCTGGGCATGGTGGCGGGTGCCTGTAGTCCCAGCTACTCAGGAGGATTAGGCAGGAGAATGGCGTGAACCCGGGAGGTGGAGGTTGAAGTGAGCCGAGATTGCGCCACTACACTCCAGTAGCCTGGGCGACAGAGCAAGACTGTCTCCAAAAAAAAAAAAAAAAAAAAAAAAAAAAAATTACTATATAGGCTCCCAAACAGGAAAATGTGACCCCATGACCAGAAGAAAAAATTGTCAATAGAAACAGATAATAAATGACAGGGATGAAGAAGTTAATAGATTAATGTGTTAAAACTCCTATTATAACTTGTTCAAGTATTTAAAGGAAAACATGAGCCAACTGAGAAGAGAGGTGGAAGATATATAACTGGGCCAGGCACAGTGGCACACACTTGTAATCCCAGCACTTTGGGAGGCCTAGGTGGGCAGATGGCTTGAGCCCAGGAGTTTGAGACCAGCCTGGGCGACTTGACAAAACCCCACCTCTACAAAAAAAAAAAAAAAATACAATACACAAAATTAGCTGGGCTTGGTGGTATGCTCCTGTAGTCCCAGCTACTCAGGAGGCTGAGATGGGAGGATCACTTGAGCCGGGGAGGTCCAGGCTGCAGTGAGCCATGATTGTGCCACTGCATTCCAGCCTGGGTGACAGAGGGATACCCTGTCTCAAAAATAAATAAATACAAATAGAATCTATAACTGAATAGCACTATATCTGAAAATTCACTACATGGATTAAGAGATGATTAAACAATATGGGGGGGAGATAAGTCAACTTGAAGGTATAGCAAGAGAAAAATACCCAAAATAAAGCAAAGAGAGAAAAAAACGAAAATAAAAATGAGCAGGGCCCTTGTGACCTGTGAAACAAAATCATGGGGTCTACTATTTACATAACTGGAATTCCAGAAGGAAGAAATAATTTTTCGAAGAAATAATAGTTGCTGTCTGCATATAGAGAAAACTCTGATCTCAGATTCAAGAAATTCAGTGAACCCCATGCAGAAAAAACATAAAGAAAATCATACTGAGAAACATCACAATCAAAATTCTGGAAACTAGTAATAAAGAAAAGTAGACTTTATGACAAAAATATTATTAGAGATAAAAACAGGGCATTTTATAATGATAAAAGGTTCAATCCATCAGGAAGATATAACAATTATAAATATATATGGACCTAACAAAGTACCAAAATTCTTGAAGTAAAAACTGATAGAAATAAAGGAAAAAATGGACAACTCGATAATAGTTGGAAACTTCAATACTCCACTTTCAATAATGGATAGAGTAGCTAGGCAGAAGATGAACAAGGACATAGAAGACTTGAATAACATTATAAAATAGGTAGACCTAACAGAGATCTACAGAACTCTCCACCCAACAAGAGCAGAATCTATACTCTTCTCAAGTGCCTGTGGAATATTCTCCAGGATAGACCATGTACTAGGCCATAAAACAAACCTCGATAAATCTAAAAGGGTAGAAATAATACAAGTATGTTCTCTCACCACAGTGAAATAAAATTAGAACATAAGATTCCCAGAGAAATTTGGGTAGCTCACAAATATTTGGAAATGAAACAACATACTCCTAAATAATCAGTGGATTAAAACAGAAATCAAAAGGGAAATTAGAAAATACTTTGAGATGAATGAATATGAATACACAGCATACTAAAACTTGGGATACAACTAACATAGAGCTTGAAGAGTAATTTGTGGCTGTAAATGCCTATATTTAAAAAAAGAATGATCTCATATCATTAATTTAACCTTCTACCTTAAGACACCAAAGAAAGCAAAATAAACCTAAAGCAAGCAGAAGGAAGGAAATAATAAAAATTAGAGCAGAAATTAATGAAACGAGGATAGAAAAAAATAGAGAAAAATCAATGAAAGCAAAAGCTGATTCTTTGGAAAGATTAACAAAATTGTCAAATCTTGGTGGTCCCTATCAGAGATATCCCATATCTCCATTTAAGTAGCCAGTCTGGCCCCTGCAGAAAGGATCATGGGAAATGATCATAGCCTACCACAAGCTCAACCAAGTATTAGTCCTGACGCTGTGGCCATGCTGGATTTGATACCTTTGCTAGACAAAATCAATATGACTACAGGTAAATTTTAAGCAGCCACCGATTTGGTGAATGCATTCTCTTCTGTCCCTATCAGAAAAGAGGCTCAGAAACACTTCACATTCATACAGAATGAACAACAAAAGACATCTACAGTTTTGCCCCAAGGTTATGTTAACTCATCTCTGTGTCACAATATGTAACTATGTGACTATGTGTTATAATACAGCCCTGACAAATCCAGACTGCCCAGGTATCCTGCAGAACATCTTACCCATCCAATACATTGATGACATCATGCTGATCAGGCAGGATGAAAAAGAGGTGACTAGCATCTGGACACCTTGATAAGATACACATGCTCCGGCGGGGGGGGGGGGAGGGGGGGGAGATAGGCTCTATGAAAATTTAGAAACTTGGTACTTCAGTAAAGATTTTTAGAGGTCCTGGCGTGTGTCATGACATTGCCTCCAAAGTAAAAAAAAAACTGCTGCATTTTGCATTTCTTACTAGTGAGAAAGAAGCACAGTGCTTGGTAGAACTCTTTGGATTCTGGGTGCAATACATTGTATGCTTAGGAACACTGACCAGCCCATATATGAAAGGCTGCCAGCTTTGATGGGGACTGGAGCATAAAAGTGCTCTGTAACAGGCAGGGCTGACTACATAATCTGTGGGGTCCAGTGTGAAACAAAAATGTGGGTTCCTTTGTTCAAAAAGCAGAAAAAATGTGCCATTTAAGTTACTAAAATATAAAACTTTTTCTTTAAAAATATCTTATTACTTACAAAATATAATAGGGGTTATAATAATACATGAGTAACAACATAATCTTAAATTTATATAATATAAATAATGAGACTTTATTATGTGATATCTTGATTACAAGTTTCTTCCGACTTGCTTTTCTGCAAATTCAATTGTTTTTTCTTTTAAACAGGGTCTCACTCCATCACCCAGGCTGGAGTGCAGTGGTGTAATCACAGCTGACCACAGCTTCAACCTCCTGGGCTCAAGCAATCCTCCTGCCTCAGCCTCCTGAGTAGCTGGGACTACTGGTGCATGTTATCGCACCCAGCTAATTTTTACATATTTTTGTAGAGATGAGCTCTCCCTACCTTGCCCAGGCTAATATCAAACACCTGGCCTCAAGTGATTCTCCCACTTTTGCCTCCACAAAGTGTTGGGATTATAGGTGTGAGCCACCCTGCCTGGCGTGCAAATTCATTTCCTAGGCCATCATACGTTTTCAGCAAATTCATTTTCAATTGATGTAGTTGAAAGCAATGTCAGTGACTCTTGGCAAATGCAAGATTGCAAATATTTTTTGATAACATTAATTTTGAGAAGGATCTTTCTTCTGATGTAACTGTTGCTGTTAAGACTATTTTATAGGCTGTATAACAAAGGAATAAATTTGACAAATTATTTCAAAATAGAAATTTTAGCACATGGGCCAAGTGTGGTGGCTCATGACTGTAATCCCAGCACTTGGGTAGGCTGAGGCAGGCGGATTGCCTGAGCTCAGGAGTTCGAGACCAGTCTGTGCAACGTGGCAAAACCCCATCGCTACAATAAAATACAAAAATTAGTTGTGTGTGGTTGTGTGCACCTGTAGTTCCAGCTACTTAGGAGGCTGAGATGAGAGGATCGCTTGTGCCCAGGAGGTTGAGGCTTCAGTGAGCAGTAGTTGTACCACTGCACTCCAGCCTGGGTGACAAAGCTGGACCCTGTCTAAAAAAAAATTAGAAAGAAATTTTAGTACATGTAGAACTGATGATTCCTGTAGATTTTTTTTTTTTTGAGTCAGAGTCTCACTCTGTTGCCCAGGCTAGAGTGTAATGGTGCCATCTTGGCTCACTGCAACCTACATCTCCCAGGTTCAAGTGATTCTCCTGCCTCAGCCTCCTGAGTAGCTGGGATTACAGGCGTGCACCACCACGCTCGGCTAATTTTTGTAATTTTTTTTTTTTTTGAGACGGAGTCTTGCTCTGTTGCCCAGGGTGGAGTGCAGTGGCATGATCTCGGCTCACTGCAACCTCCACCTCCCGGATTCAAGCAATTCTCTGCCTCTGCCTCCCAAGTAGCTGGGATTACAGGCACATGCCACCACGCTGGGCTATTTTTTTTTTTTTTTTTGTATTTTTAGTAGAGACGGGGTTTCACCATCTTGGACAGGCTGGTCTTGAATTCCTGACCTCGTGATCTGCCCGCCTTGGCCTCCCAAAATGCTGGGATTACAGGTGTGAGCCACCGCACCTGGCCTAATTTTTGTATTTTTAGTAAAGACAGGGTTTCACCATGTTGGCCAGGCTGGTCTCAAACTCCTGACCTTGTGACCCACCTGCCTTGGCCTCCCAAAGTGCTGGGATTACAGGTGTGAGCCACTGGGCTCGGCTGAAAAATTTTTTGAAAAATATTTAACTCTCCCTACAAATCAGTTTTAAGTTGAATTTAATTTTTAATGTAAAGTATAAATTGTAATTTTGCAATTGTAAAATTGTAACTGGCATAACAATGAAATTGTAACATTTTCTTTGACATTTCCAGTAACTTTTGAAGGTCATTTGAAAAACTCCATGGCTTCAAACTTTTATACGATTCAAAGTGCTTATTTATACATTCTATCACCGTATCTCTAATTATAAGGAAAAAGTAATTTTAATTAATACTAGGCTCATCTGAAACTTCCTATGAAAATAGCGTTCTTTTTTGTCAAATGTGAACATCTTTATATTTCTAAAGCTGTGGATATTTGATTTGCCATGTTGCAGAAGTTTTCAAAAGTAGAGACTCTACACTCTGAAGAATTGTAATAGTTCCCTGATATGGTTTATTACAATGTCTGAGTATGCTTTGTTTTTTTTTTTGGTAACAATTTACTGACAGTGTGTACTGCCTGAACTGGCAATTTCTGTCCCATCTCTCAAGCCTGAAAATTAAGATTTGTGCAAATGCCACAAAGATGGGATTTGGGAAGTAGCCAGGCAAGCTAGGCTTCCACAGCAGGTCCCAGGGCTGGCTTTATGCAGAATCCCTTTACTCTCCTATTGCTGTCACCACTGCTGCTGCTTCTCAGCTATTGCTGCTGTCAACTGGCACTGGTCCCCACCTAGCTACTTTGGGGCCCTTAAGTGCCCATGACTGCCCTTAGGTGTGCACGTGTGACAACTGCATGGTGCCTGGTGCTGCCTGCTGGACTTCCTAGCTTGGCATAATTCCACTTCTCATGCACGTGGCCATTGTCCCATATGACTGCACTTATAAAACACCAATTCCTTTTTCTTCTTTTTTTTTTTTTTGAGACGGAGTCTTGCTCTGTCGCCAGGCTGGAGTGCAGTGGTGCGATCTCAGCTCACTGCAACCTCCGCCTCCCGGGCTCAAGCGACTCCCCTTCCTCAGCCTCCCACGTAGCTGGGACTACAGGCGAATGCCACCACACCCAGCTAATTTTTTTTTTTTTTTTGTATTTTAGTGGAGATGGGGTTTCATCATGTTGGCCAAGATGGTCTCAATCTCCTGACCTCATGATCTGCCCACCTCAGCAGATCCCAGTGCTGGGATTATAGCCGTGAGCCACCACGCCCGGCCAAAACACCAAATTTAAAAACAAAATTGTTCACCATTTCAAGATGGTGATAATACAGCATTAAACCAGGAGTAAAGACCTTCTGAGAGTGGGGTTCTGTACAACATATCCATGAAGCCCATCCTGGTAGCAGGTCCTAGCTGTGGTTCAAGTAGCCCTTCTGCTTGGGCCATATACTCCAGCAGAGCCTAAGGTATTCCGTGTGTAAGATGCAATGTGGTGCAAACCCCAATAGGAGGATCACAAGGCAGGCCCATAGGGTTTTGGGGCAAGGTCATGACATCTATAGCAGGAATTACACACCATTTGAAAAACAGCTTCTAGTGTACTGAGCCCAGATCGAGATGGAACTCTTATCCACGAGGCACCAAATGACCATGCTTTCTGAACTATTCATCATGAGTTAGGTTCTCCTGGATCTACCAAGTCATTAAGTTGGTCAGGACCAGCATTAATCCTTTGTAAGCTAAAACACTGCATTTGGGAACAAGCACAAGCAGGACCAGAGGGCAACAAACAAGTGCATGAATAGGTAGCCCAGACTCCCATATCACTAGTCATAGTTACACCACTGCTTCTCTCTCAGCTCACGTCCAAGGGCCTGTATGACCAGCTGAAGGAGGAGGAAAAAGCCCCAACTTGGTTTATAGACAAAACAGCATGGTTTATAGGTGCAAGGTAGAAATGGATGATAGCTGCAATCACTCAGCATTGGCCTTGAATCATAGTAGTTTAAAAAAACAACAACATAGTAACAGGAAGAGCTTTGGGTGGTACACCTGACCATTCAGTTTGTGTGGAAGGAAAAGTGGTCTGAGATTAGAATATATATGGACTCACTGGCAGTGGTGAATGGCATTGGCTGACTGGTCATGAGCCTGGAAGGAAGAAGATCAGAAGATTGGAGAAAGGGAGGTCTGGGGTTGTGGCACGTGGATGAACATACAGGAATAGGCACAAAATGGCCAGGCGCAGTGGCTCATGCCTGTAATCCCAGCACTTTGGGAGGCTGAGGCAGGCGGATCACCTGAGGTCGAGAGTTCTAGACCAGCCTGACCAACATGGAGAAACCCTGTCTCTACTGAAAATACAAAAATTAGCTGGGCGTGGTGGCACATGCCCGAGGCTGAGGCAGGAGAATCGCTTGAACCCAGGAGGAGGAGGTTGTGGTGAGCCGAGATCGTGCCATTGCATTCCAGCCTGGGCAACAAGAGTGAAACTCTGTCTCAAAAAAAAAAAAAAAAAAAAAGGAATAGGCACAAAGTATGAAGATCTTTGTATCACATGCTTATGCCCAGCAGAAAGCATTCATGTTGGAAGAGGCACTAGACAACCAATTAGACAAAATGGCTTAGTCAATTGATATTAACCAGACTTTGTTGGTGGCCATTCAAGTGCTGGTACAATAGGCACATCACTTCCTTTATTTATTTTTTTTGAGACAGAGTCTCACTCTGTCGCCCAGGCTGGAGTGCAGTGGCGCAATCTCGGCTTACTGCAACCTCCGCCTCCCCGGTTCAAGCAATTCTTCTGCCTCAGCTTCCCAAGTAGCTGGGATTACAGGCGCCTGCCTCCGTGCCTAGCTCATTTTTGTATTTTTAGTAGAGATGGGGTTTCACCATGTTGGCCAGGGTGGTCTTGAACTCCTGACTTCATGATCCACCTGCCTCGGCCTCCTAAAGTGCTGGGATTACAGGCGTGAGCCACTGCGCCTGGCCTACATCAGTTCTTTTAAAACAATGTCACTGTGCCAGGAGTTTGAGATCAGCCTGGGCAATATAGCAAGACTCTGTCTCTAAAAAAAGAAAATCACTTTAATACAGATGAGAGACAGAGGCTTAATTTTTAGCTGATATGTATTGAGCAGCCATAAACTTTCTTTCTACTATTGCAAAGGAAAGGTTATACTCTGTCACTTGGAATCTTGTGTAATAATAATTAAGTAGTAAACTAGATACCCACAATTCCTGTAAGCATCATGACTTGAATATCATTCTGCATTAATAGTTTACTCACTGTCTACTGTGTATTAATATGCATTTCCTAAATTCTGTCTAAGGTTTGATGGCTTTAAAAAGTACTAAAATTGGGGCTGCATCTTTGCTGTTTGCAAAACTCAGCCATTCTACCCTGTGGGCTTTGGAGAGTCCAAACCAACTGAGGGTGGAAGGGATCCCCCAGCACAGCACAGCTGTTCTACCAAAACATGGCCAGACTGCTTCTTTAAGTGAGTCGCTGATCTGTTCCTCCTCACTGGGCAGGACCTCTCAACTGGGGCCTCCAGCCACCCCTGCCAGTGTTCTCTGGCCAACAGAGATTTGAAAACTTCCTAGGACAAAGTTCCTAAAGGGCAGGGTGAGCTACCATCTTTGCTATTTGGGTGACCTAGCCATTCCAGCCTCTAGGTGTTGAAGAGCCCAAGCCAACTGGGAGAGGAAGTATATCCCAGCACAGCATGGCTGCTCTACAAAAGCATGGCCAGACTGCTTCTTTAAGTGGGTCCCTGATCCCCTTCCTTTTGACTGGGTGAGATCTCCCAACTGGGGTCTTCAGCCACCTTCTACAGGTGTGTTTGAGCCAGCAACAGGTGTGCACTTCCCTGGGATGGAGCTCTCAGAGGAAGGGGTGGGCTGCCCTCTTTGCTGTTTTACAGCCTTCACTGGTGATACTTCCAGGTACTGGAAAACCCAAGGTGACTGGGACCAGGCTGCCAGCAAACCACAGCAGCCCTACAGAAAAGTGATCAAGCTGTTAAAACAAAAACAAAAACCATCCAAAGGTCAGCAACCTCAAAGATTGAAAATAGATAATCCCATAAAGATGAGAAAGAATCAGCACAAGAATGCTGAAAACTCAAAAAGGCAAAATGCCCTCTTTCCTCCAAATGACTGCATCACCTCTCCAGCAAGGGTTTGGAACCAGGCCAAGGCTGTGATGGCTGAAATGACAGAAGTAGAATTCAGAATATGGATAGGAACAAACTTCACTGAATTAAAGGAGGATATTGTAACCCAATGGAAGGAAGCTAAAAATCATGATAAAACATCATAGGAGCTGACAGACAAAATAGCCAGAGTGGAGAAGAATGTAACCAACCTGACAGAGCTGAAAAGCACACTGTAAGAATTTCATAATGCAATCACAAGTATTAATAGCATAATCAAGCAGAGAAAAGAATCTCAGAGCTTGAAGAATGTCTTTCTGAAATAAGATAGGCAGCCAAGAATAGAGAAGAAAGAATGAAAAGGAATGAACAAAACGTCTGAGAAATATGAGATTATGTAAAGAGACTGAATCTTTGACTGATTGGTGTACCTGAAAGAGATGGGGCAAATGGAACCAATTTGGAAAACACATTTCAGGATATCATCCCTGAGAACTTCCCCAACCTAGCTAGACAGGCCAACATTCAAATTCAGGAAATGCAGAGAACCCCAGTAAGATACTCCATGAGAAGGTCATCCCCAAGACACATAATTAACACATTCCCTAAGGTCAAAATGAAAGAAAAAATGTTAAGGGGACCTAGAGAGAAAAGCCAGGTCACTTACAAAGGGAAGCCCAGCAGACTAACAACAGACCTCTCAGAGGAAAACCTATAAGCCAGAAGAGATTGGGGGCCAACACTCAGAATTCTTAAAGAAAATAATTTTCAACCCAGAATTTCATATCTGGCCAAACTAAGCTTCATAAACGAAGGAGAAATAAGATCCTTTTCAGACAAGCAAATGCTGAGGGAATTCATTACTACCAGACCTGCCTTACAAGAGCTCCTGAAGGAAGCACTAAATATGGAAAGAAGGCCGGGCATGGTGGCTCATGTCTGTAATCCCAGCACTTTGGGAGGCCAAGGTGGGCACATTACTTGAGGCCAGGAGTTTGAGACCAGTCTGGGCAACATGGTGAATCCCCGTCTCTACTAAAAATACAAAAATTAGCTGGGTGTCATGTTGCACACCTGTAATCCCAACTACCTGGGAGGCTGAGGCATGAGAATTGGTTGAACCCAGGAGGCAGAGGTTGCAGTGAGCCGAGATTGCACCACTGCATTCCAGCCTGGGTGACAGAGTGAGACTGTGTCTCAAAAAAAAAAAAATATATATATATAGATATAGATATAGATATATATGGAAGGAAAAGACTGTTACTAGCCACTGCAAAAACACACTGTAGTACACAAAGCAGTGACACTATAAAACAACTACATAAACCAGCCTGCAAAATAACCAGTTAACAACATCATGATGACAGGATCAAATGTATACATATCAATAATAACCTTAAATGTAAATGGGCTAAATGCCCAATTAAAAGACACAGAATGGCAAGTTGGATAAAGAACCATGACCTAGTGGTATGCTGTCTTCAAGAGACCCATCTCATGTGCAATGACACACATAGGCTCAAAATAAAGGGATGGAGGAAAATTTACAAAGCAAATAGAAAACAGAAAAAAGCAGGGGTTGCAATCCTAGTTTCTAACAAAACAAACTTTAAACCAACAAAGATAAAAAAAGACAAAGGGGGCATTATATAATGGTAAAGGGTTCAATTCAACAAGAAGACCTAACTATTCTAAATGTATATGCACCCAACATAGGAATACCCAGATTCATAAAGCATGTTCTTAGAGACCTTCAAAGAGACTTAGAGTCCCACACAATAATAGTGAGAGACTTTAACCACCTGCTGACAATATTAGACAGATCATCAAGAAAGAAAATTAACAAAGATATTCAGGACCTGAACTCAGCACTGGATCAAATGGACCTGATAGATATCTACAGAACTCTCCACATGAAAACAACAGAATATACATTCTTCTCATTGCCACGTGGCACTTACTGTAAAATCAGTGACATAATCAGAAGTAAAACACCTCTCAGCAAATGCAAAAGACCTGAAATCATAACAATATCTCAGACAACAGTGCAATCAAATTAGAACTCAAGATTAGGAAATTCATTCAAAACTGTACAATTACATGGAAATTGAATAACCTGCTCCTGAATGACTTTTGAGTAAATAAATGAAATTAAGGCAGAACTCAAGAAGCTCTTCGAAACTAATGAGAACAAAGATATGACATACCAGAATCTCTGGGACACAGCTAAGGCAGTGTTAAGAGGGAAATTTATAGCACTAAACACCCTCATCAGATCTCAAGTTAACAACCTAATATCACAACTAAAACAAATAGAGAAGCAAGAGCAAACAAATCCCAAAGCTAGCAGAAGTCAATAAATAACCAAAATCAGAGGTGAACAAAGGAGATAGTCATGAAAAATCATTCAAAAGATGAATCCAGGAGCTAGTTTTTTTTGAAAAAATTAATAAGATAGATAGACCACTAGGTAGACTAACGAAGAAAACAGAGAAGATTCAAATAAACACAGTGAAAAATGGTAAGGGGAATATTACCACTGAACACACAGAAATACAAGCAACCATCATAGAATAGTATGAATACATCTATGCACATAAACTAGAAAATCTAAAAGAAATGGATAAATTTCTGGACACATACACCCTTTTAAGACTGAGCCAGGAAGAAATTCAGTCCCTGAACAGACCAATAATGAGTTCTGAAATTGAGGCAGTAATAAATAGCCTAACAACCAAAAAAAGCCCAGGACCAGATGGATTCACAGCTGAATTCTAGCAGATGTACAAAAAAGAGCTGATATCATTCCCACTGAAACTATTTCAAAAAGTTGAAAAGAAGGGACTCCTCCCTAACTCATTCTATGAGGCCAGCATCATCCTGAAACAAAACCTGGCAGAGATACAACAACTACAAAAAAACTTCAGGCCAAGATCCTTGGTGAACATTGATGCAAAAATCCTCAACAAAATACTGGCAAACTGAATCCAGCAGCACATCAAAAAACTCATTCACCAGGACCAAGTGGGCTTCATCCCTGGGATGCAAGGTTAATTGAACATACACAAATCGATAAATGTGATTCATCACATAAACAGAACTAAAGGCAAAACCACACGATTATCTCAACAGATGCAGAAAAAGCTTTCGATAAAATTCAACATCCATTCATGTTAAAAACTCTCAATAAACTAGGTATTGAAGTAACATACCTCAAAAAAGTAAGAACCATATATGACAAACCCGCAGCTAATATCCTACTGAAAGGGCAAAAGCTGGAAGCATTCCCCTTGAAAACAGGCACAATACAAGGATGCCCTCTCCCACTGCTCCTATTCAACATAGTATTGGAAGTTCTGGCCAGGGCAATCAGGCAAGAGAAAGAAATAAAGGGCATTCAAATAGGAAGAGAGGAAGTCAAACAATCCATGTTTGCAGATGATATGGTCCTATATCTAGAAAACTCCATCATCTCAGCCCAAAAGCTTCTTAAGCTGATAAACAACTTCAGCAAAGTCTCAGGATACAAAATCAATGTGCAAAAATAACTAGCATTCCTAAACACCAACAACAGTCATGCCAAGGGCCAAATCAGGAATGAACTCCCATTCACAATTGCCACAAAAAAATACAATACCCAGTAATACAGCTAACTAGGGAGGTAAAAGATCTCTACAAGGAAAACTACAAACCACTGCTCAAAGAAATCAGAGATGACACAAACAAATGGAAAAACATTCCATGCTCATGGATAGGAAGAATCAATATCATTAAATTGGCCATGCTGCCCAAAGCAATTTATAGATTCAATGCTTTTCCCATTAAACTACCATTGACATTCTCCACAGAACTAGAAAAAACTATTTTAAAATTCATATGGAACCAAAAAGGAGTCTTGCTCTGTTGCCCAGGCCGGAGTGCAGTGGTGCAATCTCAGCTCCCTGCAACCTCTGCCTACCAGGTTCAAGTGATTCTCATGCCTCATCCTTTCAAGTTGCTGGGATTACAGGTGTGTGCCATCACATCTGGCTAATTTTTGTATTTTTTTAGTAGAGATGGGGTTTCGCCATGTTGGCCAGGCTGTTCTCAAACTCCTGCTCTCAAGAGATCCACCTGCCTTGGCCTCCTGAAGTGCTGGTATTACAGGCGTGAGCCACTGCACCCAGCCATCAGTGGTTCTTTCTTATATCCAGAGCTTCAGGGAACTTGTGTGGGGCCTGCCAGTTTCCTGGTGGCAGTAGTGTAGGGTGAGAAAAGCGGCTGTCCTTTGCCAATACCGCTTCTAGGATTATATTTACTAAAGTTAACTTTTCTTAGGAAAGTAGGTAATTGGTTGTTTTTTTCTCTGGTTTTCATGGTATTCATTCAATTAGTTAATTAAACAAATATTTATTGAGCAGTTACAATGTGCCAGGGATTGTTCTAAGTGATGGGCATATATCAATGAACAAAATAGACAAAATTCCTGCGCTCGGAAGCTTACATTTTAGTGGCAAAAGACAGATAACAAAATAAATCAGTAGATTATATACTGTAGTATGTGGGAAGAGGGTATTATGGGAAAAAAAAGAACAAGGAAGAGAACTAAGGAAAACCTGGGGGATGGGGAGCTGCAATGTCAAATAGGGTGGTTATGGAGTGATTCACAGAGAAGCCTTTTTTTTTTTTTTTTTTTTTTTTTAAGATGGAGTCTCACTCAGTCACCCAGGCTGGAATGCAGTGGCGTGATCTCGGCTCACTGCAACCTCCGCCTCCTGGGTTCATGTGATTCTCAGGCATGGGCCACCACACCCAGCTAATTTTTGTATTTTTAGTAGTGACGAGGTTTCACCATGTTGGCCAGGATGGTCTCGATCTCTTGACTTCATGATCCGTCCACCTCGGCCTCCCAAAGTGCTGGGATTACAGGTGTGAGCCATCGCGCCCGGCTCACAGAGAAGACATTTAAGCAGAGACGAGACTTGGTGAGAGCAGAGTCATGCCAATATCTAGGGGAAGATCATTCCATAAGTACAATGATCTTAAGCGTGCTTTCCTTGTTAGTTTTTAGTTTGCCATTTTCCTCTCTTTAGATTTGGTAATGATGGGGAATGGGAAATAATTTTGAAGTTCTTATTAACTTAGAAATGTTGAATGTCAATAACCTATTGTTTTCTTGGTCTCTTTTTTCCCTTCAGCTCACTTTGAGTTTCTTTACCTGTAATTCCTGATGGAGATTCCCTAAATGAGAATAGTGCTGAAGACTAACAGTTAATCACATCTCTTCTTAGGGGGAAGAGATAAAAAGGGCTGGGAAGCCAATTAAAAAAATAGGTCCAATTTCAGTGTTTACTCCTCTGAAAGTCCTGCTCATTGCAAAGTTTGGCATACGAAGGAGGACTTGGAACTCGTTGAATGCCAGGGACAACAGGGAAAAAGACCTCAAAAAACAAAACAGCAATATAATAATGAATTCTACTCTCATTTCATACATTTAAACATTAAATGGTAACAATAGTCATTAATATAGTTATAAAACCATAAAATAATATTTCCAGTATAATTTAAAATTCCGAATACCTAAGCGAAAAGTACAACTTCTGCTTGTCTCATATTAACTCCAGTTTCAAAAAGGGCCCTTTTATTGCAGTGCTGGTGTCAAGGTACACCAGATTTCTACCGGCAGGGTCAGGCTCTATTATGAAAGTGCCTTGGAAGACAAAACTGTGCTGAACAAACACGAAACACCAGTGTTGTTCACCAGGTGTGTTGTTGCCCCTTTTGGAAGTGTGGTCAAGTATTTAATAGCATTTGACTAATATATATTCATCCATAATGAAAGCCAGACACTTTATGAAAAGTTCACTTTATTCTTTGTGAATGGACACGTTATTTAGCCTCTTCGTGCCTCAGCTCCCTCAGCTGAAAAGTGAGAATATAACGACACTTAACTGCTTTATAGGGTTAAAGTGAGGATTAAGTGGGATAATTCATGCAAATCTCTAAGAACAGTGCCTGACATACAAAAAGCGCTAAACATGTTGCCAATTATTAACTTCACAAAAATATCTACAGTGGAGCGGCAGTTCCGAGTTCTATTGAGGTCTAGTGTAAGATACATCTCTCACAGTATCTTGTAAATTTTTGATTCTACCATCATCAAAACTAGCTCAATTAATGTATCAGTTCGGTCATCTCAAGAACATTTATTAAACCCTCACTCTGGTTACATCTTGTATCAGGGAATTAGTTGATTTTAATCCAGTGCTTTGGTTTTCACTGGAGGAAAAAAGTTCACAGCGTTATTAAGTCCCAGATATTTGCCAGGTGTTCAGAGTTTTAGAAAGCTTATTGTCAGAGACTAAACTAAGAAGGCTTTTGAAGGCGCTCAGATCAGGTGGGAAAGTGAGAAGGGCTGGTATTGTGTTCCGAGTATGTCAAGAAGGAGCTCCTGGCCTGGGCCTATTGATGGGCGTTTAGAACCCTCCTGGGCATTATTTCTAGCTGGCGGCTGAATAAGAGGCAAGAGTCACCCTCTTTTTGAGTTAAATCACGTGCTTAATTAAAAGTGAAGGTGGCGGCGGCCTCAGCGCCCTCCCCCTCCGTGCTGCTGGCTTCTTCCCAACGGTGTTCTGGCCACGTCCTGCGCCTTCTCGCGCACGGGAGAGCGCTCTGGGTAGAGGCCGGGCCCGGGCAGCAGGTGGCCCCAGGTAGCTCAGTGGCGTGGCAGTCTCCTTCTCGCCCGGTCCGGAGCGGAGGGGAGCGGCTCAGGTGCCGGCTCGGGGGAGGCCCGGGCACCTCGGGGATCCAGAGCCCGCTGGCGCCGCGCCCGGGAGGGCACCACCGGCGAGGACGAAGCCGCGCCTCCTCCCGGAACTGGCCGGCGCCGCGAGGCGGGAGGAGCAGCGGGAGCCGGGCAGCCGCGCGCCGGGGACCATGGACGTCCTTCCCACCGGCGGGGGCCGCCCGGGGCTCCGGACGGAGCTGGAATTCCGCGGCGGCGGTGGCGAGGCGAGGCTGGAGAGTCAGGAGGAAGAAACGATTCCTGCAGCTCCCCCAGCCCCGCGCCTCCGGGGAGCGGCGGAGCGGCCGCGGCGCTCCCGGGACACGTGGGACGGCGATGAGGACACGGAGCCCGGCGAGGCGTGCGGCGGCCGCACAAGCCGCACGGCGTCCCTGGTGAGCGGGCTGCTCAACGAGCTGTACAGCTGCACAGAGGAGGAGGAGGCGGCGGGCGGGGGCCGCGGGGCCGAGGGCCGCCGGCGGCGCCGCGACAGCCTCGACAGCTCCACCGAGGCCTCGGGCTCCGACGTGGTCCTGGGCGGCCGCAGCGGTGCCGGCGACTCCCGCGTGCTGCAGGAGCTGCAGGAGCGACCGAGCCAGCGGCATCAGATGCTGTACCTGCGGCAGAAAGGTGAGGGCCGGGCGCAGCAGGGTCCCGGGGGCTTCCTGGAGCCGGGTTGTCCTCGCCGTCTCTGCCCGCGCTCCAGCGCGCACCTGGGCTGCTCGGCGGAGCGCTCAGATACTGTCTCTTTGGATCTGACGGTGGTACCCACCGTGGCACAGATTTATGTCCACACTTAGTTCTTAAGTTCTCCGGAGTAATTGAATCAAGCGTCAGTTGATGGAGTGGGCAGTTTCCCCGCTCTTCCCTCCTCCCATCTCCCGGTGTGTTCGCGGAGGCCCCAGGGGAGAGGCAGCCCAGATTCTAATTTCACCTGAACAGCTGTTAGGACAGGGTTGGAGGTTCTGATACGTATACCTGACCTACCTAGAGGGCGCCGCCAGAATCGAGGCGAGTCGTAGGGCTGTTCTTTCCTTTTTTTTTTTTTGTTTTTTTGTTTTTAAAGTCCGCCTTCTCTGGTCACACCACTTAGTGTTTAACTAGTGAGGCAGAATAATTCGATAATGCGGTTTCGAAGCAGAGCGTGTGAATTCTATTTCTGCCAGAGCGTACGGTTCCAGGCAGCTCACTAGGAATTTTTGTTGTTGTTGTTTTGTTTTCTTTTTTTCCTTCTCGGTGGCAGGTTAGTGGAGGGCCCTAGAGTGTTGAGGTTTATTACAGAATTTAACTGCTGGTACCTTCAGTTGGCATGGAGAGGTCGACCTGAGAAAATGGCCTTGGCTTTCAGGGAGAGAGGCTAATTTGGTGTTTCTTTTGTTATGAGACTCTGATGCTCGTGTCTTGAGCTCGTGTCACACTTTTTTTTTTCATCTGGTCATAATAGCTTGCCTTTCAGGCAGTAACACAGTTATTAGAGTTGTCTTTTTTGGTATAGAAATATCAAGACCTCCATTTACAAAATGAGGTGACGTATGGAAAACAGATGCCGAGCCACCATAACATTTCTTGACAGTAATGTCCTTGGGCTGAGTTACCAGGGGAGGGAGGAAGGAGAGTCTCCCATCTCCTCACTGTATTAAAAAAAAAAAAAACCTAGGAAAAGAATAAATCTGTCTGCTTTCTCAGACCTACGTAAACAGCTTTTAGCTTCCTCTTTTGACTTCCTAGTGAAGATTTTTTTTTTTTTTCCCCAGCTGATTGTTACAGATAGCTTCCAGGTTCCTCCCCCTGCCTGGGACTTTGGCTGTAGCTGTGCCATTTCATTTTATAGAATTATTTGGTTGTTCTCAGAGTGTCTGTGTATGCCACAAGTCCCATAGGGCAATAGTTCTTTCAGACTCCAACAGAATCAATTTTGAAGAATTATGATTTCTCTTTTTACAAGGTTTTACATTTTTCATCACCGAGGGAATTCTGGGGATTAGTAATTTCCTTTTTGAAGAGGAAAATTGGCAGACTAAAGTTTAAAGAAGTAGTAACGGTACAGCTAACTATGCAAGTGGATTTCATATGAGTGGCCACACAACTAACCATCCACAAGCCCTGTAATAGTTCGTTTTGCCTGTTCGGTCTTATTGCATAGCTAGTTGCTGGTTAAACCTTTCTTCCCTTGTAGTCAACCCTATTAAGATGAACAAAATGCCATATCATAATAGTCCTATACACACATATGCGTGCTTACGTGTGCACACATACACACACTAACATGCTCCCTCTCCCCTTTATTGATAACATCATTCGCGTGCTAAGATTAAAGTATCAGGTGATGATACAGCTGTCTGCGTAAAGAATGCTGCTTATCAGGTTATTTGATCTTTTTCTCAGGCTCAAAAAATATTCCCCCCAATATAACTACTCTGCATTCAGTAAGAATGTCATACAATACTGATAGCCTGTGTATTGTCTCCTCTCCCTGCCAGGGATTTTGCTGTAGCACTTATTTAGCTATATATTTAACATGTGTAGGTCCTTTAGGTGAGGCACCAGAATGGTTTCTCAGGACATCTGGGCTCTCTTCAGTATTTCCTTGGTTAAGGGGATGAATTTTGGAGTCAGACTCCTGGGTTGATATCCGGCCGCAGTTCCTTACCAGCTGTGTGACCTTGGACAAGCTATTTAACATCTCTGTGTCTCACTTTCTTATAAATAGGGATAATAATAATACCTACCTCAGAGGGCTGTGGTGAGAATTACATAAGTTAGAGTGTATGAAGTGCTCAACAGATGTTAGATATAACTTTTTATCATATACCCTGGAATTCCTTAGGACACTGAGCACAGGTTGTGAGTTGACAATGTCCTTATTTTTCCTCAGTTATTTAACACTGTGTAAGAGGCTATGGCCGATGTCATGGAGCATTCAAAGATGAAAGAGACCTGTTTCCATCCCCAAGAGGCTTCTATACCAGCAGATATTGCTGTAAAAGACATTTTCACCCTCAACTCTGAAAAAATTTTCCCATATTGAACAATAAATGTAATTCAGAGAACTGGAGTTGTAGGCACCTTAGGGATCACTGGAAATGAGATAATGTAAGAACCCTTTTGTGGAGGAAAAGTATAATTTAAATGTTTTGTGATTATATTCCTACCCCTTTTATTTCTAGAAGGAAAATGTTGATTTGGTTCTTTGGTTTCACCATGTTGGTCAGGCTGGTCTCAAACTCCTGACCTCAGGTGATCTGCCTGCCTCGGCCCCCTGAAGTGCTGGGATTACAGGTGTGAGCCACCGTGCCCAGCCCAAAATATTGAAATATTCAGAGAAAGATGTTTGTTCTATCTGAAGGCATCTAGGAATGAAGAGCCTCTGGTTGCCTCTTGTAGGCTTTTTCTCATATTTAATCATATTTTCATTTAACTTAAATGTTCTCTTTTCATTATATCCTACTATGTTTAAAATTAGGGGGACAGGAAGAACTAGCCTTTGCCCTCTTCTTCATGGTAATTCCTTATTTTTACTTAAAGCGTTATTTATGTTAGTGTTTATAAAGACCATACCCATTTGTTTCTCAGCATAATCCTGTATGCTAGGCATAATTTGAGACTTGGAGCACACTTCCTTGCCTAAAAATCACTCAGAGAGTTGGCTGATCCAAAAGCAGTCCTTTTTAACTCAGGGCCAAATGCATTTTCCATGGTGAGGTCAGGTTTGAGAACCCTGCATTTGTTTGTTACAGACCCCAAAAGTTGACTTTGATCTCTAGAGTGCATTTCTACTTTTGAGCATTTATTTTCTTCTCTTCTGATTCTCTTTAGTTTCTCCATATCCCTTTAAAAATGAGTAGATCCAAACCCCACAGAGAACCTCTAATGGGGGGCTAGCTAAGGTTAAGTTGAGTGGAAGGCTTTGCCTGCCTACTAGATCATGCTCTAGTGACTAATCATATCAAATGTGACCAAAAAAAACCTCCTCCCAAATCGTAATGATCATTTATATAAAGACAGTAGACAATTCTGGTTCCCAAATTTGTTTTGACCTATAGAAAAACTGCTGTTAAGGGGAGGGAGAGCATTAGAACAAATACCTAATGCATGTGGGGCTTAAAACCTAGGTGATGGGTTGATGGGTGCAGCAAACCACCATGGCACATGTATACCTGTAACAAACCTGCATACTCTGCACATGTATCCTGGAACTTAAAGTAAAATAAAGTAAAAAAAAAAAAACTGCTGTTGTGAATATTAGTTTTATGAATGTAGAATTATTGTAATTTATCTGTGTAAAGGAAATTTATTTTCTACCATATTTGAAAAATTGCTGAGGCTCTAAGATGAAATATTGTACCTCTAAGACAAAATGTTTTTAGGCTATTGGAAGACTGGATATTCAAAACAAAATCAGTATTGCCACATTCATCTACATTACAAAATGTGGTAAAATTATTTACTTTTAGCTCATCATTTGTAAACATAGATGAGTACTTTAAAGACTTTTTTTTTTTTTTTTTCTTTGAGACGGAGTTTCGCTCTTGTTGCCCAGGCTGGAGTGCAATGGCGCGATCTTGGCTCACTGCAGCCTCCTCCTCTCGGGTTCAAGCAATTCTGCCTCAGCTTCTGGAGTAGCTGGGATTACAGGCATGTGCCACCACTCCCAGTTAATTTTGTATTTTTAGTAGAGATGGGGTTTCTCCATGTTGGTCAGGCTGGTCTCCAACTCCTGACCTCAGGTAATCTGCCCTCCTTGGCCTCCCAAAGTGCTGGGATTACAGGTGTGAGCCACCACGCCTGGCCTTTAAAGACTTTTTTTTTTTTTTAATTAGCTGTTAGGTTTATTATTAATGTAACAGACTAAAAAAGATTCTTTTCTAGCAAGCTTACCATCTGAACACTTCAGTGGTACAAAATATACATGCCAGTTTTCAGGCAATGAAAAGTAAATTTGCAGCCAGAGCTAGATATGGTAAAAGTAGGAGTTTTTGCTCCATGTTACAGATAGGCTTAAGGATAAATTTACCTTACAGTATCTGTCTCATGGACAGGGCAGATAAATGAGTGACTTATTTGATCGGAATGTCCGAGCTGAATGCATACATGTAATCTTGAGTGAAAACCTAGAATTAGTTGGTTTAAATGGATGTTCTATTTATCTTTGGACTAATATCACACTGGAATTTGTATTCCTCTCAAGGTATTAATCGTTATTCTTATTTTTCTTTACTGATAGACGCTAATGAACTGAAGACGATCCTTCGAGAGCTAAAGTACAGAATTGGCATCCAGTCGGCCAAGTTACTTCGGCATCTGAAGCAGAAAGATAGGCTTCTGCATAAAGTGCAGAGGAACTGTGATATTGTGACTGCCTGCTTGCAGGCTGTGTCACAGAAGAGAAGTAAGTACTGGAATTGGGTTACTTCTTTTGCCACATGCAACTAGAATGTTAGGAAAGCTGAGCCAACAGTCTGTGTTTGTGAATATATTGAGAAGTTTTAAATGCAAGCTTATACCCTCAGAACTAAGAACAAGGAACAACTCAGACAGTTTCCTATTTTTCAGTTAAAATGTATACTTCATGTCTAATGTTACAACCTTAGATTTATTATTCTAGATTTGAAGTAGTACTTTACTTTGACAATAATTTTACCTAATGCTGAATGATGATTACAATTTTATTTTATTTATTTATTTATTTATTTGAAACAGAGTCTCACTCCGTCACCCAGGCTGGAGTGCAGTGGCGTAATCTTGGCTGAATACAACCTCCGCCTCCCAGGTTCAGGCAATTCTCCTGTCTAAGCCTCCTGAGTAGCTGGAACTACAGGCGCCCGCCACCAGGCCTGGCTAATTTTTGTATTTTTAGTAGAGACGAGGTTTCACCTTGCTGGTCAGGCTGGTCAGGCTGATCTCAAACTCCTGATCTCAGGTGATTCACCCTTCTTGGCCTCCCAAAGTGCTGGGATTACAGGCGTGAGCCCCTGCGCCTGGACAAATTTTTATTTTTAAAACAGCATCACTGGCTGGGTGTGGTGGCTCACACCTATAATCCCAGCACTTTTGGAGGCCGAGGCTGGTGGATCACCTGAGGTCAGGTGTTTGAGACCAGCCTGGCCAACATGGTGAAACCCCATCTCTACTAAAAATTAGCTGGTCGTGGTGGCTGGCACCTGTAGTCCCAGCTACTCAGGAGGTTGAGGCAGGAGAATCACTTGAACCTGGGAGGCAGAGGTTGCAGTGAACCGAGATCGCACCATTGCACTCCAGCCTGGGCGACAAGAGCGAAACTCCATCTCAAAAAAAAAATAAATAAATAAAAATAAAAATAAATAAATAAAACAGCATCACACAGACATAACCTAAAAGGCATGTCCTTTTTCTCTTATTCTGTGTTGCTACAGTAAGTGAATTAAATAATTGATTTAAAGAAATCGATTCTTGTAACAGGACCTTAACAACTTGCTCTGAAATCTGAAGATGGCAACATAGTTTAGCAAATGTAACCTATCTCTTGCATAATCATAACTAAGAGCTGTGTGGGAGCTGTGTGGTTTGTTAATCAATTAAAAATAAATTGTTAAATTGCTGATACACATTAAATACTAGGTATAAAACCTTGTGAATTAATTTTAAAATTCTCCATGCAATAGCCTTATGTTTTATTCTGCTAACATTTAACTATTTTTGTTTTGCATTCTTTATTAACATGCAGCATGGCAGAACAGTATGCTCAGGTATGGTAAATATAGGTACAATGATGTTTTTGATAAAATGCCTGTGACAGCTTTTCAGGCGATTGTGGAAGTTGCCTTTTGTTGCTCTTTCACTCTGTCACATTTTGTACGTAAATTGACACCTCCTAGAGTGCTTTTTTTTCAAAATTGCAAATTAAGATGTGTTTGCTTTCATGAAACAATTTTTGGGGTTTGATTAGTTTCTGGTAATGAAATTAATCGCTTAAATTTCATTCTTATGTTTATTATTAAAAGAAAATCCTGTATTTTCTTGCTTCTCTTCTATTATATTGCTGTTTGTTATCCCTAAAGTATTATTTATGCTGTTTATTAAAGAAGGTTTTACCTAATAGATATTAACAGATTGCTGCAGGCCGGGCATGGCGGCTCACGCCTATAATCCCAGCACTTTGGGAGGCCAAGGTGGGCAGATCACCTGAGGTTAGGAGTTCGAGATCAGCCTCGCCAACACGGTGAAACCCCATCTCTACTAAAAATATAAAAATTAGCTGGGTGTGGTGACACATCTGTAATCCCAGCTACTCAGGAGGCTGAGGCAGGAGAATCACTTGAACCCAGGAGGCGGGGGTTGCAGTGAGCCAAGATTGCGCCACTGCACTCCAGCCTGGGCAACAGAGTGAGGCTCTGTCTCAGAAAAAAAAAAAGAAAGAGTGCTGCTTGATTATCATAATAATATCACTGTCGTTCATACAAACAGGAATGCGATTGAGTAGACTGACTTTGAATAGGCTTTTCTCCAGAGTCAAGCACTTGTCTGACATAGCTAGAGAAGGAAGAAGGGTGTGTAGGGGTGTGTGTGTGTGTGTGTGTGTGTGTGTGTGTGATTTGTGTGTAGCTATTGAAAGGTGGCATGTATTATAAGTATTTGATAGTTTTCCATTAATTCTGATTGATTTACACATGTCAAGTTAAAAAATATTTTCCCCTTCTATTATGAGATACCTTGGTTTTGATTCTTCTCCTTTCAACTATGTTTATATCCTACTCATTATTATTGTTTGTACCAGCAGCTGAAAGCACAGAATGGTAAATGCATGGGTTTTTGATGTGTGGGAAAGTATAAGGGAGGGTGGAACAAGTTCAGGAGATAGAGAGGTATATCAGGTTAGTCCAGGGTCACAGATTGGTGGATTCTATTGTTAGTTACTAGGGACTGATTATCATTTGGAATTTAAATTTACTTGATTTATATAAGGACTGGCATTTATGTCATTTTAGAAAAATGTGCCCACAAGCGCTCACCGTAATTCATGAATTTGTCAATGCATCCTTCCTATGTATTTTAGAGTTTGTCTCTTTAATTCCAGCCAGGGTTTTGCATTTCAGAGAATACAGGGTTGTCTGGCACCTTTCCTGAGAGTTCAATTCTCTCTTTGCTAATAAGACCCTATTCAATGGAACAGAATGTTTTTTGGTAAGAAATAACTGCATTAGAATTATTACTTTCATCACAGGATACTGTATTTTGATATAGACACTGTCAAAAATTTGACTACATGGTTATTTACCCATCTTAAAACTCCAGAGGTTAGATATTTCATGACTAAATCCCTGATTCCAGTAGTTGCATGTTTTGCCTCTTTCCTCAAAGTCAACTAATTCTAAAGAATTGAGATTTTTTAAAAAAACTGAGATTTCACTATCACACTGAATAACATATTGACTTTCTTGTATTTAGTTTGCAGAAGTTCAGATAATCCCCATTTTGGCCTCCACATAGATTTGATGCTTATGATTCTTTGCATAAGTGACTTTTCCCCTTCTTCTTCCTTCTTCTTCTTCTTTTTTTTTTTTTTTGGAGACAGAGTCTCACTCTGTCGCCCAGGCCCAGGAGTGCAGTGCTGCAGTCTTGGCTCATTGCAATCTCTGCTTCCCGGGTTCAAGCGATCCTCTTACCTCATCCTCCCGAGTAGCTGGAACTTAGGTGGGTGCCACTATGCCCAGCTAATTTTTGTATTTTTTGTAGAGACACAGTTTCACCATGTTACCCAGGCTGGTCTTGAACTCCTGGGCTCAAGCAATCTGCCCTCCATGGCCTCCCAAAATGCTGGGATTACAGGTGTGAGCCACCTCACCTGACATATTTTTCTCCTTCTATAACATGCTATAGAATAAAAACTATTTTATTGTTTTATTAAACTGGGTTATTTCTTGTTAATACACAAAAGGGAATATAGTAATTTTGAAATAAGAGTCACAAGTAAATATAATTAATGAACCAAAATGGCTAGATCATTTTTATTTCTAACACAAATGACATAGCTACTTACATTTTATGGTTTCCTACACCAAGCCTTATAGTAGTATCTCCTTGTTTTAAAACTGGGCTGGGAATAAGAAAAACAAGATCAATATTGTATTATAGAAGATCATACTTTTTTTTCCCCTATATTTAACCATTTAAGGATAACCATGGTATAACCAATTTAATACTGAAAATTGATAATAAGAGCAGCAGCAGCTGTTACCATTCACTGAGTACATGCTTTATGCCAAACTTGCTTTTATTTCTCACAGCAACTTCAAAATGGTATGTAGCTTTAGGCATATTTTATTAGGAAACTGATTCAGAAAGGTTAAGTAATTTGGCAAGCGTCACACAGCTGGTAAGTATTTGAGATAGGATCTGAAGATAGGTATCTCAAAAGTCCACACTTTACATTATAAACTGTGACATAAGAGGGTTCTACTTTTTCTTAGCAGTTAGATAGATAACTGTAATGTTATTGGAATACAACTGAGCAAGAATAAATTTATAACATGAGTTATAAATACAGAGTTTCTGGTTTATTAGAACGTGTGGCTTCAGCATAGTTTGCATATGAAATCAGTACTTTATCTTTCTTGGGCCAAATGGATTATTGAACAAATGTAGCTTAGTGTGCAGGAAAATACACCTAAAAGCTTCAAGGCACAATTAGAAGAATAAAAAGAGTATTTGGTCAGAAGGTTGATTCTGATGTTAGGATTTTTAAGTGGCTTGCTTAACCTGTTTTTCCTGAAAGCAGAAGGAAGGTCATATTAATTATTAGCATTGTATAGTTTTGCTATTTCCTGCATTGGTATAGTAAATGTTTAAGTTATGCTGATTGAATTTGTGAAGTAGTTTTACAGATCAAGTGATAAAATCTAGCTGTCACTTGAAAACTGAAAAAAAACATGAACAAAATGTGAATATATGCAGAAATATTATCTTAGCTTTGCTGATCAATATAGAAATTTTAGACAGCTTACAGCCTAATTTTATTAATGTGTCCACTCTCACATCCTGATAATAATGTGATTAAATCTTACTATGATAAATGCCTAAAATGCCTGGTAGAGACTGATGGTTTGTGAAATAGGTGAATAATCTTTTTCTTTTCATAATGAGTGTCTTCTCTTCATTAATACCTTGTCCTCTGTGGCAGGAAAAAGAATTTGTGTGGTCCTGAGTTTGGTGGCACTAAAACTCAACATTTTCCACTAAAAGACAATTCTCTTTGTAAAATTATAAAAATAATCCACCCAGCCGGCATTTTCACTCCTAGATTTCTACCCGAGAGAATTGAAGACATATGTCCCCACAAAAACTTGTACAAAAATGTTCATAGCAGCATTGTTTATAATAGCCAAAAAGTAGAAACAATTCAAATGTCTATCAATGGATGAATGGATATATCAAATGTGATTATTATTCATATAATTGAATATTATTCAGCCATAAAAGAATGAAGTATTGACTCATGTTACATCATGGATAAACCTTGAAAACATTATTCTAAGTGAAAGAAGCCAGACAAAAAAATTACCATATTGTATGATTCCATTTGGCAAATATGTAGAGACAAAAAGTAGATTAGTGGTTGCTAGAGGCTGGGGGTAGGGGAATGGGCAGTGACTACTAATGGTATAGGTTTCTTATTGGTGTGGTGAAAATGTTCTGGAATTAGTTAGTGGTGATGGTTGTACAATTTTATGGCATGTGAATTATATAAAATATGATAAAGTGTTAAAAATGTAATATACCCATGGAAGCTTTGGAAAATACAGAAATGTAAAAGGAAGAGAAAAAATTATTTTTTAAAGACAGTCCCTTAGAATATTCAAGTGATGTTTTGTTGTTGTTGTTGTTTTGGTTTTGGTTTTTTGAGACAGTGTCTTGTTGTGTCACCCAGGCTGGAATGCAGTGGTGTGATCACAGTTCATTGCAACCTATGCCTCCTGGGCCCAAGTGATTCTCCCACGGCCTCCCGAGTAGTTGGGACTGCGGGTGTGTGCCACCACACCTGGCTAATTTGTGTGTGTGTGTGTGTTTGTGTGTGTGTATATATATATATGTTTTTTTTAATATTTTTGTAGAGATGGAGGCATGGAGGGGGTGGTGGGGGAAGGTCTTGCTATACTACTCAGGCTGGTCTCAAACTCCTGAGCTCAAGTGATCCTCCTGCTTCAGCCTCCCAAAGTGCTGGGATTATAAGGCGTAAGCTAACGTACTTGGCCTGTAGGAAGGTTTTAAATTATCGATCCAGCTTTTAAAATAACTACAGGATTATTTGTATCTTCTGTTTCTTCTTGTGTCATCCCTGGTGTATTATACAGAATTTGCCATAACTTTTCACATTTGCAGGCATAAAATTATTAAGAATATTTTGGGTGTTCCTTTAGTTTTTCAAGATGTTAAAACAATTTCACTGATTTTAAACAGGAATTCACTTACTACTTAAAATATCTTTTATTATAGAATGTATCATAAACAAGAGAATGTAATACATATATGTATTTTTTAAAGAATAAGTAAACAAAGGTGTATACATGTGGATATTCACCTGTCAAGCTTGAGTAACAAATATCACTGGCATGTTAAAAGCTCCCTGTGTGCTCCTTCCTGGCTGAAATCTCTCTCCCCCACATTTGTGTTAACCATTACCTTGCTTTTCTTTATACTTTCTCCACTTCCTGTATAGGTTCCTAAGCAATATATGGTTCTGAAAAACAGAGTAGCAAGCCCAAGCCTTGTTATGTGGGGAAAGGGTAATGTTGCTATCTTAGATAAAACCTTTCAGAAGATAAACTATACTGTCTCTGGGTCCCAACCTGGTTTTAGGTTCCCTTCTGGGGAAGTCAAAGGGCAAGGTTATAAACGAGCCCTGTGACTTCTGCCAGGCTATGCTTTAGGCTAGTTATTATTTATTTATTTATTTTTGAGATGGAATCTTGCTGTGTTGCCCAGGCCGGAGTGCAGTGGTGCGATGTTGGCTCACTGCAACCTCTGTCTCCCGAGTTCAAGCGATTTTCTTGCTTCAGCCTCCCCAAGTAGCAGGGATTACAGGTGTGTGCCACCACACCCAGCTAATTTTTTTTTAATTTTTAGTAGAGATGGGGTTTCACCATGTTGGCCAGGCTGGTCTTAAACCCATGACCTCAAATGATGCACCTGCCTTGGCCTCCCAAAGTGCTGGGATTACAGGCATGAACTACTATGCCCAGCCTAGGCTAGTTATGGAATAATCAACTAGGTTGGGGGAGAGGCTTGCTTTTTGTTTTTGATTCAAAGCTCAGCAAGGCCTTTCCATGCTCTCCCCTCCATGCCCACAGAAGTATTGTGCTTTGGCCTACTTCTAGGAGCAGGAGCAAGGCCATGGTGAGCTTTGAATAAAAAATAAAGAGCAAGCTCGCTGGGTGTGGGGTCTCACACCTGTAATCCTATTACTTTGGGAGGCTGAAGCAGGAGGGATTGCTTGAGCTTGCGAGTGGGAGACCAGCCTAGGCAACATAGTAAGACCTCATCACTAAAAAAAATAAACAAAAATTCGCTGGGCGTTGTGGCATGCATCTGTAGTCCCAGCTACTCGGGAGGCTGAGGCATGATAATCACATGAGCCTGGGAAGCAGAGGTTGCAGTGAGCTGAGATTGTGCCACTACCCTCCCACCTGGGTGACAGAGTGAGATACTGACTCAAAAAATAAAAAATAAAAATAGGCAGGGCGCAATGGCTCATGCGTGTAATCCCAGCACTTTGGGAGGCTGAGGCAAGAGGATCATGAAGTCAGGAGTTCAAGACCATCCTGGCCAACATGGTGAAACCCCGTCTCTACCAAAAATACAAAAAAAAAAAAAAAAAAGAATTAGCTGGGCGTGGTGGCACGCACCTGTAATCCCAGCTACTCTGGAGGCTGAGGCAGGAGAATTGCTTAAAACCTGGGAGGCGGAGGTTGCAATGAGCCAAGATTGCACCACTGCACTCCAGCCTGGGCAACAGAGCAAGACTCCATCTCTAAAAAACAAAAACACAAATAAAAACCACAAGTACAGATGAAAATATGGATGAGTTCTCCTGGGCATTCTGTCCTTCAGTTAGAAAGATGGTCCGGCAGCAGGAAGCCTCTTGTGTTGACTTCCCTCACACGACTGTTGATTGAGCCACGCTGCTCCACTCCCTACTGGCTGGGCTCCATCTGCATGCACTGCCATCCTGGGAGCCTCATTGTGGAGGCTTTCTTTGTCTCTCTCCTGTGGTGGATCTCTTGTATCCTGGATCTTATATTTCTTTCTTGATTATTCTTTTTATTTTGTTTCCCATATCCCCTTGAGAGAGAGTGCTTGTGAAGTAAGTTTTTGGTAACTGTGCACGGGTGAAAATGTCAAATGTCTTGATTCTAAATATATGCGCTTTGATCGACTATTCTATACTTGCTGTATTGCCTTCTCACTTGTCTTGTTGCTCTTGAGAAGGCTGAAGCCTTTCTGATGCCTGACACTTTATCCTGGACTGTTTATTTTTTTTCCCTTTAAGAGCTTGTGGACTGTTCTCCTTGTTCTTGGTGTTCCTGAAATACAACAATCATGTTGCTTGGAGTGGGTCTGTTTTCACTCAGGTCATTGTCACTGGGCCTAGACAGGCTCTTTCAATCAGGCAACTTTTGTCATTCAGTTCTGGAAATTTTCTCTGAATTATTTCTTTGTTGATTTTTCTCCCTCCTTTTTCTTTTTTCTTTTTCCTCTTTCTGGGGTTCTATTGTTTGGCTGTTGGAACTTATAGACAAGTTCTGTAATGTTCTTTCTTTTTTTTTTGAGACAGGGTCTCGTCTGTTGCCCATGTTGGAGTGCAGTGGTGCAATCGTGGCTCACTGCAGCCTTGACCTCCTGGGGCTCAGGTGATCCTCCCATGTCAGCTTCCTGAGTAGCTGGGAGGTGCACACTACCACATCTGGCTAATTTTTGTATTTTTTGTAGAGATGGGGTTTCAACCACATTGCCCAGGCTGATCTCAAACTCCTGGGCTCAATCAAGTGATCCCCCTATCTCGGCCTCCCAAAGTGCCAGGATTACAGGTGTGAGCCACTGCACCTGGCTGTAACGTTTTCTCTCTTTCTCGCTTTCCAACTCCTTGTTCTTTTGATTTATTTCCTTGGAGATTACCTCAACTTTATTTTCCAGTCCTGTTATTGAGAAATCTTTTTGGGTTGCTATTTGAATGTTTCTTTTATATGGTATCCTGTTCTTGTTTCATAGATGCAATATATTTTCTTATTGCTCTAAAGATATTATGATAGAGACTAAAACAGACAAAAGAAAACAATTTGGAAGAGATAAGATTATACAGGGAGGAAAGAAACTTTCAAAACTGTATTATATTTAGAAGCTTTCCTTAGATGTCTGGTATTCTTTGGCTGTCTGCTCATAAGTAAGTGTGGGAGTCTAAATGCTGACTTGAACTCTGGGCTCCCTGGCAGGGCTTATTGACTTTGAGCTTCATTGAAGTGCCATGTGGATGGGCCCTTTGTTGTGGAACCCCTCAGGTCAGTATCTTCAAGTCTTTCATCTGGGCTGGTCAGATTCTTCAAGGAAGAGTCTTCTGATCTCCTGCTCGAAGGGTGAAGGTCTGGCTGCTGGTATTTTGGGAGCCGAGTGGGGTGAAGAGAGCTGGGAGTCTCTGCATTCAGTATGCATATGGCCACTGAGTCCCTGTTTTAGGTAAGGTACTCACCCTCAGCTGGTTGTCCAAGGACTCTGTTATCACTCTCTTCAAAAATAAGACTCTTAAACTTTTGCAGGGGTGGGAAAGTGGTAATTGCCCAACCTTATGAAGAGAGGAACGAGGGATCCAACTACTTCTCAACAGCCTTCTCCCCATATTTCTTGTCAAGCCTCCTGGGGAACTGGTTGCCAATCCCCAAGTCTCTTGTGGACTGTGTAGTATAACATAAGTTGGATTTCAGCTTTCCTGTTAGTTTGGGATTTGGCTTTCTAGGATCCTCTGTCAATTTATGTTTGTTTGCTTTTCCAGCTTCAAAAATTCATTGCTGTTCTCCACGCTCCTTTTTTTTTTTTTTTGTCCTTCACTCTGGTCCTTGCGGGTTATGATTTAAAAATTATCTTTACAATATTTTTAGTGTGGTTTTGGTGGGGACCAAAGTTAGATGCTTTTTTTTTTCAATCTTCCGTCTTACCCAGATGTGCTTTTTCCTTTTTCATAAACTCATTTCTTTTGAGAGACAAAAATAAGTTATCATTTAGATTAGGGTAGATTTGCCTTAAATTTGGAATTTGCCTGCAAAATTGTGAATTTAATTACAAATTTGTTAATATTGATAACCGTTTTAGGTATGTTTTTGATATATAATTAGCAGCCTGGTCTACCCTGAAATAACTTAGAATATGACTAGATGAAAGAAACTGATTGAGCTTGCATACAGCATATTTTAGCAACAGTTTCTCCTCATTTTCTTTAAGCTCTTTAGCATCTTAAAGTTAAGAGTTTTTTTTTTTTTTTCATTTTGTCATAATTTACTTGTGTTTCTTATGACCTCGTTATAAAGGGGTTGATTTGTAGGAAAACTGAATCTTAGTCACGGTAATTGGGAGCTACTAGAAATTTTTAAAAAATGATCTCCATTTACCCACAACCTTTGGTTGAGCAAAGGGAAACTTGGAAAAGTTGAACTTTGCTGAAACTCACTCAGCTGGTTAGTGACTCAGGAGTTTTTTGTTTGTTTTCTCTTGTCAGTTATGGCAAGAGAAAACTATATATACAGCCAGCAGGGGGAGCTCCTTCCCTTAAGCTTACGTGAGAGAAGTATTATACTATTTATGTTCTCTGTATTGCCACAAGGGTAAGACAGCCTTTAAGACTAAAAATGATACAACATCAGATAGACACCATATGAAAGAAATAAAGGGAACTTTTGTTGGAACTACCATGTATATGTATTGTGACCATTTTTGTGTTTAGTTATATTATGAGAGAATACTTCTAGAAGTGGGGATATTTTGCAATTTATAGTTTAAAAAGAGGCATTTACATTAAACCATTTTTTAGAGACTATATCTTTCAAAAGCGTTATTCATTTAACAGATATTCTGTGTTTACTATTTCCCACACATGATTGTAGGTGCTGGGAATATGGTAACAAGCAATATATCAAGATTAAGACCTCACGATTTGAAGTTCTTTTATACGAAGTGTAAATACAAGCCTAAAAGAAATACTTTTTCCCCCAAAAGAATTGACTCTTTAATTTGGTAGGACAATCAACTGCATTTTTCCTATGTCAACAGCAAAATATAAGATGATAATATGACTTATACTGAATGCTTACTTTTAGGAATTTCACATATATCTTCAAGTATCATTCTCCTCTGCAAAAAAAAAAAAAAAAAAAAAAAAAGACTATTCCAGTGTTCTTAAGCTTTGCTGCATATTGGAATCACTTGAAAAATTTAAAAAGGCTATTAATGCCTGGCTCCCCAGCCCAGACATTCTGCTTTTACTGGCATGGAGTGTGATCTAAACATTGTGATTTTTAAGCTCCCTGGGCTATTCTAATGTGCAGAAAAGTTTGGGAACTGTTGGACTGTTTCCTAATAGTGACAGCTTCCTGAAGACAAGCTCCTTTGAATCTCTTTTCTTCCTGTTGTGTCACCTTGCACAACATATTTGACCTAGCAGTGATCAATAAACATCCAGTGCTTGGTTTCTTACTAACTCTGCTTAGAGTTTATGGTCATCAGCATAATGACTCACTTGTGTACATATTTAACTTATTTATTCCACTCTTTGTCATTTTCACCTTGCAAAACCCCAAGCCTGATTAAACTCAAGTCTCTGCACATTCTGTCTCTGCATCTACCTAGCTAACTGCAGCTGCAGAAACACATATCATGGGGACGACTCTCTTTAAATATGTGACCACCAGCCTCACAGACACCCTTGGTACAACCAGCAATCCTATGATATTTCTTTAGTCTGTTCATACTCTCTCTCTCTTTCCCTTTTTACATCCTATTTTCTCCCCTCGCTCTCAGCTGGTGATTTTTGCTGTGTATTTTAACAGAGAAAATGTAAGCAATCAAAAGCGAATGTCCTCATACTCCCACCTGTATAGGTGGCATTCCTCTGAACCTCGAGATGAACTGTTCAGCTCTTCTGGGGTACCCTGGATCCATCTTGTCTTCCCTACTCAAGGAATCATCCTTCTTCTTGTCTCTCTTCCTTCATCAGGTTTTCCATCTCTGCTGGATGATTTCAACCAGTATAGAAGCATGTCATTTTATCCTTAATCTGAAACCAAACATTAAAGTCATCTCTACACCTCTCTTCAGCCATCATTCTGGTTTTCTGTGCCTCTGCTTTTTCATCTGTAAAATGGACAATAGTATTGGCCCTACTTACCTCTTAGAACTATGTTTTGAAGACAGAATTGAAAGTACTTTGAAATGTTAAATGTGTACATGTATATATGTAATTGTTTATAAATTCAAAAGTTCTGTGTTGAGTACCTGCTGGGTGCTAACATGCAAAGAAGAAGAAAAATATACAGTATCCTCAGTGAGCTTTCAGAAGAATAAAGTCAGAGAAGCAAATAAAAAATTACAGTATAATAGTTCTAATGGAGGTTGTGGTATATTGAAATAGATTTTTTGACAACTGCCATTTTTACACATCATGTGCTGACATTTTGAAGTATTCTGAATCCATCTTTCCAATATAATCAGCTAACAAATGGTGGTTTTCACTGTACCAGGTTTCAGCTTGACATTCCAATGAGTCTTACACTGTTTCAGGATAGAATTATGTATTTTTATGAAATTGGAGGAAAATGCTTAGGAGAAGGTGTTGCTGACATAGGAGAATTTCAGGCAAGTCAAGGCTGATTTGATATTCTCAAGACAAGGACTCGTTTGAGTGGTATTAGACTACCTGAAAGACCTCCTATTGTAAAATTTAAAAACCTTGACGTTTGCTCAATTATGCAACAGAGTTATTCTGGGGATGAGTGGTAGAAAGATGGAATGGGAGCTCAGAGTGTTCTCTGTGTATGCAGATCCTCTTCTCTTCTTGGTTCTCTTTCCTTGGGACCACTTCTTCAGGGTACAGACTGGGCCTCAGCATCTGCCAGGCTGGTCTGGCTTCAGGCACCTTTTTTTTTTTTTTTTTTTTTTGTTGAGACGGAGTCTCGCTCTGTCACCCAGGCTAGAGTACAGTGGCACGATCTTGGCTCACTGCAAGCTCCGCCTCCCTGGTTCACGCCACTCTCCTGGCTCAGCCTCCCGAGTAGCTGGGACTACAGGCACCCACCACCATGCCCAGCTAATTTTTTGTATTTTTTAGTAGAGACGGGGTTTCACCTTGTTAGCCAGGATGGTCTTGACCTCTTGACCTCGTGACCTGCCCGCCTCGGCCTCCCAAAGTGCTGGGATCAGGCACCTTTCTTAAGAGCAGGGATGGAGAAAGGTGAGAGAAGCCTGGGCTTCTGACGATGTGCCTCTGGAGAGCTGATGGGATGGGAGGGGGGCACATTGGTTGAGAACATGGACTCTGGAGCCATGTCCCCTGGGCTCAGATCCCAGTTTTGCCACTTACTAGTTCTACAGTCTCATGCAAGTTCCCCGACCCCTCTGTGTTTCAGTTTTCTCATCAGTAAAATGGGAATGATGGTACTTTCACTTCATAGGATGGTTATGTGAATTAAGTGAGTTAAAGTATGTAAAATGTTTAGAAAACTGTCTGGCTGTAGTATTTACTACTACTGCAATAATTCCCACTGTGGGAGGTTCAGAGGTTGCCTTTGCCATCAGCATTTGCATCCTAGCCTGTGTAAGGCAATTATGAAGGTTGCTGGGCTTTTCACTTATAAAAGAAATTGATGAGATGGGTTATTTGAGGAGCAGGTGTTGAATAATCACTGTTAGGGATAATATAATTTTTTAACTCTTCGGGAAAGGATTGCTTCCTCTTCTCCAATAACATGCAAGAAGAGTGCTCTTCCTCTGTGTGTTTCCATTGAGAATGTGATACGTAAATGTGTCTTGGGGATACATGTTATATCTGATGGTCAGCCTTGTGTGTACAAAGGGCAATAGGAGCAAAGGTGGGAACCACCCTAATCTTCAAAGCACTAGGGAACATGGGGAAGTGCGATTAGAAAAGGCTGATAGAGGCCGGGCGCAGTGGCTCATGCCTGTAATCCCAGCACTTTGGGAGGCTGAGGTGGGCAAATGACGAGGTCAGGAGTTCCAGACCAGCCTGGCCAACATGGTGAAACCCTGTCTCTACTAAAAATACAAAAAATTAGCTGGGCGTAGTGGCAGGTGCCTGTAATCTCAGCTACTTGGGAGGCTGAGGCAGGAGAATTGCTTGAACCCTGGAGGCGGAGGCTGCAGTGAGCTGAGATCGCGTCATTACACTCCAGCCTGGGCTACAGAGTGAGACTCCCTCTCAAACAAAACAAAACAAAACAAAAGCCTGATAGAAATGTGCCCTGTGGACAGGGGTAGGAGGGGTGGCAGACATTCCATGCAGAGATAAGGGCACAGAGGCTGAGGGAGCATCAGGTATTTGGGATACTCTTGGTAATCAACAATTGCTAGATACAAAACTAGAGGCTGGAGGGAAGTGGCAGAAGTTGAGACTGGAGTTTAGATTGTGTGTCCTGTAGCAATATCTCCCTGAGCACAAGAGTGATGCGACTGGGTTTTCATGTTTCAGAGGTCATTTTGACAGCAGTGAGGACAGGCTGGATAAGGTGAGTGGATGTGAGGAGTATTGGGAGAGGCGAATGGAATCAGCTCGTAGAGTCGATGGGCCCTGGGAAAGGGGCTCCTGGAAGTGGAGGAAAGGCAATGAGATATTTAGGAGGGAGATTCAGTGGGACTGGAGAGTGTGATATGGGAAGAGGAGGAATCTGGGTGGATGTGAGGGCTTGAGTAAGATGTGGGAGGCTGCAGCAGAGATCCCTCAGGTACCACATGTAGACTGCGAGGGAAGGGAGTGACCTGTTAGAGAGGGCAGAACCCTGGGAGAGAGAAGAGCCAACAAGGAGAGCAGCGTGGAAGATGCTGTGGGAGGCTAGAGGCAGGGTCTCAGGGAGATGCAGGGTTAGCTTCCACAGAACAGCTGTCAACAACATGTGTACATATAGTTAAATAGAGAAGTAAGAAAAGGTTGTGAAAGAGCATTGGAATTTTCCCTTTTAAAAATGATGTTTCATTTAAGAGGAGTTTCTGTTTCATGCAATGGTGGGGACAGAAGCCACATTACACTTGGTTTCTCAGCAAGGATATTAGAGTCATTCTGGAGTTTTCTGGAGGTGAGACGGATGAGAACTAGGCTTGTTCTGTGCTCCTCGTACAGAGCTGCTTCTGTCCCTCTCCGTTTGTTAGAATTGATGAATTTTTCCTCCTCTGAACCTCACCATTCCCTATACTTATGTCTATTAGAGTGCTAATTATATTTGATATTTGTTTCTTTATACATCTGTCTTCTCTCTCCCTGCCCATTAGACATAGATTTTCTGGAGGAGGGGCCGTATCATTCATCTTCTTTTTCTCAGCATCTGTTACACAGCTTCATTACAGTAGGACTCATTGAATGTGTGTGAGATGAATGGATAGATGGGTGGGTGGATAAGTTAAGAGGTTGGATCAAAGTTTGTGTGTGTGTGTGCATGTGTGTGCACACATGAAGCAGGTGATTTGGCTATGAAAGCAAGAGAGGCAGGTGGGGTAGGCTTAGCGCTTATGAACAACAGTACATATTTATAATCATCACTTTGACAAACAGGAAAGGGACTGCTTGGGAAGGGGCACCAACAGGGTTCTATTGAGATCGGAGTTTCTTAGTTCATAAACATGGAGGAATTTTATGGAATTGTAACATTTTAGGATTTTGGAGCTAGAGGGAGCTGTAGGGTTAATCTAGTGCCACCTCCTGTTGAACACAGGGCACTAGTGTATGTGGGCTGCCTTCCTAGCTAGATTAAAAGCATTTTGAGAGTATAGCAATTATCCAGTAAACATTTATTAATTGACAGTGTTAATACAATCTTTACATGAGGAGGGAATAGAGAAAATTAGGTTTATCATTCTAGTTAGAAAGACTGAAAAATAGTTCAAAAACCTATGTATCAGGCAGCAGGAGAATAGCAAAGACAGGTAAATTCAGATGTGTTCTGAGGACCTCCTTAACAGCATTGTGAAATTTTATTTACCCAGTCTTAAATGTGCATCTAACCTTATCCCCTCCCCAAACTGCAGGAGGTTTTCTCCTACCTGCTTTTTGGCGTTTTTGCTGTGAATTTTTACTTTCAGTGGATTATATGCTATTGAACAATGATGAAACATCATTTTTCTTTTCTGGTACTGGCACGAACAAGTACTTGTTTGTAATGGACTCTGTATAGAAATATATTTTGACACTGTGTGTTGGAAAATAATTGTTGCTAATGAATGCATGTCCTATCCCACGCCTAGCCCATTACAGCTCTTTTTTGGTTCTGTCCAGTATTGCCTCCCCGACATCATTTGCAGAAAAGGATATGCCAGGACATGGTCATTAAGGAAGCATTAAAGCTTGCCATTTGGCCTGTGATCTTTCCCAAAAAGCTTTGGTCATGTATGAATGTTGCTGTCCCTGGGCACCTTGTTTTGTTTTTGGCATATCTGGGCCCTCGAGCTCTGGGTGGAGACGAAAAGGGTCGCCCACATTTTGCTGCTGTTACCCGAGATGGCCAGCAGAGGGCAGGCTGGCTCCTTTCCCTGATCCAGTACCTGGGACGACTCTTCCTGCCCTGTTTGTCTCTGATCCCCACCAATTTTGTTTCTTTCTTTCTTTCTTTCTTTTTATTATTATACTTTAAGTTCTAGGGTACATGTGCACAACATACAGGTTTGTCACATATGTATACATGTGCCATGTTGGTGTGCTGTACCCATTAACTCTTCATTTACATTAGGTATATCTCCTAATGCTATCCCTCCCCCGTCCCCCACCGCATGACAGGCCCCGGTGTGTGATGTTCCCCATCCTGTGTCCAAGTGTTCTCATTGTTCAGTTCCCACCTATGATTAAGAACATGTGGTGTTTGGTTTTCTGTCCTTGTGATAGTTTGCTGAGAATGATGGTTTCCAGCTTCATCCATGTCCCTACAAAGGACATGAACTCATCCTTTTTTATGGCTGCATAGTATTCCATGGTGTGTATGTGCCACATTTTCTTAATCCAGTCTGTTATTGATGGACATTTGGGTTGGTTCCAAGTCTTTGCTATTGTGAATAGTGCCGCAATAAACATACGTGTGCATGTGTCTTTATAGCAGCATGATTTATAATCCTATGGGTATATACCCAGTAATGGGATGGCTGGGTCAAATGGTATTTCTAGTTCTAGATCCTTGAGGAATCGCCACACTGACTTCCACAATGGTTGAACTAGTTTACAGTCCCACCAACAGTGTAAAAGTGTTCCTATTTCTCCCCATCCTCTCTAGCACCTGTTGTTTCCTGACTTTTTAATGATCGCCATTCTAACTGGTGTGAGATGGCATTTCCTTGTGGTTTTGACTTGCATTTCTATGATGGCTAGCGATGATGAGCATTTTTTCATGTGTCTGTTGGCTGCATAAATGTCTTCTTTTGAGAATTGTCTGTTCATATCCTTTGCCCACTTTTTGATGGGGTTGTTTGATTTTTTTCTTGTAAATTTGTTTAAGTTCTTTGTAGATTCTGGATATTAGCCCTTTGTCAGATGGGTAGATTGCAAAAATTTTCTCCCATTCTGTAGATAGCCTGTTCACTCTGATGGTAGTTTCTTTTGCTGTGCAGAAGCTCTTTAGTTTAATTAGATCCCATTTGTCAATTTTGGCTTTTGTTGCCATTGCTTTTGGTGTTTTAGACATGAAGTCCTTGCCCATGCCTATGTTCTGAATTGTATTGGCTAGGTTTTCTTCTATGGTTTTTATGGTTTTAGGTCTAACATTTAAGTCTTTAATCCATCTTGAATTAATTTTTGTATAAGGTGTAAGGAAGGGATCCAGTTTCAGCTTTCTACATATGGCTAGCCAGTTTTCCCAGCACCATTTATTAAATAGGGAATCCTTTCCCCATTTCTTGTTTTTGTCAGGTTTGTCAAAGATCAGATGGTTGTAGATGTGTGGTATCATTTCTGAGGGCTCTGTTCTATTCCATTGGTCTGTATCTCTGTTTTGGTACCAGTATCATGCTGTTTTGGTTACTGTAGCTGTATAGTATAGTTTGAAGTCAGGTAGTGTGATGCCTCCAGCTTTGTTCTTTTTGCTTAGGATTGTCTTGGCAATGTGGGCTCTTTTTTGGTTCCATATGAACTTCAAAGTAGTTTTTTTCCAATTCTGTGAAGAAAGTCATTGATGGGGATGGCATTGAATCTATAAATTACCTTGGGCAGTATGGTCATTTTCACAATATTGATTCTTCCTATCCATGAGCATGGAATGTTCTTCCATTTGTTTGTGTCCTCTTTTATTTCGTTGAGCAGTGGTTTATAGTTATCCTTGAAGAGGTCCTTCACATCCTTTGTAAGTTGGATTCCTAGGTATTTTATTTTCTTTGAAGCAATTGTGAATGGGAGTTCACTCATGATTTCGCTCTCTGTCTGTTATTGGTGTAGAGGAATGTTTGTGATTTTTGCACATTGATTTTGTATCCTGAGACTTTGCTGAAGTTGTTTATCAGCTTAAGGAGATTTTGGGCTGAGATGATGGGGTTTTCTAAATATAGAATAATGTCACCTGCAAACAGGGACAATTTGACTCCCTCTTTTCCTAATTGAATACTCTTTATTTCTTTTTCCTGCCTGATTGCCCTGGCCAGAACTTCCAACACTATGTTGAATAGGAGTGGTGAGAGAGGGCATCCCTGTCTTGTGCCAGTTTTCAAAGGGAATGCTTCCAGTTTTTGCCCATTCAGTATGATATTGGCTGATCCCCACCAATTTTCTGATGTGTCAGATTGCAGACTCTAGAATCAGTTATGTAATGAAAAAACTAGTGGGAAAGGGGCACAAAATTCATTTTTTTCCTCTAAACCACTTGAGGTTTTTGGGGCAGATCTCTTTTAGCCCACATTGGTGGCCTTCCCTGAGCATTTTCTGCCCTAATTCTCCTAAAATCACCCACAAAAGGTATACGGGGCTCAACCCTCAACCCTGTGATGTGGGGAGGTTTGTAGTCGTCAGGTGTTGGATGATGATTCTAAGTAGAACCGTTAAAGAGGCTTCTTTTGGCTGAATGCGTGGCTCACACCTGTAATCCCAGCACTTTGGGAGGCTGAGGCGGGCGGATCACCTGAGGTCAGAAGTTCGAGACCAGCCTGGCCAACATGGTAAATCCCTGTCTCTACTAAAAATACAAAAAATGAGTTGGGCTTGGTGGCGGGGCCTGTAATCCCAGCTGCTCAGGAGGCTGAGGTGGGAGAATTGCTTGAACCTGGGAGGCAGAGGTTGCAGTAAGCTGAGATCATGCCATTGCACTCCAGCCTGGGACACAGAGAAATTGGGCCTTCATTCAGAAGACTTTAAAACAAAATAAAAAAGAGACTTCTTGTGTTTGAGGTCCCACATTAAGGTCTGCAGTGCACCACACTCCTATAAAAAGACACAGGCTTTATGGCGCTAAACAGTCTTTATGTATCCATGTTAATAGATTGTTGTTGTTGTTTCTAGAAAAGTGTGATAATAATAATCATCCCTTTTAGAGGAAGAGCTAAATTTGTGAACAGTATTGGGCTGTGGGTTCTGGAGTCCTGAATCCTGTTTTTGATGCTACTGGGTTTTTCTGCACATCATCCTGTTTTTCTTTGTTGACTTACTGGTGACTCCTCTTCAGTGTGTCTCATTGAGAAAATACATTTCTTGGCTGGGTGTGGTGGCTCATGCCTGTAATTCCAGCACTTTGGGAGGCCAAGGCAGGCTGATCACTTGAGGCCGGGAGTTCAAGACCAGCCTGGCCAACACGGTGAAACCCTGTCTCTACTAAAAATACAAAAATTAGTCGGGCGTGGTGGCGGGCACCTGTAGTCCCAGCTACTTGGGAGGTGGAGGCAGGAGAATTGCTTGAACCCAGGAGGTAGAGGTTGCAGTGAGCCGAGATCATGCCACTGCACTCCAGCCTGGGTGACAGAGTGAGACTCTGTCTCAAAAAATAAAATAAAATAAAATAAATAAAATAGTTTCTTCTTTTAAGATTTTAGTTGCCATAGTAAGGAGGATTAATCCTATATCAGAAAACATAACAGCTTTCCTGGGGGGAATGAGCAATTCTCTCTGCCATCCCAGTCTGACCACTAAAAAAAATTAGTTGCAATTTATTTCTGTATTAAGAGTGAATGTTGAACAATGAGCAGAAGGTGTGTCTGCTGTTGTCATTGTTCATTCAACCCCACCAATGGGAAGACCAGTGGAATGTAAAATTGCTTCAGCTGTATGTACTGTTCAATTTCAGCATCCATTGACATCTGTGTCTTCTCCATGGAAGGCTGGGGCTAGGCTTTCTTCAACTTTCCCATTAAGTTAATTCTCCTTGCACTTGAATTTCAATCTGTATTTTACTTGAAACCATATCCAAAGTGTGTGTCAGTGCTTTGAATATAGTTAGGAAATGAGAGCCTCAGAGTGATTAAATGAAGTGACTGAGTTTTCCTGGAAAATGAACCTAATCCTTCTCTCAGTTCATACAATAATGAAATTTGAGATCCTTCGGGGATCATCTAGTCCAATTTGCTCATTTTACAGATGAGGAGATTGAAGGCTCAGAGAGTTGAATAAGATGCATACAGCCAGCTCACATCCATTAGGAGCTCTGTTATTGTTTAAAAAAATCAGAAAATGACAAATGTTGGCAAGAATGTGGAAAAACATTGAAACCCTTGTGCACGGTTGATGAGAATGTAAAATGGGGGAGCTGCTATGGAAAACAGTATGGTGGTTCCTCAAAAAATAAAAATAGAATTGCCATGTGATCCAGCAAATCTATTTCTGGGTGTATACTGAAAAGAATTGGGAGCAGGGTCTCAAAGAGATATTTGCACATCCACGTTCATAGCAGCATGAGTCACAATAGCCAAAAGGTGGAAGCAGTCCAAGTGTGCATCAGCGGATGAATGGATAAACAAAATGTGTTACAGCATCTACATACAGTGGAACACTATTCAGCTTTAGAAAGGAAGGAGACTGACACATGCTGTGACATGGATTAACCTTGAGAACACTATGCTGAGTGACATAAGCCAGTCACAAAAGGACAAATACTGTATGATTCCACTTATAAGAGGTACCTGCAGTAGTCAGATTCATAGAGACAGAAAGTTTAATGGTGGTTTCCAGGGGCTGGGGAGAGAGAGAGTGAGCTGGTTTGGCTGTGTCCCCACCCAAAGCTCATCTTGAATTGTGGTTCCCAGAATCCCCACATGTGGAGGGAAGGACCCAGTGGGAGGTGACTGGGATCATGGGGGTGGTTCCTCCCATGCTGTTCTTATGATAGTGAGTTCTCACAAGATCCGATGGCTTTACAAGGGTTTTTCCCCTTTTGCTTGGCGCTTCTTCCTGCCATCATGTGAAGAAGGACGTGTTTGCTTCCCCTTCCACCATGATTATAAGTTTCCTGAGGCCTCCACAGCCATGCTGAACTCTGAATCATTTATAAATTACCCAATCTCGGGCAGTTCTTTATAGCAGCGTGAGAATGGACTAATACAGAGAGGAATGGAGAGTTGTTGTTTAATGTGTATAAAGTTTCACTTTTGCAAGATGAAAAGAGTTCTGGAGATTGGGTATACAACAGTGTGAGTAGTGCCTAACACTACTGAAGTGTACACACAAAAGGGGTAAGATGGTAAACTTTGTATATATTTTACAACAGTGAAAAAAAGATGCTCTCAAGTCACATGGGTAGTTGGTGCTGTATTTGCTCTCAACTCCCTGTCCTGTGGTTTTCCTAATATGCCATTCGTGGCATTCTTTCTACCAAACTAATCGTGGATCAAAAGCTAAAGCATCCTTTCCCAAACTGGTTTTTTTACCAGTTTAAAAAATTTTACCAATTAAAAAATTTAATTTTTTAAATTTTTTAGAGACAGGGTCTTTCTCTGTTGCCTATGCTGGAATGCAGTGGCATAATCATAGCTCACTGTAACCTTGAACTCCTGGGCTCAAGGAAGGCATCTTCCTGCCTCAGCCTCCTGAGTAGCTGGGACTACAGGCCCATGCCACCCTGCCTAATTTAAGTTTTTTTTTTTTTTTTTGTAGAGCTGGGGTCTTCCTATGTCTTCCAGGCTAGTCTTAAACTGCTGGCCTCAAGTGATCCCCTCACCTCAGTCCTGGAAAGTGCTATGATTTAACAGCATGAGCCACTATGCCCAGCCAGAAAAATAAATTTCATTGTTTGAACTTGGCTGCTGTTTGACTCTCCACCTTCCTCTCTCCTTCAGATGGCTCCTTCCCACTCTGTGCTCCAAGCAGAATGAGTTACATGCAGTACTTACAATTTATCACATTCTCTCTTGCCACATGCTATTTCCTCCGCCTGGTACTCTTTTCTGCACCACGTTTATGTAGTACTTCTATTTTTAGGATTCAGCTGAAGCACCATCCCTTTTGAAAGTTCTTTTGACCACATAGTCTGATTTAGGTGCTTACTACTTCCAGGGTCGTCCTGGCCACGTGGCATTGCAATACTCTATTTCCTGGTTTGCATCTCCCACTGGACTGTGCCGTGCCTGTCTCAATGCTCTGTGTCTAGCACATTGCTTGCACAGGGGAGGTGCTCAAAAATGTTTGCCATAAGATGAACTATACCTTGGAAGATACTGCCATAAGAGAGACATACTGAAAATTGCCAACTGATTTGTATCTCTCTGGCTTTTCTAAGGGTATCTCTTATTTTTATTGTGGTAAAATATATATAACAGAAATTTTACTATCTTAACCATTTTAAGTGTACAATTCAGTGACATTAGGTACAGTCACGCTGTGCATTCATCACCACCAGAACTCTTTTCATCTTGCAAAATTGAAACTCTGTGCCTATTAAACAGTAATTCCCCATTCCCTCCCTCCCCAGCCCCTGGCAACCCCCATTCAGTATTTGTCCTCTTGTGATGGGTTTGTTTCACTTAATATAATGTCATCAAGGTTCATCCATGCTGTAGCATGGATTATATAATATAGTAATATATCCATGCTACAACATGGATATTTAAGGCTGAATAATATCCCATTGTATGTATTACCACATTTTGTTCTTCCATTCATCCATCCATTCATCCATCTTTGGGCACTTGGGTTGCATCCACCTGTTTGGCTGCTATGAACATGGTATAGCTCTGTGTTTTAAAACATGGCAAGTCTGTCTTTGTGCTATCCATTCAATACCACACAAAACTATACTTCTAATAACTGGAATTCTTTTTGTGAATTTTATTTAAATAGTTTTTGGGGAACAGGTGGTTTTGGTTACATGGATAAGTTCTTTAGTGGTGATTTTTGAGATTTTGATGTACCGGTCACTGAAACAGTGTACACTGTACCCAATGTGTAGTCTTTTATCCTTTGCCCCCCTCCCATTCTTCCCCCCAAGTCCCCAAAGTCCATTATATCATTCTTTTGCCTTTGTGTCCTCATAGCTTAGCTCCCACTTATAAGGGAGAACATATGATATTTGGTTGTCCATTACTGAGTTACTTCACTTAGAATAATGGTCTCCAGCTCCATCCAGGTTGCTGCAAATGCCATTATTTCATTCCTTTTATGGCTGAGTAATATTCCATGGTAGAATGTTACTTTTGTTTATCTACTTGTTGGTTGATGGGCATTTAGGTTGGTTCCATATTTTCGCAATTGCAAATTGTGCTGCTATAAACATGCATGTGCAAGTGTCCTTTTCAAATAATGACTTCTTTTTATTAACACCCTGTAGTTAATAACCTGAATTCTTTATAGCTTGCATTCTGAAACATTTTTCTCGAACTATCCGCCTTCTGGCCTGTTCCAGTCATTCTGGCTTTCATCTTGATTTGTTTTTCTTAAAACTTTCTCCAGCTTCCCTCTGCATCTGTGATTCGTGCTCTGCTTCTTGTTTGTGGCTTTGGATCAATAATGCTACAGATCCAGTCTAATTAATCATGGATCAAAAGCTAAAGCATCCTTCCCCCAGATGGTTTATTATTAATACCACCCAGAAAAATAATTTATAATTTAATTCTCTACCTCATAGAGTTTGGGATCCTTGGTAGAATGTGTTCCCTTCCCCTTTTCTTCTTCGCTATTTCCTCCTCTTCCTCTCCATCAAAAGTGGCTTTATCTCCACCTTTGCAGCTGACAGCAACCCTCCCATGCTCCGTTGATGAAGCCCTCCTTTCTTAACCCCTCGTCCATATGGCTCTCCCTCCACCCTGCTCCATCTCCTGTGATCTCAAGGCCTCGGAGAAATGATCTCAAGGCCTCGGAGAAATGAAAAGTGACCTTTGGTATTTGAGACAACCAATAGCAAAATATAGCTCCCACTTCCAACAGCCCATATTGGTGGGGGAGGGATTTGCTTCATACGTGGTCTGTGTTGGGCCATTCTCCTTCTCCATGTTTTCTCTGTTCTTACAGCACCATCTTTTTGCCTCATTTCTTTGCTCTACTCTATTCCTCCCCCATCATCGTCTGGTGACTCACACTGTAATCCTAGCACTTTCGGAGGATCACCTAAAGTCAGGAGTTTGAGGCCAGCCTGGCCAACATGGCAAAACCCCGTCTCTACTAAAAATACAAAAATTAGCTGGGCGTGGTAATGGGCGCCTGTAATCCCAGCTACTCAGGAGGTTGGGGTGGGAGAATCACGTGAACCTGGGACCGGGAGGCTGCAGTGAGCCAAGATGGTGCCACTGCACTCCAGCCTGGGCAACAGAGCGAGACTCCGTCTCAAAAAACAAAACAAAACCAAAAAAAAAACCCCGAAGTACTACTGACCTAATGCTATGTAACACAGTTTACAGAAGGCTTTAGTGTAACATGGAGAGAAGCTGTAGCATGAAAGAAAACAGGCAATGGCTAACTACTGAATCAAATCCTAGACAATATTGTTCTTAAATGACCTTTGACTTTCTTCTCCTGGGAATTCCTCCTGATAATCTTTTCCTCTAGGCTCTACTAATCTGTTCTGTTGCTCAACCATCCTTACTGTTAGGAAGCCAGAAGCCCCAGAGCCTAGAAGGTAAACTCACATCACTGGCCTAATCCAATTTTTCCCTCATGGAGGAGTCAGCCGTAGATAAATTTGCTGCCTACTAGCTTCACTCTGTGCCATTCTGACTCACCTGGATGGCATCAGGCAGGATAGAGGAGGCATTCTAAACATTTCTCTTTGAACAAAGTTCATTTGGAATCAAGTTGTATACCAAATTTTGTAATGCAAGTCTTAGACATATGGCAAGGGAACATCTGAAATGTTGACTCACTCTATCAAAATGTCAACATCAGTAAGTAGTTAATGAGATTTTTATGAGATTTAATGAGTAAGTGTAATATAGTGCAAGATTTTTAAAGCATTTTAAAAAAGTCTTTGGACAATTTTGTTCGAATCATCTCAAAAGTTATCTTAACACAGATAGTGATTATGACAGCTGCTCCCTGCATGGGAGGGAACACAACAATGGCACAAAAATTATTCAAGGCTGATTATACTGAGTCTGCATCATTGAACATTTTCTCTCTATGGAGAGGGTCTTCAGTTTGTTGCTTTTTCAGCTAACTAATCAGCTTCCTGTTCCTTTCTCACATTTGGCAAATTAATTTTCAGGACAAATCATGTCTGCAGTTTCTAAGGAAACTACAGGGGCTCAGATTTCTCCCGGATGAGTTACAGGGTGGGTTGATGCAGAAAGGAGTGCTCTGTGAGGTGCTCACCAAGCCCCATCCCACTGTGTACCCTAATTGACTCCTGTATGTCCAGCCATGGCATCGTATAAGATAGAGCCAGTATTTGTAGCCCTTACCTGAGAACTTCACTTGTTCTGTTATCATGAGATTTTTTTGTTAACTGGCAGTGCTAGGCTGACCTTGTTATTGCTGCTTCTTTGATATTTCTACCAGTACCTTGTTTGTACTAGTAGTTAAATAATGGAAGAAGAGTTTTTGGAAATGATGGACATTTTGTTCAGTTGGTAACTTAAATGGGGGCTGTGAACAAGTCTACTTTCAGAACTTCCAAAATGTTTTGATCCTGCTAAGATACAAAATACCTGATTATATTTTATTGACTTAGTAGATAGAGTATGGCTTTCAAGTGAGACAGACCTGGGTTCAAATCTCAACTTCACCACTTAGTAATTGCATGACCTTGGAAAAGTTATTTAACCTTCTGGTCAGTTTGTTCATTCATTTGTTCATTCTTTTTTCTTTCCTTCCAGAATAAAATAATTAGAAAAGTGCAAGGAAAAATATAATAATTTCCAATATTCTAACTACCTAGAATTATCTACTTATATTTATATGACTATATTTTCCTTTAGTTGTTTTTTTCCTATGCCTAGGAAAAAATTACCCTATTGATATATGCATACACTCCCCTTTTACTTCTTGTTTCTTGGGTAATAATATATACTTTGTTGGGCTAAACAAGATAAAATAATTAAAGCATCCTGCCCAGTGTCTGATCCACAGTAAACAATTGGTATATGGCAGTAGTTGTTATTATTGTTAATCCTCCTCCTATATTTGCGCATCTCTGTTAGCAAATATAGTCCTGGCAAATCAACAAACTTATAAAAATAATTGTTTTTGGACAAACTATTTCTCTTCCCACGATATATTTGTAAGCCACAACTGGAAGAATTGGTGTTAATACGTGTAGGAATGTAGAATACATTGTAAAACCTATTTATATTGCAAATAATGAAAATGTATTCAAGACCAGACCTTTTTCATAAATGATGGACTGCACTTGGTAAACTTTAAAAAAAATGGTTGAACCAAATTTTAGAAAATTGCATGCATTATTTAAAAAGTTATGATGTTGGAGAAATAGAACAATTGAGAAGAAAATTACTCACTTAAACTTTGCTGTGAAAGATTGATTTTTTTTTTTTTGCTTGCAGTGATCTTGCAAAACCAGTGGCTACGGAGTAATTAATGCTGGGGCTTTATTAATTTATGAAGAGCAGAAAAGGGTTGGCTTGTCTGCATCGTAGCTCATTCTTCTCAAGTAACATGTTAAAAAAAATCAAGATGCTGAAAAATTGGAGCAATTTGTCAATTTAAACAAACGTTCTTTTTATGGGCTTCCTGGAGTGATCTTGCATTAAATTTCTAGGTCAAATTGGGTGGTAACGAAAATAAAGAGCAAAGAAGCTTGGGTGACCTGGCGGCATTGTTGGTAATCTATGACAAATGTTGTAAGGTAGGTTTAAATGTCCTTAAAAATATTGTAGGGTTGGACATGGTGGTTCAAGCCTGTAATCCCAGCACTTTGGAAGGCCGAGATGGGCAGCTCACTTGAGCCCAGGAGTTTGAGACTAGCCTGGCCAACATGGTGAAACCCCGTCTCTACTAAAAATACAAAAATTAGCCGGATGTGGTGGTGCACGCCTGTAGTCCCAGCTACTCGGGAGGGTGAGGCAGGAGAACTGCTTGAACCTGGGAGGTGGAGGTTGCAGTGAGCCGAGATTGCGCCACTGCACTCCAGCCTGGGCGACAGAGCAAGAGTCCATAACAACAACAACAACAACAACAACAACAAAAGAAAACCCCTATGAAATAGGCACTTTTGCTGTCCCATTTTCTGGATGAGGAAACTGAGACAATGAACTTACCCAAGTTTACATAGCCACTGACTGTGGGAGCCAGGTTTCAAACCCAGGCAGCTGTACATTTTAGCTACTATTCTATGCTGACTGCCATTATATCTAGAATTTCAAGAGCATTTTCACCTGATGAGTAGAGCAAACATGTGACATTTGAGCATCACATGTTTTGGAAACTTGTCAGGGAGACTAAGAATAGTGTTTGAATTTTTTAATACGTGGTGTAAATCTTAGTCAAAATAACCATTTGTAAATACATCTGCTAATTTCTCTTGTAGTTGGATAAAAAGTCCTTTTCTAATGAGTGGGATGGTATGGCTTCCTTCTTGACATGATGAGCTCATGATTTTCTGTCTTTTTAAAGTTCATGCTGACTGTCAAATGTGCACGGAGCCCCATGCTAGCTGCAGGCAGGGGAGGAGAGAGAGACAACAATGAGTACGACTTAGTTCCTGTGTCACAGTTTATGATGTATTGAGAGGAAAGAGACTGCCTATGAATAATACAAGGGCGTGGATGAATCAGGTGTGGGAGTGTGGAGAAGTGTACCATTTGGAATACAGGTGTTAAGGAAGGTACTTTTTTTTTGAGATAGGGTCTGGCTCTGTCACCCAGGCTGAAGTGAGGTGTGATTTTGGTCCACTGCAAACTCCACCTCCCAGGTTCAAGTGATTGTCGTGCCTCAGCCACCTGAGTACCTGGGATTACAGGCGAGTGCCACCACGTCTAGCTAACTTTTGTATTTCTAGTAGAGACGGGGCTGTGCCATGTTGGCTAGGCTGGTCTTAAGCTCCTGGTCTCAAGTGATCTACCTGCCTCAGCCTCCCAAAGTACTGAGATTACAGGTATGAGCCACCATGCCTGGCCAGGAAGGTACCATTTCTAAATGTCAAATCAGCAGGATCCCAATCTGATATTCTTCATGTGCCATAGATAAAATTTAAAAAAAAATTTACTGGGAGCCTAGTTTGTATCAGGTCATGTGCTAAAAAACTACTTTGAATTTTTAAAAAATACACTGTGGGTACTTAGTTTTCAAGTATCAGGAAGGTTTAAAATCTAGTGAAACTAGAAGTAATTTTTTAAAAAGATAGAATCTGTCCTCCTGAGGAGCTTGCATATCTGATTGATGCTGGCACTGGGCCATACTGATGCACTGCCAAGTGACACTCTGTTGTAAGCACGGACTAAAGACAGTGGTAATTAACAGTGCTGGCACTGCTATATTAAGTACATGAGTATAATAGGCCACGCTTATACTGTTTCTAAAAGAGAAGGAGAACATAGAAAGTGTATATATTAAGAGCTGTCTGCTTCCTTAGGAGTATTTCTCTACTACCAAAACTTGAGATTGACTTTCAAAAACAAGACATAAATTTGACCATTACCAGGGCCCACTATTACTGGTGGATTCTTATATATTTATGATGGTAAAGATAAAAGTGAAAGTAAATCACCAGATATGCTACCTTTTGAAATGCTGAGGCCTATAGTGACTGACATACCATTAAATTCCTCTTATCCCCAAATATCTGTCACCTGTATAATTCAGGAGACATGTACGTTCCTTTTCATGTAGATGCTGATGTGATTTGAAATCCCTTTACGTTCACTCCTCTATGATTCAACCACAGCTGAATGTTCTGTTAACCTTTATCTCTAGAACATAGTAAGGGAAAACATTTGATAATTCTGTTAAATGTTCCTTTTGAGTCAATTTTTTAATATTGACTTTTGAAATACAATGCCAATTCTCTTTACACAGGTCTTAATTTTACTCATGGGAGTTAACCTGCTTAGTATGACTTTTTGGCTCACATTTTTTTCTTTCTGGTTCTCTGAACTGCCTTGAAAATAAGTTTCATTTTAAGAAATAAAATTCGCAGCTACTTTATGGTGTTTCTAGAAAAAGCAATAATAGAAAAGCAAATGTGGAAGCAGGAATTATGAAGTTTAGCTATTAAAAAAGACGTTTTTAAAAGGAGGTTCTGTGAAGAATCCTGCGTCTCTACTTTCATTTTTTAAATTAAACTTTAAATTTATTGCAAAGTAAGACTACTGTAGCAGCACCTCATTGCATTGGAATATAACAAATATATCCGTAGAGAAATCACAAGGAAATAAATTCATGAAAAAACTCATAAAGCATTTAGTTTTATATGCACATATACAATCATGCATAAATATATTTTTTAAACTTTCATATTTCAGATGATGACTTGGGTTCAGCTTAATTACGTGAACTTCCAATACTTGTCTTGAACTCTTAAACAATGAGAATAACGATGTAAAGATAATGTAAGATTCTTTTTTTTTTCTTTTTTGAGACAGAGTCTTACTCTGTCACCAAGGCTGGTAGTATGGTGATGTGATTATGGCTCACTGCAACCTCGACCTCCTGGGCTCAGGTGATCCGCCCCAGTAGCTGGTACGATAGCCATGTACCACCATGCCTGGCCAAATTTTTTTGGTAGTGTTTGTAGAGACAGCGTTTTGTCATGTTGCTCAGGCTAAGGTTCTTAATAAATATATGAAAATTTGATTTGTTCAGAATACTTTTTTTTTTTTTTTGAGATGGAGTCTCGCTCTGTTGCCCAGGCTGGAGCGCAGTGGTGCAATCTTGGCTCACTGCAACCTCCGTCTCCTGGGTTCAAGCGATTCCTGTGCCTCAGCCTTCCAAGTAGCAGGGATTATAGGCATGCACCACCACACCTGGCTAATTTTTGTATTTTTAGTAGAGATGGGGTTTCACCATGTTGGCCAGGCTGGTCTCGAATTCCTGACCTCAGGTGATCTGCCTGCCTTGGCCTCCCAAAGTGCTGGGATTACTACATGCATGAGCCCCGGCATCCAGGCCCAGAATACTCTTTTTAAGTCAAGAGAGTGTAATACCTTGTAGAAATATTCTTAACGAGGACTGACACCAAAAGGATTTCTTTGTTTAAATTTCAGTTTATCTGAAAACACAGCAACTCAAACTGTATTGTCCAAGCATTGCTGTTGGCCAACATTTATATTGGATTGAGGAATTCTAATAGAGTAATAAGACTGTCTGAATATCAGTTAAATTGGTCTCAGAGAATTCTAGGGTTGGAAGCTGCTCTACTGGTATTGCTAGTCTGGCCTCACCTCATTTTAAATGTCCTTTCACAGCATCCCCGACTGCTGGGCTTGCAGCCTTTGCCTGAGAACTCCAAAGCAGAGGACATTTATGATCTCCTGAGGCTGGATGTTATATTATAGTCACAGCATTCTTTTGTTCCTTTCTTTTCTTTTCTCTTTCTTTCTCTTCTCTCTTTTCTTTCCCTCCCTCCCTCCCTTCCTCCCTCCCTTCCTGCCTTTCTTCTTTCTTGCTTTTCTTCCTTCTATCAGGGTGTTGCTCTGTCACCCAGGCTGGAGTACAGTAGTGTGATCAGGGCACAATGCAGCCTTGAAATCCTAGGCTCTCAAGTGATCCTCCTGCCTCAGTCCACCAAGTAGCTGGGACTACAGGTGTGAGCCACCATGCCCAACAGAGCATTCTGAAATTTTGCTGACATCTGCCTCACCACAGCTCCCACTTAGCAGTTCTAACTTAGTCCTTTGGAGCAAACACAAAACTAATTTCACAGTTTCTACCAAGTGAGTGAGGGCACTAGAGGAGTATGCGGCGAAGACCTCAGTGGGGTATCCTGGCCAGTCAGACTCACCCTGTGGGTCAGAGTCTGGGTCCTGTGCTGGATAGACCTCTGGGATGACTGCTCACAGCGCCATTTTAGCCTCTAGTGCAGCAACAACAAGCACTAATCAAAGGACAGTATTGAGCGCCTGCTTTATGCCATGACTTTCATTATGTCATTTAATTCTCACCGTAACTCAAATATCATTATTCTAAAGATGAGGAAACTGAAACCCAGACATTAAGTAACTTGCTCAAGGACATAGAGGAAGCAAGTACTGGCATCAGAATTCTAACCTTTGTCTGCTGCGTTGCCTCCTGGAGGGTCTCACCAGGGGTGATGACCTGACCTGTGTCTCTTCACACGTCTCCTCATTGGAGCACACGTTCTACATTGTTTCTTCTGAATGAACTCAACCTGGAGAGCGAAGGCTTCCAGACCTGCCAAACCAACATTATTGTTGATTCCAATCTCTCTCCTTTTCCGGTACTTCCCTCTTGTCATCACCAAAATCAAGCATATTACATTCGAACTCATCACCCTTCTCCTGTCTAGGGACACATTTCTAAGTTAAATCTACCTCAATAGATATGAGAAACCTCTCCTTTCATACCTCTCCTCAACAGGGTCAAAAGAATCTTTGGGCCTGGCACATGGCTCATGCCTGTAATCCCAGCACTTTGGGAGGCCAAGGCAGGCGCGTCATTTGAGGTCAAGAGTTCGAGACCAGCCTGGCTAACATGGTGAAACCCCATGTCTACTAAAAATACAAAAATTAGCCGGGCATGGTGGCATGCACCTGTAATCCCAGCTACTCAAGAGGGTGAGGCACAGAAATCACTTGAACCCAGGAAGTGGAGGTTGCAGTGAGCCGACATCCCTCCACTGTACTCCAGCCTGGGCAACAGAGTGAGACTCTACCAAAAAAAAAAAAAAAAAATCTTAGAATGGCTTGGTGTAAGGTTGGGGAATCTCAGCTAAATGGTTCATCATGACCAGGTTAAACAGTTATTTCATCTTCTGCAGTGATGAGTGTGAGTCTTCCAGTTCTATTCCTGATGTGGAACTAAAGAGCTGAATAGCACAACTGTAAGAAGAGCATACATGAGCTTTGTCCTTGGCCTGTTTTCAGGTGAAATTTAGTAGCTCAATGAAATGGAGCTCTGGGAAAACATTGCAACATATATAATACTTAAGATGTAGCAAGAATGGTATCTCTCCAATTATTCACATAGTATTTTAAAGGACCTTTCACACAATCCTTGTGTCCTTGTCACTACTCACTCAGTAAACTGTAAACTATTTTTTTTTTTTTAGACAGTCTCGTGCTGTTGCCAGGCTGGAATGCTGGAATGCAGTGGCGCAATCCTGGCTCACTCAACCTCTGCCTCCCTGGTTCAAGTGATTCTCCTGCCTCAGCCTCACAAGTAGCTGGGATTACACGCACGTGCCACCACGCCCAGCTAGTATTTGTGTTTTTAGTAGAGACGGGGTTTCACCATGTTGGCCAGGATGGTCTTGATCTCCTGACCTCGTGATCTGCCCGCCTCAGCCTCCCAAAGTGCTGGGATTACAGGCGTGAGCCACTGCACCTGGCCAACTGTAAACTCTTTGAGGGTAGCGTATGTACTGTGTTCATAATTTTCTCTCTCATAGTTCTTAGTACCGTGCCTTTCCCACAGCATCTGATTAATGATTTTTTTCATGAATAAGTGAATGAATAAAAGAAATATAAAGGTGTCTTTATATGGTCAATATCAATCTAGCTCAAGTAGTAGTGAGTCAGTTTCGGTCATTTTGAAGCAAGAAAATACTTAACAGGAAATACCACGACAAGAAGAATACGATGAGATCTAAAATCTTTGGTTAGTTATGCATCTAAGGTTACATGGATCTGGCAGCAGAGTTTTAAGTACATTTCTGTATGACATTCTGAGTGTGATTTGGTGTTGGAATTTTAAAGCCTCTCTGTTCCATGCTTGATAGAGTCCTTTCTCAAAAATTAACAAAATACAAAAGCTACACCTGATTGTCTTAAAGGATGCCTGTATTTAAATAGAGAAGTTATTTTTATGACTAAGAAAAGAAAATCATATAAATAGAAAATGTCCCATGTAGGTAATGTGATCTGTCAAATAATTGTAGTTTTTTTCTTCCCCCTCAATTTCCTCCTGCTGCCCTGCCCCTTCATCTCTGTCATGAGGGGGAAACTGTTACAATGCTCATAGTCTGTGGACTCTGTCTTGGATAATGAATTGAAGGAACTACTTTTTTTTTTTTTTTTTTTTTTTTTTTGAAATGGAGTCTCGCTCTGTCACCCAGGCTGCCAGTGCAGTGGCATGATCTCGGCTCACTGCAAGCTCCGCCTCCCAGGTTCAAGCGATTCTCCTGCCTCAGCCTCCCAAGTAGCTGGGATTACAGGTGTGCGCCACCACACCCAGCTAATTTTTGTATTTTTAGTAGAGATGGGGTTTCACCATGTTGGCCAGGCTGGTCAGTCTCCCGAAGTGCTGAGATTATAGGCATGAGCCACTGCACTCGGCCTTGAAGGAACTACTTGTTAAGTCCCTACTTTAGTAGGTCTGAGGAAAGTGTTAACTTCTTGTAGAAAAGGCCACAGATCTTGTCTGGTTAGCAGACGCCACTTCACTATTCAGGAGCTGTTTACACATGTTCAAAAATTGTGGGATGAGGAGAGAGGAGGAAGAGTGGCTTTTATGCCACCAGACCTCCATTCTTTTTATTATCACAGGTGCAAAATGTCCCCATCTCCTGCCGAATGGGAGACAGCACTAGATCTGGTGGTCTGATGAGATCTCTGATGCTCAGCTTGTGTGCATATCAGCACCTGCCAGGGAACTCCGCAGCTGTACAGATGAGTTCCAGGCCCACTTCCCCAGAGCAGGCTGGCTCCCTGTGGTCTCTCTCTCCTCATAGCAGGCTTCCAGGGCCTTTTCTCTTGGTAATTGTCAGTCCCTGAAGATAAGCACGTAGGCCCTTTTTATTTTAAGACTTTACTGTTAAACAAAAAAAATAGCAGCATTAGGAAATCACAGGTCTCAGACCCACTTCCCCTTCTGGAAGCCCCTTGGGACATAGTTTTTATTCCTTGTGTTGGGCTTTCTTTTCTTACTGACTTCTTCCCCCTTCTCCCATTAAAGGAAAAGTTCGCTCTCAAGGAAACCTCATTCCCAGCATGTAGGCCTGAAGATGCAGGGTATGCCGAATGGTCCATACTTTTTTTTGTTTCAGCCTGGGAGCTCACATCTGTGGGGGATGTCCTCAGGTTATTAGCTCTGTGACATTCGGGGCATTTCCTCAAAGCCTTCATTTTCTTTAGCAATCCAAATAACATTATCTCATCCAATGTGAAGTGTTCATTAAGCCTTCCTTCCCCTAAATTCAGCATAAGTCATAACCATTGTAGACTGTGGCAGTGTATAATTTGCCCAAATGTGAATTCACTATTATTTGATTGGTAAAGCTTGATTAGTAAAGAATAATGGTAAATTGGCCTGGCTCCTGAGATTCTCAGGCAAAGTCCATGCTGGCTTGAGTTCTCTGTAAGTTGACTTTAGATGACATCTTTCACGTTTGTAAAACAATATTCCAGACATGAAATAAAAAACTGTGAGTCACACAATCAACATAATACTAGGCTTGGGCCATCGCTGCTTTTAGAGTATTGTGTTTTAGTGCTCATGTAATTATCTGTTTGCTATAAAAGTTGGCAGTCCTGACTTTCCTCTCCAATGTAAACAAAATAATATTATCTAATTCCTTTGCTGTTTATTGCCATCATAGCAGAAACTCTTAAATTTTATTTTAAAAACAGAGTTAGATTTTCCTCGTAATAGATCTAAAAGAGGTGAAATTGAATGTTCCTTTTGCAAGCAAACAAGCTTCTGTCACTACTAGTAAAGAAAAGTATTACAAGTAAAGAAGAATCTAAAGAGAGGTCTTTTTATCAGTCATGACACATGGGTGAGTTGACAGCCTAGAGTCTAGATGTCAGCTTTGGCAGTCTGGAAATTTGGTGTCTTCAGGTTACTGACTGGTAAGTGAACTCAGGGGTATTGACTGCTATTAACTGGTCAGTATATTCTCTGTGCTGCAGCAGAGTCTATATGGGAAATCAAATGACAATCCAAAGTTTGCTTGGTGAGCATGACGTCAGAGCCAAAGGGAGTTGGATGGTCTGAGTGGCATATGTCACAGCCCCAGGGGCAGGACGTCCTCCTCTCCACTCCAGAGACAGTGTTGTAGAACAGAGCTGATTGCTTGTCCTCTTGGCTTGCCTAGTGATGGAAACCGAGCATGAATAGCCTCTCTTGTTAAAATAGAACACAAAACCCTCTAAGATTTGAGCATATGAGAGGTCTGGAAGACGAGACTGTGCATGCAGTTACCAACTTGTCCTGCTGGATTTTCCCTCTCCTGCCAGTTCCCTCTCTTTGACTTCGGGTGTTCATCACCATCTTCAGCCCCAGGGTATACTGTGCCCTCTAAAAAACTGGTCAAAGGGAAGCATCAGACCTCTTCCTATGGCTCTCAGTACAACTGAGATAGGCTGCAACAGCCAATGAGTGTCTTATTAAAATTAATACAAAGCTGAAGGATACAAACATGTACCAAAACTGTAAAAAGTTGATGGTTGATGGAGGATAAATTTCTGTACCGGAGCTCGCAGCAAAAGGTTGGGAAATTTAAGCCAAGCAATTAGTCATGACCAGCTTAAACAGTGACTTCATTTTCTAAAGTGATGCCTTTTCAAAGAGTACTGCCCTTTTGAAAGCATCTTTACCTCTGCCAGGCAGCTACAACTGAATAGCTTGCATGTCCTTTATTAGCCTGCTTTACTTTTGCAGATGGCTCATCTCATTTTTAATAGATTCTTTTACAGCTCATTCTTAGGGTTGCACCATTTCTGACATTGTCCTCAAATTCTGGGAAGCGTCATAGGAATGCCTTCTTTTTCTGGCTTGTTTAGGCTATCTTTATGAAGGCATTTAAAAATATTCAATATTTTTTCAATCAATAGCAGCCATTTTTTTTTCTTTTGATACAGGGTCTTGCTCTCTCACCCAGGCTGGAGTGCAGTGGCCAATCATAGCTCACTGTAACCTTGAATTCCTGGGTTCAAGTGATCCTCCTGCCTCAGCCTCTCAAGTAGCTAGGACTACAGGCATACACTACCACACCTGGCTAAGTTATTTTATTTTTGCAGAAACAGGGTCTTGCTATTTTGCCCAGACTAGTCTTGAACTACTGGCCTCAAGTGATTGTCCCACCTTGGCCTCCCAAAGCACTGGGATTACAGACCTGAGCCACAGCACCTGACCCAGCAATTAATTGCTTTTTGTTTTTGTTTTTACTTCTGAGGCAGGGTCTCACCATCACCCAGGCTGGAGTACAGTGGTGCGATAATGGCTCATTGCAGCCTTGACCTCCCTGGCCTCAGGTGATCCTCCCACCTCAGCCTCCTGAGTAGCTGGGCCTACAGGTGTGTGCCATCATGCCCAGCTAATTTTTGTAGCTTTTTTTTTTTTTTTGTAGAGATGGGGGTTTGCCATGTTGTCCAGGCTCAGCCATTGTTTTTCAAGTTCAAATTGTTTCATCTTTGGCCAATAGGAAGGAGCCTATTTATGTGACTCTTGTGTCTTTTTGACTTGACCCCATTAATTGTGAAACATTTCCTTTCTTTTTGAGCTCATCAAAATGTTTCAGGGTCATCTTGTACTTTTTCTGTCCCAAACCTGGAATCAGTCACTCCTCAAAGGAGCCTTAGTTCCTTTGAGTGGGGAATGGTTTTTAGAGACCATAACCTGGGTGCTGTGGGTGTTCATTGCTGCTGAGTTGTCCTTACTTCTAAACCTATTCAATGAATGTATGTATTTTTTTGAAAAGAAAAAAAAATGAGTTCATACTAGTGTTTCCCATATAAATATATAATTGTAATATTTTAAAGAAAACTTAATTACTTTGGTTATACACATATTTTCTATTACACTGAAAACATCTTGGCTCCATTTGATGTTAGCATACTTATTTATTTGCTTTATCCTGTAGTGGATATAAGAATTTAAGAAATATGAATATTATTAATAACAATAATACTACTGAATGAAATGTAAGGTTTCTTTGCAGTTTTATTTGCTCTGGGAATATGTACAACTGTTGATGTACAGTCATAATATTGTGTTCTATGTCAACTTAAGAGAGAATTATTTTTTTCTGTGTTCTTATGCTATAAGTGGGATAGTCCATTAGGTTGATTTGTTTCCATTAATTTTCAATTGTTAGGGTTTTCTTTTACAATTTAAAAATAATTTATTCATTTATAGTCAGGGACTAGGTCTGTTGCTCAGGCTAGAATGCAGGGGTGCAATCATAGCTCACTGCAGCTTTGAACTCCTAGTTTCAAGACATCCTCCTGCCTTGACTTCCCAAAGTGCTAGGAATACAGGTGTGAGCCACCGTGCCCAGACTATTTTATGTATTTTCAAATTTTATTTTTATTTTTATGTCTTTTTAAGAGATGGGGTCTCGCTATGTTGCCCAAGCTGGCCTCAAACTCTTGGGGCTAAGCAATTTTCCCACCTCAGCCTGCCAAGTAGCTGGGACTATAGGCATGCTGTTCCATCATCCTGGTTTTTTAAAAATTTAATTTGTTAATATTATTAATATAGTGTTATTCCAGAGCCAAAACTACAGGAGGCACATCAAGAGAGGACTCAGTTTTCCATTCTTGTCTCCTCCACGATGTTCCTTCTCCTATACAAGTTTTCTAATTTGTTTTTGGTTTATCCATTTAGTGTTTCTTTTTATAAATATTAGCAAACACAAGTATCTTTATATCCCCCCCCCACACCCTTTCTTTCATCCATTTTAATGGTAAATAGTCTATTGGTGAATATTGCCGTTTGAGAATGACTTTTTTTTTTTTAAACCATAATGATGGGCAATAGTTCAGAACTACTGAAGTCTGGCTGGAGAGATGAGGAACATTACTTTTTAATACTGCTTGAAAAGAGAACACTTTTTTTCTGGAAGCCCATTTTTCTAAAAGAAACAATAATTTTTTTTTCCTTCATTTTCTCCGCGCCTCTCTAATCTGCCAGGAAATAATTCAACGCAATTCGGGCTGAAGCGTGTGCCTCGCCGCCTGCGGTTGGGTCATGGCCCCTTCTGAGACTGCTCGGAAGTGGGAGAGGATGCTTGCCCTTACGGGTGTTCTGCCCCTGAGACTGGCGCCCCTTGGTGCTCCCTCTGTTCCCTCCCAGATCTTGGGAGAAGCACGGACATCTCTGTTTCTGCTTTTGGTCCCCGAACGCAGTTACGCGCCCACTGGCTCCCTGTCTCTGGCGCTTCTGGGCACGGGGGAGCTGGGGCGGCCCCGCCTGCGCACGGCGGTGCCGGGATTGGGGGCGGGCACGCCGCCTCCGTCTCCCACGCGCTCGCTCGCTCGCTCGCTCCCGCCCTCCCCGCCTCGAGCGATCTCCTGCCTCAGCCTTGCAGGCTCCGCACTGCAGATGCCTGCTGGCTTCCCTGCGCTCGGCGGCTCCCGCGGTGCCCCGTAAGTCCCCGTGACCCTCCAGCACCAGCCGGCTGTGCGCTCCCTGCTCCCACGGGCCGGTCAGCCGCAGACACTCACCCAGCTCCGCGAGCTCAGCCGCTCAGCGAGTGGGGTAGCGGGGACCGAGACGGACGGTAGCCGTGCCAGAGCCCGGGGCGCTCTCGGATGCGGCAGGACAAGCTGACCGGGTCTCTGAGGCGCGGGGGGAGATGCCTGAAGCGGCAGGGCGGCGGCGTGGGCACCATCCTGAGCAATGTGCTCAAGAAGCGCAGCTGCATTTCCCGGACCGCGCCCCGGCTGCTGTGCACCCTGGAGCCGGGTGAGGACCCCAGGGCTGCAGATGGGGCGCTGTAAAGTAGCGCCGGGGCTGCCCGCGCTTCTGCCTTAGCCTGACTCCGTCTAGGCCGGGGAGCTCTGGGGAAAGTCCGCGTGCCACCTGGTGCGGGGCACCGCGTTGGCACCTGCAGGGAGCGATTGGTCTGGAAGGGTAGAGGGCAGACGGGGGCCTGGGTGGGGCAGCGGCCACCCCAGGCGCGGAGAACCCGCTGCTTCCACCCTCTCCCCGCGGACCCCCACCCTGCGGCCTGTGTGCTCGGCTTTCTCCGCGTGGCGGGGAAGTGCGGGTGGCTGCCCGGGCCCTCAGAGGCCGCACCACCTATTGTGTTCCAGGCTCGCAGGAAGCCAGACCTTGCGAGAGGTGTGTGGGGGCGGAGAGTGGCACAGGTTTGACACTGCAGGTCGGAGGAGGAAGACAGTGGCTGCAAAGGCAAAATCGGGTGTTATTTTCCCAAGAGTCCCTTCAGCGTGAGTGCCGGGGTCAGCTCGAACTGGAGCCTGTAATTTGTGAGTGCGAGTGGGGAGCAGCAGGAGATCCTTTTCATAGGTGAGGTCCAGGAACGAGCCTGGTCGTGCTAGGCAAGGCCCTTCCCACTGTCAGCCTGTGTTTACCCATCCCTGCTTCTCCAGACTGCATAACTCCGTGTCGGCTCCATCACCCGGCATCCCTCCCCGGGATTTTAAGAGCCTGGCCCTAGCGCGGGCTCCTGGGCACGGAGGTTTCTGGCAAGGAGTGGCTGCAGAGGGAGTTGGCTGTACTCTCACTGGTGCTTGGCGCTCACCTGTTCCCTGGAGTGGCACCGGCTGCGTTCCAGGCGGGTTCACGGTCCCCGGCCCCCGCCCCCCAGCGCCAGCGCCTTGGGGACCTGCTGTAGAGCCGCAGGAGAATCGAGCTGCAGAGTCCCAAAGGGTGGGATGCGGCACTGCCTTTCCCAACCTCGTGGTTTCTTTGTTGTTCTCCCCTAGGAAGTGTCTAGTTGCAGAGGCTGTAGTATTTATTCACCATCTTCCTTTACCTCTTTTTTTTTTCTTTTAAATCTCCTTCCCACGTTAAAAGTAAGTGTTTTGTATTTCTGAATCCGGAATAGCTGTGATTATCAGATGAAACATAAACCTTCTCTCTGCCCGTATTCTGTTAGAAGAAAAGAAAAGTGGGGTGAAAGTGACCTGGTTTAAGCTTTTGCATGCAGGCGGCGAATCAATTTCAGTTAAATCCTCTTGCTCATTTTTGATCATGAGAGGATAGTTGTGGTTTTGGCCAACTAACCCCTGCTGGGTTTCACTATGAGAAGGCAATCGGCATGATGCCCAGCAGGTGCCCCGGAAAAGTCAGAAGAGCATATTGGTCAGACATACAGGGAATCCTTGTAGTGTGGCAAGAATAAGTCAGCGCGGGACCGAATTTCCTGGTCTTTGTTATCAAGCAAACGTCATGATTATACGCTCCTCCATTCAGCACCTCGCGTCCGGACAGCAACCTCACTTGTTTTCAGCGTGCCTTAAAGCGTGCGCTGGGCTGGAAACACTCCCGTGGCCGTTGTTATCACCGTTCTATGTTTGGGCAGGACTTCGTTTAAACCACCTCAGAGAGAGGCGGATCCATGTGGTACTTAATATTCCTTCGGAGAAAAAAAAAACTTATCTATCCAGGCAGAGTATGGTTATGGCCCTGAAGCTTTAAAAAGAAATATCAAGGCATTGATTGGATGCCTGGGATTCTCTGCCACAGCTTACTTTGGAAACCTAGGACCCAACTCAGGAATTTACAGCGCTCTTCCAGGGTTCCAAGAACACCTGCATACTGATATGGGCTTGCAAAAATCAGATACATCTCTTTCCAGCTTCTTGACTCCGTGTATATATATATTTTTTAAAAGACCAGTCTACTTGATTACTTACTATTATTTCATAAATTCTGAAGATTGCTCCTATTCATACCAACCACTAAGAAGTGGAAGTTGTGGAGAAGTTTTTAGTACACCTAATCTACAATCAACAATCTTAGAAACAAAAATGCCATCATTTGACTTTTGAAATTTGTAAAACTTAATGTTATTGATAGTATTTGGCATTTCTTGGTCCTTGAACTTTTGGGCAATAATTCCTTTAAAAAATGGGGCCGGGTGCCGTGGCTCATGTCTGTAATCCTAGCACTTTAGGAGGCTGAGGCAGGTGGATCACTTCAGATCAGGAGTTTCAGATCAGCCTGACCAACATGACGAAACCCTGTTCTACAAAAAATACAAAAATTAGCTGTGCGTGGTAGCACGTGCCTATAATCCCAGCTATTTGGGAGGCTGAGGTGGGAGGATTGCTTAAGCCCAGGAATCCAAGGCTGCATTGTGCTATGATTGTGCCTGTGAATAGCCACTATACTTCAGCCTGGGTGATATATTGAGACTGTATCTCTTAAAAAGAAGAAAAGGAATTGAGACTGAGATAGGTTAGATAAATTGTTTCAGTCTAGGAACCAAGTCGAATGGAGGACTGTATGACTCCAAGCCTGTGGTGTCATTTTTTGTTTTTGTTTTTGCTTTTGTGGTACTCCAGGCATCTATGTAAACCACCGTCATATGTAGTAAGGCACTTTCTATTGCTGTAGGGTATTTTCCTATTTTAAGAATCAATATGCTTACCTTTTGGCAAAATTGACTAAAATTTAGTAAAGATACATACTTTAAAAAAAATTGTGATGATTCAGTAGAATCAAGCTTTTACTAGTATTTTTGATATAACTTGTTATAGTCTCCAAAAATAACATCTATTTATGTATTTTTCTTTCAGGAGTTGATACCAAGTTGAAATTCACTCTTGAGCCATCTTTAGGTCAAAATGGTTTTCAGCAGGTAACTTTGATTTTGAAAACACTCTTCTTTTGGGGTTACCAACAGGGCACATTGAGATATATTCTCAAAGTGGAAATAACGTATTCTTTGATATGAATGTGAAGATGAGTCACTTCAACAATATTTCAGTTAAAGTAGCTTTTGAGCTACAAGTGGCCTGGGTTTATATTTGCAGTGACAAATTTTGCACTTTCTATTAATGGTACATGTGTGAAAAATTTTAAAATGAATAAATTTCACACCTGTACCATAATGTCTTTTATTCTGAACCCCATAATATATATTTTGGCTTATTAACCAGAGCTTCCCAACCATTTTGTTTGTACTGCAAAGGGGTCACAGATGTGTTAAGGGTGCCCAAGGGGTGGGACGTGGCACAGTAATAGCCATGGACTGATCACTTCTGTCTGAAAGAAGCTTTGACTGTTTACCCCATTGTGCTGTGCAAATTTCAGCACATTCTATGAATGTCAAGATGGGAAAAAGATTGCAAAGTGCTTATCTAGGTCACTGTGATCACCTCCTGGGATTTCTTCTTTGTTCCTAGTGGTACGATGCTCTCAAGGCAGTTGCCAGGCTATCCACAGGAATACCAAAGGAATGGAGGAGAAAGGTAAGGAGGACTCATAGGGCTAGAATACAGAAGGATCATCACTGCCCTTCTTTAGAGCCTCTGGAATGTCAAAAAATATATTCTAGGTTTAGTTACTTGAAAACCTGTCTTGATTATTCATTCATGCAATAAATATTTATTGATTATTCTGTGCCAAGTAATGTTCTAGGTTCTAGGGATATAGCAATGGAAAAAAACAAAACAGACCAAAGTTTTTTGTCCTCATGGAGCTTACAATGAATAAAATATAAAGTATGTCAGATGGTAATAAGTGCCATGGATAAAAATAAAGTGTAGAGAGAAATAAAGAGCGTTTAGGAGAAAAGGGGTAAGGAGGTGGAATTTTAAATAGCAAGGTGACATTCGAGTAGGCCCCTGAAGGAGGTGAGAAGCCAGCCATGCAAGTACCTGGGAGGAGATACTCCAGGCAGAGGGAACAGCCAGCGCAAGCACCCTCAGCCCTCAGGCGGGAGCATCTTGCATCTGGGTTGTATTCAAGCAAAGATGGGGTGGGGCGGGGCTGGGGCACAGTGAACAAAGGGGGAAGCAATAGGTGAGGGGGTCATAGAGGTAATGTGGTGGGTTGAGGGGTGGCAGATCGTGGAGAACCTGGTGGGCTATCATAGGTCTTGGGCTTTTGCTCAGTGTGAGCTAGGAAGCACTGGGAAGTTTTGAGCAGGGGAGTGACATGATCTGACTTTTATTATGAACGGGCTACTCTGGGTACTGACTTGAGAATATGAGAGACAAGGGCTGAAGTAGGGAGACCAGTAGGAGACTTGCAGTAGCTCAGGCAACAGATGCATCAGGGTTGTGGTAGTGGAGATGGAAATCCTAGACGTATTTTGAAGGCTGAGCTTACATGAATTCCTCTTGGACTGAATATAAGGTATAAAAGGGATGTCAAAGATGACTTCAGGATTTTGGCCTGAGTGATTGGGAGGTAGAATTACTGTTTACTCAGATGGGAGGAGTAGGTGAGGTGTGTGTGTGTCTGTACGTGTAGGTAGGGTAGGTGGTGGAATAAGTGATTGGTTTTGGATCTGTTAAGGTTGACATGCCTATTAGATATCTAATTTGAAGGTATCAAGTGAGCATTTGGATATATGCTTCTGAGGTTAGGAGAGAAGTCTGGCTGGATATATAAATCAATGTTTATTTCTGCTAAATCATGTTTAAATACCAAAACTTGAAATACACACTTAGGATATTAATTTATAAGCCTAATCTTTATATTTCTAGAATTTGAAAATTGAGGGTTCCTCAAAATAGTCATGAAAATGACATTATGAAATATAACTTTCAGAAACAGATTTTCTGGATAAGATAATCAAAGGGTAAAAATATCCAGTGGCTCTTTTAAAAAACTTACTCATTATGGGAGCCCATCTGTCAGTTTTGTGTATGTGTGTGAGAGGGATGGTTTAAAGGCAGAGGCCACTCCATGGTGAAAAAAAGCCCCATTCACCATGAGTGACCAGATGGCTCTTGCCTAAGTATGGAGAGCAATACAGAGCCAAGTAAAACAAGCTTATGAGATTATACAGGTTATTCAATGAACAGAAATACAATTTGAAAATCTTCTTGGTTTGTCTTTCTAACAGTATCCCTAATGCCTGGATTGCTGCTTGACACATAGTGGGAACTCAACAAATATTTATTGAAAGAGTAAATGAAAGGCCCTAAATGGTGCAAATCAGTGCAACAAACATTTCAGTGAGACTCTTGTAGATTTCTACTTATGAGCGATAGATAGCTGGTCTAGGGACACTTCCCATTTTCTTGTCGAATGCAATAACTACTTTCTAATAAAGGTGAAGTTATATATTCTACTTTGGCATTCTCCTTTGTCTATGTAATATTTTAGGTTTGGTTGACCTTGGCAGATCATTATTTGCACAGTATAGCCATTGACTGGGACAAAACCATGCGCTTCACTTTCAATGAAAGGAGTAATCCTGATGATGACTCCATGGGAATTCAGATAGTCAAGGTAATGCCCCTGAACTTGGCCTGTCATCCTAATATAGAAGAAAGACTCTAAAAGCCAGTTGCTTTTTGGACAGAGGATCAAATGATCTCTACCTTCTGGTTTGAATGTCTGTATATTTTCTGCCTTCTCATTTCATTAGCTTTTTCATGGGGAACCTTGACAATGTGTTGTCTGCATAAATTTAAATGTTACCGGTAAGAAGAAAATATTTGCAAATGAGCTTTCATTCACATTCAACTTATTAATCTTCCTCACACTATAGGAAGGACGCTTTGTCATGGGTCAATGATGCCAACTGGATTTTTATATAAAAGTCACTGATTGAAAAAGTTAGTTAAGTATATTTCATATGAGAATGATTTGGTTCTTATTAGGGTCTTTGATAGTTTCTTAACTGCCAATTTCTAAAGACAGGTTCACAGGTGGGGCCTACTTCCAACCAAATACTTGTGGGTTCAAGCCAGCTGTGTAGGCAGTTGTGGCTCGCTTACCTGGATTATTACAGTTGAACAGAGCCTGGTGCTAAAAGCCAAGGATACTGATTCTGTTTGATCCCAGTATTATCCTCTTACATAAGGCTCTAGCACATGGTTTTTGATTTTATATGAGTACATTACAGTGTGATACTCAGCTGGGGTTTTAAAAGGAAAGTTGTTTCATCCAAATTTTGGCCACCTCAAGATGGCTAATGTTTTGGCATATTTGGAGGTTTTTTTTTAAGGAGGAAGTACTAACTAAAATGAGCTACTTTCTGTTCTAACTTGGTTTCAGACAAATGCTAAAAAAGTTATGCAATTTTACATTGTGTACTAAAAAGCCTTTGCATTATTCACATTTAAGCTATATATTTGGAATTTTAGAATATGTTTCGCAGAGATGAAGTATCTCATATTTGAAATATTTCCTTTTTGTCTAACTGGTGAATTAAGGCAATGCACCTTTTGTAACAATCATCTTTTAAGAGTATCTTTTGTTTTCTCATTGAAGTGAATGCTGTGTCAGTTAATGACTTCAGCTCTTGAAAATTGTAGTTCCTGCTTAGTAATTAAATTATAGATATTGCCTTCATTAAAGCATAGCAAATATTTCTGTCTTTCTTATATACATTCATAAAATAATTTGAATAGAATGATTTTTCTCTCTATAATCACATTTTTTGCTATTTTGATTTCACTCCTTTATGTTATTTAGAGTTTTGATAGCTAAATATTATACTTTATTTGTAGAAAGGAAGAATGTTAGCCTCAATCATACATGTATTGTGATGACTATTGTTTTACCTGAGAAATATTATTAAAACAATCAATTTACATGAAATTATACTGTAATTATTGTTAATTCTGAGCTACTTTTTGTGGTAATCCTGGAAACGTTTTAAGTTGAAAATTTGCCTGACTGAAATTCCCCTTGCAAATCTCTCTTAAACAGCATATTACAAAATATTATGAAAAAGAAAGCTAAAAATGCATTTTGGCTCATATGTATAAAAACATACACATTTTAAAAAAATTTTATGTCGATGATTTGACTCTGTTTATTGAGTCAAAAAAAAAAGGTATTGTTTTGGAAAGAATATTAGGAGTTATTTTTGAAAATATTGTTTCCCTTCCATTTAGGACCTTCACCGCACAGGCTGTAGTTCTTACTGTGGCCAGGAGGCTGAGCAGGACAGGGTTGTGTTGAAGCGGGTGCTGCTGGCCTATGCCCGATGGAACAAAACTGTTGGGTACTGCCAAGGCTTTAACATCCTGGCTGCACTAATTCTGGAAGTGATGGAAGGCAATGAAGGGGATGCCCTGAAAGTGAGTAGCAGGCTCTGACAAAGGCCATGGACATTCTTCTGAGAGTGAGAAATTGGAACCATAATTTCTCTTCCTTGATGTCTCATCCTTTTCCAAGGTGTTTGCCACACCTTTGTAATGACCTATGATAGCATTTCCTCCAGGTTAGAGCCATGTCAAGTGACAGATTCATGTAGCTGCCAACTATGAGGCAAATGATTATGTATTTAGTCTCATTTATAAGACATCATATTTTTAAAGCAAGTTAAATATTAATTGTATTAATTATTCATTGCTGTTCAACAAATTAGCTGCTTAAAACAGCAAATGTATTATCTTACAGTTTCTTTGCGTCAGAAATCTAGGCACAGCCTAACTGCCTCAAGGACACATCACTGTTGCTGTTGGTTGGTGTTGCGATCTCATCTGAAGGCTCAATTGGGGGTGGGCATTGGCTTTCGAGTTTGTTTATGTGGTTGTTAGCAAGATTTAATTCCTCACAGGCTGTTGGACTGAGGCCATGGTTCCTTGCTGGCTGTTGACTGGAGGCCTTTTATAGTTCCTTGCCATGTAGCCTCTCCATCTCTCAACCCAGTGGCTGGCACCCCCAAAGTGAACATGAGAGTAAAAGATAGTGAGCAAGGCAAAAGAGTTTAAGTTACAGATTTGTAGCCAAACATCAGAAGTGACATCCCACTATATTTCCATATTCTGTTCTTTAGAAGCCAGTCACCAGGTTCAGCTTATAGTCAAGGAGAAGGGCTCATACAAGGGTGTGACTCAGGGGTCATGTTAGAACTGCCTCCCACACTAGTTATGCTTAATTTTGATTGGATTGCCTTATTGAGTTGCTTTACTCTTTCATATTTGGAGCAAGATATGGAGGAGTTGGGCTGAGAGTGAGTGTCTAAGGAAGGTGTTTGCATGGAGAAGCATTATGGAATTGACTTACATTAATATCTTTTAATCTTTGATGCCTACGACCTTTATTAGTTAAAACAAATTTTAAAAACATGTTGAGATGGGGCACTAGTGATTTAAGCTTAGTTTGCATGTGTGTCAGTGAGTCACCAGAAATAGAGTGCTTATGAGAAATGAAGCATTTTAAATGTGGAGGCTAATGCCTATTTGCTTAAGGCAATGTGGGATTACTAATTCATATTTGAACCTTTAAACTGCTCTTGATTGCAATGCTTTGTGATGTATGAGATAGATACTTAGTCTTCGTGTTCAAGAACCGCCCCCCGACACAACCCCACTCCCAACAACTTGTGTTTGACTATGGTGAATACCTTATTGATACTGTCAATCACTGATTAATGTGATGTGGAAAAATAAACAAATGTTCCTCTTGGTTTTATACAAATGATGGTGGACTAGTTATAAATCCAGCTTGACATGATCTAAATCTGTATTCAACCTCTCACTTTTTCCATTGATGTATTTAAGGAAGCAGCTTTGAAGTTACTTGTTCATCAAAAAGGTGAGGGTAGGAGAGGGAGGAAGGCAGTGACAAATACATGACTTTAAGATGTTTTTTATTAAGAAGCAATTTTGTTTACTCAGTCTATCAGCTTTCATCAGTTTTTTTTTTCAGATGGAATTGGTATGATGATAAAATGGGAATTGTTTTCTAGAGCAATTGGAATAAGTGAATCAAGTTAGGGGGTCGGATGGAGATGTTCAGGGAAGGAAATGTACATGCCAATCAAATTATAAAAGGGCTCAGTAATACTTGAGAAACTGGAAATTAAAAACTCACGTAAAAATATGGATTAGATAAAGATGAGAAACTGAATATTTCAGCCCCCACGAAAATGGGCTCCATGCAATGAGATGATGTCATCATCCTTTAAGAGTGTATAGATCTTGTGTTTAGACATTTAATATGCAGAGGAAGGTTGGCTTCATGAAGAAACACTTCTGATGTTGAGGAAAATATTGGACATCTATTTTTTCAGCATGGCCTCTACAAGTCATAATTACTAAGGAAACATATAGTTTATTAGAAATAGGTGAACCATTTTTCCTGCTATTTAGCACTTAAGTTTTTACTTAGCAAATCTTTCATTTTCAACCTTTTGTTAAAAATTCAGAGCTCTCCCATTATTTAGCCAAATCTTTTTTTTTTTTTTTTTTTTGAGATAGAGTCTTGCTCTGTCACCCAGGCTAGAGTGCAGTGGCATGATCTTGTCTCACTGCAACCTCCACCTTCCAGGTTCAAGCAATTCTCCTGCCTCAGCCTCCCGAGTAGCTGGGATTACAGGTATACACCACCACGCCCAGCAAATTTTTATATTTTTAGTAGAGATGGGGTTTCACCATGTTGACCAGGCTGGTCTCAAACTCCTGACCTCTCAGGTGATCCTCCTGCCTCAGTCTCCCAAAGTGCTGGGATTACAGGCATGAGCCACCGTGCCGGGCTTTTTTTTTTTTTTTTTTTTTTTTGATCTAAGATTTGACCTTGGAAATACAGTGGTGGGTGGTTTGAGTGAGCTGGCTCTATGTCTTCACATCAGACATTGAGATGCCTTCAGATAGAGAATTTCACTGTCACAGGAATTAGTATGATAATTGAAGAATTTTTTTTTTGCTTGTTTTCATGTAATTTTGAGAGATCATAATTTCTCAATAAAAACCAAATATCTTTCTCAGCATTATGTCTTATCCTTAGATGAAAAATACAACAGTTGTCAGTGTACATCCTTTACGTCTGCATTCATGATCCTGTAAATTCCTCTAATCCTGATCCATAGAGTGCTAGGTTCCTGCAAGGGTACTCTACCATGCTGAAACTTGCTCTCCTCATCAGCTGCTGCCTCCCAGAACCTCCTCTTCCCGCAGAGACAGAATTTACTCCTTTCTTGTTGCTGAGCTCTTATTTGCAAGATGATGTTACGTGTACCTGGTAAATTTTATCCTAACATAAGAAGGCTAAGGCCTTCTGGGTCTGGCCACCTTACAGCAAAGGAGAGGGTCCTCCTCAAGAGCATGCCCCTGCCCTACTGACTCGTTCAAAACTGTGACCCTGAAAAGTGGAAATTATAAGCTGGGGAGGAGGGGAAAATGGGCCCTTGGCAGGGTGGGAGATTTTTGTTTTTGTGGGGCGGGTTAGGGGGTGGAAATAGAGTTTTATAGTATCCTGAGTGTCAAAATGTGAGATAGCTACTTTTCCATCGACATAGAGCCCATTATATATATAGAACCAGTTATGATTTTGTTCTTAATTTTGTTTTTCTGGTGCTTTTGGGAAGGAGCTGGTCTTTTAGGGAATGGGTCAGGTACATAGCATGCCAGACCTTTTAAGAATGAAGCCACCTGAATTAGCACGTGGATGCTCTTCAGAGAACTGCAAACAAAGAAAGTAGAGGTAGTGATTCAATACTATTATAACTCTGAAAATATCTGACTTCTCCGATTCCACTGTACAAATGAGCCTAAACATTGAATGGAAATACATGGTTCCAGGTATTTTTGTTGGTAAGAGTTTGGTGGGAAAGAACCAGGGATTGACATACAGAGCTCGTATGTGTTTGGCTGGGTCATTCTAGAGGTTCTTGACATTTTAGGAAAGGTAATACAAGTAGAAAAATCAAAATGAAAATAGCAATTTGAAGAACCTCTATAACAACCTTATGAAAGAAATACAGATTCTGAAAAGTACTATTTGTTCAAGCAAAGCATAGTTGCATTTTCCCAGGAAGCGGACAAAGAGCCAACATGAGTTGCTCTAATAGCCCAGGTTGATGGTGAGTAAATCTTGAGAGCTGCTTCAGTGGGGGTGTTTTATGATAGGCCTGCTCTTAGTTTTCATATTGAGGTTGTAAAACTGTGCTGACATCAAGGAGCCAATACTGAGGCTCTGCTGGCTGCTGCACAAGCTTGGGCTTTGTCATTTCTCAGAATGACGCTAAGGGTTGCATAATCACAGCTACTTATGGGCCGAACTCAGGTCTAGCAACCCATCTAGAAATTTCAGACAGCAGCGGACTTGGGGTCTGAGTTACTTAGATGATTATGCCACATGCTCCCTAGCCAGGCTGTAGGAGAGCCTTGTAAATCTGGAACATTTGGTACTGATGCATTTAAGGATAGCGTGCTTTGGCTAACAGCGTTTTATCTATTTGAATACTTATTTTCTCTTTAGGACGTGTTGGGATCCCAGTTTTTACAAAGCAGTCTTAAGCTTTATCTTTTTTTCTTTAGATTATGATTTACCTTATTGATAAGGTACTTCCCGAAAGCTATTTCGTCAATAATCTCCGGGCATTGTCTGTGGATATGGCTGTCTTCAGAGACCTTTTAAGAATGAAGCTGCCGGAATTATCTCAGCACCTGGATACTCTTCAGAGAACTGCAAACAAAGAAAGTGGAGGTAGGTTTCAATGCTATTATAACTCTGAAAATATTTGTCTTCTCTGATTCCACTGTACAAATGAGCCTAAACATTGAATGGAAATATGTATTTCCAGCTATTTTTGTAAGAGCTTGGTGTAATGAAATAGATTTTTAGAGAATGAAAACAAAACTGACAACAACAAAAGGCCACATGTTGAACCTCTAACTGGTCATAATTAGGAAGTCAGTGAAGAGCCTAATACTAGTACCAGATCAACAACTGAAATGATGTACTCTGGATGGAATACCATGTACACATCTTACTATCTAGTTAAACTGCTCTAAGCTGGCACCAAACCTGTAGGAGTCTTTAAAAATGAGCTACAGGTACAATTTAGTACAAACTGGTTTTACCTGAACCATTGAGATTATGAAAGAGTAGCTAAGAGCCGCTGCTATCTATTGGGCATCATCCAGCTTTTGGAAGTATCTGAGCTCATAGCTGTCATTATACCTACTGCTTGTACTTCCCTGGCTGTGCGTACAGAATAGTCAGGAGTTTGTTGTGTTTCCTCCAAACCAGTGGTCCCCAACCTTTTTGGCACCAGGGACCAGTTTCCGGGAAGACAGTTTTTCCACAGACCAGGGCTTGGGGATAGTTTCAGGATGATTCAAGCATATTTATTGTGTACTTTATTTCTATTATTATTACATTGTAATACATAATGAAGTAATTACACAACTCACTGTAATGTAGGATCAGTGGGAGCTCTGAACTTGTTTTCTTGCAACTAGATGGTCCCAACTGGGGGTGATGGGAGAAAGTGACGGCTCATCAGGCATTAGATTCTCATAAGGAGCGCGAAACCTAGATCCCTCACGTGCACCGTTCACAATAGGCCTTGTGCTCCTATGAGAATCTAATGGTGCTGCTGATCTGATAGGAGGCAGAGCTCAGGTAGTAAACAATGGGGAGTGGCTGTAAATACAGATGAAGTTTTGCTTGCTGCTCACCTCCTGCTGTGTGGCCTGGTTCCTAGCAGGCCACGGACCCAGAGATACCTGAATGTCTCTAGGCATTTCCTTCTAAACCATTTGAATAATCTCGTTTAACTTGGCTCTGCAGTATAACTGTGTAGATTTTATAATGCTTCCGGATAGGCCAATCTTCCCTGTCCCCTAGTCAGACACACTTTAGTGAGCTACATGTTTTTACCCAAGTGCCTTGCACTTGGCTGTGAGGAGCAACCTCAGATTCTAGTCTCTGAACAAAGATACTCCCATTGTTCATAGGTAAGGAAGAAGAAAATGAATATAGGAAAACAGACATCTTTTTGTTTACACTTAGGTATAATTGTACATATTGGCTGTAATTTGAAGGGAGGATCAGTGTAAATATCTAAATATTTATATTTCATAAAAATATATACTGATCACATAAAGTAAGAGGGAGTACTATGTTTTTTAATAAATTTAGAAATTTCAAAATTTGCTGGACGCCAGATCTTTAGTTGGAAATATTTTTAAATGTAATGTTTATTCTCTATTTTGGGATTTGCCAGCTATCTTTCTGTTAATGATTTCTAGTTTAACTCCACTGTGGTCTGAGAACTAAGTATAACTTAAGAAGTTGGTAGATAATTTATAGTGAGCAATTTATTCTTATCAAAGCAGCATTTGAATATAAGTGGGCATTATATGATTTTGAAAATCTGATGGCTTTTGCTTTTGAGAGGCTTAAGTCCTTTCTTTTTCTTCTGTTTTTGGTGAGGAAAACTTTCTCCTTAATTTTCAGCTCACTACAATAGGTAGAGCCAAAGTAAGTTTTAGGTTAAGATTTCTGAAGTATTGTAAATATTTTTTGAAGTTCATATTTGTTAAGCATACCTGTGTTCTTCCAGAAACATGGCAGAAAAAAGAAAGAACAAGAGTTTAGAAATATGAAGAAATCAGTCAGGAAATACAACAAATTTGAGTGGACATGGAAGACTAGAAAAGGGTATCTGCATATGCTGCCAATCATCAGTTCTGAAGGAATTGAATGTGTTTGTTTTATTTCAGGTGGATATGAGCCCCCACTTACAAATGTCTTCACGATGCAGTGGTTTCTGACTCTCTTTGCCACATGCCTCCCTAATCAGACCGTTTTAAAGATCTGGGATTCAGTCTTCTTTGAAGGTTCAGAAATCATCCTAAGGGTGTCGCTGGCTATCTGGGCAAAATTAGGAGAGTAAGTGATTTCCACCTTCTGCTCTGTTCTGTGATGTTGAGGGCCTTAAGCAGTTTTTGTGCTCTAACGTGTAAAGCAATATTTAAGTGAAATGAGAAAGTTGTGAACTTTTAAAATTGCTTTAGCCTCCTGAAATCTCAGCAGGCTCATTGCTGGCACATACAGTCTATTTTGGAGAAGGGGGCAGATGCCTTTAGGCCTGTAGATTCTCCCACTCCTCCTCAAGTGCTTGTGTCCTGGCTGGTTCACTCTTTGTCAGCATCTCTTTGGACACTAGTTGGGAAGAGGGAAAGGAACTTAGGTGGCAGAGAAACTGAAAGATCTGGTTAGGAGTAGGTGAATTTGTTAGTTAATATCATAATTTGAATTATTGATGAATCTTTATTTTGTTCTGCCTTTCAGGGCTGTGATAAAATCAAATGAGATAACAAGATATCTAGCCTGGTAGAACACATAGAACTTCTTTCCTTTCATTAAGAATTAATTCTCTGTTGGAATCTGTTACTGCCAAAACATATTACCAAATAGATTTTGCTTATATTCTTTACTAGTAGCAGGGCTGAAAAAGATAGGGTATTTTTCATTCACCTTTGATATATTATGATTACTACATAAATGTTGTGCCTTTTGGGTAACGGAAGAAGCATTAGGATGAAACTTATAGTTAAGAAGCAGTGAAGTTTTTACCATTTCTCTTCTGGAGCTATAAATGACGAGTGGGTTCCCACAGACAACATGTCACAAAACTAGTAAATCACTGGCACTGTTTTGTTTCAAAAACCTTTTAACTAGCCTTTGTATTTATGGTAAGTTGTTTCCTGGGAGACTTCTGGCATTTTTAACAATTTTGCAAAGAAAGATCCACCAACTATCGGCCGAGCGCGGTAGCTCACGCCTATAATCCCAGCACTTTGGGAGGCTGAGGCAGTGGGTCACGAGTTCAGGAGATCGAGACCATCCTGACTAACACGGTGAAACCCCGTCTCTACTAAATATACAAAAAATTAGCTGGGCGTAGTGGTGGGCACCTGTATTCCCAGCTACTCGGGAGGCTGAGGCAGGAGAATGGCGTGAACCCAGGGGACGGAGCTTGCAGTGAGCCGAGATCGTGCCACTGCACTCTAGCCTGGACGACAGAGCAAGACTCTGTCTCAAAAAAAAAAAAAAAAAAAAAAAATCCACCAACTATCAATTCAGGGACTTAAAAAAATTATTATTGTGTGTATTTTTAAACATCACCTAGCTATCTCCTTTGCCTTGGTTTTATTGTACATTGCTTTTCAGCTGGGTAAATAAATTCATCTGTATGGGATTTGGTGTGCTATTTACTTATCTTTCATTACCCCCCAATAGCTACCTCTTGCTGCAGCCATGTATTTCCAACTTACTCTATACATTGTAAGCCCTTTGAGCTCTGATAGTTTCTTTGGGTGTGGTAGTCCAGTTGCTGCATAGCTGGTTTATAACATTAAAATAGTAAAGCACTTTACTGTATGATGAGTCAGTTATAATTGCCTTTGTGTTGGTTCTTCATGAAGGAGCAGGAAGAAAAGAGGTTATCCTGGTTTTACTCCTCTCTATCCATTAATCTGTAGGATCAGAATTTATTCCTAAGATCATCCCAGGGATGTCATACTGTTGAAATAATAATAGCTGCAACAAAAGCCAATATTCATTGAGTGCTTGCAATGAACAGTCGCTGTTCTAATTACTCTGCATGGATAAACTCATGTATTCTTCATCATCCTATAAAGTACGCACTGTTGTCATCTCCATTTTATAGATGTGAGAATTGAGGCACACAGAAGTTCAGTTAATTGTCTAAAGTCACCTAATTACTAAGTGGAATGGCCTGAATTTGAACCCAGGCATTCCTGGCTCTAGAGTCTGTGCTTTTAATAATGTGAATCTACTGATAATAAATGGCTGGTCTTTTTGAAGTTTAGGGGATATATGAATCAGAATGATAGAATTTTAACTCTTTCAGTTTTTGCTTATTATAATTCTATATGTTTTGAGCATGCAGCTTGTTAAGGGAAAGGAAAGGCAATTGACATACATCATAAGTGCCTGCAGTGCCTGCCATTGTGTTAGGCAGTTTAAACACATCATCTCATTCAGTTCTCCCAATAACCCTGTGGAGTAGATAGGGTTATTCTCCCTGTCTTTTCAGTAAGAAAATTTCCCCAGGAAGGTTAATTAGCTAGTTCATAGTCACACAGCCAGTGAATAGCAGAACTGGGACTTCAATATGGAACTTTCTGATTCTAGTGCCTGTAATCTTCCCCACAAACTTCCTGTTGGAAAAACCATAAAAGCATATAGGTAATCTCCAGTTTATGTACACCTGAGTAACATGTGCCTTATATATGGTGATCCAGGACCTCTCCTTTCACCTGACTTCTGCAACTTGGAATTTCTACCTTTCGCTCACCCCAAGGGTACTTGGGAATATGTAAATTGTAGACCATCAGCACGCCATCACTAGCATCTCTTTATGTGTCCTTTCTCCTCTGCCCCTGCTGTTTTGGTTTCCTCCCTTGTCACCCCATGCCTGGCCCACTGTGGTGTGTCCTCCTTGGTTTCCTCATGGTAATCCACACTTGCCATGCCACCTCCAGGCAGACCTTGCCAAGGGCACAGCTGTTCCCTCACTCCCTATTAAAGCCTTTTCGTGACTCATGCTCTGTAGAGGCTCAGCTGGCAGGTGAGGCCTTTGCTCTCTGCTCTCAGTAGCTCTCTTCCCTCAGCTCTCACTGGCTTCCTCTGGTCCTGCAACCACTACCCCAGTGCTGGTCTCGCTGGTTGTGCGGAGCTACTTGCAGTTCCCCAGATAAGGCCTGCTGTCTCCTGCATCTGTGTCTTTGGGATGTTTTTTCTTCCTTGTCAGCCTGAAAAACACTTTTCAAAACTCATCTCAAGCATTATTTCTCTTCCTTACCTCCCAGGGTAAACTTAAGTACCTTTCATTCATGTCCACAGGCTGCTCTGCTCTTTTATAGTAATATTTCAGCAGTTTGTTCCATTCATTTATTTACATTTGTGGCAATGGGATTAGAACAACACTCCAGAACCTATGGTTTTTCCATAATCATATTATTTTGGATGGCTTTACAGAAATCCCCCAATATTAGTATGTATCAAAGTGTAGGTCTTCTGGTTGGTGGGAAACTAGAGTTATCCTACAATACAAACAACGTTGTCATATAAAATGGAAATACCTAGGCTGGGTGCCATGGCTCATGCCTGTAATCCCAGCACTTTGAGAGGCCGAAGCAGGTGGATCACTTGAAGCCAGGAGTTTGAGACCAGCCTGGCCAACATGGTGAAGCCCCATCTCTACTAAAAATACAAAAAACCAGCAGGGTGTGGTGGTGGGTGCCTGTAACCTCAACTACTCGGGAGGCTGAGGCAGGAGGATTGCTTAAGCCCAACAGGTGGAGGTTGCAGCAGGCCAAGATCACACCACTGTGCTTCAGCCTGGGCAACAGAGCAAGACTTTGTCACAAGAAAAAATAAATAAATAAATAAACAAACAAAATGGAAATACCTGGTACTCTTTGTTTTGGGCTCTTCTGTTTTCCCCTTTGTAGAAGAAAGATTGAAGTCCAACCTGGCTCACAGGTAGCCAAGTGAGTGTCAGATTCTTTATTTACATGTAGAACTGAATGCAAGAAGAGGTGTAATCTCCAACTAGCAGCAGCACCCTGAGAAGAACTCAGAAAATTCTGCCTGTGAAAACACCCCATGGACTGATGAAATATGCAGATACAGTTCTTGTAATTGTCATCTTTTATTCCTACTGTGGTTTGGTTTTAAATCTATTATATTAATGATATCACTGTTTGCAGATTAAGACCAACAGAGTCCCTTAAAGGAGATAATTGTTTTTTAGTACCCAATTTCATGGTTATGCTTTCTAACGAGTGGTGGGAATTCTGATGTGTAGATTGTGTCCCATGGAAGCAATAAAGATGCCACAGGTGGGACTGTGAGGCGAGGAGTGCCAAGTAGGAATGACAGGACTTACCCAAAACGAGTACCTCAAAGTTGCTTTTGGTATTTTTAAATGTTTCATCCACAGTGGGCTTTACAAATATCAGGATTTTGATATTTGTTGATTGATAACCTGAGTTATTTGATGGCAAAAGGCAACTGCCCCCTGCCCTTTTTTGAGACAGGGTCTCACTGTGTTATCCAGGCTGGATTGCAGTGGTGCTATCATGGTTTACTGCAGACTTAGCCTCCCAGGCTCAGGTGATCCTCCTGCTTTAGCCTCCTGAGTAGCTAGGACCACAGGTGTGCGCCACGATACCCAGCTGATTTTTAAAATTATTTGGAGAGATGGGGTCTTGCTGCATTGAGGCTCCTGGCCTCAAGCAATCCTCCCGCCCCAGCCTCCCAGAGTGCTGGGATTATAGGCATGAGCCACCATGCCCAGTCCAACATATCTTATACCTGCAGCATGTACTGTTACACAGCATGGATGCCCTAAACAAGTTGTATTTTCTGTCCTTTCTTTATCTAGGCAGATAGAATGTTGTGAAACAGCAGATGAATTCTACAGCACCATGGGGCGCCTTACCCAGGAGATGCTAGAGAATGATCTTCTGCAAAGCCATGAACTCATGCAGGTGAGTCGGCAACATGGAGCAGCTTGGCTCGGGGAACCCCGGGCACGGTGGGAACAACCAGTGCCAGAGCAGCGGTCTTGAGAAATGTGCTTGGTTAGCTGTCAGACTTAGTTTCTCAAATTGACCAAGAGTCTGTTTATAATTTGATAAGAATCTATGTCATAGAAGGAAGGAAGAAATGAATGATGGATATTTGTTGTAGCTTTCTGTCAGACTGTGTTGCTTAGAAGTCATTAGCAGCAATATAAACTGGAAAAATACACTGGAAAAACAAAATCACCAAGTGCTTATTCTGAATTTTATTCTTAGTCTTTCTTTTCTTTTTTGAGACTGTCTCATTCTGTCACCCTGGCTGGAGTGCAGTGGCACAATCGTTGCTCACTGTAGCCTCTGTCTCCTGGGCTTAAGTGATCCTGCCACCTCAGGCTCCTGAGTAACTGGGACTACAGGCGTATGCCACCATACAGCTAATTTTTTATTTTTATTTTTGTATAGATGGAGTCTTGTTATGTTGCCTAGGCTAGTCTTGAACTCCTAGACTCAAGTGATCCTCCCACTGCGGCCTTCCTAAGTGCTGGGATTATAGGCATGAACCACTGTGCCCAGCCTACTTAGACTTGTGGGGGGAAACACTTATTGTGGGGAATAAATTATTGAGGATAAAAAAGATTATTCTCATCAGCATTTTGATTCATTTGTTTTGCCCACACTTTCAACTCAGGTAATTATATATTAATCATAAATTTTAAAGTGAAAGACTTGAAGGGTTTAGTTATTTTTTATGGCATGTTACTGTACGTCAATATCATATTCATCAAGTCTTTGAAATTGACAGCAAGTATAGAAAAAATAGCTGTCTTATTAACACTCACTCTTCCATTAGATTCTTTTTTTAATTTCTAATTTTTGTGGGCACGTAGTAGGTGCATATATTTATGGGGTACATGAGACACTTTGATACAGGCATGCAATGCATAATAATCATATCAGGGTAAATGGGGTATTCCTCCCCAAATGTTTATCCTTTGTGTTACAGACAATCCAATTATACTTTTAAATTTATTTCTAAATGTACAATTAAATTACTATTGACTATAGTCACCCTGTTGTGCTATCAAATACTAGGTCTTATTCATTCTTTCTAACTACTTTTTGTACCCACTAACTATCTCTTCTTCCCTATCAACTACTCTTCCCAGCCTCTGGAAACCATCCTTCTACTGTCTATCTCTATCAGTTCAATTGTTTTAATTTTCAGCTCCCACAATTAAGTGAGAACATTCAAAGTTTGTCTTTCCATGCCTGGCTTATTTCACTTAATATAATGACCTCCATTTCCATCCACAAATAAGCTCCCACAAATAAGTGAGAACATTCAAAGTTTGTCTTTCCGTGCCTGGCTTATTTCACTTAACGTAATGACCTCCATTTCCATCCATGTTGTTGCAAATGACAGAATCTCATTCTTCTTTTTATGGCTGAATAGTACTCCATATTGTATATATACCACATTTTCTTTATCCGTTCATTGGTTGATGGATACTTAGGTTGCTTCCAATTCTTGGCTATTGTGAACAGTGCTGCGAGAAACATGGGAGTGCAGATACTGTTTTGATATACTGATTTCCTTTCTTTTGGGCTTGTACCCAGCAGGGAATTTTTGGATCATATGGTAGCTCTAATTTTAGTTTTTTTTGAGGAACCTCCAACCTGTTTTCCATAGTGGTTGTACTAATTTACATTCCCACCAACAGTGTACAAGGGTTCCCTTTTCTCCACATCCTTGCCAGCATTTGTTACTGCCTGTCTTGATTAAAAGCCATTTTAACTGGGTGAGATAATATTTCATTGTCATTTTGATTTGCATTTTTCTGATGATCAGTGATTTTCTGTCCCCAGGCTGGAGTGCAGTGGCACCATCTCAGCTCACCAAATTGCGGTTCAACAATTGCTCCTGGGGGCTGAGCGCGGTGGCTCATGCCTGTAATCCCAGCGCTTTGGGAGGCTGAGGCGGGCAGATCACGAGGTCAGGAGATCGAGACCATCCTGACTAACACGGTGAAACCCTGTCTCTATGTAAAATACAAAAAATTAGCCAGGCGTGGTGGCGGGTGCCTGTAGTCCCAGCTACTCAGGAGGCTGAGGCAGGAGAATGGCGTGAACCTGGGAGGCAGAGCTTGCAGTGAGCCGAGATCGTGCCACTGTACTCCAGCCTGGGCAACAAGAGTGAGACTCCGTCTCAAAAAAAAAAAAAAAAAATCGCTCCTGGGTTCAAGCGATTCTCGTGCCTCAGCCTCCCGAGTAGCTGGAACTATAGGTGTTTGCCACCATGCCAGGCTAATTTTTGTATTTTTAGTAGAGATGGGGTTTCGCCATATTGGCCAGGCTGGTCTCAAACTCCTGACATCAAGTGATCCTCCCGCCGAGCTTGGCCTCCCAAAATGCTGGGATTATAGGCGTGAGCCACCGTGCCTGGCCTTGAGCACCTTTTCATAAGCCTGTTCGTCATTTGTATATCTTCTTTTGAGAAATGGCTATTCAGATCTTTTGCCCATTTTTAATCGAATTATAAGATTATAAGAGTTATTTGAGCTACTTGAATATTCTGGTTATTAATCCCTTTTCAGATGAGTAGTTTGCAAATATTTTCTCCCACTCTTTGAGTTGTCTCTTTATGTTGTTGATTGTTTTCTTTGCTGTGCAGGAGCTTTTTAACTTTATATGATCCCATTTGTCCATTTTGCTTTGGGTGTCTGTGCTCATGGGGTATTACTCAAGAAATTTTTGCCCACTCCAATGTTTTGTAGAGTTTTTCCAATGTTTTATTGTATTAGTTTCATAGTTTGAGGTCTTAGATTTGAGTTTTTAATCCATTTTGATTGATTTTTGTATATGGCAAGAGATAGGGGTCTAGTTTTGTTCTTCTGTGTATGGATGTCTAGTTTTCCTAGCACTATTTATTGAAGAGATTGTCTTTTCCCCAATGTGTGTTCTTGGCACCTTTGCCGATAATGAGTTCACTGTAGATATGTGGATTTGTTTCTGGGTTCTCTGTTCTGTTCCATAGGTCTATGTGTCTGTTTTTATGCCATGCTGTTTGGGTTACTATAATAGTAGTATAATTTGAAGTCAAATAATGTGATTCCTCCAGTTTTGTTCTTTTTGCTCGGAATAGCTTTGACTGTTCTGGGTCTTCTGTGGTTCCATATAAATGTTAGGATTACTTTTCTATTTCTGTAAAGAATGTCATTGGTATTTTGATAGAGATTGTATCAAATCTGTAGATTGCCTTAGGTAGTATGGACATTTTAACAATATTGATTCTTGCAATCCATGAACATGTTGTATCTTCCCATTTTTTTGTGTCCTCTTCAATTTCTTTCATTAATGTTTTATGGTTGTCATTGTAGAGCTCTTTCATTTCTTTGGTTAACTTAATTCCTAGGTAGTTAATTTTATTTGTTGCTATTATAAATGGGATTTTAAAATTTCTTTTTCAGATTGTTCACTGTTTGCATATAGAGATGCTAGTGATTTTTCTTTACTGGGAGATTTTTTATTATGGCTTCAGTCTTGTTACTTGTTATTGGTGTGTTCAGGTTTTGGATTCCTTCATTTTTCAATCTTGGTAGGTTGTATGTGTCTAGGAATTTATCCATTTTCTCTAGATTTTCTGATTTATTGGTATACAGTTGCTCATAGCAGTCACTAATGATCCTTTGATTTTCTGTGGTATCAGTTGTAATGTCTCCTTTTTCATCTCTGAGTTTGTTTATTTGGATCTTCTCTCTTTTTTTCTTAGTCTGGCTACAGGTGTTTCAGTTTTATATATCTTTTCAAAAAAACCAACTTTTCATTTCTTTAATCTTTTGTATGGTTTTTTCATTCAATTTCATTTATTTCTGCTCTGATCTTTATTGTTTCTTCTACTAATTTTGGGTTGGGTTTGCTCTTGTTTTTCTAGTGCTTTAATATATGTCATTACATTATTTATTTGACGTTTTTCTTGTTTTTTGATGTAGGCACTTATAGCTATAAATTTCCCTCTTAGTACTGCTTTCACTGTGACCCCATAGGTTTTAGTATGTTGTATTTTTATTATTATTAGTTTCAAGAACATTTTCAGTTTCCTTTTTAGTTTCTTCATTGACCCACTGGTCACTCAAGAGCATATTGTTTAATTTGTATGTGTTCGTATAGTTTGCAAAATTCCTCTTGTTATTGATTTGTAGTTTTATTCCATTGTGGTCAGAGAAGATACTTGATACTGTTTCAATTTTTTGAATATTTTAAGACTTGTTTTGTGACCTAACATATGATCTATCCTTGAGAACGATCCATATGCTGAAGAGAAAAATGTGTATTCTACAGGTGTTGGATGAAATGTTCTGTAAATATCTACTAGGTCCATTTGTTCTATAGTACAGATTAAATTTGATGATTTTTTTTGTTGATTTTGTGTCTGGGTGATCTGTCCAATGCCGAAAGTAGGGTATTGAAATCTCTAGCCGTCACTGTGCTTGGGTCTATCTCTCTCTTTAGCTCTAATAATATTTACTTTATTATATCTGGGTGCTCCAGTGTTGGGTGCATATATATTTATAATCATTATATCCTCTTGCTGAATTGACCCCTTTATCATTACATAATGACCTTCTTTGTCTCTTCTTAATTTTTGTCTTGAAATCTATTTTTTCTGATGGAAGTATAGCTACTCCTGCTCCTTTTTTGCTTTCCATTGGCATGGAATAACTTTTTCCATCCCTTCATTTTCAGTCTATGTGTATCTTTTTTTTTTCTTTAGTATACTTTAAGTTCTGGGATACACGTGCAGAATGTGCAGGTTTGTTACATAGGTATATATGTGCCGTGGTGGTTTGTGGCCCCCATCAACCTGTCATCGATGTTAGGTATTTCTCCTAATGCTATCCCTCCCTTAGCCCCATACCCCGCGACAGGCCCCGGTATGTGATGTTCCCCTCCCTGTGTCCATGTGTTCTCATTGTTCAGCTCCCACTTATAAGTGAGAACCTGTGGTGTTTGGTTTTCTGCTCCTGTGTTACTTTGCTGAGAATGATGGTTTCCAGCTTCGTCCATGTCCCTGCAAAGGACATGAACTCACCCTTTTTTATGGCTGCATAGTATTCCATGGTGTATATGTGCTACATTTTCTTTATCCAGTCTATCATTGATGGGAATTTGGGTTGGTTCCAAGTCTTTGCTATTGTGAATAGTGCTGCAGTAAATGTAAGTGTGCATGTGTCTTTATGGTAGAATGATTTACAATCCTTTGGGTATATACCCAGTAATGGGATTGCTGGGTCAAACGGTATTTCTGGTTCTAGATCCTTCAGGAATTGCCACACTGTCTTCCACAATGGTTGAACTAATTTACACTCCCACCAACAGTGTAAAAGCATTCCTATTTCTCCACATCCTCTCCAGCATCTGTTGTTTCCTGACTTTTTAATGATTGCCATTCTAACTGGTGTGAGATGGTATCTCATTGTGGTTTTGATTTGCATTTCTTTAATGACCAGTGATGATGAGCTTTCTTTCATATGTTTGTTGGCTGCATAAGTGTCTTCTTTTGAGAAGTGTCTGTTCATATCCTTTGCCCACTTTTTGATGGGTTTTTTTGTGTTTTTCTTGTAAATTCATTTAAGTTCCTTGTAGATTCTGGATATTAGCCCTTTGTCAAATGGATAGATTACAAAAGTTTTCTCCTATTCTGTAGGTTGCCTGTTTGCTCTAATGATAGGTTCTTTTGCTGTGCAGAAGCTCTTTAGTTTAATTAGATCCCATTTGTCTATTTTGGCTTTTGTGGCCATTGCTTTTTGTGTTTTAGTCATGAAGTCTTTGCCGATGTCTGTGTCATGAATGGTATCACCTAGGTTTTCTTCTAGGGTTTTTATGGTTTTAGGTCTTACGTTTAAGTCTTTAATCCATCTTGAGTTAATTTTTGTAGAAGGTGTAAGGAAGGAATCCAGTTTGTTTTCTGCATGTGACTAGCCAGTTTTCCCAACACCATTTATAAATAGGGAATCCTTTCCCCATTGCTCGTTTGTGTCAGGTTTTTCAAAGATCAGATGGTTGTAGATGTGTGGTGTTATTTCTGAGGCCTCTGTTCTGTTCCATTGGTTTATATATTTGTTTTGGTACCAATACCATGCTGTTTTGGTTACTGTAGCCTTGTAGTATAGTTTGAAGTCGGGGTAGTGTGATGCCTCAAGCTTGTTCTTTTTGCTTAGGAGTGTCTTGGCTATATGGGCTCTTTTTTGGTTCCATATGAAATTTAAAGTAGTTTTTTCTAATTCTGTGAAGAAAGTCAATGGTAACTTGATGGGGATAGCATTGAATCTGTAAATTACTTTGGGCAGTATGACCATTATCATGATATTGATTCTTCCTATCCATGAGCATGGAATGTTTTTCCATTTGTTTGTGCCCTGTCTTATTCCTTGAGCAGTGATTTGTAGTTCTCCTTGAAGAGGTCCTTCACATCCCTTGTAAGTTGTATTTCTAGGTATTTAATTCTCTTTGTAGCAATTGTGAATGGGAGTTCACTCATGATTTGGCTCTCTGTTTGTCTGTTACTGGTGTAGAGGAATGCTTGTGATTTTTGCACATTGATTTTATATCCTGACACTTTGTTGAAGTTGCTTATCAGCTTAAGGAGATTTTGGGCTGAGATGATGGGGTTTTCTAAATATACAATTGTGTCATCTGCAAACAGAAACAATTTGACTTCCTCTCTTCCTATTTGAATACTGTTTATTTCTTTTTCTTGCCTGATTGCCCTGGCCAGAACTTCTAATACTGTGTTGAATAGGAGTGATGAGAGAGGGTATCCTTGTCTTGTGCCAGTTTTCAAAGGGAATGCTGCTTCCAGCTTTTGCCCATTCAGTATGATATTGGCTGTGGGTTTGTCATAAATAGCTCTTATTATTTTGAGATACATTCCATCAATACCTAGTTTATTGAGTGTTTTTAGCATGGAGCGGTGTTGAATTTTGTCGAAGGCCTTTTCTGCATCTGTTGAGATAATTGTGGTTTTTGTCATTGGTCCTGTTTATGTGATGGATTACGTTTATTGATTTGCATATATTGAACCAGCCTTGCATCCCAGAGATAAGGCCAACTTGACTGTGGTGGGTAAGCTTTTTGATGTGCTGCTGGATTTGGTTTGCCAGTATTTTATTGAGGATTTTTGCATCGATGTTCATTGGGGATATTGGCCTGAAATTTTCTTTTTTTGTTGTGTCTCTGCCAGGTTTTCATATGAGGATGATGCTGGTCTCATAAAATGAGTTAGGGAGGAGTCCCTCTTTTTCTATTGATTGGAATAGTTTCAGAAGGAATGGTACCAGCTCCTCTTTGTACCTCTAGTAGAATTTGGCTGTGAATCCATCTGATCCTGGGCTTTCTTTGGTTGGTAGGCTATTACTGCCTCAATTTCAGAACTTGTTATTGGTCTATTCAGGGATTTGACTTCTTCCTGGTTTAGACTTAGGAGGGTGTATGTGTCCTGGAATTTATTCATTTCTTCTAGATTTTCTAGTTTATTTGCCTAGGGGTGTTTATAGTATTCTCTGATGGTAGTTTGTGTTTCTGCGGGATCAGTGATGATATTTCCTGTATCATTTTTTATTGTGTCTATTTGATTCTTCTCTCTTTTCTTCTTTATTAGTCTGGCTAGCGGTCTGTCTATTTTGTTAATCTTTTCAAAAAACCACCTCCTGGATTCATTGATTTTTTTTGAAGGGTTTTTCATGTCTCTATCTCCTTCAGTTCCACTCTGATCCTCATTTTATGAGTTCAGCATCATCCTCATACCAAAACCTGGCAGAGACACAACAAAAAAAGAAAATTTCAGGCCAATATCCCATTTGCTTGGTAAATCTTCCTCCATCCCTTTATTTTGAGCCTATGTAGTCTTTGCACGTGAGATGGGTCTTCTGAGTACAGCACACCGATGGGTCTTGACTCTTTATCCAGTTTGCCAGTCTGTGTCTTTTAATTGGGGCATTTAGCCCATTTACATTTAAGATTAATATTGTTATGTGTGAATTAGATCATTATGATGCTAGCTGGTTATTTTGCTCATTAGGTGATGCAGTTTCTTCATAGTGTTGTTGGTCTTTACAATTTGGTATGTTTTTACAGTGGTTGGTACCAGTTTTTCCTTTCCATATTTAGTGCTCCCTTAAGGGGCTCTTGTGAGGCAGGCCTGGTGGTAACAAAATCTCTCAGCATTTGCTTGTCTGGGATTTTATTTCTCCTTTGCTTATGAAACTTAGTTTGGCTGGATGTGAGATTCTGGGCTGAATATTCTTTTCTTTAAGAAAATTGAATATTGGCCTTCACTCTTTTCTGGCTTGTAGGGTTTCTGCAGAGAGATCCACTGTTAGTCTGATGGGCTTCCCTTTGTGGGTAAACCGACCTTTCTTTGGCTGCCCTTAACATTTTTTCCTTCATTTCAACCTTGGTGAATCTGACGATTATGTGTCTTGGGGTTGCTCTTCTCGAGGAGTATCTTTGTGGTGTTCTCGTATTTCCTGAATTTGAATGTTGGCCTGTCTTGCTAGATTGGGGAAGTTCTCCTGGGTAATATCTTGAAGAGTGTTTTCCAACTCAGTTCCATTCTTCCCGTCACTTTCAGGTACACCACTCAAATGTAGGTTTGGTCTTTTTACATAGTCCCATATTTCTTAGAGGCTTTGTTTGTTCCTTTTCATTCTTTTTTCTCTAATCTTATCTTCGTGCTTTATTTAGTCTCTGATATCCTTTCTTCCGCTTGATCAGTTTGGCTATTGACACTTGTGTATACTTCACAAAGTTCTTGTGCTGTGTTTTTCAGCTCCATCAGGTCATTTATGTTCTTCTCTAAACTGGTTATTCTAGTTAGCAATTCCTCTAACCTTTCTTCAAGGTTCTTAGCTTCATGGTTCTTTAGCTCAGAGGAGTTTATTATTACCCACCTTCTGAAGCCTACTTCTGTCAATTCGTCAAACTCATTCTCTGTCTAGTTTTGTTCCCTTGCTGGTGAGGAGTTGTGATCCTTTGGAGAAAAAGAGGCGTTCTGGTTTTTGGTATTTTCGGTCTTTTTGCGCTGGTTTTCCCTCATTTTCATGGATTTATCTATCTTTGGTCTTTGATGTCAGTGACCTTCGGATGGGGTTTTTGTGTGGACATCCTTTTTGTTGATGTTGATGCTATTCCTTTCTGTTTGTTAGTTTTCTTTCTAACAGTCAGGCCTCTCTGCTGCATGTCTGCTGGAGTTTGTTGGAGGTCCACTCCAGACCCTGTTTTCCTGGGTATCACCAGTGAAGGCTACAGAACAGCAAAGATTGCTGCCTGTTCCTTCCTCTGGAAGCTTTGTCCCAGAGGGGCACCTGCCAGATGCCAGCCAGAGCTCTCCTCTATGAGGTGTCTGTTGACCCCTGCTGGGAGGTATATCCCAGTCAGGAGGCACGGGAGTCAGGGCCCCACTTGAGGAGGCAGTCTATCCCTTGGTAGAGCTCGAGCACTGTGCGGAGAGATCCACTGCTCTCTTCAGAGCCAGCAGGGAGGAACATTTAAGTCTGCTGAAGTTGCGCCCACAGCTGCCCCTTCCCCCAGGTGCTCTCTCCCAGGGAGATGGGAGTTTTATCTATAAGCCCCTGACTGGGGCTGCTGCCTTTCTTTCAGAGATACCCTGCCCAGAGAGGAAGAATGTAGAGAAGCACTCTAGCGACAGCGGCTTTGCCGAGCTGTGGTGGGCTCCTCCCAGTTCGAACTTCCTGGCAGCTTTCTTTACACTGTGAGAGGAAAACCACCTACTCAAGCCTCAGTAATGGTGGACGTCCCTACCCCCACCAAGCTTGAGTGTCCCAGGTTGACTTCAGACTGCTGTGCTGGCAGCAAGAATTTCAAGCCAGTGGATCTTAGTTTGCTGGGCTCCATGGGGATGGGATCCACTGAGCTAGACCACTTGGCTCCCTGGCTTCAGCCCCCTTTCCAGAGGAGTGAACAGTTCTGTCTTGCTGATGTTCTAGGCACCACTGGGGTATGAAAAAAAAACTCCTGCAGCTAGCTCAATGTCTGCCCAAATGGCTGCCCAGTTTTGTGGTTGAAACCCAGGGCCCTGGTGGTGTAGGCACCCGAGGGAATCTCCTGGTCTGTGGGTTGTGAAGACCATGGGAAAAGCATAGTATCTGGGCCAGAATGCATCATTCCTCATGGCACAATCCCTCAAGGCTTCCCTTTGCTAGGGGAGGGAGTTTCCCAACCCCTTGTGTTTCCTGGGTGAGGTGATGCCCCACCCTGCTTCAGCTTACCCTCCGTGGGCTGCACCCATTTTCTAACCAGTCTCAGTGAGATGAACGGGGTATCTCAGTTGGAAATGCAGAAATCACCCACCTTCCGCATTGATCTTGCTGGGAGCTGCAGACTGGAGCTGTTTCTATTCAGCCATCTTGCCAGCTACCTGAGTCTATATGTATCTTTACAGGTGAAGTGTGTTTCTTGTAGGAAACGGATCATTGGGTCCTATTTTTTCATCCATTCAGCCACTCTGTGTCTTTTGATTGGAGAATTTAGTGGATTTACATTCAGTGTTATTGATAAGTAAAGCCTTACCCCTGCCATTTTGTTATTTGTTTTCTGGTGGTTTTGTGGGCTTCTCTTTCTTCTTTCCTTCGTTTCTGTCTTCCTTTTTTGTGAAGGTGATTTTTCTCTGGTGGTGTGCTTTAATTTCTTGCTTTTTATTTTTTGTGTATTGTATGTTTTTTGATTTGAGGTTACCACGACACTGGCACATACTATCTTAAACCTATTATTTTAAACTGATGGCAACGTAACACTGGTTGCATAAGTAAACATGCAAAAAGAAAACTAATAAAAACTCCATACTTTAACTTTGTCCCTCTGCTTTTTAACTCCTTGTTGTTTCTCTTTATGTACTGTCTATGTCTTAAAAAGTTGTTCTAGTTATTATTTATTGGTTCAGCATTTAGTCTTTCTTTTTCTTTCTTTTTTTTTTTTTTGAGATGGAATCTTGCTCTGTCACCCAGGCTGGAATGCAGTGGCATGATCTCAGCTCACTGCAAGCTCCGTCTCCCAGGTTCATGCCATTCTCCTGCCTCAGCCTCCTGAGTAGCTGGGACTATAGGCGCCTGCCACCACACCCAACTAATTTTTTTGTATTGTTAGTAGAGACAGGGTTTCACCGTGTTAGCCAGGATGGTCTCGCTCTCCTGACCTTGTGATCCACCTGCCTTGGCCTCCCAAAGTGCTGGGATTACAGGTGTGAGCCACCGCGCCTGGCCATCATTTAGTCTTTCTACTTAGGTCAAGAGGAGTTAATATACCACAATTACAGTGTTATCCTAAATTTGTGTTTTTCTGTGTGCTTACTATTACCAGTGAGTTTTTTACCCTCACATGCTTTCTTCTTGCTCATTAACATCCTTTTCTTTCAGATTGAAGAACTCTCTTTAGCATTTCTTATAGGACAGGTCTAGTGTTGATGAAATCCCTCAGCTTTTGTTTGTCTAGGAAGGTCTTTATTCTTCCTTTATGCTTAAAGATATTTTAGCTGGATATACTTACTATGCTAGGGTAGAAGTTTTTTTTTCTTTTGGCAGTTTGAATATGTCATGCCACTCTCTCCTGGTTATGCCACTCTCTCCTGGCCTGTAAGATTTCCACTGAGAAGTCTGTTGCAAGACATATTGGAGCTCCATTGTATGTTACTCATTTTTTTTTTCTTGCTACTTTTAGGATCATTTCTTTACCCTTGACCTTTGAGAGTTTGATTGTAAAACGCCTTGAGGGAGTCTTCTTTGGGTTAAATCTGTTGGTGTTCTATAACCTTCTTGTACTTGACTGTTGATGTACTTCTCTTGGTTTGGGAAGTTCTTTGATATTATCTCTTTGAATAAGTTTCCTATCCCTATCTCTTTCTCTAACTCCACTTTAAGGCCAATAACTGTTAGATTTGCCCTTTTGAGGCTATTTGCTAGATTCCATAGGCATACTTCATTATTTTTTATTCTTTTTTCTTTTATCTCCTCTGTGTATTTTCATATAGCCTGTCTTCAAGCTCACTAATTATTCTACTTGATCAATTCTGCTATTAAGAGACTCTGATGCATTGTTCAGCGTGTCGATTGCATTTTTCAAGTCCATAATTTCTGCTTAACTATTTCACTCTTTTTGTTAAATTTTTATGATAGAATTCTGAATTCCTTCTCTGTGTTATCTTGAATTTCTTTTGAATTCTCTGTCTAAAAGGTCATATATCTCTGTTACTCCAGGATTGGTCCCTGGTGCTTTATTTAGTTCATTTGGTGAGGTCATGTTTTCCTGGATGGTGTTGATGCTTGTAGATGTTCTCTTGTGTCTGGACATTGAAGAGTTAGGTATTATAGTCTTCACAATCTGAGCTTGTTTGTGCCTATCCTTCTTGGGAAGGCTTTCCAGGTGTTAGGACATTCTTGCATTGCTACAAAGAAATACTTGAGACTGGATAATTTATAAAGAAAAGAAATTTAATTGGTTCATGCAGGCTGTATAAGCAGCATGACCCTGGCATCTGCTTGGCTTCTGTGGAGGCCCAGGGAGCTTTTAATCATGGCAAGGTAAAGAGGGAACAGACATGTCACATAGCCAGAGCAGGAGGAAGAGAGAGTTAGATGGGGGGGGTGGGGGCGGTGCCACACACTTTTAAACAACCAGATCTTATGTGAACTCAGAGCAAGAGCTCACTTATCACCAAGGGAATGGCTCAAGCCATTCATGAGGGATCTGCCTTCATGATCCAAACACCTCCCACCAGGCCCCACCTCCAACATTGGAGATTACAATTCAACATGAGATTTGGGTGAGAAAAATATCCAAATTATCACCAGGTATTAGAAGGGACTTGGGCCCCAAGCCCAATAATGCTGTGGTTTTTGCAGACTTGTAGAGGTACCCACCTTGGTGGTCTTTCAGAAGATCTGGAAGAATTCTCTGGATTACCAGGCAGAGACTCATTCTTTTCCTTTAATTTCTCTGAAACATGTGGAGTCTCTTTCTGTGATGAGCCCTCTGGAACTGGGAGTGTGGTGATGCAAACACCCCTGTGGCCACTACCACTGGGACTGTGTTGGGTCAGACCTGAAGTTAGCTCAGCACTGGGCCTTGCCCAAGGCCCTTCCCTTCAGGGCAGTGAGTTCCCCCCAGGCCCCAGGTGTGTCTAGAGTTTTTTTCTGGGGGCCAGGGATTGGAGTTAAAAACCTTAGAAATTTACATGATAGTCTATTCTACTGCAGCTAAGCTGACACTGAAACTACAATACAAAGTTCTTCCTGCTCTTCCCTCCCCATACCACAGGCAGAAGAGCTTCTACCTGTGGCCACCACCACCACTAGTCCATAGGGGGTTCTGCTGGGCCACTACCAATGTTTGCTTAAAGCCCAAGGGCTCTTCCATCAGCTTATGGTGAATGCTGTGAGACCTGGGAGTCACCCTTCAGGGCAGTGGGCTCCCCACTGCCCCAGGGCAGGTCCAGAAATGCTGTCCAAGAGCCTGGGCCTGGACTCAGAGACCCCAAGAGCCTGCTTGTTGCTCTACTCTACTGTGGCTGAGCTGGTATCTAGGGTGCAAGACAAAGTCCCCTTTACTTTTCCCTCTGTTTTTCTCAAACAGATGAGTCTTTCACCATAGCCACCACAGCTGGAAATATGCTGGGTCTCCCCTGAAACCAGCATGTCTCAGAGCTCGGGCCCATGGCATACTCCCTGGATATTGCTGGTTGTTATTCAGGGTCCAAGGACTCTTTAGTCGGCAGGTGATGAATCCTGCAAGTGTTGAGTCCTTCCCTTTAAGGCAGGGGTTCTCTTTTGGCCCAGGGTGTGGCTGGAAATGTCATTTGGGAGCTAGGGCCTGGAATAGGGGCCTCATGACTCTGCCTGGTGCCCTATCCTGTTGTGGCTGAGCTGCTATCCAAGATGCAAGACAAAGTCCTCTTTACTCTTCATTCTCCTCTCCTTAAGCAGAAGGAAGGAGTCACTTTCATTGCTATGAGCTGCACTGCCTGGGGTTGGGGGAGGGATGGCGCAAGCCCTCCCATAGCCAAACCAGCTTGTGTCTCCCTAGGTCATGTGCCACCCTAGTTTACTGGCTCTAAGCCCAGCCTAGCACTAGGAGTTGCCTAGGAATTGCAGTCCTTGTGTCCTAGTCTGCTGTTCAGGTTTACCTAGGACCCCAGAGCACTTTGGCCTGCACTGGCGAGGCTTGCTGAGGAACTCGAGTTCCAACAGCTAGATGGGCGATTCCCCACTGGCTAGGTCTGGTTCAAATGCCCCCTCTGTGTGTGAATGCTGAGTGAGCCCAGCACAACTTTGCTCTCCATTGTGGCAGAGCAGCACTGAGTTCAATGTAAAGTCCTCTAGTCACTGCACTCTCCCATCCCCAAGTGCACAGACTCTTTCTCCATGTCTTATGGCCACTGCCAGGGGATTGGGGAGGGGTGGCATCCATGACTCAAGACTGTCTCTCCTTCCCTTCTCAATGCCTCTTTCCATGATATGGAGTTCAAATCAGATATTGTGATTATTCACCTAATTTTTGGTTCTTGTTATCGTGCTTCTCTGTGTACAGATAGTTGTTAAAATTTGGTGTTGCAGCAGGGGGCATGAATGGTGTAAGCTTCCATTCTGCCATCTTGTCTGCCGCCCACCCTCCATTCCCACCAAACTTACTAATTCATTAAACAAACATTTATTGAGAATCCATGGTTAGTTTTCTGCCTTTTCTTTTTCAATAAATGTTGAATTAAACCCAACTTGTAGATGATGGCTGTCTTTCTAGATTCCGTCTGCTCTAATACAGAATGAGTCTTTTACCGTAGCCACTACAGCTGGGAATATGCTGGATCTCCCCTGAAGCCAGCATGTCTCAGAGCTCAGGGCCCATGGCATACTCCCTGGATATTTCTGGTTGTTATTCAGGGTCTTTAGTCAGCAGGTGATGAATCCTACCAGTGCTGGGTCCTTCCCTTTAAGGCAGTGGGGTTCCCTTTTGGCCCAGGGTGTGGCTAGAAATGTCATCTGGGAGCTAGGGCCTGGAATAGGGGCCCAGCATTTTGCTACCAGAGTAATGATCCATACTTACTGCTTTGGTCATTTCCTTGCTCTACACTAAGTCCTTCAGCACTTCCTTGTTACTAACCACGGTAAATAAAATGCTTCAGCCTGATTTTCTATGCTGTATATTAACTTCTCCAAATATTTATCGAGCACCTCTAATGTCAGGTAATGTGCCAGGTGCAGGGACACAGAAGAAAGCATGGGCTATGTCATCGGGAGCCTATAGTCTCCTAGAGCACAGTGTGGGGAGTGCGTCGAGGGAGGTGTGCAGAGGGGCTGGGGGCTGAGGAAGAGAGAAGACCTCATCTAGCCTGAGGGGCAGGGGTGGAGTGAGTTGGAGGAGAGGAATTTAGGAAAGCCTTTCTTGAGGGAATTCATGTCTGGTTTTACCTTTACAGAAGAATAGGATTTGACTAGGCTGTGTGTGTGTGTGTGTGTGTCTGTGTGTCTGTGTGGAGGGGTGCATATATATGCGAGGGTGTTGTGTGTGTGTGTGTGTGGAGGGGTGCACATATATGCGAGGGTGTTGTGTGTGCGTTTGTGTGTTGAAGGCTCTGGTGCAGAGTGGAGAGTCAATTTGTGTTTGAGAGAGCAGCATGTGTCAAGGTCTGTTGATAATATACTGCATAAGTGTGAGGGGGACTGTCAGAAGGCTGGAATTCAGGGACTGGCTCATGAAAGACCACAATGCCTGGTAAGGCACTTGGACTTGATGTTTCAGGTCAGTGATTGAGAGATTGTATTTGCTGGAGTTCTAAGGCTTCTGTGGACCCTTTGGAAAGGGGAATAGAAGATCTGTGGACCTGAAAGATTTTAAGGAGAGGAGGAAAATGGTTTGAGTTTTGTTTTGAGTCAACTCCACGGGCAGCTCTGTGAAGGATGGATTTCAAAGGGACAAGTCTGACAGCAGGAAGGCCTGTGAGGAGGCAGTGAAGGGTGGAAACAGATTGGAACAGAGACAGTACTTACAAGGTGAAATTGACTGGACTTGGCCATGGAAAAGGGATACAGGAGTGAAAGAAAAAGTAATGGGGGAGAAAGGGCAACCCATAATCTCCTGGCTTAGAAGGAAGAGGGCAAGTTTCTGAGGGGAGGAGGATGGGTTCATTTTCAGATAGGTTGCTTTGGAGGTGTACTTGGACTGCCCCATTCCTGACCTATCCAAGGTGTTCCTGCTATTTCACAGACAGACTCTATGGCACTGGTCATAGCTCTGCTCCCATCCAGGCCTCTGTAGGCCATTGCTTATTCTGCAACAGGTCTTGTGGTCCCTCTGATGCTGCATCTGTGAAAATCCTATTTGCCCATCTGGATGCCGCTCAATCTCCTCTCTTTCCCACTCCCAGAGCCTCTGTTATTTCAGGACTCATGGATGATGGTTCCTCTGTACTCCTCCAGTACTAAAGATTCTTCTTCTTTTTTTTTTTTTTTTTTAAAACATGGTCTCACTTTGTCACATAGACTGGAGTGCAGTGGCATGAACATGGCTCACTGCAGTCTTGACTTCCTGGGCTCAAGCGATTCTCCCACCTCAGCCCCCCAAGTAACTGAGTCTACAGGCATGTGCCACCAGGCTGGGCTAATTTTTAAATTTTTTGTAGAGATGGGGTTTCACCATGTTGCCCAGGCTGGTTTTGAACTCCTGGGCTCAAGCAGTCCTCACTCCTCAGCCCTGAAAGTAGCTGGGACTACAGGTGCATGCCACCATGCTTGGCTAATTTTTTTTAATGTATTTTAGAGATGGAATTTTGCCATGTTTCCCAGGCTGGTCTTGAACTCCTGGGCCTCAGGCGAGGCCTGCCTTGGCCTCCCAAAGTGTTGGGATTACAGGCATGAGCTACTGCACCCGCTGCTTTTAAAGTATATTACTTTTTTTTTTTCTGTAAGTAGCAAGTTCCTTAATGTTACGGGCTTCAGCAACATCTAGCCTAGTGTGAATAATACAACTGGTTACTCAGTGAATACACAGAATCATGAAATGTTAGATCTTGAGGCTGTGGTTTTCAAACTGGACTGTGTAAGAAACATCCAGGAGTGTATGAAAATGCAGACATTTGGCCCATGGGTGGTTCTGATACAGGTGGTTTTCAGAAAACAAAGAAACACTGGCTTTAAAGAAACTTAAAGATCAGTTAAGCTAATTCTGTCATGTTAGAGAGAGGAAACTATGAGTTGGAGTGTGAGCAACTTGTTGGTTTCTCAGATTGTCTAGTGGCAGACCCAAGACTGCCTCCAGGTCCCTGACTCCTAGCTGAATGCTTTTCCTCACCACCCAACACACTGCTTCCACCTATTCAAAAGATGTCTTTCTAAAAGCTGAAATCATCTTTAGAAGAATAAGGCAACATCTCATTTCGCTTACAGTTTAAACGTTGCCAGAAGGAATGAGATGTGTTGGATGCCATCTTTGTCCTCTAGGAATTTCCAATCTTAGGTATTAGGAGAAGGAACCACTTTGACACTGCTTAAAGCAGAAGAATCCTAGAGGGAGAACTGTAGGCTGTGGATTGATTGATGGGATTCCATTTGAGTAGCATCCCTCCTGTCGAGGAAAACATCTGCGTGAAGATGAACTAAGCCTAATTTTGTGCAACTCATGTTTTCATATTTCTTGTAAAGCATATCAATAATTACAAAATATAATGTCTTTTCAGTGACTAAATATAAATGTCTATTTAAGTGTATGTTGGTAGTTCAGATAGTAAATAGACTTGTTAGTTTTCCTTGACATCATAGAATGTTCAGGAGAGAAATGGTGAATGTCATTTCAGGCCATTTTCTTTCCTATATTCATTCATTTTTTTTTAATTTAGTGCTGTCAGCAAACCCAAAATAGTGCCAGATGAAAAATGTGGGCTGAATGTAAGGTCTTTATTTTTGAGCCGAAGAGATGAAAGCATTCTCCCCTTTCAGTCTTTCCCTTTTCTTTCTGTTCTAAGTGCCATACTGAAAATCATATGCTGGGGTTTCCCCCTTGTAGATCACTGTTTTCTTATTAGCAATGGTCATTTTCATGTTTGTTTGATTTTTTTTTAATTGATAGGGTAAAGAAACTGGAGGAATGCTGATTACATAATGTACCTGGATATCAGTAGGATTTTTGACAATGCCTCTTGTAAATTCCTTGAGGGCAGTGTAGAGATAAATTAGTTAAGATGCTATTATTAGGGTTTATAGGTGCTTGGGAAGCCTAACCCAAAGTGTTTGTGACTGACTTCCTGTTGTCTGGTGGGAGATCTTATGTACTGAGAGGCAGGACTTTCCTTTGCACCCACTCTGTTCACTTTTTTCCATAAGTGATGGGGTGGAAATTACAAGGGTATGGATACTTGTTCAATACAAGGATCATGTTTGATGAATTAAATTGAAACCGTCTGTCCTGCAAAACTGTGTGTGCCCATAACTGAAAGTGCTTAAGTTGTGCCTTTGTGGCCATCTGTTGGAGATGCTCTAGAAGGGACTCCTACTTGGGAGGGAGGTGGAACTAATATGTTTGAATTCTTTTCTAACCCTGTGATTCTATTACTGTACCATATTTTGGCTCTAAGATGATTAGTCAAATCTCTTTCTTGGAATCTGTTGTAAATCTCCGACTTACCAAGGTGGAGGCCTAAAGATTTCCGACACCCTGAGTGCTATGTCGGTGTGCCAGGGATGCTTATGCTCCTGGGATAAACATGCCTTCAGATGTGAGACCTTAAAGTAAGTGAGTGAATATTTGGGAAGAACTACTATAAACAACTTTGTTTCAGGAATACTGATTTGTTCTTTGAAGGACTTACTAAAAGTCAGTGACAGAGAAAGGAAGACATGAAGTAGAGGATGAAAGTGCAATGGAGCTAGTTTTCTTTTTGGTCAGGTGTCTTTAGCTGAGTGGCCCCTGAGGGATCTTGCTCAGAGCCTAGACCATCATCCCTGGGGCAGGGCAGGGTGCAGTAGGGGGAGGATGTACTTCCCTGTTCCTCTTATGAACTTCCTTCACAAGGCTGGATGAGGGAATTTACTGATACCTTGTTACAAAACTGGCAAAAATTAAACACAGGTGAAACATTAGCTCATCATCCTACTTATTGTCTTTAATAAGACATCTTATTTCACTTGTAAGGAATTTTGAAATTCTTAGCATCAAAAATCTCATCTTTTAAAGTTGAATCCAAAGGACATGGGTTTCTTAAATGTCTGAACACATTTCTAAACTGTTAGGGAGGAAAAAAAATTACATGAATGAGGGTTGATTCTTGGCCCAGCTGTGGGATCACATTTGATATGTGATGGTCAGATAGAGTTAGGGCAATGCAGCTCCTACCCAGCCCCTAGAGAAGGTGCTGTGCTCTGGATTGGCTGCTGAGGAGAGGATTTCACATCTCTTGCCTTCCCTCAAAAGGGTATGTGGAGCTAAGACATGATAGTAAGAGCAAGCGGGGAAGAATTCTGCAGTGGCAGCGAGGTAGCTGTTGCATAGCTTTGTGGGATCAAAGGACATGAGAGTGCTTCTGACTACATTATTAATAAAATTATATGAAATATTTTGGGCATATAGGATGTATTAAGAATAATACAATAAAATCTACATATCCCCCACCCAATTTAAGAAATAAAAATTAACAACCACGGGAAAACACCCTCATATAACTTCTCCCTGATCTTATTCCCATCTCTCCTCTCAGAGGTAACCACGATCCTGAGTTTCACACCCTTTATTTTTTAAATGAGGAAAAGGAAGCCCAGAGAGGTGGGGAACTGGTTTAATTTCACACTCAAGGCTAGTGAGAGCCACAAGATGCCTTCTGCTTCTTTTCTTGGGGCACAGTTTATTGTTAGTAAACCTGTACTCCTTCTCAGCCTTTTGGGTATAATCAAGTCTGGAGTGTCTATGATAAGACAGCTTAGAGATTATGTTTGCAGTCCCTATAAGCTGTGTAGCTTTGCACAGTAAGCGTGGAGAATTGAAGAGAAGGAATTTTAGCCAACACCTACTTGTTTGGAATCTTGGGCTGGTACAGTAAAGTATAAAGGGATACCATGACATCTGGGGACAGTCAGATGTACAGGTTGTTAGAATAAAATTACAGGGGACTGTCACAATGGTGGCACTAAGCTATAAAATGAAGAAGCATCACAATCAAACTCCTTTCACAGCCTTCCTTTTGGCACATGCCAAATTAGACATCTTCTAAGCCTTCATAAAAACAGTCCTGCTGAAATAAAAAATACCTTTTTAAAATATTTTCCTAGGAAAGCATTATCAGGCTATTTCTTTGGCTTCCCAGGAGAAATGAACATGTGATTGATATATGTTTTCTGGTGAATAAGAACCAGGATTGAAGAAACATGTTTGGAGCTATTAAATTTTAATAAAAATAAGAAAGCAAACAATATTACTCTTTTATTGCTGATAGAATGATACATAATTTTGAAATTCTGGTGGAAGCACAGGTGCTTTTCCCCATTTTTATTTATAGAGTTATAACAGCCTAGGCTTTACACCCTGTCACTTTTTTCTTGTCTTTTTTTTTTTCCTTTAAAAACACCACCTAACAATTTTCACCTAGAACTCATCCACAGACATTTAAAAAGGTGGTATCTTTGGAGAAAACTTGTAGTCGATCACAAGATCATCCACTAGATTTAATTTTATCCAGAAGGCTGACCTGACATTAAATGTCTAAAAATCATCTAACAGAGCTGTGAAAAGTAAGCACTACATAGGAAGGACATTTGTGAGTTCTTTGATACAGAAGACATAGGGAGCTGTGGATTTCTGCATTAATCCATTTATTGAACAACAGGAGGAAATCAGACTGCCCGTGATTGCCCACCCTTGTTTACCAGTTGGAATGCCCAGCTGCAGCTGGGTTGATTTGAGAGCCCACTGGGTCGGGTTTAATCATCTTCTTTTGTCTGTCTTGAAAGCGGATGTTGAAGTGGAATCTCTCCACCTGCTGTGTAAGGAGCAGTATCTGCCTCTTCACACTCGACTTCATAAAACTTTAATGTCTTTCCAGGATTGATAAGAGTTGTGAAGGCTACTGTTTCAGACTTGGCATTTTTGCTTTTGTTTTACAGACTGTTTATTCCATGGCTCCGTTCCCTTTCCCACAATTGGCAGAGTTGAGGGAAAAATACACCTACAACATTACACCGTTCCCAGCCACAGTTAAACCCACCTCAGTTTCTGGGTAAGGTTTTTAAATTCCTTGTTGTTTTCATGATGGAGGACTTAATATCTTAATTTGTTATTGTAAATTAATATTTATGAAGCCCCAGAGATATGTTAAAGTAAGTTGACACTTAGAATCTAATGTCCCTTTCCAAATGGTTTTGATTTAAACTCAAGAGAGATTTTTAAAAGTGTACTTTGCAGAGAAATTTGGAACGTAAACTGAAGAGAGATTTAGCAACCCCACAACTTATCTAATGATATCAAGCATTAAAAATCTCAATAGTTAAAATAGTGTGGAACCTGTATACAAGTACACAGATGAGCTAATTTAAAAACTGTGAAGACCAAAAATTGACAATTGATAAAGAGTTTATCATATGAAAAATAGGCATATTGAATCAATGGTGAAAAGTTATACTGTTTGGTAAATGGTGATGGGCTAATGAGAACTAATTTGGAAAGAAAATGAGAGTCAGACCTCATACTAGATGCCAGGGTAAATTCCATATGGATGAATGTGTTAAATAGAAACAATGAAATAATAAAATTAGCATAAGAAAATGTGGAAGAATTCCTTTAGTTCTTTGGAATTGGAAAGGCCTTAATAACTGACTCAAAATTTAAAAAAAGGGAAAAAATTAAGTCCTTTAAATATAATTTTCTGGGTGACCCAAATGGAACAAAACCAAACCTCTATAAGTAGACTCAAAAATATCTGTGGAAGGATATTTTTAACTTACTATGCAAAATAGGGATGGATATTGCTAATATGTAAAATTCCTAGAAATCGATAAGAAAATGGCCACCCAAGCTGGGTGTGGTGGCTCACGCCCGTAATCCTAGCACTTTGGGAAGCTGAAGCAGGAGGATCACTTGAGGCCAGGAATTCGAGACCAGCCTGGGCAACGTAGCAAGACCCTGTCTCTAAAAAAATTACAAAAATTAGCAGGGTGTGGTAGTGCATACCTGTAGTCCTAGCTACTTGGGAGGCTGAGGCAGGAGGATTGCTTGCGCCTAGGAGTTTGTAATAGTATATTATTGGAAACCACTCAAGTGTATACCATTAGCAGCCTGGCTCCACACTATGGGGCGTGTACATCCAGTAGAGCTGTAAGAAAGCATAAGGAAGCTCTGTGTATTCTTGTGTACCATGATTGTGCAGTGGTACAATCATGGCATACTGCGGCCTTAACCTTCCAGGCTCAAGTGATTTTCCCACCTTAGTCTCCTAAGTAGCTGGGACCACAGGCACGTACCACCGTGCCTGGATAATTTTTAAATTTCTTGCAGAGACAGAGTCTCGCTATGTTACCCAGTCTGGTCTTGAACTCTTGGGCTCAAGCAATCCTGCCTTAGCCTCCCAAAGTGCTGAGATTACAGGTGTGAGCCACTGTGCCCAGCCCGTAAAGATTTCTTGTATAAATAAAGGCAAGATGCAGAAGAGCATATATAGTATGCTAATAGTTATGCAAAAAGAAGAGAAAAATAAAAGCATGTAGTCATATTTGCTTATGTGTGCTCAGAGAAACTGAAGAATACATAAGAACCAGTAACAGTGATCACCTGTGGGAATTAGATGGGAGATTCTCACAAATGACCATGGTTACTAGTTTCAATGGGCAGAAGTTGGACAGAGATGGGAGGGAAACTTTATAAATCACGTCATTATATATAATTCTTTTTTTTTTTGAGACGGAGTCTTGCTCTGTCGTCGCCCAGGCTGGAATGCAGTGACGTGATTTGGCTCACTGCAACCTCCGCCTCCCGGGTTCAAGCGATTCTCTAGCCTCAGCCTCCGAAGTAGCTGGAATTACAGGTGTGCGGCACCACACCTGGCTAATTTTTATATATTTTTAGCAGAGATGGGGTTTCACAATGTTAATTATATGTAATTCTATGTTAATTATATATATGGCATTTAAACCATGTAACTGTATTATGTTTTAAAATACCATGGTTTTCTTTGTATATTTCTTTTTTGTCTTTTATGTTTTCCAAGACGACATAGTAAGGCCAGAGACAGTGATGAAGAGAATGACCCAGACGATGAGGATGCTGTCGTTAATGCAGTGGGGTGTCTTGGACCTTTTAGTGGGTTCCTGGCTCCTGAACTGCAGAAGTACCAAAAACAAATTAAAGGTAAAGAGGTGGCTCTTGATTTAGATTATCATGATGTATTGGTTTACTACAATAAGAGTGATATTGTGTCCTATAGATGCCCCAGTAACTTTCTGAACTGGTTACAACTATTAAAAGTCTTTATTAGGCTAGTCATGGTGGGTCATGCCTGTAAGCCCAGCACTTTAGGAGGCTGAGACAGCATGATCATTTGAAGCCAGGTTTTCAAGACTAGCCTGAGCAACATAGGGAGACCCAGTCTCTACCAAACAACAACAACAACATTAAAAAGTCATTACTAGGCTGGGTGTGGTGGCTCACGCTTGTAATCCCAGCACTTTGGGAGGCTGAGGCAGATGCATCATGAGGTCAGGAGTTTGAGAGCAGCCTGGCCAATATGGTGAAACCCCGTCTCTACTAAAAATACAAAAATTAGCTGTGGTGGTGCGTGCCTGTAGTCCCAGCTGCTTGGGAGGCTGAGGCAGGAGAATCGCTTGAACCCAGGAGGCAGAGGTTGCAGTGAGCCGAGATCATGCCACTGCGCTCCAGTCTGGGCAACAGAACAAGACTCCATCTCAAAAAAAAAAAAAAATTGTTACTAAAAGTATCTTCTCTGTTACTTTATCTTTTTATTATGTAATGGTTTTCCTCTGTATTATGTGTTGCATGCGTAGTACACATTTCTTTTTCTCTGTGGTGACTTTTGCTCCCATGCATTGGATTCAACTTTGTATGCTAAGTTCCTTAGCACAGACCCTGGCATATAGTAGATGCTTAATATACTCCATCTGAGTTTAATTTATTCCAGACTGGCTTCTCTTCCAATAGGATTACCCTTTAAATCAAAACATTATGGTGACCTCTACTTGAATTTCTTGAGTGACAAGAAACTTATTATTTCACAAGACACTTTGCTTGATTCTTCCCCTTAGTCCATGGTTTCTGTTTACAAAGAGATAACTTCCACCTACCCGTTCTACTAATAGTTCTTCTCTTTGCTTTTTTTTTCTATTTGAAGGCATCACTGTTTATTAACTGACCAGATTACAGAAATAATCATGGTAGACCCCTTAGTTCATCCTTCTAATAAGCCTGTAGCTCTTCTCTTCCCTATTGCCAGCATTTCTACCTTCCACAAAATAGGAGGTCTTTTTCTTCATTCCACCTTGTGGAGAGGATAATCTGAAGGGTCACAGGAAGTTATTGGCTTCTTTGAAGCCTTTTCCAACAGTATAGATCTCATGAATCAGATCCTCCATGCAGATGATATCATATTTACCAAGAGATTGAGCAATCAAAGTGTTATCTGTCATGGCAATTTGCTTCTTTTCGATTTTGCTATAATGACACTTGTAGATGAGTTCATTTACTTACTTTAGGTTTGGGTACCGCCATGAAATGTATGGTTCTCCAATCCTCACCATGTTAATTGAAGCCTTGCTGAGCTTAACAAAGATTCCATTGAAGATCTGACAAAGGTGAAGAAACTCCACCACCTTTCAGACCTTTGGGCTCACACCATTGATACCTCTGATCCTTAGGGAAAATGACAGTTTGGGTTCTGTAAGAACATAGAAGTTGCCAGCTTTTCTTGCCCTCCTAGCCATTTGAATCTCAGTTCTGTTCATCTGCCTGTATTCCTTGTGACTGTGTTTAGCTTTTTCATAGATAAGCTTCCTCCTTGCCTTTTGAAGCATCTTTTCGGCAAACTTCTTTCTCAGGTGCTTGATCTTCAGCTCTGCAAAATTCCTTTGCTTTTTCTTAAGGGCTTCTGGCATAGCAGGAACCTTCTTTTTCTTCTCTTCGACACCCTCCATGGTTCCAGCTGGAAAAGAGGATTCTTCCCTTTGGAAAAAACCAGAACAAGTCTACTTACTCCCTCTTCTACCTGACATCTCTTCAAATCTTTGAGGACAGCTATCATGTCCTCCAAAGCTTTCTCAAAGGCCCCAGTTCAGAATTTCTTTAAGCATGTCTCTTAAGTTATGACTTCTGGACCTCCTAATATTCTATTAATTTACCTCTAGATATCCTGTAATTTGGTAATGTTCCCCTTAAAATGTTGTGCTCTGAATCACATGCATGTTTTATTTCATTTTTTTTTTTCTAAACAGAATAGAATTCTGTGGTCTGGAATTATCAATGTTATGCACTGTTTTAAAGTTTGTGGTTCTCTACGTCCTTTCTTGTCTTGGGTGGAAGCTTTTCTTTTAGGATATTTATTCTACCTCTTCTAGTTTGAAGACCATTCTCCTTGTTCAAAGATATTAGAAATATGCTGAAAGAGGACAGAAACTGAATAGATGTCAGGCACCTCTGTGTTCTCTTTGCCATCTGCTAACTTTTTACTACCTTCTTGAAGTCATGGGGCTATCTTCTCTTTTTTTGGTTCTTATTTGGAAGATAGGAGCAGTGGCAGCAGCTGCTGCTACTTCTAACTTTTGGTGGTGATCTTTTGGAGTATTTCCTGCAAGCCTCAGCTTGTTTGAGTTTTAACCTTTTTAATGGCTGGGCTCATACTGTTTTGTGAGTATGTCTTTGGTATGTGCTCTTCTGTCATCCTTTTAAAGGCTTTTTAAAAATCTGAACCCAACAAGAGTCTTCTTGATTTCTGCAATGCCTTCTACCCCCTTTCTTATTGCCTGAGTTCCAGCTTTTGATTTCTAGCCATAGGATCAATATGTATTTTAATGGTAAAGTTTTTGAATCTGCGTTTCTGTAGCCTGGGTCTATGTTTCATTTTTTTTTCTCTGTTTTTCTTTCTGTGCATTTTTGTGCTCTAGGATGACATGATCACTTTCTCCTAAATTTCATCATTAGTCTTTCTTGTTGATTTTGCTCTGATTAGCAGTTTCTCTTTTAATTTTCTTCTCCTTACAGAAATGATTACAGTAAAAAAATGAATTTCTGAGATGTTTAGCCTTTGTCTGAATAACACTCTCAGCAGATGTTAGGATAGTTGGAGTCTCTCAGTCTTTTTTTGACTCTGGCTCCCATGTCAGTTTTACAAATTGTGCTGGAGAAGCTTGCTGTCTCCCGCTTTGGCCTGTGTAGTCTGTGGGTTACTCCCACCTAGTATTGTTTCTCTTTTTTGGAGGTCATCTCAATTTTATTTAAGAGACAAATCTGCTAGTTGTAGCTATCACAGGAGCAGACACCACATCCGATATAACAACAGAGTGGACAGGAAATGTTTGTTAAATGAACAAAGCATTCATTCTAGTGATACAGTGGTCTGAAGTCTTGATAATTTTATAAATTGTGTTACTACCTTTAATGTAAGAAGAATGCACTTTTAATGACTGTCTAAACTCTACAAACCAATTCTGTATAAATCCTCATGCCGTTGTGTGGAAATCTGTACAGTGATTTTAGAAATTAGGAGTTATATCTTTCTAAGGAAATCTTAGACAATGGCAGTGATTTTCATCTGGAAGCAGTTGATGTTATGTCTATATAGCTAACAAACTGGTAACAAAATCAAACTCTGAACCCATATAGCTCATGTCAGACCCACAGTTAGGTTAATAAGAAAATGCAGAAATATTTTCAGGGGCACATCAAAATAAGCACTAGACAAACTCTAGTATGCGTTTTTTTCTGTGGTTTAGAATTTCATGGAGGTTAAGATACCGCACTGAGTTGTAGTGTTATCAATTTCCATTTACTCCTGTTCCCCTCCACCGACCATCTCCTTATGTCTCATCCTTCGAGCGCAGAGCCAAATGAGGAGCAGAGTCTGAGATCTAATAACATTGCAGAGCTGAGTCCAGGAGCAATCAATTCCTGTCGAAGTGAATACCATGCAGCTTTTAACAGTATGATGATGGAACGCATGACCACAGATATCAATGCACTGAAGCGGCAGTACTCTCGAATTAAAAAGAAGCAACAGCAGCAGGTTCATCAGGTGTACATCAGGGCAGGTAATGTGATTCTTCATTTGAATCAATTTCAGCTCTATCTCAACTTGTAAAATGAAGAACAAATAATCCTAGGAAGGCCTTGGAATTACTAACTGTAGCTCAGTATCCATCAACACAGCTGGCATGACATAATAGCATATTTAGCATCTCATTTTAAATTTTATTTTATCAGGCTCTAAAGAAGAAAAAGACTGCAGGTTCTTTTTAGGCCCCAAGGACCAGGCAGTTGATGGTATTAAACACGTCTCTACTGTGTGTGCTGTGGAGAAGGGTTTACAAATGATTAAAATGTTGCAAAGCCATGCAATCCTTGGACTTGAGAAATTTTGGAGCATAAATTTTATGCATCTGAATATAGAATCATCTGTGCACTAGTAAATTAAGCTGTATACTAGTCATTTAGGTGATATTATAACAGATGTTGTATCAGAGAAACTGGGAAAAAAAACATTAAAAACCTGTGCCTTGCTGATGGCAAGTATCTTGGGAATATACTAAGAAGAACACAATTATAATGCAATTGGAAATGCTCTTTTCCAAGGATTGCCAAGCTTTTTTCTTTTTAATTCCAAAAATCCCAGTGAACAGTCTGCTTTATTGTTTAATATATGCTGATTTGGGAGTTGTTTTTTCTTGCTTGAAGTGAATATCTTAATGAAAATGGTGCCTGTCCAGAATTAACTGAAATATAAATTTGACATGTTTTTAAAGTGGCATGTGAGCATGTGACTGATCCTGCACAAAAACTGAATTTACCTTCCATTTATCAGAGAAGAATAGTTGACTTCTTGATGATTCTCACTTTATCCTGAGTCATTAAGAAACCAGTCACAAAATAACTGAACAATTTCACTTTAAGTTTCAAAAACATTGGCACATACATTTCCTCATTTTGTCCTTAAAACAAATCTATGAGGAAGGCAAGGACAGATAGTCCCATCTTCTTCCAAATAGTGAGGAAATGGTGATTCAGGAAGGCTTAGCAATTGTCCAGGGTTATATAGCTATAGTGAGTGGTCAGGCCAGGGCTAGAACACAGGTGTTCTGATTCTTTGTACAGTCCCTTTTTAACTACACTGTACAAGTCTTTGGGTGTGACGGTAAACAATTGCTCAGGGTGCTAAATCGGCCCAGTGGTTTGTACCTTCATCAGGGATCAGCAAACTGTGGTCTGTAGGCCAAATCCTGCTCACTACCTGTTTTTGTAAATACAGTTTTTTGTTTGTTTGTTTGTTTTGAGATGGAGTCTTACTCTGTCATTCAGGCTGGAGTGCAGTGGTGCAATCTCAGCTCACTGTAACCTCCACTTCCCAAGTTCAAGCAATTCTTGTGCCTCGGCCTCCCAAGTAGCTGGGATTACAGGCATGCACCACCATGCCTGGCTGATTCTTGTATTTTTAGTAGAGACGGGATTTCACCATGTTGGCCAGGCTGGTCTTGAACTTCTGACCTCAGGTGATCTGCCCACCTTGGCCTCCCAAAGTGCTGGGATTACAGGAGTGGGCCACCGCACCTGGCCTGTAAATACAGTTTTATTGGAACACAGGCATGCCCATTTGTTTACAGGTTGTCTAAGGCTCCTTTCACACTACAGTGGCTAAAATATTTACAGTCTGGTCCTTTACAGGAAAAGTTTGCTGACCCCTTCTTCAGATCATGGTTGATGGTGGTTCTCTTTAAGGGAGAGATTGCTGCTCAAAGGCAAAGCTCTAGAGCTTTGGTTCTTGAAATTTAGTGTGCATACAGATCATTTGGGGATCTGCTAAAATATTCACTCTGTTTCAGTAGGTTTGGAATGGAGCTGAAATTATATGTTTCTAACAAGCCCGTAGGCACTGCTGGTGCTGCTGCATGGGGACTGTATTAGTCTGTTTTCACACTGCAAATAAAGACATACCTGAGACTAGGCAATTTATAAGAGGCTTAATGGACTTACAGTTTCACATGGCTGGGGAGGCCTCACAATCATGGTGGAAGGCAAGGAGGAACAAGTCACATCTTACGTGGATGGCAGCAGGCAAAGAGAACTTGTGCAGGGAAACTCCCATTTTTAAAACTATCAGATCTTGTGAGACTTCTGCACTATCATGAGAACAGCACGGGAAAGACCTACCCCCATGATTCAATTATCTCTTACTGGGTCCCTCCTACAACACGTGGGAATTATGGGAGCTACAAGATGAGATTTGGGTGGGGATATGGCCAAACCATATCAGAAACCATGGTTTGAGTAGCATGGTTTTAGATGAGATGGTATATGATAGGATTAGCAGCACAGGTGGAGAGATTGAACTTGAACTAGAGGCAAAAAGACCTTAGCTTCTGAGACTTAGTGGAAGGTGGTGAGTATGGTGGTTGAGGTATCAGCTTCCGAAGTTAGGGAGGATGGGAAATAGAGGCCTTTCAGATCTGATAGCTTTTGTTTTCATGGAGTAATTGGGGGAAAGTTGTTTGGTGGGGATTGGGAGTAAATGAGAGGTTAAAGAAAGTAATGAAGATTTAGTTAGGTCACTGAAGGGAGCGAGAAAGGGAAATGAAAAGATTGTTTGGCATTGAGGACCCAGTGAAATGGGAGGTCATGAATTTAAAGGGCTCAGTTTCAGAAAAGAGAATGTAGATCATGGACCCTAGGTTGGGGCTTTACTAGCAATGTGTGACAAAGAGACAGGGATGCCTGTGAGGGAGTGATCTAAGCGGTCAGCCATGCATCTGGCAGGGTAGGGGTGTCAGTGAGCCGAAGACACATGAGGGGTTGTGAGGAGCCTGAGGAACAAGGAGCCAGAAGTCTCTGTGGTTCATTACCACATATAGTTAGACTGAGAGCCTGAGAGCTAGAAGAGCCAAAATGAGGAGTATTAGAATTAAATATTTTCACATAAGGTAGAGCTGGGTGATAATGTTTAGGATGGAACTGGAGAGGTTGAGGAACTATGAGAATGTAATGGAGGGCCAATCACAGTGACAGTCAAATAATTGGGGAGGTGGCAGGAATGTGGTGAAGAGGAGACAGTTATCAACATTTTTAGTTGATACTGGGGTATGACCAGTGGTAAATGACAACAGTAGAGAAGGGTGGAAATTAGTTCAGCCAGATGACATGGACATCAAGGAAGAAGGAAACTCGCACACAGAGGGAGAGGCCTTCTCCCTACAATTTCTGTCTGCAGCTGCCATCCTGGGACCATGTGTGTTGAATGCTGCATTGGAAATAGGAGTCTGGTCATAGCCGCAGGTGGTCAATGATAATGCCATCGACAGTGCCTTCTAGGAGAACAAAGCTTTTTTGTTCGTTTGTTTTGAGAAGGAGTCTCACTGTATTGCCCAGGCTGGAATGCAGTGGCGCAATGTCAGCTCACTGCAACCTTCACCTTCCGGGTTCAAGCAATCTCCTGCCTCAGCCTCCCAAGTAGCTGGGACTACAGGCATGCACCATCACACCTGGCTAATTTTTGTATTTTTAGTAGAGACAGGGTTTCACCATGTTGGCCAGGCTGGTCTCGAACTCCTGGCCTCAAGTGATCCTCCTGCCTTGGCCTCCCAAAATGCTGGAATTACAGGCATGAACCACGGCACCTAGCTGAGGACAAAGCTTTTGGTGCTTTTCAGTTTTCAATTGGCTTTCGAAGTCCATTGAGGACACAGGAGTGGTTTTTCACCTGTAGGGCTAGATGCTGGATAGCTGTGATTTCACTGCATTCTCACTACCTTTTTATCACTTCTGTCATTCTGCTGGATCTCACTTCATAATATGCAGTGTGTTCTTTTCCTACCTCTCAGAGGCTGACAGATGATAATCCATATGGTCATAGTGTTTGTTGTATTATTTTTTTTAAATCTGCAAAGATTTTTCTAAGTACAGTAACTCAGAGGTTGCTACTCAGAGCCAAGAGCTCTCTGTAAAAAAAAAAATTAGGGAGTCCAGGCTCTGATTAGGAATGAGGGGTCAGATGTTCCTTTTTGTATCATCACCCTGTGGTCCCTTCCTCTTTAAAGAAGAGCGCATTGGTATTCCAGGCTCTTCGGTTGAATTCAGTTTCTGCTGTCTTCAGTCACATGACTCTGCCCCTCCCTGGGGAACACATGGGAAGGGATGTGGTAGACGGGGCTGGGAGGACCTCTAAGTGATTTCTGTTCCAAGATGGATGTGTTTCTTTGTGGTACACTTCATACTACCTTTCAACATTTCTTTCAGACAAAGGGCCAGTGACCAGCATTCTCCCGTCTCAGGTAAACAGTTCTCCAGTTATAAACCACCTTCTTTTAGGAAAGAAGATGAAAATGACTAACAGAGCTGCCAAGAATGCTGTCATCCACATCCCTGGTCACACAGGAGGGAAAATATCTCCTGTCCCCTACGAAGACCTTAAGACGAAGCTCAACTCCCCGTGGCGAACTCACATCCGAGTCCACAAAAAGAACATGCCAAGGACCAAGAGTCATCCGGGCTGTGGGGACACCGTAGGGCTGATAGATGAGCAGAACGAGGCCAGCAAGACCAATGGGCTGGGGGCAGCAGAGGCATTCCCCTCTGGTTGTACAGCGACAGCTGGGAGAGAAGGCAGCAGCCCTGAAGGCAGTACCAGGAGGACGATCGAGGGGCAGTCTCCGGAGCCGGTGTTCGGAGATGCTGATGTGGATGTGTCTGCAGTTCAGGCGAAGTTGGGAGCCCTGGAACTGAACCAGAGGGATGCTGCAGCTGAAACTGAGCTCAGGGTGCACCCACCCTGCCAGCGGCACTGCCCAGAGCCGCCGAGTGCACCCGAAGAAAACAAAGCCACCAGCAAAGCTCCCCAAGGCAGCAACTCAAAAACCCCCATCTTTAGCCCTTTTCCCAGCGTCAAGCCCCTGCGGAAATCTGCTACTGCCAGGAACTTGGGATTATATGGCCCTACAGAAAGAACCCCAACTGTGCACTTTCCTCAAATGAGTAGGAGCTTCAGCAAACCCGGCGGTGGAAACAGTGGCACTAAAAAACGATGATGTCTCCCCGAAACTTTGTATCTGGACTCACCTTTTCACAGTAGTATAAGGGTTGCAGCTGAATGGCTCTAAAAGAGTTTTATTTGTCCAGTGAAAATGAATAGGTTCAGGGATGAGCAACAGCCCATAAAAAATGGGAACTGGAAGTTTTATAATAGGAGTTAGAACAGGGCTGTTTTCCCAGCTACTTGCTAACTGACGAAGTGGATTCTTGTGGCAAAATAAATATTGTGGTTTTATAGTGTGAAGTTTTCCCAATTTTTCATTGTGAGCTGTTTAAAAAAGACTATATCTAGATTGTTAACTCTCGTCCATCCTTCTGTTCTGGGGGCCTTCAGAGTCCCTGTGACAGCACCCCCAAACCTTCCAGTTCTCTGGGTGTTACTAATACTCAAGCATGCACATACCAGCTTGCTAGGACAGAAACTGTAAAAAGAAAGTAAGTTTCTTCGTTACAAAAAACTTCCTGATTTTCCTTTTCATGCTTTACGGAGGGGATTGTGTCGTGTGAGATTTCCCACAGTACCAGTTTCAAATTTTTTTTTTATTCTTATGCTAAATCATAGGAGAAAAATCTAGATAGCCTTTCTTTAACTGTCTATTTCTACCTGCAAAATGAAGAAAACCTTTCATCTGTTGAAATTTCAATCGATAACCCAGCTGAAGATCTTATGCACAGGACACACTTGGCATATGCTTTACGCAGTTGCTCCGGACAGCTTGCTCGCGCCACTGAGCTTTTCCTGAGGTTTGTGTTCGCCTCTCAAGGAGAGCTTTGATCCTCAGTGGTACGGATGACTTGATGGGCTCCATGCGGAGCCTGGCCTGCATCCCCCACCACACAGCTCACTCACCCACCAGCTCTAGACTGCAGACGCACAAGGCCTCTGCTCAGAAGCCAGAACACAGCACCTGTGACTCTGTTACTTGAATTTTGTGCTTTTTGATTGGAGTCCTTTGTTGAGTACTTTGTTAATTGAACACTGCCTTTCTCTGGAGAAGGCCCCAGTGCTTTCTAGCTCCCTCTCACTCCTGCCCTTTCTAGCTCTCTCTCACCCAGCGGGTCAGGGATAGCACCTCTTGTCTCCACTATGCAGATGGGAACTCTGAGCCACACAGAGGTGAAGTAGCACTTCAGTTACTCAAGGTCAGTACTCTCGGTATTCCAAGTGACTTAGCCACATTTCCTTCAGTGCAATAGGTGGGTTTAATGCTCTTTGTACACAGATGTATTGGCTACATAGCGTGTAAAAACCAAGACTGGGAAGCCATTCACTAAAATCCCTCCTGACTCAAAGGACCTGTCTCCAGATGGTACAGAGTCCCTTGATGGCATTTTACAAAACCAGCTCTGACTTCCTTATCCTGAACAGGGAGTTTATTTTAAAAATGCTTCATGCACCTGTTATTTGGCTGAACAGAAGGCTCACTCCTCAATCCCCTTCTCCTCGCCATCATTAGAGGAATAGACTCAGCCTTCATGTTTGTCTCTGGAAGACGATTGGCGATACTTGCAGGAATATTGTTGATGCAGCCAATATTAATTTGAGCTAATGGATTGTTAATTCTGAAACGAAAACTGTAACTGTAGAGCAGGCTTTTACTATGAGAGGTACTACTTTTTATAATAGAGAATGTGGTTGTGTGGGCTTTTTTTGAACAGAAAACACAACAATGACCTATACCGTGAGAAAAGCCATTTTATCTTCTTCGTGGTATTTTTACCCCCAAAGGAACTGAAGATGGAAAATATGACTAATAAGTTATTGCAGTTTTGGTCTTGAATTCTGTGCCATCTGAAGTTAGCATCCAGCTTCTTAAAAAGCAGCCACGCCTACAGCCTGTTTTTTGGGAAGGCTGTAGGTGGAGAGATGGGCTTATTTTGCATACCACCCTCAGGGCCCAGAGACCCACTGCATTTTCCAAAGTTAAGCAAATGACACCATTTTCTTCCATCAGCTAAACTTTACAGATAATAGTGTTTCCACCTCATATCCTTTTCTTTGCCCCTTCTCAAATGAGTCAGAATAGTCATGTTCCCCTTGAGGGATGTCTGACTTGAATGGAGAATTGTTCTTTCCTCTCTTGAATCAGCTCACTAGCTCCCTGATGGTCTGGGTTCAAGGAAATGGTTAATGAGGTAGAGGCCACTTATACAAGTCCTTGGGATTGTACCATTGCTGTCCACAAACTTAGTATCAACAACACATGCTGTGCCCTGTGAACACTCTCCTCTCACCTATTTCCAGGGTTGGTCTTCCTGAGAAGGGGATGGATGAGGTAACACACAGTTTGGGATACGTATCTGTTGAATGAATGAATAAGTGAAAGGATAATAGTCCTCTGAGGTAAAAATGGCCTTGTCAGAATTTTGAAAATCCAACAGATTCCTATTAAAGCACTCTGTGTACCAATAACATGCATGCATTGTACCAAGTAATCACAATGTGAATTGGTCAATTTATGAGCCTTGCCTACTTTAGAAAATAAAGAAACCTGCAGTAGCCTCTACCACACAGCATGTACAAAGACCAGTATGGACTTGCTATCTTCCCTATGTATTGGACACTGTATGCAAACACCAGAAGTACTTAACAAGTAGTGGTTTCTTGATTTTTAGATATGTCTGTAGCCTCTTAGCCCTTTTGCCGGGAATCAACTCATTCTGATGCCTCTGCACCTCAGTTCCTCTTACAAAAGCCTCCAGATGATCTAAATCTAGTTAGCAATGTCAGCCTGTGGACTGCAGCTGTTTGGGACATTGTATTCCTTTGTTTGTCTCTTGTTGTTCTGAAGGATTGTATTGATCACAAAGCTATATGCATAAAGATTCTCATTGTTGTAACTGTTCTGCCATTTTCTGAGTGCAAGCATGGAACACTGTTGTGACAGTCCCTTCTCCCTTCTTCCTTCTTCCTTCACCCCCAACCCCAGACCCCCCTTGGTCACATGAACCAGGGAAACAGCCCAATAAGCTCTATCTCCCCCAGTCTAATCGCTGGGTTGCAGGGTGGCCTGTGACCTGCCCAGCATTTGCAGACTCGCTGGTTCCTGAATATGAGTAAGCACAGAGTTTACCTAGAGAGTTTACCTAAAATTAACCTTTAGATCTACTATTTATTTTTGTCTTAATAAAATGAACAATAAATATAGTTTAGCTGCATGGCATTAAGGATTCTGTATGAATAGATGTATAGTTGCTGCCATCTCCCCATATAAAAACTCTCTTTACATCGTTTCTGAGCCACTTTCTTTGCTGTCTGCAGCATTTAAAATATATTATTTTTCCTAATTAGAAAAGTCACAGGTTTTAGAAAATTGGGAAAACAAAAAGAGCATAAAGAATCATCAATACTCTGATATAGATATAGATCTTTCCAGTACGTTTGTGTATGTGTGTACACGCCATTATCTACAAAAAAGTTATGTTGAACATGGTAGTTTAAGCTGTCTTTCTGGTAAATGCTCTTATACAATATGATTTTTAGTGACTAATATTCCCTAATGTGTTCATGCCAGAATTCACATAACCAGTACCTTGTCAAATAGGAGGTTTCTGATTAGATAGTAGTAGAGACAGTATCCTGTTACATGTATGTACATAGCCCGAATTATTTTCTTAGGATATGCGTATAGAAGTGGAGTTGAAGGGTCAGGAAATATGTCCATTTTTAAGATACATATATCTCCAAATTGCCATTCTTAAAGGTTGGAGTTATACAAGTAGTGAATGAGAATGCCTGCTTCTCTACATCCTGGAAGAGGCAGCAGTCTCTTTCCTTTTTTTTCCTTTCTATGACTTCTAGTGTGGAAGTGCCAACAGAAGTGTTTTAGAAGCAGTGATAATGAACACTCATAACACCCATACCTCATTCCTGACTTTTAAAAGAAGCATTAAGTAAGATGTTGAGGTTTCTGGTAGGTGCCTATTATTAGGTTAAGAAAATTCCCTTTTATTCTTTGCTTGCTAAGAGTTTTCTTCATCAACAGGTATTGAATTTCATAAAAAGAACTTTAATTGTATCTTTTGAGAAGGGAATAGTACTTGAGACTTGGTATCCTGAACTCAAAGAAATAGCCATTACTAGGTTTTGTCAAAGAATACCAGATATTTTAGAGTTGGAAGTTATGCAGTAAAAGCTTTATGTGCAAATGTTCATTGAAGTATTAAATGTACTAATGGAAACCTGAAAACAATATAAACATCTGGGAATAGGGGAGATGTTTGGATGAATTATGATTCATCCCCAGGATGGAAATGTGAAGGCCGGTGAGTATTTGGACCATTGAAGTGGGAGTTATCTGTTATCCACATCAGGCAGCTCAGAGTAAAGTCAGCAAGTCTACAGTCATAGAGCCACCAGGATACAGTGATGGATGGGAGGCCTTTGCTGGACAGTGGCTGAAGGCAGAACTGTTGGAGTGGTTCTTCCACAAAGGCAGCCAGTGCTCACCTGAATGGGGACTGGTACTGTAGGTATTGGGTCAGCTTTCATGCCGTTCCCTGCTGGCCATCTCCCAATGCTGAATGTCTGACTCAGTTCAGGCTGCTGTAACAAAGTACCATAGACTGAGGTGGCTTAAACACAGACATTTCTTTCTCACAGTTCTGGAGGCTGAGAAGTCAAAGATCAACGTGTCTGCAAATTTGGTATCTGGTGAGGAAGGGCCCTCTTCCTGGTTTGCAGATGGCTACCTTCTCACTGTGTCCTCACACAATGGAGAAAGGGAGTATGTTTTGGTCTCTTCCTCTTCTGATAAGGGCACTAACCTCATCATGAGGGTCCCATCCTCCTGGTGTCATCTAAACCTAATTACCTCCCAATGGCCCCGCCTTCAAATACCATCACGTTGAAGGTTGCTTCCTTCCTGGTCGTTTGCTCTGGTGAGACCAAATGACCTGCAAAGTGTCACTTGATTCCATTCTCTCCATCCCTTCCATCCCAGGCAATCTTTATCTAGCTACACCAACCTGTGCCCCAGGGGCTTCAAGAGTTGTTGTTGTTTTAACATTAAAAAACCAGAAAGTTCACTTGTTTCTTAGTGTTTACATCCTTGCTATAACAATTCTAGTTTTCCTTTAGGCAATGCTGATCACTGGGAAGGAGGTGGATCAATTCTCCTATGGGACCAACAGTTTTCTGGGAAGAAACTTCCTGATACCTCAGCCTAGGAATCTCCCTATCCCTGGAGAGTCCAGGAATCTATATTAAAACATGAAACAAAGCAAAAAATAAAAAAAAACCTCCTTAGTAATTGTTTTCTTTTTGAGACAGGGTCTCACTCTGTTGTCGAGGCTGGGGTGCAGTGGCACAATCTTGGCTCACTGCAGCCTCCGCCTCCCATGTTCAAGTGATTCTCCTGCCTCAGTCTCCCAAGTAGCTGGGACTACCAAGTGTGCACCACTATTCCCGGCTAATTTTTCTATTTTTAGTAGAGATGGGGTTTCATCATGTCCACCAGGCTGGTCTTGAACTCCTGGCCTCAAGCAATCCGCCCACCTTGGCCTCCCAAAGTGCTAGGATTACAGATGTGAGCCACTGTGCCTGGCCTTCCTTAGTAATTTGAACGTTGAACTAAGTTTAGCAACCACTGAACAAGTTAACTATAGCCATATATCACCTGATGACGGGGGTAACGATGGGGAAATTGTTAGGTAATTTCAACATTGTGCGAATATCACGGAGTGTGCTCACACAAACCTAGATGGTATAGCCTACTACACACCTGGGCTATATGGTGTAGCCTATTGCTCCTAGGCTACAAACCTGTATAGCAAGTTACTGTGCCGAACACTGCAGTCAGTTGTAACACAATGGTAATTGTGTATCTAAACATATTAGAAAAGGTACAGTAAAAATACAGTATTACAATCACACAGGACCACCATAGCACATGAGGTCCATCGTTGACTGAAACGTGGTGTGGCACATGACTGTATTGTAATGGTCTCCTAACTGGTCTCACTGCCATCCATTTTGGACCCTCCCCCTGCCCACCCCACCTCTCTGCTGCTTGGCTATACACTGCTGCCAGAATGATCTTTCTAAAATGAAAAACTAATTGGGCCATCCCTCTGGTCAAAATCTTTCTTCAATTTCTGGAGGGTAAAAGCTAAAATCCTTATCTTAGCATGATTTGACCCATGGTTAATTTTCCGTCTTATTTTCCCACAGCTTCCCCATTCATTACCTCGTGCAACCTATCCTCACCAGCACCATAATATCAACCATTGGTGGAGCTCCTTGAGCTCAGCACTATACTAGCTCCTTTGTGCTATCTCACTTATTCCTCCCAAGAGCTCTGTGAAGCTTACTGGCACTGTATTACAGATGATGAAGGTGAAGTGAGCAGTTACATCCTTGGCCAGTTGGAAGGAGGTGGATGAATTCCCCTATGTGATCAACAGTTTTCTGGGAGGAAACTTCCTGATACCTCAACCTAGGAATCTCTCTATCCCTGGAGAGTCCAGAAATCTATATTAAAATGTGAAACAAAGCAAAAAAACAAACAAACCTCCCTTAGTAATTTTTTTTTGTTTTTGAGACAGGGTCTTGCTCTGTCGCCCAGGCTGGAGTGCAGTAGCGCAATCTCAGCTCACTGCAACCTGCTCACTGCAACCTATTTAGCTGGCAAATAACATCTGGATCTATCTGACACCAGAGCCTGAGCTTTTCCTTTGCTACACTGTCTTATAACTTTGCCCATAACTCCAAGTTCCCTGAAGGCCCCCCACTCCGCTAATGCCCTCATACTGCTGTGTATTCATAAATCCTTGCTTCGAGCACCCTCCTTGCTTCAGTCTGCCTGGCAGATACCTACCTATCCTTTTGGTCTCATCGCACACATTAATGAGGTAAAATCCAATCTATGCCACTATATGATTTGGGGCAAGTTACTTAACATCTGAGACCTTCAATTTCCACATCTGTACAATGAGAATAATTTCAATCTCATAGGGTTTGTTGTGGACAATTGCCGTCTTTGCTGCCCAGAATTTACTATGCTTTGGCAACATTGCCTTAATTTTGCTTGGGGAGCCAGCCCTCCTCCACCTCTGCCCATGTACTTCCGGTGACAGTGATGGCCCTGGAGGGAGCACAGGGCCTGAGCTCAGACACTCAGCACTCTTCCTCCTCCTCACCATGGTGTCTGACCCATGGATGAGCCACAGGAAAAGAAGCTCAATTCCTAGGCTCTTGTTTTGAACTCTCACGTAAGCAGACTCACTCATTTCTACTGGATTTGGTCCTAAGTTGCTAAAGTTTGGGGAAAATTGGGTTACATATAGCTTATGTGATTAACTCCATAAATGAATATGCAACAGAATTTAACCTGGAAGGAAAAAGCCCAGGAGTTGTTGCTGGCAGCTCTCTTGTAACCATGAGGGGAGAGCTTGTTGGAGAAGAGTTAACACTCAGCAAGCAGAGCTGAGAAACAGAGAGAAAGCAGGCTGCTTTCAGGGCCTGTGAGCTCTGGATCAGGCCACGCCCAAAGCCAATTTGTCTCAGCTTATTTACTATATCAGCTAACATTCCAATTTTGGGGTTTAGCCAGTTTGGTCAGATTTTCTACCACTCATGTTGAAAAACTCTTAACTGAAACAGAGGTGTTGTGAAGATTACAGATTATAAGGGCAAAATGGTGGCTGTATCAGTGAACAGTAGTCAGGATTATTTTTTACTTTCCAGTGACTCAAACCTCTCCTAAACTGCTCTCTCAGTTTTGGCTCCGTCTTCCCATGATAATAATAGGTGGTGTAGAGAGGTGACAGAGTCAAGGAACATGGTTCTTGTTTTCTGAAGATGGTTCTTTCCTCAAGCCCTTTGAGTCTTCTTTGGTCTTATATTCTCATCACAGAAGGAGAGGTGATTGTCTTTCCCCAGTTTTGTCTACCATTCCGGTTCCATCTGCATTCCCGGAGGAGTCCTGTTGAGGGCAGAGTGACTGTGAGCAAAACAAGAAGAGCTGTGTCACCAAGTTCCATAAAATCTGGGAGCCCAAGCAGCATATTTGTGGGATTTGTCTGACAGAACGCAATGGAAACAGAGCGTGGCATTCGCTCCATCTCCCCCAGGTGAGCGGCAGCTTTCTCACGGGGGGTCGGGGGCGGGGGGGGGGGGGGGCTCTAGGGCATCTCTAATGGCGTCTGCGGGGAAGCAGCAGGGCTGGGTGAGAAAGTGGGTCTCACGGGACCTGCAGTGTTCAGCAGAGCCGTGGGAGTGCCTGCTGGGAGCATACTTGTTTGGGAACACATGAGAGGCACCCCCTGAAGATTTCAAGAAAACCGGATAGCATTAGGAGATATACCTAATATAAATGACGAGTTAATGGGTGCAGCACACCAACATGGCACATGTATACATATGTAACAAACCTGCACGTTGTGCACATGTACCCTAGAACTTAAAGTATAATAAAAAAAAATATATATATATACATATAAAAAGAAAACCTTGCCCAGTTAAGGGGATGGGAGGACTTTATAGGCCCTGTTTCAAAATATGTCTGTGAGAACGGTGTTGAGTCATTGTTGCTGCAGGGACCCTATCTGGACCAAGAAGTTGCTAAGGTCTGGGGAAGGTTGAGCTACATATAACGTATGTGATGAACTCCACAAATGTCTATGCAACAGAATTTAACAGATGGTGAAAAGTGTAAAGATTTTTGTTGCATGTATAGCTATGGAGCAGAATTTCTAGTACATTTGTCAAGTGTGAAACAAATTACAGAATCATGATATTATTTAATAAAAAGTGGTTATATCACAATAATAAACATTACTAATGGCAATCCTAGGCATCATGTAGCTCAATGATTTTCAAAGGTTTTTAAGGAGCAGAACATTATAAAATTATTGTTTAGACTTGTACTTTAAGTAGATAATATTTGCACAAGGTGAAAATTTAACATGTACGAAAAAGCACATAGGAAAACTAGGTCTCCCTCCACCCCTTGTCCCCTATCCACTCAAAGCTTCTACCCACAGGAAACCGATGTTACTCCTTTCTTTTGTATCCTTTCAGAGATGTTTTATGCATATTCAAGCACATTCTCACACACACACTTTCGTAAGCAGTAACACAATAACCTTCTGAACTTTCCTTTTTCACTATGTACCATGGAGATTGTTCCAGAACAGTGCAAGTAGAGCCACCTCGTTCTTTTTTACTGCTGCATAGATTTCCATTTCAGGTCTGTGCACAATACATTTATTCTCTAATCTATTATTAGATTATTTGTTTGCTTCCAATTTCATATCTATGGAATATGCATATCCTTGTACATATGATGTAATATTGCTAATAAGGAAGTTAGCTAAAGAATAAATTCTAAGACATGGAATTACTTGTCAACAATGCACATTTAAAATTTTGATACATGTTGCCAAATTGCTCTCCACAGATGTTCCATAAGTTTCTGCTTCCATCAGCAATGTAAGGAAGTGCCCAATTCCTCCTACCCCCACATTACTGAGAATCTTATCAAATTTTTTGATCTTTTCTGATTGGGTGAGTACTTAATGTATGTTTGAAAAATATGCATAAGGTTGACATATATTTAAAAGTTATTTATATGTCCTTTGTTCATAGGCTTTGCTCATTCTTGCTGTTTTTTTTCTTACTGGTTTTTTTTTTTTTTTTTTTGAGATGGAGTCTCACTCTGTTGCCCAGGCTGGAGTGCAGTGGTGCGATCTCGGCTCACTGCAAGCTCCGCCTCCCGGGTTCATGCCATTCTCCTGCCTCAGCCTCCCGTGTAGCTGGGACTACAGGTGCCCGCCACCACGCCTGGCTAATTTTTGTATTTTTTTTTTAGTAGAGATGGGGGTTTCACCATGTTAGCCAGGATGGTCTTGATCTCCTGACCTCGTGATCAGCCTGCCTCGGCCTCCCAGAGTGCTGGGATTAGAGGCATGAGCCACCACACCCAGCCTTTTTCTTACTGATTTGTGAGTTTTTTATGCGTTAAGAAAAACATCCTTGTCTGTAATCTGTGTCACAATATTTTTCTCATTTTGTCAATTATCTTTTGACTTTGTTCATGCTGATTTACTGACATGTATATAGATTTAAGGTCATTTTTATTTGGTCATATCTATTAATCTTTTCTATTATAGCTTCTGGGTTTTGTGTGATGTTTGGAAAGGCTCTCTCTACTTCTTTGTGGTTAAAGTTCTTTAATTTTTTCCTTCTACTAGTTTTATGGTTTCATTTTTTATGTTTAAATCTGACTCATTTGGAATTTACTTTTGTGTAAGTTGGGAACTAAGGTTCCATCTTAACATTTATTTTTTCCAAATAGTTACCTAGTGGTGCCGGCACCATTTATTAATCTTTCCCCTATTGATTAAAAATGCCACCTTTATAATCACATACTAAATCCCTGTATGTTTTAGGGTGAATATCTGGACTTTTGGAGTACAACTGAACCACTACCCTCATTCAGGTGGGGGCAGAGAGGCCAGAGCTCTGCACACTGGTTTCCTCTCTGGTTGCCAGCATTACCCCTGAAGTTGCTTTGGGGGAGATCTTGGGGTTCTGGGGAACAGAGTTTGGAAACTACCAGTCTGGACCACTCTTTTTTTTCACTGATGAAAATCTGTAGCTCGGTGTAATTAAGTGACTTAAAATAACATTCTGACATTGGCAAGTTGCCATATGTTCCCAATCCCCTAACCCCCACCATGTGCATGGAGTATATCATTGGTGTAGGAGGCTCACTGATATGAGAATCACAGGAGAGCCCACAGCTGCTGTTAGGGACTGCTATAGTGTCAGAAGGCCTCATCCATGTATTTGGGGGAAAGAATGTTCCAGAAAGAGGAAACAGCAAGTACAAAGTTTCTGAGCTACATATGTAGAGAGATATAGGTATAGGTATAGAAATAGTATAGATAATTTAGAAAGACAGAGATAGAGACAGACCTAGAGATTAGAATGTGCTTCAGCTAAGAATAGGACCATTTTTACTTAGCATGCTGTTCATAGTAATAAGTTGCTGTTATAATTTTCACAGCCAAAAATCCATACATGATGTTATTTGTATTGTTTATGTTGTTTTATATATTATTTTTATTTATGCTTATATTTTCACAGCCCTCCTAAATTGAGTGGAATGATTGCAAAGTGTTTCCAATAAATGAGGATACTCCACCCCTTACCCTCCAAAAGTCTTCTCTTCAATTTGGGTTTGGTGCCAGCAATTTAGTCTTGACTGATACAATAACATTTCAAATTTCTAGAAATAGTTGGGGGAGGGGAAGACTAGCCTGTGTTGTAGAGCTTTGAAGAGATAAAAATAGCTTTGCACCTGATGCCTCTCCCTGAGAAAGTAGTCAGCCCCAGAGAGTCCCAGTTCCACCTTCTTTTGAAATTATCTTAGAGGTAACCAATGGATCCCCTCCAGGAGGGACTGTCCATCCCCACCAGGTGCAGAGAATGAACCACTCCTTAAGTTTGCCTGGTAAATGGTTTGGAGTGTCACTGCTAGACATGGTGGCTGTGATGTCACTACTGTGTGTATCTTGAAAGGTCAATAAAGAATGAGTAAAACATTTGAAGAGGTTCTTATTCAACAACAATATTTGTTTAAAGGCTTGCCAAAAACACAAAACAAAGCCTTAAACCCCAAACCTTTAATAGTATAAAAATAACAAGGCTTAAGTCATAAACATTGGATTTCCAGAATTTAAAAAGATAATTTTTGAAAAAGGAATTACATCAAGAAAATTTTTTTTGAATTGACTGTCTTCTAAAACAAATTAAAAAAACAAAAACAAGAAAAGCAATTAAAAAAAACAGTTGCTAATGTTCAATCCGGAGAAATGGATGGATTCCAGTATTTTATTCACAAACAAGCTTCATCCAAATGGCAGAACAACAGGGGTCTGGCTTCTGCATGGCTCAGGCCTGAGTTTCTGAACCGGAGGGTATATGGTGAGGTTGGGATTAAGGGTTTTCCTGCCTCATTTAATTAGGGCCTAGTCACAGTTGCACCAGCAGTTGTTTTCACATCCAATTCTGTTGGCCTTATAGTCTGGGAAAATTCTCCCAACTCCAACAATGAACTGACTTGGAACTTGAGACTCTGCGGTGCTGATATTGACATCAGAAAATCTGGACACTGCTCCAGGGTTCTTTCATAAAGTCCGAGAGGTCATACTATTTTCATAGCAACATCAGGGCGTGATTTGCCTTTTTCACTCCCATTTTCTCACAAGTATACAAGGAGGTTTTCAGAGGCTGCATAATGTGTGATATCACAACAGCTTGAATGCAGGAGCAGATAGGAGAACCCAGCTGTCTTCTATTAAACCACATAGGAAAGAGATTTGCAAAAATGTAAAGCAATACTGCTCTTTCACCAAATATTTTTGTTTTGGAAAATGTGGTTATTTTTCATAGAATCTTATTTATGATAATGGATTTATTGTATTTTTAAAAGAATTAAAATATTTTGACTTTACTTATAATACACTAAATAAAAGATATCATGTATAAGCTCTTTAGGGTCCTCATAATTTTTGAGAGCTTATGTTAAGTTTAAATCTTGTCTAAAGAGGTTTAGAGACCATAAATTTTGAGAATTATGAGTCTATGGGATAGTGAAGGAAGATAAACACAAAATAACAATTAATATTTATTGAGTGCTTCCTGTTTGACAGGCACTGTGCTAAGAGCCTTACATGGATTGCCTCCTTTAATTCTCATAACCACCCCTCAGAGTAAATACCAGTGTTTCTTCTTTTATTTTTAAGAGACAGGGTCTCACTTTTCCACGCAGGCTGAAGTGCAGTGGCACAATCATAGCTCGGTGTAATCTTGAACTCCTGGGCTCAAGTGATCCTCCTGCCTTGGCCTCCCAAAATGCTGGGACTACAGGCGCGTGCCACCACGCCTGGCTTTAGTGTTCCTTCTTCTGCAATAGATGAGGAAACTGGAGCTTGGAGAGGATGTTACTTTCTCAAGGTCATAGAGCCAGAGAGTGGCAGAGGATGAAATTGAACCTGGGTGTGTGGCTGTAGCTCCCTTATTCTTAACCACTTGGTGACGGTCCTTCTAAAAGCCTGTCCCCCCAACCCCCAAACCACTGCACTAATGTGATGTAATGGAAGATTGTGATCTGGGAGGCAACGGGAGAGGATATTGTACTACAGACACTCAGAAAATCTTTCTCTCTCAGAGTCAGGGTTGGACTGGAACAACTGCTGGCCTCTCATGGTGTGTGCACACCACATGGGCAACTAGATCCTAAAATACAGTGACCCACACTGGTGTCCCTCCTCTTTTAAGTTGCTTTGGGAACAAAAGGGCCATGATTATTAAAAAGTCATAGTTTTGCAGGAAATGGAAGCCAAGACCCATTAACAGGGGTACAGCTAATGGGCATGGTGTATGAAAGAGGCAAGGGCCGCTTGGCATTGTTTTTCACTCTTAGATAAAGCCGGAAAGGACGTCAGAACAATGGCATGTTTTAGCCTAAAGAGAAAAAAAAGTATGTTTCTAATCTGAGGGAAAAATGATGGTGTGTTAAAGAATATGAATTAGTGGATGCTAAAGAGGTCTGTTATTACTCACAAGGGCTAATATTCACACAGAATTGAATTTGACTAGGCTGGCAGAAAAACTTCCAAATATTCCTTTCTGTCCAATGCAGGGATCAGGCATTATCGCCCCAAGGCAGATTTGCCTTAATTGGGCATACATTTGCGAACATTAGCATAATGCCTTTCCATTTCTTCTATTATCTTAACAAATTGCTTTACATTGGCTCTCCTATTGCCTTATCTTTCTTGCCAATAGCACTTGATGGCCCAGTGAAAGGCACTTGGACTTCCCTAAAGATATGCAAACTTCATTAGCCTTGGTTCTTTAAAGGTGTTAGGCTACGCTTTCAAGTCAAAAGTCTGGGATAGTGTCAAGGGATAGGGTGGACTGTCAGAGTAAGAGACACCATGGGTTTGCTGCTTGGCTTCCTTAGTTAACACACTGTGTTTTGCCATGTGAAGGGAGAACTGACAAGGTATTTGGGAACTGAAAAATCGTAGTTACAACTGAGTTCACAAAACTCTGAGCTGGAGTTGGACATGACATTACGGCTTCTCCTGGTAGACGACCTGTGTTCCTCAAGGTCTCCCAAAGGCATGACTAACCACTCTCCTCGGTGTTATCCCGATTCTCCAGTGAGCCATGACCTCATATTATTGACACTAAGAGCAATGTTCTCAGGCCAGGATGGGATTCTGGAGCTTCACAGACCAGTAAAGTCACATTCCTTCCCTCACGGAGTTTAAAGTCCCGCAGGGAAGGACAGTTGGGTGAACGAAAGGCAAACACCAAATGGTAAATGCACACTTGGGAGCTTCCTCTTCTTTGAGATAAGAAGGAAGGCTGAAGAAACAGGAATGTTGAGAAGCTGGTGTGGGGAAGTACAGCAGGTAGAGGTGGGAGAGAGTGACGGAATCTCTACTCCATTTGAACAGGAGATGGGAGTTTGGGCTGTAAGTGAAGGAGGTGGGGGAAATTGCGCTGCAGGAAAGAGAGAGAGAGGTGAAATGAAATAATTGCAGTGGACGTTGGAAATTTAAATCAGATTTAAAAATACTCCTGCCCCCTGGCTTAGGAAAAAAATGAACATAGGTAAGCCTTATCGAAATAAACATCTTCCTTCCATTTCATTTGTTCCTGTTTATGTTTGGAGGATTTGTATTTGATCAGATAGTTAATAAACAGATGAAATATGAGTACAAAGAGAAAGAGTTGCCGTTCCTATAAAATCTAAGATGAAAGCTTTGGAAAGGCTCGATAAAACTGAGTTACCAAAAAAGCATCATTGAATAAAAGGTGAGAGAGACAACTATAAGAGAAAAAAAATCATAAAAATCAGCGGAGGGAATTTTGTTTCACAAGTGTCTTAAGGTTCTCACCATATAATAAGCAAACGCTGGGCACTGTATATGATGTACAATGGTTTGGTTTGTGCAACAGAGACTAGCAGCAACTTGGTGGATCTGCATTCAGGAAAGAGACCCTGGCCATGCATCACATGATTGGTGAATACATGCGTAGTTAGGTGTATGTTCCAGGTTAAAGTGTTTAGTGAGCTCTGCATGTATAATTTTAATGATTCTCTGTTTTACTGACTTTTTTGATTTTTCAACCAATTCCCTGTCAGGTATGGTTGGATAAGAGGTATAAAAGGAGAGTAAAAAGGCTTGGGGTTTTGTTTTTCCCTCCTTCACTTGAAGTGAGCAGGAGTGTGATTATTTCATCTGACCACTAGATGTCACTATTGCTTCATGGAAATATTTTCCAGCTGCTTTGGCTCTAGCAATTTACGCTGGACATTTTACTCTTAACTGAGTGCTTGTGTGAGGAAAGGCAGAATGGGTCCCATTGTTACCTCCTTCACCTGTGCTCTAATCTAGTAAAGTTTAAAAAGTATATAGACGTGGCATTTGAATAAGGGGCACCCAGGTACAAAGTTCCCAGCTAAGGATCATTATTTCTTGAAGAATGACTTCGAAAACGGCTTCCTTTTATTTTATTTTTATTTTTATTTTTTGAGACGGAGTCTTGCTCTGTCACCCAGGCTGGGGTGCAGTGGCATGATCTTGGCTCACTGCAACCTCCACCTCCCGGGTTCAAGCAATACTCCTGCCTCAGCCTCCCAAGTAGCTGGGATTACAGGCGAGCGCCACCACGCCCGGCTAATTTTTGGATTTTTAGTAGAGACAGGGTTTCACTATGTTGGCCAGGCTGGTCTCGAACTCCTGACCTCAAGTGATCTGCCCGCCTCGGCCTCCCAAAGTGCTGGGATCACAGGCGTGAGCCACCTCACCTGGCCCAGCTTCCTTTTAAAACAAGTAGAGTGATTTATTGTAAGTAAGGGAAAATAAATGTTCTGTCTGATTTAGGGCATACACACTACCTTGTGTCCAGTGCAGGTCACTCTGTCATAACAAGCCCCACCAGGTGGCTATCCCTGGCTGCACAAAGGGTAAAGCTGCCGCTGAAGCCCAGCACCCCTCCCCAATGTGAGCCCCTACTCTATATGCTGAGGAATTCCTCAGGTCAGTAAAGTCACCTTCTGAGGAATTCCTCAGCATATAGAGTAGGGGCTCACATTGAGGAGGGAGGAGGGCCAGCCCTACAGTGTCCTGAGCTGGCCATGGAGATCCCCTCTACAGACCCTGACATCTGTTTCAGGGACCTCAGAGTTGAAAGAGCTCTTGGAGGTCACCTGCTTCAGTCTCCCACTTACTGCAAGCAATCCTTTGGTAACATCCTTGGTACATGAGTGCTCACCTGCTGGAACACTCTCTGTACTAAGATCCCTACTTGGTTGGGCGTTTCATTTCCTTGTGCGGCAGCACTGTTAGAAATCATATTCTATATTAAGCCAGAAGTTGCCTCCCTTCAACTTCCTTTAATCATTTTTCATGATTTCCAGACTCCTCATCAATTCAGGAGATAGGAAGGAAGGATGATGAAGGATTGATTCGGGATAATTCAGTCCTTATTTATTGAGCAGCTTTAGGGCCAAGGCCCTGTGCTAAGCAATCCAGAGCATCTCCTGGAGACAGTTGGGATTGTCAGTGTTCTTACTGTGTCTTTCCTGGAATGAGACATAACATTCCAGGTGAGGTCCAATTCATGCAAGGTATAGGGACAATTACTGCACTCGATCTGGAAGCTTCCATTGAATAAGATTATATCAACTTTTTATACACTATAACAATATTGGTTCATTTGTGGTTGAGGTAGATTTAAATTCCCAAGTCTTTTTTTTTCTCAGAATCAGTGTCAAGCAAATTTTTTTTTTCCATTGTGTACTGCTTATTTTTATTTATTTTTTGGAGACAGGGTCTCACTTTGTCATCCAGGCTGGAGTGCAGTGGTGCCATCCTGGCTCACTGCAATCTCAGCCTCCCAGGGTCAAGCGAACCTCCAGCCTCAGCCCACCAAGTATCTGGGACCACAGGCATGTGCCACCACACCCAGCTCATTTAAAAACATTTTTATAGAGCCGCGGTTTCTCCATGTTGCCCAGGCTGGCCTGGAACTCCTGAGCTCAAGCAATCTGCCTGCCTCAGCCTCCCAAAGTGCTAAGATTACAGGTGTGAGCCACTATGCCTGGCCGTGTACTGCTTATTTTTAAATTTAAATTTAATTTTAATTAAATTAATTTTTTTTTTTCTGAGATGGAGTCTCACTCTTGTCGCCCAGGTTGGAGTGCAATGGTGCGATCTCGGCCCACTGCAAACTCCACCTCCCGGGTTCAAGTGATTCTCCTGCCTCAGCCTCCTGAGTAGCTGGGATTACAGGTGCCCTCCACCATGCCTGGCTATTTTTTGGTATTTTTAGTAGAGACGGGGCTTCACCATGTTGGCCAGGCTGGTCTTGAACTCCTGACCTCAGGTGATCCACCTGCCTCGGCCTCCCAAAGTGCTGGGATTACAATCAGTTGTGAGCCACCATGCCTGCCTAATTTAATTTTTTGAGATGGGATCTTATTATGTTGTCCAAACTGCTGTCAAACTCCTGAGCTCAAGTAATCCTCCTGTCTCAGCCTTCTGAGTAGCCGAGATCCATCCTGTACTTTATTTATTATTTAATTTAACTGTTATTTTAAGTTCAGGGGTACGTGCGCAGGTTTGTTATATAGGTACACCTGTGTCATGGGGTTTGTTGTACAGATTATTTTCTCAAATGGTATTTCTATTTTTACGTCTTTGAGGAATTACCACACTGTTTTCCACAATGGTTGAACTAATTTACACCCCCAACAACAATGTATAAGCGTTCCTTTTTCTCCACAACTTCACCAGCGTCTGTTATTTTTTGACTTTTTAATAATAGCCATTCTGACTAGTGTGAAATGGTATCTCATTGTGGTTTTGATTTGCATTTCTCTAACGATCGGTGATGTTGAGCTTTTTTTTCATATGCTTGTTGGCAGCATAAATGTCTTCTTTTGAAAATGTCTATGCCCTTTGTCCACTTTTTAATGGAGTTGTTAGTTTTTCTCTTGTAAATTTGTTTAAGTTCCTTATAGATGCTGGATATTAGACCTTTGTCAGATGCATAGTTTGCAAAAATGTTCTCCCATTCTGTAGGTTGTCTGTTTACTCTGTTGGTAGTTTCCTTTGCTTTGCAGAAACTCTTTAGTTCAATTTATCCTGTAGTTTTTAAACAAAAATTTTCACCACAAACCTAGGTCTTTGTTCATCCATTCATTCAGTTAGTGGCTATTGAGTACTTCACAGTCATACCTGCCACTTAGCTAGGAGATATGACAATTAGTCTACCCTTTGTTCGTTTCTTGTTTTAGTGGACTCTCCCAGGATCCTGTCGTTCACAGATTTGAAACGTATGCTTGCTCTGACTTCATCCTAATTGCTAAAACATGACTGCTTGTGTTTGTTCTACAAGAACTTTAGATGCATCTGACTCATTTTTATGGACTCTGAGTCAATACCAAGGAATATGAATGAAATTTAGCTTGGATTTGGGATTCTATTTATCATCATGTAAAGATGATGCTTTATAATTTTTTTCGAATGGTGACTTAGTTCCACACTTTTAGTTAAATATGGTACACATAGATATGTGATTATCTCAAAGAATTTGCAGAATAATAGTGTGTATCAGGGAAATCAGAAGTGGGTAATATGAAAGCATGTGCCATCCTCCACTGCTGATAGTGCCTGGAGCTCAATTATTGTTTGAGGGAAATATGGCCTTGAAGACTTTTTGGGAATAAAACTTCTAGAAGCTTCTTCTGATTTAAAAGGGTGATCATAAGCAAAAAAGAGGCAGCCTCAGTTTTACAGGGGACTAAATGTTTCTGAGAAACCACTTATCTGTTGTGAGCTAGAACTATATCACACATCTCTTTTCTTACAAAGACACTGACTGGTTACAAGTCTGGTTTTGTTTATGCCTTGCTACAATAACCCATGAATGTCACACCGGCCAGCTAAATACTAATCTATATCAATGGAAGAAATAACCAAGTCAAGTGGTTCCAAGAACTCAGTAAGTGTTGGTCAAAACCCTTGAAATTAACCAAATAATTAATATATTGTCTGATAAAATACCAGATTATTAAATATTAGCCATTATGTGTTTAAAAGGGTTTGTTATGATGAAATTTAGAGTTAGAAATAGCTCCCCCAAGTTTTGGTCCTGAGCTACTCATTTTGGTAAATGACGAGATTAATATCATTAGACAATGTAATTACTATATTTCAGATATTAGTCATATGTGTCAGTTTGATATTTCTACATATATATGCCCTATTCATGCTATACCTAAGCTTCCAGTTTATTTAATTAAGTTGTGACCGTCATAAGTAGGAAAACACATGTTAAATGAAGATAAGAATCTGAACCACAAGAACTGCATGTGACAAATTAATGGGCAATATAATGCAGTGATGAAAGAGATATTTACATTGCAGGCTGCATTTGGAATGCAAATAGTTTGATTATACATTTCCTGGAAAAGTCTCTAAGAGGAATCTAGAATTTGAGGGAAACTTTTGACTCAGATTTTGTTCATAGACAGACTGTTTTTTACTCAGCTTATAGGATATGACACACACTTGGTTTTCCTTCTACCTCACTGATTCCTGCTTTTCAATCTCCTTTGCTGGTATTATATCAAATTTAGCCTAAAGCTGCCTCCTTACATATTTTAAGTTTGGTCTAAAGGTTTCTCTGTACCTTGTGAACCATAACAAGTGGAGGTGTAAACAGACCCATATCCTACAGTTGTGCCAATCACCGAGTCTTGGCCAATCAAATGTAGCCAACTGTTCAAACCATGTTCAAATAAGGCAAATGCTGAGCCGTAACCAATCCAGCTGTTTTTGTACCTCACTTCCATTACCTATTCATCACTTTCCTTTTTCTGTCCATGAATCTTCTTCCCCCATGTGGCTGCGCTGGAATCTCAGAGCCTATTCTGGCTCAGAAGGCTGCCTGGTTGACGAATCATTCATTGCTCAGTTAAACTCCATTACGTTTAATTCAGCTGAAGTTTTTATCACTGGTTTCTCCTTTTCTTCCCATCCATTTAATACTGAGGTGCCTTGGGGCTCAGCCCTAGCCCCTCTTTATCTATATCTACTCCCTTGGTGACCTGTTCCAGGTTCATGTCTTTAAATACCGTCTTTATGCCAACAAGTCCCAAATGTGTGCCTTTAGTCCAGAACTCCCTCTGAGTACCAGACACAAGAACATCCAAATATGAACTCCTGATCTTCCTTCCAAACCTGCCCCCCTCAGCTTTTTCATCTCAGTTGATGATAACTAAGCGTAGCAGTTTATTAGGTCAGAAAAGTGACAAGAGACTTGCAGAGACTTGTGTGGAGTTTGAGTTTTCTCTGAATAAGTTAAGAAGACAGAGTGTTTTGAGCAAGAAGTGGAATTATCTGGCATATTTTAAAGGGCTCATTCTGGTTGTTTTGCAGAGAGTAGACAGTGGAGGCACAAAGATATATCAGGAGAGACCAGTTAGGAGGCTGCTGCGACGACCCAGGTGTGAGATCATGATGACTTGGATCAGGGTAGTAGTAGTGGTAAGAAGTGGTCAGATTCTGGATGTGTTTTCAAGGTAGAGTTAATAGGATTTCTTGGCAGGATGCAGGATGTGAAAGAAAGAGAAGTCAGGGATTATTCCAAGACTTTTAGTTTGAGCAACTGGAAGAGTGGTGTTACCTTCAGCTGAGATGGGGAAGATTGCATAGGGAGTTTGGGATGTCCACTAGATATTGAAGCAAAATGTTTGAATGGGAATTTGAACATTTTAGTCCATTTGAAGTTCAAGAGAGAGGTCTGGACTGGATATGTAAAACTGGGAATCATTGGCATATAGATAGTATTTAAAACCTCAGACTGGAAGAGATCACTAAGGTCTAAGACACTTATAGTAAAGAGAATTTCCTATAGACCTAGAGCATTTGTTCTCAACCAGAGGTGCTTCCCTGGGGATATTTGACAATGTCTAGAAACATTTTTGGTTGTGGGGAGTGGTTGCTACTGGTACCTAGTGGACAGAGAGCAGGGATGCTACTATATATATATCTATCCTATAATGCCTAGCACAGCCCCCAACAACAAAGAATTATCTGGCCAAAAAGTCAGTAGTGTCAAAGTTGAGAAACCCTTGTGTAGATGGAGAAGACCAAGGACAGAGCCTGGGACACTGCAATATTTAAGAGGTAGAGAGGAAGAGGAGGAACCAGCAAAGGAGACAGAAGAGTAATCAGGCAAATACGAGGAAACTAAAAGTTGTGGATCCTGGAAGGCAAGTGAAGAAAGTTTATCAACAAGGAGGTGTGTCAAATGCTGCTGATTAGGGGCATGGCATCAGGTGCCTGTAGTCCCAGCTACTGGGGAGGCTGAGGCAGGAGGATCACTTGAGCCCCAGAGTTCAAGGCCAACCTGGGCACCATAGTGAGATGATGTCTCCAGAAAAAAAAATGCTGCTAAGTCAAATTGGTTGATAACTGAGAATTATTCATTGTATTTATCATCATGCGTGTCATTTATGACCTTGAGAAAAACAGTTTCAGTGTATGTGTTGGGTGGACTTAAGACAGAATGGAAGGAAAGGGAGATTGCAGACAACTAGTACTTAAAAGTTTTGGGAGAGGTTTTTTTGCAAAGGAAAACAAAGAAATGGGGCAATGGCTGGTAAGTATCAGAGAATTGGGCGTGAGTTTAGAGTGCTGACTGTCAGACCACATCAAGGGCCTTAGAACCAAGGACAAGGCAGATCCAGGTTGAAATGATTCTGGACACAGGTCTAGAATGAGAAAAAGGTCTAGAAATTAATTATTTTTGTTGGGTGATGGCTTCATGAGTCAGAGGCAGGTCTGATGGCTGGGGCCAACTGGACCAGACAGTTCTAAGACACACTATTCTTTATATTCTATCCTTTTCAGTCCAAATAAAGGACTGGAGCTGGCATATGAATTCTTCACAATAACTCAGTACAAGATTCCTTGCTGTCTCTGACTTCTAGGGGTAGGCTTATTTTTATTTTATGTGGCTCCAAGGGTGCAGGTAAGTTTCAGGGCCCTCTCTGTCTGGACTATTGCATCAGTCACTTACCTGACTCCAGCTTGCTGCCTTTCACTCCCTTCTTTATTTCCAGAGTGATCTTTCTAAATGCAAATCTGAGTCTATCATTCCCTGTCTAAAAACTGTGTATGGCTTCCCATCCTAATCAAGATAAAATTCAGGCTCCCTTGTGTGGCATACAATGTTATCTCAGACTTAGTTTTCCCCATGTTTTCCAGGCTTGTGTCCAGCTTCTCTGTGCCTTGCAGCAGATATTGGACTTCTCCACATCCATGGTTCCATGTACTTACCGTGCAGAGTCACACCTCCAAACCTGTGCTTAACTCGTTTACTCTTCTATAACACCCTATCTACTTTTCTGTGCTTGGTTAACTCCTGCTCATTGTTCAAGACTAATTTCCTTTAGGAAGCTGTATACATTAGAATTCAATTTGGTTACAAGTGACAAAAAGTAACAGTGGCTCTGTTGCTGCCCTGGAGTAAACATGAGAAAGAAAAGGATATTCTGGGGTCCATGGAGAGGAACATCAGATGCTTCCACAGTCTGTTCTTGGAACCACTATTATTCAACTGGGACTGGCAAATCCCAGTTGAATCTTAGATTTCAAGACTATGATGTTGCTGCCTGGTATGTGCCTTCAGCTCTAGGGAGTTAAAGTCATGTATTTTGCTTTGTTTTGTCTCATATTTTGCCCGAGACTTGTTTTAGATTAACTTGTCACTTCATTAATTCATTCAATGACTGATTCACATGTGGGTTTGCTGTAACTTACTATATAAAAAGTCTGTTTCTTCTGGTTTAATCATCAGGGTTTCTGGAGGTGTGGAATAGCAGACTAATTATCGCTCTGTAACCTCTCATGTTTTTGAGGTGAATTACCTATAGTATGAATTCTTTGCTCATTTATCCTATTATTTGTTTAAAAAGAACTATTGGCCCTTGTCACTTACCAGACACAGTGCTTGGTGCTCAGGATGCAGAATGAGAGACATTCCTTGTCCTGAAGGAGCTGCAGTCTAGTGTCAGGGTAGACAAGGAAAGCAAGAGTAGAGTGTAATAAGTTCTTAGGTCAAGGTATACCTGAAGTGTTATAAGAGTCCAGAAGAGGGGCATGTGATTGAGACTTGGAGTCAGGGAAAAACCTCAAGAGAAAGTAGTGCCTGGAGGTTGCAGTGAGCAGAGATCATGCCACTGCACTCCAGCCTGGGAGACAGAGTGAGACTCCATGTCAAAATAACCAACTAACTAACTAACTAGCTAACTAACTAACTAAATAAAGTAATGCCTGAACTGAGTGATGAGAGACCTAGGAGTCAACAGGAAGCTAACATGGGCTGAACCAGCTTGATAAAATAAAACTCTCCACAGTTTCATCAACCCTAACCCACACCATTTCAAATAAATATTCAAAGTAAAAAAAAAGTGCTTGGTAGGCAACTTTATCACAAGTTCCCTAATCTCCGTCAACCCACCCCAGTGTTACCCCAAATAAATATATAATACAAGTTCCTCAGTTTCAACTAGATCCCCACCTGGATTCCTATCCCTCCTCTAGAGACTTCTGGAATGTCACTGCCCTATTTTCTTCACCCCACTCCATCCCTCAGACTCACCCCTGTCCCTGATACCTACAAATCAGCATCATCCTTGGGCTCATCTAAAGAAAGTAATGAGAGGTGGATGGAGTTAAAGGACAAGGCAAAGTTCAGGGGCGAGATGAGGCTTTAGGATGAAAAAGGACCAGGAATTGGGTGGGGATAACTGCTGCACATATCCTGTAGTATTGTGTGGCATTAAGAGTCTGCCTTATACCTTAGAAGAACTCTTTCTCCATCTCTGGTGGTAGGGTATAGGATAAAGTGGAGAGAGTCTTACTAGTTAAAGTGGAGAGAGTCTTACTAGTGCATCTTGCCAAGGGCTTTTTTTAAAAAACAGGTTCTAGCTCCGTCAACCCGGGCTGGAGTGCAGTGATGTGATCATAGCTCACTGCAATCTTGAACTCCTGGGCTCAAACAATCCTCCTGCTTCAGCCTCTCAAGTTGCTGGGACTACAGGCACATGCCACCATGCCTGGCTAATATTTTGATTTTTGTAGAGATGAGGTCTCACTGTGTTGCCCAGGCTGGTCTCAAACTCCTGAGCTCAAACAATCCTCTTGCCTCGGCCTCCCAAAATGTTGGGATTACAGGTGTGAGCCACTGCACTAGGCCCATTTTAACCATTTTTAAGTGCACAGTCCTCTGATGTTGAGTCATTTGCATTGTTGTGCTTTCCTGATACTTCTTGAGCTCTTTCTATCTGTAGACTTTGGTCCTCCCTTAATTCAAGATAATTCTCTTCTAGCATATCTTGATTTTTTTTTGGCCACTTTCATTATATGTGTCAGTGTGTGTGTGTGTTTTAACCAACATATCACATTCTGAGGAGAGTGCAGCAATGTGGGTTCTAGTGGTTTCTTCTTATTCTCCTGGGCCGCTTCAGAATTTAAGTGTTTGGTTTAATAAGGTTAAGGAGCTGTTTTTTTGTTTGTTTGTTTGTTTGTTTGTTTGTTTTTCTGGAGAGAGGTCAGCAAAATGCTCTGTGGATAAACCAAGAACTTAGTATGCAAAGGGCTTTTGGTAGCCTGTGCACACAACCCGAGCACACATGGTATGAGTGAGTGTCCACACACAAGCATGCCCTTGCTTTCCTAGGTCACCTGTGGAGAAAGAAACATCATCTCTCAACAGAGGATTGTTCCTCCGTTTGATGATACGTGCATCCTGCCATCTGGAATTCAATTGACTGTTCTGTCTTGGAGCCAAGAATCTAGAAAGTGAGTGGGAACATCAGATGTGAGTCAATATTTCACAATGTCACCAAAGAGAACATATCAACACTCAGTTGACAGGCAGCAGCCCCGTGCAGATGATGACAAAGGCTGGATACATGTCAGGGTGTGAGTGTGGAAGAGGGCAGGGGCTGGGGACTTTTATAAGAATGTTTCCGTGCCTAGCTCAGTGCTGGCCACATGTTTAGTTAAGCAGGACATTTCCTTACTGGGAGTCTGGTTGGAATTGATTTTCTATTAACTATTTATTTTGATCTTCTATTTTCTCCATTTTAATAGGTTGTTAGCAAAATCAGCTTAATGCTGGTCATATACATTGATTAACTGTTTCATTGATCATACAAACACAACCATTAAATGCTTGTGTGTTACAGAGAAAATTATTGTAACTATATTCATACTAGACAGATAGACAAACAATATGCTGGGAAGGAAGTTTTTTTTTCTTCTTTTTAATAAGAAGTAAATTTGATACTCAAGAGGTAGGGTGGTGGACTTAGAATGACCATCCCTACTTTGCTCATCCTTCAAGGTCTGACTGAAATATGACCTCTCTCCAAAGCCTTGCACAGTCTTCCCAGGCCCCGTCATGGTTCCTTCTGCGGCTTGTGTGTGTTCTCATAGCACTGCATATAGCTGCGTATTTACCCGAGGCAGGAAAGTGACCCTTATTTATCTTTTGCATGTAGTAGAAGCCCAGTACATTCTGACTAGTTTTTTTTTGTTTGTTTGTTGTTGTTGTTTGAGACAGGGTCTAGCTCATTGCAACCTGGAACTCCTGGCTCAAGAAATCCACCTACCTCAGTCTCCCTAAGGGCTGGGATTATAGGTGTGAGCCACCATGTTTGGCCCTTGATTCGGTTTTAATTTCAATTTTCAAAAAGTAAAAGGAAGGTTTATTGTTTTTGCTAATTTTACAAGTAACCAGGCTCACTGGATTAGGATCAGACAATAAAGTAGAACGTGCAGTCACCTTCAGCCTATCACTTAGAGACAACCATTATGAATATTTTGGGATATTTATCTCCAGATCTCTCTCTCTCATATGTGTATATATATTTATTTATATTCATAAACTTAGAGGTAGAGATTTTTCTTTTTTTTTCTTTCTTTTTTTTTTTTTTTTTTTGAGACGGAGTCTCGCTCTTTCACCAGGGTGGAGTGCAGCGGCATGATCTCTGCTCACTGCAACCTCTGCCTCCCGGGTTCAAGCAATTCTCCTGCCTTAGCCTCCCGACTAGCCGGGACTACAGGCGTGTGCCACCACACCCAGCTAATTTTTGTATTTTTAGTAGAGACGGGGTTTCACCATGTTGGCCAGGACAGTCTCGATCTCTTGACCTCATGATCTGCCCGCCTTGGCCTCCCAAAGTGCTGGGATTACGGGTATGAGCCACCGCCCCCAGCCCGAGGTAGAGATTTTTCTAAATAAAAATGGAATCACATTATAACTCCTTCTTCGTCAGAAGCTCTTTTAACTCAATATGCCACAAGCATCTTTTCCTTCCTTTCTTCCTCCCTCCCTACTTCCCTCCCTCCCTCTCTGCCTCCTTTCTCTCCTCTTCTTCTCTTTTCTTTTCTTTCTGTTTTTTTGACAGAGTCTTGCTCTGTCACTCAGGCTGTAGTGCAGTGGTGCAATCTCAGCTCACTGCTCACTGCAACCTCCACCTCCCAAGTTCAAGTGATTCTCCTTCCTCAGACTCCCGAGTAGCTGAGACTATAGGTGTGCGCCATCATGCCCAACTAATTTTTGTATTTTTTTAGTAGAGTTGGGGTTTCACCATGTTGGCCAGGCAGGTCTCGAACTCCTGATCTCATGTGATCCACCCACCTTGGCTTCCCAAAGTGTTGGGATTACAGGCATGAGCCACCATGCCTGGCCACCATAGGCATCGTTCTGTATCAATAAATATGGAGCTAGACCCACTTGTTTAACCAATCAACCTATGTTGAATTTTTAGGTTATTTCCAATTTGTCATATTACTACAAATAATACTATGCTAAATATCCTTGTATATACATCTTTGTAGCCTATTTCCATTCTACTTACCCAATCACTCTTTAAAAAAATCTTTTAGGCTATTGTCAATATTTTCCTATTACTATAAATAATACTTGGATAAACATCTTATACATACACCTTTGTCACCTTTTCAATTTTTTTTTAAGGATAACTTCCTAGAAGTAACCTCATTGGTTACTCATTGGTCAAAGAGCATGTACTTGTAAAACTTTGGGATACATGTTGCCAAATTACCCTGCAAAAGGTTGTGCCAACTTGCACAGTTATTACCTGTATGTAAGAATTCCTCTTTCACCGTACTCTTGGCCACAATGGGGTTTGTGAACATTTTAAAACTTTATTAAATATATTTTGTGAACTAGGTGTTAAGCTTAACCACAAACAGCACAGTTTCTCTAGGGAAGTGTGTCCCATCTAAACAGCCAACTTAGAAACAGCCCTCTTCCATCAGCTTGTGGTTGCCTGTGAAAAATACCCTGAAATCTTTCTTTAACACCACTCATTAAAAAATGTACCAAGGTGTAAGGTGGGTCCCTCCAAGCTGGTTAATTACTGTGTACCAGAAGATATGAAAAAACAAAACAAAACAGAAAACCAACAACAGTCTCTTCTTTAAGGGAGTCTTGGGCCATGCAGTCTGATGACAACATTATCAGGTTGTTCTAGGGGATATTTATTATTAATTAATGGAGTAGACAGGTCAGTGGTATTTAGAACTATACCCAAGACCCCTTGAAAAGATTCAGGGCAAGAGATAAATTGATGAGGTCCCTCCAAATATGACTTTTCATCCAGCAAGTTATGTTTAGACACCCAGCACTAGAAATATGTAGACAAATTGGAGAGAGTTCAGAGAAAGGCAATAAAAAGATGAAGGGAACGGAGGGACTGATTTATGAGGAAAGATTAAAGAAACCAAAAACACAGAGCCAGGACCCAGAAATGACTTCAGGGAGCATGTTAACAAACAGCAAATACCTTTCCATGTAAACCACCAAAGTGGGGACTTGTTTAGCTTGGTACCAAGAATGTAAGTAGTGGCAGTGAGGTGAAAAGAAAGAGAAGAATCCAACTTACTAATGTATTCAGGAGTGTCTCCAGAGAGAGGTTAGAAGTTCCCTGGCTGGAAACGTTTAGCACCAGACAGCACTCAGCCCCCACAAGGAGAGGATTCTAGACCGGAAAACAAGAAAATAGACTTGCAGGTTAGATCATACCAAGCCTTGGAACCCTTCCATGTTGTTACCTCATGGTGACTGTATAAATATACTATCTGGGGTCCCGAAGGTAAACTAATTCAGCTCATCTCTTTTTCATTTCCTGTCTTTAATGCCTCTTTAAGTTAGCAAGTTCAATCAGGTTTGAACATATGCTTTTTCAATCAAGTCTCTCTGCACGGTGTCTTTGTGACAGAGGTGGGCGCCGAAGCTGGGGTTCAGGTGACCGCTGGAGATATCTCTGGGCTCCTTTAGTGCCTGTCTGAAATCACCAAGGAAGAGAGGAAAGAGCCAAGCAGCCGGGAATACAGCCCACCCACCCCAAGCCAGAGAGAATGTCCTGCATCAGTTAGGCCTCATAATTTCTGCCCTAAATCTCATCCCCATAACAGAAATGTAAGAGCTTTGTCTCTTCAAAAATCCACCAGGTTCCAGAGGAGATGGAGAAGGATGTGGGGGCCTATTTGGGGAATATGATCTTCATTTTGGTTTCCTTGTCCTTCTGTCAATAACTTGCTTGGATTTGCTCCAGCCAGTATTCGGTGATCCATAAAAAGGGGAATGGAATAATAAGAAAAATGGAAACAAACAGCAATACGCACACACCACACTCCTCTATTTAAAGCATTTTACTCCTTCACAACGAGCCAAGTGTTTCCTAACTGGCTGTCGTGGGCCTGACGCTGAGTTGGCGCTGTGGGGAGTGCCCATGCAGGCTTTTTGTGTGATGCCCAGAATCAGTGCTGGTGCAACCAGAGGTGGTAAAAAGAAAGTGAGGAGAACCAAGGCTGACTAAGTGTGCTGACATTCCTCATTAGGGTTGCACGTGGGAGAGAGAGAGAACTAGTGTTCAGGTTAGCAGCTTGAGCTTTGACCATAGACAAGGGTTTCTCTACCAACTGTGCGACCCTGGTCAAATTATTTAACCTCTCTAGGTCTTGATTTGTTCATCAGTAAAAGCAGAGATAAGAGTACCTAGCTCATAGGATTGCTGGGAGGGTTAAATAAATAAAACATATAATGTGCTTAACCAGTCTTGCACAAACTAAGCACTCAATAAATGTTAGCTATGAGAGTCCCTCCTCTTCCTGCATGCACACACAGAAACTCCTATCTCGAAGTCCAGGGGGCCTCCGGCACCCATCTGTGAGTAAGGGAAGGTGATCTTCCCCTCTGTTGCTTAATTTGCTGGCCATGGGTTCCCAGGGAATCCATCATTTCAGTGAAAAGTTTTAATTTTGACTTTTTAATTTCAATATTTTATTACTGAATACATTTAATGTCTTGATATTTTAAAAAACCAAATCCAACCTGATTTTGGATCACGTCTATGACTACCTTATAACCAAACACTTAACCAGTGCCATTGAATTTTAGTGCCCACGTTTGCTTCTAGGTTCATAACTGTGTTGACACCAGAAAGCCACAGCTTTAAACTTTCCTTTACACTGAGCTGTGGGCCCCTATTTTTCTGTGTTCCTTAAGTTTGAGGAAAACTGAGCAATGACAAACACCATGGAAAGTAGGAGTGGGGAAGGTGAGAGGCCATGTCTAGGGATGTTCCGGGAGTATCTCCAAAATGGAGAAAGTTCCAGAAATAGGAGGCAGCATCAGGTAGTGATGAGCTGTGAGCCAGGCTGATTTGGGTTCAAAGGTCAGCTCAGCCACCTGAGCTGTGACCTTGGAGCTTAGAGGCCATCACAGCTAGGTGAGAATTAGAGAATCATTTATGTCAAATCCCTTGCTTCATCCACCTGCAGATATGGATTCATCCCGCTGAACACCAACATCCCCTCACTGGTATAGCACAACATATGAACAGAAGGGGTGGATTTTCAATGGTGGAAGACTAGGCAGCAGAGACCTAGTGTTATATGGCTATGGCTGTGATGATGTCACCCCCAATCTGCCACCACAAAGCAAAGATACCGTGAAGAGGACAACTTCTGTAAAATGCACAGAAGGTCCACAGGGGCCAGTCACTCACCTGGTAAGAGGAGTGGCAAGAAGAGGTTTTCCAGGGAAAAGGATACAATGCTCCTCCTGAGACTGTCATAAGAAGGAGGGAAATTGATTGCATAAAATATAGAATGTTGGGACTTGGAGGAAAAGTTTTGTAGATTTGGGGCACCCAGTTGTAATATTCTGGCTGTGCCTGGCCATCCTGATGTTCAATAATGTGAGTCTTCAGTCCAAGAGCTTAGATATAGCTCCTCCAACTCCTGGGGGCAGAAAGCACACCAGTATGTTTGGCTTGGCTTCTGGAATTGGTCTTCTTTGGGGTCCTCACAGCTGCCACTCCACTTTTAGAACAGAGAAGAGCCAACTCCTGGTTGACCAGAACATGGCCAGGAAGGCAGCAGCAGGTTTTGGAGGGAGACCAGTGGGTTCACCTAATTGAGTCTCAGTTTTCACATTGGACAGATAGGGGTAATTGTGAGGACAAAAGAAAATCACCTAGTCCAGGACCTGGCACCCAATCAATTGTAGCACAATTTCATAATTTACAACCGGCAGTGGATAGAACAGAGTGGGCAGGCCCAGCTTTCAGCCCAGAGAGTATAGAGAGAAGAAAACTTTAGTTTCTCTGTCATTGAGGCCTTTTAGCCTTAGCTGGCTGCCCTCAGGATCTCTGGGAAACAGAGATAATTGCACATGTATGTGACAGAGAATTTTGCTTGCAGGCATGGAAGTGTCAGGGAGAAAGGGCCACACAGTTTCCAGGGACCAGCAATGCCAATTACTTTTTTCCAGCTTATTTCTGGGGTTTTGGACATGAACATATCTTTGGTTGACCAAAGCATCCCTGTTCATTTTCAGTCAGTAGCTGATTAAAGTGAACTTAAACTCTGTAGAAAGTAGATTTTAAGTATGTATGCATGTGTGCAGGGAGCAACATCTGTGTATAGTGAAAAGTAAGAAGAATCAGGACATTGAGTTTCTGTTTTCTCCTGACTCTATGATGCAGGCCTGCCTGGCCTCTTCACTGTTTTGGGCCACAATTTCTTCATTGACAAAATCTTCAGGAGTCTAGATCAAATGATTTCTAAGAAAGGACCCTTCCTGCATTTCCAGTTGATCTATGAATGCATTCCTGAGGTGCTGGGTGGTTTCTGATTTTCTTAGGAGTTTCGGAGCCAACCGCCATATTCTTAGATAGGCTCAGGGGAATTCTATTCTGAGAACCCTCACTTAGGGAGAACAAGTCTTTAATTTGAGGATCAGCTCAGCTTTAAATTCTCCTTTTCTCCTTCACTCTCTATCTTTGGGCTTACTCTGCATTGTTAATTCTATGATAGAATGAAAAGAGAACTGTGAACAGTTGTGAGGAAAATTTTTGTTGACCTAGGCTAAATTTCAGTTACGATGCAGGACAGATTTGATGGAATTTAAGCCCACTTAGTTATGTTCAGAGAGGAAACTACAGTGACTTGGAGAAGCAAGTAGAAGATATGGAACACGTGACTGAAGAATCCATCTTTACAGAACTGCTTCCTCAAAGCAGGCTCATGGGCTTTGGGGTAATGTGTACCTTGAAAAAATAGAAACATTTTCACAGTCAAGTCCACTAGCACTGCAGACATCTAGGTATTGCTGCTACTATTGCCAGGAGGACCAACTTGGAGGGCTATCTCCTCCACCTCTTCCTCAACCCCACGAAATTAAATTCAGGATAGGGGAAAAGTGAGCCCAGGAGAGATATTGGAGTTTGCTCCTTGTAATAATGCCACCTTAGGTCCAATAAGCCTGAACAGAATTTCATGTGTTCACAGCTGGCTCTGAATTCTGTGTCAGAAAGGCAGGAGCTTTGTCTGTAACCTGAGTTCTTCTAACAATTGTTTTTGTAAAATTAGAGGGATTTGAAAAGCATGAGGTTAATGTGCTTAGTGATCTTATTAGCTCCTTTATGGAAGCAGACAAGCACATTTCCAGGATTGACTCAGAGTAGAGAGATAGGGAAACGGAGGGAGTGGGAACACTCTGGACTTTCTGATCAATTTTTCTATAAACCTAAAAATCCTTCTATAAAAATAAATTCTATTAGTTTTTTTTTTGTAAAAAAAGGAAAAACTACCATTGGTGCTGAGTAGTTCACTTTTAAAACTACAAATTTGCCATGACAGGAATAAAAAACAAACAAAAAAAACCTACTGATAATTTATCTCTATATGACCCCTTTTTCATTACTACTGGGCCACAAATCATCTTATAACTAAAAAAAAAAATGCTGTATGTCAAAGAAAAGCATATCGAGATGGATCATTGTTGGCCTGGCTTGTGGTGGGGCCATTGAGGGCAGAGATGCACTTGGAGCTTGACGCATAGTAGATACTCAATAAATATAAAGTGAATGAATGGACAGATTGGCAAATAGAAGAGGTAAGCAGTCTCTGTTGGGATGCATGGGACTTTAATATTATGCCTTGGGGCAATGCTCAGGTGCAGAAGGGCTCTGGGGACCAGTCTTGACCCTGGCCTGTAGCTCAGAAGCCGCCATCACCTATTCCATCTCTGAACTCCTTACAACACAATATCACCAGTTTGCCTCTCATTATTTCTGAAGACAAATCATTAGGCCTTTTTTAACCTAAAGGTCTTGCTGTCAATTGTAGGGGAATAGAAGCAAATGAGAATTTCTTTCCTTAAGTTGCCAGAATACTAAAAACATTCTTAGTGCCCTGGGCCCTGGCACTTGCCCTACACCTGCAGTGGCAACTGGATGACCCCTTGGTCTCCAGCGATTGGCTTTTATGTACTGTCACATCACTCCACTCTTCTTATCTAACATGACTTGTATTCTTCGTTATTGTCTACCTTGTTTTCTCAGGATGCAAATTCCTTGAGAGACGGCTGCTGCCTGTGTTATTCACCACTCTATCTACTGGGCTTAGGAGAGGGCTTTGGCTATAGTAGGTGTTCTGGTTGGAGGATGAATGAATGGAAACCCAAGAGTCAAAGCCAATTTGGATAAGAAATTTGAACCTGAGTTGGGGATGTTAGCACAGCTCAGGCACATTCATCAGGCAGTTGGGAATATGAATATCCAACTTATTCATTCATTCAAAAATTATTACCTAAGCATCTACTATGTGCCAGCTACCATGTAGATGCTTTAAATACAGACTTGGCTTTCAGCCTTAGATGTCCCAGGGATAGAACCTCCAGATCAAGTTCTCAACTTATTTCTGCTGCCAATTTGCTGTGTGGGTTGGACCAAATCACGTAACTTCTCTATGTACAAAGTAGGTCCGCCGATATTCCATCACCTCCCAGGGCAGTTGTAAGGATTAATTGGCATTTATAGAGTGCTTTGAGCTCCAGAGATAAAAGGTCTCCTGCTTCTGCCAAATCGCATGATTACAGTAGTGTGGTGGGATACACGATTTAGAGCTTATGAAGGACTTTGAAGATGAAAAGAGACAAAATCTTATTATGATTTCTTTCAGCTCCTAGGCAGGACTGACCTTGAGGTTTATGTGCCCCCAAGTCTTTCTGGCACCACTGGGATTCTGGCTCTTTTTCTTGTCCTTCTCAAGAAGTTACACCGGCCCTCAAATTTTTTTATTTTGCATAGTTTCTAAAAGAAAAATCAAAGGCAGCTTCCTGCATTATAGAAACACAACCTCAATGATCCCAGAGCTAAGGGAGGAGGAATAAGGCACAGACTAGTTTTTTTCTCTGGCACTCTCATTCCTGGATTTATGTCACTAATTGTTGGAACCAGCAAATTCTATTGAAAGACAAGATTGACTCCCTCAATAAAATAAAGCCAAGTAATAACAAACCCAAAATGTGGCTTGAGGCATTAATTTGTTTGATGTTAGATTTAGAAAATGTGTTCAGAAACAGTTTCTGATGACATATTAAAATGGCCTCATCTGAGAGACAAAATATTGATCTATATCCTGTGCCTTTCTGGAGTTTCCTTCCCTGTTGAAGACCTGCAAGACTCCATCTCTGGAGAAGGAAAGAGACCTGGTACTGCAGGGCCTGCCGCAACCTCCTTCTGAGTTCTCAGGACTCTGGGAAAGGCCACTACTGAAATGTACCTAAAGCAGGGCCATACCTTAAAGCAGGGGCATGGGGTCTGGGACTGGGGTAATAAAACCTGTATGGGACCCACACTAGAAAGTCTCACTTGGAATGAGTCCACTCTATTCTCATTATTCAAAGCCCACTTGGGACAGAAAATTTGAGAGAGAAGTTAGTGGTATTCAGAAAAGAGAATATGGTGCAGTACCCTAAGGCTTTCCCAACCCTTGCCCCTTAAATGTAGGGTCCAGAGCCTCTGCCTAACTTGTCCTACCTAAGGGATAGGCCTGCACAGGAACATGCAGGGTTTATGTGGTGGGTGCCGTGTGATTTCCACTTGGCTGGAGGTTTTGCTGCAGACACTCACATGGTGATCCTGAAGCAGAAGATCTGGATCTTGGAGGCAATGTACTCAGATGGGATCTGATCTTGGTTATATTAACAACTCTATTAAAAATAAATCCAGGCTGGGTGCGGTGGCTCATGTAATCCTAGCACTTTGGGAGGCTGAGGTGGGTGGATCACCGGAGATCAGGAGTTCAAGACCAGCCTGGCCAACACGGCGAAACCCCATCTCTACTAAAAATACAAAAATTAACCGGGCATGGTGGTGGGTGCTTGTAATCCCAGCTACTTGGGAGGCTGAGGCAGGAGAATTGCTTGAACCCGGGAGGCAGAGGTTACAGTGAGCTAAATCATACCACTGCACTCTAGCCTGGGTGACAGAGCAAGACTCTGTCTCAAAAAAAAAAAAAAAAAAAAAAAAAAAAGAAATCCATAAGACCAGAAGGAGCTTTCAATTTCTTAATGCCAGAAGGGTAGTAAAACTTATCTATATGAGCTCTTTCAAAACCTGACTGGTGGATAGAAATAGTTTATTTACTTTATTGACTGGTCTTGAACCTTTCCATATCTTTTTCCACTTAATTTGCTCAAGTCCAAGAGTTTCTTTTCATTGTATTGTTTTAGCACATACACTAGTTAGTATCAGCTGGGAGTTGGGGCATTATTTCATTGATACATTGCCCCAAAATTTCTAGCATATTTACAGGTGAATAAGGGTTTGGCTTTTGGAAAACACAAAGAGTATGCAATTTAAGTCAACAATGACAGCAACAAAACAGTCTCCCTGAGACCCATTTCTGGGAATTTCTATCGTTGTGTAAAACTCGCTATGGTGCAAAGCTTTAAGTAAAAGCTGTTATTCTGCTCCTTGTCATAATGCATGAGCATTTCTGGCCAGAACAATTTGCTCTGAAGGACATGTATTGCATGCCAAGTAGAGAAATCACTCTTATCCCAGTGAGAGTGGATCTGAGAAGAAAGTTTTCATCTATCATTTCAAAGTCGTTTAGTAATTCACAAAGGCCATTCTGTAACATAATTGAGTTTCCATTTCTAAACAATGATATAATAACATAGTAGTTTGATCCAAAATTCTGTCCCAGAATGTCCCATTTCTTGGCAGTTATTTTAAATGGTGCAACTGAGCTTTATTGGATTTGGGGAATATTTCCCTTTCTCTATCCAGTGCTTTCTGAAGTTGTAATATTGCTTGATGAAAGGTGCCTTGTGAAAACACTGCCTTGTTTTATGAAAATATTATTCAACTTTTATGGTATAACTTTTCGCAGTATTTGCGTTAATATATTGATCTGGATATATCTAGAATTGTGTGATTTTAAAGCACAGTTTCTCTCTATATTTGTTATTATTTTTAACATCTCTAAAGATTGTTCCCAGTAGTCTTCTATATATCTTGTTTTTGTTATGTCTGATTCTAATTTTATCCAGGGACGGCTGTGGTTTGATGAGTTTAAATCACAGGAAGGACATGTGCCAAATTAAAGGCTTCTTGGTAATTTTTTGGGAGGATGCTGGGTATTTTTAACCCTCCCCTCTTACCAAGGAGAAATAGGTTTTTATAAGAATGTGTGTTTAAACATGTTTTTAAATGCATGACTTCTGAGGAAGTCTGAGAATGCTGCAAAGCAGGAAAGGGCTGGGGGATCACTGGCAAGGGAAACATAAAAATGAAATATTAATATGACCAGGCACTAGCTTCAAGGCATTTGTTCTCCAGAAAATAAATGATGCCACATTTCATTTTTTAAAGCTCGCTGTCTAACATAGTTGATATCTCTGTCTTCGTAGTTTAATTACAGGCCTAAGCAGTCACTGGAGAGGGAGGGCATCTGATCTTAGAATTGATTTTATTTATCGGTTGTGGTTGGGCTGGAGACCTCTGGGAAGCAGGCAGCTTCCAAGAATAGCAGATTTTAGGTGTTACTTACTTGCTTGACTCAAAGAACCGTTATTTCACTAGCATTCAGTAGCTGCCTGACTGTCCACAGGTGTAGCAGACTAAATGTCGTTATCCCTATGGGGAGTCTATCAAAAATTATCTGATTACACATAGAAAAAAATCCCCCAAATTAGAGTTGGGATGGGAAGTATGATTTGGTTAGCCAGCTGGGCTCCACAGCATATTAGAGCTGGAATCTTAATTTTAAGCAGAATAAGATATAAGGGGTCCAATATCTATTGAAATTATAAGCAACCTTTTGTGTGGCTGTGTACTTCTCTGGGGAAGCATGAATAGGCTTTATGAGATTCCCCCAAACAGCCACAACCTTGAAAAGTTGAGATCTCTTTCCAGGCAGATGAGTCAGTCTTCCCTCACTCTCCCATATAGGGTCTCTGCCAGGGAGGAATGCCAGCCCCAATGCGTACTGTGTTGATTTACTGAGAGCTTGAGTTGGAGAGCAGGAGCCACAATCTGATCCAAAGGCCAAGGCCAATGGTGTAAGTGGGTGAAGCGAGCCTGGGTGCAGGAGGGTGGCCAGAGACATGGATCCCCTTTCCAAAGGGAGCTGTCTTACCTTTTCCAGGGTGAGTTTTTGCCAAGCAGCAGTGCAGCCTACTTGCTGGATGTGTACATATCTCCCAGCATTTAAATGTCAGCAACTAATTCAAAATTTTGAAGAATACAGAACATACCCCACAAAAATGCTTATAGGCAGATTTGGCCAAGATCCTTTGGTTTGTCACTTTTCTGCCAGAGCAGCGGGTCCCATTGCAGGCAAAGTCAATTTCATAATGTATTTTTGGCCCCATTTTCATAGTGTATATTTGGTAACAGCTTCTTTTCTACTCCAAAATGAAATCTATACATAATGTAACTCACACATATAATCTTTTAAAAGTAAATATTTTGCCTTAACTGTAATACAAAGGAGAAGGAACAGGAAAGAAACTTGTAATAAATGTTTGTATTTTAACATGTAAATGCTCTAGTATGACTATATTAGAAGTTACAAAAGCCTGTATAAATCTCCAAAATGCTCCTTATGGGGCAGGATTGTCACCACTGAAAACCATGATGCTAGAGGCGACTTCCTCATCTAAATCCCATCTTGCTTCCTTAAAACTTTTCATTCATTAGTCTTGGCTCTGCCCTCTAGTGCCACATAGATCACATTTCATTTTGCCCTTATGGGGCAACTTTTCAAAAATAGGAAAAGAGTTTCTATCTCTCCCCTTAAGCCACTCACCCTTCTCATGCCCAGATCTTGTCTTCTCTGGCCAAGCCTTCCCAGTTCCTTCGACTATTCCTGACATAGTTCACCTTCTAACATCCTCTGTCATTCTGTTTTTCCTAAGTCTGGGTCCCTACCTCAGTCCTGAGTCCATCCTGCATGGTGGGATGTGTTTGAGCTGTCCTACACTTTCTTTCCTTACCCCCAACCAGGGGGCATTTATGGTCACCCGTGGGGGGATGCCTTAGATTGTGTGTTCCATGTGGCAGCCTTGGCCATTCTCCATGTCCCGGTGACTTAGGAGATGAAGCCCTTGTTCTGAGTGCTGGGCTGTGCCCTGAACATTCCATTATATTGAAGCAGCTCCAGTTGCCAGGTCTGACTGCATTTGCCCCATCGAATAAGCTCTAAGCTAATATTCTGACTTATGCAGTTAGCTGCAGCCACATCTCCTCATTTGCTGGCTCATTCAGCAGTTTCCTTTATTGCTTCCATCACCTTCTGAGTGCTGTTGTCCGTTCAACAGGTTAGCAGTTTTCCTAGTGTCCTGCTTTGCAGAGGAGGCCATTAGAGGAAGCCTGGGAAACTGATGAAATCAGTATTTTTTGCTCTTTTGTCCTAATGGGCTGTTTCCATCGTGCTCCACATCAACTACAGTGTGAAACTTGGCTGCCACTTTGAATCTACAACATGTTAAAACAACTTACTTAAGAATTCATGGGTTTAGCACAAAAATAGAGAGTAGAATGGTGGTTACTGGGGGCAGGGTGGGGTGGGGTGGGAGAAATGGGGACATGTGGGTCAAAGGATACAAACGTGCAGTTCTAAGATGAATAAGTTCCAGGATCTAATGTACAGCACAGTGACTATAGTTAATAATAATGTATCGTATACTTGAAGTTACCAAGGAGAGTTGGCCTTAAGTAATCTCCCCACAACAGAAATGTATGTGAGGTGATGGATATGTTAATTAGTTTGATGGTGGTCATCATTACATAATGTGCACATATATCAAAACATCATATTGTATGACTTGAAGGTTAATTGTAACAAGTTTTATTGTTAATTATACCTCAATAAATCTAAAAAAAAGCCCACAAAAATAAACAAAAAAATTCATGTGTAATTCATGAGTTTAGTTTTTTCTTTTTTTTGAACTGTAGTGTCAATAGGAGTTAACCACATTGCAGAATATGTAGGCTTTCAGCATCTCACTGACTTCTTCCTCGTCTGCACACTCCTTCCTCCTGGATTGCCCATGAAACTTCAAAGTACATTCCTTTTTGATGCAGAATAACTTCATTCTTATTTCTGGAGCTTTGGTCCTAGCCCCTCTATAGGACCTAACCAGGGGAGAGGGGTGAGGTAGGGAGAGAGGGGAGCATCTCACTGAGCACTCCAGTTTGGGTAAAATACTTTTTCAGAACGAAATACTTCCCTTCCTAAGAGAGGTGGTAATGCCAACTGTGAATTATAAAGGAAATAATTTTTAAAATTATAATTATAAAGAAAAGCATAACATTTTCTCTGTTCCAAATGCATTGCCATGCTTTATTCTATCCACCTATCTGGAATGACTACACATTTATTGTTTATTTGTGTATTATTCCCACATCGGTTTTTTGAGTGCCTGTTCCGTGCTAGGGAATGAGCTGAGGCCTGTGTATGTGGGATATGCAGGTCTGACGGAAAGGAACTGGCATTTTGGTAGCAGGCAGAAAAGTAAATAGACAAGTCAACCTAGCAAGGTTTGATGGCAGTGTCATTGGCTGTTATGGGTGCACAAAAGAGGACTATGGGATCTGGTCTTCAGAGATCAGGGGACCCTGGAAGACTGAGCTGATGTTGAAAGATGAGCAGGAGTTAGCCAGGTGAAGGAGGAGGGAAAGGGAGTGCCATGTAGATTGAGGAGCATGCGCAATGGATAACATGAGACCTGAAGAACATTTCAAAGGGAATCAGCCATAGGATCTGCTTGGGTGGCCTGCCGGGGATGATGGCAAAGGTGCATCCTGTGAAAGCCGAGCCCTTCTGACTGCACTTCTGCCTTGCAGGTAAAGGCCCATGAAGATTACTTGTGGCATTTCCTCAACAAAGCCTTAACCCTTGGTATCAAGAGCTTTACTTTTCTCATTTTCCCATTCAATTGCTATACTTCTGCTTCCTGCTGTCTTGGCAGTACACAAGGAAATGGAAACAATATGAATAGGTTCTTGTGAGATCTCATCTCTAAGTTAATGATAACCAGGACTTTGGGTTGTGGGTTTATCCCAGGTGGAGCTCCTCTATCATTCTCTTTTCTGATGACTTGAAGTTGAGTAGATCTAGGTTCCTATCTCAGTTCTACCATTTCCAGGTGTCTGACATTAGGCAAAATATTTAAGTCCTTTGAATATCAGTTTCCTTATCAATAAAATGAAGATAGGATAGTACCCATCTTACAGAGTTGTGATGATGTGAGCTAATGCTGGGTGCAGCAAAAGTATTCAGCAAAGTGGCTTTTGTCCTAGTCTGTATTGAGAATTTAAAATCCCACTCACTGAATAGAGAGATGGTGGCTATAGAATTTTGTGCCTATGTGGGGAAAAAATGGTTGAGAATTGAGTAAATGTGAGAGGGGATGAAGACAATCCTCTGGGAGACACTAGGTTTCACCCTCTCTTTTTATCGCTAAAATAAGAAAATAATAAAGGAAGTTGCCAGACCTGAGTGTCTTCCACTGCAAAATAAGGGTTGGATTAAGTGATGTTTTAAGACTATTTAAATCTTGTAGCACTTCATTCATTCTGGGTGTTGGAGTAATTGCTAATCAAGGGTTATCAGTTATAAAGGTACAGGACTTCTAAATTATGGTTATGTATTAGAGCCCCTAGGAAGCTTTGAAAAAATCCTGATGTGTGGGTTCCACTCCAGACATATAAAGTCAGAATCACTAGTGAGTGGTCACTGGACAAGGTGGGGCAGCCAGAGTTGAGGGTTACACTAGTGGCTAGAGTAGGAGTTTTGTCTTTGATTTCAGCTTACAGCATCATTTATAATGGTAAGTCACCAAAGTTGGAGAATTAAATGTCAACAGTTAATATTACAGCTCTTTTTGTTTGTTTAAAAACTTGTTTTTCTCCTTTAGTGAATAATTAAGCTTTTTAGAGATGTATATAATTGCTGGCCTTTGAATTTCCTCTACCAAAATATTCATAGCTTAAAGATGTATGTTGCCAATTATATTTTTAATTAGAATGGAAATGTGTTTAAAGCTCTTGCACAGAAATGTGTACTAAATCTGTTTTAGAGAAACTTACTTGTAAGGCTTTTTTTTTCTTTTTAGCCAATTCCAACTCAGGCTTTGGCCTCTATTCAAGAGAAGCCACTACAATGAAATATTTTCTGACACTGTGTGTAAATAGCTGTCCTGGATGTGTGTGTTCTTATTTATGTCAGAGTTCCTAAAAACTGCCACAAATAAAACCTGTTTTTTTTTTTTCAATGAAAAACATTCAAAATGGAAGAGGGAGGCATGTCATGTTGACCCAAAAATAGCATGAGCATAATGAGCCCAACATGGGAGAGGCTTTGAAGGCTCAAATCTTAATGGGAAATACTTGTGGATTTTACTTCACTATAATTGTAGGACAAAACATAATCGTATTTTAGCATGACAAATTCTTAATGTGTACTTATTGAACTTCAGTGTGTGGTCTGTTAAAAAGAATTTCATAGGAGACATTTCATAAATCTTATGTGCATATATATATATAATTTTTAGAGAGATAATAGCTATACAACTTGTTTAGTAGCTTGCTTTTTTCACTTATTAACCCGTTTATGCCTGAGGTTGCAAATTTTTGAATTTTTGCAATCAGACCTTGGTGATGAACTTGAGCAGTAGGATATAAATAACTCCCACATGCTTAGCATTCCAATAGTGGAAGACGAGGCATAAATGGCTACCATAAGATAGACATTCATCCTTATCCAAACCTGTAATCTCTGTCATCATTTTAATGACTGCATAATAGTTCTCATTATGGATATAGCAGAATTTATTTAACCAATCATTTATTTCTAGACATTTAGGTTGTTTCAAACTTCTCCTGTACTAAACAATGCTGCAATGAATATCCTTGTTCATATCTGTTCTTGTCTTTGTACAATAATTTTTAAGGATGAATTCATATAAGTGGAATTACTGGGTCAAGTAATGGTCATAATTTCAAGGATTTTGATACATATTACCAAATTATATTAAAAGCTGTATCAATTTACACTCCTACTGGAATAGTTATTTCTTTTTAACTTTTTAATTTTTAATTTTTATGGCTGCATAGTGGAACAGTTATTTCTTGTTCAGAAAATTCTTTTCAGCAATACAGGGTTGTCATCTGCAGAGTAATTTGAAATCCAAAGTAAAAATCTCCCCGTATAACTCAGCAAATAACTTCCAAATGCCCCAAGCTCATTCTGCAAGGTAAAATGCTAGAGGAAGCTAAACACATATTCAAGCAACAAGAGTGGAGGCCAGGGGGATGAAGAGGAGAAAGAGGTTGTTGACAATGAACTTAGAAGAAATCAGTACTTTTTACTTGCTCTTATCTTACCCAACCTCTGGAAAAAAATGAGCATCCTCCTTAAATTCCCAGTGGAATTTTAAGTGGGATTTCTAGTTTTCTCTTGTTTTTTGACATTTAGTTGGTCGAAAAGAAGGGAAAACTAGAAATTCTACTTAAAATTCCACCGGGTCTTATATTTGAGATTGGCAGCACTGAGGCATTCCAGATGGCTTTGTCCATTCTTTTGAACCTACCTTTTGATCTTATTTAAATTTCCTCCCCATTTCACCTGTTGTGGGTTTATTGCCTGGAAAACAAGCAGGTGAACATATTAGCTCCTTCTTAAGGCACCTCTAGACTACAGGAAATTTATGTTCAGGCCAGGAATCATATAACATGACTACATGCTCCACATTTATGGGCAAGTTAAGCAACAGGGAATTTTATACTGGGATTTATGACGCAAACTTGTAGCAGGCACATTGTGAGGTGGGAGGGAAATTTAAAGAAGGAAAAACTCTGCCAATAAGAGAGATTCAAATTCTTCAATTGATGGAAAAAACATGTGAGGATTTTATTCTGGAAGTTGCCTGTGAATTCACACAAGAGACAGGAAAACATAAATATTACAGCCGATCACTCCTCTTTCCCACATATATTAGTTTTCTTTCAGATGAAGTCATTTCTGTTTTCTGGTCAATCAGTGTACAGACCAGAATTATCTAAGAACATTTAACTAGATGCTTTAGCAACATTTATCCCCATTAATTCCAGGATAGAGGGAAGAAGAAAAGAGAAGCATGTGTTGAGTTGAGAGGGCAAGGCTTCTACATTCCCTAAAAAACTGACCTACACCTTGTGTATCCATCCTTATAGCCCATAAAAGCCAGCACAGAGGAGAGCACCAGCTGGAATCATTCAGTGAAGGCAATGGCTTTCAAAGACAGAGCTAGCGGCAGGTGGAATATAGATTAGGAGTCCTTTTATACTTCAAATAGTACTTGTTTTCAGTGTGAAGCAATGTGGTTCTCATATAGTCAATAAAGAGCAAATTCAGGGTATTTGCCCTTTGGCTAGTGAGGCTGATGACTTGTGGTAACTCCAGCATCACACCATCACCCGGGGAGTGCAGAGAACATTGGACTAAAATGCTGGAGGGTCTGGGTCCTGGCTTGGCAGAGCTGATTCTTCAGACTCATGCTGAGATCCATGGGCACACAGCGTAATGGCCAGGACAATTCTGAATGATTCTTGGGCTGCTGGTACAGTGGGTGCTTGGAAAATGGTTTCTCCAAGCTTGATTGGCTTTTCTCTGATCCTTATCATTTGGTCAGTGTCTTAGTCTGTTCAGGCTGCTATAACAACGTATCATAAACTGGGTGGTTTATAAACTTGTTTCCCACAGTTCTGGAGGCTGGGGAGTGGAAGATCAAGGTGCTGGCAGATTCATTGTCTAGTGAGGACTTACTTTCTGGTTCATACAAGGTAGTTTTTGCTGTGTGCTCACACGGTGGAAGGGGTGAGGGGTCTCTCTGGGGCGTCTTTTATAAGGGCATGAGTCACAGTCACCTCCCCAAATCCTCACCTCCTAATTACTGTCGACTTGGGGGTCAGGGTTTCAATATGTGAATTTTGAGGGGGCACATTCAGACCAGAGGAGTCAGCTATACTACATTGGGTGGACAGGCTATGTGTGATCCAGGGGAGTTTGAGTAAATGATCTCAGTTAGGAGTTACAGTTACTTGCCTAGAAGTTATAGTTATTCCCATTCTAAATGTAGATAGGTTTGGTGGGGGGAACGATAAAAGAGAAGGGTCTTGGGATTCTAGGAATGACCAACAAGAGTCCACTGCTGGGAAAGATCGGATCATATGCTCCCTGAGGGGAGGCTTTGCTGATTTTGTTCTTCACTCTTCTCCCAGTGGCACATAGTAGGAGCTTAATAAATATATCATGTTGCCCAAGACTAACAGGAATGGTGGGAAGTGACACCACTAGTTGTGACAATAGCAAAGCTTTAACGTTCTCCAAAGAGACTAGCTTACGGGTTTAGGAATATGCAAAATGGCCCCAATATTAATTTCTACTTTTCTTCCGCACATGCACTATGGGCTGGAATGGGCCAGGGGTTTGCTTGTTTAAGATTACTTGACACATTATTGCTGAGGAATACAAATTCAGAGCCCGGGCTTTGTTTCATACTCCTTGTTAAATACAAAATAAGGAGTCGGATCCTAACTGAAGAGGAAACGCATGTCATAGAGCAGTGGTTATCAGAAATGATCGTGTGTCAGTCTGAGTGTGAAACACAGATGGCTAGGCCCCAACCCCAGAGTTTCTGACCCAGTGGGTTTGGGGTAGGGCTGAGAAGGTGCAGTTCTAATAAGTTCCCAGGTGATGCTGATACAGCTCCTTTAAGACCAAACTTTGAGAGCCAATGGAAAAGAGGAAAACGCACTCATATTGGAATGAGACGAAGCTGGACTCCTATCTTAATTGCTATGTGATTTTGGTCAGGTCAACTTTGCTTAGCTTCAGCTTTCTCATCTGCAAAATGGTGATGATATCTACCTCATGAGGCTATTGTGCGGGTTAAATGAAGTAAAGTGAGTAACGGTGGCTGGTCCATGGTAGTCACTCACTCCAGTGATGTAAGATCTTCTTCCCTTACTCCTTTTGTGGGATACTCATACAATGCAAGGCTTGTTTAAGGATTAACATCTGTGTGAACTGAGCTTCTGCTGTATTAATTTCACATTGCCACTTATATATGTCCTGAGGTTTTTGCTTTTATTGAACATTTACTATGTGAATGGCATTGTGTGAAATAACTTTTACATTTTATATAACATTAGATATTATTCCTTTTTAACAGATGAGGATAGTAACTTGCATATGAGCCTACAGCTAGTAAGTGGCAGAGCTGAGTATTCAAACCAAGGTCCACTCCACACCAACACTCTTGACTTCTTTGTTATAATGGTTCCCATGATTCTCTGTGAACAGAAAATGTCAGATTATTATGTTGTTTTCTTTCCTTTTTTTTTTCTCTGAGATGGAGTTTCACTTTGTTGCCCAGGCTGGAGGGCAGTGGCGTGATCTCAGCTCACCACAACCCCTGCCACCTGGGTTTAAACAATTCTAGTGCCTCAGCCTCCCAAGTAGCTAGGATTACAGGTGCCCACCACCTCACCTGGCTATTGTATTTTTAGTAGAGCCGGGTTTCACCATGTTGCCCAGTCTGGTCTCGAACTCCTGACCTTAGGTGATCCACCCACCTTGGCCTCCCAAAGTGCTGGGATTATAGGTGTGAGCCATGGTGCCTGGCCTCATGTCCCTTTCTGTAATTAGTCACTCACATTGAGGAAACTAAGCAATTATCCTGAGAATGTGAACGAAAAGGTATGGGGATTTGTATGTATCTTTAAGTCAAGGACTCTGTTTTACTCATCTCACCATGCTATCTTGTGTGGAGAGGAGCTCTATATTTGTGAAATTAACAAATGAATGAAAAGCTCATATCAAATGACATCCTCACCTGCCTTAATAAGAGAAGAAAGAAAGATCCCTTGGAAGAGATCCAAGTGGGCTCCTGAAAGTCAAAGAGAGAAAAAGAAGGCAGCCAAAAAAAACAAAAAAACAAAAAAACAAAAGGCCTTTAACCTTGATCCTATGACTTTATAGGTTCCCTCTTTCCCATGATTCTTTCCTTAGGGTGGGCTTGCCTGGGCAGTGCTTTCCCTACCCTTTGCAATTGAGCACGAACAGCCTGTTTTGGGAGTTACACGCATGCCCATCTGAGGCTTTTTCAAGTGGCCTCTGCCCCTGGAACGTCATCCTTCGCCATTTTGTCTCTTAACACGCATGCCCAAGAAGCTGCTTCTCCCTGGGGTCTGCATTCAGTTAACACTTTTAGTGTTAACAGGTGTGGACCATCAAGAGCTTGTCTCTCCCTGGCTGCCGAATTATCATTTTTAGAGAGGCAATGTGATGATTGCCAAACCATCATCCTGCATTTCTAGTGGGTAGGGGGAAGAGCCCTCTCCTGCCTGCTCATGCCTAACTACCTGTAACAGATTCACACTCATGGTTTGATTTACTAGAATACTTTGGAAAAGCAAACCAGGAACCCCTTCTATATTAGGACCCTTTGTGAATACTCGCAGGCAAAGGCACATCAGGACCCATTTTGAACACTCGCAGGCAAAGTTACTTTCGGATGACCTTGAGCCCTTCCATACTTGAATCTCGTGCCCCCAGGGAAGTAGTCCTTAACCTCTTTTTTTTCAGTCAGTTGCTTACCCCATGATCCCTTACTTCTTCCATAAGAAAGGCCTAGCATTTCTTTTCTTTCAGAAAATAAAATTTCTCTGAGCAAGGAAGGCCACAGGGCTGGCCCGTCAGGGATGGAAGGGTGAAAACAGAAGGCTTATGTCAGGGCTCTGATTTGGCAATCATCTGGAAGATACATGTCAAATTGCCCACTCCTGCTCACTGGCATTCCTGAGGCAGAGTGACTGCCCCATGGGATTGGCTGAGAATAGCAATAAGGGTGTAGTACAGGCAGGTGGGTTACGAATGCTGACAAGGTGGTGGCTTTATGCTGTTTTTCTTATGTGCCCTGTAGGGCTCTGCTTCCTACCTTGGAGCAGACTCACTCTCAATATTTTTGTCCACACAGGTGTTCCAAGGACAAATTTTAGTTATGCCACAAGTATCTGAGAAAATAATGGAAAAAATTTTTCCAAAACCCAGCTATTTCCAATAAGTAACATTTAGTCAATAAGTACCAGTTAATTGTACCAGTTAATTACTCCACATGTCTGCTCTGAATGGTGGCACCTGTTAACTTATCTGTTGTTAAATATTATGGCTATAATATTTAATATTCAATAAAAATACATAACATAATATATCAAATATATGTTATATTTAATATATTGTTATATTATTAAATATAATATGTTAAATTTAATATATTGTTATATTATTCAATATAATATGTTTAATTTAATATATTATTACCATAATATATTATGGTAATAGAAGTTATTAAAGCAATTTTATTTCTATACCTTGCAAGATCAGTGGGCCAGTGACATGGCATGATTTCCTCATATTGTGCCTGCATTGTATTGCCTGTTTGATACTGGGCAGGCAAGAATGGGTTGGATGGTGGTTACTCTTGAGTAACTGGACTCAGAAGAATGTCTGATGGTGGGACATACGACACAAAATTTGCACAAAAGGAAAAACTGTTTAAGCTCAGATTCCAATCAGAACATGACTCTCCTTCCTTGCATTCTTCTCCCATTTTTCTCTCCCACCTCCAGGTCACAGCAGCAATGCAAAGAAGGCAGACACAGAATACTCAGCTTATAGAGAAAATCCATTGCCTGGGTAACACATAAGGCAGGCAGCCAGTATTTCAGGGGATATTGGAGAAAAATTATTTTCTATTGAAATTGGTTGGTAAAGATGATTCTTAAATTGCACTTTGATTGATTGCATTGCACATGAAGAGATTAAGAATACTTTAAAATAATTGAAAGAACCTTGATTCAAAGACATACCCATCTCAGCACAGGCTGGCACAGGAGAAGCACACTGTGTGGCATAGTATGAGATCATCAGAAGCTGGAGGAAGAGGAACTCAGGCCACATCTGCCTCAAACTCTAGTTTCATCTTGCTAAGCTGCTTATCTGACCATAACAACAATGCTAGCTCCATGCACTGTGGCACTGAGTACAGCAGAGATGAAATATTGAACATGGTATTCAGACTAACTGGAGTAAGCAGAGTGACATCCTTTTCTCTTTTTAATAGAAGTGAATGCAAAATGGGAATGAGAACCATTGTCATGTAAATAAAAAGTAAATACGTTTATTTCTCAAAAGCAAGACACATTTCCCTGAGAATACAAGAGAAGAAAATGGCATATCCAAATGTGTACTTTCATACTTAACTATTCACATATATAAGGCAATTAATTGCTCCTGAGTTACAGTCATGTATCACTTAATCATGAGGATATATTCTACACTTGATCTTAGCCAAAAGGCTGAGAAGCGATAATGATGAAGATATCTTCTAAGAAATGTATTGTTAGGTGATTTTGTCATTGTGGAAATATCACAGAGTGCACTTACACAAACCTAGATGGTACAGACTACTACACATTCAGGCTATATGGTATAGCCTATTGCTCCTCGGCTACAAACCTGTACAGCAGGTTATTGTACTGAATGCTGTAGACAATTGTAACACATTGGTAAATATTTGTGTGTCTAAACATATCTAAGTATAGAAAAGGTACAGTAAAAATATGGTATTATAATCTTACAGGACCACTGTTGTATTTGGGGTCCGTCACTGAAACATCATCATGTGGCACATGATAGACGTATTTTCTTGGGGGTTCTGTCAAATCACAGCATGGCTTCAGTTTTTTTTTTTTTTTTTTTTTTTTTTTTTTAGGACAGGGTCTCACTCTGTTGCCCAGGCTGGAGTGCAATGGCATAATCACGGTTCTCTGCAGCGTCAGCCTCCCTGGGCTCAGGTGATCCTCTCACCTCAGCCTCCAGAGTACCTGGGACTACAGGTGCATGGCACCACACCCAGCTAATTTTTGTATTTTTTTGTAGAGATGGGATTTCACCATGTTGCCCAGGCTTATGGCTTCAATTCTTAATAGACATTTGGAAGCAAAACACAAAATCATAGTATGTTAAATATTTTTTCAGTTTAACTCAGCATGTGTTAATTGGACAGTTATATATCTGAAATTATATTAGATGCTGGGATATGAAGATGATTGATAAAAACCACATGTCAAGACCCCTTTTCATGATCAAGGTAGCTTATTAAGGGGTGTGTGTGTATACTTCTGTTAGTTTGTGTGTGTGAATAGAAACAGGAGTGGAAGAAAACTTTTTTTTTAAAAGAAAGTATTCAGTTCCCTGATTTTAAAAAGATTAGGAAAAAAAGCAGCTAGGCACAATGGCTCATGTCTGTAATCCTACCACTTTGGGAGGCTGAGGTGGGTGGATCATGAAGTCAAGATATTGAGACCATCCTGGCCAACATGGTGAAACCCCATCTCTACTAAAAATACAAAAAAAAATTAGCTGGGCGTGGTGGCGGGCACCTGTAGTCCCAGCTACTCAGGAGTCTGAGGCAGGAGAATGGCTTGAACACGGGAGGCGGAGATTGCAGTGAGCCAAGATCACACCACTGCACTCCAGTCTGGCGACAGAGATGATGTCTTTTGCTTTGCAGAAGCTTTTTAGTTTCAGTAGGTCCCATTTATCCATTTTGGTTTTTGTTGCCTTTGTTTTTGGGTTCTTTTTCATGAATTTTTTGCCTAAGCCAATGTCCAGAAGAGTTTGTAACGTTATCTTCTAGAATTTTTATGGTTTCGGGTCCTAGATTTAAATCTTTGGTCTATCTTGAGTTAATTTTTGTATAAGATGAAGATGGGTATCCAGTTTCATTCTTCTACATGTGGCTTGCCCTATTTATTGTATAGGGTGTCCTCTCCCCTATTTATGTTTTTGTATGCTATGTTGAAGATCAACTGGTTGTATTTGGTTTTATTTCCGAGTTCTCTATTCTGTTCCATTGGTCTACATGCCTATTTTTATACCAGTACCATGCTGTTTTGGTAAATACAGCCAGCCTATAGCCTGGTAGTATAATTTGAAGTTGGGTAATGTGATGCCTCCAGATTCATTACTTTTGCTTAGAATTGCTTTGACTATGTGGGCTCTTTTTTGATTCCATACATATTTTAGGATTGTTTTTTCTAGTTCTATGAAGAATGATGATGGTATTTTGATGGGAATTGCATTGAATTTGTAGATTGCTTTGGGCAGTATAGTCATTTTCACAATACTGATTCTACCCATCCATGAGCATGGGATGTGTTTCCATTTTTTTGTGTAATCTATGATTTATTTCAGCAGTGTTTTGCAGTTTTCCTTGTAGAGGTCTTTCACCTCCTTGGTTAAATATATTCCTAGGTATTTTATTTTTTTTATAGTTGTTATAAAAGGGATTAAGTTCTCAGCTTGGTCATTGTTGATGTATAGCAGTGCTACTGATTTGTGTACATTGATTTTGTAACCTGAGACTACTGAATTCATTTATCAGATCTAGGGGCTTTTTGGATGAGTCTATAGGGCTTTCCAGGTATATGGTTATATCATTGCTGAACAGTGACAGTTTGACTTTCTTTTTTTTCCAATTTGGATGCCCTTCATTTATTTCTCTTGTGATTGCTCTGTCTAGGATTTCCAGTACTATGTCGAATAGAAGTGGTGAAAGTGGGTATCCTTGTCTTGTTCTAGTTGTTACAGGGAATGCTTTAAACATTTCCCCATTCGGTATGATATTGGCTGTGGGTATGTCATATATGGCAGGGGTCCCCAACCGCCAGGCTGCAGACCGTACTGGTCCATGGCCTGTTAGTAACTGGGCCTCGCGGCAGGAGGTGAGTGGCTGGTGAGCAGGCATTACCACCTGAGCTCTGCCTCCTGTCAGATCAGTGGTAGCATTAGATTCTCATAGGAGCATGAACCGTATTGTGAACTGCGCATGTGAGGGATCTAGGCTGCGCAATCCTTATGAGAATCTAACTAATGCCCAGTGATCTGAGGTGGAACAGTTTCATCCTGAAACTCCCACCCCACCTCACAAAACAGTCTCCCACAAAACCAGTCTCTAGTGCCGAAAAGGTTGGGGACTGCTGATATACAGCTTTTATTACTTTGAGGTAAGTCCTTTCTATGCCTATTTTGTTGAGAATTTTTTATTTTTAATCATAAAGCAATGCTGGATTTTATCAAATGCTTTTTCTGTGTCCATTTTTGTTCATAATTCTGTTTATGTGATGTATGACATTTATTGACTTGCTTGTGTTAAACCATTCCTGCATCCCTGAGATGAAACCTACTTGATCATGATGTATCATCTTTTTGATGTGTGCTGCTGGATTCAGTTAGCTAGTATTTTGCTGAGGATTTTTGCATCTATGTTCATCAGGGATATTGGCCTATAGTTTTCTTTATTTGTTATATCCTTTCCTGGTTTTGGTATTAGGGTGATACTGGCTTCATAGAATGATTTAGGGAGGATACCTTCTTTTTCTGTCTTTTGGAATAGTTTCAGTAGGATTGGTACCAGTTCTTCTTTGAGTGTCTTGTAGAATTCAGGTGTGAATCCATCTGATCCTGGACATTTTTGTTGTTGGCAATTTTCAAATTATTGATTCTATCTTGCTGTTTGATATTGGTCAGTTCAGGGTTTCTATTTCTCCCCAATTTCATCTAGGAAGGTTGTATGTTTCCAGGATTTATCCATTTCCTCTGGATTTTCTAGTTGATGTGTGTAAAAGTGTTTTTAGTACCCTTGAATGATCTTTTGTATTTCTGTGGTGTCAATTGCAATCTTTCCAGTTTTATTTCTAATCGAGCTTATTTGGATTTTCTCTCTTCCTTTCTTGACTAGTCTTGCTAATGGTCTATCAATTTTGTTGGTCTTTTCAAAGAACCAGCTTTTTGTTTTATTCATCTTTTGTATCTTTTTTTGGTTTGTTTTAATTTCATTTAGTTTTGTTCTGATCTTTGTTCTTTCTTCTGCTATGTTTGGGTTTAGTTTGTTTTTGTTTCTCTAGTTCCTTGAGATGTGACATTAGGTTGTCAATTTGTGCTCTTTCAGACTCTTTGATGTAGGTATTTAACACTATGAACTTCCCTCTTAGCACTGCTTTTGCCGTATCTCAGAGGTTTTGATAAGTTGTATCAGTATTATTCATTTCAAATAATTTTTAAACTTCCATCTTGATTTCATTGTTGACCCAAAAATCATTCAAGAGCAGATTATTTAATTTCAATGTATTTTTATAATTTTGAGGGTTCGTTTTGGAGTTGACTCTCAGTTTTATTCCACTGTTGTGTCTGAGAAGATACTCGATATGATTTTGGTATTCTTAAATTTATTGAGACTTGTTTTGTGGCCTATCACATGGTCTATCTTGGAGAGTGTTCCATGTGCTGACAAGAAGCTCATGAGAATGTATATTCTGCAGTTGTTGGGAAGAGTGTTCTGTAAATATCTGTTAAGTCCATTTGTTCTAGGGTATAGTTTAAGTCCATTGTTTCTTTGTTGACTGTCTTGACCTGTCTAGCGCTGTCAGTGGAGTACTGAAGTCCCCCACTATTATTGTGTTGCAGTCTATCTCATTTCTTAAGTCTAGTAGTAATTGTTTTGTAAATCTGGGAGCTCCAGTGTTAGGTGCATATATATTTAGGATTGTGATATTTTCCTGTTGGACTAATCCTTTTATCATGATATAATGTCCTTCTTGATCTTTTTTGACTCTTGTTTTCTGAAAGTCTGTTTTGTCTGATTCAAGAATAGCTATTCCTGCTTGCTTTTGGCTTCCCTTTATGTGGAATATCTTTTTCCACCCTTTACCTTAAGTTTATGTGAGTCCTTATGTGTTAGGTGAGTCTCTTGAAAATAGCAGATACTTGGTTGGTGGATTTTTTTTTTTTTTTAACCATTCTGCCATTCTGTATCTTTTAAGTGGAGCATTCAGGCCATTTATATTCAATGTTAGTATTGAGATATGAGGTACTATTCTATTCATCATGCTAGTTGTTGCCTTAATACCTTGTGTTTTTCACTGTGTTATTGTTTCATGTGAGATTTATGCTTTAAGGAGGTTCTATTTTGGTGCATATCAAGCTTTTGTTTCAAGATTTAGAATTCCTTTTAGTATTTCTTATAGTGCTGGTTTGGTAGTGGCAAATTCCCTCAGCATTTGTTTGTCTAAAAATGACTAGCTTTCCTTCATTTCTGAAGCTTAGTTTTGATGAATACAAAATTCATGGCTGACAATTATTTTGCTTAAGGAGGCTAAAGATAGGACTCCAATCCCTTCTGGCTGGTAAGGTTTCTGCTGAGAAATCTGTTAGTTTGATAGGATTTTCTTTATAGGCTACCTGATGCTTTTGTCTCACAACTCTTAAAATTCTTTCTTTCATGTTGACTTTAGATAGCCTGATGACTATGTGCCTTGGTGATGATCTTTTTGCAATGAATTTCCCAGGTGTTTTTGAGCTTCTCATATTTGGATATCTAGCAAGGCCAGGGGAAGTTTTCTTCAATTATTTCCCCAAATAAGTTTTCTGAACTTTTAGACTTCTCTTCTGCCTCCAGAACAGCAGCTATTTTTAGTTTTGGCCATTGTACAGAATCCCATATTCTTGGAGACTTTGTTCATTTCTTTTGATTCTCTCTTCATTATCTTTGTCTGTCTGGGTTAATTAGAAAGCCTTGTCTTTGAGTTCTGAAATTCTTTCTTCTACTTGTTCTAGTCTATTGTTGAAACTTTCCACTGCATTTTGTATTTTCCTAAGTGTATCTTTCATTTTCAGAAGTCCTGATTGGTTTTTCTTTATGATAGCTGTCTGTCTGGAAAATTGTTCATTCGTATCCTGAACTCTTTTTCCATTCTTTATGTTGGTTTTCACCTTTCTCTGGTATCTCCTTGAGTAGCTTAATAATCAACCTTCTGAATTCCTTATCTGGTATTTAAAGATTTCATCTTGGTTTGCATCAGTTGCTGGGAAGCTAGTGTGATCTTTTAGGGGTGTTATAGAACTCTGTTTTGTCATATTACCAGAATTACTTTTCTGGTTCCTTCTTATTTGGGTAGACTATTTCTTCAAATTGTTCTTGAATTTAATTTTGATTTGACTATGTGCGTGTGTGTGTGTGTGTGTGTGTGTGTGTGTGTTTGATGGAGTCTCACCCTGTTGCTCAGGCTGGAGTGCAATAGCGTGATCTCAGCTCACTGCAACATCCATTTGAGGCTGACCTCAGCCTCCCAAATGCTGGGATTACAGGTGTGAGCCACCACACCTGGCTGACTGTGGTTTTCTTTTTTTTTTTTAATTTCTTTTTTTCCCTCTGAAGGATATGACTTTAATGTTTATAGTTTATTATAGCCTAATTTGATTCTTGATGCTTATAGAGGTGAAGACTCTCTCTGTATGAGTTCTTTAGTCATAGAGAGTCTTTGTGCTCTGGCTATTCCAGGTGCTAGTTATAGTAGTTATGTGCTTGGTGTGTGGGCAAGTTTACTATCTCCTATGGGGTTGGAATAACAAGGATCTCTTGAAGCTTATTTTATTCTCTCATGGTGTACACTTTTTTTTTTTTTTGGAGATGGAGTCTTGCTCTGTCACTCAGGCTGGAGTGCAGTGGTGTGATCTCAGCTCACTGCAAGCTCCACCTCCTGGGTTCATGCCATTCTCCTGCCTCAGCCTCCTGAGTAGCTGGGACGACAGGCTCCTGCCACCACGCCTGGCTAATTTTTTTGTATTTTTAGTAAAGACGGGATTTCACCGTGTTAGCCAGGATAATCTTGATCTCCTGACCTCATGATCCGCCTGCCTTGGCCTCCCAAAGTGCTGGGATTACAGGCATGAACCACTGCACCCGCCCATTGTGTACACTTCTTTTATTTATTTAATTTTCCTCCACTATTTTATTTTGTGAGTTGATGATTTAGGCTTCAGGCAAGGGGGAGAGATATCCCTGGGTAGGCACTGGTTGTAGCTAAAGCAGGTGGGTAGATGTAATACCTAACGGTGGGAAGAAGTTCCAGTCTTGATGAAGTTGGCTAGGGTAGTTCTCAATTTGATGTGCTGAGGTTTAATCAGAGTGACGGGTGGGAGCTACCTCATCTCCCCTGCCAGGCCAGCAGGAAAGCTATCCACTTTCCAGCCTCACTCCTGTCCCAGTGTTTCAGCTATTCAGATCAGACAAGCACCTCTTTTCATCTGTAGAAATGTTTATGTTCCAAGTAGAGAGGAGTTGTGACTGCCTTTCATGCAAACCTGAATCTGGGGAGTGCTCCTCCTGTGGAGATGCTGTCACCTGAATTGTTCTAGGAACGCCATCTATAGGTGCATACATGCCGCATTCCTGTGGGAGAAGCCCCAGCTGTGTCTGCAGTAGTGTACTGAAGGGGACAAGGACCCCTTCTCCAAGACCCTTCATGATCACAGAGGCTGCCTCCCTGTTGTGGTAGAAGTGTAGACTTTCCCTGCTGTGCCCAGCACTGCAATTGTGTCTCTGCTGTAAGAAACTCCTCACTAGCAGAAAGATCTGGGACTCAAGGTCTGCTGTTCAGATTTTTTTTGTCCCACGGGGTGTTCCCTTGATGTGGTGCTCTCCCTCTTCCCCTAGGAATGGGACTTTATGAGAGCCAGACTACAGCGTTGTTATTGTTCTTCTAGGTCTAGCCACCCAGTGGGGCTACTGACTCTGGGCTAGTGTCTGCAAGTGATCCAGTGATGTGACCTGACTTCAGGTCTCCCAGCAGTGGATACCAGCACAAGCCCTGATGGTGGTGACAGGGGAGTGACACAGACTCTGCGAGATTCCTTGGGTATAGATAGGCTTAATGTGCTGGCTTTCTTGTATGCTGGTTATAATTTTAGTGAACTTGTTACATGGACAGGCTTAGGCCCTCGGGTAATAGCTGAGGTCACACAGTTGATTTCTCCTTACTGGGTGCAGTGTTATTCTACTTAGAGGTGCCATAATGGACTGTGTCAGTTGGCTCCAGCCAAGAGGTGGCACTTGCAGAAGAGCACCAGCCACAGTAGTAGCAGTGGGATTTGAGCTTGCCCTAAGTTTTCTTGGGGAAGTATTCTGATTTCTCATGCAATGAGCAGGGCTATAAAGCTCCCCAAAGTTTATGTCCTTTGTGTTAAGCTACCAGGGCATGTGGAGGGGCACAACCAGGTGGGGGCAGGGTCAGACGGATATGAGGGTCTAAAGCTCTGACTCTCCTTCAGAAGGGCCCTTCCTGTGAGGGTTTGCGGGGTGATTTCAGGCTGCAGGGATAATGTTCCAGAGGGGAATAGAACTGCCTCTGCTGCACAGAAGAGTTTGCAAAGGGAGTGGGGAGTAGCCAGTGACAGTAAGCCTCACCCAGCTCCCACACAGTTGGTGAGGCCAATCTAACTCCCACAGTGCTCCACTAACAGCAGCAGGTTTAGATTCAGGCAGTCTGCACACAGAGCTGAGACCTGCCCCAGGCCATCAACTTCCCCACAGAGATAGCAACCTCAGCTTTCAGGCTACGCTCCTTCCTGCCTGCCCACAAGGCCAGTGCCCAGCTCCTGTGTTCACTTGTGTCTGCAGTGCACTTCCTGCTCCCTGCCTTTTCCCCCTGCCACTGTTCTGGTCAAAGGAGTTCTTCCCCACTTGAGATCATACCACAAAATTTAGTTGGGAGCTTCTTTCACCCTGTGACCCCTCCCTGAGCTTGTTGGCTGACTTCTCCAATGGCCCCTATAAGATATAGTTAGGAATGTCTTCCTTTGGTTCATGCTGGAAACTGGGAATGCCTGCAAGTCACTTTCTGCTGCTGCTTCCATTTTTATAGTTCATGTTGCTCTCTAAATCCATTCCAGTTCAGGTAGGGTTAAGGCCTTCTCTCATGGTCTGGATTTTCAGATTCCTTGGTAGGGATGTGTACTCTGGAGGCTGACTCTCTCCCTCTCACACTCAGGACTTACAGTTTTTCACCAGTCTCATGGAGTAGGCTGCAGCCTGCCACTTTTTTCAAAGAATCTGTGGTTTCTTTAGGTTTTTCTGTTAAGTTCCTGCATTGGTTCTTGGGGGAAAAAAATCACAGTGTGAAACTCTACACACTATTCTGTCCTTCCAGGTGGGAGAGGCATGCTAATACTGCCTCTAGTCTGCCACCTTGGAAAAAAAAATCCATTTTGGATTAAAAAAACTTTTTAAAGGAAAGAGAATGAAAGTTACTAAATCCTAGAAAAGAAAGAACTTGAAAAAGAGGAAGAGGAAAGAAGGAAACACTAGAAATCCTACATATCTGAGAAGTACAAACTAAATGATGAGAAACTAGATGAGAAAATTGGGGCATTCCCTTGATTCAGTGAGGAATAGCCATGACCACCAAGGTGAGACCATCAGCTATCATATTTGCAGTTGTTTTCTGTGTCAGTTCAGCCCTATAGTTATAAAAAATATTTGAGTGATTTGGGGGTGAACTGAGTCAATAGAAAGCTATCCTTTTAGTCTGACTGTTGCTTTACATCCAAGTCCCTGTCAGCTATTTAGGGTAGCATGAGAATCCCAGGCCTTAAAATTCAAGTTTCAGCTAGTTTGCCTCCACAAGGCTTGGGAGACAAACCAAAGCCTTTGGGGAGTGTGTGTGTGTGTGTGTGTGTGTATGTGTCTCTGTGTGTAACAGTACACGTTTTACAATATTTCTCTGTGATGATTTGGGTGAAAATCTCATGCATATTTGCCAATAGTTGTGGTCCCATCACTCCTTGTTGGATATGAAGCATCATTACATGATCTTGTTCACAGCCTTTGGTGGGTCAGATTATGAAATCATAACTCTTCAAAGAAAATCTTTGAGGGCAGGATGTAAAGTCCACTGGAAATCACTAGGAAATATGAGGAGCTCTGAGTTCTGTTCTTAATTTTTCCAAAGCCTCGCCCTATGACTAGAGCAAGAGATTTCAGTGTTTGCTGGTGAGCAATCTATCAGTTTGGACACTTAAAAATTTCTGTGGAGTAAAAAGAAGTGGTCACATTTACGCACGTCACCACCAGTAGCAAAGTAGGTCCTGAGTTCTGTGGCAACTTCTTCCTGACCTAAACCCCATTTGAGGACATCTGGGAACCCAGGTACCCTAATTTCTTTCATTCATTTAGCAGCATTACTGGATTTCAGTCCCCATGGGAGCTTCAGGAATGGCTGGGAATAGCCATTTTCTCCACTTCAAGCAGTGAAGAAAATGTGCTCCTTGCTATAGGCAGGAACAGCAGAAGTCTTAAACGGTTTTAGATCTCAGTTCTCAGCACATGTTTACTTCACAGAGCAGTGTTTACTTCACAGCAGGCGATCAAGTAATGTTAAAGTTGAAAGAGGATCTGACTCTCAGGGTGCACAAAGATTTGACAATTTTCTTTAGACATCATTAGATTCTCTCTAGTGTATATGCTTTTTTTAAAAAAATAAAAACAAAAAACAATCCTGGAATTCTTAGAATCCCAGAATTCTGGGAAACAAACAGGAAATTGTCAGGTTGGAGTGATTCTGCTTCATGGCTCTCCATAGATAATTTAAAAGTGAATGGCTCTGTGATTGGTCAAGCCACAGATGAGTTCCTTAGAGACCAGTGGGGAATGCATATTTAAGGCGTGATGGTGATCAGGACTGTTCTAAAGTGAGTTATGGTGCTAAACACTGTACCACAAGCACACATGATGGAAGTCTATCTTTGAGCTTAGAGTTAGTCCACCCTCCCTTCATATGGTGAACTCTAAACTGGTTTGCAGTGAAGAAAACATTCTTAATAAAGAACCCCACATGAGGAAGGGATGCCTACGGTGCCCTCAGAGAAGCCTGCTGTGACTCCAAAGGCTGTTAACATGCCTGGTTTCACCCTCTTGGAGACCACGTCCTTTTCTCCAGAGCACAGATCTTGCTGTGCATGGAAACAATTACCCATGTCTTCCTAGGCTTCATCAGTGCAGGGATTGGGTGTATTTTTATTCACTACTGAGTCCCTAGCACCTAGTATAATGTCTGGCACAAAGTCAACACTAAGCACATAAATGAACCAGAGCTTCCATGAATGAACTTGCGCTATCGTTCTAGATGTAAGAGTCATAGTATCAAGGGGTCACTCAGAATACCTGCTGCTATTAGCTCTGTTGAGTTGCAATTCTGCTCACTCCTTCCACTATTAAAAGAAAACTAAAGGAAGTATATGTATTTATGTATGTGTGTGTACACACATTTGTATTATATATACATATATGTATATGAGGCATATATACACACATTCATATATTCATACATTCATATTCATATTCATTCATATATGTGTGCATACATCTACATACATACCTATATATGTGTATATATGGCAAAGTCATAAAAGCAAACAGCAAATTGAGACAAATACATGCAGTAAATATGAAAATATATAATATCCTTATTGTATGTTGGGGAATATCAGCTATGTAAAATGGAAAGAGAAAGAAAATTTGCCATTTCAAAGTTAGTAGTAGCCTCTTTGTATATAATATGGCTGCACGTTGGGATTATCTTGGAAGATTTAAAACATTCTGATGCCTGGATCTGACTGGAAGGTTCTGATTTAATTGTCATGGGGCATGGCCTGGACACTGAGTTTTCAAGATCTCTCCAGGTGTATGAGTCTGCTCAGGCTGCCATAACAAAATGCCACTGTGTGGATTAAACAACAGAAACTTATTTTCTCACAGTTCTGGAGGATAAAAGTCTAAGACCAAGGTGCTGGCAGGGTTGCTTTCTGGTGAGGCCTCTTTTTCTTAGCTTGCAGGTGGCTGTCTCTGTGTTGTGTCCTCACATGGTCTTTCTTCTGTGTGCATGGAGAGAGAGTTCTGGTGTCTCTTCCACTTCTCATAAGGACTCTAGTTCTCTTGGATCAGGGCTCCTCCCTTATGACCTCATTTAACCTTAATTACCTCTTTAAAGACATTGTTTCCAAATGCAGTCACACTGGGTGTTAGGGCTTCAACATATGAATTTTGGGAGGACACAGTTCAGTCCATAACACCAATGTAGAGCTAAGGCAGCAAAGCATTGGTCTAGGGGCAGACAGCAAATCATTTTGAGGAGATTCTGTTACTTCTGTGAGAAACCACTCTGAATCTATGGCAACTTGTTATCTCTTGCCCTAGAAGTGCCCCAAGGAAGGAGGACCTTTCCTTGTGATTTGACAGAAGATCACTGTGGAGAGGGAATGAGGGTCCTTTCATGAGGAATGGGATCAAGATTTCGACCCCTACGTTTTTGATAGACAACCTTCTAGTGGATTGAGATGATCTCAATGAAGGTCACCAGAAAGAAAAGATCCTAAAGGATCCCAAGAAGAATTTTTTGTGAGAGAAGAGGGAGTCTGGTAATCTGGGCCCAATGTGAGGCCATGTTTATAGCAGCAATCATAAAAACAGTGGCTTATTGCCCCAGGACTCTTTTACCTGAAGTAATTTTGTTGGTCTCGCTCAAAGTGTTTGGCTTCAAAGTAGGTGACATTCAGTGATGGATAGTCCCACCAGGGTGTCATGGGTGGGAGAACATTGGTTCTCTAACGGAAAGATGAATAGTAGTTTGGCAACAAACGGTAGATGTGCATCCTTCTTCCAGCTCAGGTATGAACTCGTTGAGGGCAATGACTGTGCTTGGCTGCACAGTTTCAACATTCTTTGAAGATATGGAGGTAATTAATGATCAGTTCACTGCACTCTTCTCAGCTGAGGCTTGGCCTTAGACACTTAGTTTCCCTGCCTCCAGATTATTTTCTTGGACTTGTGAGCGATAAGTCATTGGAATGGAAGAAAGTCTTTATACACAAGTAACTTCTATGTTCTGAAAGAGAAAGGTAAGAGGTGCCTCAGCCTTGGTGTTAAGCCTGTGAGACCCTTTGAGCCATGGGGGCAGAGGCTGCTGGCACTCGCCCTGGAAGACAATTTAATCCAGGTCTCAGCCATCCTTGAAGTTTTTTGCATGGTCTTAGTGAGTCTGTGTGAGCATCACTTCAGATGTGGTGAGAAGCTTACATGGAAACTATTACATCAAAACATTTCATTTAGTTGGGGGACTGTTTGGAAAAATCCTATTTTTTTTTGAAGGAACAAAGAGAAGTTGATGAAAAGATTTGAGGTTATAATGACCAAAGTCTCCACTGCCTTCCTTCCCTCCCCTCCCCTTCTTCCAAAATGAGAGAAAAGAAATAAAGCTGGAGAAATATCTTGAATGTAATAAGTCTGGCAGGCCAGGCTTTTAGTGAGGATAGCGTGTCATTGTAATACCTTTTAATTATAGCTGTATAATTATAAATAGGAAAGAAATTAAAAGATGAAAATGTGGTTTGTAATGAAATTACCATAAATACCATGGCAGACTTTTAAGTTGTCATGCAAATTCATAATACAAAAACATGAATGTGGAAGTTAATTTCTCCTAAAACTAGAAATTAAAATTTTGTGGACTCGTGGTCTTCCTTGTTAGCTTGGCATTTCCTCCTGAGTACACATAAGCACTGTTAGTTATGCAGACATAAACAGACCTTTAAAGAGTTAGTGTCCTGGCTGGCAACCCTTATGTTCTCCAGGCCACCTGGGCAAGCTGACATAGAAATGACTCAGGTTCCAAAGACAAATGGTGGAGACATGAAAAGAAAGCTAGTCCAATTGCCTGGACATTTTCAGTTACTTCTCCATTTGGAAGCAGGCATGTATTTTGTTTGTGATGCACGAGTTTATCTAGCCCTCTTTATTTAAAAGCCCATTTTACTTCCCATTGAACTGACACATTTTCATGATTGAGGATAGGGGATCATAATTGCAAATTGCTACATTGGTCCTGAGGCCAAAACTCAAGGTAGTAGATTGGAGACTTAGACAGCTTACATCATCCTTTAGTGCCTTCATGCTTCCCACAGGCTAGCTCCTGTTTGTTGAAATACTGCTCATGGGGTCAATATCATGAGGTCAACTTCCTAAGCCTGTTCCTTAGCTGCACACTACTAAGACATCTTAAAAATGTGAAACCTTGATTCAAAGAGAGATCAAATAAGTGAGTCTGGCTCACTCACTATTGCAGACCTTTCTCTGACATTGTGAAAATGCTTAACACATGTACAAGTGATGGTAACTTGTGCCCTCTTTTTGCATATGAAAGAGACTTTTTTCTTTTTCTGAACCAAGAACAATTATTTTGCCATTTTAAAAAATACCATTGGCCTATGGGCTAGCACAATCAATTAAGAGGTATAATTTTATGCCTCTGCTATGAATAAGAGGTTATGCTGTGATGGCTACCTAAAGATAGGACAGCAAAGTAAATTTGAGGATGCCAAATAGAAAAAGATATTCAGGAAATAAAGGGGTAAATTGGAGAAGGCCTTGTATACTGGACATTTTTTTTTTTTTAAATATAGATAAGGAGACCCATGGAAGGTGTTTAGGCAAGGAAGTGACATGACAAAAGTGGTATTTTGGGATAAACTGAAAGAGAATAAGTAGGAAGGTGTTCACTGCCTGCCCTGTAGATTCTGTGGGAGCAGGAACACAGTGGCAACCGCCTGGCCTTAGTGTGATTCTGTGGGAGCCCAGCTGTTGGGAAGTGACTACTAGGGCTGTGTAGAAGGTCTGGCTCCTGAGAATTCTCTCCTCCCTCATCTCACTGTCTCCACCCAGTGGGCCAGGAGATTTCAAGTGAGGGATGTCGCCCTCTAAGCAGAGCAGTATCCCAGGTGGAAGAAAAGGGGGTTCTTGGAGGGCAGAAGCACCTGGCTGGGGATGTTTGCAGCTGTGTGTCATAGTGGAGGTGAAGTTTGAAATGGCCTCAAGGGATTGGTCACATTTCTCTATACCCCTTTTTAAACTCTGAGGAAAGGATCAATCTAAGACCTAGGTGACTTTGATTGGTCCCTCCGTCCAGAGCCACTGTGCTAGCCAAGCCAGCAGATGTGCTGAATACATCATGGGGGAAAAATATGGATAAATAGAGGAATTTGATTGCTATAAAATGAAGATAAGCTGAACAACCTATAGCAAAGGAAGTTAGAATTAGTGGACCAGAGACATAAGAATATAAAACAAACATAAATAGCCACAAACGGGGGAAAAGATAAAAATATCAGAAATAGCAAAAAGAAATGAGCATCACAAAGAATATTCAACTAGAGAATTGGGTAATAAGAAAGCAATAGATGAAATGAAGAACTCAATAAAGGGATTGAAGAGCAGAATGTAAACTTTGGATTAACTAATCAATGACCTGGAAGTCTCAAACCCCTAGGCAGCAGTAAGAAAGAGAAGGACTGCAGTGTTTTTGAAAGGACAAAAGGTTAGCACTACCCTTGACAAGGATGGAAGAGGCCCTCAGGCCTAAAAATTGAAAAAAAAAGATGAGGACTTCATAAAAAAGAGAATTAAATGATATGGCATATAAAAATAGAAATGTCAACATGATAACAATCTCAGAATGAGCCTGGGCAAACATGGCGAAACCCTGTCTCTATAAAAAAATGAAAAATTAGCTGGATGTGGTGATGCATGCCTGTGGTCGCAGCTACTCAGGAGGCTGAGATGGGAGGATCGCTTGAGCTGGGAAGGTCGAGGCTGCGGTGAGCGGTGATTGCACCATTGCACTCCGGCCTCCAGCCTAGGTCACAGAGTGAAACCCTGTCTCAATTAAAAAAAAAAAAAAAAAAAAAAGTAAAGTCTCAGAATGAGAGAGAAACAATAAACAGTAGTGGAGAACTATTTTGAATTAATGATAATCTACATAGAAATACAGATAAAAGCTTTAGATTGAAGGGGTTTCGCCAGTGTTGTACAGTAGAGATAAGAAAAAAAAATCAACACCTAGATACATTACATTATCAGGAAATTTAAGAACTTAAAAGAAGATTCCTGAGAGCAAGAGCAAATGACCTTGAAAGGAACAAGAATAAGCTGTCATCACACTTCTCAATAGCAACACCGGATGCAAGGAGACAGTGCAGCCATACTTCCAAAGCACGAGAATTTTGCTCCTGGGTTTTATACCCAGATACATTATCACTGAAATGCAAGGGGCAAAATGAAGATATTCTTAGGGATGCAAGGTCTAAGAATGTTTATCTTGCAAGGACATGCTTTGAAATGCTGCTGTAGGACAAAAGGTCATTCTAGGAGGATGATAAGAATACTGGAAATGTGTTAGTCAGTGCCCAGTCGGGAAGACAGAAATAATTTTAGATCATTCAAACTGAAAGGGATTTAATGTGGGGCGTTGATTCTAAAGATGTTTGGAGGAGCAAAAGGGAAAGGGTGTTCTACCCAGAGCTCAGGGATCTGCTAGCATACCTGGGAGAGAGTGTATGAGCCACCCTCACTGGGGTCACTGCTGGAACCATGGAGCCATTGTCCACCAGTGCCACTGAAACCACAGGGCTGACATTGAGCAGGAGCCACCTACCTCTGCTGCTGCAGCTGAGGCACTGTCAGAAACAATGGCCCCACCCTTATTTCTACTTGCCAGTCAGGTGCAGTTCCCCCAGATTGGCAGAACCAAATTTAACTTTAGCTGTCAAGGAAGTCTGGGGAATGTGGCTTTCTGCTTACCTGTCTTCCAGAGGAGAATATAAGAGAGTGAGTATGGGGCTAAAGGCCAACAGACAAATATCTGACCTTGGAGCTAAGGGTCTGTAAACAAACTAGAAAAGTTAATTCCTGTCCAAATGAAGGGAACAAAGAGAGAAGACAAGAAAGGCACACCCATTACAATCTAGTACAAAACCCGACAATACCAATATGACCAATACCAACGTGACCAACTAAAGCAACTGTAAGATACCACTTTATGGACATCAGAGTAGCAAATATTATAAAATTGAATGATTCCAAGTGTTGGCAAGAATTTAGGGGAAAAAAGGCATGTGAGAGTTAACTGGTACAGACACAATCTAGCAATACTTAGAGAAACCAAGGGTGTATTTATATTCTGTATGATCCATCCAACTGACGCCTGGGAATATACACCAGAGAAACGCCTGCAACATATCCATAAAGGGCCGTAATCAATTATGTCCCCTGCTACCTTTTATGTGGTAGCAGACAGGTAGATGAGAAATTAGGTGTCTATCACTAGGAAGTTGAATAAACAAAATTTGATGGGGTACATACTATGGAATATACACCAGGTATATAGGAACACTATGGATAGACAAAAACATAGTGATAGGTAAAAATACAGATGATCCCCAACATAGGATGTTTCGACTTAGATGTTTTGACTTTGTGATGGTTGGACATTTATAGACATTTAGTAGAAACCATACTTCCAGCACTCATACAATCATTGTGTTTTCTGCTTTCAGTACAGTATTCAGCAAAGTATATGACCTGTTCAACACTTTGTTATATAATGGGCTTTGTGATAGATAATTTTGCCTAATTGTGGGCTAATGTAAGTGTTCTAGGTTAAGCTGTGATGTTCAGTAGGTTAGGTATATTAAATGCATTTTCAATTCACAATATTTTCAACAGTAACAGGTTTATCAGGATGTAACCCCACCATAAGTCAAGGAGCATCTGTGATAAAAAGTAGAATAAGACTTTTAGCACAATTTACTATGAAAAATAACACACATACACAAAAATCACTACATGGCTTTTAGGAATAGTGTAGTGGGTTGAATGGTATGTCCACATTCCCAAAAGATATGTCCACATTCCCAAATTGTGAATGTGATTTTTTGGGTAAAAGGAGTCTTTGCAGATGTAATTCAGTAAGAATCTCAAGATGATATCATCCTGGATTATCTAGGGGGACTTTAAAATCCAATGACAAATGTTCTTATAAGAGACACACAATAGAGGCAGGGGACTGTGTGAAGACAGACAGAGATTGGAGTGGTTTACAGGTTGAATGTACACAGCAAGTATACAAATGTATATAGAAAGCAGACCTTTGGCTAATATTAACTTTATGGCACAGATAAACTTATAAACTGTATTATTATAAGCCACAAGCCAAGGAACACATGGAGACACAAGAAGCTGAAAGAGGCAAGGAATGGAATCTCCCCTGCAGCCTCCGGAGGTTGTGTGACCCTGCCAACACCTTGATTTTGAGACCTCTGCCTTCCAGAGCTATGAGAAAATAAATTTCTGTGGCTTTAAATCACCAAGTTTGAGAAAATTTGTTACAGCAGCTACAGGAAGCTAATGCAGACAGCTATCCAAGAACATACATTGGCACACATTACAGTGTCTATGGTGAGGAAGGTTAGGGGAGTGGAGTGGATGAAAATGGGTAAAAATAAAATGAAAAAATGAGTCTTGGACAAATTAATGAGACAGCCTGCCACAACTGAGGCATATGACCAACTCCATGTACCTGAGGTTTTAAAAATGTAATTTCCCATTTCAATTTACCATTTCCTTTGAATTCTAGAAGGATTATATATTTTCTATCTTTGCTAATTGGGGTTTTTTACTTTCAAAGAATAATCTGGTCATGGACTGTATATTTGTCCATAAAGTTTCCTGATTTTCATGATAATTGTTTTTAATAATAATTTCATAATTGGATGAGCTTTTCACATATAAGATTATTAGCTATAGGCCGGGCGCGGTGGCTCACGCCTGTAATCCCAGCACTTTGGGAGGCCGAGGCGGGTGGATCATGAGGTCAGGAGATCGAGACCATCCTGGCTAACAAGGTGAAACCCCGTCTCTACTAAAAATACAAAAAATTAGCCGGGCGCAGTGGCGGGCACCTGTAGTCCCAGCTACTCGGGAGGCTGAGGCAGGAGAATGGCGTGAACCCGGGAAGCGGAGCTTGCAGTGAGCCGAGATTGCGCCCCTGCAGTCCGCAGTCCGGCCTGGGCGACAGAGCGAGACTCCGTCTCAAAAAAAAAAAAAAAAAAAAAAAAAAAAAAGATTATTAGCTATAAATACATTAGCATATATAAGCTACAAATATATATGTCATATTAGCTACAAATGTACAGTATTAAGTCTGTTGCTTAGCTTTTTCCTTCTGAGTGATATATTTTTGACCTACACAAGTCTGGAATTGTTATGTAGTTAAACACGTAACAGAGCGTTCTTTACAAGTTTACCTGTGCCATAAAGCAAACCTTAGGCAAAAGCCTGCCTTCTGTATACATTTATATACTTGTCTGTGTACATTTAATCTATAAATCACAGTAAAAGCAACTTAGCAGAGAAGGAAGTGATTGGTCTTGATTTGAAATCCCCCCAAATAAAATCTCTGCAATAAATAATGGCCCTAAGAAGCTGTTGGCTGGCATTTATGGTGAAATTTCATTTGTATGTTTTATTCTTCATTCATTCATATCCTTTAATAAAATGTGAATTTGAGAGCTTCTTTGGGCAAATACTATTGATATAGACAAGATAATAAATAAGGACATAGGCAATGATGGCCCATGGCCTTCAACTTCAACAATGAAGATAATTCAAATGTGGGTTCTCTAGAACACGAATTTTTGTTGGTTTGCAATCCTTATTTCCTACAATTCTGCTTGGCCTCAAGAATTGAGACTCCACCTCCACGCTCTTTTCTGACTAGTCCCTGATGGTTCTGAATTGGTTTCCTGTGACTGCTGCAACAGGTTACCACAAACTTCGTGGCTTAAAACAACACAAATTTATTCTGTTAGAGTTCTGGAGGTCAGGACCATGAAATCAGTTTCACTGGGCTAAAGTTACAGTGTGAGCAGACCTGGTTCCTTCTGGAGACTCTCGGGAGAAACCGCTTTCTTGCCTTTTTCAGCATCTGGCAGCTGCTTATATTCCTTGGCTTGCGACCCTTTCCTCCATCCTCCGAGTGTAACACTCCCATCTCTGCTTCCATTATCACCTCCTCTGACTCGAAGTCCTCCTGTTCCGCTCTCAAGAGGACCTTGTGATTAGATCAGGCCCACCTAGATGATCCAGGATACTCTCCGTATCTCAGCATCCTTAACTTAATCACATCTTCATGTCCTTTTTGCTAGATATGATAACATTTACAAGTCCGGGGATCAGGATAGGGACACATTTGGGGGCTGTTATTCATCCAGCCATAGTTCCTGACCACAGTGAGGCAAACATTCTGAATTTCATTCCCACAACACTGAAGGGCCTAGATTTGCCGTGTTGCAATAAGCAATCCTGTGGTATGTGTGGGGTGAGTACTAGGGCTGCTGTGAGCCCGCCAAACCACAGGCTTCCTCAACACCTGTCGTGTTGGGTCACATTATAGAATTAATGTTCCTCCTGGGGTTCTTTTCCTGTTTATGACCTCAGGTCCACTGCTGGCCTAACCTTGGCAGCCTCCTACTCTGGTGGGCTGCATGGTGTCACCCCATTATCAGCCAAAACGGCCAGGGGACTGGCTATGAGTCACAATGATGCCTCTACTGACCACAGTGGATGAGACCTCTGGATTTGGGCATCAGCTGTTTTGCAGTCCACATTTTTCTCCTCTGCGCTTGGTCACATTACAGTCACAGTATTATTACTGTTGCCCATTCTTGAGGACCAGGGTCACAACCTGCCCTATCCTGCTTTGTCCTGGCTCTCCTGTCATGAGTGATGACAGCTTGCAGCCAAACTGTGAATGCTGTCCTGGGAAATCTCTCTGAAGGTTTCTAGATCTCTAAAGCTATAGCGTGAGGTTACAGTCAGCCTGCCTGGGATCTACAGAGGTTGGATAGCAGTGACAGGAGATTACCTTGGCGAACTGCACACTGGGGTCTTCTTCCACACTGTTCCCTCTTTCCCTTTAGGACCTGTCCTCGCTCCGAGTATTAGGTAGCTATTGCTGTGTTACAAATTACCCCCAAACATAGCAGTTTAAAACAAACATTATCTCACAGCTTCAGTGGGTTAGGAATCTATATGTTCTGGCTATAACTTCCTGTTCTTCACAAACCTACAGTTAAGGTATTGGCCAGGGCTGGAGTCATCTCAATGTTCAACTGGGATTGGATCTGCTCCCAAGCTCACTCACATGGCTGTTGGTAGGCTCAGGTCCTCACTGGCTGGGAACATTGGTCCCTTGATTTATGGGCCTCTCTATAGAGTATTACAATATGGCAGCTTATCTTCTGCAGAATGAGGGGTGGTGGCGGGGGTGGAGGGAGAGAGAGAGAGACAGAGAGAGAGAGAGACTAAGACAGAAGCCATGATCTTTTTTTAATTATCTAATCTTGGAAGTGATTTTGCTTCTGCCTATTTCTATTTGCTAGAAGCTAGTCACTAAATCCAGCCCACACTCAACGGGGATGGGATCATACAGGCAGTAAGTACCAGAAGGCAGGGATCCCTGGAGGCCACCTTAGTGGTTGCCTGAAACATCCCGAGAGGAAGTCAGGGAGAGAGAATACCATCTGCTAGGAGTGAGCAGAGTTCACATGAGTTGAGAGGGGCCATAGGGACCCTGAAGATAAGGTGTGTCATGAGCACAGTTTCCTGGGACCTCGATTGTTGTGAGCATTGACTCATACTTCCATGTACATTGCTCCCTTTTGGCCTGGGCTGCTCTCTGAGCTCTATTTTATTCCTGTGAAGCATGTAATCCTAGCTACTTGGAAGGTGGAGGCAGGAGAATCACTTGAGCCTGGGAGGCAGAGGTTGCAGTGAGCTGAGATTGTGTCATTGCACTCCATTCTGGGCGACAAGAGTGAGACTCCATTTAAGAAAAAATAATGTTGCATTGGGTTGATGTTTGAAAATATATTACAACAGATGGGAAAGGGATGAAAACACCTGGGAATCACTGAGTCAAAACAACTCATCTGGGCATGCATAAAATGTTATCTCATTTTTTTTTTCTGGAGTAGAAAGAACATAGACTACAGAGCTTGATAGATCTAGTTTAAATTCCAGTTCTACCACTTACCAGCAGAGTGACCTTATGTTTTTTTCCTCATTTGAAAAATCTGGTAACAATACATAACTCTCTGGGTTGTACTGGGATTGATCAAACAATATACAAATGCTCCTCAATTTATGATGGGGTTACATGCTGATAAACTGATCATAAATGGAAAATATCATAAGTTAAAAATGTATTTAATATACTTAACCTTTTGAATGTAGCACCTTAACCTGGACTTACCTTAATCTTGCTCAGAACACTTACATTAGCCTACAGTTGGGCAAAATCATCTAACACAAAGACTACTATAATAAGGTGTTGAATAGCTTATATAATTTATTGAATACTGTACTGAAAGTGAAAACAGAATGCTTGTATGGGTACTTGAAGTATGGTTTCTACTAAATGTGCATCACTTTTGCAACATCATAAAGTAAAAAAAAAAAAATTGTAAGTTGAACCATCATAAGCCAGGGACTACCTGCATGTGAAATGCTCATGGTACACTGCATGGTACCCAGGAGGCATTCTAACTACAGAGCTCTGTACCCTTCCTTTCCCTTCATTATCCAGTTATCCGGTACGTGCATAGTGCTGACGTATCTTGGCATTGGCTAGCCAATTATCCAGAGCATCCCAGCATGCATGCAAAGAAAACTGCTCAGTGAGAATGGCTGTCTTTGTAAGGAGAATGTAGGGCTGGCTCTCTGCCTAGGATGCAGGGGTCAGTGGGGCTGCCGCCAGCCGTCTGCAGTGTTAGCCAGGGAAATCAACTCACAGTCCTCCTGGCATCTACTGCTGGACTTGGGTAAACATAATTACAGCCTTTAAAAAGAGAAGAGGGAAAGCAACCAAGATCCCCACTCACCATGTAAACAGGATGTCCACTGAATGGCAGCATGGAGATGTTTATGTTCTGTTCAGGGGACAATTGACAAAAGGCCTCTGGGAGCCTTTATTGCTGCCTGGGGCAGTGGCCTGCCAGCAGTGGTGGGGCTTGGGTTCTTCTGGGCATTGTGTGATTGTGAATGCTGAGCTTCAGCTGAGAGCTCTGGGGCTCTGTTGTCTGTAGCTGGGATGCAGTCCTTTGAGACTCTGGGTTGGTTGCCTGCCAAAGGCCCTTCATACAGATAAGGTCATTCTGGTGTCCAGTGCACAGTTTCCAGCAGGCCTCCAGTGACCTATGAAATAATGATCTTAACAACAGCCACCACTTAGAGCAAGGCAGTGGGCTAAATACTTCACATGGATTATCTGATTTACCTTTCACGATAACCCTTTGCATAATTTTATCATCCTCATTTTATAGCTGAGGAGGCTCTGCAAATGTAGGCCACTGGATTTGAAGTCAGATCAGCTGGATCCTCAAACCTGAGCTTAATAGTAAGCTAGGTGAAGGCAGGGACTATCTGTCAAGTTCAGCATGCTATCTCTAGGGCCCAGCATGTGTCTGAGAAAACATTTATTGACGAAATGACTAAAAAAAAAATCTACCAAAATGCTGTCCTCCACTGACTTTCTGCAGCACGTATTTTTTTTCCCCAGAGTGAGATTGTGTTGCACTATTTGTTCCACATGTCCCTGCTTCCACCGCAGTGACCCAGGGCACACATTGGTCAATGATGGCTGCCGTCGAGTTTTGGGTACCTACTGAGGCATAAATGTTGTGGAGTAATTGGACATGTGTCAAACCACGAAGTCAAATCTTGCTTCAGTCCAGTTTTCTGTGGAATTTTAGGCAAGGAAAGCATCTTTTGGGACCATCAAATGCATCCTGTTCCTGAAGGAGCAGAAACAGTGAAAGCGGACACTTGTCTCAGCTGGCCTCTGTCTCTAGCATGAAATCCCTGGAGAGTGATTTTGCAGCCCCTCTTCCAGAACACAGGTGGGTTTGAGTGGAGTTGTGAAGATAGCCTGAGCATGTTTCTCAGAAATGTCAGGAGGTGGTCCTTCTACCTTTAGAATTCTAAATAGAATTGGCCAATACTTGAGTGAAGGGAGGAGGCAAGCTTGCTTGTAGAAAGAACTAGGGCACTGACATGCCTACTCCAGAATACAGCATGGCCCTTCTCTAAAGTCTGAACTTTTAGATCAGAGGGAGACACAGCCTTCAGCCTTTCCCTTCTCCATTCAGGTCTCCTTGTGGAGAGACAATGAGTGGTGGCAGGAACTCCCCTGAAATGGATCTGCCTGGAGCTGAGGCCATAATTACCTCAATGTTGCTAGCATGTCACAATCAAGAGCAGGTCGTTGTTTTTAAATGGTCAAAGTTGTAGGAGTATCGCTGAAAAATAAAAAGCATTTCAAAGACTGCCCAGATTGGTGGTGTTTGTGTTGTTTGGGTGATGGTAAGATACTGGAAATGAAGAGGTCTTGTGTGTGTGTGTGTGTGTGTGTGTGTGTGTGTGTCTTTGTTGTTGATGGTGAATTTTTTGTCATGGTAACCATTACCTTCTGAGCTATGGACCTCTGTCCCAAGATCCTGGAGCCGTAAATTGTTGAGGTGTCCTGTTGAGACACACGAGACCTGCAGATAGGCCTGGGATTTCAGGAAGCAGTCTGCGACCAAAGGTATCCTTCAGCATCCTTCTCAATGGCCTCTTTTCCTATGTTCATTCATTCCTGCACCCAGCTTGGCCTTCTATCATCTTGCTGTCCTGAAGCCCCTGGCTGTGTAGTCTAAGCTCCCACTCCAGGAGGTTTTCTCACAGGGCCCAACCCCACACAGCACAGCGGCCTTGTCCTGCCCCCCGGCATGCTAGTGTGTGACGTTCTCTTTATCTTTCTATATGAAGAGAAGTCCTATACTTGTTCATACCACTGTACATTTGGAATAGGCTGGAAGGACATTTCCTGGGCCTCTAATCACTTCTTCTGCCCACATTTCCTATACAACCTGGCTTGGCGTTTCTACTTCCAATCTGCTTGAGTCAGTGCCAGATTTGGGGCTTGATGCTGTGCATATGTCACCTGCTTCCTAGTCTCAGCTGCTTATGCCACACACACACACACACACACACACACACACACACACACACACACACACTCCCCTACATCCAAACTCTGGCTGTACTTAGAGCATCCTTCATTTAAGGGTATAAAAGTCGAGTATCGTGAGAGAAGGATGGGATGGGTTATTTTCTTTGGGTCAGTTACCTTTTGGTTTAATAAGCAATATCCAAGAGGCATGAAGATAATAGTCCCTGGTTGGAGAATCTCCTTTTTGTCACTCTTAATATTTCCCCTTTGAGTTGCCATTGGATACGTATACTCCATCAAGTCTGGAGTCCAACCTCACAGGCATGGGTTTGGAGCTAAGCTTCTGCTGACTGTCACATTGGGCAGGCAGTGGGGACCACAGAAGTTCCAGGTGAGCTGATGGGATTTAAAGAATAGTCTTGGAATTAGGGATGTGGAAAGTATCAGTATTTATCTTTGGTACAGGTGGCCTTCCTGTTCTGGAACCAAACATTTTCCCTCAAGAAACTCTTTTTCATTCTCAAGTCACATCAGCCATAGTCACACATGGGATCAATCCCCTACTGGTTTTTATTATTGTGACTGGGAATTGTGATCCAATCCACTCCACCAGCCCACTACCCGCTAGCCTTATTGGCCTATTGCAACCTACCCATGTGTGTGGCCAGGGAGGGCTACGCTCCTTCCCTCTGGTTTCTGTTTTCCCCATGGTTTCCATGTGGCTGCTGCTGCTGCTGCTGCTTCCTCTTGGCTCTGCCCCGGCTCCAGCCATCTTCCCTATCACTGGTGGTTGCTGCTTCTGCAGGGCTCTGATTCTAGGAGTTTCTCTTACAAGGCACAGCTCCACAAAGCAGAGTAGCCTTGTCCAGCCTCCCTGGCATGCTAATGTGTGACACTCTCTTTATCTTTCTATATGAAGGGAGGTCCTATACTTGTTCCTGCCACTGTACATTTGGAATAGGCTGGAAAGAAATTTCCTGGGCCTCTAACCACTTCTGCCCACATTTCCTATACAACCTTGGTTGGCGTTTCTATTTCCAGTCTGCTTGAGCCAGTGCTTGAGCTTGCTGCTCTGCATATATGTGACCTGCTTCCTAGTCTCATGCCTGCCTATATAGCACAAACACTGGAGGTATACAAACCTTCGAACCCCATCTATGCTGCCATGGCTCCAGAAAGCACCATGATCCTTCCAAGCTTGGCTAAGGGTTCTTTACAGATCAAAATGGAAGGACATTTTTTGCCTCCTTAAGTGACAGGGCTTTCCACCAACCTTCCAGTGGAAATATTCCTATGATAATTCAGTTTCATAACTAGCTTGCTAGAGTTCTAGAGAAGCACCCCAACTTATGAATAAGTTCAGGTTCAGGAAATGAGGCAAGATTGTTCAAGTGTTTGAGGCGTGAAGCTCTGATCATCAACCCCAAAGGTTTCCTTTTCCCCTCTCTCAGGGAGTCTGGAGCCCTCAGCAGTTGAAAACTTTCCTTCATGGTCTTCTTGAAAACTCTGAGTGCCCACACATAACACAAAACTCCCGTTAGCAGCATTTTCATTCACAAGGAGACCTTTGGGGTCCATACAGATTTTTTTTTTTCAGGCTAGCCTAAAAATTGTATTTTTTGAAAAAGAAAAAAGACATTATCTGTAGCTTGAGAGGCAGAAATTGTTTCTTTTTAAAATGCTTTGTTGTACTTTCTAAGTTTTCTGCACTTTAAAAAAAATAAGATTCAAAGAACCCAGCACATATTTACTGTTAAACCTGAAAATATTTCTCAACCCCACTCACTTAAGAATCTATATAGTGGGAATCATGTTTTCTAATGCCCTTAATTGTCTTAAAAATTTATCTGTTGGTTGTCAGTTAAATAAACACCCAGATGTGCTATTTTATAGATCATACAACATATCAAATGTACCCCTTTTTATCCTCTGTATTCTGCATGGCTCCTTGGTCCCTGGCTTTCAGAGCTAAGCTTAAGTTCTTTGTCAAGGCAGGTTAACTATAGCAGACAGAGCTCTCATCTCCTCTCAGCTCAAAGGAGTAAGTGACTGTTGTGGTTCATCTATGGGAAACTGTGCTAGCAGAGCTTTACTTTCCTGGACCTGCCGCAGAATGAGATAGAAAGGGAAGGAGCTATAGCCACAGCATCTGGGAAGGCTGTAGTTCCTGCTGATGCTCTTGGCTCAGTCAATAGAAGAACAAACATGAGGATCAAAAGGATGCTCATAAGAGTCTTTGTGGAAGCTGTGGAGGGCAAAAAAAGAAGGGGATAAGATCTGAGTAGAAAGAGACTAAAAATGAATTCAAATTCATTAGCGTTGCTGGTGGAGACTGTTAATGATTCAAAGTATTTATTTGGATCAGAGAGTCACGGGACTGTTCAATTGAGTGTTTATTTAGAAAAATAGAGCTAGCAGACTCTCCAGAAAGTATAAATTGGGCTTTGGCAGGAAACCAGCTTCTTTTTGCCATCAGAATGTCATGCGAGCCTCAGGAATGGCAAACATCTGTTTGAAGGATATCCTGACCTTGAATCAGCAGAAAACTCAGAAGAAACTGCATCAGGATTTGATGTGTAGTTGTCATTTAAGACAGCAAGTGCAGTGGGCATCATTGTGGCCAAGTATTAACAATGGACCAACTATTCAATAAATATTTGCTGAATGTCTACTATGTGCCAGTTACTGCTATGTGCTGGGGATACAATAGCTACTAGGACATACCTATGGCCCAAATAATTTATTGCTTCACATAGACACTGGGATAAAAGTTCACAGTGTGTTGTCATGAATACACTGTACATTTACCGTGTTCTTTTCTTGTGCAAGTTAGAATTTGGTGGACAATTACAATGGATATAATATACATCAGTAAGAGAAGCTAAGCCTAGCTCACTATCTTGTACTGCCTAGTTAGCCATTTTTTTTTTATCTCTTGACCATTTACTCATTAAAATATTGGCAGGCCCACTGAGGGTGGTTGTGTTAAGATTAAAATTATGAAAATACCCTGAAATTCATGAGCATAAGTTTGCTTTTGCACATTATGCAATGTGAAAAATACTTAGTTTTCAAATTTTTAAAAACATTTCAGAATTGTAGCTTGTAGTCCTAACAACTTGGAAGGCTGAGATGGGAGGATCACTTGAGCCCTAGGAGTTCAAGACCAACCTGGGCAACATAGTGAGATCTTGTCTCAAAATAAATTTTTTTTTCCAGAATTGTAGATAAGAAATGATGGACTTAGAGTACTAGTGAAGAGTGTACAGTGTAATTCAAATAATTTATTGCTTCACATAGATACTGGAATAATAGTTCATAAAATGTGTTGCCATGAATATACTATACTTTTGCTGTGACTATATCATCAGATTTACCTAGAAAACAATAGATTTTTTCCTTACAAACAAATTTAATTGGAGGAAAATCACCACCACCTCTTACTGATCTTTTGCCATTCATGTTTGGGTTGTTTCCCATGTTTCAAGGCTGGTATTCCCTTGGGATTGCTCTGCTAGTCGACTTCTTGTGAACTGTAGTGTGAAATAGGAAACAGAATACCACCAGAGCCACACTAAAGCTTCTGAATTGGAGCCAGGAAGTATTTAATTTGATGCACTAAACAGCATAAAGCCAACATCCTGGCTCATGACCCCAGTGGTATCAGCATCAACAGCTGGATGAAAGCAGGGGTGGGGGGGATACAAAGATGGGTTGGTGAATACAACCCACTTGCCTTGAGTCTGCATTTGTGCATCCCAAACTTCTTCCTGGCTTTGTACTTTCTGTTCCCTCTATCTGGAACACACTTCCTTACGACTTTTGAAGAACCAGTTTCTTCTCATCATTTAAGCATCAGCTGTGATGACACCTCTGAGGGAGGCATTCCTTGACCACCCTATTTATTTATTTCAGATGGAGTCTCACTCTGTCACCTAGGCTGGAGTGCAGTGGCATGATCTTAGATCACTGCAACGTCTGCCTCCTGGGTTCAGGCGATTCTCCTGCCTCAGCCTCCTGAGTAGCTGGGATTACAGGTGCCCACCACCATGCCCAGCTAATTTTTGTATTTTTTTTTTTTAGTAGAGACAGGGTTTCACCATGTTGCCAAGGCTGGTCTTGAACTCCTGACCTCAAGTGATCTGTCCACCTTGGACTGCCAAAGTGCTGGGATTACAGGCGTGAGCCACCATGCCTGGCCAACCAACCTATTCAATGTTGTCTGCCTTCAGTCACTCTTTATAACATTACCTCATTTTTATTTTCTCCAAAGAACTTCTATACAATGATCTTGTCATTTGTTTGCTTATTTACTTGTTTATTATTTTTCTGCTTCACAGAGTAAAGACCTATCTGACTTGTCCATTGGATCCTTAGTCCCTAGAGCAGTACCTGGCACATTAAGGGGCCAAATAAATATTTGTTGGATACATGAATGACCCTTGTGATATCACTAGTTTCCCTATTTTATAATGGCTGAACCACTCTCATCCCAACATCTCAGTGATCCCTTTGTGACAAGTGTCCCAGAAGAAAAATATTGCAAATGTGGGAAACATGATGGGTCACAAAGTGTGGTAGAATATTACATCAGCTTCATAAACTGTGAATCATAAATCATGGTTCCATCTGTTCTGTGACAGAGTGAAAACAGCAAAATTTTCCACAAGATAGAAACTAAAAACAAAGACAAGTCACAAGTTTCAACTCATGGAGTACCTGTTACTATTATTTTGGATCGTTTCCCCTGTCCTCTATTCTTCAGCAACCATTTCAGTCATGCTGTGCCTTTCTGGAACAGGCTCAAGAATCTACTCGTAGTAGATATTGGTTTCCTCCAATCTAAACGTTTTTTGCCCTATAACTTCATGCTTGGCACAGAGAAGCCACTCAACAAATATTTGTTGACTACCAACTGTAATTTCCACTATTATAGTATTCTTCTTTGATTTTTTAAAATAAAATAAAAATATCCTTTAGAAAAGGTAATCTGCTTATAAAGAAAGCCCATTTATTCACACTCTAGTATTAATCTCATTGAAAGATTTGATGGAGTATAGAGTACAGAACAGTTTTTTGAACATGGATTATTACAGGAAAAGTCTGGGTGTGGCAAAAGGTGTCCTGAGGAGTGATGGGATGTTAGGGCATGAAGAAGAATGAAGAAGAGTGTCCAAGACAACTGGTTCATGTTGCAATTTTACTGAAGGTCAGCAAAGTGGAGAATGCTGTTCTGGGAGAACTGGATGCCTTCAGATTGTGCCAGGTAAAGGCAAGGGGTCACCAGGACCTCCTTGGGTCAACCAAACCACTGTCTCAGTATCTAGGAGAAATTAGATTAAAATGAAGAGCAGTACACAGATGACAGTTCTGAGAAGCTTCTCAAGAAACTCATAGCAGTGATTGCTCCTGGAGAACAAAAATGAAGGATGATAGGGTGGTGGGTGGTCAGTAGAATTTTATTTTCCTCCTTATAATTTTTTCTAGAGTTTTAATTTTTTTCCCATGAGAAAGTATTGATTTCACAATTATAAAATTCAAAAATTAGTAAAAATCATTCTTTTTTAGATTTAGCCATATTAAAATTCTAGCTTAATAAAAATAAATATCAAAACAAATGTAATAAAATAGCACAGTGCTGTGGTTTGAATATTCTCAAACACATATTGAAATTGAATTACCATTAGGATGGTATTGAGAGATGGGATCTTTGAGAGTGGCTGGGTCATGAGGGCTCTGCTTTCATAAATGGATTAATACTGTTATTGTGAAAATGGGTTCCTGATACAAGATTAATTTCAGCTCTCATTTTTCTCTCGGTCTTGTATGCTCACCTTTTGATGCTTTCCCCCATGTTATGACACAGTAAGAAGGCCCTCACAAGATGCAGACTCTTAATCTTGGGCTTCCCAACCTCCAGAACATGTCTCTTTTCTTTTTAAATTACTTAGTTTCTGTGGTATTCTGTTATAGCAGCAAAAAATAGAACAAGATATAGGAGGATGTCACAGCAAGGTTGAAATTAATATATCATGATAGAAGAAAAAACCTTGCATTTGTAAGACACAATTATTCATGCAATTTTTAAAATCTCTGTAGAATGTTGTTCAACCTTCTCAAGACATAATAGCAGCACTGAAAGCAGACCCAGTAATGGTTCTAGAACACAGATCCTTCAGGCTTAAGCTTCTCTGACATATGGGCCCTACTCTACTCATTCCATTTTTCTTGTGACCTTCTTTCCTTTTTTCTCTCTCTCATTACCAGTTTAGACTGTTGCCTCTCTGAGTGATTTGAATTCAAATCCCTCAAGAGAAGAACTGATTTGTCACTACATGGTATTCAGGGTAGGAATAATTTCCTGGCTTTCTTTATTCCCCTTGTATCTTTGCCATAAAATGCAGTCAGCTAAGGGCATGTGTAAATGCATCTGATTTTTTCATCCTGAAAGTTTCTAACACACACCTCCTGCACTTAAAAAATCCAAATACTGATTCCTTACATTTAGAGCACACTAAATAGATTTTCAAGCCCTCATATGCACTGCCTTAGTTCATCTCTGGCAGAGAGGGGCTCTCCTATTGTGATCTCCTTCTAAAATGAAAGGGCTGTTTAAATCATAACTGCATGTAGGGAAAGAAGGTTTGCACACAGGTATGAAGGTATTATGATCTACAGCTGTTGGGGAGTAAAAGGTTTTTCCAACTACTGTCTGCTTCTGGAACAGTGGACCTTGTTTAGTCTAGAAGTCACTGAGCAAGCAGGGCACCATGGTTGTACCCAAGCGTTAGTCAAATGCTTTCAATAATTGTGGTTTGTGTAAGAGAAGAATTGTGCAGAGTTGGAGTGATATTAGGGTTACATCAAAACTTTTTTGAGGGTTTTCTTCATTTTCTTCTCCCACAGTTTAGAAAGGGCAGGAGACTCTCATGTGGGAGAACTATATTAGGTGTGCCTTTATTTGGAACAGAGTGAAAGACCACAGAGACTGAGCCATCTTCTGCTCCTGTGATTTTGTTCAGCGTTTTCACACGTTAATGTTTGTCTGACTTCTCCTTAATTGCAATAAGTTACAGCCCCCTCCCCAGCCTTTCAGTAGTTTGTTTCTAAAAAACTCCTTGCAGGCAAACTTCTTGTAGGTTAAAAAAACACAAGGAATTTACATTGAAATTAACAACACATACTTACTTTAAAAATTAAGTGTATATACATACATGTAATTGAACCTTGGCAGAGAGACCTATCTGTCCACCCAAAATACATTCTTCCCCCTCTATAGGGGAGGTCTGAGCTCTGACATACAATAAAGAAGGGAAAGTGTCCTTGAGGGTCATTGTCCAGACAAAAGGCTACATTTTCCAGCCTTTTTGCTGCAAATGTGAGCATGTGACTGCTTCTTGCCACAGAAGTGAGATAATATGTATCACTTCTGGGCTGGGAACATCTGCATTGAACTGAATAACAAGAAAAAAACTTTATTTTGCAAAGCTACTGAAATTTGAGGTTTATTTATTTCTTAAGCTGAGGGTCAGGAAACTTTTCTGTAAATAGCCAGATAGTAGATATTTTGGGCTTTGTAGGACACATACAGTCTCTGTCTCATATTCTTCTTTTTGTAAAAACTACTCTTGACTCACAAGTTACACAAAAACAGCTGCAGGTTTAACTAATTCAAGTTTTTAATACAATAAAAAACAACAAAAAACTAACACAATGAAAACAATGTAAATGGTGCATGAGATGTCACTACTATTAACTAGCAACCTATGAGGACTCAGGGAGAAGACCCTTAGGTCACCTTAGCCCACCGTTCCACCGTGAAAATAACTGCACTGTGGCTCTCCCATTGTGGTGCTTAAGTGCTCCCAAGTCAGTACTATTTAATTGGTTCTCATAAATACAGGAATGCCTCCAAAGTTAAAGTTGAAGCAGTACATGAAACTAATAGAAAAGTAAATTCCTACAGCCTTAATTGGAGTACCTCAGAGTGTGGCTGCTTTACTGCTTTCTCTCCCACTTTCTCAGCTTTGTCATCATACAGCATTTCTTATACTATTGCTATACCTAGTTCAGTGCTAGATCTGACCGGAGTCTTCCAACAATGCATCGACATCCACCAGCAGATCTTGAAGCTCTGCGTGGTAGGACTCCAAGATGGCGTCTACATTTCCTCGGCCCCCACCCTCACACTACTTGTCATGGTTGCCAGACTCCCTGTTGGTATGCAGGTATTGTCAGGCTTGGCACCTTCCATTCCACCCAGGCCCTTGTCTCAGTTGGCACAGAATCCAAGACCACACAAAACTTTTAGGAAAGTTATTGTCCAACAATAGAATGAATAGATAAATGGTAGATTATTCTGCAGCAACAACAATGGAAATTTGGAAGAATTGAAAATAGTATGAGAAAAAGCTTATAACAGCATATTACATAAAAACAGCAGAATTGCAGATTATATATTCAAAATGAATTTAATTGTGTAAAAACAAAGACTTGAAGGAAGTACACTAAAATATTAACAGTGGTATTCCTGGGTGGTAGATTATGAGTGATTTTTTTTTCTTTTTTCTTTTTTCTTTTTTTGCGACAGAGTCTCCCTTTGTTGCCAGGCAGGAGTGCAGTGGCGTGATCTTGGCTCACTGCAACCTCTGATTCCCTGGTTGAAGCAATTCTCTTGCCTCAGCCTCCCTAGTAGCTGGGATTACAGTCATGTGCCACCATGCCTGGCTAATTTTTCTATTTTTAGTAGAGAGGGGGTTTCACCATGTCGGCCAGGATGGTCTCGATCTCCTGACCTCATGATCCACCTGCCTTGGCCTCCCGAGGCTGGGATTACAGGCATGAGCCACCACACCCAGCATTATGAATGACTTTTAAAAAATATTATTTTCTATGTTTTTTGAAAATATGTACAAATGACTGGAGTTTTTTTTTAATGACTGAGAAAATAAAAAGTAGTTCTTCCTATAAAATCTTTGGAGAGCTCTGCTGTCCAGAGTGAGTTCCCAGCCCAACTCCTGTCCTCTGAGAGCTTAGCTGGGAGAGGAACATAAGTCACCCTCAAGCCTATGTTCAGAACAGGAACAGGACAGGGAAGAGGAGGATGAATGGGAATCCGACTTAACAATGAGGTTTGAACCAGAGGGAATGTGGAGACCCAGAGCAACCTTGGTTTGGTGCGATCCATTTCTTCCTACCTGCAAGTATTCAACTTGTTTCAGATCCAGTTTCTTATCTCAGCATATGCCCTGCATACTCTGCTTGTTCTCTATGCCCTCTCTTCACTCCTTAAGTCATGGCACTGGAAACAAAGGAAGCAAGAGAGACTTTCAGACTAAAGCTGTGTGCTCATCTCTTGTTCTCACCCTTCCACATTGAGGGCCAGGGCAGAAGCCTGTCTGCACTCTGTTCCTGCACCCCCACACCCACAGAACAGCCCCTTCATGATGCATCTCATCTTTCTTGAGGGACCACTGTGGGGGCTATTCTGTGTCTATCCCCACATAGCTCATCGTTTCACTTGTTTGTGCACATGTATGCACATATATGCAAGTGCTCCTGAAAACATTTATTGGAACACATGCTTAGGCATAGCCTTCATTTATTCTGCCAGTTAACAAATTTCCCCCCTGCTTTGTGTAATTGCTGCACTTGGGGACAAGTGTGCTGGCTAAGGGAACAGTAAGTGCAAAGGCCTGGAGTCAAGAACAGGTTTGATTCTTGCCCTCCAGTTGTTCCCATTGTAGTGAAAGAGACAGATCAGTAAATAGGTAAATGCAATGCTGTATGATGGACATTTATCACTTAGCATTTATAATTAACATTGACATTTAAAAATGTATGTTATTTATCGTCTTGGTCCCCGATAGAAAATAAGCTCCACGAGGGCAAAGGTTTTTGCATTTTTTTTTGTTCATTCAGTGTCTCTAGAACCTCAAAGAGCTACAGGCACATAGTAGATACCCAATGTTGTTTGAATGGAAGAAAAAACCCCACATTTATCCCTCTGCTCCCATTTTCCCTCCCCAGAGGCAACTGGTGTTATTAGGCCCTGGGAGGAGTGTACTATTTCAACAGACCACCATGCTCTCCACCAAACTTTGACTTTGGTACTGCAGGTGAGTCTCTGAGTATCCCACAATTTGGGGGATTCTACTTGCCAGGAGGTGTAGGGTGCTGTCCACCAGCTGTAATGTTGGCTGCAATTGGCTCTGGTCCTCTGAGTCTCATAAGGACCTGGGTACCCTTTTTGACTGTGGTGCAAAGGAGGAATCAGGGACTGGCCAAACTCTGGAGACTGCATTCAGGCTTTGGTGGGGACTTGGCATTTAGGAAAATACAAGCCTGCTGCCACGTATCGTGAGGCCCTCTCCTTCAGCTCATCGCCTAAGCTTGATAGGCAGGGAACCTGGCAGGAGATAGTCTCTGTATGTGAATGTGTAAAACCTGAGCTGCATGGAGCCCTCAGTGCCACAAATGTCAGGAGCCTTTGCTTTTGGAGTGGACTTGATGTATGGCCCTTGAGCAGGACCCTGACGAAAGACCAAATTGCAGGGTCAGGGACCTGGTTTCCATCTCAGAAGAAATATCTTTTTCAGAAGTACTCAAGTATCCACAGATTATCTGAGGAGTCTAATTGAATTTTCCTTTATTCCCTTTATAGATAAATAAGGCCTGAATTTTATACTTGGAGCAATTTACAATTTAAAATTTACAAGTATTAAGGAAATAAATTAATAATTACTAAACACCCATTATCCTTGATGGATTAATTATAAACTATGGTCCAAAAAGTTTAAAAGTGCCCAAGACCACACAGTTATTAAGACCTCAAAGAGCTACAGACACATAGTAGTTGCTCAATGTTGTTTGAATGGATGAAAAAACCCCCACATTTATTTATCCCTCTGCTCCCATTTTCCCTCCCCAGAGGCAACCAGTGTTGTTAGGCCCTGGGAGGAGTGTGTTATTTAAACAGACCACCATGCTTTCCACCAAACTTTGACTTTGGGACTGCAGATGAGTCTCTGAGTATCCCACAATTTGAGAGATTCTACTTGCCAGGAGGTATAGGCCACTTAATTAGTTTTAGAAACTTGGATGCCTCCAAGTTTCCATTTATGTTTCATTTTGTTTCTGTAAATCCACTTGGTCAAATTACTACATTTTTGGATTCTGAGTATCTTCCATAAAGCCTAACACATCATAGACTCAACAAATCTTTTTTAATAAACAGAAGAGGCCGGGCACAGTGGCTCACGCCTGTAATTGCAGCACTTTGGGAGGCTGAGGTGGGCAGATCACCTGAGGTCAGCAGTTCAAGACCAGCCTGGCCAACATGGCGAAATCCCATCTCTACTAAAAAAATACAAAAATTAGCCAGGCGTGGTGGTGTGCGTCTGTATTCCCAGCAACTTGGGAGGCTGAGGCAGGAGAATTGCTTGAACCTGGGAGACAGAGGTTGCAGTGTGTCAAGATTGTGCCACTGCACTCCAACCCGGATGACAGAGTGAGGCTCCATCTCAAAAAATAGACAAAAATAAAAATAGAAGAAAAAACCTTCATTAGTCAC